>NC_000003.12:31260000-32510000 GCF_000001405.40 Homo sapiens
GAAAGAATAAACTACTATATTACACCAATATAATCCCAGAAACATAATGTTGAATAAAAGAAGCCAGACGCAACATGTTGAACAAAAGAAGACAGATACAAAGTACATAGTGTACTATTTCATTATATAAAATTCAAAAGCAGGCAAAACTAACCTGTGGTGACAGAAATCAGAACAGCAGCTTTCTATGTAGGGTGGGGATAGAAAGGAGACATGAGGGAACTTTCTGGTGTAATGAAAATGTTCTATATCTTGACTGATGTGTTGGTTTCATGGTAAAATTTGTCAAAACTCATCAAACTAAACACTTAAGATCTATTTATTTCACTATACGTACCTTTTACCACAGTACATACAAACCCACTCTGCCCTCTCAAAAAATAAAAGATACACACACACACACACACACACATATACACAAACACATACATACACATAATATCTATATGAACAAAATTACATTTTAGAAATCTGGGGCCGGGCACAGTGGCTCACACCTGCAATCTCAGCACTTTGGGAGGCCAACGTGGGCAGATCATGAGGTCAGGAGTTCAAGACTAGCCTGGCCAATATGGTGAAACCCCATCTCTACTAAAAATACAAAAATTAGCCAGGCATGGTGGCAGGTGCCTGTAGTCCCAGCTACTCGAAAGGCTGAAGCAGAAGAATCGCTTAAACCCAGGAGGCGAAGGTTGCAGTGAGCCGAGATCATGCCACTGCACTCCAGCCTGGGTGACAGAGTGAGACTCCATCTTAAAAAAAGAAAAAGAAAAGAAAAGAAAAAAAATCTGTCTGGAGGCCCTAGAGAACTACTAAAGCAGTGAGGCTCTGAGAAGACAAAATCCCAGACGGAAAGGTAGCTCAGAAAGATGAGCCCAACATTTGTCTCTTCTTATGCTTTTCATGCATTTGCTAGTTCAAGAACAAAAAAATCTGAAAAGCAGAGTTTGGGGTGGTTTAAGTGGGGTGGAAATGGGGAATAGCCTAAGATGAGAGAGAAGCAAGTTCAGGGCCCACCACTGAGGAGATACGTTGGTGGACAGCTGCACCCCTAAAGGGATACAGACTCAGAGTAAGGTAAACCTGAAAAAGACCAGTCCACCAAAGATTGAAGCCTGGGTTCAAGTCCATTCAATCTTCCACTGGATTAAAGGTATCTTTTTTCCTTATCCCAGCAGCCTGATAGAAGCAGATGCAAATCCTCCCTAGATAAAAATAACATAGTCCACAGCCTTAAACTACTGCTAACATTTGCCATAAATACTGTCTGGCTTTTGATCTAAAATAACTAGACATGCTACAGTAACAGAACTAAGGGTCTAAAGAAAATAAGTACAATATATATATATATATATATATAAAGACAGGCTACAAGAGAGCCAGGTATTTAAATTATAAGAGATAAGATTTAAAATAATTGTGATTAATGTGTTTCGAAATTCAAATAAGCTGGAGAATTTGAGTAGAAAATTGGAAACTTTAAAGAAATAAATGGAACTAGAATTTGTATACTCAATAACAAATTAAGAGGTTAATAGATGAGCTTAAACCACTCATTTTATTAGTATTTTATTAAAATTTAAAAGTATTAAAATTAGTAGGGTCAGAAAGAAGTTTCTTCACCTGACAAATTAGTCGGTTTGTAGTCAACTCTCCTTTTCAGGCTATTTAGCCAATTTATAATTTTGTAACATATTGTTAGGCCCTCTTCTTATACAGTTAATGTTTATGACTTTTTTTTAATTAACTACTGAGCCCCTCTGCTTGGTTAGCATATGAAACCATTAACACCAATGAATCTTTCCTGTTTTCAATGTCAACACTACTTTTTTCATTCCTTTTTGGCTTACTGACATGCTTTGTTAATTTCTTCTTATTTATAAAGAAAAAAATTAGGTACCTATATCCTAAGTAAATCTTGCTTAACTGAGTATATAAAACGTCCATTTATATTCATCTTTTCCTACTTATTAAAATCAATAAAAATTAAACATACACTTATATTCATCCTTCTTTTGTATTATACTTTCGTTTTTGTATACTTTTTCCTTTTTAACCATCACCATTGTCATGACTTTTAACAAATCCGACTAGCTTCTATTGGCTATTATTATTATTATCACTATAATTGGTGAAAATCATAACATTTTATGCCCTCTTGAATCACCAACTTTTATCACTTTCTCCAACGTTCTTAGAAGTATTCTTGTTTCTTGGTAACCACAGAATGTTCTAGGGTTATTCTTATTTTCTCTTGCTCTAAAACAGTGGTTTTCAAAAAAATGCTGGGTTTTTTCCCAAAAAGACACTTGGCAATGTCTGGAAACATGTTTGGTTGTCACAACTGAAAGAAAGCAGATTAGGGGTGGGGAGTTGCAACCAGCATCTAGTAGGTAGAGTTTAGGAATGTTGCCAAGCATCCTACCGTGCAAACTGATGTTGGGCCTCAAATGTCCTCACCTCAAATGACAGTGCTGAGGTTGAAAAACCCTGATCTAAGTAATGTGGAATCAAATAACCTCCAACGAGTTCTGGGTCTTTTTTAAGCTGTAAGAGTTTTAGACCAACATGTGACTGTGCAGCTGCACAACAGAGTTGTTGATGGATGAGGGTGCTGCTGCTGCTGCTGCTGTTACTATACCGATCAATATTTTTTTAAAGGTTGAGTTTAAATTTGAAGTTTACAATTTATTGTATATTATTGTACACCACCTTTCTTATAATATGTAGTTTCCTCAGCCACTAAGATTTTCTCCTACATTGACAAATATATTCTTATAATCAAGTCAAGAGTGATCCATTCAGGGTGGCTTTCCTGTAACAGTTCTTACAGTTCATACAATATTTGCTTTCCTTTCTTCATCCCTGAAGACATGATAATTACAAAGTAAATTTTAAGAAAACTCTATCACCCAGACTTCACCACTAACAATTCATCCATGTAACCAGAAGCCACTTTTACCCCTAAAGCTATTGAAATAAAAATTTCAATAAAAATAAAAATCAACTCTATTGATAATTTCTCAATAGGTAAGTACTGCAAATGTCCAGGTCTTCTTGGATGGCAGGTTCTTGGGTATGAAAGTAGCCAGCTTAGAAAATAATAGCAGCTATAATCTTCAGAGTACACAATAGAACATTAGGTGCTGGTCTAGAAGAAAACAAAACAAAACCTTTATCTAAGACTAGATTTATACTGTCAACATTGGATATTTCTGAAGAAAATGTCATATATTAACAAATTCCTACCATAGAGATTCCAATTTTGAAAAATCATGGCATTTCCCTGCCTTCTGAAAGACAGACCCTAACTGGAAAATTGGAAGAGTTTGAAAGCCTTTATTTATTGTCCAATAATGTTTTAAGCCAAACTAGTAAACTCACATTTCACCCTAAATAAATTTTCCTGTCTTTCTCAATGTGTAAAAACACATATACTCACATATACATTCATTCTTCCTCATGTCTCAAACACACATACACACACACTTCACTTTTCCCTAGTCTTCAAAGTTTTGAGTCAGATGTTCTATAGAACATGCATGCATTTTAGTCTTCCCCAATTTAAAAAGCAGGCAAATAACTCAGTCAAATTTTAATTCATTATTGAAAACTTATTTTAAATCAATTTACTTGGTAACCAAGCCTTGGCTACAGTCTGGGTCTGTCCCCTGAAGAGATGACTGGGAAAGAACAAACCCCCAGTGGGCATCAGTATTGTCCCTTCAAGTGGCAGCTTGTAATTTTAAGTGTGACGACTATGCTCCTTCCTCAAATTTTCATTTTTACCTCAGAAAATTGAAACAAGCTCCACCATTTGCATCGTCAGCATAGGAGATGGAGAAAACAATAGCCACAGGTGACAATTATAAGGCAACTTGAAGTAGATAAGCATGACATTTAATAGTGACCTACAATTTTAGGACCAAGATGACTTTTGTAAGTTATAGCCACAAAATTATAAAAAATACTAAGGGCAGAAAACAAATCTAAGCTACTCTTTGTCAGTTACATATCAAGCAATATGTACTCAGTAATGGCTGTTTTTAGCAAAAGCAAACGTTGATTCAGTGTGTGTTTGTGTGGTATTAGATCATTAAAATGAAAGGAACAGACACATTTAAAAGGTCATCAACTCCAACTACAGAAGGGAGTGGAACCAACATGTATTCAACAATTGTGTGCCATGGAGAATGATGTCAAACTGACAGAGAGACAGAGAAAATCTCATTGAATCCTTACAACTGTGCAAGGTAAATTTTAGTACCCAGACTTTAAAAATGGGAGCATTGAGGCCAAGAGGGTTGGAGTAACTTGGCTTAGAGCTTGAATTCAAACCATCAGTCCCACTCTAAAGCCATAATCTTGTTACTATGTTGGGCCATCCACAGTGGAAGAGACCATATGAGAAATCAGAACAAAAAGAATTATATACTCTGGAAAAGACACGTGTACACCGACCTGGACCTAAACATATGAAATAGGCATAGGAACCTATGCTAATAAGAGAATACTTTCAGTGAACATAAGATTGCAAATTTCAACCTTACTTTTTTTTACATAATTGAATTTAGGATATTAGGCTTTATTAAAATAAATAGAGAAAATATAGTAAGTTTCATATGGAATTGATGATAGACTTTAAGTTCTAGAGATAACATATTGAGTGTAAATTGTACTAGTTTACAATCTTAATTGAACAGATTCTAAAAAGCTCTGGAAAACCAAGTATAATACTGACATTTGCGAGGAAGGATACTTTTAGTTTTAGGTTTCAGTCACTGACAGCCTGTATATGTCAACATTTTCCACACTGTATTCCGTGGGCCATTACTCTTAAAATAGGACTCTGGGATTCAAATCATTCAGAGAAACGCTGATTTAGCAACAAAGAAAATTTCTTTATTGCATGTTTGTAAATCTAAATCTCCAAGAAGTAGACAAGGTGTGCTGGGATGCCCAAACTTCCTTGTGCATGGGATGCTGGTTTCACAGAAACAGGTAGGGCACATTTTCCATAAGGAAGAGTTTAGAAAATATTTGTCTATGCAATTGTTGGCTAAGAAAAAAATTTGACAGGAGTTAAGACTATACAAGTTAAGAACATTACATTGCTCAACAACCTTCACAGGTTGTCACATCTTATTTTATTCTTCTACTTCTGGGCCTGAGCAAAACTGAGTAGTCCCCAAGAACCATTAACGTGAGATTCTCATTTTCTTGAATCTCCATAACCCAGCCTCTTTAACCTTCATTAGTATTATAAAAACGTCCAAACTCAGGGCAATTGACCTCATAATTACATATGGTTTAACGTTTCCTTTTCCCCTCGAATTAAAACTAGGAGCCCATTCCTTCTATCTGATTTCATTTTAACAACTTACCATTGATCTTTGGGGAGATATGAGGAAATCATGGGGAAAGGATTTTGAAGCTCAGCTGGCACAGGTGTAGATTTATATCTTTTCATCTTGATGGATTTGGAACATGTTCTATGCACTTGATTTTAGTTAATGCACTGCCCCCAAAGTGTCCAGTAAATGATTTGGAGTAACTTTTAAAGTGGGCAGATATAAAAGCTCTGAGGAAATACATGAAGAGATATAGAAATAATTTTACTGTCAGACTTCCTTACCCTCATCATTACCTTGAAGGGATTCTTTGTCCTCTGTTAAGAGTTTTGGTAATTCTCACAGGACAATTGGGAATTGTTTTCTGTCTTATGCAGGCAAGATAATGAGCAGAATTTCAGAGTGGAAGTGTCCACTGAACTTAAAGCTAGATACAATAGCTACAGTGGAAGTGTCCGCTCTGAAATTGGGAGGTTGCTATGACTCAACAATAAAAACAAAATATCACTTCCTGGTATTATTTTCCATAATCAGATTTGAGATGTTAGACTACGTGGCAAAAATGCCAGGAAGTGACATTTTTGCAGGCTAGCATCTCAAATCTGATTCTGGAAAATAAGACAACAAAAGAATGACAAGATTAGTATTAACTAAGCACCTACTACATGCTAGGCACATTATACCAACTGCTTTCTCAAAATTAGAAATTTAACGCATATCATAACCCTGTCATATAAATATCATTAAACTCATTTTAGACAAAGCTGGGAGTGGTGGGGCTAGGAGTCTGCCCCTAATTTGTTTGATTCTAAAGCCCATATTCTTCTGACATAATACACTGCCTCCAGTGGAAGGGTAGTGTTAATCCTTAGTTCCTCTTTACTATTTATAAGAGGAAGAGTCCATTGAGCAGCTCCACCCTTTTCTAAAGGCCGTAAGAAGGAACACGACTTGAGAAATAAAAACTACTCATTTTGTAAAAGGAAGAAATATGTCAAATGTCATTAACTTCACCTCAATCTGGGTGCTCACCAGGTCCTAAACATTTAGTAAAGTTAATGAACAGACATGTAGTGCCCCTAGACATTGTGGATTCAGCAATAAAATTAAATAGTCCCTACCGTCCCTCAAGGAGCTCACAATGTAATGGAAAGACACAGGCAAGTCTCCTTTCCCCAGAAAACACTAGTAGGGTCTAATTCACAGTAATTTAGAGCCAAATGGGGTTTAACTTTTTTTCGTTTTTGACTGACATATTTAATTGACATATTAATAAGCACAAATCTGAAATGTAAATCTCAGTAAAGTTTTACATATGTTTATACATGTGCAACTACCACTTAAGTTGAAACATAGATCATCTCTAGCATTCCTTAAGGTTCTCCCAGGCCCCTCCTAATCAACACTATTCCTAAAAGTAACCACTGGTCTTATTTCTATCACCATTGATTACTTTTGCTTGTTTGAACTTCATATAATGAAACCGTAAAATAAATGCTCCCTTGAATATGGTTTAATTTGCTCAACATTATATTTGTGAGATTCATCCAAACTGTGTATAGCAATAATTTGTTTTTTCTTGTTGATGTGTAATGTGTAAATTTACCTCAATTTGTTTATCCATTATATGTTAATAGATATTTGAGTTGTTTTCCTGTTTTGGCTATTATGAATAATGGTGATATGAACAGTCTTATACATGTCTTCAAGTGGATATAAAGAATGGAAGTGCTAAGCCATAGAATAGGCACATGTGCAGCTTTAGTATACCTCCAAATGCTTTCATTGGTACAAGCAGTTTTACCAATGGGCACACCTACCAGCAATGTCTGAGAGGTCTACTTTATATCCTCACCAAGATTTGGTATTGTTACTCCTTTTAATTTGAGCTCTCTAATGGATGTGTAGCGGTATCTCTTTGTGGTTTAAATTTGTATTTTTCCGATGACTGATAATGTTAGGCACCTTGTCACAATTGTATTGGCTATTTGGATTTTCTTTTTTGTTAGGTACCTAATGAAGATTTTTGAAACAAGTTTGATGCAGCTTGTCACAAGCCAACTTTATTTATCTTTTGTGTGTGCATCTTCTCATTTTATTGAGGGAAAAATCTAAAATGAGAGAGTTAAGTAAATTGGTCCAACTCATGGTTGGTTGTTAGCAAACCTGTACTTGAAATCAGATCTACACACTCCCATTCCTTTGTGTTTCCTCTGTACATGTAATGTGTGGCCCCATCAGTCATCTGCACCTATTAATTGCATTCCCAACAGGCAGATTTTCTTCAGTTTTCCTAAGCTCAGTTAACTAACCGCCTCTGTGTAATCTTGCCCCATCCTCACCCCCTAGAACCTATAACTTCTCTACACAAGCCAACTTTATTTTTAACTTCACACTGTATAAGAAAGGGGCTTTTCTTCTCTCCAGTCCTTCCCCGCCCTCAATTCCTATTCACTCCCTCATATATACATACACCATTCCCCTCCCCACCCACTGTGAAGAGCTTGTATATCTAGAGATGGGAAACCATACTTCAGGCTAAACAGGAAAACCCAATTTCATTTTAAAAACTGAAATAGATAATGACACTTCAGAAGGGTTCATCTCTGCCTACTTGTGTTTTACTTAATGCCCACTTCACATCTCTATAACAGCTCTGTGATTTACCATCCTGGATAAAAGAACCGAGTGGATTCTGTCTCCCAGTGTGTTAGAAATATGGCATTACATATATTTTAAAAACCTAAATCACTGTGAGCCCTGCAAAAAATATCCCAAGTATTGATTTAAACATGTCTTTTTTGCAACATGCCTCCCTGTACGCACTGGGAAACATAAAGTGACCCATAAATATTCTGGAAAGACCACTTATTTTCTATTCTTCTGTCACCCTGAGCTGCAGAACCATTCTTCCCTCGTGTGCTCCTATGATTTCAAATCAAGGAGCAGGCTGTTTGAGGAAGAAAGCTCCAGTTTAAGTAGATTGCTGCAGGCCTGCTGCTGATGGTGCTGTCTGATCTCCCTTCAGGCAATGTCTAAAAATAATAATAAGCAATAGTTTATCTTTATAACATCCTTCTCCAACAATGGAGAGTTCAAAGCGATGCTGATATTAATTCATTAACTCTAGAACAGCCTTCTGAGGCAAGGAAGAGTTCACTACTCCAGCTTCTGAGAAGGATTTTGGGGTCTGGGTGGAGTAGGTGTGCCAGATTATGCAGTACAACAGGCCAAATGTGGCTTCGTGAAATCCACTGCATCACCAAGCTACAGAGCCATAAGATTCTGGAGCTGGAAGGACCCGCATGGTAGAACCCACTTGTTTTCAGATGAAGAAGCTCAGACTCACAGAACTTGGGAGGACTCTCCAAGGTTGCACAGAGAATCTGTCCAAGGTCGCATATGGAAGAGCTTGAGGGGTTGCCAAGATCACACAGAAGGGATTGAGGATGCCACCAAGATCACGTAGAGACGTAGTGACTAAAATAATGTAAGACCCAGGTTTTCTAACTTCCAATTCAATGATCCAAGAGATTAAACATCAAGAGAAAGGGGCACAGGAATGTTTGCAGCTGCCACCATACCACCCAACATTGCCTCTAGCTTGCCAAGTTGCAGAGGAAGGAGAAGGGGGAAGATAACAACGTGTTCATATCGTAACTCCTACAAAGCACACTGCCTCCAAATCCACCAGTGGTAAAGCACCGGAAGCAGCTGGCTGCAAAAGCTGCCCACAATGGTGTGCCCTCTACTGAGGAGTGAAGAAACCTCATGGCTACAGGCCTGGTGCTGTGGCACTCCATGAAATTAGGCGTTATCAGAAGTCCACTGAACTTCTCATTCACAAGCTCTCTTTCCAGGTTTTGATGCGAGAAATTACTCTCAACTTCAAAAGGATCTGCGCTTCCAGAGCACGGCTACTGGTGCTTTGCAGGAGCCAAGTGAGGCCTATCTGGTTGCCTTTTTGAAGGCACCATTCTGTGTGCTGTCCATGCCAAATGTGTAACAATTAGACCAAAAGGCATCCAGCTAGCACGTGGAGAACGTAATTAAGAGTCCACTATGAGGCGGGCGCCTGTAGTCCCAGCTACTCGGGAGACTGAGGCAGGAGAATGGCGTGAACCCGGGAGGCGGAGCTTGCTGTGAGCCAAGATCGCGCCACTGCACTCCAGCCTGGGCGACAGAGCGAGACTCTGTCTCAAAAAAAAAAAAAAAGAATCCACTATGATGGGAAAGATTTTATTCTAAGGGAGTCAAAAGCATATGATTACCAGTGGAAAAATAGGAGACAGAAATCAAGTACTAGCAGTTTTTCCATTTTCATCTGTCTGTAAATGTTTAATATACAGTAAATGCAGGGACATAAAGCATTAATGCAAATCAGCAAATCAAAATATTTCAGTGAACAAATTTCACCAGTTCAATTTTATAGCAAGTATAAATAAAACTGTTAAATTTTTCTGCACAATGCCAGCATTTGATTTTTTTTAAGTACATTTCTTATTGAAAGCAAACTAAACAGTGTTTGTAACATTATTATCATATACTAGATTCCATCCATTCACTATACTTTTCTAATTGTGTTGCTCTAAATGTAAGTACATGTTTTTAATGTTGTCTATCTTCTGTGCTGTTCCTGTAAGTTTGTTTTTAAAATACATTGTTATTTTTGGAAAGAAAGAAACAAACAAAGAAACAAGGAAAGAAAGAAGGAAGGAAGGGAGGGAGGAGGGAGGGAGGGAAGGAAGGAAGAAAGGAAGGGAGGAAGGAAAGAGAGAAGGAAGGGAAGGGAAAGGGAAGGAAAGGGAAGAGAAGGAAGGGAGGAAGGAAAGGAAGGAAAGAAGGAAGGAAGAGAAAGAACAAAAGAAAGAAGGAAGGAAAGAAAGAAAGAAAGAGAGGAAGAAAAGGAGGGAGGAAAGGAATGGAGGGAAGGAAGGAAGGAAAGGAGAGAGAGAGAAGGAAAGCAAAAGGAGCATGAAGAAGAAAAGGTGAACTATTATCCTTAAGAATCCAAGGTGTTTAAGCCAATGTTTAGCTCAAGATTTTGGAGAAACTTTTGCCTCTGGTAGGTCACACAGGTAATAAGCAGTAGACTAAAACCCATATCTGACTGATGCTAAAGTCTACATTCTAGATGACCCCTCTCTACTGGTAAGCAAATATTTGAAGTGCCTTATGATGTCCTGAGAAAGTACCTAGGAATTTTCTTTAAAAGACTCTAGAAAATTGGACAAGTAGGTTAAGAGGGAGGTGGAAAAGAAAGCCTTTTTCTTTTTGTTTCACACATTTTTTACTGCTTGATATTTGTTAACCATTATGCATATTACTTTAATTATTTTTTAAAAAGTGGTTGACATATTTTGAGGATTTTCCTGAACTCTAAAATGTCATTTAATTTAAAAGAACACAAAAAAAAAAAACCAAAAAATTCTCCTAGCTCAAAATGTATGCTCCCTTTAGGGCATTGTATTATCTTCTTTGGAACATACCCACTGTCCCCTCACCCCATATTCTCTGACTATATTTTTTATATGTCCTGTGGGTTTGTTACGTGACAATTGCAGCTAAAAATATGCTTGCTTCTGCCCACTCCCAACTTATTATTTTTGTATGCACTCACTCCACACAATATCTTTATTATGAAGAATTTGCATAGG
This sequence comes from Homo sapiens, assembly GCF_000001405.40. Classification (NCBI taxonomy): domain Eukaryota; kingdom Metazoa; phylum Chordata; class Mammalia; order Primates; family Hominidae; genus Homo; species Homo sapiens. The sequence continues at coordinate 31,271,009 of NC_000003.12, forward strand.
CCCTTGTTCACTCAAGAGACATTTATTGATCACCTCCTACATGCCAGACACCTCATAACCCTACCAACCAGGAAGACAGACATGTGAGCAAAATGTAACCATACAGTCAGGGGAATACGTAATTAAGGCATTCAAGATATGCTCTGAGGACACAAAAAAATAACCCTGTGAAGGGATTTAGGGAAGTGTTTATAGAAGAAGAGGTATTTGACCTGTCTTGAAGGCTGAAATGGAGTTTTCTAGGAGTTAAAGAGGAACAAAGTTATCCTAAGTATGTATGTGAGCTATAAAGAATGAGATAGAGAATTGTATTCTCCAGGATTTTCAAGGGCTGCTCCTCAGAATGAAAAAGGCAGTCAAAATGAGAAACCAGAAAACACAAGCCAGGTAGCTGTGGGAGGCAGGGAGCCACAGGGCAGCATAGAGGCTGCAAGCAGAGGCAGAAAGGGAAGGAGGAATCAATGTGTGGGAGGGGACTAAGGAGACAGAAAGAATGAGAGGAACTCTAGGACATTTTTCTGCCTGATGATTTGGATAAACACCTGTACCAGTCTCAAAAAGAAAACTCTGTTAGAGTGTCTAGGGATGCACACTTAGGTGATAAAATTATATAAAATAACTCAAGGACATGATGGCTGCAGAAGTGGGAAGGTGGATACTTTTGAAAGAAGTATCCCTCTAAAGGATGGAGGGGTGGTGATGGGTCAGGGCACATGAAGACCTCAGAGAGGGTCAGCAATGTTCTGCTTCTTCTTGTAGGCAGTAGTTACAAAAGTGTTTGCTATATAAATAATTCATTAAGTTGTTTTGGTTTTGTTTGTTTTGTAGTTTGGTATTTGTGTTTATTGTAAACACTTACCTGTATCTGAGTTACAGATGTGCCTTCTTTTTCAAGGATAGATGGTGGACATGTGGAAGTTGGAGGTAAGTTTCCAGGTAGCTCCAGTTATACATGAAAGAGCAAAGCATACTGGGGAGCATTCGGAAGGTCACTGTGGTGGAGAGGGGGCAGGTTGCTGTAAGGAGATCCAGATTGCGACAGAGAGAGGTAGGCAAATGGGGAACCTCAGAAAGATCCTAGGGGAAGTGGGGCTCCTCCCAAATGTGGCCCTTATTTCCACGACTTCCATCCAGGAGTGGTTATCACTGCCTCACGAAGTTCTGGGTGACAACAGCGGGTAACCCTTATTCACACGTAAGGTAATGAGAGCAACATCATTCTTGGCAAGGGAGAAACCTGAAGCCTCCCCACTTCAGTGTGGGGTGACTCAGGGGGTTATCTTCAAACAAAGGACTGATGCTCTTTCAAAGAAGAAAAGGAGGAGGATGGAGGAGGAGGAGGAGAAGAAGGAAAAATAATGGGCCAACCTTATGTGAGATTCATTTGCTGCTGGGACAAGGTGTTCACTCAAGTTTTCTGGCTCAGCACGTTTGAAATACTTGTCCCCTGGGAACAAAGGGCCGATGTCTAATGGCTTGGAGAAGGAAGTACACACAGTGCCCTGCAGTGAAACCAAAAGAGCATTTGTAACCCCCCACCAACCCCATCTCTTCCAGGAATTTATCACACAGGCAGCATCAGGGCAGCCACTGGGTTCACGGTGTCCTTGCTGCTCTCCTGAGGCTGCCATTTTCTCTCTTTGGTCTTGACTCCTGCAGGGTCAACACCACAGTGTTGTCAAAAGAGGGCTTGCATTAAGCTGAACTGGGCCCCTGTCCTGGCATTGACACTCATAATCTCCATGACCGTGTGTAAATGATTGAGTACCACTGGTCCTTACCTATAAAATGAGAACAATAACATCTCACTCAGAGGGTTCTTGCATAGATTAAATGAAGTAATTCTGTGAAGCACCTGTCATTTAGTAGGTACTCAGGAAATCAGAGTGTGTGTTATTGTTATAATTAGGTGGAATTCATAAGCACTTTTTAAAATCTCACAATGAGATAACTTCCAGAATACCTAAAATCAAAAAGATCTACAATGCCTAAGGGTGGTGAGAATGTGGAGCAATCAGAATTCCCATAGATCCTGGTGGAAAGGTGAATTGAAGCTGAACATATGCACCCGTACAAGCTAGCAATTCCACTCCTAGATCTAACATAAACCTGACAGAATATACTTGTACGTCCCAAAAAATAAGAATAGTCATAGCAACATTTTTCATAATAGCCCGAAATTGGAAATGTCCATCAATAGTAGAATCAATCAATAAATTGTGGTGTATTCACGCAGTGGAATATTACACAACAATGTGATTGAATAGATTCCTACTCCATTCAACAGCAGGGATAAACCACATTAACCAAGAATTGAGTAGAAGAAGTCAGACATGAAGGAGCACATCCAGTATGCATCCATTTATGTGCATTTCAAAAACAGGCAAAACTCACCAACAGGATTGGTAGTCAGGAAAACGGTTACCCCTGGGGCAGAGACAATGGGTTGGTGATTAGGAAGGGACATAAGAGGGGCCTCTGGAGTTCTGCAATATCCTATTTATTAAGCTGGGTAGGAGTTACTGGGTAGTTTCTGCATATGTTTAATGTTTAAAAAAGATTAAACAGGAAGGGAGAATTTTTAAATAAGCAATTAAATTCTGATGCTCCCTGAGATATAAACTCCGACCCATATAATCAACTGTCTATCTTCTCCTAAAGTCTCCAGAAAGATTCTCTTATTTCTTAATGGTAGTAGCCAGCCTTAACTGAGCACTGTGTCAGGCATGCCTCTAAGTGGATAACAAGTATTAATTTCTTTAATCCTTATGACATTTTAGGAATAGACTAACCATTCTTTGTGTGCTGGGTTTAGTACCAATTTATGCCTATGATCCCAGCAAAACTTACGGCACCCAGTGCTCCTTTTACTCTCAAAAGTGCCTGAGTTTGAAGCATATTCACCCTGCCTATGAGGTGGGAACCATTATTATTATCACTTTTTAAGTGAATGATGCACAGAGAGTTTAGGTAATTTGTCCAAGGTCTTGAAGCCAGTAAGTAGTAATGTGAGAATTTGAACCTAGAGTCTATCTCATCACCACTAGGCTATTCTGCCTTTCTGGTCCAATTCTCACTATTCTTAAGATTCAGAAAAATTCTTAATGTCTATTTTTCTGCTGCTGCCACTTTAACTCATTTTCTATTGTCCCACAATTCCTGACAATAGGAGAGCTGCTCATCTATCACAGTAAGGCCATATCTGACCCTCCTCCCTTACGATGGCCTCTTTGCGTGTTCAGGATGTGAGCAGAACCCATCCTCTCCCTTCTCTTTTTAAAATGGTAAATACACTCCTTTTCACATTGACATTTGTCCTCACTCCATGTGTTCTCCAAAGCTTTAGTTGTGTCTGTGGATCTGTTTCCCATTTTGCATTCATTCCTTCATTACATCATTCAGTGAGCCCCTGCTAGTTGCCAGGCACTGCTGGCCTAGCTGGCAATAAAGTATAGAAAACAAGACAAGTACAGCCCATGTTCTCAGGAGCATCCAGTCCCAGAGGAAAAGGGACGCTAAGGAAATGATGGCATGAGCAATGATTATTAACATTATGATAAGGATTGTAAAGAATGTAACAGGGGACTTGATGGAGTCTGAGTTAACTTCTAAAGGATGATTATCAGCATTGCACTGGTGAAGGGGTAGGGAAGGGTGTTCCGGGCAGAAGGAACAGTGTATGTAGAAACTCTGAGGATGAAAGGAGCTTTGGAGAGTGGTGCTATGCAAGGCCGATAAAAAAGACAGGGGAGCTAGCTAGATCTTAACAGGGCCTGTCACCCAAATAAGGAGTTCAGTTATTATTCTAAGTGCAATGGAAAGTATTTGACTCATTTAGCAGGGGAATGGCATAATTCTATCTCCATGCAATGCTTCAATTCCTGGCTTTCAAATTGCTGAATACTCTAAGCTAAGTGAAGAAGGAAGCCACCTCCATTCATTCATATATCCCAAGAGTATAGAACATTTTTAGAATACTTTAAGAACATTTTCACAAAAGAGCAGCCTACCCCAAATGCCCTTAGTTACCAAAAACTTCATTATCTTTTTCAATAACATATTGCCAACTAGTATACAGTGACTAAATTTATCAAAAGTTCTGGATCACAGCCACCAGTTGCATAATTCCACTTTTCACCTTGTAGCCTGTTGTACTGAAAAAGAGCACTATTTACATAAACAACAAGAATGGTGCCGTCTGTCGTTGAGCAATGCAGTGGCCCTGCATATAGGTTCAGCCTCTGTCTACTAAGATTTGTATATTTATTTTTATATTTGTATGTTGCTACTTTTGTTGATTTATGAATCTGTGCTCTTAACTTATTCTAAAAATGATTTAAGGAGGCTTACAAAGACAGAGCAAATAGAACAAGATAACAGAAAGAAAACAAAAATTCAAGGGAAGAGGGAAATAAAAGGGAAAACAAGGGTAGGGCCTTACAAATGATTCAGGAATGAGGTTATTACGTAAATGCATTCCTGGTGTTTTGTACACTTGGCTTTAACTTTTCCAGCAGTCAATATTGCTGGGATTTGAGGGGACTAATTAATCAGATCCCTCCTCAGAAGGTTCAGAACCAATTGAGTAATAGAGCCAAGAAGAAAATTAAAATGCTCTTTATGTTCTAGCACTGGAAAAACTGGATTGGAGAACTGGACTTGGATCTAAGACATAAAATATCTTTCCTCCATGAAGTGCATTGATTTACCCCCAGCCACAGGCAGAACGTGTAGACTGCACTCTCCAAAAAGCAGATCTGCTGGTCAGTCCACACATCACCTGTGGGAGACAAAATCGAGAATACTAACATCCTTGCCCTGAGGGTTAGTAGTCCCAAGGTAGGACACACTGACAGACAGTGGCTATTGTTCCAACATCATCATCCGTTAGGTTATACCCCACTTCAGGAAGTTGCTTATAAAAGGCAGAAAGAAGGGTAGAAACACAGGTACAGTCACACCTTTCTAAACTGTTCAAGTACACAGCTCTTTGCTCGTCTAACCTAAGCAAGCATATATTTTGCAGTGCTTCTCAAATGTTTATGTGCATACAAATCACCTGAAGATCTCATTGAAATGCAGATTCCAATCCATACACCTAGGGAGGGGGTTGTGTTCTATATTTCAAAGACCTTGCAGGTGATGCTGAGGCTGCTGGCTGACAGATCACACTTGAGGAGAAATAAAAGCTAGAGCATCTGGAATAGAGGTCCCAAACTAGGGATCACATCCAACTCTTGACTTCAGGGGGTCTGCGTGCTTAGACGACAAAAACGAACACCTCTATTCTTTACCACCTCTAACTGAATTGCTTATTTCTTTCAATTATGAAGTAGGAACGGACCACAGTAGTATGTGCAGTAACTGTGACTTTATCACCAATCAAAATCTCATACCTTTTCCTATCACTTTACAGTTGTTGCAGATATCACCAAATATTACTTTATGACATGTTTATAATAATCTCTAAACACCATGACTCCTGGGGAATTACAGTAGTGATTAGACCCACTGCCAGCTCTTGTTATTTAATCTGTTAATAAAGAGATTTGTACCTTACTATTTTACAAATTAATGTGTTAATAAAGAGGTGTGTACTATTACTATTTCACAAATTTGATATCTTAAATATTTTGATAGCTGTATTTTACTATAATTGAGTTTTTTTGTAATCCTATGTGTTTTAGTTTTTATGCATTTAAAAGTATTATTCTTGGAAAGAGTTCTTAGGTATCACAAGAATTCCAGGAGGGCATGGCACAGAAAAGGTTAAAAACACTTGATGTAGAAGAAAGGGCTACCAGAAGTAGCCACTCTCCCATGGTAGTGACGGTACGCTCGGTGACTGCATGCTGGAGCCAGACTGCCTGGGTCTGAATTCTCCTTCCTACTTAGGTGTGAGACCGTGGACAAATGCTTACTCTCCCTAGACCTTAACATCGTGTAATACAAAGGAGTGGTTAAAGGATTTAATCAGTTACTGTTTTTAAGATGCACAGAGTAGTGCCTGGGTCAGAGTGAATACATTATAGTAGAAAATGTGAGTACTACATTCAGAAACTCAAACCACCATCTATTCAATGCCCATCTGGGAAACTGAGATAAATATTGCAAAATCCCTGTTCTCATCAAGTCCGTGGATTCAATGGGAGATATAGCAAGCAAGTAAACTGAAATGATGAACTAAGTCTCAGAAGGTAGGTAGGCACTGTGGGAATCCAGAGGAAGAAACTCCTGGCTGAGTAGGAAAAGGGAAAAAAGCTTTGCAAAATGCTCATCAAACACCTCCCCAAATCATTTCAACGTAGGCAAATGCAACCCATTTCCTCCTTGTGGCTTCTGCTGATTTCTTACTTCAATTCCCCCAAAAGCTCAGCATGCCTATGAAAATTCAATGCCCAGACTCCTTGCTAGCATTTTTCTATTTTATTAGAGTTATTCACATCTATTCTCCACTCCACTGGATGCTGGCTTTCCACAATACCATAACTGCCTGACAGGTTTGTGTCAATGCCAACACCTTGCCAGGACTAAAGGAATACCTTTCTTCCTGCAACCCAGGAAATGGCAGGCTGACACCACAGTGCTGCCCCAGTCTTCTTGGGCACAGAGACCCTCCAGCCTCCAGGGCAAGGTCAGCAAACAACTACCACAGGAAAGCAGCCCTGAGCCAGACATGAACATCATCACTATTTCCTCTTGGCTCCAGTGCCAGCTATTTGGAGATTCCTGGATATTTCTGTTGGGCGATTAGTGTTAGTAACAAAGATAGCTCCCATTTACTGGGCTTCACTGCATGCCAGGCACTGCATGCTGTACTTCCTATTTGTATTAATCTGCTAGGGTTGCCATAAAAAAACACCACAGTCTGGGCATCTTAGACAACAGGAATTTATATTCTCACGGTTCTGGAACCTAGAAGTCCAAGATCAAGTTGTCCACAGGTTTGGTTTTTTCTGAGGCCCCTCTCCTTGCCTGTAGATAACCATCTTCTCCCTGTGTCTTCACATGGTCTTCCTTCTATGCCTGTCTATGCCCTAATCTCCTATTATAAGGAAGCCAGTCATATTGGATTGGAACCTACTGCCAACAACCTTATTTCTGTTTAGTTACCTCTTTAAAGACCTTATCTCCAAATATGGTTACATTCTGAGGTACTGGAGTTTAGGGCTTCAACACATGAGTTTGATGTGAGACACAGTTCAGCCCATAACATTATCCAAGCCACAGGGAGCTATTGAAGATGAAGATCCCATGGCTCTGATAGATTAAGTAACTTGCCTAAGCTCACATGGTCAGGGGAGCTGAGAGTTGGAGCCAGAACACTCTGAGTCCACAACCAGTGCTCTGCCCACTCCACTAGCTTTTTCCTGGCCTGGTCCTTGGACTTTCTTAGGGGATCCCCAGGTCCTTCCCCCAGAACATCTGAATCAGAGTCCCAGAGGAAGGGGCTTGGGATTCTGCATATTTACAAACTCCTTGAATGCATCACAAGAACCTCTTCCCTACACCACACAGACTCCTACTACAGCTCCCATCCCAAGTCCTAGTCCTTTTAATGCCTCACCTCAGGGGATGTGGGAGCCCTGTGTGCAGAGTCTCCCTCCCCAGGGGTACCTGCTTTTCCCTGGAGAAGCTGATCTGCAGCAGGACCTGATGCTTACCTTGGGTTCCCAGGCAGGTTGTAGAGTGACTCACCCCCATCAGGCCCTTCCCAGGCCCTCCCCGTCCTTCCTTCCAGATGTAACTTCCCCACAGCTTAGTCCCAGCCTCTGAAGCCTACTCCACCGGTGGACCCTGAGTGGCTTCACCAGTGACCTGAAAGCTCGAGAATGGTATAGGCCAGAGAACATCTCCTCTGGTAGAAGCAGAGTTGGAGGCTGAGCTCAGCCAGCCTGCTTCCCCCGAACACTTCCCTCGGACACCAGTCCCAGAAGCCCTGAGAACACCAAGGTTTCCCTCAAAACTCAGTTTGAAAACCACTGTAGGAAACTGTGTATAAGCTGGATTTACCCTAGAGTCTACTTTGTTCACAGCTTTATGGAGGTAAGAATGAAGTATAACAAGCTGCTCATAAAGCGGACTATTTGATACATTTTAACCCACACATACGCCTATGAAACTATTACCACAATCAGGAGAATGAACATCCTCCACACCCAGAAGTTTCCTCATGCCCCTTGGTAATCTCTGTCCTTCTCTGCCCCAACCCCCAACCTTTCTACCCCTCACCCCTCCACCCGCAACCCCTCTAACTCCCTAATTCCAGGAAACCATTTTTTGGCTATGTATTTATTTATTTATTTATTTTATGTTTTTTTTTTTTTTGAGACGGAGTCTTGCTCTGTCACCCAGGCTGGAGTACAGTGGTGCTTTCTTGGCTCACTGCAACCTCCACCTCCCAGGTTCAGGTGATTCTCCTGCTTCAGCCTCTGGAGTAGCTGGGATTATAGGCACCCATCACAACACCCCACTAATTTTCATATTTTTAATAGAGACAGGGTTTCACCATGTTGGCTAGGCTGGTCTCGAACTCCTGACCTCATGATCCGCCCACCTCACCTCGTGATCTGCCCACCTCGGCCTCCTGAGGTGCTGGGATTACAGGCGTGAGCCACTGCACATGGCCTCACTTTTTTGGCTATTTAAATATAAACTAATGACAATTTAAAAAAATTAAAAATCAATTATTCAGTGGCACTAACCACATTTAAAATGTCTCGTATATACCTCAGGTGTCTACCTATACATCAGGTTACCACATTAGACAGTGCAGATGTAGAACATTACTAGCATTGCAGCAAGTTCTATTGGACAGGGCTGCTCTAGATACTAGGTCCTTTCCCCTTTCACAGTTCTAGATAAACATGGTTCAGATTATCTTCTTGGGCTTACCATTTTTAAGCTCCTTATGTTTATTAGTGGCTTTCTGGGTGCCAGACTACTAAGCATTTTTGACATGTTATTTCATTAAATAACCACAATGGCCCTATGAGATAGGAATAATTAATGTTCTCATTTTACAGATGAGAAAACTTAGGCTCAAGGAGGTTAAGTGCACGAAGAGCTGGTCTGGCTTCCAAGCCTAGCCCTTAGCCCTGTTATTTGAGGCAGCATAGCAGAGGCATGAAGAGCATAGACTCAAGGGTCTGCCCATGTGGGTTCCAATCCTGGCCCTACCACTTTCCAACTCTGCGACATTGGGCAAGTCATCAGTTATCTATGTTGTGATTTCCTTATACGTAAAATAAGGATAACAACAAAACCTGCCCATGTGGTCATTAAGAGGATTGAATTAATTAAAATACATACAGCATTTGGGATGACGATTAGCACTCAGTAGGCTCAATATAAATGTTTCCCATTTTATACCCTTTTTTTCACTCCCATCTCAAACGCTTTTGAGTAAGACACAAGTTTCTCAGAAATAAAAGCACATGTCCTGAATAATTAGACATTTATTCGTCCCCTTATTTCCTGTCTCAACATCCCCTGATTCCCCATGAAGCACAAGCCCCACCCCTACAGCTGCTCTTTGCTATGTCACATACAACGACGAATAAGGTCTCCATGGTGTCAGACTTGATATTTCTGCTCAGACTTTTCTCTGCTGATCTGTAAGTCACTTCATTTTCTTTCTAAACTAAGGACAGGAATATTTGAAGAAACAGAAGCACAGAATCATTGTCCCACTCCACGGGCTTGTTGGAAGAGGTAAATGATGTTAGATTCATAATTTGTTCCTACTCCTCACATTTTTTTCTTCGCTGCCTTTGAATGTTTCACGTCCCAGTCATAACAAGAAAGCAAGTGATTTCTCAAGGAAACTCAAATAACATATTATCACTGTGAGAATCATCATGGCAAAAATCACTAAGTCTTGGTGTAAAAATCCATTAAGGGAAACTTAGTTTGGGAAGAATAGTTTTACACAGAAACGCAGGCTTGGCCAGACATAAGACTGTCTTTTCTGAGTGACGCAATTGGAAGACCCATCCCAATCTCAGGGGCTTTTCATCTCTTGGAGAAAAATTTCTTTTCTTTTTCAGCTCCATTCCCACTCCCCTACTCATCGCCACCATTTGACTCAAAGAAAATACTTCTACTTCTTTGAATAAGAGGGAGGCCCACCTTACTCCACTTTCCGTAGACACCAACGTCTTCAGTACAAGCACCCATTGGCTATAGAGCTGGACAAGGAGTCCTTTTGGGTCCCATCCAGTAACACAAAATATAAGACCATATTCCATGGCCAGAAAAAGCTCTAACAACACACACACACACACACACACACACACACACTCATACACACTTTCACACAAACACATCTTCAACTTTGTTACTTTGTAATTATGCAGTTTTTCATTCTAAAATGACAAAATTTTTATTGAAGGTGAAAGTGTTAAGAACACTTTCCTGGTTACCCAAACCAACATTTTGTAAATGGACAGGATTTAGATGAGTAAAACCATAGTATCTATTCCAGGAGCATGAAAAAATTTTTCTTAGGTAGGTATTGATCCTTAGAAATACAATTTTATTTTCTCAGACAATTAAAGGGAGATTACACCACTGGGCCTAAGAAGATGCTATCACTTCTTATCACTTGGTGTTCAGCAGATAGCTGTCTTAATTTAAAAGACCCCAAAGGTCAATGCTTATTTAGTTCCTTGCAATAATCTGTTTTGCCATAATTCTGCTCTTCTATTTAATTCCCTTATCTAGAGCAGCATTTTCCAATTTGTGTTTTGCAGAACAATAGATCCAAGAGGTGTTAATAAGTATCCTTGGGGTGGTGAAGAGTAAGTGTTTCTATAAGCAAATAAGTGTGGGAAATGCTGGGCTAAAGGAAATTTGAAAGATTTAATTACTACAGGACTTCTCAGAGCCTTCTATATGCTAATGTGTGGTATGAATCAGAGAGATGAACAGGACTAAAGAGATAAATTTGTAAAGTATATGGCACAGAAGTTGGTACATAGTAACAATTAATCAATGTTAGCTTTTATAATTATTAGCTATCATAATTTAAGGCTATCCCAAACTGATATGTTAAAAGTCTCCTTCTTCCATAGAACAATTCCCTAGACTTAATGCTCCATGAAACACACTTTGGGAAAGGCTAATCTATTCATCATTCCTATTATTATTTAATAAGCATGTTTCCCATTTCTATGAGCAAAGAAATAAGGTAAAATGTGATACCCTGTGTGAGTACACAAAATACAAAAGAATTTTATTCCTGATTTTGGAAGCATTTACAGTCTAGAAACAAGACTAGTTCCCATTTAGGCAGAACATCATTTATTCTACCTTCCTCACCAGAGCTGATGACTCTAATGGTTTTATATGGTCTTAATTACTTAATATCTATCTCAGAAATGGGCACCTCCATGCATGTGTCAAGGGAAGACCTTTTAGGACATAGAGAAAATTCACAAGTCATATTCATGTATTCACTCATTCAAGCATTGATTCACTAAAATATGCACACAAATAGATATATCTGAAGAAGGCCCTATGTATCAAATACCATTCTAAGCACTGGGGATAAAACAATGAATCAAGTAGACTACGTTCCTGCCCTCATGGAGTTTTACATTCACGTGGGGAAGAAAGAATACACAGGAAAATAAGTAAATACAGTAGGTCAGTATAAGTGCCCTGGAAAAAAGTAAATTACAGCAAGGGAATTAGGGAGTTCCAGGGTGGTGTGGGAGTGGGGACATTACTTTAAATAAAGAAGTCAAGAAAGCTTCACTAACAAGGACATGTTTGAGCAGAGAGCTGAAAGTAGCAAAAGACAAATGGTGCATCATGGGAAACTGGATTACAGCATTCAAATAAAGGCGAGAAGAGGGTAGCTAGGTGGAGCCAGCAGCAGGGAGAGTTATGGAAGATGTTAGAAGAGTAATGGGGTAGAATAAGGAATCAGATCATTTGGGGCCTTATAGTAATCGTAAGCACTTTGGCTTTTACTCTGGGGAGCCACTGCAGGGTTTTGAGCAAAGGTACAAAGCAATCTGATTTTTTTTTTTAAAGGATTGCACTGCCTGATGGATTGAGATTGGACATTGTGGCCTTGAAAAGAGTGGGAGCAGGGGCCAGAATCCAGGCACAAATGGCCACAGTGGCATGGACATAAGAGGCAGCAATGGAGGAGGCTCCAGAAATGAAGATTCATTACAAAAGTGTAACAAAGGCTGCTCGCCATTCAACATTACCCTGCAAGGAGGGCTGATGTGTGAAGGAAAGCTGTCCTTCTAGGGTTGAAAATGTTTTAAGCCATAGTTGATTTTTGTTCAGTAGGTAAGTCAATCTTCAGCTTGTTAGCAATGTGCCACGTTCTTCCTACCCAAAGAAATTCATGCACTCAATATATAAATCAAGATGTCTGGTGAATTACCATAGCTGCAGGTGCCTGGCAACCAGGATTAGACTGATGGCCACTAATCTACGGGCTCCTGATTCCTTCTAGGGATGTAATGTGCTGTAAAGGGCATCCATATTCCTAAAACAGTCCAAACAGAGGAGAAAACATTCAGTCATCATCTCATTCTGTCTGATTGGCTTTTGCTTCACGCATATAGAGGCCAACTCACTGTCCCAACCAGATTCAGGTTGTACAGGTCACACCTTAGATAAGGAACTACACAAACTCATTATTGGCAGAAAGTTTTGAAGGATGGGTATAAGTTCTAAAGGCAGAATCAAAGAAACTGGTTATGAAAACAAAGGAAATGAAGGTGATCGATAGGTATCTGAAAGATCAATGCTAGAATAGAGAAGGAAAAAAATGTAAGCAAGAAACAGAGTAAAAGGGGTAATTCAAGGGCCAGCAGACTATTATCCATTGGTCAAATTGGCCTGCTGTTTTTTGTAAATGTTTTATTGGAAAACAGCCACACTCATTAATCTACATGTTGTCTATGACTACTTTCCTGGTACAATGGCAGAGTTGAGCAGTTATGACAGAGACCATGTTATCCACAAAATCCTGAATATTTACTACTTGGTCATTTACAAAAAAAAAAAAAAAAAAATTGCCCACTCTCAGTCTAGCTGTTCCCAAATGGTCTGGAGGACAAATTTCTGGTTGCTATTTCCTGCTTACCAGAGTATACAGCCTAGTTTACTATGGTGGGGCATGAGGACTGCTACAGAAATACCAACAAGTTTCAGAGATGTAGCCAGCATCACTTTCATTATGAAGAAGGCAGCAAGTCCTATAACAATAGTCCCAGCTCCTTAACTTGCCTGGCAAGGTACCAGACAGTGCCTATGCATCAGAACTTAACATTACACACAGAAGAGCAAAGAAACCATGGGAAACATGGAAGAGACAAGAGGAGGGGCAATGGAGAACTGCATCAGATCCTCAACACTATTTTCATCAAGTTCACTGCTATGGACCGAATCATGTCACCCTAAAATTCATGCGTTGAAGCCCTGCCCTCCAGTGTGATGGTATTCAAAATGGGGCCCTTGGGAGGTAATTAGGTTTAGGTAAGGTCACCAGAGTGGGGCCCTCATAATGGGATTAGCACCCTTGTAGGAAGATTTCTCTCTTTCTTTCTTCACCATGTGAGGACACACCAAGAAGGCAGCCATCTGCAAGCCAGGAAAAGAGCCCTCAGCAGAACCTGACCATGCTGGCTCCCTGATCTCAGATTTCTAACCTCCAGAACTGTGAGAAAAATAAATTCTGTTTTTTCAGTCTGCACAGCCAGTTGTATTAATTATGGCAGCCTGAGCTAAAACATTCATCAAACATTTTAGCCCAATTATTAGAGTGTGACTCTGGAAGCAATGAAGTAGTCATGGCTGCTGAGAAAGTATAGAAATACCACATTCCCTCCTCCATTCTATGACTAGTACTCTCCTTTCCCTATCTCCAGGAAGGCCAAATTTCGATTTTATTTATTCCAAGCACCCACCAGGGAGTCAACCAGGAAAATGGGAACTAGTACAAGATGCTGGCTGCAGTTTTCCAAGAATTCTTCCTGGTTAATGGCCCATGGACATCATTCAACATCCCCAGGCTTTCCTGCAGTGTTTCCCATTGCTGCTGATTATTTTCTGGAATCAAAGCCCTTAAAAATGGGCTCTAAAAACCTTCTAAAATAGCCAAGGTCCAAAACTTCAAAGATTCTGGACTTTTTTTTTTTTTTTTTCCAACCTTAGCTTACTGGAGAATTCTGAGTTGGTCATGAGACTAGTGACCACCTAAGTTGTCACTCTATTGGGTTAAGAGGACTTTGATTTGAAACTTCCAATAATTCAAAGAGCTGCCTTAGACTTTGGGAAAAGCAAGGTAAAATAAGGACCATATTGTAGTTTTCCCAAATACACACATTGCATTTACTGTCCCAAGGGGGGACAGAGAAACACCTCTTTGTCTCCCAGCTTTCCATACAAAAGCCCCAGAAATTCTCTGAAGGTAAGAAATGGTGGGAGAGACAAACATTTTGTTCTACAATGTTCCCCAAACCCTGAGTCTTTTCTGAAATGCTCTGTAGCCAGTTTTTTTTTTTAATCTTCTGTTGAGTTTTGCAGTTGAGTTTGATTTGATGAGAAAATAATTTAAGACCTTTCCCTAAAAATGTTGGGCCAAGACCTGAAAATGCTGCTGACAATGCTGGAATTGTTTCTTGATGCCTTGGAATGATAGAAATAATTCACCTTCAAAGGCAAGCACAATTGTCTCTGGGGTCCTGCCCTGTCCGCAGAATGGCCATCTGCCCCCGTTCTGCTCCTAAGGCCACATTGCAATAAGATGATCCATCCCACAGGCAGCTCATTTCTCTGTATTGAAGAGCTAGGGGCAATGGTAGTATTTTTCTGCCATGGGTTTTGCTTTTTTCTCAAGAGTTTTCCATCCTGGATTGTTTATTTCTCATACTTACTATTCTTTGTTAAACCTGAAAGGGAGAGAAATGCTCAGAGGTTCTGATTCAGTGTGGGAAAAGCAAATGCAAAGCTCACAGGTTGTCCTTTCACTGAGCTGTAAGTCGGTGTGGTTTGGAATTTTGCCTCTTCTTTTGAAGACTGGCAAAGGTTAAAGTACATATTTAAATTTAACTGGTCTGAAAGAGGCTAATGGAAAAATTGGCAAACCATGAAGAGGCCAAGAGCCAAGGGAGAAACATAAGTGGTCAATAAACATGTTAATATATGTTAAATTTCACAATAATTAAAATTGCAAATGCAAATTCAAGCAAGAAGACACTATCGTTGTCCATCACATTAACAATTTTTTAAAGATAACACCTAACAGTCATAGATACTATCAATGGTTCATGTGGGTTTGGAGAACTATGGAATTATAATTCCATACAGTACTCAAACAATATATATTGTACTCATACTATACTCATACAATACAGTAAAATTTAAAATTGTTTTCAAAATACAACTTTGTGAAAGGTAATTTGTCAATATATTAAAAAACCTTATAATTTCACATGACCTTTTTACACTAGAAATATATCTTATGGGATTTCACTTCTATAAATATAGACTAAGGAGATAACAGGAATGCGTAGGACTAATCATGGATGTGATAGTTAATTTTATGTGTCAACTTGGATAGGCCACGATGCCCAGAAATTTGGTCAAATGTTATTTTAGATGTTACTGTGACTGTGTTTTTGCATGAGATTAACATTTAAATCAGTGGACTTTGAGTAAAGCAGACTGCCCTCCATAATGTGGGTGGGTCTCATCAAATCAGCTGAAGGCTTGAACAGAACAAGAAAACGACATTCCCAGGGCAGGAAGAAATTCTGCCAGTAGATTGCCTTTGGACTTGAATGGCAACTTCAGCTCTTTTCTGAGTCTCCAGCCTGCTAGTCTACCCTGGATCTTTTGGAGTTGCCAGTCTATAATCAGGTGAGCCAATTCCTTACACTCCGTCATTCATAGAGAGAGAGAGAGAGAGAGAGAGAGAGAGAGAGAGAGATAGATAGACAGACAGACAGACAGACAGACACATAAATACACACACACACACACACATACATCCTATTGGTTCTGTTTCTCTGGAGAACCCTGACTAATAAAATGGGCAATTAGAAAATAGCTGTATTCTTTTCCTCAACCCTGCACATTCAAACTACTCCAAGGGTCTGATTCATCCTGTACCTTGGGGTAAACTTGGGTGAACCCCTGGATATTTGTGCAAATATTTATTTTCACATAATAAAAAATTATCTGATTACTTCCTCTTTATTTTCACATAATAAAAAATTCTCTGATTACAATCACAAAACAGGCTAACTTCCATTTTGTGTTGACTCCCCTATAATAAAAAAAACTCCAAATGTCACCTAAAACTCCAGTTCCTCTCCTCCTTCCAGGCCTGCTGCAGTGTGTGGGGGCTGTGGGTGGCTTTGTCTCTGTCTTCCTGGTCTAGCTCTTCTAACCTCCTCCCCCACTCCCGGGGGGGACCCCCTGCTCCTCCAGGTGTGGTATGGCAGGGAGAGCAAGGAGAGGTCAGGTGCAGGAAAAATGTTACCTGAGAGGCCCTGACATTATAGGGGCCTCAGTTTCTACTCCATGGCAGCTATTTAAGATGATTTTTCTCGTAGGTAAGTTCATGGATTCTTCAGAGACACCACTACCCCTACCCCAGACCATCACTGGGATTTTTTTACCTGTTTTTTTCCTTAATAAGGACAGTGTCACCTCCTCCCAGCCTCCTACGGTTCCCCTGGCTTCCAGCAGGCCACTCCACGCAGACTCTCTCTTCCCACCAGCCCTCTTCCCAGGTAACCTTTAATTTGGTTCCCTCTCCCATGTGTCCTGAATAAGCAGAAGACAGAGCTGATTCATTCCCTTAGAGAGTGAACCAGTGTTAGTCTCTCCCCTTTGGGTTTCTGCAGTTGAGGTTCTGAAGGAAGGACACATATTTCTAGGCACTGTCTCTTGGGTGGTTCTCAGACAGGGTTTGCACCTCCTTTGCAGGTCCTGCTTAGGTAGCATGGCTAGCCCTCCACTCTGGAATGCCAGAGTAGGTGGCTCCTAGCTGCCTTATTTTTACATACTTTGGTACAGCCTCCAGACACAAGAAGGTAATCTGTTTTACAGGTGTCAAAAGTTAAGTCTCAGAAAAATTAACTAAATTTTTTAAGATCACACCACCAGTCTATGGCAGAACTGTCCCTCTCCAGCTCAAGCTCTTGGCATCCTATTACAGCTATCTAAATAAAAAAGGCTTTTAAAGAGAATTGGCGGTAAAACAGACCCCCATTCCCTCCCAAGGCATTCCCTTAGTTCATTGCTCCAAAGTATGGCGGTCATGGTGTGTTCTCTTCCTCACCACATAGTCAACCCCGACTTGGGGACGGGCTAGGTGGAGCCCTGGGCCAGCCGATCTCCAGCACAGACCAGACCCCTAAGGCCTAAACTGTCCCTGCTTATCTCAGAATGGGGGATTACATATTCTACACGCCTGGTTCTCCTGACAGATGTGAGGAAAGCACACCGTAAGCACTGAACATCAGTACGTGTCTATAAAAGTCATTATAAACATCACGAGGCATGAGAGAAAAAGCATCTCTATTTACAGTGTAGGAAAGAGGAAAGAACAAAAACAACAACAACAAACCCTTCCAAGAATTTGCTTAATCACACTTCTGTATGGGAGGAAAACATTACCTGTAAATCTTTCCTGTGTGGTTGATAGGAGCTGATGGATCTTCCCTTGCAGATGGATGTTTATAACTCCCTCTTGGCTGCAAGACAGAGCAGGGCCTTGCATTCCTGTGCCTGCCCGCTGGGAAGCACATCAAAGCAGCTTTGTTTAAACTGGGACACACCCGCCCGACAGACCCTACGCCTTGCCCTTTTGGATCTTCTTACTTTTTTGGTGGAATCTGCAGTAAGCTCTGTGGCTGACCCCAGAGGTCACCCCACAAGCACTTTCCTGTTTGAAACTTGTTCCACCGGCCGCATTTCCACCGGCTCTGAGTCATTATCCTCCAGCCCTGACATCTACACTCCCATTAGATGAAAGGGCCTTACTATCTTCTACCATCCTGAACACAAAGGCAGCAGGGCTTTTTGTTGTTGTTTAGATTTGCTTCCCGTTTTTAAAAATAAAAACCTATGTTGCACATTTTTCTTACTATAAAAGCAATACATGTTTGTCATAAAAATATTCAAACAGCACAGAGAGGCAGAATGGAAAAATAAAAAGTGCCCTTTATTACAACAAACAAAGAGTAAGCACGTGCCAGCATGTTGGAATACATCTTTCTAGACTTTTTTCTCTGCAGAGATCTATCTGTTTAGGGTTGCAAAAGGAGATCACACTGAACATCCTAGTAATAAACTTGCTTTTTTCATTTGCCACTACGTTGAGAACGATTTTCCATGTCATTAAATATCTGCAAGATTTTTTTTTTCTATTTTGTAATATGAACAAAATTTGGTAGTTTTGCCTGAATAAAAGCAATTTTCCCTTAAAATATTATACCCTTTGCTCCAGCCATTGTTCTTCTGGAGGCCTTGCAGGAATCCCATGGGTCAATCAGAAGAGTGCACACTTGATTCTTTCCATTTGAAAACCAGGGACATGGCTAACATTTTCTCTAAACAGCTCCTTCCTAAGAGTTATGACTGTAACTGGTTTGGAGAGCTTCTTAACACTCCAACACAAATATGTTCCCATCTCTTTAATGTCTTCACGTCAAATTAGAAGAGGCCCAAGCCCTCGTCGCCAGGCCCCCTGCCTACCCCTACTACCATACAGGAAATGAAGCATGTTATCATCCCTCTTGGGAAACTGCCTCTCTGTGAACTCTACAAAACATGAGCCTTGAGGTCACAAACCTTAGAAGAAAAGGGTCAGCCCACCTCCCCCACTGACACCGAGAGCACTGGAGTCTTCCCTGCCAACTCCTGCCTCTGCTGTCTCTGCTTCTCACAGTGGGCTTTTGGTGTTTCAGGACCAACAGACTGTAAAGACCAAAGGAAAACTTCTCCTTCTCCCTTTGAAGATTTGCTGAAAAGAGGAAGATTAATAGGAGAAAAGGCATACAAATGTATTTGATGATAGTTTCACGTGACACAGGAGCCTTCAGAATGAAGACCCAAAGATACAGAAGAAATGGTCCATTTTTACACTGAGGTTTAACGAAATATGGACAGCCGTGTCGAAATATGACTGGACAAAAAGGGTGTGATCTAATGCTAAGAACCCGAGAAGGAAACCTAGCAAGGCCTGTCTGTCTAGATTCTTCTTGGCCTCTCTGAGCATGTGGGTTTTGTTTTGTTTTGTTTTGTTTTGTTTTGTTTTGTTTTGTTTTGTTCCAATCTGGGTATGGGGCAGGACCTTCTAGAATGGAGGTCTTATGGCCTACAGTCAAACAAGACAGGTCAGATCATTTTTTTTTATGGCCAGTTTTTACACAGAAAGGCAAAGGGAAAGTTAGAGTGATATTTTTAGATTTTACGGCTGGACTTGGAGTAAAGGGGTTCTGGCTTCTATGACCCACGTTGGGGAAGAGGGATTCTAGTTTCTATGGCAGCCTCAGGGGAGAATGGGACTGAGAGACAGGAGAAAGTCAGAGGAAAACTTTTGCTTCTGAGGTTGCTTCTGAGCCCATGATTTGGAGTAGTGTTTTCTGAGTCAGAACAAGACACTGCTGGCTATTGGTGGTGAAGCCCAGCCCAGGTATGGTCCAGCTCCAAGTACAGCAGCCACCATCCTGTGGAGAACGATGCCTCCACTCTCTCCACCGCCACCCCAGCACCAGCTGCCCTTGGCTTGTTGTCCAAGTCCTCAGCCCCTCCACTCCTATAGAAAGCCATTTCTTCCATGGCTTCAGCCAGGGGAACCAAATCAGAAATGAGTTCAGGAGCTCATCACTTGTTGACCAGAATCATTATTTATTCCATTTTCTTCCCCCAAGCATTCGTAGCCACACACCTGGAATTCATCATCTCCATTTCAGCACAGAAGTACAAAAGATTTACTCCATTCCTTTTCTGCTCAATAAGGACACCTGGGGAGTAATTGAAGGATTCAGACCCTGAAAACAAAGAATGCCACAGGCAGCTTTGCCTCTTTGACCCTGAAATATGAACAGTTACTGGCTTTCTGCTTTCTAAACAATCGAGAATGCTGACACCTAAGGAGAGACCAGACTCTCCAAGAGTCAGTCTGGGGAAAAAAAGGATCTTAACTCATGATAAGGCAGAAATCATTCCTCTACCTCAACTTATATGCTCAAAACACAAGCAAGGAAATAGCTTAATGTTTCTTGCTAAAGAAGTAAAAAACAAAATCCTTGCTAAATGTTAAGTGGGTTACCTTGCTATATAACAAAAATTAATCTTCAAGAGACCACTCCCTTTATTTTTAAATAAGCAATTACTGACTGTTTTTAAAGAAACAATCTGATGCCCTAAAAAGTCCCCAAGTTTGCAGTCAGAGAAACTAAAGTTTTCTTTTTCTACCACTAATCATCCATGTGACCTAGGGCAAAGTGTTCAAACTCTCTGAAACTCAATTTCCCTCTCTGCCTAAAACTGGACTTGCTCCTGGACCCTTAATACCCAAAGTCCACTAATCAAGAGGCCCTGCTTCTCCAGATGGTGCTTAAAAGTTCACTACCAATATTTGCCAGGGCAACTTATTTTTCTTTGCATTTTTATTCTATAATTGTCAGGGGAAAAACATGAAAACAATACAAATACTATAATCTACCAATTGTATGACTTTGAGCAAGCCGTTTAGCCTCTGAAATTCACTTTCCTCATTCATAATAATTACCAACACAGATTAGATAGAGCAGGCACTGGTCTAAATGTTTATGTCTATTAACTCATTTAAAGTTAAAAACTGCAACCGTATAAGGTAGGTGCTATTATTATCACTTTTACAGGTAAAGAAACTGGACAAAACAGGTAAAGTGGGTTTTCCAAGGTCACACAGCTAAGAGCCGCAGAGCTAATGTTCAAATCCAGACACTTTGGCTCCAGAGTCCACATTCTTAAACGTATGCCACATCACCTCTGACTTTGAGAATATGGAATGATGAGTTAGGCTTACCTCATAGGATTGTTGAAAGGATTCATTGTATACAAAGCATAATACCTGACACATACTATCTCCTCAATACATCAGAGTCAATATTACTACATTATTATTTTCTAGATTAATTTGATAAAGTTTTGTGGTGCTAGTTGAAAATTTTAAAACTGTGCAGCAACATAGAAAAACCCAGCCATGATTCAATGCATAGTGAATTTAAAGTAAAATATGAAATAGTATTATGTTTTGGTTATATCTATGTGCAAATTAATTGTATGCTTTGATAAGTGGGTCAATCCATTATTGCTGCATAACAAACAATATGCACTTATTTCTCATATGTCTGCTACTCAGCCATGGATCTACAAATATGGATGGGGCTTGGCCGGGCATTTTTGCTTTAAGCTGAAGTCCAGCTGGGCTTATCTCCTTCATGCAGGTTGGACTCAGGTCCATTCCTTACATATTCATTCTGGAGCCCAGAATGAATGGGCAGTACCCAGCTAGGGTAAGCTCTTCTCATAGCAATGGCAGTGGTTCAAGAGGGCAAATCCAACCGCACAAATGAACTTCAAGCCCCTACTTATGTCTACTAACATCCCATTAGCCAAAGCAAATGATGTGGCTGAGTCTAGAGTCAAGGTATGAGAAAGTACCCCCGTCTGAGGCCAAAGCAAGTCACATGGTAAAGCCCAACACCAACTGAGCAGGGAAGTATACTTCTCCCATGGAAGTGGAGGTGAGGAAGTAAGTATTTTTGAATTGTAATCTACCATAAGAAGAACCAACTAGAAATAAACTAAGAAGGATGAGTAACTAACTTGGTGAGATCATGGATGAGTCTTTTATATTCCTTTCTTTCCAAAATTACACTTATTATTTTGTCTTTAAGAGCGAGGGAGGAAAACAAAGGGAAACCTCAAAATAAATCAGTCCTAAAAGAAAAGGCTGAAAGGGAAGACTAACACTAAGCAACATTTGCTCATTCATTCAGCAAACAGTTGCTAAGCACCTCCTACATTCCAGGTAAATCACAGTTCCCTGTCCTGAAGCAGCTCACAGTCTAGCCAATGAGTGATAATGATAATGATGAGGACAACAATGATGATGATGATGATGATAATGATAGACAACATTTATTCAGTGTGCAATATCCCAGGTGCTGTGTTAATCCATTTGCATAATCTCATATACTCCCCACAAAAACTCAACAAAGCTTTTTAAAAAAGAAACTGAGGTACAAAGAGGTAAATGATTTATGCAAGGTCACATAGCTAGACTCAGCAGAGCTAGACTTCCAACCAAGCTGTCCAGCTTTGAACCTGCACTCTTGAATACTTCACTGCCCCGCCCCACCTTCAGACATATTCCCTGAACCCATCCCACCTCCATTCCTTCAGTACCAAACCCTCTCTCTGTCCCTGAATTAGAGGATCATTAACACAAAGTATGCCTTCTCTGGAAAATGTTGCAAACACAAAACCTCCTCTTTCAAATCTATAGTTAATAAATTAGATATTATAGGCAGGTGTAGGCAAAGGATGCTAGGCTTCAGTGAAGAAACAGAATTTCTAGTAAGCCTGGAGAAAAGAAGAATGAAGGAAAACTCAACAATATTCATTTTCTAAATTTATAGAGGCTGAGTAAATCCACTATAAGGGTGGTAACTAGCTTTTCTCCACCTCAAATGGAAACAGTAAAAATAAAAGGCTTGCACTACAGCATCAGGGAACTATATGAGGCAAAACTGAACATTCCAGATAATATGGCAAGGACTTTTTGCATGAAAAGAGACTACTAAGAGAAGTCCGACTGATTCCTTTCACAGAAGCAGGGTGGCCAAGCAGGTCAAGCAGGGTGGAGATGAATGAGATGACTTCTCAGGATACCCTACAATAATGATTATTCTACTCAAGTTATTTTGCTACCTCATTTTTTTTGAGGCAGCTTCCAGAATACGCCAAACAGCAGAGGTTGAGTGAAACACCAAATCCAGTTTAGACCACCAATTATTTCTTCCTTCTTGGCTTCCTAACCCTGCCTAGACCACCCTGGAGCCTGTTCTTTTGCAGGCTTAATCTGCGATGGCAGTTAAAAAAAGAGACTAACCTCCCACCCACCAAAACCCAAAACAAAATACCAGAACATGTGAGCCTTTATAAACACTGGCATCAAACTCAAGTATTTCAAATTCAATTATAGTATCCATTACTCAGTAGCTAAGACTGAAAATGTGCCTAAAAACCAACACCCTTGGGAGGCTGAGGCGGGTGGATCACTTGAGGTCAGGAGTTTGAGACCAGCCTGGCCAACATGCTGAAAACCCATCTCTCCTAAAAATACAAAAATTAGCCAGGCGTGGTGGCATGCGCCTGTAATCCTAGCTACTTGAGAAGCTGAGGTAGGAGAATTGCTTGAACCTGGGAGGCAGAGGTTGCAGTGAGCCGAGATTATGCCACTGCACTCCAGCCTCGGCAACAGAGCAAGACACTGTCTAAAAAAAAAAAAACACCCAACAAAGAGACCGTTTTGATGAGTCAAATATGAAAAGACCTTATCTGTGTTTAAATGTCTGATTCAGCCCATCACAAATGACCTGAGAAGTAGCCAATGAAAGGAATGGCTGAAGTTAAGCTTCAGACAGCCCCTCCAGAGAAATTCCACATGGAGACTGCCAGCAACTCCCTTTTCTTAGAAATAATAGGCAACCATATTAAGTGCAATAATAGAAAAACCACGAAGTCTGAGCTCTCCCTTTAAAACTGGGTCACTCAACCTACACAGGAACAGTTATCTCCCTGCCAACCTCACTCCACCTGGTGATTGGCATGGACCTGATTAACAACATGGAGGGGCTGGTAAAAATTCCACTGAGCTTTCACCAATGGTTTTCCAGGTATGTCAGCCCTTACGTTATCAGCAGGAAGAAAATTAAGAGATTAAAGAGGTAATATTTTTAATAGGGTTTTGTAATGCTTCCCCTTCACACAGACATAGCCTCAGCATGCAGTTGGCATCTGCTGCTTCTCCATCCCTTGTGCTGTTTTCACAGAAAGACCTCAGAAAAGCATTGATATTGGTGGAGCCCCCACCACCCTCATGGCTCTGGCTCTGTTGTCTGCTATGCAGGAAACCACAGACAATTCCACAAAGGTGGAAAGTAACCTGCAGTGTGTAGCAGGTGGGAAAATAAAGGGCAGTTCCCTGGAAGAGGCTGCAGGGGATCCAGGCTCCAAGGGCTCTGGGCTCCAATTAAATCAGGAGGTGGCTGGCCCTTTGATTACCTTTTCCTTGTGTCGCCTGGTCTCATTGTTTTACTGCTTCCTCTCCTCTTTCTTGATAATCTTATCGTAACTCCTGTCTAGACGTGACCTTAGAATCAATTCTTAAGAAGATGCCACCTTTAAAGAATGTGATCTGGGCCCCAGCTCCAGGCTGTGTCTCATAGAAGGAGGCCACGTTTTGGACTAGTTAAAGTATTTTATTTACCATAGTTAAAGTATTTTATTTACCATGGAATGAGGGTCACAGAGAGTACATGGAACAAAGTGGTGAGAGGAGGAGAAGGCAGAACCCGAGGGCGAGGATGAGGCTGTGGGAACAGAGTAAAGATCAAAGCAGGGAGTGCGGGACATGCCACAACCTGGATGAACCTTGAGGACATTATGTTAAGTGAAATAAGCCAGACACAAAAGGAATAATTCCACTTTTTAATCTGCCATCACAGATTAAGCCTGCAAAAGAGCAGGCTCCAGGGTGGTCTAGGCAGTGTTAGGAAGCCAAGAAGGAAGAAATAATTGGTGGCCTAAATTGGCTTTGGTGTTTCACTCAACCTCTGCTGTTTGGCATTTTCTGGAAACTGCCTCAAAAATTCCACACTGAATAATTCCACTCACGTGAGGTACCTGGAGTAGTCAGTTAGTAGAGGCAGCAAGTAGAAGAATGGTTGCCAGGGGCTGGGGAAGTGGAGAATGGGAGTAAATCTTTAATGGATATGAAAGAGCAAAAGGAACATCATCTCAAAATATAGCTCCCCAGTATAGTGAGTATTGTGAATTAAAAGCCCTTAGAGATCAAGAGACTTCTCCCCTGTCTACATAAAGACAGGATGGGCCCACCAAGAAGAATAATTGTTTTTCCTTACCCTCCCTGTTATCTCAGTACCTGTTGCAGAAAAAAATCAAGGCTGAGTGCAGTGGTTCATGCCTGCACTTTGGGATGCATTCATTCAGCACTTTGGGAGGCTCATTCAGCACTGTGGGAGGCATTCATTCAGCACTTTGGGAGGCTGAAGTGGAGGATTGCTTGAGTTCAGGAGTTCAAGACTAGCCTGGGCAACATAGTGAAACTAAGTCTCTACAAAAAATAGAGAAATTAGGTGGTGGCACACACCTGTGTTCCCAACTACCCAGGAGGCTGAGGCGGGAGGATCACTTGAGTCCAGGAGGTCAAGGCTGCAGTGAGCCATGATCACGCCACTGTACTCCAGGCTGGGTGACAGAGCGACAACCTGTCTCAAAAATTAAAAAAAAAAAAAAAAAAAAGAAAACCAAGAATGTAACCAGACATGATCAGACCCTTTCACAGAATAATGTCTATCCCTCAGGCTCATTCAGTATCCAAATAAAACCATTTACAAGTTAATCTCTGTTCCTCCATCCATTCATTCTCCCAAGTATCCATTCACTAATAATCATCTACTGTCCTTTGATAGAATTACTTACACTCCCCATTGCCTCCCTTCCTCTCCGCAATAAGGCTATAAAAGTATTTGGGCTCCACTGGTATACTGGGTAATCACTCAGTGATTCTCCCCTGTGTATATGTTAATAACTGTGTGTTTTCTTCTATTAATCTGCCTTTATCAGTAAATTTTTCAGTGAATCTTCCAAGGGCCAAGGAGAGGTTTTCCCTTTACCCCTATAGGTAAAGAGTTTCAGTTTAGGATGACGAAAAAGTTCTGGACACAGTTGGTGGTGATGATTGTACAACAATATGAATATACTTAACACCACTGAACAATATACTCAAAAAATGATTAAAATAGTAAGTTTTATGTTATGTACATCTTACCACAATAAAAAGAAAGATTTTTTTTTTTAAAAAAAAAGGAGGTATGGGAGAGATAGTTTAATTGTGTAAAAGATCTAGTTTGGCAAGTAGCAGATTCAATGTCACTATGAAAAATTTAGGAGCTGCAGGTGGGGGTAGGGGGTACAGCTGGACCACCAGGCCTCTCCAAGAAATGCCCTTCTCAATTGGGAACCTGGAATCTTTCCACTTAACTGAAGGAAGGATGAGTCCTTTGTTGGTAACTCTCCTAAGTACACAGCAGGCACCCTTAATTCCTGCTTAACCAGGAGGTGGCCAGGGACATGGTAACAAATCGAGTTAAACTTTCCTAGAGCTCCAAAGCCTGTCCAGAAAAGCTGGGGAATAAAAATGGAAAAGCATTAAGGGTTAATTGTGGATAAAGTCAGCCTTTCCATTGGGAATACAATATTTAGCCAATCTGACCCCATGGATATCATCAAACCCTGTGCAAGAAATCAAAATAGACTGTGGTACCCAGAACTGCAGCTGCAGATGAGCTCTGGTGAATGTGGCTAGGCAGAGTGTGCTCAGTGGGGCGACTAAGTCTGCCCCAGATCTCGCATCATTCACAAGTTGAACCCTTCTCGCATCATTCACAAGGTGAACCCTCCCAAACTTAGCTTGGAAACCACCACTGAGGGAGGCCCAGACTCAAAAAGGAGTTCAGGCTGATGGTTCACTGTGGCATCCTGTTTGCTGCAGGCAAGTATCTTTCCCAAGGGTTATTTCTGTCCCTGGCCTTAGCTTGTTTTTCCCAGTGCCGTTTCTTGGCTCTTAACATTTCTTCCATAGTTTATTAAAAACTGAGAGAAATCACCTAATAAATCTTTGTAACAATTTTTTTCCTTCAAACCTCTTCAACAATTGCCAAAGTTATAAAGCTGTATCTTTCCCACAGCAAGAGGCTAACAACATAGCTGGTGTGTTCATATAAACGTATAGATCAAGAAAACAAAATCTTTAATTATTCAGAACCTCCCACTCCTGGTACTAAATTTGCTTGCTTTGATTTGATTTAAAGAAGCAAAACAAACCTGAACAATACCAGTGAGCAAGCTACAACTGCAACCACCTTTGCATGAATGCAGGGCTGCCTCCCTTTGCATGGTAAAGACATGCATGAATAAACTGTCTTTCCTTGTTCATTGGAATATTATTGGAAGCACACCTAGCATTTAACTTTTAAAGCCCCTCACACACACAAAACCCTGCTCCCAATCCTGCTTTGATTTCTTTAAGTTATTGAATCACAGAATTTTGGAGTTTGAGAGGAATTCAGGCATCCTCTTTATTTTGAAATAACTCTTTATTTTCATGGGCTCACCAGATTCTAAGGATATTAAAAGTTATCTAGTCTGACTCAATTCTTCCCACCAAATGTCATAATTCACATACAAATCACTTTGTACCACAATAGTATTTTATATATACCTCCATTAGTACTTTGCTTATTTATGCAATTATTTTTTAATAAAAAGTTTAAACTTTGATGTATTTTTTGAAAAATGAATATGTTCACATAATTGGCAATGAGAAAGGTAAAAAGAGTATATCCTATAGCCAGCTAAGTCCCCACCCAAGATGGAATTAATGTTAACAATTCCTTAAGTATTCATTCTGAGACATTGTATGTTCAAAATATATTACTTTCTTCTCTCTTTTTTACACAAATGTTTTTATGCTGGTCTGTACCTGCACTTTAATATATGTTGGATGTTTTTCTTCATCGAACTTCATTATTTTAGACCATTCATGGTATACCATTGTATGGATGTACCACATTTGGGGATATTTTGGGTGCTTCCAATCTTTTTCATTACATACAGTTCTACAATGAATAATCTTATACTTTTGACATTTGGCACCATTGTTTCCTTGGGATAAATTTCCTGAAGTGGAATTTCTGGGTCAAGAGGTAAGTGCATTTGCAATTTTTATTAATATTGCCAAATTTCCTACACTAGTTTCTACTCTCAGCAACAGCATCAACACAGTACTGTTTTCCCTACAGCTTCACCAACAGTATGTTATTGATATGGTTGGGTTCCGTGTCCCCACCCAAATCTCATGTCAAATTGTAATCCACACATGTTGAAGGAAGAGCCTGGTGGGAGGTGATTGAATTATGGGGACGAACATCCCCTTTGCTGTTCTCTTGCTAGAGTTCTCATGAGATCTGGTCATTTGAAAGTGTGTAGCTCTTCTCTCCTTCACTCTCTCTCCTGCTCCATCATGGTAAGACATGCTTGCTTCTCCCTTCACCTTCCACCATGAATGTAAGTTTCCTGAGGCCTCCCAGCCATGCTTCCTCTACAGCCTGGCTGTGGAACTGTGAGTCAATTAAACCTCTTTTCTTCATAAATTACCCAGTTTCAAGTAGTTCTTTAAAGCAGTGTAAGAATGGACTAATACAGTTATCAAACTTTTTGACTTTTGCTGTAATTATTTACTTGCTCTCCCTGGCCCTACTCCCTCATTAGAATGTGAGCTTTTCAGAGTTTTTCAGAACCTAGCATGATATCTGATACATTATATATTTTCAATAAATATTTTATAAATACATGAATTAATGAATGTTAGGGTTTTTAAAATCAAAATTAGAAACCATGGCCCTCATTTTTCCATTATGTGAGTTTGGGTATGCTACATTTTATTTTATTTAAGTGTGATCCACTTGAACACATACTCTGAAAGGTTTACACATTCTTGGAGAAAGAAAATTTATTCCATCTCTCTTGCTCTACTGCCTATTGTTATTGGAGAGTCAGGACATTTAAATGTTCTCTTTCATGAGTATCTTATTTCAAATATCTGGTGATGACTCCCTTCTTAGAGCAGAAAATAAAATCACATACATGTATCCAGCAAACCCCAATCCACATCTCTCTTTTTCTTCTTCTCCTTCTCCTTCCTTCTTCGTTTCTCCTTCTTTCTCTCCTCCTCCTCTTTTTCCTTCTTCTCTTCCTCCTTACACACACACAGCTAAGGCAATCTCACCCCATTATCCAGCACTTGAAAACCAGCTTCCTCTGCTAATATGCCCTGGCCTGAGGGCTGAATGCCTGTTTCCAGAGGCAGCAGGACCACAGTATGCTCCACCCAGGTGCTCCATCTATAGATTGACTTTTTCACAGGCTAGGTTTTCCAGGAACCAGACTCTTGGAGGCTCAATGAGCTTAAAGGACATTTACCAGGGTATGTGCTTGGGATCATTGCCTGTAGAAGGAAAGGGAGGGAAACAAAAGTGGGCAGAGGGAGAGGCTGGGCTGCAGTGCAGTCTCAAGGAAAGCCTCATACACCTCTGTGGAGAGTTCTGGATCTGGGATGGCCTTTCAGAGCTGTCCCAAGTAGGGACAAAGGAGCCAGGCTTTTAGACCCCCTGTTGATCCGTTATCAGGCATGTGCAGACCCTGAAAAGGGGAATACTCTTGGATGAGGCAGCCCTCATCAGCCAAGGCAATTCCTGGAAGAAACTGACAGCTGGAGGCCATCTGCCAACAGCACTCCTGCAGCTGAGGGAAAGCACCTGATGGGGGATCCTGGTCATCTGTTGGGTTTTCCCTGAAATGAGAGGCAAGTTTTCTTCCCAGGACTTGCCAGAGGCTACCCATCAGCTTTCCTATTTTCCACTAATGGCAGACCATGGCAGTAGTTTGAAATGTTAACCCTACAGTGAAAAGTGCTGCATGCCCTCCTCACACATCCTCTAGGCACCAGGGAGACCTCTGTCTCTGCTTGCATTGCACAACTGGACAGCAAAGTGATTAGCCATTGAAAGCAGTCGGTAAACTGTAGGATATCAAGTCTGGGTTCAGGCCCCAATCTGCAGCTGCTGCTTTAAGGGGGAACCATGCCAAAGCAAAGAGGGAACCATGCCAAAGCAAATAAATAAAAAAATAATATGGCTATGTGGCAATTGACCCACATAGACAAGATCTCTCCCTAACACAGGGTTCTAAGAGTGGGAATGAGTGTCCCACTGCCCTCTGAAAGCTGGCCATTCCTACAACAAAACTTCCCATACAATCAGGCTACCAGCCTTGATTCTGGGCTAGATGTGATGTCTGAGCATGAAAGAACTCTACCATAGAGGTGTGGAGGGAAAAATGACTGAGAGAGTGCAGCCCCAATCAACTTGAACTTGAAACTAGTAGATCTTGCCACAGGTGGCTTTCAAAATTGTTTTGTTTTGCTTTTGTTGTTGTAACCAAAATGTGAATTAGATATTTAAAATCTAGATAAGTTTTGCTTAAAACCCCAGAGTTTTAAGTGTTTAAAAGCACAGTTAACTCTATCCTCCTCTTATAGATTATCTCACAGTTCTTGACCACATTGACCTAGGCTTGTAACTTACCCTCTTCCTCAATGTCCGTAATTTTAAAATCTCACCCAAGGCACTGTGGCTTCTTATAAACATGACTGAAGATCTGGGAGGAAGATGAAGGAATAAATCATATTGCAGATACCCAAACGATTTGAGTTGAACTCTGTGTATGTTTTCTAGGGACCCAAACGATTTGAGTTGAACCCTGTGTATGTTTTCTAGGGCTGTCGTAACAAAATACCACAAGCTGGTTGGCTTAAACAACAGACATTTATTTTCTCATCCTTCTGGAGGCCAGAAGTCCAAGGTCAAGGTGCTGGCTGGGTTGGTTTCTTCTGAGGCCTCTCTCCTTTATTTATTTATTTTTTTTAAGAGTTGAGGTATCACTTTGTCATTTAGGCGGGAGTGCAGTTGCGCGATCACAGCTCACTGTAACCTCAAACTCCTGGGCTAAAGGGATCCTCCTGCCTGAGCCTCCTGAGTAGCTAGGACTACAGGCATGCACAGTCATCCTTGGCTAATTTTTTTATATTTATTTTTGTAGAAACAGGGTCTCACTATGCTGCCCAAGCTAGTCTCAAACTCCTGGCCCCAAGCAATCTTTCCACTCTGGCCTCCCAAAGCACTAGGATTACAGGCATGAACCACTGCACTCAGCCTGGCCTCTCTCCTTCACCTTCTCCCTGTGTCTTCACATGGTCTTCCCTCTCTGTTTGTGTCTGTGTCCTAATCTCCTCTTCTTTTAAGGACACCAGCCACATTGGATTAGGGCCCACAACAACCACATTTTAACTTAATTACCATTTTAAAGGCCCTATCTCCAAATATGATTGCATTCGGAGGTGCTAGAGCTTAGGGCTTCAACATATGAATTTGCAGGGAGACAATTCAGCTCATAACAAACCCTCAGCCTGTCCATTGTTAAGTGTCCTCCAGTATCTTCCCCACCAGGAGGTAGCTGCATCCCCACACACTTCTCCAGCCTAACCACACCTCTCTCTACTCCAGGTTGGCAAACTCTGTCTGTAAAGGGCTAGACAGTAAATATTTTAAGCTTTGCAGACCATATGCGCTCTGTCCCAACTACTCAACTCTTCTATGGCAGCATGAAAGCAGCCAGAGATAATATGTAAATGGGCAATGCAGCTATGTTCCAGCAAAACTGTATTTATGGACACTGAAATTTGAATTTTGCATAATTTTTTATATCATGAAATATTATTACTATTTGTATTTTTTCAACCATTTAACAATGTAAAAACCATTCTTTGCTCATGGCCCCATTGAAACAGATGATGAACCAGATTTCTTTTGGCCAGTGGGCTATGATTGGATGGCCCCTGCCCTTTCCTCTTCTCTGTCACACTGCTCTCCTTTGACATCTCCCGCATTACCATACTCTCAGAACTTACCCTGTTCCCCACCAGGCTCACCATAGTAATTTCCAGCACAAAGACAGTTTCCTTCCTACTAGAAATTCTGCTGCCAGCCGTTAGATAATAAATTATTTAGGGCGATATCCCTTCTTGATTAAAAAGTCTTTTTCTTACTGTTGCAGAGTAAACAAGACTCACATTTCACAATTAAATAACTCATTTCATGTGCTCTTAGAGAGACTTTTCTCAAGCATTTTCTGGGTGCCAAGTACCATGCTAAGCAGACCTGAAGAACCATTCAATTTGCACAGGAACCCCATGAGATAAATATTATTATTAACTCCATTTCGCAGACAAAAAAAAGACTCAGGTTCAATTAAGCTGAGTAAATATCTCAACATTGCACAGCTAGTAAGTGATGGAGGCAGATATAAAACCAGGTCTCCCAATCCAGACTCTTAACTGATAATGCTATATAATTTCCAAAAGTTCATTTCCCCTCTGGGGACTATGAATCATGATATTGGGTTGTCACAGCAGTAAGAATCTTGTGGCAGAGACAGCAAAGTGCCCCTTCATTATCCAAGCTCCCCTTCTTTCTTACTAAAAGAATCCCACTCCTCTTTTGGGATGACAATATGCCCAGCCAGAAGGGCACATTTCCCAGCCTTCCTTGACCAATGAGATGGAAGCAGAAGTCATTGGAAGGTGTCTTCTGATAAGTTCTTTAAAAGGGAATAAGTTAGTAAGCACCCTCTCCCATTCTTCCAGCCTGAGATACAAACATGATGGCTGGTGTCTCAGCTACTATCTTGAGCTCTTGTGGAAAAAGGATGACACCTAAGAATGGACAGGATGGATTTCCAGAAGCCTGAGCCTGTGATCATGGAGCTTCCACATCAGCCCTCAACTACTTACCTTAGGATTTCTCTCCACGTGAAAAAATAAAACCTTTAATAATTGTTTAAGCCACTACACGTCAGGCCTCTGTTATTCATGGCCAAAAACAATTCCTGTCTTATCTTAGCCTTCTGTGACACTCACACTCACACTACACTTGGAGGACTCACTCTTGGGTATCATTCCCAACTGGTCTTCTTAAGAAGCGTTTGTGAACCATGTCAGCTGGCATTGCCCTGAGCTACACCCTGATACGAGACATGAGATGGACTCCTCATCCCTGGCTGTTACCCTGGGATGGTCAAGCCTGTGGCTACTGGTGCCTGACCAGGACTGAGAATTTCTTATTCTAAACTATTTTTACTTACAATCCCTCAGGCACCAAATGTGTGGCTTTTTCCCCTCACACCAACCAATTCTCCAACACCAACAGGGTATCTTGAAATTCAGTTCAATTCTGACACTAACTACGCAGAGTTAGCAAAGACCCCAGAGGGTAAGGCCTCAGTCCTGCAAGGCTGCCCCCACTTTAGACACCAATAGGAAGTTCCAGGCCTCCCATATTTCTGCTGAAAGGCTGTAAATAGGAGATTCCCAAGGCCCCCCTCCTTAGGTTTGATAACTCATTAAAATGGCTCCTACAACTCAGGAAGGCACTTTACCATTACCGGTTTTTTTTTTTTTTTTTATAAAGGATGCAACTCAGGGACAGCCAAATTGAAGAGCTGTATAGGGTAAGGTATAAGCAAAAGGACACAGAGCTTCCATGCCCTCTCCAGACACGTCACTCTCCCCAGCACCTCAATGTGTTCACCAACCTGGAAGCTCTCTGAACCCCATCAGTTAGGGTTTTTATGGAGTTCCATTACATAGGCCTGATTGACTAATTCACTGACTGCTGGTGATTAACTCAATCTCCAGCCCCTCTCCCCTCCCTGGAGGTTAGGGGTTGGGGGTGATAGTTTCAACCCTCTAATCATGGCAACCAGCCTCCATCCTGAAACAGCCTAGGGCCCCAACAAGAGTGACCTCATTAGGACAAAAGATTGTCTTATCACCTAGGAAATTCCAAGGGATTTAGGAGCTGTGTGATGGAAACTGAGGACAAAGAACAAATATATATTTATCACAATTACCCAATGACTACCTGGACACTGGCTCCAGAATCCTGGCTTGTAATGGCTCCTCATCCTCTCGTGGCCTCCCTAAACAGTGAATCTGGGGTCAAGATAACCTAATACAGTCAGCAGCTGTTATTACTCCCTTGTTTGTACAGTTATTTACAGTTTACAAAACACATTCATGACTAATATTGCTTTTAATTGTTAACAACAATTTTGACCACTGAACAGGGATGGTAGTGGTTTGTATCCCCATTTCAGAGATAAGGAAACTATACCTTGGGGAAACTAAGGCATTTGCCCAAGGCCAGAGACAGGAGGCACACTCAGCCACTTGACCTCATTCTTGCCAATAGGCCAGTGTTTCAAAAAACTTCTTAGATTCTATTGAGAAAAGCCTGAGACAGGGTTCAGTTCTTTGTTGCAAATTTGGCCACTAACCGCCTGTCTCCATCCGACATATGAACTACTCATCATCATCAAAAGGCTGATTTAGCCACCTGAAACAAGTGCATGGCTACATGTTGTTAAAAATCAGTTAAATCAACACCATCTGTGTCCATTGCACATTTACTCTCTTCCATAGGCAATGTTGACATGAACAAGCACTGAGCCTCCAGTAAACATCCAACAGATGAATCGCTTGTGAGAACAATGGCAGTCGTTTCACTGCTGCTGTGAGTTTGGCAGAAGACAGTGACAAGTGAGGCTGAGAGGATGCTGGCACACAAAGAAGAGAAGACATGAAAAGAAATTGGCACTTCCCAATTAGGAGAGGCTTCTTGGGGAAGAGAGAGTGTCAGATGCTGTTTAATTCAGGCATGAAACAAGTTGAGAAAGATAAGTGGCAGTTCAGACATAGGTAGAAATGGGAAAATAGTAAGAGCTAACGATATATTTGCACTGTACTAGACAGGGTTCTTAAGTGTGGGAAAAAGAAATTGGCTCTGACTGATGTAAGCACAAAGGGAATTTGTTGAAAAGATACTGAGTAACTTTCATAATTGTTAACAATTCTGGAGGTCCAGGCTCTGAAAATGGACAGAAAGAAAGAGATGGGAGGCAGCCACAACTACTGAAAATCCTGCCACACAACTAGTCTAGCACTGGACACAGTGTATGAGTTAGCTACTTCTACAATAATGCTGTTTAGCAAACAGTGTGACATGCAATAAGTGTGGCTCATGGGCTTGGGGTCCCTTAGAGGCTGGTGAGCAGCTCTGACCTCTTACCTGGGCCACTCAGGAGGCTCCAGGTTGGTGAGCAATTGGATTTTCTAGGCTGGCATCACGTGGGGCAACTGGGACAATTTAGCTCTGCTCCACACGTCTCATTCTCCAACAGTTCTATTCTCATGGTGATGGCAAAGCAATCACAAAAGTGCCCAAAAATACCTCTTGAGGCCTAGGCTCAGAACTGGTGTCACCATCACTTTACAAGTCAAGGCAAATCACAAGAACAGCCTAGGTTTAAGGAGTGGGGAAATGGATGCTCTTTGGTGAGAGGTCCTATAAAACCACTCAACAAAAGGCCTGATACAGGGGGTAACAAATTGAGGCCATTGATGCAATCAATCCATCACACACAGGAAGCCACCGCTAGCACCACTGCCCCTTCTGCCCTGAAACTACACCTCAA
Organism: Homo sapiens; assembly: GCF_000001405.40. Taxonomy (NCBI): domain Eukaryota; kingdom Metazoa; phylum Chordata; class Mammalia; order Primates; family Hominidae; genus Homo; species Homo sapiens. The sequence goes on from NC_000003.12 coordinate 31,306,502, forward strand.
CTCATCACTGCCGATATCAACCTATGTGGGTTCTCCATGCTTCTTTGTATCCCAGCTCCAGATCCAGGGTTCCAGGCAAGTATATCAGAGTAGTTGGGTGCACATCGTGTGATTGCATCCTTTAGGCACAGAGGCACCAAGAAAGCAAGTATGTCAGCTTGTTTTACTTTCTTAATAGGAGATAGGCTCTATCTCGCATCAAGACCCATGAAGTAGTGAATACCTCAAACATAGAAATGGAGTTCAGATGCTAAATAGCCAAAACTCTGACAGTTCTTCCTCTAAACCACCTACGTCTGTTATGGTATATTGCAGACTGTCCTCAATCTTCATCCCTCCTTCATATCCATACCTTTTGCCATATAGCTTTGCCATGACCTCCCTCCATGAGCAGGGTGGTCTGCCTCACTCTTTGACACTGCACTCAAATCAGCCATTTGCTCATGTTGGCCTATGGGATGTCAGCAGAAGTTTCATAAGCAGAAGCTTACAATGAACTTGCACATTAGAACTTGTTCTGCATCTCTGCCACCATGATGGGACCATTCCCAGGCTAGCCTGAGAGAATGAGAGACACATAGACCAGAGCCAAGGTACCCAGATTAACTCTCCTAGATCAGCCAGCTGACCACTAGACAAGCTACAGACATGTGAACAAGTCCATTGCAGACTAATGGAACCACCTAGCCAAACTTCAGTGGACTCAAACCCATGAGCAATAAATACTTATTGTTAAATGTCCTTGAGGTTTTGTAGTTGTTCATTATTACATAGCATTATTGTGACAATGAGTAATGGATACAGTCAGCCAGCAGTTTGCATATACATAAGTGCATTTCATTCTCAACCTGAAAGTTAGATATTAGAATCTTCATTGACACAGAGAGAATAGGTAAACTGCCTTAAGTTTGGGCAAGATTTCACAGTGGTCTGTGTACAACAAAGCTGTGCTCCAGATAATTCTGCCCTGGAGCGTGGTTAGAAAGGAGTTCACAACACTGACCTGAGCCTCTGGGATAAAGCATTTCTTCCCTGGGCCAAAAGTGACTCTGAAATAAACCAGAAAGACTTGGACAATAACCAAGAAACTATTCCAAGGCTAATCCTACTACAGTGAATCCTTGGAACAGTGCAAGGTCATTCCCTGTCCTGGAAAGTTCTTGAGATAAGAGAACTGCCAACAAGGACCTAGAAATCCTTCAATTGCTTGTGGTTTCTCATTGTAACTGGCTTAGCTGTGATAGGATTTGGTCTGTCTCCTGCTCTTAAAGGGCTAAGAATGTTTAATGAATACAGATAACTCCATAGGACCTAAGCTAGTACCATAGATGCAGTGGGTTGTAACAACTATCAGAATGCCTGGCACACTGCAGGTGTTCACTAGACACTGGGCCCCTCCCTCGTCCACTCATACTGCATATTTAAGAAATCATAACACCAAGCCATTTTATTTCTGCAAATCACAGCTCTTAGAACCTGACATACCCAAAGTTATGTGTTGGTTCAACACACTGCACTTGATGCCAAGAACACAGAGACCTAGAGCCGAGCTTGAGAACCTTAGAAGTTCAGAATCTAGTGGCAAACACAAGTTCTCAGAGCCAGATTTAATTACTAACCTAAGATAATGTCACCATAGTGCCAGCTGAGCTATCACAATACCACATTTGGGGAAAATAAATTTATGTTATGTTAAAAGGTGATTTTATTCAGTTAATCTCTATCAAAAGATATAATCATTGATTTTAAATTTTTATAAAGAAAAAGATACCATTTTAATTTCCTGCAGTGTCAAAATATTGTTAATTTTCCATTTTTAGTGCACAAAAGTTGGAATCTATATTAGCTTTGACACATATCTACATTTGCCTAAGCTCACAAAGCCATAAAAATGCCATTTTACAGTTGAAAATATAAACTTTATAATAAAATAAAAGCTAAATTTATTCATTTATTTAAACTCTGTTAATGACATCACAAATTATTATTTTAGCACTTTTGAATAAATAGCATTAAAAGTAAAGGGTCTTTTTCCAGGCAACTCCTGTCTGCAATGCCACATTTTGAGGAAAATTGGCAGAAAGTTCAAGGAAAATATAACAAGGCAAAATCTAGAGAAAGAGTTGCTATAATAACAAAGTTGAATTGCCAAGAAGTCTTTAACTTTATTGCATGCATGCACCAACCAGCATTTAACAGTAAGACCCAGTTGTATGATCCCTATCATCTCATTCCAGGGGTAATTCTGAAACCATTTGAAGAGTCATCCAACTTTATTGTTGCTTTCAAAGTCATTTCTTTGAAGTTTTGTCTGTCCAGGCATGAGTTCCCAATACAAACCTTACCTTAGATGATCCAGGTAGTAGCATCACAGGATGAAGTCTTCATCAAAATGGCCAGCTGCTGTGCAGCAGGAAGTGGGGTTCTGAGGAAATGAGACAGGAAAAGCTAAGTTTGGATGAAGGCAAAGTTCTGAGGAAAGACTGAACCCAGGCACAGCTGAGCAGGCAAGGCAGGTGATCAGCTGGTGACATGCCCTCAGGTAGCAGGAGGATTCTGAGTGTCTCTGGGGCAGGGCTGGGGGAGGGGATGAGAAGGAGACCATGTCTACTCAGTCAATGACTTCAGTGAATGACCCATTTTACTACAGGGCAATAACATCTTTGACTACAGTTATTCCATCCAAAGTTAAAATTGCAAAGTCAAAATTACCCTTGAAAATCCATCAAATTGCCCATAAAGTACATGCATTTTTCTCTCTTGAATCTTGTAGCTAGATTTGTTACAGCCATATTTACTTGCTCCATATTGGAAACCAAAATATTGGTACCCTTCACTGAGCCCATCACAGGCAGGTTTTCCTCCAGTGTTGGATTCCCTATTTTTTTGAATAAGTACCACATGAAGTAGCTGGCTTGTGTTAGAGGCCATGTTGTAAGAAATAATACACATATTTAAACACCAACAACATACTTAATGTAGCAAGAGGTGTATATTATAAGAGGCATATGGGACTCAGGCCAAGTAGGAAAGAGCAGATTTAGCTTTGTGACAGCAGACCTAGTCCAGGACGGGAATTTATAAAGCTGAATATAGACAAAATAGCCCACACTATTTAAATGACTTTTTCCTTTTTTGGAGGGAGGAGTGAGATCTGTATATTTGAATTTTTATAACTTAAATTGGAATATGATGTAATTGAACTATGCTTTTAAATTTTGCCTAGACCTGCACTTTCTAATACAGTAGCCACTCCAAATTGGGATATGCTGTTAAGTATAAAATAACACACTGGATTCCAAAGACTTTGTACACAAAAATGTAAAATATCTTATCAAAAATTTTGATATTGACATCTTGAAATTATAATATTTTAGTTGTATTGGTTTAAATTAAATCTTATTAAAATTATTTTCACCTGTTTCTTCTTACTTTTTATTTTTATTTATTATTTTTTTTTGAGACAGAGTCACGCTCTGTCACCCAGGCTGGAGTGCAGTGGCAGGATCTTGGTTCACTGCAACCTCTGCCTTCCAGGTTCAAGTGATTCTCCTGCCTCAGCCTCCCGAGTAGCTGACATCACAGGCACCCACCTAATGCCCAGCTAATTTTTTTATTTTTAGTAGAGACAGGATTTCACCATGTTGTTTGACCTCCTGACCTCAAGCGATCTGCCTGCCTTGGCCTCCGAATGTGCTGAGAAGATTACAGACATGAGCCAATGCTCCCAGCCTATTTCTTCTTACTTTGTTTTAACATGGCTACTAGCAAATTTAAAATTACATGTGGTTCCTATCAGACTTCTATTGGACAGTACTGGCCTTGACAAAGGACCTACATTTAGTTTGAAATTATCTTAGACTGAAAGTGAATTGCTAACAAGTGTTAAACTTGATAAAATTATTTTAAAACTGTTCATTTTCTTCAACAATTCTACCAGATTTAAGAAAGAATTGGTTCAAACTCTCTTCTGTATTTAAGCTGATAATGCAGGTTCCCCTGACCTCTTTTATTTTACAAATGACTTCAGAATGGTCAAGTCCCAGAATCTACAGTATCTGTGCATCACAAAATGTTCTATTGATCTTGAAGTCTGAATTTTTTGTGTTCAACAGAACTGCATCTAATTTTTAAAGTTTTAACTCCTTTTTTTGTTTTTTGTTTTTTTGTTTTTACATTTTGTAGACATAGGAACTTGCTATATTGCCCAGGCTAGTCAAACTCCTGGCCTCAAGTGATCCTCTGACCTCAGTCTCCCACAATGCTGAGATTGCAGTCATGAGCCCCTGGGCCTGGCCTAATTTCTTTTTTTCTGCATGTCACAAATTTTATTCAAATATGTAGAAATTATCTTCGTTCCAACATATTGTGAAAAACTTAAAACACGCAACTAACATGCATACAATAAGAAGAGGAAAGACCTAGATAACTGGCTCCAACAGACTGTATCATTTGAAGTGAAGGGAGTGAGATCTAAACTACAGACCAGCCCCTCACCACATTGTCCCATTGTTTAAATATAAGCTACACAGAATAATATACGCAGCAAGGAGAAGCTGGAGACAGGTTGGATGGTTGCCAAATGCCAATTTTCTCATCCTAAAGAAGGCACCTTGCATCTTTATTATTCTAGTTTTCAACAAGCAAATAAAGGGTTCCTAGCTAAGAATGTGCACTAAATACATCTACTGGAGAAAAATAAGAAATTGAAAAAATATTAAATAGATGAAACAAGTGATAAGACAACTTTAACCATGTGTTGCTGAATCACCTCTGTAATCATTCTGTTCTTCGTGTTTTTCATTAAGGTTTTTATAAATGACACAATAATAGATTTTTTTGTCTGCCAACTCTCTGCAAAAATTAAGATGAATTTATAAAAAGTTTTCAACTTCTTAAGTACAAAGTAGAGAATGTTATTTTGAGAAGAAGTACACAATCAAAGGCCATTGGTAGGAAAAGTACAAGTTCTACCTAGAAAGGATGTTCAGGGACAGTTGGGTTAGCCACACCAGTAGAATGAAGCTGTTACCAGAAAGGGGTCCCAATCCAGACCCTGACAGAGGGTTCTTGGATCTCACCCAAGAAAGAATTTGGGGCAAGTTCATAAGTAAAGTGAAAGCACATTTATTAGAGAAGTAAGGAGATGAAAGGATGGCACAGGCAGAGTAACAGCATGGGCTGCTCAACTGAGTACACTTATAGTTACTTCTTAATTATATGCTAAACAAGGGGTGAATTATTCATGAGTTTTCCAAGACAGGGGCAGACAATTTCCGGAACTGAGGGCTCCTCTGCCTTTTAGACCATACAGGGTAACTTCTGGATGTTGCCATGGCATTTGTAAACTGTCATGGCTCTGATGGGAGCGTCTCTTGGCATGCTAATGTATTATAATTAGCATATAATGAGCAGCGAGGAGAACAGAGATCACTTTCATGGCCATCTTGGTTTTGGTGGGTTTCGGCCGGCTTCTTTACTTCACCTTGTTGTAAAGAGTTTTTACAGGGTCCTTGCAGAGTCTTTGTGACCTTGTGCCACGCTTCTATCTCATCCTGTGACTAAGAATGCCTAACCTCCTGGGAATGCAGCCCAACAGGTCTCAGCCTCATTTTATCTAGACCCTATTCAAGATGGAGTCACTCTGGTTCAAACACCTCTGACAAAGGCATCAAAGGCCCCTTGTCCTCAACATGACCTTTCCAGAAAAATGCCTTTTCCTGTTCTCATTATAGCAGATAACATCAGTGCCCCTCAGATCTCTTCAGATCAGATCCATTTTTACCGTGTTTATGTTCCTGCCTTCAGTGTGTGTGTGTGTGTGTGTGTGTGTGTGTGTGTGTGTGTTTCCAGCAGACAGCACCTGATGATCTTTCTTGGATGGCTGCCCTTAGACTACTGAAGCCCATTTTGCCCCCACGGACAGAAAGTTTAAAGTGCCTGATAATTTTTGTGCTTCCACCCTTGACCCTTCACCAATGATGCATGGGTGTGGGCGCCTTAACTAGGGACAGTGCTGAGGCAGATCTTCCCCTCCAGAGCTCACATGCAGACCCAGCCTGAAGCTCTTCTCTGTAGAACTCTGAGATTGTGCAACTGCTTGGTTTTTCTCTCCTTTCCTGTCCTGCTGCCTCACTCTCTTACTGGGTTCCCCTGGGAGCATTTCCTGAAAATATCACTTGGCACACAAACCAAGGCAGCTCAGGGACTGCCTTTGAAGAACCTAACCTAAGATATCCATCAACCCAGATCCTCTCATCTCTAAGTGCAACAGGCCTTAAAATCCTAAGTGAGGAGGGACACAGGCCCCCACTCCACCTTCATATTAGGGATGTTCAGCATGGGCACACTATGAACTGTCTTTCCATTACTCTAAGGTGACCACACATGCTGGTATTTGCTATCCATCCCAAGGGAATAAACAGGCATCTCAGATTAAAGTTTTAAGAAGGTTTCTTCTGGATTTTCCTACCGCCACAACCACTACAAATCATTACGTGAGCTGTGACGTGTGGAATTGAATTACGACAGTTAAAATTCGCTAAACTTTAGCAAAAGAAATTTTAGAACCTTTATCATTAATTGGACTTGGAGCTAGAGGTAAGACTGAGATAAACAAGACAATTTTTTGAGCCTGAAAAGGTACAATTACCATAGACCAGGGCAGGACAGATGCATGATTTATGTTCCAAACCACTTGAAGCAGGTATGAGGAGCCCAAGAGTCGGGAATGGTGGCAGAAGGAAAGGGGCTGGCAGGGAAGGCAGTTATCACTCCTACCTCTCACATTGTAGTCCAGCAGCATTGGCATCACCTGGGAGTTTAGCAGAATTCAGTCTCAGGCCCCACCCCACGCCTACTGAATTAGAATTTTATTTGTATGCACATTAAAGTTTGATGTGTTCTTACCAGCCTCGCTATCACTTTAGCAGCTACATACACATGATCATTGCACTCTGGGCTTTCTCCCCTTTCAGGCAGGCTTCCCTAGCACCTGCCAACTACCATTTGGAAGGGACTGTTCTAACCCACCCTCCACTCTCCTTTACCCCCACTGGCCTTTTCTCATTGGCTCCATTGCTGAAATGGCCAACATTATTCTCATTGCCAATATCTTCCTTGCCTCATGGCCTTTATCTGTGCTGTTTTTCTGCCTAGAACATTCTTCAACTGGCCAACCCAACTCTTCGATCAGGTCTCAGCTTAAACATCACTTCCTCCTATCACTCACTCTAATATAAGTGCCCCACCATTCTCTCTTGTGGTCCACAGTTCTTTTCCTTCAGAATAGTCATTACAATTTGTAATTAGAAATTAGCTATCTACCCCACCCCCCAGATTGTTCAGGGTGGAACCATGTATGTTTCTTCACTGCTGTATACCTGGCATCTGCACAAAGCCTGAATCACAATAAGGACTCAATAAATACTGTTCAAATGAATAAATAATTAAAACCAGTTTCTTTCCTGCAAGACTCTCAGATGCTAATAAGCCTCATCAATCTCCAAGAGAATAGTAAAGTATTCAGTGTTTCTCAAACTAATTTGTCTCTGCAGAAAACCTATTAATGTTGTAGGGAACAGGGTTCTACAGAACACAGTTTGGAAAATCCTGGGGTAAGTAAAGGTGAGAGAAGGGAGTGTTTCTAAAAGTCAGAGCATCACAGAAATCTAGGGAAGATAAATATATATATATATGAGTACTTACTTTTAGAAGCTCTTAGAAGAGAAGCACTATAAAGATTATACTGTGTTCCCATCACATTGTATAAATCGCCCAAATCTTGGTGTGAAGATCCATCCATCAGTGAAGACAACCAGAGGAGCATTACAGACTCCAGAGCCATCAATGGAGAGATAGAAGAAGACCTGAATCCCCGGCTACTACCACTGTAAAACAGCAACATTTTTAGAAAAGCTACATTATAATCATTTCAAAATTAATTTGCTGAGTCATCTTTCCCTGGGATCACCACACAGTACAAATATGTCATGTCAGTCACTAAAAGGGCAGAAATAAATTATATTTGAGAAGAACACAAAATGAAGGTGTTCTGGTTACTGTTGTTGGGTAACAAACTGATATAGTTTGGCTCTGGATCACCACCCAAAATCTCATGTCAAATTGTAATCCCCACATGCCAGAGGAGGAGCCTCATGGGAAGTGACTGGATCATGGGGATGGATTTTCCCCTTGCTGTTCTCGTGATACTGAGTGAGTTCTCACGAGATCTGATGGTTTAAAAGTGTGTGGCACTTCCCCCTTAGCTCTTTCTCTCTTTCTCCTGCCACCATGAGAAAAAGGTCCTTGCCTCTCCTCCACCTTCTGCCATGATTGTAACTTTCCTGAGGCCTCCCAGTCATGCTTCCTGTTAATCCTGAAGAACTGTGAGTCAATTAAGCCTTTTTCTTCATAAATTACCCATCGCAGATAGTTCTTTATGACAGTGTCAGAACAGACTAATGCAGAAAATTGGTGCCAGGAGAGTGGAGCACTGCTATTAATATAAAAATACCTGAAAATGGGGAAGCGACTTTGGAACTGGGTAACAGGCAGAGGATGGAACAGTTTGGAGGGCTCAGAAGAAGACAGGAAGATGTGGGAAGTTTGGAACTTCCTAGAGACTTGTCAAATGGTTTTGACCAAAATGCTGATAGTGATATGGATAGATATGGCCAGACTGAGGTGGTCTCAGATGAAGATGAGGAACTTATTGGGAACTGGAATAAAGGTCACTCTTGCTATGCTTTAGCAAACAGACTGGCAGCATTTTGCCCCTGCCCTAGAGATCTGTGGAAATTTGAACCTGAGAAAGATGATGCAGGATATCTGATGGGAGAAATTTTTAAGCAGCAAATCATTCAAGATTTGTCCTGGATGTTTCTAAAAGTATACACTCATATACATGAAGAAAGAGATCCTCTGAAATCAGAACTTATATTTAAAAGGGAAGCAGAGCTATAAAAGTTTGGAAAATTTTCAGCCTGACCATGTGGTAAAAAAGAAAAACCCATTTTCTGGGGAGAAATTCAAGCCTGCTGCAGAAATTTGCATAAATAAGGAGTAGTTTAATGTTAATAGCCAAGACAATGGGGAAAATGTATCCAGGGCATGTCAGAGATCTTTAAGGCAGCCTCTCCCACCACAGGCCCAGAGGTCTGAGAGGCAAAAATGATTTCGTGGGCTGGGCCCAGGGCCCCATTGCTCTGTGTACACTGCTCTGTGTAGCCCTGCATGCCAACCACTCCAGCTCCAGCCATGGCTAAAAGGGGTTAAGGTACAGCTCAGGCCATTGCTTCAGAAGGTGCAAGCCCAAAGCCTTGGTGGCTTCCATGTGGTGTTGGGCCTGCAGGTGCACAGAAGTCAAGAATTGAGGTTTGGGGACCTCCCCCTAGATTTCAGAGGATGTATGGAAACACCTGGATGTCCAGGCAGAAGTTTACTACAGGGGTAGAGCCCTCATGGAGTACCTCTACTAAGGCAATGTGAGGGGAAATGTAGGGTTGGAGCCCCCACACAGAGTCCCCACTGGGGCACTACCTACTGGAGCTGTGAGAAGAGGGCCACCATCCGCCAGACCCCAGAATGGTAAATCTACCAATAACTTGCACTGTACACCTGAAAAAGCCACAGACATTCAATGCCATCCTGCAGGCTCATGGGCTAAACCCTGCAGAGCCACAGGGGCTGAACTGCCCAAGTCCATGGAAGCCCACCCCTTGCATCAGTGTGGCCTGAATGTGAGACATGGAGTCAAAGGAGATTATTTTGGAGCTTTAAGATTTAATGATTGCCCTGCTGGGTCTCAGGCTTGCAGGGTGTCTGTAGCCCCTTTGTGTTGGCCAATTTCTTCCTTTTGGAACAAATGATGATGAGGAGCTTATTGGGAACAGGAACATTTAGGCAATGCCTATACCCCTTGAATCTTGGAAGTAGCTAACTTGTTTTTGACTTTACATGCTCATAGGCAGAAGTGACTTGCTTTGTCTCAGATGAGACTTTAGACTTGGACTTTTAAGTTAATGCTGGAATGAGTTAAGGCTTTAGGGGACTGCTGGGAAGGCATGATTGTGTTTTGAAATGTGAGAAGGACATGATATTTGGGAGGGGCCAGAGGTAGAATGATATGGTTTGGTTCTGGGTCCCCACCCAAATCTCATGTCAAATTGTAATCCCCACATGCCAGGGGAGGGGCCTGGTGGGAGGTGATTGAATCATGCGGGTGGATTTCCCCCTTGCTGTTCTCATGATAGTGAGTGAGTTCTCATGAGATCTGATGGTTTAAAAGTGTGTGGCACTTCCCCCTTCACTTGCCTTCTCTCCTGCCACCATGTGAAGAAGGTCCTTGCTTCCCCTTCACCTTCCACCATGATTGTAAGTTTCATAAGGCCTCCCAGTCATGCTTCCTGTTAAGTCTGCAGAACTGTGAGTCAATTAAACCTTTTTTCTTCATAATCGCCCAGTCTCAAGCAGTTCTTTATAGCAGTGTGAGAACGGACTAATATACAAACCATCCCAAAATGGAGTGGCTTAAAATAACAACAATTATATTTTGTTCACAGATCAGCAATTTGTGCAGGACTCAATGAGGAAGGCTCATTGCTGCTTCATGTGTCTTCAGCCTGAGCAGTCTGGGTGTGGCCTGGGGGATCCTTTCAAGATAGCTCACTTCTAGGATTGGCAAGTTGAAGTTGTGCTGGGAGTTCTGCCAGGGCTGTGGACCTGTGGCCTCAGTTCCTCTCCACATGGGCCTCTTCATAGGATATTTGGCCTCCCTCACAGCATGCTAGCTGGGTTCCAAGTGTGAGTGTCCTAGAGAACCATGAAGTTGCATATCCTTAGCTCATCTGACCTCAGAAGTCATAAAGCATCACTTCCACTGCCTTCTATCCATGCACGTAGTCACAAGCCTACCCAGATTCAAAAGGAAGGGACTTAGGCTCCACTTCTTAATAAGGGAAGGGCTAAATTCTAGAGGAACATGGAGAATGGAAGATATTGGAGCCATCTTTGAAAAATGGAATCTCCCACAGACAACAAGATGTAAAGAGTATTTCTTTAAGGCACAACTTGCTAAAAATTGTGCCTTAAAAATATTCCCCTCTGAGTCTTCCTTTATTATAGAGGGAGAGAAGGATATGCATCAGTATGTGTCAAAGTTGGGTAAGAAATTTGCTCCCCAATATGTGGAGACTTAACCAAGAAAAAAACCAAATAGGTCTAATGGGAGCATTGAGAACACACCTTGACCCAGTGAGCTGTTGATTTGATGAACGTTAAATAGTGTATCCATGAGGTCAAGAGATCAAGACCATCCTGGTCAACATGGTAAAACCTTGTCTCTACTAAAAATACAAAAATTCTCTGGGTGTGTTGGTGTGCACCTATAGTCCCAGCTACTTAGGAGGCTGAGGCAGGAGAATCACTTGAACCTGGGAGGCAGAGGTTGCAGTGAGCCAAGATCGCACCACTGCCCTCCAGCCTGGTGGCAGAGCAAGACTCCATCTCAAAAAACAAGCAAAAAAAAAAAAAATAGTAAGTGTGTCCGGTAACATACAATAATAGGTTAGGGTACTAGGAAGATCTAACTAAAATGAAAACAAACACGGTTCTTCCACCTACAGAACACAAGCTGGCCAGCAGTGGTGATTTGAAGGCACAGGCTTTCAAATAAGTCCCTGATTTTCTGGGAGAGTCCCAATTTCAAATATTTTGTCACCATGGCAATCCTGAACTGAGCCTTGAAAGATAAGTAGGATTTAAATATTCTGCCAAGCAAGACAACCAAACAACAGGTAACGAGGAATGGGAAAGGGAGCAACAAAAAAGCAATCTCATTTTCCTTTTTTCTTGTTTTGCTCAAGAAATGCTATATGAAAGCAACCAGCACAAAGTAGGCCATGGAAAATGTTTATAAACATTTTAAGGCCCACCACAGGCCTTAAAATTTCCACTATTAGAGAGTCTTCCCTTTGGTTAAGTTAGCGTGGCAGACATGAACATGAACCACTCAGATCCTTCTCCAAGAAAGGACTCTCCGCCTGACTTCAAGGAGTGTGAGTAGCTGGCAGCCTCAGCTTTCAATGTCTTTAGAGTTTTCCTCCACTTTCAGGCCAAGGTCATGCTCTTGAAAGGGGAGCCCAGCCAATGACTGAGGAAGGCAGTGGTACAGAGCCTCTTCATTTCCACACAACATGCGGCTCCTATAATGGGCAATCTGTGCTCTGGAGTTCCCACATTGAGCTGGCAGAGGCTTAACAAGTCTGCATCATGGTCTGATGGCTCACACTGCCCAATCCTGCTTCATGTTCTTTTGCTTTCACAGGTATGATTCCCCCATAAATTTTTTGCACTCTTAACTTCATCTTAGCGTCTGCTTCCCTGAGAACTCAACCTGTGACAGGCAGCATCCTCAAAGGTTCTCCATGAAGAGGCCAATATCCTAGTATAGAAGCATGCAGTAAGCCACTCCTAGCCTTGAGCACCTTGGAAAAGCAGTGATGCATAAGACACTGCACAGGTACATTTAAGCAGAGAAAGAGAATAGATTCAGAAAGTTCAGAATATTTTTATGATGCAAGGTTGCATTAGAAGGGGCTAGAAAAGAAGGGGATAGTAGACAAAGCTTTAAGAAATGTACTGATCTTCAGGACAATCTTGTTTGGAGGTTTGGGGAGTCTTAAGCTAATAAATAGCACTTTGGAACAAGACTTTGGTCTCCAAACTTTTCCCTAAAGTACTTGAAGTTTGTAGACCTTAAATATAAAACGGAATAATACATCTTGACTATAATATAATTATTCATATTTAGGTACTAATTTTACATATTACCTTTTAGTTAGGTATTTTAAAAGGATCAGTGGCTTACTTGGCCCTGAACTGTTTGGGTCCTGAATGCTCAGTCATCCTTGATAAGAGTGAGACCTGCACTGACCTGGTTCCAAAGCTAGCAAGGATCTGAAAGCAGTCTCCCAGGCAGCTAAGCAAAGGGACACACACCAAGGCTGTGATGTTGCTGTTGCACCTGCTAAAATCCACTAAAGAACAGCTGCTGCTTCTTCACTGGCCAAGGCAGACCCCTAAGCTGTGAAAGAACTCCACCCATGCATCATCAGTCAGCCTCACACCACAGCACCAAACCAGACATAAGAACAAATTGAAACTTTTGCACCCCGCTTTTCAGAAAGGGTTCTTCTCCTTTCTTTTCCATTGGGTATCAGAAACTCACGAGGCATCATTAGTGCTTGCTTATGTTTCACCCCTGAGATATCCTGAGAATTTGCATAAGTACCCGATCGTTTTTTGGGGAAACCTACTTCTGGTTTTTATCCCATGCCTGAGACTAAGGACTTAATCCCTAATCCAAGTAATACAAAGGTCACAAAGAAACTATTGAGAAGTCTTGGCGTTGCCTTACAAGGTAAAGGATGAAGAGGACAGTAAGGGTCAATGCCCCTAGGAAGAAATAGCCCCTCTCATCTCTGATTAAACAGCCTTTCCATAATTAACCAGTGACCTAACCAGCTATTCATTATCTGTGCTTTCTCTACTTTGCCTTCTACCTCACAATTTCTTGCTCACAGTGTCAGCTTCTTGATATTGTCTGCTCAGTTATGACTCTTTCTGTTCACATTCTTTCCTGTCTTTTCAACCCCTGTCCTGTCTCTCTCCTTAAAATTCTTTGCTGATGCTGTCAAGAACTTACCCCTTATCCTTTCTGCCCACCTCTGAATCTATCCACAGCTTTAGTAGAGTTTCTAGCAGATGAGCTTCTCAATTCAAGCACCTTTCAACTTCTGCACCTGAGAATCCATGGGAGCTTGTTCAGCTGCAGCAAGTGCAACCCAGAAGAGTAAAGGAGGTAATGCCTTAGAAGTGGGAACTCTCAAATGATGGAGGGCAGAACTCAGTGAGTGAATTCTCTGGCTTCCATGTCCTCCAGGGGGACTATTTTAGCATGAGTCTGCCATAATTTCTCAAAGCATCCCCAGTAAGGTTGAGCTCCAGTTGCCTGCAGTGATAACCACTCCTTTACTCTTCATTAGTTTTCTCTCCTCCATGCCTCACTTTTCCTACTTCCTACTTTTACTTCCTGGAAATCACATCCTGAATGAACTAACTACACCCAAGTTCTTGTCTCAGGTTCTGCTTCTGGGGGAAACTCAATTACAGTAACTCCCAGTTCAAATCCCATGAGAATTTGACTGATTCTCCTTTAATCACTACTGCCTGTATGTAGACAGAGCTTTTCACACAACACCATTTTACAGGCATTAGCCACTATTAATCACTGCCCTTGGGTCTAGACCTGTGGTCCAAACACCTCTGTAGGCAGAGGTGGGTATAAAACATGGCAGCTAAGAGCTGCTTCTCTAGCAGGAGGCCATGAGTGGAGCTATCTTCCTTAGGATGGCTTTGAGCAGGACAGGCACTCTGATGACCTGATTCAGTAGGAATCTGAATATCTATATCTCTCTCTGGACATATCCTGTTAGTAGGTATGGCATATCCCCCCAATATATATAGGATATACATATTGTTCCAGACACCACATTTATTTATAAGTACAAGTGATTCAAACAACTCCAGAGACTCATAAGCTACTAAGTTTTGTTTCATCTTCCAGTAGACTGTTCTGTGGTGAACTCTGCCAAGAAAAGATTGTACATACAGAGACTTGATTAGGGGAGATGTTTTTTTGAAAGGAATTAGGGAGGCAGGTAGAGAAGACTGGGAGAGCCATTAGATCATGATGCAAATATGACCGCAAGTGAAGGAGAGAGGAAGAGAAAATTGGATGGAAGCATCCCAAATGCCTATGCAGTCAAAAGAGGGCTTGGTAAAGCTGTTGAGGATCTTTGAGCCAGAGTTAGCTAACAAAGGGAGTCCTCTGCTCCTCAGGAACAGGTTTGCCTTAGTAACTACACCACACACTGAAAGTCACTGGTGGGGAGCAGTCCATAGGAAGCACAGCCTGGCACAAACACAAAGCCAGTGACTGAAGCCTCAGTCAATTACACTCCCTTTACTCCACGTTCCAGGAAGCCATTCTCATAGTCACTGATGGACTATATAATTGTCCCCTTATTTGAGCCCCTCCCTGCTGGAGGACCGTGCATCTTATTTTTTCTGGTATGGCCAAATGATTTGTTTTAGCCAATGAAATTTGAGCAGAAGTTGAAGGTGTTCCTTCCAGACAATAGCTTTAAAAACCAGCATGTGATTTGCCATGTTCCTTTTTTCCTCTTTCTCAACATTCAGCAATGTTCCAGACAGAAGCTACTCCTGCAGCCCGAGTCCTGAGACAAGGATGACATGGCACAGAGCCATGGCCAACCCACAATGGTCATATAGTACTAACAAGAAAGAAGTCTTGGTTGTTGTTAGCCAATGAAATGTTGGGTCCTTTGTTATCACAGTATAACCTAGCCTATGCTGACTAATACATAACTTCTGCCATCTCTCCTCATCCCCTTCCCCACCCATTTGCAAAAAGTTAGATTGTCCTGACCTGGGATTTGAGAAAATAATTGCTTTCTCCGTCTTCCTTCCTCTGTCCTTCTCACTGCCACAGGAAATCAGTTGGGCTTTTTCATTGTTAGTTTTCTCATCAGCTAGCACTATTAATAAAAGTCCTTGTGGTTTTATATCCTGAATAGAATATTTTTTAAAGAAAAAAATAGGCATCTTGATTTTATAATCTAGAGTTTCTATGATAGAGTGTATGCTTTACAGCACTGCCATGATGGATTCCTCTTTGGAAATCTTTTCTTAAAATATGTATCCTGAATTGCTCTATGTTTTCATCAATCATTTTCCATTATGTGCCATAATTCTTTTTCTTTTTCCTTTTTTGAAAATCTTTTACTGTGGATTCAAGGGAATAAAACTACATTTAAGAGCTTAATGTCCCGGATGAATTTATACAACTTTAGATGAACAGGAAAATAATCCCGACAAGTGAAAAAAGATTCATAAATACAAATCCATTTTGGCATCTGTTTTCTCTATTATAAAATAAAAAGGAAAAAAAGAAAGCATCCAGCAGATGCTGGCTTAGAGCAGCTCAATTGGTCACCCACTTTCTCGTTGAACGATGCCAGCAGCCTGGTGCTAAGGGACTGTCTGGATTTGATATATGACCTTCTTTGCTTGCCAGAGATACAAGGGGCTTGGGAACAGTGTGGGAGATTCCTTTTGATTTACTCATGAATTAAAATGGGCTTTGCAAATTATCGGCAAGAAAGAGCACACCGAAATTTGTGGAAATGATGTTTGTGGGGATGCTGGTCTTTGGCTAAAAATAGAAACAAGACAGAATGCTGACTACTTAACACACCTAATTATAGGGATTTTTTACAGACAAATGCTCGTGTCAACTTTTTTGTCATCATAATGGTCATTGCTGGTTTTCAGTCAGAAGAACTAAGATAATTACATACGTGATGCCTGGGAATGACTGTCAGAAGGGAAAAGCTGTGAATGCACCTGGAGATTTCTTGTCCGTGGGGCAATGTGCCATATGATATCAGGTTGACGTCCACCCACTCTATTCCCTGACTCTCCTCAAATCTGGAGACAGATTCCTTGGCCACTTTAGGTACCAAATACATTTGGTTTTTAATAGAATCAGTGGAGTAAGTTCCATTTGAGGCTTCCAGCTGTAGCAAGATATTCCAATTGGTGGAAATCGATCCAATTGAAGTACCCTTGAGCACAAATCAAATGAGACTCGACTGCGATTGAGGAAAATTATAGTCATAACTTTGCTTTAGGAACTAAGTCGGCTTTCTCTCTGCATGATCTCTGAAAATGGTATGGATGCTCTCGGCTATCAGCAATGAGGCAGGTGCCAGAACACATTTTTGCTAAAGAGAGTTATTAAAATGTCTTCATCTGGGGTGTGTTGCCATTATTAAAAACAAAAGCAGAGGGAAAATAACAAAATTGGATCATATTCAAGGGGTTCCAAGCCTGACATGTGCTAGCAATACTATTAATGCAAGTATTTAGGTGGGTTCCTGAAGAATCCTGTCAATCAATGCAAACACGCCATGGTGCAGAATACTTAAAAGATGACTTTTCATAAGTGAGTTCTCCTACTGGGTTTCCACAGGCCATTTCTGTAGAGCACTATCTTGTAATTGTGCATATCAAACAAGCTTTCTGATACATTCATACTCACAGCAACATAGAATGTGGTGCAAGAGGGAAACTTGGGCACTACCTCGCAAATATCTGTCCGCTCATCCACCTCCCAATTTGACATACTTAGACCTCCATTTTATAGATGAAGAAAATCAAGGCCCACAAAGGTCATATGAATTGCCTGAGGTCACACAGCGAGTTACAAACAACTAGAATTAAAATCCAGGGCCAGAACTGTTTCTTCTTTAGGACACTATCTCACTATTCATCAGCAGCTTCAGCTTCAAGGCATTTTTTTTCAGAAGTGAGTAGGGTATGAATTATAAATAAATCAATAATACTCCACACCAAATTCCCCAAAGTAACTAAGAACAGGATGCCTCTGCTTTTAAGATGCAATTAAAATGCAGTACATTCCTGGAAACAGATGTTATAGAGTTGATCATCCTAAGGCAGACCAAGCAAGGCTCCGTCAAACGTGGGTAGCATGGGCAGAAGTCATCAAACAAACTAAACATTGTAGAATGAAGGGACCAAGAAGGCAAAAAGTAAAGCCTAGGAATCCATTAGGAAATATCAAATAAAGAACAAAGAAAATGTAGCAGGGTAAGAAGTAGACATGGCTTCTGCATGTAAATGGAGCCCATTAGTCTTTGAGATAGGGAGACCAGAAATCCTTGGTCCTCCAAGTTGTTTTCTTTTATTTGAATTCAGCTCAGCAAACATTTACTGAAACATCTGCTATGTTCCAGGCATGCAATTAGACATAGGTAGACATATGGTGGTGGACTAAATATCCATGGCGCCTGCCATCAAGGGGCTTATGGTTTTATGGGAAAGACAGCCTAGAAGAGGGATACTTCAATAAATGTTTTAGGTACCATGCTGAGGCTCACCCAAGATGCTCTGGAAGCACTAAGAGGGGGAACCTGTGAATGCCTCTTCCACATTCATTTCATGCTGCCTTCATGAACTAACAGCCCAGTAGTTTGGGTGGGACTGAGCTAACCCCTAGGTCCAGAGGTGTGCCCGCATAGGCCTAAGCCAGTCAGTATGATTGATTCCAAGTGGTCATATGACCTATGTTTGTCCACTCAAAATGAAGTCCACTGTCTTCAGTGATTGGAAAAGAGAGGCTTTCTATCTGTGGAGGGTAAATGTGAGGCCAGGAACTGTCACAGCCATTTTATGACTGCCCCTGGGTGCTGAGTGGGAAAATTCCTGTTGCTCCAGAACTGAGGACTAAGATCAAAGCCAAAAAGAAAGATAATAAAAACTGCATCCACCGTCAAAATCCTAAAGACAGCAGAAAACTCATCAGGGCTCATTAAATGGAGCTGAATGGGTTCTCCTGGCACCCCAAGTCAAGTAAGGATGACTTCTGAAGACCCTTCATTGAGACTGGGGTGCCCTCAAGTGGGACAGCAGGTCCATACCTCACTCTATGGCTGGAATGTTCACCGAAACCCACACATCCAGCCAAGTACCCCAGCTAGCCAGGGTATGGGGAAGGAGTTCCTAGGTAACATTGGCAATCTCCCCAAGAAGTGAACATAGTGATGGAGCCTTCTTTCCTGAAGAATTTACAGTTTAGGAAGACAGTGTGGAAAGTGCGGAATTGGTGAGGTTAACCTAGAAACAAGGCAGTAGCAATGCCCATCCCAGACAAGTTCCTCCAGACCATTGCAGGGCATGAAAGAAACCACAGAAGTTTCCATGACTTTCACATGTACATTATGTGAGTTAGAAGAAGAGAGAGAAGCCATGAAGCTGTGTAGACAGCTGCCAGGCAGCCAAGGCTACAGCCCATCTGGAGCATGGACTCCTAAGGGTGATGAAAAGACACAACTTCCTTCTATGAGGGACCTTCATCAGCAAAGAAGTGGAATAGAGGTGAAGAGCATCCCAAGAAAACCTCACCACTAACATACATCACCACACTAACAGAGGTTACTGGAGTGATGGAGCAGAAGAAGACCAGAAGCAACTCTCCTCACCAATGCCAGCCAGCTAATAAAGACCCCCTGCTACTTTTCCCAGCCCTCTTCCCCATGTCAAGCACAAGGCATTCTAGAGCCTGCAGGGTGAATCAGTGGCCAATGCCCCCTCTCTGCCTCATATCCCTTACACCACCGGTTAACCTGAACTGAGGTGATAGGAGAGAAGAGATCTTAATAAGAATATAAGATTGAAACTTTAAATACAAATAGGATGGAGTTGTAAATGATGAAATAGACTGCTTTACTTATCACCATTGGCTGTAAAATTATGGAATCTGTTCAGGATATTGGTAGAAAAGGGGAAAGCTAGTTCAAATATTTGAACTAGCACAGTTGGGGACAGTGATTAGAAGAAACTCAAATCCTGGTTCTGCCACATACTAACTTTCTAAAATGGGGATAATGACACATAACTTGCAGGAATATTTTAAAGACTATGCATGCCTTCAAAAGATATTTAACATGTTCAAAGAGCACTGTATATGGAGTTTAGTGAACTTGGTGGGAAATTGTTGAAGATGGGTAATGCATATTATGTTTTCAAAAAATGACCACAGCAATATTATTTAGTCCCACATTGTATTAGTCCATTCTCACACTGTTATATATATAAAAAATAAAAAAAAACCTGAGACTGGGCCATTTATAAAGAAAAGAGGTTTAATTGGCTCACAATTCCTCAGGCTATACAGGAAACATGACAGCTTCTGGGCTAGCCTCAGGAAACTCAATCATGGTGGAAGATGAAGGGGAAGCAGGCACATCTTACACGGCCGGAGCAGGAGGAAGAGAGAGCAGAGGGGAGTGCTACACACTTATAAACAATCAGATCTCATGAGAACTCACTATCATGAGAACAGCACCAAAGGGAAAATCTGCCCCCATGAGCCAATCACCTCCCACCAGGCCCCACTTCCAACATTGGAGACTGCAATTCAACATGAGATTTGGGTGGGGACACAGAGCCAAACCATATCATTCCACCCATGGTCCTTCCCAAATCTCATGTCCTTCTCACATTTCACAACCAAACATGCCTTCTCAACAGTCCCCTAAAGTCTTAACTCATTCCAGCATTAACTCAAAAGTCCATGTCCAAAGTTTCATCTGAGACAAGGCAAATACCTTCTGCATATGAGCCTATAAAAACAAAAATAAGTTAGTTACTTCCAAGATAAAATAGGGGTGCAGGCACTGGGTAAATGCTCCTGTTTTAAAAGGGAGAAATTGGCCAAAAGAAAGGGGTTACAGGCCCCACTCAAGTCCGAAACCCAGCAGGCCAGCTGATAAATCTTAAAGCTCCAAAATAATTTCCTTTGACTCCATGTCTCACATCCAGGGCACACTGATGCAAGGGGTGGGCTCCCAAGAACTTGGGCAGCTCCAACCCTGAGGCTTTACAGGGTATAGCCTCTGTGACTGCTGTCACGGACTGGCACTGTGTGCCTGCAGCTTTTCCAGGCAAATGGTGCAAGCTGTTGGTGGATCTATCATTCTGGGAGCTAGAGAATGTTGACTCTTTTCTCACAGCTTCACTAGGTAGCACCCCAGTGGGGACTCCATGTGGGAGTTCCAACCCCACATTTCCTCTCCACACTGCCCTAGTAGAGGCTCTCCATGAGGGCTCTGCCCCTGCAGCAGGCTTATGCCTGGACATCCAGGCTTTTCCATACATCCTCTGAAATTTAGCTGGAGGCTTCTGAGCCTCAACTCTTGTACTCTGTGCACCTGCAGGGTTAACACCACATGAAAGCCACCAAGACTTACAGTTTGCACCCTCTAAAGCAGTGGCCTGAGCTGTACCTGGGCCCCTTTGAACCAAGGCTGGAACTGGAGTGGCTGGGATGCAGGGAGTAGTGTCCTGAGGCTGCACTGGGTGGCAGGGGCCCTGGGCCTGGCCCACAAAACCATTCCTCCCTCTTAGGCCTCTGGGCCAGTGATGGGAGGGGCTGCCATGAAGGTCTCTGAAATGTCTTGAAGGCCTTTGTCCCATTGTTTTGGCTATCAGCACATGGCTCCTCCTAACTTATGCAAATTTCTGCAGCAGGCCTGAATTTCTCCCCAGAAAATGGGCTTTTCTTTCTACCACATGGCCAGGCTGCAAATTTTCCGAACTTTTAGGCTCTGCTACCCTTTTAAATATAAGTTCCAGTTTCAGGTCATTTCTTTGCTCACACATAGGAAGCAGCCAGGCTGCATCTTGAATGTTTTGCTGCTTAGAAATTTCTTCTGCCAGATACCCTAAATCATCACTCTCAAGTTCAAAGTTTCACAGATCCCTAGAGCAGGAGCACAATGCTGCCAGGTTCTTTGCAAATACATAACAAAAGTGACCTTTACTCCAGTTCTCAGTAAGTCCCTCATCTCCCTCTGAGACCTCATCAGCCTGGCCATCTGTTTATATCACCATCAGCATTTTGGTTAAAACCATTCAACAAGTCTCTAGGAAGTTCCAAACTTTCCCTCATCTTCCTGTTTTCCGAGCCTTCCGTGCTCTTCCAACCTCTGCTGGTTACGCAATTCCAAAGCTGCTTCAACATTTTCAGATATCTTTATAACAATACCCCAGTCTTGGTACCAATTTTCTTTATTAGTTCATTCTCACACTACCTTAAATAAATATACCTAAGACTTGGTAATTTATAAAGAAAAGAGGTTTAATTGGCTTATGGTTCCACAGGCTGTACAGGAAGCATGATGCTTCTAGGGAGGCCTCAGGAAACTTTCAATCATGGCAGAAGGTGAAGGGGAAGCAGGCATGTCTTACAAGCCAGAGCAGGAGAAAGGGAAGGGGGCAGGTGCTGTACACCTTTTATTTTATTTTATTTTATTTTGAGACGGAGTCTCGCTCTGTCACCCAGGCTGGAGTGCAGTGGCATGATCTCAGCTCACTGAAATCTCCACCTCCCGGGTTCAAGCAATTCTCCTGCCTCAGCCTCCCAAGTAGCTGGGATTACAGGAATGCACCACCACACCCAGCTATTTTATTTGTATTTTTAGTAGAGACAGGGTTTCACCATATTGGCCAGGCTGGTCTCGAACTCCTGACCTTGTGATCCTCCTGCCTCAGCCTCCCAAAGTGCTGTGATTACAGGCGTGAGCCACCATGCCAGGCCATGCTATACACTTTTAAACAACCAGATCTCATGAGAATTCACTTACTATCACAAGAACAGCACAAAAGAAAAAATCCACTCCCATGATCCAATCACCTCCCACCAGGCCCCACCTTCATCCAACATTGGGGATTATAATTCAACATGAAATTTGGGCAGGGACACAGATCCAAATCACATCACACACACTCTTCCAGAACCTGGCCACACACCAACAAGACGTGGAGTCTACCCTCACCCCATCCCCACCTCTCTTGAACCTGGGCAAGCATTTGTGATTGCCTAATAGAATATAGTGGAAGTGATGATGCCTTATTTCCAAGGCTAAGTCAGAAAAGGAAATATGACTTCTACCTGGCTCACTCTCTCACTGGGGACATTTGCTCTTGGAATCCAGCCAGCATGTCTTAAGAAAGCCCAGGCCACATGCAGAAGCCATATGTAGGTGTTTGGGTCAACATAATTGGCTGAAGTCTTAGCTGTCAGTCATCATTAACCACCACATGTGAGACTTGATAAAACTTCAGGTGATTCCAGCCCCTGGTCTTCAAGTTTCCCCAATTAATGCCAAAAGGAGCAGAAATGAGCAATTTGGATCCCACCCAAACTGCAACAAAATAATTATTGTCATTGTTTTAAGCCACTACATATTTAGAGTCATTTGTTACAGAGGCTCAGTAACTGAAATAATGAGGTTGGCAAGTAGGAATGAACTAGGTGATACAGGGCCTAGTAAACCCCAGGAAAAGTTTGTATTTAATTCTGAGTATACTGAGGGCCTTTGAAGTTACATAATGCAGTTAAGTTTTAAGGTCACTCTTTCTACAAAAAATGGCTTGACTCACATGTCTGGTGCCTCAGTAGAGATAAAAGTCTAGGATTACTAGAACCATAGGCCAGAATGCCTACACATGGAGGACTCAGTAATCAGACATCTTCTCTGCTAGCTCAGAGCTCTGAAGAAGCATGTTCTAAGAGGCCTGGATAGAAGTTCCAATGCATCTTATGAGCTGGCCTTGTACGTCCCAGAACATCACTGCCACTTTATTCCACTGGTCAAGTAACAAGCTGAAGCCAGCCAGGGTTAAGGGAAGGGCATTAGAGTCCACCTCTCAATGGCAGGAATAGCAAACAATTTTCAATCATCTTTAATCTACCTAACTATATACGTCTCATAAGCTATTATAGTATTAAGTACATTTTATTATAATTTGTAATTACACACTTATTTGTGTGCTTACTTATTCAATGCATTTTTCTCTCAGTGGATCTAAGAATCATGAAGTCAAGGCCATATATCTGTTTGTTTACAGCCATATATACAGCTACTAGCCCAAAGCCTTGCACAGAGAAAGTGCTCAATAAATATTAGTTTAATAAATGAGTAAATGTCTTCTCTTTAAAAGTACATTCCATGAAGGCAGGAAATGTCTGTTTTGTGGGACCTAACACATAAATAAGATACAGAACTAGCTAGGACAGCCAGTGTTGGTAGGATCAAAAGCCTGAAATTCATGCATTGGACTGTTTCATATTTTGTATACCCTGAATATTACTATTTTGTTTTACTCAAATTATTCAGTAAAAATGTCTTCAAATTTGGAGCCATCTCTAGAAAAATCCAGAGAATAGGATAGCTATGTGCTTGAGCCAGAATTGGAAAAGAGCTCACTCCCCAAATCATCATGAAAGTGCGACTGGCATGCAGGAAAAGAGATCCTCGAAGATAAGTCAGAATTCAAGGACACTGATCCAGCCCCTCTTCTCTCCACATAGTTCCTTTTTCCTGTTTTAAATATTGCTGATTCTGAATTTAGGTTGTTAAGGGAGGCTGCTTTATTCTCTAACATAACATATTATGCAAGAATGCAAGTAAGACTGCAAGTAAACTCAAGATAACGTGGCTTCTAAGAAAGATGTGAGCCCACCTGTTTAGGCAAAAATTGTACAACTCTCCAAAAGAATCCTGCAGAAACACTAAGCAATGTTACATTGGCTTTGAAATGTCATGTTAAGTATTTTCAGCTGAAGCAGCTCCTAATTTGGGATAGCAAGTCATAGAAAGGGCTTTCTAATCCACCATGAAAATTACCAACATTTTCTAAGCATAAAAACAAAAATATTTTTAAAACATGAAGGAAAAGAGTAATTGCTTAATTTGCTTGCATAAACATTTAAATCTTTCATACGTCAAAAATTAAAAGGCAAAATAAGAAAAAGACATTTCTGCCTAAGTCAGGGGATTGCTAAGCATAGTAGATAAAGGCCACATAGGACCACAATTACTTCTGGCTTTGGAATCACCCAAGCTTGTGTTCGAAACCTGGATCACTTACTTACAGGTGTATAACCTGAACAAGTCCATTAAAAGCTGCCTGAGGGAGTGGAGCAAGATGCTGAAATAGAAGGGTCTACTGATCATTCCCCCTGCAAGGACACTAACAGGCAACTCTCTATACAAAAAAAAGTACCTTCATAAGAACCAAAAATCAGGTCAGCACTCACAGTACCTGGTTTTAATTTCCTATCACTGAGAGAGGCACTGATAAGGTAGGAAAAACCTCTTCAGTGCCTCTCTCGGTGATATAAAGTTAGTCTTGAATCACTGACACCACCTGCCACCCCTATATTCCCCAGGAGTGGTGGCATGGTGCCAAGAGAATTTCTTTGTGCTGGGGAGCGGGAGAGCACAGCAATTGTGAGGTGTTGAACTCAGTGCTGCCCTATTATAATAGAAAAAAAAAAAAGAAAGAAAGAAACAGACCAAACTCAGCTGACCCATGAAGGGAGCATTGAAACCAGCCTTAGCCAGAGGGGAGTCACCAATCCCAGTGTCTCGCTACTGTGAGCTAAAGGATTCTGGGGCCCCAAATAAACTTGAAAGGCAGTCTAGACCACAAGAACTGCAACTCCTAGAGAATCCTAGTGCTGAATTTGTCCCAGAGACAGTGGACTTGGGGAGGGGGATGGAGAACATGACCCACTGAGATACCAGCCCAGGTAGCTAAGGGAGTACTGGCATCATCCCCCATCCCACCCCAGGCTGTACAGCTCACAGCTCCAAAAGAGAGCCCCCTTCCCTTCACTTGAGGAGACAGAAGAGTAGAGAAGATGTTGTCTTGAATCTTTTATATCAGCTCAGCCACAGCAGGACAGAGCACTGCTCAGAGTCATGAGGCCCCATTCCCAGGCCCTAGCTCCCTGATAACATTTCTAGATACATCCTGGGCCAGAAGGAAAGGACCCAGTCCTGTCGGGACTCATCACCTGCTAACTGAAGATCCCTTGGGCCCTGAATAAAGAGCAGTGATACCCAGGCACTATGTTGAGGACCTCAGGTGAGACCCTGAGACTTGCTTGCTTCAGAGGAGACTCAACACATTCCCAGCTATAGTGACTATGAGGCGAGACTCCTTCCACTTGAGAAAGGCAGAGGGAAAAGTAAAGGGGACTTTGCTTGCACCTTAGATGCCAGTTCAGTCACAGTGGAGCAAAGCAATAAGAAGGCTCTTAGGGTCCCCAAGTCCAGGCCTAGGCTCTTGGAGTACCCAATTCCAGAACTTGGCTCTTGGATGGCATTTCTGGACTTGCCCTGGACCAGAGAGGAGCCCACTGCCCTAAAGGGTGAGTCCTAAGCCAGGAAGCATCTATCACAGGCTGATTGAAGAGCCTGTGGGCCTTAAAGAAACATCTGTGGTAATCCCCATGGGCCTGTGGTGGTGGTGGCCATAGGGTGAAGCTCCTTTGCCTTTGGAAATTGGAGGGAAGAGTAGGAAGGACTGTGTCTTGTGGTTTGAGTGCCAGTCCACCTGCAGTACAATAAAACACCAAGTAGATTTCTAAGGTTTTTGACTCTAGTACTCGGCTCCCAGATGGCATCTCTGGACACAGCCAGGGCCTGGGGCAGTTCTTTACCCTGAAAGGAAGGATATAGGCCTGGCTGGCTTTGCCACCTGTTAATTGTAGAGCCCCAGGGCCTTGAGCGAACATAGGCCATAGTCAGGGAGTGGTTACAGCAGGCCTTGGGAGAGACCCAGTGCTGTGCTAGCTTCAGGTCTGACCCAGCATAGAACTAGGAGTGGTGGCAAGATGGGTGCTTATGTCAATCCACCCCCAGCTCCAGGTGACTCAGAACAGACAAAGAGACTCTGTTTGTTAGGGAAAAAGTAAGGGAAGAGAACAAGAGTCTCTGCCTGGTAATCCAGAGAATTCTTCCAGATCTTATCCAGGACCATCAAGGCAGTACCTCTACAAGTCTGCAAGAACCAAAGTATTATGGGCTTGGGATACCCCCTAAAGTAGATACAGCTTAGGTCACAACACCCAAGCCCTGTCAAATATCTGGAAAGCCTTTCCAAAATGGATGGGTACAAACAAGTCCAGACTGAGAAGACTACAATAAATACCTCACTCTTCAATGCCCAGACACACATGAACATCTACAAGTATCAAGACCATCCAGGAAAACATGACCTCGCCAAATGAACTAAAAAGCCACCAGGGATCAATCCTGGAGAAGCAGTTATGTGATCTTTCAGACAGAGAATTTAAAATAGCTGTTTTGAGGAGATTCAAAGAAATTCTAGATAACACTGAGAAGGAATTCAGAATTCTATCACACAAATTTAACAAAGAGATTGAAATAATTAAAAAGAATCTAGCAGGAATTCTGGAGCTGAAAAATGCAATTGGCATATTGAAGAATGCATCAGAGTCTTTTAATAGCAGAATTGATCAAGCAGAAGAAAGAATTAGTGAGCCTGAAGAAAGGTTATTTGAAAATACAGTCAAAGGAGGCAAAAGAAAAAAGAAAAAACAATGAAGCACACCTAGAGGATTTAGAAAACAGCCTCAAAAGGGCAAATCTGTTATCAGCCTTAAAAAGGAGGTAAAGAAAGAGATAAGGATAGAAAGTTTATTCAAAGGAACAATAATAGAGAACTTCGCATAGAGAAAGATATCAACATCCCAGTATAAGAAGGTTATAGAACAATAAGCAGATTTAACTCAAAAAAGACTACCTCAAGGCACTTAACTCATTCTAAACAAACTCAGAAAAGTCAAGGATAAAGAAAGGATTCTAAAAACATCAAGAGAAAATAAACAAATAACATAAATAGAGCTTCAATACATCTGGCAGCAGACTTTCCAGTAGAAACCTTACAGACCAGGAGGCAGTGGCATGCTATATTTAAAGTGCTGAAGAAAAAATAACTTTTACCCTAGAATACTATATCCAGTGAAAATATCCTTCAAACATGAAGGAGAAATAAAGGCTTTCCCAGAAAAACAAAAGCTGAGGGATTTCATCAATACCAGAACTGTCCTACAAGAAATGCTAAAGGGAGTACTTCAATCAGGAATAAAAGGTCATTAATGAGCAAGAAGAAATCATCTGAAGGTACAGAACTCACTGGTAATAGTAAATACACAGAAAAACACAGACTATGATAACACTGAAATTGTGGTGTGTAAACTACTTTTATCTTAAGTAGAAAGACTAAATGATGAACTAATCAAAAATAATATCTATGACAACTTTTCAAGACACAGAGAGTACAATAAGATATACATAGAAACAAAAACTTAAGCAGGAGGATGCAATTAAGGCAGAGTCTTTATTAGTTTTATTTTTGCTTGTTTCTTTCTTTGTTTATGCAGTGTCAAGTTGTTATCAGCTTAAAATAATAGGTTATAAGACAGTATTTGCAAGCCTTATGGAAACCTCAAACCAAAAAACATACAATGGATACACAAAAAATAAAAAGCAAAAAACTAAATCATATCACCAGAAAAAAAATCACCTTCACTAAAAGGAAGACATGAAGGAAAGAAAGAAGAAAAACTACAAAACAACCAGAAAACAAATAACAAAATCACAAGAGTGAGTCCTTAATAATAACAATGAATGTAAATGAACTAAACTCTCCAATCAAAAGACATATAGTGACTGAATGGATTTTAAAAAATACTCAATGATCTGTTACCTACAAGAGGCACACTTCATCTATAAAAACACACATAGACTGAAAATAAAGGGATAGAAAAAGACATTCCAGGCCTATAGAAATCAAAAGAGAGCAGGAGTAGTATACTTATATCAGACAAAATAGATTGCAAGACAAAAACCATAAGAAGAGACAAAGAAGGTCACTATAAAATGATAAAGGGATCAATTCAGCAAGAGGATATAACAATTATAAATATATATGTATCCAACACTGGAGCACCAGATATACAAAGCAAATATTATTTGAGCTAAAGAAAGAGATAGACCTTGATATAATAATAGCTGGAGATTTTGACAACTCACTTTCAGCATTAGACAGATCTTCCATACAGAAAATCAACAAGGAAACACTGCGCTTAATCTGCACCATAAACCAAATAAATCTAATACACATTTACAAAACATTTCATCCAATGATTGCAGAATAACATTCCTTTTTTCAGCACATGGATCATTCTCAAGGATGGACCATATGTCAGATCACAAAACAAGTCTTAAAACATTCAAAAACATTGAAATATTATCAAGCATCTTCTCATAATGGAATAAAACTAGATATCAATAACAAGAAGAATTTTGGAAACTATACAAATACATGGAAATTAAACAGTATGCTCCTGAATGACCGGTGGGTCAATGAAGGAATTAAGAAGGAAATTGAAAATATTCTTGAAACAAATGATAATGGAAACATGAAATACCAAAACCTATGGAATACAGCAAAAGCAGTACTAAGAGTGAAGTTTATAGTTATCAGCACCCACATCAAAAAAATTTCAAATAAATTACCTAACAATGCATCTTTAAACACTAGAAAAGCAAGAGCAAACCAAACCCAAAGTTCGTAAAAAGAAGAAATAATAAAGATCAGAGCAGGAATAAATGAAATTGGAACAAGGAAAACAATACAAAAGATCAATGAAACATAAAGTAGGTTTTTGAAAAGTTAAACAAAATTGACAAACCTTTAGCCAGACTAAGAAAAAAAGAAGATCCAAATAAATAAAATCTGAAATGAAAATGGAGGCATCACAACTGATACTACAGGAATTCAAAAGATCATTAGGAGCTACTAGGAACCCCTATAGATTTGCCAATAAATTGGAAAAGCTATAGGAAATGGACAAATCCCTAGACACATAGGACCTACCAAAATTGAACCACGAAGAATTCCAAAACCTGAACAGACCAACAACAAGTAATGAGATTGAAGCCATAATAAAAAGTTTCCCAGGACCTGATGGCTTCACTGCTGAATTCTACCAAACATTTAAAGAAGAACTAATACCAATCATACTCAAACTATTTTCAAAAGTAGAGGAGGAGGAAATACTTCCAAACTCATTCTATGAGGCCAGTATTACCTGATACCAAAACCAGACAAAGACACATTAAAAAAAAATACAGGCCAATATCTCTGATGAATATTGATGCAAAAATCCTCAACAAAATACTAGCAAACTGAATTCAACAATGCATGTCAAAGATCATTTATGATGACCAAGTGGGATTTATCCCTGTGATCCAATGATAGTTTAACATATGTAAATCAATCAATGTGATACATAGTATCAACAGAATGAAAGACAGAAACCATATGATCATTTCGATTGATGCTGAAAAAGTATTTGATAAAATCCAACATTCCTTTATGATAAGAACCCTGAAAAAACTGGGTATAGAAGGAACATATCTCAACGTATTAAAAGCCGTATATGACAGACCCACAGCTAGTATACTGAATGGGGAAAAAATGGAAAGCCTTTCCTCTAAGATCTGGAACACGAAAGGGATACCCACTTTTGCCACTGTTATTCAACATAGTACTGGAAGTCCTGTCTAGAGCAACCAGACAAGAGAAAGAAAGAAATGGTATCAAAATTGGAAAGAAGTCAAATTACCCTTGTTTGCAGATGATATGGCCTTATATTTGGAAAAATCTGAAGACCCCACACAAAAATATTAGAACTGATAAATAAAGTTGCAGGATAGAAAATCAACATACAAAAACCAGTAGCCTTTCTGTATGCCAACAGTGAATAATGTGAAAAAGAAATAAAACTCAGTAACCCTGTTTACAATACCCACAAATAAAATTGAATACCTAAGAAATCAGGCACCTGTAGTCCCAGCTACTTGGGAGGCTGAGGCAGGAGAATGGCGTGAACCTAGGAGGCGGAGCTTGCAGTGAGCTGAGATTGCGCCACTGGACTCCAGCCTGGGTGACAGAGCGAGACTCCATCTCAAAAACAAAAAACAAAAAAAAAAACACCTAAGAATTAACTGAACCAAAGAAGTGAAACACTTCCATGATAAAAACTATAAAACACTGATGAAAGAAATTGAAGAGGACACAAAAAAATGTAAAAATATTCCATGTTCATGGATTGGAAGAATCTGTATTGTTAAAATGTCCATACTGTCCAAAGCAATCTACAGATTCAATGCAATCCCTATCAAAATACCAATGACATTCTTCAAAGAAATAGAAAAAAATTCCTAAAATTTATATAAAGCAACAAAAGACCCACGATAGCCAAGGCTATCCTAAGTAAAAAGAGCAAAACTGGAAGAATCACCTTACCTGACTTCAAATTGTACTACAGAGGCAATAGTCACCAAAACAGCATGGTACTGACATAAAAACAGACACATAAAACAGTGGAACAGAATAGAGAACCCAGAAGCAAATCCACACAGCTACAGTGAACTCATTTTCAACAAAGGTGCCAAGAACACACACTGGGAAAAAGATAGTCTCTTCAGTAAATGGTGCTGGGAAACTGGATATCCATATACAGAAAAATGAAACTAGATCCCTATTTCTCCCATATATGAAAATCAAGTCAAAATGGATTAAAGCCTTAAATCAAGACCTCCAAACTATAAAACTACTACAAGAAATGTCAAGAAAAATCATTGTTCTGGGCAAAAAAATTTTAATTAATGTCCCACAAGCACAGGCAACCAAAGCAAAAATGGACAAATGGAATCACATTAAATTAAAAAGCTTCTGCACAGGAAAGGAAACAATCAACAAAGTGAAGAGACATTCCACAGAATGCAAGAAAATATTTGCAAACTACTCATCTGATAAGGGAATAATAACCAAAATGTATAAGGAGCTCAAACAACTCTATATGAAAAAATTGAATAATCCAATTTTAAAATGGGCAAAAAATTGAATAGACATTTCTCAAAAGAAGAAATACAAATAGCAAATAGGCATATGAAAAGGTACTCAACATCACTGATTATCAAAGAAATGCAAATCAAAACTACAATGAGATATCATCTCACTCCAGTTAAAATGGCTTACATCCAAAAGACAGGCAATAAGAAATGTTGGAGAGGATGTGAAGAAAAGAGAACCCTTGTACACTGTTGGTGAGAATGTAAATTGGTACAATCACTATGAAGAACAGTTTGGAGGTTACTCAAAAAACTAAAAATAGAGCTACCATATCATCCAGCAATCTTACTGCTGGGTATGTAACTTAAAGAAAGAAAAATAGTGTATCAAAGAGATATCTGCACTCCCTTGTTCGTTACAGCACTGTTCACAAGAGCCAAAATTTGGAAGCAACTTAAGTGTCTCTCAACAGATGAATGGATAAAGAAAATGTGGTATTTATAAACAAGGGAGTACTATTCAGCCATAAGAAAGAATGAGATCCTGTCATTTACAACCACATGGGTGGAACTGGAGGTCATTATGCTAAACGAAATAAACCAGGCACAGGGAGACAAACATCACATGTTCTCACCTATTCGTGGGATCTAAAAATGAAAACAATTAAACTTACAGAGATAGAGAGTAGAATGATGGTTACCAGAGGCTGGCAAGGCGGAAGGGTGGGAAGGTGGGGATGGTTAATGGGTCCAAAAAAATAGAATGAATAAGACCTAGATTTTACAGTACAATAGCATCACTACAGTCAATAACACTTCATTTGTACATTTAAAAACAACTAAATAGTATAGTTGGATTGTTTGTAACACAAAGGATAAATACTCGAGGGCATGATACCCCATTATGCACGATTATTATGTACTGCATGCCTATATCGAAACATCTCATGTACCCTCTAAATATATACAGCTACTATATACCCACAAAAATTAAAATAACACATTTAAAAATAAATCAAAATAAAAACTGCCTGAGCCTCAATTTCTGCATCTCACAATGGAGAAAATAATACCCATTTTAAAGGATTATTATGAGAATCAAGAACATCCTCTATAGGTGCACAGGTTGTACACTACACAAAGGAGCACAGCAAGGAGAAGCTGAAATTCAACTCACTTTCCACTCACCAAGCCTTGAAGCAGAACTGCAGTTTCCTACCTGAGGTAGTAGACAACATTTTCTCATTTGTATTAAGGAGCCATATGAACCAGTAGTGATCAGATGACAATTACATAAAATACAAGAAAATTACATAAAATAATGATTATATTTTATTATTTTTATAATTACATTATAAAAATTATATAAAGCAATATATGTAAAGCACTTAAATCCAGGCCCAGTACATTACAAGAGTGTAGTAAATGGAGCTATTACCATTAAGGACAAATAGAAGAAAAAGGGTTCTTCAGAACAATGAGTAATGCCATGTACAGATAATTGACATGAAAAGTAATTAAAGTTCTGATAACCATAAGAAAAATTATTCATAAGTAATTAAAGAAAACCATATTAAAACTAGAAACCATCTTCCTCTAAAAATGGCAAACGCTTCTAAAAAGTAACACTCAGTGAAAGCAGAACTGTGAAATGGGCTATCTTCATAAGAGACAAATAAAAGAGTGGGTTGTTACCTCCCACTTTCTGAAAAAACTTGATGTGTATCAAGAGTTCAGAAACAACCTATATCTTTCATGTCTTGGTGATATCCCTTGTTCAAATTTAGCCAAAAAAAAAAAAAATCAGAGTTGAGATGCAATTGAAGGTTTATGTTTGAGAGTATTTGCTGCAGCATTATTTGTAATGGCCAAAGATTGAAAATAACCAACGTGTCCAACAGTGAGGGACTGGTTGCTCCAAAACAAATACATCGGAATTGAAATAAATCGAATGGAAAAAGGAGGAGAGAAAAATGAAGTGTTGCCCCAACTCATCATTATTTCTTTTGTTCCTTCCTTTTTGGTAAATTTACGCTTCCACTTTAATCTTTGGGGCACTGTTTCTCGTCTTGTGGGAAGCAAACAATTGCTTGTTGGTAGTATGTGAGTGGTGTCTTGGGTTAGGTTTCCGAAAGACAGAGTCTGAGACAGAGGTTTGGCTGTGCATGGTTTATGGAGAAGGAGCTCTCAGAAGAAAGGGAATGAGAAAGCAGAATGAGGTACAGGAAGGAGCTAGGCAAGACTGGGGTCTCAGCTGGAGCCTGCTTCAGCCTGACCCCATGGGGAGCTCTGGAGCAAGAAGTGCACATTGGAGTTAGTCCCTGCTAAGGCTAGGGGGCTGCTCTGTTGTACCTCTGTGTCAGTCACCATGGGATGCACGATGGATGGGGGAAGCATAACCTCCAAGTTGAGGTGGCTCCTTTTGATGGCAATTCTCCTGAACAAGAAGCAGCTGTCAGCCATCGGCTGCCAATCCTGAACAACCAGTCTGGTAAAGCGGGCCTGAGCAGGACAGCAGGGGTGTCTCCTACAAGAGGAGAGAGGCTGGGTATTCTGATTCACGTCGTGGTGTATGAAAAATGGCAAGAACGTCCACAGCATGGTAATTATCACATTTCCTCAGTTATCTGTGTAACTTTGCCTGCCGCATGCTTATGTTTTCATTGAGTCATTAGGTAACTTGCTGGTTAAACTGTATGTCATGGGGGAAGAGTTCTGGCAACTTACTTCAGTGAAATGCAAGTTTATGGTCATTGCTGACAGCCTGGAACCTGCTATTTCAAAAATGCTTTCTAGCCGGGCGTGGTGGCTCACACCTGTAATCCCAGCACTTTGGGAGGCCAAGGTGGGTGGATCATGAGGTCAGGAGGTCGAGACCAGCCTGACCAACATGGTGAAACCCCATCTCTACTAAAAATCCAAAGATTAGCCGGGCGTGGTGACACGTGCCTGTAGTCCCAACTACTCAGGAGGCTGGGGCAGGAGAATCACTTGAACCCAGGAGGCGGAGGTTGCAGTGAGCAGAGATCATGCCACTGCACTCCAGCCTGGGTGACAGAGCGAGACCATATCTCAAAAAGAAAAGCATTCTATATACGTTGCAAATCTTCTATGTAGTAAATAAAAGGCCTATTGAAAAGCAAGCAATTGAAAATGCAAGTGATGCCACTTTAAGGTTTGGGGAGGTGACAGCTTTTAAACAAATTGGCCATCTTATAAAGACCAAAAAAAAAAAAAATAGAATATGGAAAGCAAGACACCTTTCCTCATTCATCTCTGGATTATAAGCAAAAAGCTCTGTCTCCCCAGGAAGCCCAGAAGCCACCGAGGAAAGTTCTCAGTGAATGAACAGGAGTCATAGCTGTCCTCCACCTCCCTGCTCATGACCTGCAGGGAGCAGCAGTGTGTGAGGTCCGGAGGAAAGCTGGGATCCCCAGGCTGCCACTGGCTTGACTAGGCAGGAGAGTGGCTGCCAGAGCCAAAGGGCAACTCACTGGTAGCTGGCAAGGCCATCTCAGGCCCACCCCATTAAATTAGTATTAGCCAGGGATGCATGCTCCAGTTCACAGTTACATGCTCAGCCAAGGATAATTTCCTTCCCACACAATGAGGAGAAATAAACAGTTTGCATGAGTCCTCAGCTTTATATCCAGGTTTATCCCAGCCAACTCCAGAGCCAATCCACTGAAAAGTGTCCAGTTTGTGCTCCTGTCTAGGTATTTGAATAATAATCTGTAATTCTTATCCTCAGAGAAGCCCAGGGCTCACTGGTGTGCTCTCTCTCTCTCTTTTTTCCCTACTTCCCCCCCTTGCAAGCCCCTTTTCCTAGCTGCCTATATTAGCTCTAACTTAATTATCCCTCTCTGAAAGAGAAGAACAAGTTTCTCAAGGATTCTCTTATGGACTCAGATTAGGAGCACTTGGGCAGTGAGGTATTAGATGCACATCAGCAATTCTACAAGTGCATATTAAAGCACCCACTGTGTCCTAGGCCCAAAAGTCATGTACAGGAATTAGACAGGAACCCCAGGGCTCCCTATCTAGTAAAGACAAAGATATAAACACAATTAGTACAGCCGTTCACATCTCAAGTGTATTTGAATTATGATTTATTGTTTTGTAACTCAAGTCTATTCTATTTCTAGCCTTTATTCTGCCCCAGTGACAGAAACATACACAACCTGGGGTTTGTTCCCCTCTCTTCTCCCTGGAGCTGTGTCTCATTTCCAGGAGTTTAGTCAAGGCAGAGATGTCTTGGTTATTGGCTAACAATGGGAGCTGGGCACGGTATCCCTCAGCCTGGCTGGTCTTTGGTCTACTGAGGAGGGGGTGGCAGTGGGGGCATGAGACCATTTCTGAAAGATAATTCTGACATTGGGTGGAAGATGGAGTTAGGAGGCAGGCAAAGACTGTAGGCAGGAGGAGGAATTCAAGGGTTAAGTATCCAGGGAAAGAATGATGAATTTGGTCTGGATTCGATAGTGATAGAAGCAGGGAGGAGGGAAAAGAATGGAGAGGAGTTTGAAAGGCAGAGTTTATGGAATTTGTGACTGATGACATGCGGGATAAGAGGAAAGGTGGCAATGAAGGTTTCAGTCTTGGGTGACTACATGGCAAGTGGTGCCCCTCCCACACCAGTAGTTTTATCCAGGTCCATACTTAGCAACTGCAGAGCCAATCCATAGGAAAGCAGGGGAGCAGGGGCCTGGCCTGGCTGAGTACCAACTGAGGTGTGAGCAGAGAATCACAGATGTGGGCATCCTCACAACTCAGGTGCTCAGTTGTGCCAAGGACAAGGATGGGACTACCAGGAAGAACGCAGAGCCAAAGGAAAGAGCTGAAGACAGAGACCTATAGAGCATCGATATGCAAGGGGTAGACAGAGAAGTCACAACGGTGAGGAGATAGGAAGGGGGTGAGCACAGAGGCTGTTAGATGCACCAAAGGGAGAGTTTCCAGAAGGATATTTTCCAGCAAGATCATGGTCTCTTTACCATGGTCATGAACTGAACTTACTTACTAGACACCAGATGATTTGAAATTTAAAAGAAAGAAACGATCCTTTTACTGAAAGAGCAGTTACAATTTTGCAGAAGCAGATCAGCTACAAAGAACATTTGTAGCTGAAATGAGAAAAACTCAAAATCATGATGCTAGGAACATGGGTTGGTCCAGTAACAAGTGAGACAGAAAAAGGACTGAGGAGAAACGTAAGGAGAGGAATGGAGAACAACCAGTTGGGAAGAAGCAACTGAGATAATTGAATCTGATTTGAGCATGCTAGAAATGAACACACACTGAAAGAGTCCTTCTGACCAGGCTTGGCAGAAACACCCAAGTATTGGTTTGATGAAATGCCAGGAGGCATGAGTGTAGAATAGTTGGCTTCCCAAAATCTAGATTGCAGGACAATCTAGAATTACATCATGCCCCAGACTGCTAGTTATAAGATGGCAGAGTAAAGAAGTTTCTGGTACCCTTTTCTTTTGGAAATGCCTCAAAACAACAAGGAGAAGGAGAGACAGGACACAGGACACAAACTCCATTTTTGACAGAACTAGGGACATCTGTAAAGCTGAGCCACAATACATGAGGAAGAGTTGCCAAATGCAGAGAAAATTAGACAGAGTTCTGGAAGATGGGAAAAGCACAAAATAAGTGATAAACCCTGAGGGGTGAATTTAACAATTCTATCTTTGGATCCAGATGGGTTTTGTGAGTTGGCAGGGGGACTTCCCTGGATTCTACAGAATCACAGAGGTGATGGGCCAAATATCCACAAGTGGAAATCATGTGGGTAATACACATAATTCTCTGATTACAATGCAATTGGACTAAAAATGAATGACATAGGCTTTAAAACACCATGTCAGAATCTATGGGCTACAGCTAAAGAGTTCTCAGAGAAAAATTCATAATCTTAAGCATACATTATAAATAAGATGAAGAGAGATGAATTACACATACATTCTCAAGGAGTTATAAAAAGAACAAAAAATAAGGCTATTAAAGCAGAAGAAAATAATAAATAAAGCCAGAAATCAATTTATTATAAAATACAAAAAACAGTAAAACTACATAAAAAGAGATATAGATAAGAGAAAGAGAAGACAGACAGACATATGTTCTTTGACAGGGAAAAATACATCTAATAAAATAGAAAATCCTAAGCTAAAGTAAGGACTAAAGGTGTGAAGCATGAAAAATTAAAAATGAAAATGTGAAAATGTGCAAATATAGAATATATTAAAAGAAGCATAAGAGAGACTATTTTTATCACTTATATTCCAGTGATTTGGAAAACCTGAATGTAGAATTGTCCAAGAAGACATAAATTACCAAAATTGAACCCCAAGATACAGGCAATTTAAATAAGCCAATTACTGTCAAGTAAAAAAAAAACTAGAAAAAAAAATTGTCAAATAGCTACTTATCACAAAAACACCAAGTCCAGATGGTTTCACAGGGAAAACCTACCAAAACTATAAGGAATAGCAAAGCTGATGCTATTTAAAATTGTTGCAGAACAGAGAAAAAGAAAGATTCAAAATTATTTTTATGAAGTCACCACAACACTGATACCCAAATCCAACAAAGATAGCAGACAAAAAAGAAAACTACAGACTGATCTCACTTGCGAATGTTGACAAAAAATACATAACTTAAAAATGCTAGCAAGTAGAGTCCAGCAACCAGTTAGCTAGATACCTAACATAACATGATTAATTGGAGTGTATGCCAAGAGAAAAAATATGGCTCGATATTATAGAACATATGAATATAACTAATCATTCAATCACACAAATGGAAACATTATAAGGTATCTACAGAGGTGCTGAAAAATGATCAGATAAAATTCATATCCATTCTTGATTTTAGTGCAAGTCACCAATTTTCCCAATTTGTTTGGGACTGAGAAGTTTCCCAGGAACAAGACTTTCAATGCCAAAACTGGGAAAGGCCCAGGCAAAAGGGACAGGTTGGTTACACTCATTTTGATAGAAATAGACAAATACTTTTTTATCCATAGAGACAGAGAGAAGCATGGCTCTGTACAAGCATGCATCTCAACCCAAACAGCAGCATCACAGAAACACTGCAAATATCATCAGTAAAGTCAGGAAGAAGTCAGCGACATCCACTGACACCATATTATTTTAACATTGTTATGGAAGTACTAGCCAATGCAATTATGTAGGAGAATAAAATTAAAAGTACAAAAAAACAGGAAGGAGGAAATAACATTACCACTACCTACAGTTAATATGATTGTATACCTGTAACACCTAAGAGAATCAACTAAAATTTCAAACAATGAAAAACAGGTAAGGCAGTTGGGTGTATAATAATAAAACAAAAAATAGAAAGTATTCCTACAAAAAAAATGGTAAGCTGTTAGAAAATGTCATAGACGAAAAGATACCCTTGACAAGAGAAACAAAAATATAAAATATCTAGAACTAAATTTAAATAGAATTGATTCAAATTAACAAGATATACAAGGTGTATGAAGAAAACTTAAACTGAGGTAAATATGGAAAAGAAAAGTTGAAGAAATTAATACGCATATTCCATCCTTGCATGGGAAGGCTGTCAATTCTCCCAAAAGTAATCTATATATGTAATGTGAGAAGAATAAAAATACCAACAGAATATTCTTTTTGGACTAGAAAACTGAATTTTGAAATGTCTCTTGAGAAGCACAACACAGCAGACCTTCCAAAAAGTAATTGTTATTCATCTCTCCCAGTGCTCCTCATCACAGCATCCTGGCTTCCCTTCCTTTTCGCTTTCCTCTTTCTCACCCCACTCCCCACATACCTGACGGATTTTCTCATCTTCCCAGGCTACCCCTCCCAGACTCATCCTTTTCTACTTAAGTAATTTGACCTGCTTTCAAATTCCACCCTCTCCTTCCCAGTATTCTCCCTGAACACAACAGAAGGCACATAGCCATCTAAGCAGCAAAGACTCTTTCCTCCATAGATGGGAGCTGGGGGGAGATTGAGAGATGGGGAGCAGGATGAGAGGGAAGCAGACAACTGTAAATACCCACACACACACACCTTTTAACTACTGCAAGTTTTGGATTGCTGTAACACTTTAATAAACAATGTGTATTAATTAGCTTTGCAAATAATAAGCACTATAATACTAGCCAAAACTTTAATAAGACAGTCAACAAGAGAACAATAATCATTCATGTTGAAATTTCAAAACCCATGCACCAAGATGTACATAAACTATAACTTGACATGACTGAAAAAATTCTATGCATTTTTTAGTTTTTTCTCAGGCCTCTAATATTTGTACACCTTCTCTTTTATCTTTCTTTACAAAATTTAAAACAGGATCTAAAAAATTGACCCTCTCTAGAGAATGTGCCATCTGTAATTTAATTATTTCTAGTGAGGGATAATTGCCATGATCCATAACTCCACATCCTTGCTTGTCACTGTATCAGTCAGGATTTGCTAGATTATGGTGTGATAACAAACAATGTCAAATCTTCCTGGCTTTAAATAATGGAGTTAATTTTTCACACATAGAACATGTACAATGCAGGTTGTCCAGGGCTTTGCTCATTGCAATTACTTAGTAACCCCCAACTCCCATTTCTACTATCATAGAGGCAGGA
This sequence comes from Homo sapiens, assembly GCF_000001405.40. Taxonomy (NCBI): domain Eukaryota; kingdom Metazoa; phylum Chordata; class Mammalia; order Primates; family Hominidae; genus Homo; species Homo sapiens. The sequence goes on from NC_000003.12 coordinate 31,346,546, forward strand.
TAATGGGAACGTGGCAACTCACACACTGTTCTTAAAGCTTCTGCCCAGAAGTGACACACATCACGTCCTCTCACATGCCACCGGCCAGAGCAAATCTCATGGCATGCCTGATTACAACCGAGTGGGAATGTATCCTTCTCCCTGAGACAGAGGCACTGGATGTTTTTGCACAGTGATACAGTCTACCAAAATCCCCTTTGTTCCCAAGGCCATGGTGAAATGAAAAGCCAGACTGAGCTCTGCAAGAGAACATAGCCAAGTGGCCCACCAAAGAGTAAACCCAGGGCCCGGACCACATTTGCTCTTGGACTTTCAACCAGGTGGAAGTAAGGATATTTGCTCTCTCTGGAAACTTCTGACCTCTTGGGAAGAAGGTGAAAGGGTGGCAAATATTTGAGAAATAAGTTCAATTTTTCAGACAAAACTCAAACAAAGGCTTTATTTTGTTGTGAAGTGACCATATTTTGGGAAGGAGGAAAAAGCAAATGAATATATTTTCTCTACATTTCTCAAACTTCCAAATATAAATGAGTGGGCCAAGGCTAAGTATCTCAAAAATGTCTTGATTGCAGATACACAAGTATCCATACTTATGTTATTCATTTAGTCTAGTCAAGTTATAAAAATTATTATGCCACAACCCGGGTGTGTTTCTCTGTCAGGAAATGAAAATAAAATATCATGGCCCTAGAAGCTTAGCTTTTTATTTTAAAACTCTATTGATACTGATCCATTCCCATTTTCATGATTCTGTTCAAAATTCGTCTTCAATAAACCGTCTCCCCCAATCTAGATAGCATGTATTTTCAACTGTATCTACTCTACTCATTGCTCTCTGAGTTTACATATATTTTATTCTTTATCTATATATCATGTTCTCAGTTTTATATTTTTGTTACATACTTGCATATAATTTGCTTTTCTCCTCATTGAGTTCATTACATTAAATGTGCATGTATATACACACACACATAGAGAGAGAGAGGAGACAGATAAATTCAACTTAAATAAATTTTTTATCCTTTTCACAGCAAGCGGAAACCCCAATTTAAACTGAATTACATAATGAGGAAATTTGTTATAACTATATATAACTATATACTTATTATAACCATGTAACTTTGTATTATAGCTAATCATAACTATGTAGTCTTATTGACCTTTAATATAACTATACAGTCCAGAGGTCTGATGAGCTTCAAAGTTAATTAAATTAGAGGTCCAGCGATGTCATCAAGAATGCAGATGCTTTTTCTCTCTCCACTCTGTCATTCTTCAGGTTGGCATCCTCTTTGGATTAACAGGAAGATGGCTGTCTTCTTTCCTTGTAACTTGTTAAGGATCAGTGAAATTATGGAATTGCTCCAGGAAGACCTCTAACACACAATCCCCTCACACTTACTGGCCATAATCAACTGTCCATTCCTGTATTAATAATGGGCAAAGGTGAAGGAATTACCAGTGTTGGCTTGGAATGGATGTGAAGAGCCAACTGCAATGTCCTCCACAATGTGCAACCCACAGTAAGCTTCTACTTCAAATCACTTCCTTTCTCTGTCTCAGTTTTCTTATCTAACAAGCCAGGGGCTGAAATTGATGATTTCTAAGTTTCATTCTGCATCTAACATTCAATGACTCACGAGTCTTTAAGAGCAAGAATGTGAGATGCAGATAATATTATCTCTCTGAGCTTCAAATTTACCATCTATAAAATGAGAGAATACCTATCTCATTGAATTGTTGGGAGGGTTGATTGAGGTAATACAATGAAGCATCTAGCACTATGGCTATCACATTGTAGTTACTCAACAAATGACATCATAGTGATGGTTATTATTTTATTTATTATGCAGAGACAATGACATTCCTAAGAAAACTTGAGAACTAATAGGGAACAAGGGGCTGCTTTTTCAAAAACAAATAAATAAACTAATTATCTCTGAAGTTGTTTTGTTTTGTTCTGTTCTTTTTTGCTTTGTTTTTGATAGCCCTTTAACTTAATCTTTTTAAACTCATCTTTTGAACTGAAAATAGCTTCATTATTTTCAAGACATATTTCCAGAGGGGAAATCACATTAAGATTGCTACGCCCTTGTCACCATTAACTGTTATTTGCATCTAAGGAGGAAAACATGTCATTTACGTTCCAGATGCTGAGTGTACAATTTATTTTTCTAAGGGCACAGGTATGTTTCCTTATTGTTTAGTTCTACTTTGCCTGTATTTCACAAATCACTGGTGCATGCAATTATTAACATTTAACAAACAACTTTTTTTTAACTCTGTCTTCCATGTCATCTTTGGGCTAGAATGCAATAGCCAATGCTTCAACTAAGCAAAATAATTCATTACACTCACTGACTGTACTCTCTAAAAAGGGGACTTTGCTTCTCTGCATGTAGGAAGCAGAGAATGTTTTACTCAAGAGTAGAGAGCAATAACATTTACTAATTTTTTTGGGAATGCATCCCCATTTTGGTAAAAATATTTATAGACCATTGCAGGGTCAACTCCTTTTTAAGAGGACTACAGCAAATGCAAACATCAAATTATTTCTGATTGGGCTGGGCACAGTGGCTCATGCCTGTAATCTCAACACTTTAGGAGGCTAAGATGGGAGGACTGCTTGAGGCTAAAGACTACTGACCAGCCTGGGCAACACAGGCCATCTCAACAACAAAAAAAATTTTTAAATTAGCCAGCTGCCACTGCACTCCAGCCTCCTGGGTGACAGAGAGAGACTTGGTCTCAAAAAAATAAATTATTTCTGATTGACCTGAAACAAAATTATCAGACCACTTCACCCATTGAAAGATACTTGATTCATTTAGGTTGTGAAAACTTTAGTGACTTTAAAAAGCAGAAAAACTAAGTCTTCTCTGTCAGAGGATTCTATTATCACCTTAGTTTAACCCCAGCAGATTTAAATAATTCAGAATAATTCATGTTAGTTTAACCCCAGCAGATTTAAATAATTCAGAATAATTCATGTCAGACTTTCATAATTAGTACAGAATAATACAGATCCTAAGTGTGAGGAGGTTTCGAGAAAAGATATTTGCTAATGGCTGGAGTCATAAATATAGTCTCCAAAAGACCTGCCAGGTTCTTTGTCTATCCTGAGAACTGAAACCAACAAACCTCTCTGTCCTTGTGCTAAACAATTATGGGACAAAACATTCCTTCTATTTTCTTATCAACTTAATTGAGGAGTATTTATATACAAGCAAAACCTCAGGGCTAAACAGTACTGAAATCGGACAAAAATAAATAAATTAACTACCTGATCCAGGAAATACTTGCACTTAGAAGATAAGACCATAAAATAATGAAACAGTTTACTTTCGGACACCAATAGCTGCCTCACCAATATACACACCCCAAAACCCTCACTTCTATATTACATAAAATATTATGTCATAAACTCTGCCTGATTCCAATAGTTTTCTGCCTCGAAAGACTCACCTTAAAATTCTCCAGCCCAGGTCCTAAACCCACTAAATATCCTCCCTGACTATCCCCTTCTGAGCTATTACTAACACTGTCAAGGTAGTGTTCTCCTTAATTGTAGAAAGTCTAATAAACTTAGCTTTGCTAAATCAACAGGCTTTTCTTTTGGAGTATTGACAGCTAACAATCCTTTCCTACAGAAAAATCTCTCAGAATAGATCACAGAGCTGCATAAAGTATTTCCAAACCTTCTTCCCAATAGATCCTCATTTCCTGGTCAATCACAATTAATAAATAACTACTATTTTCTATGTACATGGCTGTGCATCAGAGATTGTGTCAAAGTGTCAAATATAGATCATGTCCTTCTGAGCCTGCAGAGTAGTCTTGGAGAGAGATATAGGACTGAGAAACCAGCAAGCACAAGCAGCCAGTACATGTTTGGTGTAGGATGAGTGGTACAGACCTTAGAGTCGGGAGGGCCCAGAGAAGGGATGTCCCTGAGGCCTGAGAGACAGGCAAGCTGCTGGGACAACCTGTTTACATTTTCTGTCTCTCACAGCCTCCCGAGATAACCTCCTCAGTCCTTCTCCAGGCCCCCTTACTGAAACCAAAGCATGACTGTTTGTAATTCATGAATATATAGGATGAGTTTCCTTTCCATTTAAACTGCAGAAGACAATGAAAGATGTTTGAAAGAAAACCCAATTAAGTATTCAAAGGATTACAAGGGCCAGGAGAAACCCAAATAGCTATTCCTTTGTCCCTAACCTCGGTCCTTCCTTGCTGCCATTTAAATTCCGCCCAATCACATGCAACAGCTATTTATTCGCTTGGATGTTTATTTCCTCAAATGCCAAGGCAGCATCAAAGACTTTCCATGTGGCATGAAGAAATCCTTTTGAATATAACTTCCGTATTTGTTCTGAAAAAGCAACCAACAATTAAGAATCTCCACTATTTCATGGGCGTGAAATACAAAATGTCAAAAGCACATCCAGAGACACTTCTAGACTCTCTCCTCCTCTAAGCCTGTAACTGAAAGGACAAAGCAGCTTAAACCAAACACAGCAGCAGAGTGTAAAAAATCATCCCACACAGTGCTGCTCCTCAGGTACCACCCACTGTCACCACCAAATTTTAGGTACCTTTCTCCCATTGCCTCACCCTTGTTGATTTGTACTCTTTAGCACTTAGATTTGGAGACAACTCCTTGGACTTGAGTCCTTGGCTTAGCCCTGCCTCTTACCAATGATGTGAATTTGGACAGGTCACATAATTCCTTTATGCTTCAGTTTTCTCACCTATAACAATGAGACTGCTAATACTGAATATCTCACAGATTCTAGGAAGCATTAAATTATTACAATAATTTAATAATGGATGTACAGCATTTATGCTAGCTAAAATGTATTCTGTTATGCTGTAGTAATAAACCCCCAAATCTCAATGATTTCACCCAGCAAAAGTCTATTTCCTTTTTATCCTATATGTCCCAATTGGATCATTAGCTTCTCAATACATGCTTAGATGATGAGAAAAGAATATGGCAAAAGTCAGACGGTTTTCAAAGATCCCACCCAGAAGTGTCCTCTACCAGTTTCACTTACTAACATTTTGTTGATCAAAGCAAGTCAAATAGCTATGCCTACTTTCAGAGAGAGGTAGAGAAATAGAATCCTATCATGTCCCAGAAAGGGTAGAAAAACTACCACATATTTTAACAGTCCTAATGGCTACCAAGGCATTAGAACATAAAGGTTAGCTATTATTGTTGTAGTTGTTATTATTATCATCCAGTGCATCATCATGTCAGAGCAAGAAAAAAAATCGCAGGAGTTCCACTGTATCCCATTTGTTTATTCACTCAATATTTATATTCATAATTATTCAATATTTATTGAGGGCTATTGTATAATAGTTTGTCTGGTCTTTGTCCTGGGTATCTGGGAGGGAGCTTCTAAACCCTTGCAATTCCTTGAGTGATGGAGTGTATTTGTTATTTGTGGTGGGCTCTTGGAACTGCCCCTGAGTTTGTGTAACAAGGTGACATGTGGTAGGCCCCTAGATAGTTTCAGGAAAGGGACTGACTATACCAGAAAGACCAACCATGTGATTGGCAACTTGGAGCTTTGACCCACATGATATCAGCCCAACCTCCACGGAGGAGACAAGGTCTAGGATTGAGTTCAACCCCATAGCCAATGATTCAGTCATGCTTGTGTAATGAAACTCCAATGGAAACTCTAGACACCAACGCTTAGGTAAGTGTTCCTGGTTGCTAAACACGTCAACAGGTTGTGATGGTAACACATTTGGATTTGACAGGGAGATGACATGCAAACTCCATGTCTGGGATTCTTCCAGATCTTGCCCTATGGTCTCTTCTTTTAGATGGTCCTGATTTGTATCCTTTATAGTAAAACTATAATTGTAAGTGTAGCACTTTCCTGAATTCTGTTAGTCATTCTAGCAAATTATCAAACATGAGGAAGTAGTAGGAATCCCCAAATTTGTAACCAGTTGTTGAGAAACATGGTGGCCAGGGAACCCCCAAATTGTGGCTGATGTTGAAGTGAAAGCAGTCTTGTTAGAGATGCCCTTAACTGGGAAGTCTGTGCTAATTTCAGGTATTTAGCATTAGAATTGCATTTCAAGGGTGTAGTACACACCAAGCATCAGAGATATAGAAGTTAATGAAAGAAGCATGGTTCCATTCCCATAGACCTCATAGTCAAGAGAAGGAGACACATATTAAAAACAAACAAAAAAGGTCTAAAAGAAATATCATCATACACTGAGTACTTTTAATAAAAGAGGTGGACATTGTGGAAAAGAATAACTGGCTACACCTGGTAGCCTTGAGACTAAATTTTGCCCAAAGATGTGATGAGCTTAGCCCCAAGTTGTATTAGTTGTCAATCATTTAAAATCAGAAAACTTAGTACAAAAATCTAAATTTTGGTCTTCTCTTGAAAATTATGATATGTGACAACTCAAGATCCCAAAGTTCCCCCAACAGCCACCGCTTTAGGGAAGCATGTATTCCCTGGCTCACTGTAGTCTGCACATACACACCTTTACTGATTTAGGCCACCTGGTGCCCACAGACATTTGTGTTGGTTCCCTTATTCTGAAGCAAGCCATTTGTGGAAACTGGGGCCTACAAAGGGGAGCTAATTTGTACACAAAGAGTTGGTCTGTGGCAAAGCTAAGACCAGAGTGCAGACCCCTTAAGGTCAGTCCAATCCAGAAGCTTCTTCCACCACTCAAAGCCATAGTCAAGCCTATCATGGGCTCCCACTTCCTCTAAGAGGAATAGACGCTTTTGCTTAAAGACATCTCACCACAGGCATTCAGTTCTTGCCTAGGATTCCCTGCCTGCATCTGCTGGCCTTAGTCACACCCCAAGGTGCAGATATTTTCAATCCCTCTCATCCATCATAATGTACTTCTCCTTGGATCATTCTTTTACTCATTCATTCAGTCACTCATTTAAAACTTGTATATGCCAGTCAGGATGAGGAAGTGACAAAATTCAGAATTACCTTCCTGCAATAAACAACTAGAAAACTGGAAAAGAATATAGGACACAAGTATTTTCAGATATTAGACGAAAGTCAGTTCAGAACTGTAATCTCTGGGAGAAGGGAAACAAATGAGGAATAGTCTATCTTTCTGCCCAGAGGCAATTTCCAAATTGCAGTACAAGGGTAGAGAACTGAAGCAGAGCCTGGTAGTCTTGCTGAGTTGATAAGGCAGATATCAGAATTTGAGGAGGTAAAAAAAAAATACTAGAATTTTCAGTGAAGAGCACCCAAAGAGAAAGCTACACAGAGAAGGCATTCCAGAAAAAAATAGAGTATTATTTTGAGTTTGACTGGGTACTACCTCAGGCTTACATAGTGTAAAACCTCATGAGGCCATACAGAGAAACTTTTGAGGAAAGAGCACTAACTGAGGAGCAAGAAGATGAGTAACCCTTAGATTCACACAATACCAGGACTCATTAGGGTTCCTACAATTCATTGTGAAGAGACCTCACTGAATATACAAGGATTCAGTAGGAAACCCAGAGGACTATCATGCCTTAGTAATGAGGTTAATTGAACCCTAGAGCAGTGGTTCTCAACTGGATGGAGGTTTGACAATGTTTGCCCATATTTTTGGCTGTCACAGCTGGAGAGTTACTACTAGCAGCTAATGTGCAGAAGCCAGAGATGCTGTTAAACAATCTACAATGGACACACAGACCCTCAAAACAAAGAATTACCTGGTCAAACTGTAAATACTGTTGAAGTTGACAAAATTCTACCTAGAGTAAACTCAGAATCACCCTAAAGGAGATTTGAAAGAATACTCCAAAGGTTCAAACTAATCTGCAAGAAACTTAACCACTTGCCAGAATAACATCTGACATTCTTTAAAGAGTACAAAAAGTCCAGTATTCAACAAAATAAAATGTACAATGTTTGTCATTCAATAAAAAAATTATAAGACATATGAAGAAGTAGGAAAATGTGATTCATAACCAGGAAAAAATCTGCCTGGTTTTTTTCTGCCAGGAAGTAAAAGATATGATGAAGTTACAAAGGCATTAAAACAGCTATAAACATACTCCATGTTCAGGCACTGTGCTAAGCCCTGATACTACAGTACTGAGCTCAACAAACATGGCCTCATGCAGCTTACATACAGTAGAAGACACAAGTATTTAATAAATAAATAAGTAAATAGATATATAATTAAAAATCATGATACATATTGTTAGGAAAAACAACAATAACAAAAAGGTGCTAGAGGAGATAGTAATAAAGGGAAAATTATTTTATATACATATTCAGGGATAGAGATTATATTAAGCCAAGACCTAAAGAGCTAACTAGCTCAAGAGCTATAAGAACAGCCTTTCTGGCAGTAAGAATAGCATGTAGAAAGTCCCTGAGATAGGGGAAAGCTTAAACAATTAAAAGAAGAGGCCACAAAAAATGAAACAATATTCTATGTTCATGAATTTAAATAATCAATATTATTAAAATGTCCATACTATCCAAAGCAAGATACAGATTCAACGCAAAATCCCTATCAAAACACCAATGACATTCTTCAAATAGAAAAAAAATCCTAAAATTTACATAGAATCACAAAAGATCCAGAAAAACCAAAGCCATCCTGAGCAAAAAAAAAAAAAAAAAAAAAAAGCAAAACTGGAGGAATCACATTAGCTGACTTCAAATTATATTACAGAGATATAGTCACCAAAACAGCAAGCTACTGGCATAAAAACAGAGATAAAGACAAATGGAACAGAATCGAGAGCCCAGAAATAAATCTATACATCTACAGTCAACTTGTTTTCAACAAAGGAGCCAAGAGCATACACTGGGGAAAGGACAATCCTTTCAATAAATTGTGCTGGGAAGACTGGATATTCCTATGCAGAAAAATGAAAGTATGTCTCTTGCCATATATAAAAATCAAATCAAAATGGATTAAAGACTTAAATCTAAGACCTGAAACTGTGAGACTACTAGAAGAAAACATTGGAGAAACACTCTAGTATATTAGTCTGGGTCAAGAGGTCTTGAATAAGACTTCAAAAGCACAGGCAACAAGAGCTAAAATGGACAAATGAGATCACATCAAGCTAAAAAGCTTCTGCACAACAAAGAGAATAATCAACAAAGTGAAGGGACAATCCACAGAATGGGATAAAATATTTGCAAACTACCCATCTGACAAGGACTAATAACCAGAATATATAGGGAGCTTAAACAACTCAATAGGGGAAAATAAAAATCATAATAATAATCCAATTAAAATGGGCAAAAGATCTGAATAGACGTTTCTCAAAATAAACAAATGGCCAACAGGTATATAAAAAATTCTCAACATTACTAATCATCAGGGAAATGAAAATCAAAACTACTGTGAGATAAGGTGTCATTCCACTTAAAATGGCTTTTATCCAAGTCAGCCAATGACCAATGCTGGCAAGGATGTGAAAAAAGAGGAACCCCTGTACGCTGTTGGCGGGAATGTAAATTAGTACCGCCACTACAGAGAACAGTATGAAGATTCCTCAAAAATCTAAAAATACAACTATCGTACAGTCCAGCAATCCCACTCCTGGGTATTTATCTGAAAGAAAGAAAATCAGTATTTCAAAGAGATATCTTCCCATGTTTATTGCAGCATTATTCAAAATTGCCAAGATATGGAATCAACCTAAGTGTCCATCAATGGACAAATGAATAAAGAAAATGTGGCACATATATGCAATGGAATACTATTCAGCCATAAAAAAGAATGAAATCCTGTCATTTGCAACATGGATGAAACTAGAAATCATAATGTTAAGGGAAATAAGCCTGACACAGAAAGACAAATATGCCTGCTTTTTACATTTTTTTCATTCATATGTAGGAACCAAAACCAAAAATATTGAATTCATAGACACAGAAAATAGAATGATGGTTACCAGATGCTGGGAAGGGCAGCAGAAAGTGGAGGATAAAGTGGGGATGGTTAATAGGTACAAAAATATAGTTAGATAAAATTAACAAGATCTTGTATTCAGTAACACAACAGGGTGACTATAGTTAATAATATATTGTATATTTTAAATTTACTAAAAAAGTGGAATTAGAATGTTCTTAACACATATAAATGATAAATGGGTAATAATACCCTAATTATCCTGATTAATCATGACACATTGTATGCCTGGAGCAACATCACACATACCCCAAAAATATATACAATCACTGTGTACCCAAAATAATTACAACAATTACACATTTTTAAAAGGAGTTCAGTGCTGGGGGAGTGTCAGGTTCTAGGCCAAACTGAGGTCCAAGAGGAGTCGGTGGGCAGGTAAAGGGTAACTAGAAAAACACTCAAGAAATCACAGGCAGTTTTGACATGGCTTTATTCTCTCTCTGGGCGTGAGCCCAGCCACGAGCCTGGGTGAGACATAGGTACAGCATTACTCGGGTAGTTATACCTTTTACAGACAATAGTGGCTCCGTCCAAGCCAAGCACAAGCTCACGTGAGTGATCACCTAATGCGCCTCACGGGGCATGGTTATGTAATGTGTGGGGTTGTAAGCCTGTGCTCCAAACCTGCTGAGTCATGCTGTGCTGGAAGGCCGCCTCGGCCTACTCCAGGCTAAAGTGCTGCCATCTCCTTTACAGGGAGTATAATGAGCAAGTGGGGAGAAAGCATAAAATGGTGATGAAGACACAAGAGGGTGATGAAGGCTGGTAACCCCTGGAATATAATTTGGATTTTCTTCTAGTACAATAAGAAACCACTGGAGCAGTGGCTGTCTTCCTTGGCTGCACTGGAATCACCTGGAACTTTTGAAAAATATGCTTGTGTCTCAAGCATAGAAATTCTGAAATGATATGGCATATGGCTAGAGCATTAGGAATTTTTTTTTTACTCCCCAGGAGAGAATTTTTACGGGCAGCTAAGGTTGAGAACCACTGTAAGGGAAGATTTTAAACAGGGAGTGACATCATTTGATTTTGAAAGTTCTGTTACACTAACCCTATACTCATTATAAACTTGGCTATAATGTTCCCTTCCTTCTAGGAAACAAGGCTCACCTGAAGCTCTTTTACCATAAACAACATCAGCATGGGTCATAATGAATTCTACTACTGAGAACAGTGACACCCACAGTATTCAGAGAAATATGCCAGTATTTTCCTTCAAGTTCAAAACACCTGTTGTGGCCTAAATTGAGTCAATCTGTAATAGTCAATTCCAAGTGCTTTGTATTCAGCTCATCCAGAGACACAGGCAGAATGAGCTTGGCATCCAATTTTCTGTACTCTCGTGTAGCTCATGTACTCGTACCTCTTTGGGGCTGAAGAAGAAATCTAGCCCCATAAACTCACTCTTTGTTCTTCCCATAGATCCCTGTCTCTTAAACCCTTTTCTCCATCACCATCTCACCTGTATCCCACCTCCTCTTTTTCTCTGTCTTCAGCTTATGTTGTCAGTCATTCATTTCTATCACCTGAGGACTCAGAGAAAATTTTTGATCCACTCAAGTGATCTAAAGGGGAGGGCAGTGGATGAAGGATAGCAGCCATCAGTGATTGATTCATTGATTCAAGATCAGTGGTTCTCAAAATGAGAACTATTACAAATGTCTTAGAAAAAAGCCATATATGCGCAAATGTGCACCTTATGGCATATATTTGTAATTAAGATTTTACTTCAGGCCAGACGTGGTGGCTCATGCCTGTAATCCCAGCACTTTGGGAGGCAGAGGAGAGTGGATCACTTGAGATTAGGAGTTTGAGACCAGCCTGGCCAACATGGCAAAACACCCACTCTACTAAAAATACAAAAATTAGCTGGGCATGGTGGCACACACCTGTAGTCCCAGCTACTTGGGAGGCTGAGGCAGGAGAATCGCTTGAGCCCAGTGGGGGCAGAGGTTGCAGTGAGCTGAGATCACGCCACTGCACTCCAGCCTGGGCAGCAGAGTGAGGCTCTGTCTCAAAAAAAAAAAGAAAAGATTTTATTTCATTCAGAACCACTGGTCTTGAATCATCCTGCTCAAGGGCAGGAGCATCAGCATCACCTGAGAAATGAGAAATGCAAAATCTTGACCACCAACTCAGACCTACTGAATACTCAGAAAGTCTGGACATAAAGCATAGCAATCTGATTTCACAAGTTGTCCAGTGGTTTTGGTGTACACAAACAGTGGTTTGGAAACTATTCTTTAAGACAATCAATGTTTGTGCATTATTATGCTATGAGAAACTTTCTCTCTTTTCATCCTTGAGTTACACTGTGAAAGGCCCCTTTCTCTTATCTTATCTGGTATATGCCTAACTCCAAATGGGTGTGACTATGTAGCATGACTGAGATAACAGATAAATGGGGAGGAAATAAAACCAACAGCATCTTGCTATACCCCACATGATAAAAGTCAAAAAGACATCATAGCAAAAGGCTCTTATTACAAAACAAAGTTATCGTGGAAAAAAGATACTGCATTGTTAACATCTGTCCAATCTGAAGTACCTTTTCTGTAAATAAATATCAAGAAAAAGCATTCACTAGCTGAATACTAGTGCTACTATTACAAATCTCTTAGAAAAACATCATATATGCCCAAATGTAGACCTTGTGGCATATATTTGTAATTAACTTTTTACTTCATCTTGTTATTGCAAAAGTTGTTAGGAAAAAAAATGTGGACATATGTGTATATGTATTTCCCAGAGAGGATGATTTTATCCTGTTGTTTTTAAGATGCCTCAACTCCAACAAGTTGGTTTTGAGGAAGGTACCAATATAACAACAAGGCCAATAATTCCTAATTGCTTCTTCCCATTCCAAGGTCAAGAAGGTTTACACAAACAGATAAGGATTGATGTTTAAACAGATTCGGCTTGGTAAAAGGCCATAGAGTCCATGGGGCCACGCTCCTTCATGAGTTTTATTCATCATGAAAGCCATATGGTTTTCACTATAGATGGCCCAAATCCTCACCTCCCCAGGTCAAGCGAAGTGAAGACAAGAATATAATCCTAGCAAAGTCATCGTTGGCATTTTGGTCTATTTGCTTCTCACCAACTTGGGATCATACCATGTGCTTGTGTGTGTGTGTGCACATATACGTGTGCATGTATGTTATGATTAAGATCATAACCTATATAATGTTATATATCTGCTGATCCTAAGATAGCTATATATATATAAAGGTATACATATACATATATAAGCATATATGTATTATATATGTTATATAAAAGTGTATATATACACATATATAAGTATATATACTTTTATATAATATATATAAGTTTATATATATTTACCATAAGTTATATATATACTCTCTATATAGTATATGTTTATACTATTTTTTCCTCCAACAAAGAGTAAGAGTATATTATGTTCTCAGAGAAAATCTGGCCTGAAAACAATAAATTTAACACTGAAACATATATAAGTATATACATATATATATTGTATAAAAGTATATATATACTTATATATAAGTATATATACACATATATAAGTGTATATATACTTTATATATATAATTATATATATTTATACTTTATATATATATATAAAGTATATAAATATATATACTTTAAATATATATATATACTTATTTATTCTCTAACAATTTATCCTAAACATCCTGAAATGCACAGGATGGCCCCCACAGCAGAGAATTATCTGTGACAAAATGTCAACAGCGTTGAGGTTGGGAAACTGCACTGGAGGCATCCCCTTTAAAATCAGAACCCAAACAGGATTCACTCTCTTAGAACGAACCTCATTCTCTTGGGAGTTCTAATCAATGTAATAAGGGCAAAATATAAATAAGATATTGACTTAGTGGCACGAAGAAGACAAAATTGTCATTTCACAACACATCATTATGCGTTTAAAAATAAAAGAGTCAACTGAAAACAAATAGCATGAGTAGAGAATATTACCTTGCCATTTCTGTTTCCCAATAAAGAACTACCTACCAGCCAGGTAAACTTGACTACATATCATTCACATGTATTTATATATTTATTGATTGAAATATTTATTGAGTACCTACTAGTTCCCTGGTATATTTCTTAGCACTAGAGACACAACAGTGCATCAGAAACAATATCTCTTAGCTGCTGCAGCTTGTATGTTTTTATGAGTAGACAAAAAGTCAGATAAATAAGTAAGTATGCAGTGTATTAGTTAGTGATAAGTGCTATGGAAAAAAATTAAGCAGGGCACAGAGGAAAGAGAATTCTTAGAGGGGCAGAACAACAAGCTCTTGTTTGTCCTATAAAGATTTTGTATTTATCCTATTTGACTTTTGCTCTGGGGGAGTTCAGAGGGCCATTAGAAGATTTTGAGCAGAGCAGTGACATGTTCTAATACATGTTTTCAAAAGACACTGTATGTCTAATGAGTAGGAAATAGACTTTCAGAGGTGAAAAATGGAAACAGGTAACAGATAAACCAGAGACAAGGCCAGGTAGGGATCTATAGGTTATTATAAGGATGTTAGATTTTACTCTGAGAGAGATGAAATGCCCCCAGAGAGTTTTGAGAAAAAGGTGTAATACAATCAGACTCAAATTTTTAAAGGAGCACTCTGGCTGTGGTGTGGAAAACATACTGTTTAGGAATGAAAGGCAAATGCAGAAACAACAAAGGAAGACAGTCTTTTAATGCTAGCAGGAAAATTCTAGCTCCTTCCCCTATCCATTTTTGTCCAGCTGATTCTTACATGCTATAGATAGATGAGTAAGGAAATAACATTGCTTTTCATTCTCTTGGCAAGCAAATATTAATAAAAAGGCTTTCAAAAAAATTAAGTTGGTAAATTTCCTGTTTGTTTCATCTTGGCTTCAGCGGGCCACCCAGTAGTTTCTTTTGCACGAGAGAGGATTAAGTTACTTGACCCTGTGACTTTAGGGAAGAGTTAAATCTCACAGCCAGAGTCGCTGTCAGATTCTAGTCTTCCCTAAACATTCTTGGGAATTATTTTTTAGCCTTGCTGACTGGAGCAATCTATATGTGAGGCTTTTTAAGGAAGTAAAACCTTGGAAGTGCTCCCAGCCCCTATCATTGGTTTCTTTTTCATGAATCCTTTTCAACAGCATCAGGCTCTGTTCATTAATGTCTGATCCTTATAGGTCACACAGAAGAAAGGAATTATATTCTCCTCTAGACAGACACCCTCATGTGATTCAAAAGTTTGAGGTTTTTGAGATAAGGAGAGAAGACAAACCACAAAAGGCTTCATCAATTCTGATTCAGAGAAGACAGTGACCCCTGACTACGCTGAGCATCACATTCCTTAACAATTCCTTTCAGGGACATAAAAAAAGAATTCCTTTGGTTTATCAGCTGACTTTGAAAAAATGAAGACTAAGTCTATTATTTTACTACATTACAAATTTTGACTTAGTGGTTATGATTTAATGAGGGCTGTAGTTGGTTAGGACTGTTTGAAGTTTTATGGACAGACAAGTGGTTGTCACAACTTAGGAACAAGGCACAATGAGAATATCCACAAAAGCACAGAGCGGATGTGGGAAAAATCTGACTCTTGAATTACACATGAGGGCAAGGCAGGTACTGAGGGAAGTGGCCTGAGTTCAGGACAAGCCCCAGACTTGGATGGAGATGGTGAGTACAAATGGGGAGTTGGGAGGCAATAGGCTCCAAGGTAGACGTCCAGCCTTATATACTAGTCAACATGGAAAGTGGATGGAAAATCTAGCTCTTAAGAGAACATATGTCATTCAATTCTCATCCCTGGGAGTCTCAGACTGTAACTTGGGCTGTCACCAATGCATCTATGAGGCAGCTGTGACCTTATGGGACACTAGACTGCATGGTTCTTGAAAGAAGAATGTTTCTGATATGCTGTAGTTTCTCAGTGACTTTCCATTGAATCAAAGATTGTTTACATGAGTACCTCATTGGATAAATCTAGGCAGATGACTTAATTTTAAGCAACCAGATGGAAGAGCAGAAGCTATTGGCATATTTCCTTAGTTGGTTTGTCTCTAAACCTATATACAGGAATCATCGCTGTACCTGATTTTAACTTACTGGGAAAGGCCAAAGGAATTGATGTGATTCAGGGTCTGTTCTTATTGCCTTATTTAATAAGTTTCCATCAAACAAAAACAATCTTTCAGTGGATTCAGGGGCTTCTTTCACTTTTATTCAAGTGTGGTATGATTTTCTCTTAATGCTTTTAGAGTCACTAATGGAGATGTACAGAAGCAGAGAAAATTATAAAAACACTGGGAAGATGCTGAACTAACAGGGCCAGGGAGTGGGGGGTGGATACTAGAATGAAAATAGAATGGAGAAGAGCCACAGAGTCTGCTTTGGGGGCTAGCTCTTCACTCCATGACAAAATAAATCTAGTTTGCTTTCCACCAATCACTTCTGCCTCCTCCTCCTCCTTCTTAACCCACACTAGTGAACAAGGGCAAGAGGGAAGTCAACCGGTCAAAGATGGCTCTAATTAGAGGGTAATTTTAAAAGACGTGACGACAGTCATTTGATAGTTCCTGCTCTTTGTTTTCTCTAACAAGCCCTGTAACTTCCCACCTAATTTTCTTTGCCAATGTGATCACCCCTCCCTGACAAGCCCTTCTTACCCCTTTTTCTTTGGAAGACTTGGCTGTTTCTTAAAGTCTGCCTCCAACATACCCTCTACCACCATGGGGCCTCTCAGGAGCAGTTGGTCCTTCCCTTGGACCACAGTTGGACCTTTCCTTAAGGTCTGATCTTAAAAATCTTAGTCTATACTAGCTACGAGCAATCCAACTAATCTTTCGAAGACTCAGCTTCATTATTTGTGAAATAGGGATGCCATCTGCATTGCTTCTCTCAGAATACTACTAAGATGAGTGATATGTGTGGAAACTGTGCAAACTATATGGTGCTTTGAAATTAAGATGAGAACTGTTATAGGTACCCTTGTGTCCTATAATCATGGCCAGATAAGGACTTTTAAATGTCCTAAAATCTCTGAAAAGATTATGATGCTCCCCTAATGTAAAAAGACAAAACTATAAAAATAAAAATAATAGTTAAGCATAAGTTATAAGCATGAATAATGTTGGAGGATGACTATTTCAATGCTTTATCATTTTGAAAACTCAAGTTCTGCTTTTTCTTTGCTTTTCCAGCTTGTTTTGAATCTTGGTTTTACTAGTTTCCTATGCGTAATAATTTTCTAGTGCTGCATTTTATCTCATTTACTAGGTTGGAGATTCCTTGAAGCCTCTGTCTCAGCTTGTACATAGCCAGTGCTCAATAAATATTTGCTAAATTAAATTCTTCCTCTTGACCCTTCACAGAAATGTGTCTTCTATGCAATCAGGAAGCTCCACAAATAATTAAAAAACATAGCTGACTCTGAGCAGTCATACCTTAATCACTCAACAGGAAAATATTAAAAGAGAAATAGACATATAATACAGAACTTGAAACAATGGAAAATATTTTTAAATGGAAGAAGCAGCCCATACCCCCAAAAACTACATGGGGAGAGGGGGATTTGAAAATGAGAGTCATGGGAAGGAGTAATTGAAACATAACTGGGAGAGGGAAGTGGTGAATAAAGAAACTAAGCAAATTCCTGAAAATATTAAATTATAAGAAATCATTGTTGGAATTAAAGTTGAAATGAATCTTAGTTGATATTTTAGCTAACCCACCCATTCGCCCAAATGTAAGCTCTTATCCACATGCAACAAAAGCTCATAGAGTAAGCACACCATGTATTGCAATCTCCATGATGGCACCTCACTTGGTTTTCAAGGGCATCCATGCTTTCTGTCTATGCTAACTAATCCTTATTCCTAGAGATGGCTATGACTCAGCACTTTTTTGAGACTATATTATACCCTAGAAATCCATGGCATTTTGCTTTTTGTGGGGATATACATAAACATTCTTAGTGCCCTAATTTCTCCCTCATTTCTCTCTCTTACTTTCTTTTAATTTCCTTCTGCCTCTAGTCCTCCATCATCAGCATTTTTTCACCTCAACATGGTCCTTTTTACCATTCTTTCTCCATGCTCTTCATGCTTTTAGCTAAATGCATTCTCCTGGAGGGGGTTACGTACTCAAGAGACTCATAGTCATCTCTTATGAACTTTCCAGAGTTACTGTAACCAGGATAAATGCATATGGTTTAAAAAATGAAATGAAAATCAACTTTTAACCAATGCATTACATTAGGAAAAAAAAAAACAAACCTCTATTGCACTTATTTTAACTTGACATTTGCATATTCTTTTTTATTTTGTATTTGGGTCAGAAATTAGTGAGTATATAGTTATGGAATGGTCTTTGTCATCAGAGAAAATTTCACCACTTCCTTTCTATGGGCCTTGGGGGAGCCATTTCACCTTCTCAGGCTTTAGGTTCCACTTCTGTGAATGGGAATAAAACAGAGATAACAAACAAAAAGCACTTAGCCTGGTGCCTTGCCATTTCCAACTTCCCTCCTCCCCTGTTTTCCTTCACTTCTAAAAGAACCTACATGTCCTTGAATTCTTGTCTCTAGATCTGTTTCTGGAGTATAGAGAGGCAGACATTGTCAAGACACCTTGAAGCAGAGCTTTGCTCAGACAGCAGTCATTTGCATGTTCTTTCTTAGTTTTTTCAGCGTAGGGCAAGTAGATATTGAGGAGTTGGCTCCAGGTCAAAATCCTATGTGTGATTTTTTAAGCCAAATTGCCCATAGGCAATTACAAAGTTTTCATCTCATAGGCCTCATGGGGGAAAGCTGCCCTCTCCAGACTTTGGGCACAGTGGGAGAGATTTATAGCCAAGAACTCAGAGGCCTGGCCATGCAAAAAATCAACATTCTTAGCCCAGGCATCTCCATTCTGAGGCCTCCTTATCAGAGGATACCTCCACTGATGCCTTTCTCAGGCACCTCTGCTAAGACCACATTATCTGGTGAGCCTCAAAGACATTTGACTCAATATTCCATATTTTTCCCACTCATAGCCCTTCCTTCGTTCCTTCTTCACCTAGCCTTCACATCCACAAAACTGAAGGAGCTTTTTGTTCACAGCTCCCCATGACAGTGAGATGATCCCCACATCTGTGCCAACCCACCTGACCCTCCCACCTACACTACTCAAAAATGGAACAAGGTGTGGGGGTGGGTTCTGGAGCCCTTTCATGTTCAGGTCCTGTTTACAGTTTTGCAGTAAGTGGCTAAAGGCTTTACAGGTGCTTTGGTTTTGGCTTGTTGTTTTAATGGACCACCTCAACACCTGTCAGCTCAGTTCTTTCTAGCTCAATGCTTAATGAAGATCATTGACCTGGGAAAAGATCACAGTAGAACTTTCTCTGGCCTAACAAATGCAGGCCTCTTTTTTGTTTTTGTTTTTGTTTTTTTGTTTTTTTTTTTTTTTTTTGAGACGGAGTCTCGCCCTGTCCCCAGTCTGGAGTGCAGTGGCGGGATCTCGGCTCACTGCAAGCTCCGCCTCCCGGGTTCACGCCATTCTCCTGCCTCAGCCTCCCAAGTAGCTGGGACTACAGGCGCCCGCCACCACACCCGGCTAATTTTTTATATTTTTAGTAGAGACGGGGTTTCACCGTGTTAGTAAGGATGGTCTCGATTTCCTGACCTCGTGATCCACCTGCCTCGGCCTCCCAAAGTGCTGGGATTACAGGCATGAGCCACCGTGCCCAGGCAGGCCTCTTTTTATTCATAGCTGGTCACCCCAACCAATTTGCATGAACTCTTGATCTTCTGGAGAGAAAGAAAAACAGATCCCAACCACTGCTCCTGTGAATTTAAAGTTAAAGAAGCCTGTCAGGATAGGTCAGAGTGGTTTTGACCAAGATCTGCAAGTATAAATTGCCACCAGTACCCCAAAGGGCAACCTGACAGGAGTGGAGGGACAGTTGGGGAGTCTGAGACTCTGAGCCAGTGATCCAAGCTCAAACAACAGTCAAAGAGTCTTGAGAGGAGGCTGAATCTGGAATAGCATATAGCTAACATTGCAAGTTCCTCAGGACCAAGCCAGAGGGCAGAGGGTCATGCTTTGAAGACTAATCACTGAGCATGCAAGAACTGGGAAGCTATAACCTGGGAGCCCAGGCAGGTGTTAGCACTGCCAATGGGGAAAGTTTCAACGAACATGGGCACCATCACAGCAGCAGGCACACATGCATCAGATTATGCAAGGTTAGTGTTCAACAACTGAAATAAAGGCTGCTACAACTTTCCAGCTCTGTGTAGGTGTATTCGCAAGCATACACACACACGAATGTGTGTATATGGGTCTTCTGCTTGTTTTCATGACCAAACCCGGAGTGACAGAGCAAGCCTGCTGATTCTAAAGGCAGTGCCCTCTCCATTCTGTATGCTGCTTTCCAGGAAAAGCAACGTCTACTACTGAGTTTCAGGACATAGCTAGTCTGGTAACTATAGAGGGCAAAGAGGGCAAAGAGTCCAGTCATTTTTTTTCTTTTATTATGTTCTTTATTTAGCTTTATCCTTAGAACAAACATAGTAATTCTTCCTCATATAGATTCCACAGAAAGCAAGAAGAATATAATAAAAGTCATTGATATCTCACTATGCACAGATAACCACTGTTACCGTTTTTGTGAAATTATTTTCAGTATTTTCCCTTTTTTCATAAAATTCAGGGGACAATATATCCATAAAATTGTAACCTGCTGTATCAGAGTCCCAGAAAGAACACCCAGTATTCTTAAAAGAGAAATTAAGAATAGCTTAATAAAGGGCTATTTGTTTAGGCATGGGCAAGGCTACCACAGAGGACAGTGCAGGGCCCCAGACCAGTGACAGCAAAACGGCATATCCCTGGGCCTGAAGGGGTAGGTTGGGGTGAGATTACCAGAACCCCAAGGCAGAGAGGGCTGACTGGAAAGAGGCTTCTGAGAGAAGCTGAGATTTACAATCCAGAAATGGAGCCATCCTGTGACAACCACACAAGAAGGCAACTGGAATAAAGTCCCCAACTCACCTTTCTCTCTCCCTCCAAACTCCTGCCATGCTCCAAAGTGATAAACCTAACCAGAACCTAGAGGGCAAGGGAGCCAATGATATAGACCAGGGGCTGGCAAACCTTTTCTGTAAATGGCCAGATTACAAATAGTTTAAGCTTATAGGCCATATGGTCTCTGTCACAAATACTAAAATCTGCAGATGTAGCATGAAAACAGCCATAGATGATACTTAAATGGATGTAACTGGATTTGACACCATGGATCAGATCTGACCCGCAGACCGAAGTTTGTCAACCTCTGGTATAGACCATATGGGTCAGCCTCTCAGCCTCACACAGAGGAAGGTAGAAAACATGGAGAATAGATCCAGAAAGCTTAATGAAAGATACCCAGCAATGTGTTTTATTGGTCTAACATAAACATTTACTGTGTTGAAATTCTTATTAACCTTGTGATAAAGTATCTTTATTGGAAAGAGAGGCAAACAGTTCAGCAAATATTACAGAACTAGTAGCTGTAGTGTCATATATATATGTGTGTGTGTGTATATATATGTGTGTGTATATATACACACACACACATATACACACACACACAGATAAATTACGAACTTACCGATCCCACTCTTTGTATTTTGCTTATTTATACCACATAATGTTACAAAAAGGTTTTAAGGAGGCTTAAATATACACTATGAGTTGAAATTAAATATGAAATAAATGAACTTTTAGGAATTTACCCTGTAGATATAATCATTTGTGTGTATAGAACTTAACATATTCAAAAAGAATTCAAATTAAATTAAAAATAAATGGATGAACTTAAAGTAATTTACCCTGTGGATATAAGCATGTATGTGCACAAAGACATATACATAAAAGATATCCATTTTGTCACTGCTCTTAATGGTGAAAAAAATGGAAAACTATCCAATTCAACTGGGAAATGATTAAATAAATTAAAGCATATCCACTGAGTGGATACTTTTCAACCATTATAAAGAACTCTACGAGAACTTGTGTGGAATGACCTCCAAGGTGTTGTACTACAAAGATATGTATGTATGTGTGTATGTGTCTGTTTGTATATATAGACAGTTATGTTTATATACACATATATAACTATGTATTTGTGTGTATGTATTTTTCTTTTCTTTAAGGCATTGTTTATGGATAGATAGACAAAAAATTAAAAATACTGGTTACCCCTAGAAAGGGGAACTGAGTGATGAGGGGGTAGAGTAGCAGAGAAACCCATTTTCATCTGCCAATGCTTTTGCACATTTTAAATTTTGCATCATACACCTGTGTTACCTTTTTAAAATAATTCATTGATTTAAATTTCTTAAATGGTTAAGAAAAGATCATGCATTGGTACAGATGTGCAGTCTGTACAGCAGTACATACTCTCGGGTTTGTATTAACTCTCCTGCTCATTATCTAGCCTGAGGGAACTTGATCATCCAGACATTCTAGAGTGCCACGTTGGTCCCTATATTGATGATGTCTTGCCTGAAATTGGAAAATAAAAAGTACTTTCTACTCTGGAATAATCTAAGTAAGACACAGGCATGTCAGGGGATGAAAGATAAATCCCACTGAGCCGGGTATCTCTTAAGTGATGTTCTCAGGGATGCATGGGTCTGGGACATGGTGGCATAGTCCCTTTAAAGTGAAAGACAAATTTCTATACTTCGTGCAACCCACCACTAAGGAGCCACAATAATTGTTGGGACTTTTTAAATTTTAGAGGCAAAATACAGCATGTTACCTTTATAAAATAACACATAAGGATGCCATTATTTATTGGGGCCCAGAGCAAGAGAAAGCTATATGATAAGTACAGGATGCAATACAAAGTGTTTTGCCATTTGGGCCACATGGTCCAGCAGTTACAATGGTACTCAGGGTGCCGTAGCAAATAGAAACACAATGAGACTTCTGGTAAACTCCAATAGGAGAATTCAAGGACACACTCACAGAATTTAAAATGCTTTCTTGCCTTCTTCAGTCAATAATTATTCTGATTTTGAGACATAGCTTTTGGCTCACTAATATACCCTAATAGAGACTGAGCATCCAACCAAGGGGTATCAAGTGACCTTGGTGTCTGACCTACCCAACATTAACTTCTCATCATTATCTGACCCACCAACTGTAAAGTTGGATGTACACAGCAGCAATCCACGTGGTTTATCCAAGATCAGGCTCAACCAGATTTTGAAGCCACAAGTAAGTTGCATGGGCTTAGACTCCCATGGTAACCACTCTTGCTGCATTGTTGTTTATGCTCAATCCATACCAACAGCCCCATGGAAGTTTCCTGTGACTATTTGACTAAGGAAGATAAAACTTAGGTCTGGTTTACAGATGGTCTATACAGTATTCTAGCCTGAGCCAGAAGGAAATATTGCTGACTCACTCTGAAGTGTGAAAAATATTGAAGAATCCATTCCTGGGCAAAACTTTAATAGCACATTTGATATCCACTTTGCCAGACAGAAATATGGTAAAAGAAATGGATCCACCTCGATTCTTGAGCAATGGCTAATGATTTAGCCACATGGTTCAGGAACTGGAAAAACAACTCTGTAAGAGGAATGTCAGTGGGAATGGTGGAATAAGGACCTCTGAAAATCTGTTTCTCCATAAAAGCAATGAGAACACTAGCAAATTGTAAAAATCAACTTTTTCAGAACTCTGGAAATTAACCAAAGGCTCATAACAATCCAAGGAGTGTTTATTCAAGAAAAAGAGCTGACTCAGTAAGAACAGCAAGCTATGTGATATTTTAACTTGCCCTATTCCCATTCCCCTCTCCTAGCTACCCAGAAGGCTTGAAAATAAACAGTTTGTAATCACAGCAAAAACTAGAAGCCTAGCAGCCACTGGAGGAAGCAGACAGGCACTCTCCAAAATCACCAATTCAGAGAATTGTCATTATTTGACCTCTCTGGCAGTTTCTTGGAAACTCTCACTAGCAGGTCTTTATATGACCTGACTGGAGCTCACTTAGTGTGAACAACCTTTTCCTTGAGGACATTTAGCAAAAACAATCAGCAGCAATTGTTTCCTATCACAGCTGCCTGAGGTGGCAATAATAGGCAATCAACAAACTGACCAAGAAACTTAAAAGGAAAAGCAAAGTCCATAAGGAGCTTTGAAAAGCGCTGACAACATCCTGGAAATTTAGAAGCCCATTCATAAGTTCAGGGCTGTCCACATGCCCAGGACTGCACACACAGCCAGAAAAAAACCTTGAGAACACTCCAAACTCTCATCTCTGGCTTATCTTGAAGTTCTGCTGAAGTCTGAAGTAAAGGCTACTGCTTGAGCATTGAAAGCATGTCCTGATATGCACACAGAGTTCCTCTGCAAAGGCTGGGAAATTTATTGGTTCAAAGCATTGAAGGAAGTCTCTATGCAATCATTAGCTAATCTCTAAGCTCATTGAGCAAAGACTTCAGCAGCCACACACAATAAAGAATGTAGACTTTACCAAATTAGTTCAGGAAAGTCACTAAACAAACAAATCGCTTCCATATCTCAGTTTTATGCTCGTGGAAAACCTGTTTTTCTTCTGCTTTTGAAAGTTCCAGACCTTTAACATTTCCTTCAGTTCCATGTATTTTCTGCATTGTCTTAGTCCATTTTCTGTTGCTTGCAACATAATGCCTGAAACTAAGTAATTTATAAAGAAAAAATTCTTATGATTCTGGAAGCTGGAAAGTTCAACATCAAGGGGCTGAATCTGGTGAGGGCCTTCTTGCTGGTGGGGACTTACTGCAGTGTCCCAAGGCAGTGTAGGGTATCCCATGACAAGGTGGCTGAGTGTGCTAACTGAGGTCTCCCTTCCTCTTCTTATAAAGCCACCAGTTCCACTCCCATGACAGCCCATTCATCTATTAACCAATTAATTCATTAGTCCATGAATGGATTAATCCATTCATGAAGGCAGAACCCTCATGACCCAATTACTTCTTAAAGGCCCTGCCTTTACTGCTACATTGGGGATTAAGATTCAATATGAGTTACGGAGGGGATAAACATTCCAACCGTAGCAGGGGTGATAGGCCTCCACTATTCTGTGTCCTTCTTTTCCCATCTGAATCTTAGCTGAGATTTCAGCAGTCTGGCCTGTTTCTTAATTGACCTTATCATTCCCTATTGAGAATAGTATGAACACTGCTTGCTGGAATGGTGCTTTCCTTCTGTTTGCTTTCACATTGCTTTTCTGGCCCAGACATTTGTCTTTCTAACTTATTCCTCTAGATTTTTTTTCTTTTGGGTTTCTCCAGAGTGTCTGATGCCAAGTCAAGGAATGAACAGTTTTCAAAGCATGCCATTTTCAAACAAAGCTTGTTTATCTTCACCTGCTTGAGTTGTATAATACCACTCAGGAGGCATCATCTCATCAGATCAATATCCAACTCAGGACTGACCTCAATTTATTTTTATCTTGCCTGGCTCTCTAGTAGTACATCTTATTTGCCCTGTGAGTTCCCCTGGGGGGGATCATAATTCCATAAATTTTCCTGGCAGGTTTCGTCAGGCACAGGCAATTCCTGCTTCCCCATCTATGATAACTGTACAATTTTCCAATTTGCGACTCAGTGCCTTCAGTATTTTATCCTGGCTTCTCAGGCTTCCTCATTCACATTTGTCCAAATATTGTGCGTAGCTGTCTCAGTCCTCAAGGGGTGCTTACCCATGTGTTCTTATTAGGGAATATCTATCTGCAGTTTTATAGAGATATTCCTCAATAGTTTCCTAATTTCAGGAACCCTCTAGAGAATCACACTCATCTCCTCCCTGAGATCAATTATCTTTTCTGATCTTAGAGCAGTTGTATAGCAATCCCTTCATCAGACAGGAGCAGCTAGATAGATGTGCTTCTCCTGTCCAGTTTCAGATATGTCGAATTTGGCCTCCAAGAACTTCTTCTCTTTCATATTTGTCTAGACTATATGCTAAGACTTTAATCATTTTCCTAAAGAAACGTCTCCCTTCTCCCCGTTAATCAGATGTCTTCCTTTATTTTTATTTCATTCTTCCACTTGCTCCTATTTTAATAGTAAGATCAACACATAATTTAAATAAATTCAGTTCCTCCTAATTCCCTGAGCAAACCTGATTATTAAACACAAAGTGTTATGAAGACAGACCTTTATATTGTCTTCTTTTATTCTGATGGGCAGTAATTATTTATTTTCTTCATCCCAAGAAAATGTCCCACCCCTATTTAACAAAAGCTCCCAATTCAAGTTTATGATGTTTGGTAAAACCCATGACCCTTCTCTGTGGGACTGTAAGGCTTAGGTCTCTAAAATCTGTATTGAGATCTAACCTCATGTAATTAACAAAAAGCCTCTCAAAAGACAGCACCATATAAATTCCTGTCTCTGACCATACCCCTGAGAGTAGAGAGGAAACAGAAAAAGATAGCTCAAGCCAACTCAGAACCTCACTGCATATCTTCAACTACATGTCAGACTTTCAGGGAAAAAAAGAGCTTAGTGCCAGTTCTGTCAGTACTATAGAACCTTGGAATTGGGTCTGGGCCAGGTCACTGCCCTAGAGCCACCATGCCTTGGCAGTATCACGTACACTTACCTCTGATCTGCTCTTGATGAAGCACTGGTCAAAACCAGCACTGTTGGGCCAGGTTTCGCTTCTGGAAACTTGGCTCTAGCAAGTCTCCTCTCTGTAGTCCCATTTGCAGCAGTGTCATCCACCTATCCCTGCACGGACTCCAGGCCAAGCTCTTTGCCACCCCGATTCCGCTACTTTGGGTTCCATTTCTGTCATGAGACGGTGTGGTACAGTGATAGTGGTATCACTACTAACATCAAACTGTTATTATATATATGTTATTACTACATGTTTTTTATAAAATAGTTATACATTTTTTAAAATCAGTTCTTTTTAAAATCAGTTCTTTTACAATAAAATTTACTTATTATATAACATTGTGGGGTTTTATTTACAATAAAATGAAAGCTCCATAAGGATAGAAAGTATGTCTTTCTGTACCACTGTATCCCCTGCATCTAGAACAGTGCCTGGCCCATCATAGATGCTCATTAAATATTTGTTGAATTAATAAGTGGTTAAGAGCAGAGATTGGTGTCAGAATATTTGCACTCAAATCTGGGTGCCACCACTTTCTAGTTGTGTGACCTTAGATGACTTAGTTAACCTTTATGAGCTTCAGTTTGCTCTTCCGTAAAATGGGGATGATAGTAATAAGCACAAGCTGTGATGTGAGAGTTAAGAGAGTTCACCCATATGAAGAGCTTGGCACGTAGTGAGGGCTGAGTTAGTTTTAACCATTATTCTTCTGACTGCATACTAGATAGCTCCTCTTATATGCCCCACAGGGGCACTTCAGAATCCAATTATATTCACTAGCTAACCATTCATCCATTCTTTGAAGCTACAAAGTAAGAATTATCTTCAATTACCGGCTATTCTTCATCCACAATCACATTAGACACACAGACATATTGTGCCAATATGTCTCCATCAACTGCTTTCTCTCAGCCCAACTGGCCAAGTCCACCCTCTGTGTTCTCACTTATATGGGAAAGTCATGCCTTTCTCAGAGTCTTTGTCACATTGAATGGATTCTGACTTATTGGTATACTTTCCTCCCTAGAGGGCAAGCTCCCCAATGCCTCCTAGCTTGTCTTGTTCTGCCTAAAGGAAACTATCACACCCTTAGTAGTCAATAAGTAACTCCTCAGAAAATAATGCTAAAAAATAAAGGTTCTGTAGCAGATACTGCAGAAGAACTAGACAGATTTTCATTTCCAATCTCACTATCCCATGCCTATCTCCATTCTGTTGAAGCTATAAAAACCAAAAGCTGGTTTTCTCAGCCTCTCCTGCAGCCAGGAGTAGCCATATACCATAGTTATGTTGCATGAAGCAGAAGTGGAAGCCTGTTGGTGCCAACACTTCCCTTTCTTACTTCTTTCTGCCTGCAACATGGAGGAGGCCTGGGGTAATGCAGCATTAGGTGAGCATGAATGGGATGACACCAACATTCTAAGGATGCCAGAGAAATCTCGAGGAGCCTGTGTCCCTCATAGCATTTGTTCAATCTGGAACTGCATGGGGAAAATAAATCATTATTTGTTTAAGCCAGTATTAATTAGGTTGCCTATTATTGCAGCCAAACACATTCCTAACTCCAACAGGAACACTTGTAGAATGAAGCTCCAATCAACAACATGGCACAGAAAATTTCCTGCATACTGGAAAAAAAAAAATGAGTCTTGTTTGAGCTATAAATAATCATTGTACTCTTACCTATTGCGATAGACCCTGTATGAGATCCACTGGACACTCTTTAACAGCTGGTGTGCCCCTCTCCCAGGTGCTGCAAATGGTGCCATTAGCGGCTTACCTGAGTAAACTTTGCCAGAGAATTGTACTTGACTAAAGAGAATAGCTGGCCATGAGATGCCTAGAAGTTTACGTGACCAAGGGAGGAGGCAGATAGTGGCAAATAACTAATAAGTGATATAAGAATAAATAAATTAAAAAGCCCAGCAGGGCACAATGGCTCATGCTTGGAATCCTAGCACTTTGGGAGGCTGAGGTGGGAGGATTATTTGAGTTTAGAAGTTCAAGACCAGCTTAAGCAACATAGCAAGATCTTGTTTCTACTAAAAATCAAAAAAAAATTAGCCAGGCATGGTGGTAGGCATCTGTAGTACCAACTACTCAAGAGGCTAAGCTGGGAGGCTAGCTTGAGGTGAGCAGATCAAGGCTGCAGTGAGCTATGATTACACCACTGCACTCCAACCTGGGCAACAAGCAAGACTGTCTCAAAAAAAAAAAATTAAGAGTCCAACCGCTTCTCCATGGCACCATGCATGCTCCAGAGCCCGCATGGATAAAAGCCAACCTGGACTACTGTAGCCTTGCTTGATTCTTTGCCTTCCAGTCCTGCTTTCCTCACTCCCAAACAGGTAGTTCCTGAAGAGTATTCCCTCAAAGAGGGAAGGAGAAAAGAAGAGAAATTTGAGAAAGCAGTTTATAGACATCACCATGGCTGTTCACTCAGGAAGATAAATTAGGGGAAGGAGATATTCAAATGCAGGAACCTGAAAGGAAATATCCATGCTGTAGAAAATCACATGTACCCAAATCTCTGCCTCAGGTTCTGCTTCTAGAGACCCCAAACAAGATACTTACCTACAAATTGCCCATTTTAAGAATATTTTCTTCTGAAGGGAAGAATAGGGATACCAATGCCAACACCGCAATCTGGAATCTCAAGCTGTTCACTGCGTTAAGATTGCTCTCAGTCCCACTGGAGATGCCTTTGTCTTCCTGCATGTTGTTGCTGTATATCAGTTGGATGTTTCTAAGAGGCCACATGGTCTAGAAGCATTAGTAGAAAACTTGGAGGCTGACATTGATGGATTTCCAACACCATCGAAGTTTATCAGGGATCTCAGAACAGAGCTAAGGGATTTTGAGAGTAGGTTTCATTCTGTGAGCAAACATGATAGGAAAAGAGATATTTGCCTGATGTATGGGAAAAGGTATCTCTTTTGGTCCCCAGATTTCACCTGTGTGAAGTACCAAAAGATATGGAAAATTTCAGAGGACTCCAGGAAGTGTAAATGTGGAGAAAATTCAGTGTAAGTCTTTAGATATTAAAGTATTAAAAGAGGTCCACATTCTATTATGAATAAATGGCCCATCAAGAGCAAGCAATTGTAAGAAAAATAAAGCCTTGGTAAATGGTGTGTAACAAATAGTCCACTTCTTCAATTGCACATGACAAGGGCCATTTTATAAAAATCAAACATAGATGTGGGTAGTATAAATATTAATTTTCAAAATGTCAGAAAATGACTAACAGAAAACAGAAAAATAGGGAAGTAAGGTTGTAGAGGAAAGAATGTGAATGAAGGAAATTTTTTTAACTTTTATTTTAAGTTCAGGGGTACATGTGCAGGTTTGTTATATAGGTAAACTTGTGTAAAAATAAACAAGATAGAAAACAATACCTATATTTTAGCTAATCAGAATAGGAATTACAGAAAGCAGGTTGTAGATGTCACCATGACCATCCATTCAGGACGATAAATTAGGGGAAGGAGATATTCAAGTGCAGGAACCTGAAAGGAAATGTTCCTGTCCTAGAAAGCAGAGACTCATCACAAAGTGAAGCAGGGGAGAAGCTCGTAGACATGATTCTTTTCAGTGTCCTGAAAGTAGTAAGAAGAGAAATACACCTCGTCTTTGAAGTCAACAAAGCTGAACTCTGTGTACTGCAATTTTTCTGTGTACCTGCAATTTGTGAAACCAAAATAATTATATTTTCAAAATAATTTTAACTCTGACATTTCTCATCCTGTAGCTAATCAGTATAATATTGTGGTTAAAAACACAAATCCTGGATTAGACTGCCTGAGACAAATTCAAGTTCTGCTACTAATTTGTTGTTTGAAGTAAAGTCATTTAAACTCTTCTAATTCAGTTTCATCATCTATAAATGAGAATATTATTAATACCCGTCTCATGAGGCATATTGGCAGGTTGAAATGAATTAATACACATCAAGTATTTAGAACGGTATCTGCCTCATGGGAAGTGCTCAGTTACATATTAGGCATTAGTATCACATGTGACATAACTCCACCAGGTAGTAGAGTACACAACAGGATCAAAGAACTAAGCTTTGGTTCTAGGGCTGGCAGTTAAGAAACGCAAGACCTTGTTCTCTCAAGTGGTGGCAGGGAAGGTAAACAGGTTTCTGTGAGCAGCCTTTGAAGTTTGCCATGGATTGACTCATGAGGTATTAATTTTTTTGAGCCGTGACTCATGGTTAGCTCAGTTGGTTCACTGTACTTATATAGCCTGGGCTCTGGTCTGATCTTCTTATGAGTTTTCTCCCCCACCACTTCTCTGGGGTCACAGACTGTATCCAATTCCTGATAAGCTACTGTGCACATAGCTATACTTAGTCTAAGGAAATTGAGTCAATAACCATCACTACTTGAAGAAAAATTCAGAAAGCCATCAGTCTCCAGTTATTTACCCGGCAAATGAAACTCACATTTACTTAGGCCCCTGTTAAGTAACAGGCACATAGCAAGAATCAGACATGGCATTTCATGAATACAAGCATATTTAATCATCATATCAACCCTATCATGCCATGAGCCCCATTTTACATTTTAATGTCCTTCCTAACTGTAAACATAAACACATGGTCACATTAGTAAAACTGACACAGTGACACTTCTGCTTCATTCTTTTAGTTAAAACCCAGATTCAAAGGAAGAAGACTACACAAGCACATGAATACTTACTCCACTTATTTAGGGGGTGAGATACATTGGAGTAACAGACCCTGTCTCTGCGGGGCTTAGTTCAAATTCCCCAGACAATCAAGTTCATCCCAGTCCATCCAACCAGTTGTAGCCAGAGAGGAAGAGTCATATAAGACGAACATGGCCTCAAAAGCCATTCTTTCATTTAGAGCTATGTGGTGGAGAGAACAATTCTTAGAAACAAAGAACGTTAAGTCCTGCAGTTTTGTTCTTAAGATTGCCTTCGATATGGTATTAGTTTTCTACTGATCCTGTAACCATGTACCACAAACTTAACAGCTTAAAACAACACAAATTTATTGTCTCACAGTTCTGTTAATCAGAGGTCTAGATGGGCTCAACTAGTTCCTCTGCTTTGGGTCTCACGAGGCCAAAACTATAATATCAGACAGTCTGGGTATTTATTTGTAGTCCCTTAGGGATAATCTCCTTTCAAGTTCATTCAGGTTTTTGAATGAATTCAGTTCTTTGCAGCTGTAAGACTGAGTTCTCCACTTACTTACTGGCTGTTATCTGGGAGCCTCTAACAGCTATAAGCCCACCTGCAGTCCTTGTCATGCTGCCCTCTCTATCTTCAAACCACCAGCAATGGTTTGAAGATGAGTCCTTCACATACTTCAAACTTCTCTGGCTTCCTTGCTGCATCTCTTCTGTATTCAGTCTAAGAAAGTGCTCTGCTTTTTAGGGCTCACATGATTAGATTGGGACTATTCAGGTAATTCAGGATAATCTTCATATTTTAAACTCCATAACCTTAATTACACCTGCAAAGTCCTTTTGCTATGGATCATAACTATTCACAGGTTCCATAAATTAAGATGTGACCATTTTGGAGGGATCATTTCTCCCTACTGCAGCTCTTCTAGGTCTCTTGCATTTCCATACACATTTTATAATCAGCTTATCAATTGCCACAAAAACATTTCTAAGGTAATTTTGATTGTAATTGCATTAAACCTACAGATTAATTTGGTAAGAATTGACACCTTAACAATATTGAGTCTTCCAATCCATGAATGTAGTATATCCTTCCACTTATTTAGGTCTTTTTAAATTTATCTCTGAAATGCTTGTAAAGATATTTAATACTTTTTGTTGCCCTTATAAATGTAATCTTTTTCATTTCTTTCTTTTTTTTTTTTTTTTTTTTTTTTTTTTTTTTTTTTTGACAGAGTCTCACTCTTGTTTCCCAGGCTGGAGTGCAATGGCTCCATCTCGGCTTATGGCAACCTCTGCCTCCCAGGTTCAAGCGATTCTCCTGCCTCAGCCTCCCAGTTAGCTGGGATTACAGGCATGTGAAATGGCGCCTTTTTATTTTTTTAAAATTTTGTTGGTAACACACTTTTTATTAGGCATGATGTATCATCAAAATTTAGCACAGTACTTGGCAAATCCTAGGTACTCAACAAATGTTTGTTGAATGAATGAATTGCACTTTATCTAAACTCCTTTTATGAACTTTGACATTTAATACTTTTTCTTACAGCTATTTGTGTACAAGTCTTGGTTTCTTTTGAGATGGTGAGCATTGTAGGGTAGGGATATTTTGGAGTCAGCTGTCTACATCAAGTTTCTAGCATCAGGTTTGATATGTTATAGAACCCATTAAAGCGTCCAAATATGCTATAACTAGTGGCATGAAATATCTGGACTGGTGAAGTATATTCTCAAACTCCTTGCTAACTTATATTCATAGAAACTTACGTTGCATGAGGTATTATCGATGAATTATTTCATAAAACATATGTATTCCACATATTCTCTAGTGTCTGGGGTCTGGACTCCAGACCCTCTAAATTATATCATTGGGTTAAGTCAGAAAGTTGTATACCTAGTCATTAAGCTTTGTAATCCTGGGAGAATTCATTTTTCTGAATTATATTTGGCATTACGTCACTGGGCTGTATTGAAGCACATCCCAGAAAACAGTGTTGTGAAATTCAGTTTGTGCTGACTGTTGAGATAATGTTGAGAACATACTGCTCTACATCATAAGTTATCTTTTTTTTTTTTTCTTATTTTTTGAGATGGGGTCTCACTCTGTTGCCCAGGCCAGAGTGCAGTGGCACAACCTAGGCTCACTGCAACCTTCGCCCCCTGGGTTCAAGCAATTCTCATATCTCAGCCTCCCGAGTAGCTGGGATTACAGGCACATGCAACTATGCCTGGCTAATTTTTTATTTTTTATTTTTATTAGAGATAGGGTTTCACCATGTTGGCCAGGTTGGTCTCAAACTCCTGACTTCAGGTGATCCGCCTGCCTCGGCCTCCCAAAGTGCTGGGATTACAGGCATGAGCCATTGTGCCTGGCCAAGGTATCTTCTTAATGAAAACCCACAGGGAAAATTCTCTCCATCCCCAGAACTGTGAATAACTGTTCATTTCCTTAGCAACTGTAACTTATGTATCTGGTCAAATTTCCCACTTTGTGTTGCTACTAGAAAGATCACTCTTAATTATTGCCAACTTTTAGCAAATGACACAGGATATGATAAGCATTTGGAATTTAAGTATTAAGCTTAGAAGGCAAAGCAGAAAGTCAAAGAGAGATCCATGAGGGTGGAAACTCCAAAGAGCAGGTGCCATGTTTGTTTCCTTCATGCCTGTATGTGCAGCACCTATATATTAAATGAGTGGGTGCTAAACAACACAACGCATATTCTGAAAGTAGTGTACAATACAGGATACAACCATAAAGAGAGAAGGGAAAGAGGGGAAGGAAGAAAGACTACAGTGCTTGTAACGCCAAGCAATTAATTAATATGACACATTTAATGTGACTTTTTCCCTGAGAGAGAGTGTGTGTGTGTGTGTGTGTGTGTGTGTGTCAGGGTCTCGCTCTGTCACCTAGGCTGGAGTTCAGTGGCATGATCTCAGCTCCCTGCAGCCTCCACCTCCCAGGCTCAAGTGATCCTCCCACCTCAGCCTCCCAAGTAGCTGGGACTACAAGCACATGCCACCACACTGGCTAATATTTTATATATTTTGGTAGAGACAGGTTTTGCCATGCTGCCGAGGCTGGTCATGAACTTCTGAGCAATTTGCCCACCTGGGCCTCCCCATGTGTTGGGATTACAGGCATGAGCCCCCACGTCCAGCCTAAATTTTTAACTTAATGTTTTTATTTTTTAAGAAAAGGGACATCTATTAGCAAAAGAAAGCAGTTCTTTGTGTACCGACATGGGAAGACACTCACAACAAAGTGAATACAAATATGTACTGTATAATCGCATTTTGGTTTTTGCAAGACAAAATCCATATGAATTTTTGTAGGTTTTTTCTAAATATATAATCATATAGCCAGCGGTACAAAGAGAAGACTAGCAGTTCTGACCCCTGTTCTACTTTCTATACTGTATTGTTGTGACCTTGACTTGGGATATCTTATTATAAGGGTGACAATGGTACAGTGAGATTTGGTATGAAATTAATTTCTTTGTGTTGCCAGTGGCAGTTTATATTGGTAAACGTGGGTTGTCAGTTTAGCACTTCTTATCTGAAGCCATCACGATGTTCATAAATTTTGATCAATTTTTTTCACATCTGGGCATTTATCATAAGAAAATTACCCCAATGAATAATAAAGGTCTGTATACAAAGGTATTTATTGCTACCATAATGAATATATTTACCAATCCAAACCAAGTGGGGGTAAAATATTGAGATATCTTTTTTTTTCTTAACATTTCTGTCTCTCAGCTGGATGATATTTGAAGCAGATCTTGTAGCTTTTTCAGTCAATTTAAAGTATTAAACATAAATAACACTCTCATTCTGGGGTATTCAAATGTTTAATGAAATCTAAGTCAAAATTTCAACCTAATTTCATTTAAAATGCTTGGTTTGATCTGAGCTTAGAAACCTGATTGGGAGGCAGTAGAAGAAGGGAGCAGAAAGACAGCTTTTCCTATTTTTGTTTTACTTCCTTTCTCACTTCTCTGCTGAGAATGGGGGCCAGCAGAAGAGAAGAGAGATAGATTAAAAAGTCATTTCACTGATATTAATCTGGGGTCAGAGCTCCCTGTAAGGGTCAGATACCTAAATGCTAGCCCTTTCTCTTTAGTCCATTTTTTGGGGAACTCCCCACTTAGGGGCCTCCCTCTACATTGTTCCAGTGAAAGATAGGCTCTTGGCTTGTGATTTACCTCACTGGCACAGGCAGAACTTTGGGGCAGAGTGCTTTAAATTCAACATAGCCCCAACTATCTTCCAAGGACCACACTTGTCCCATTACAGCTAAAAGTACTTCTTATTCCTGCTGCTGCTGCACTCCCAACTCTCTGACCTGGGGAAGGTATAACCAGCCCCTCACATTTAATATTTCTAGATGTGTACCAGAAACTAGCCTCTGTGTCCTCCAACACAGGGCACACCTCCCAGAAGTTCTATTGAGAACTTTTTCACCTGGCTTAAGTGAGGAGAGGGGAACACCGCACTCCTTCATCTCTCCCCAAAGAGATTTATATACCCCATCCCTCCTATCCCTCTCCCCATCTATCTATCCCTCACCCCATATACATAGAATACAGGCATACAGAACAGAGTGATGGGCTTTGGGATGGGAGGTGGAACTGGCTGGTTGAAAGCTCCATTTAGCAAGGACCACATGAATAACCTGGCCCCTCTCTTCAGATGCATGGGTACTTACTCTTTTGTCCCCACTGCAGCTCTGATGCAGAAAGGCATTCTGTGACACCGCTTTACTCATTTACTATTTTTAACCAATAAAAATTTATTTCACTAAACTTTGAACACCTTTCTCAATTTCCTCAATATTACAGTAGAAAACAGTTCATAACAGAGACAAATGACTTGTAAAGTTTTAAATGTGTATAGTTACTTATGCAAAATGTCTCTTATAGCTTATGTTATGGAGAACTGGTTAATCAAATCAAAATACAAATCTACTACCTAGAGAGTACAATAATATGGAAATGATTCATTTAAAAGAATCTAGTTTGTAAATCAACTTCACTTATAAAATATTACCCCAAGAATTATAATTCTATCAAGCTTCAATGTGAACAAATGTACAATCACTTAAACAACAGCTGTTAAACTAAAAAAGAATTCAAAATGCATTTAGAAGAATGACAGAGACATTATTGTTCTGGTTCAGACCTTCAGAAGGAGGCTCTCTTGAAGGCTGGCTCAGCCCTAGGGAATTCATTTCTTGGTAATGGGAGTAAAATCCAGCTCTTGTGCAAGAGTCACAGGGAAACTCCCGTGATGGACAGATGTCCCTCAGTGCCAATGCAGGCTGAAAGGACCAGGAAAATCCCCTATGGAAAGTAATCTCAGGACTTCATAGGGATTTCTTGGAGGAAAGGGAGATACAAGAGGTCCCTCCCCTTGTATCCCAATGGATCCATTCCTAACATGGAAACTCAACTGGATGATGTGGTTGAGGTAGTAGAGATGGATCAGGAGGACCTAAACAACCAAAAGCATCTTCACAATGCATCCCACCAGACTCCATTTTTTTTTAAGTGTGGACCAATTGCTCTTCAAAAGCAGTCCCATTCAAACTTGTGAATCTTGTTCATGTAGAAAGATCACCAGTGTCTGAAGCAGAAAGATAAACTTTGTCTTGTACATGTGGACAAAGAGCAGGATATCGTTGGCCTGGTGGGAACTATATCATGCTAGGGTCTAGATCCCATGAGATAGCATCTGGCAATGCAAGGCAGTATTGAAGCTCGAATCCCCAAACCATCCCAGCTGGACATACCTCCTGTCTTGAGGATCTGATTTTCCAGCAAATTGCGTGGTTCCTGTGGGCCTCCGCCAAACACTGCATGTGGATCAGCAAGGCCTTCAGGACCCTTTTCTAAAAATCTCAAGTTTAACGTCTTCAGCTGCTTTTGGTCTTCCGTGTGCATTCTTTTCTCCTAAGTTGTAGAGGGTTTTTGTCCAGCCTAAATTATCATCGGCAATTCAAGAGCTGTTATCGAGAGCAATGGTTTGGTTTTTCAAAGGGCAAGTAAGTCCTTTCATTTCATATCCTAAAGCTTTGGCTTACTTTTAATTTTTGTTTTTATTTTTTGGCCTCCAGATCTTCAGGGCATGGCTCACATTTTTATTTGCTGTGGAACTTTTCTTCTCAATCGCAAATCATTCTCTCCCTCTACAGAATAATTTTCTGTGAGTTTTCTTATCATTGTCTTGATAAGAAAGCTCAGTCTTCAAGTTCATGCTAAAGCTTTTGAATCTCATTTTAATATTTTCATTTTCTGATCAACAATGCATTTATTTTGTTTGAGAGTTTTGATATAATTTGCTAGTGACTGTTTTATCTTCTCTAGCTAGTTGAGTATATATTCAACTTTCTGCTTCAAGAGTTTATAAGGAAGCATTTAGCTTGATGTTATCGGTTTCCTCAAAGCTCATATTGACTGGTCATTTAGGTGGTATCCAATTCCTGATCTAATTCTTTCCATTTCCTGGTGACTTCATCTATATTATCTTTTCCTAGGACAGCAGCCAAACCCACCATCTTTAGCAGAGAGATTAGTAAGAGTTTTGATCTGATGTTCTTTCTCATGTAGAATTTTTCCACCCATGCTTTGGAGCAGTGGTTCTCAAAGTGCAGGAGTTGGGGGTCCCAAGACTCTTTCAGAAGATTGTGAGATCCTCTGAAACTATTTTCATAATAATACTAAGACAGTATATATTTTTGTCACCATTGACATTTTGTACTGATAATGCAAATCAATGCTGGGTAAAACTGGTGACACTGTAGTATGAATCAAGGCAGAGGCACCAAATAGTACTAGTAGTCATTGTATTCTTCTTTGCCTTGCAATCTCAGTTTAAAAAAAAAAAAACAAACAAAACAAAAACAGCTTCACTTAAGTGTGTCCTTGATGAAGCAGGAGAAAACAACTATTAATTTTATTTTATAAAATAAAGTTTTACCTATCTAAGCCTGACACCTTGATACAAATTGTTCCAGTATCTTGAACAACAAAATTAGAAGCACACATAAAATATTTCTGCTCCATACTGAGCTATGACGACCGTCCAGAGGCAAAGCGTATGGAAAGCATGTGCAGTTGATTGAGTTGCAAGCTAAATGACTACCTTTTTTTAATAAAAAAACTATTTTCACCTGAAAGAAAAACTGACAAACTATATAAATTTAAGTATTGGCAGACATTTTCATAAAAATAATCAAAGTAAGCCTATCACTTGACAGAAAACTGACAGCATTTTTTGCTAATGATAAAATTCAACTTTCCAAGTGAATACTAGAATATAGGAAAAAATTATATCTGTTACCATGAGCTTGACAGCTTCCCAATACTTAAAAAAAATCTCATTAAATCAGTGGAGTTATTAATAAATGTAATATTTTGATATTTTACAATAAAATATGTCAATATTTGGAAAATTTTAATAACTCAATGAACCAATACTTTTCAAGTGGTCAATATATGATGTTACAAAACCATGCATAGGTAAAATAAATCCATTCAAAGTGTGGTATCTAGACCAACTAGTTTTAATGTAACAGAATTTGGAAATTTCATTAATCTAATGTCAGATTCCACATCGCAACCACCCTTTAATAAATAATTATCAGGTTTTAGTAGTAACAAAGAATACCCACAATTATCTAAAAAGCCTATTAACATACTCCTCCCTTTTCCAAGTACATATTTGCGTAAGACAAGATTTTCTTTATATACCTGAATTAAAACAACATAGTGCAATGTATTGAATGCAAAAGCAGTTATAAGAATTCAGCTATCTTCTATTAAGCCAGACTTTAAAGAAATTTGCAAGTCTATACAACACCAGTCATTTCACTAATTTTGTTGTTGTTTTGGAGAAATTTGGTGATTTTAAATTAAAATTTGTTATTTATTTTAAAATGTAAGCAGCTTATAAAAATACAAATCCTTAATTATTATGATAAATACAATAATGAATAAATATTTATCTTAAAATTTATCCATTCAATTTCCAGTGCAGTAAGCATCAATAGATCTAATCCACATAAAGAAAAACTTTTTGGGGTCCTCAATACTTTTTAAGACTGTAAAGGGGTCCTGACACTAAAAAGTGTAGAACTGCTAGTTTAGAGACCTCAACCACTTTTTTCCTGCTTATTGAGTTTCTCCCTCTTTCTATCCACCAGCCTATTAGGAAAGTAATTTTATGCTTTCCTAAACATGGGCATATTCATCCACACTTTTCTTTAATGCTGTCATTAGTTATTCTTCACTCTTCTAACATAACTTTAAAGTTGTTTTGGCTTCAGCCACTTGGGATTGAATGGCTTCTGATTTATCTTCTAGCAACTGTATTCTTGTGATGTGAGTCCTCACCAACTCTTATTCTGGACATCTAGATTTCTGTTCTCTTGATTCTTTTCCTGAAAAGTCTATTTAACCTTAAGAAGGACCTTTTCAGTTTTTGGAGTTTTTAAAAATTATTTGCCTCCAGACTCAGCTTGGTCTTCAGAAGGCTGGCCTCCATCAAAAAGGATTCCAGTGCTTCATAATTTCTTAATATTCCCGAGCACAAAATTTTACTTTTTCTTTGTCTAAGGCAGAAAAAGTTATGCCAAGCTTCTTCTCCCCACCTCTAAAAGTTGATGTTTATCTACAAAAAAACCTCATACCATCTCCTGGCAATGCCCCTGAGGGCTGCACCTGGGCTCACACCTTCAGAGATGGTGCTCACCCCTACAGGGCATTTTCAGGATGGCCCGGTGGAAAGCTTTGTAGACATCACCAGGCTCTAGAGCCACAGAAAGCCCAGGTCATCAGAGTTTTGTGAGGCCCAGAAAAGCACTCTGTAGAGTGTTCTGCTCAAAATACATGGGCCTAGCAAGCGGAACAGATCAGCAGTGGGAGCAGTCAGGGAGGAGCAGGAAGGAACAAAAATGACAAAACAGAGCTTTTCAACATTTTCTATATCATGGCCACACCAGTAAATCATTGTCACCAAAAGAAATGGGAGGTTCTTTGTGGCCTAGGGTACAGGCCCCACCTGGAAGCTGGGAGAGATGAAGTGTCCACATCATTCCACACCTATGGGCCCTTCCAGGATTGCTGACCAACAAGATGTTCTCTGCAGGAAAGGGCTTGTATGTTCATGTCATGGGCCCAGCTACCTCCTTTATGTCCTACAGTCCTAGACTTGTGATTCTGTCTGCAAAAGTCCCAGAGATCTCCCTCCCCGCACACCCCGACTCAAGGTTATTTTGTCAGTATGGGAGCATCCATGTGCATGGCTGAGTCAGGAATACAAAGGGCCATACAGTACATTTCAGTAATCTGTATAATGGTGATATGGTCTGGCTCTGTGTCCCCACCCACATCTCATCTCGAATTGTAATCCCCACATGTCTGGGGAGGGACCTGGTGGAGGTGGTTGGATCATGGGGGTGGTTTCCCCTATGCTGTTCTCATGATAGGGAGTTCTCACAAGATCTGCTTGTTTAAAAGTGGCAGTTTCCCCTGTACTCTCTCCTGCTGCCATGTAAGACATGCCTTGCTTCCTCTTCACCTTCTGCTTTTATTGTAAGTTTCCTGAGGCCTTCCCAGCCATGCAGAAATGTGAGTCAATTAAACCTATTTTCTTCATAAATTACCCAGTGTCAGGCAATTCTTAATAGCAGTGTGAAAATGGACTATTAATAATGCAATGGCAGATTTGTCTATTTCTCTCTTTAGTTATGTCAGTTTTGCTTCAAGTATTTTAGTGCTCTATCACTAGATGCATACACATTTAGGATCATTATGTCTTCCTGATGCTTGACCCTTTCATCATTATTATGAAGTAACCCTCTTCATCTCTGGTAACACTTTCTCTTGAGGTATTATTTTTTACATTAATAAAACCAGAGCAGCTTTCTTATGCTTAGTGTTTGTATGGTGTATCTTTGCCCACCCACTATCAACTTTTTTTTTTCTATGAAATTTGTCTCATGTAAACAGCAAATGTTAGATCTTGCTTTTTCATCTAACCTCTGACTCCTTGGCTTTTGCACGGAAGTTTTAGTCTATTTACATTCAATTTTATTATTGATACAGTGGAATTTTTTTTCTCTTTTTCTAATTTCCTACCTTCTTTTGGATTAATTAGGTTTTGTTTCATTATGTTTTGTTGTTTTTAAGTACTTTATTTTTGGTGTTATCCTTTAGTGATTGGTCTAGAGATTAAAATATGAATCTTTAGATATCAAGTAAAATGATATTAAACTACTTTATTAATAATTCAGGAAACTTACAACATTCTAATTGTATTTAACCCCTTTCATATCGTTTTTGCTCTTGTTGTCATATGAGTTACTTCCATATATGTTATAATCCCACAATATATTTTTATTACTATACTTTGTTTTAAAAAAAATGGTCAATAATAAAGAATATACATGTGTGTGCATGGAGCTATACATTATATATACATTATAATGTATGTAATTATACATTATATAATGTATAATTATATATAATGTATGTATAATGTATATTATACATTATATATTACAGTGTATATAATGTATGTATATATGTATATATCATATAATTATATATGATTATACATTATAATTATATATAATGTATATAATGTATATATAATGTATATCTCTATGCACACACACACGCATATAGTCTTTATTATTGAACATTTAAAACAAGATATATATATTAAACCATTTAAATAATGTATTTATAAATTACTTGTAGTAAGAATTTGCCATTATTCTGTAAGCATAATAATATGCCTTTTTCTTCAAACTAATTTTATTTTTTTTTATCTTCATCTTTTGGAAGTTGACTACAATTTGCTTGTAGTTTATTTTGAATTTATATTGCTTGAAGTTCACAGAGATTTATGGATCTGTTTCATCAGTTTGGACACATTCATGGCCATCGTCTCTTCGAATATTTTTTTCTGCCCCATTATCTCTTTCCCTTCTTTTAAAACTCCTATTATATTTGATCATTTGATATTGTACCTAAAGTCTCAGATTTTTTTTCAGTTTTGCATACTTATTTTCCTTTTTTATTCAGTTTATATAATCTCTTTTAGCCTTTCTCCATGTTTACTGATCTTTTCCTGTTAGTAAGCCTATCAATTCAATTATTAAAATTAATTCTGATAGATATTTTTCAATTCTATCATTTCCATTTGGCTTTTAATATTTTCCAATTATTTTCTGAAAGTCTACATTTGTTGTGCCACATCTGAGTCTAATTCTTTTAACTCTTTTTTTCCCCCTCTGGATTATAGGTCACATTTTCTTCCTTTGTCTCCTGACTTGTTTGTTTTTAAAAATTATGTGCCAGAGATTTTGTACAAAAGTACAATGAAAACTGAAGTAAATAATATTCACTCCCAGGAAAGAGTATGCCCCTTCCTCTCTCAGGCCACTAGTACATGGATGGGTGGCAAGAGAAGGGGACAGTGGTGAGTCAGTCTAATCTGAAGTTTAGCTGAATTTGGACATTGTTGGCATCTCATTTAGTGAGATTTAGTTCAAATATTCTGATGGTAGGATCAGACCTCTTCAGCAGGGCTTTGGATCTGAGCATCAGTGACAGTCTGGAAACTTCTCTGTGCTTCGGACCTCTGTGTCCAGCTATCAAGTTTTTGGGTTGCTAGTGAGTTCCATTTGCTATGATACCAATTTATTTTGTTTTTTTTTAAACTTGGAAATTATTTAAACTCCCTACAAGAAGAGAATGCTTATGTAAGTTATAGAAAAACCAGTAGTGAAAATGTATGCACTGGTTTATAAAATACTTCTGAGGAAAAAGCAAAATCCTTAACATGTAATGTTAAATTTAAAAAAACAGAACATTAAGCTATATGAAACAGAAACTATGCAAAAAATATGTATATACATAGAGAGAGAAAAATGAGTATTGAAAAGAAGCCCCTAAAAATAAAATGTTTGAGTCATTCATGTCACAGGATCATGAGCTGCTTTGTTTTAATTTTTATTTTGATTTCCACCGATATTGCCAGTTGTATTATATATGATATAAAGTACTTAAAAAGACAACCTAAGTCATTTGGGGCAAATCTTAGACAAGTCAGAAATAACAATAAAATATCTTAGTCTATGAAAGATAATCCAGAGCAGAAACAGGCCAGCTGTCCTCTTCTCCCTTAAGGCCCACACAAAAGGAAACTAGTTTAAAATATAGCAGGAAGACTGAATTAGGAGAAAAGAAGAAAGAGCCTTTGGACCATCAGGGTTGTAAAATGATGGCTAAAATGACAGAGTAAGAAAAGAGGAATGACTTAGAAAAACCCAGGTGCTGGGTAGTTCAGTCCTGCCCATAGGTTCTACATTAATTGATGATAATGTTGTCAGACATCTCAGAGGAAACCATCTTTATTTCCATCACTATTATTACGGACTGGAACTGATTACTAAGGGAAGCTCTGGCATTTTTTCCCTGGAGGCCATTTAAAATCAGACATGAACAACTACCTATCTAAATAACTCAGGTCCCATCATGCCTAGAGGCAGGGGATTGAACCAAATGGCCCCTAAAGGTCCTTTTAAACCCTATGACTTTGTGATTCCTCTGCTAATAATATTAAGAAAGTGTTAATACCTAACTTTTTTCTAATCCTTTTTTATTTACTCTCTACTTGTATTTTTTCAGATTGGAAAGGGAAACTTCTTCCTGCAAATAGTCCATTCGCATCTCTCCCTGACACAAGGCTGAAATTTTAGTATTGCAAATATCACTGGGGAATATTTCTCAGCTGCAGTTGATTATTTCTTCTTTCACTACCAGATGTCACTGTACCTGGAAAGAATTCACTTAGCAAGGAAGGGGGAGGCAGTGAGCTGCAGAGGGAAGAAACAGTGTGCCAAAGAAACTGGTGGGTGGGCCTGAGAGAGAGTGGAGGAGGCTGGGGAAAATTTGCTAAAAGTCAGAGACACAAAACTAGTATTTGAGATTAAAAATAAAATTAACTAAGCCATAGTTTGCGTGTGTGCACATGTGTGTATTTAAAGTGTCTTAAGACACCAAATTCTACACCATTCAATCGAAGCTATTTGACCATAGCAATTAAAAATATTAATGATGCCAGTCTGAATCCTTCATAAGAACTCATCCCAAGCTGCCAGAAAAGGCAAAAAGTTTTAGGCAAGATTTACATACACCCATTCAGAATGAAAAATTGGTGACCTGAAATTAGCGGCCAGAATGAAAAGTAACCAAATAAACTTCTATTTTACACCGGAATTTATCATCTCTCTAATTTGTCAGTGGTCAATTCTGGGAGTGCTTTTGGAGGACTGCCTTTTGCCCTTCTTTGGAATGTGATTTTCATCCAGGGAAGAAATGAGGGCAGGAATTATTGAAAGCCCTGTTTCAGATCAGCATTAACAATTCATGGAACTCATCTCTAGTTCTACCCAAGGCATTTGGAAGGACACCTGGCGTGTAGCAAAAGCTTGTTCAAAGTGTCTCCTAATCTGCTTTGAAATGCACAGTGGATTGGGGCCAAC
This sequence comes from Homo sapiens, assembly GCF_000001405.40. Classification (NCBI taxonomy): domain Eukaryota; kingdom Metazoa; phylum Chordata; class Mammalia; order Primates; family Hominidae; genus Homo; species Homo sapiens. The sequence goes on from NC_000003.12 coordinate 31,391,363, forward strand.
ACAAGGTCAGCACCCGTCCTCATTTAGTGAGCTGGCTGGCTGTGCTCCTCCGGTAGAGGAACTGAGAAGACAGAACCTACTGCAAATCCACTGCAGAGTTTTTCAGCTGGTGGCTGAGGGTCTTTTGAAATGCAAACCTCTAGAGCTGAGGGGGAAGCTTGTTTTCCATTCTGGGCCACTGGCTCACAGAAGGGGAAAAAATAATCACCGAAAAGTAATTTAGGTTGGGTGATTTACAAAGTGAGAAAGATCAAAGGTTAAACTCACACAATTTAAATGTCGAGAATAGGGAATTTTCAACATGATTCATTAAATATACTCAATTTAGGGGGATGTATCTTGATTTCAGATGAGAAGCAGGTAAGGAAGACTTTCGTTCCTTCCACTCCACCAAACTTGATGCAGGTAAAATTAATGCATTCTACAGCACTGCCCATTCCCCCCAGCCACACTCTCTTCCTCTGGCTTCTGCGATGCCAAACTCTTCTGGTTTTCCTCCTCCTCCAACTTCCCACTCTTCAGTGTCACTTGCCAGGTCTTCCTCCTCTTCTCAAACTTGACTATGATATACCCTTGACCATGAACTCCTCAAACTTGACTATGAAACCCTGTGATATACCTGCCTCCTTCAAGGTTGGTTCTTTAAGGCTTGGTCCTAGGCCTGCTTTTATTCTGCCAATGTACTACCCACCCACAGGACCTCATCCACACTGTAGCTCCACACCTTCTCTAAGCAGATGATCATGTGTTTGATCTTCATCCACAGCTCCAGGCCCACACATCCAGCAGCCTGCTGACTGTGCCCCTTGTATGTCTCACACACAACTCAGCGTGATCCAGACTGACCTCCACCCCTTCCTTCAATCCCAGTCTTCCTCCAGTGTTTCTTTCTCAGTGAAAGCAAATCCATCTGCTCAGTTTCAAAAGCTAGAAAACTAAGAGTCAGTCTTGAAACTCTCTCTCCCTCACCCCGCATCTAATCCATCTCCAAATCCTAAATATCTCCTCTTCTCTCTACTCCTAAAGTCCAAGCTGCCAGCATCTCTACATCCAAAATGGCAACAGCTTATTAACCAGTTTCTCTGCATCTACTTTTGCTCCCTTCAGTCCGTTCTGTGCATACCAGCCAGGGGGATTTTTCTACAGGGCAAAGCTGATTGTGCCTTGCTCCTGCTGAGAATTGTTCAATGCATTGTAATGCTTTTAGGATAAAGATCGACATCCTTATCACAGCCCAGAAAGCTGTGAAAGACTTGTCTGCACAATTCTGCAGCCTCACCTTGAGATACCTTCCTGCCTTCCATGTCCTCTCCCAGTTCCACTCTAAAAACCACACAGGTTTTTCATTTTCTCAAGCTCACCCTACTTCTCTCCACCTCAGCACCTTCAAAAAGGGCTGGTTCTTTTCTGGCCTTTCATGCTTCCTCCTCACCTTGTCTAGTTTCTTCTCATCTTTTAGATCTCAGTTCCTCACAGAAAGCTTCCTGCATCCAGAAAGCCAGGTCAAAACCTCTGCTTACTCAGTGTCGCAATGTCTTTGACTTTCTATTTTTGTAAGACTTTTCATACTTTTTCATTAAATGGTGACTCTACATATTTAGTTGTTTTCTATCTTTTGCATTGCTACTTTTCCCAGTGCCTAGTACTGTGCCCTGCACATAAGATATATTCAATAAGACTGTCCCGAATGAATGAATGAATGAATGAATGAATAATATAAAGAGATAAAATCACCCAAAAAATGAGAAAGATCATTTCTAGCCAACTTACTCATAATTTGTGTGTTTTTATTTCTTTGAATTTGGTGAAATGCTATCTCTCTCAGTTACTTTTTTTGGTATTAGCAACCAACTTAAACCCCACTGGATTTTTTTTACATTAACTGAAGTCAAGCCAGGTATATCTCTATGCTTAAGCAATTTCTGTTTCATTTAAATGTAAAGTTTTATATTTGAGAAAAAAGTATTTTTGAAATGAAATTCTGCAAGTCAAGATAATAACTGTTCTCACCAGATGTCATTTGAAAATACTATAATCATGACTTTCATGCCTTTTTCAAATTGTTAATAAATTGTCTTCTTATGCTAGCACCACAAAAACGCTACGATACACCTGCCTCTTTCCCCATGTGGCAGGAATAATTGGTCAATTAATTCACTAGCCTTTCCCCAACCCTCTTAGTTTTTCCTTTTTAGTTATAAAGTTTAAAACATGCCAGAGACCCACTTTGCCAGTTTTCCTTGAAGCTAGTGTTGTCTAGTGAGAAATAAGGTACACCTATAGAAGAAATGTGGAAACATATTTTGCTGTCATTTAAAAAAAAAAAAAAGCAATATCAACCCAAGACATACTTTTTTAACACAATTACTCAATTGCTTCTACTTTTGAGTGTGGTTGCACTGCCTGGAACCATGGAAGCCATCTGATGATCATGAGGTAACAAGCATGAAGGAAGAGTCAATACGATGAAAATGAAGGAGCTTCTGAACCAGCCTGTTATGCCTATCCACAGAGTTCTTGTTATGAGAAATAACTGTATCTTCATTGCCTAAACCACTAATAGATAGGTTTCCTGGGATTTACACTCAAACATATCTGAAATGATGCAATCAGTTAGAACGGGACATTGATCAACATTCCAAGTATAGTTGATCATTCAGACACAACTCTGTCTACCTGTATTGAACAGCAATCATCATTTCTCTATCTTATCCACAAAGCTGTCTTGGAGACTTTATTTTAAATTCCTCATTCAAGTCAAGGTACATTGAGACTGTGAGATTTCTCTCCTTTGAAAGTTCTGTAGGTTTACCCTATAAGCATTGCTCTTGGCCTGAAAAGAGTGTAGATAAGAGATATAGTGAGCTCAGGTCTTATGTCCGTGAGATTTGGTCTGGATTAACATTAAGCTTCTTAAGACCTTACTTTCTATCACCTTCGTCCTCCTCTTTTTCATAATTATTTTTTGAAGTGGATACGTACTCTTCTGAACATATAAAAATGAAAAAAACAACAAAACAAAGGCAATAAGTTCTCCCTGCTGCTCCTTCAAGCCCTTTAATGGTTCTTTATCCTGACAAATTCTTCAGAGGCTTTCTCCAATAAATAGAATAGTCACAGCATCCCCTGGTTTTAGTTAGACTATCAGCTGGAATTCTGTATCAGAGACCCAAAATAACAGTGGCCTCAATAAAAAGGTGATTATTTCTAACCTAACAGCCCAGGCATTGGCAGTCAGAGTGGTATGGTAGCCATAATTTCAGGCAGTTTCCCTCTTTCTTCTTCCTCTAGCATATCTTGTTGGCTTTTCCTCTTGGCCCACATCCAAACCATGGCATAAAAATGGGGACAGGAGAATGGAAGATGTTCTTTTCCTTTTAAGGCATGACACAGGAATTGCCCTCATCCCTTCTGCCCACACGTAATTGACTAGAACTTAGTCACATGGCCACATCCCGGTGTAAGGAAGGCTAAAAAATGTAGTCAATATTATGGGAAGCCATGTGCACATAAAGATCAGGGATTTTACTACAAGAGAACAAAGTGAGAAAAAAAATTGAGGAACAACTTACTGTCTCTATCAGAACACCCTCCCAAAAGAAATCTTATTTTCTGGGCTGAAGTTGCAGTAACAAACTGTAAGGTAACAATCTAAATGAAATCAAGCCAAAGGCCAAAGCTGGCTCCCAGGTTAGACAGAGGTCACCCACTTCGATAAGCAAAGCTCAATGTTTTCTAAGAAGATTCTCTATCATAGTGGTTCTCAAAGTAAACTTGGCACCAGGAACATCAGCTATCAGTGTCACCTGGATATTAGAATTGCAAATTCTTGGGCCCCACCTCGACTTACTGAATCAGAAACTCTGGAGCTGATGCCCAGGAATCGGTTTTAACAAGCTCTCCGAGTGATATTGACGCATGTTCAAGTTTAGGAACCACCACGCTGTAAAGTATAGCACTTCATGGGCTTATAATGAGCACTTACTAATTCCTACAGTAAGACACCAGATTACCTGAGTAATTCTTGGGCTCAGGTGAGCAATGAAGTGTTCAGTTAGGAAAACGTTCTGGTCATAAAATGAATTCCAAATAAAAAAATATATCCTTATATCAAGGAGTCTTTAATTCTTCTTAGGAAAGATTCTATTAGGTTTACCTTCAACCTTTTCAAAAACAACAGTTTTTCATCTGCAAAACAGAGTAGTGAAAAAAACAGTTATACAGAAGTGGATTGAAAATCAAGCAAAAGGCAAGCCCTTCTCTTACTGTATTGTCATCATAAAGACATGGACCAGCTAGCTCTCTTTTGGATATAGTCAGCATTATGAATAGCGTGTCACATGGAGTCATCCTTCCCTAAGGGAAGGGATGCCAATCACTAGCTCAACAGGTGGAGGCAGGGGTCTCTGGGGGAATCCCTCTACACAATGCTTCTCTTTTCTGGCTCATGTATCTGAATAATTACTTATTTCTACACTCTTGCCTTTCTCTTCAGGTTTCATTACTTATAAGAGGTAATATATTGTATTTATAATCATTACATCGGGGTCTCTCAAACTTTAATGTGCCTGTGAATCACCTGGGGACCTTGATAAACTGTAGATTCAGATTCAGTGGGTCTGGGACCAGGCCTGAGATTCTGCATTTCTAACAAGCTCTCAGGTGAGGCTGATACTGCTGGTCCACAGACCATAATCTGTATAAGAAGGATTTGTAGTATTAAAGGATAGAGAATAGAAGGGCTATTTCAGAAGGCCTCCCAAATTTACCTGATGAAGTCACCACCCACGGTGACTGTTTAAGCTTTCACCACCAGGCATGTTTAAAAAAGAAAAAAAGACACCTATTTACTGGGAGTAGTGGACAAAGAGGATAAAAAGGAAGTGGGGCACATGATGCCCATTCCCCTAATTATTGTCCCACCTTTGCTTTCAGGACAGGACATCTTCACAGTCTGGGTGTTTTCCCTGGGAATCATTATGGTTGATGACAGGTATTCCCTCATGCATGCATTTATTTTAAAAACATTTATTAAGCAATGACTACATGCCAAAGGGGTCAACTCAAGTCTCAACACATTAACTGAATGAGCAGAAGGGCATCATCGAAGTCCCTTGCCCTAACTGGGCTTTAGCCCCTTGAAGTGCCCCCATCACTCCTTCTGTCCATCTGAGCACTGGCTCATCTCCAGAATATTACCTTGGAAGTAGGGGCTCACTTCTCATTGGGTTGTTTAATAGCTTTGAGGCTCATTTATATTTGACTCAATTTCTTTATCTTGCAAAAGACAATGTTTTCCCGTTGGAGAAGATAGGTCATCCAGGAGTACCCCATGGACACCTGTCTCCTCTATGTACTTACAGAGCTAGTGTACAGCATTTCTTCCCTCAACTCAAAATTATTCTTTTAGTCAGGTCTCAATGACAGAGAAGCTGTATCTGATTTACTGTACACACTAAACCCAAACATTCTCAATGTCTTAACAAAAAGATTATTAAGACAAGAGGAACTTTTGGAAATTTCCCATATACATCCTGACTCTCCTTTCCTCATCCTCCACAAAAGACCATTAAGAAAACTTTAAGAACCCTCCTATTCAAGGGAAATCAAGACATCATGCAGGCCCTGGACAAATTAAACAACAAGAATATGCCTGGAAAATAAGAAAGTACTAATTGGAATAAAGGAACAGAAAATTTTAAAATAAGTGTATCCTAAAAGTTTCAGGCATATATTCATCTTGGCACTGGGTAGCTAAAAGTGTTCTAGAGGAGACATAGAAGAGGAAAAAATGATACAGAGAGCAACACAGAGAAAACACAAAGACTGTGTGCTTTATAATTCTATCATTCAGGGTAAGCTAGTCCAGTGTCTCTGAACTGATTTTTCATTATCGCTTCCCTTAAAGAGTCTTTTTGGACATTTTTTCTTGATCCCCCAACCCATGATATTTAGTTTGTAAAATTTATTTATTTTTAGTTGCCAAATAAAAATTATATATATTTATGGGGCACAATGTAATGTTTTGATACACACACACACACACACACATCATGGGAAAATTAAGTCAAGATAATTAACATATCCATCACCTCTTATATTTATCATTTTTTATGGTGAGAACATTTAAAATCTACTCTCTTAGCAATTTTAAAATATACATTATTATTAACTATAGTCTCATCTCCATGCTTTTCAGTGGATTTATAGAGCTTACTTCTCCTGTCTAAATGAAAATTTATACTCTTTGACCAATATCTTTCCATTTCTGTTCACTTCTCCCTGAAATTTGAATACCACAAATGTGCTAAGTATCTGCTTATGTACAGTGTGTGCACACTGTTTTTTTTTTCTCCTATCCCAAGAGCCAATTTTCATACTCTTGGAAGTCATATTATCCACGTTAGGTTAGATGCAAAGGTTAGATACTGCTTGGTAACACACAATCCCAATTTTTTAAATTATTATTAGACTTTAAGTTCTAGGATACAGGTGCAGAATGTGCAGGACTGTTACATAGGTATGCATGTGCCATGGTGGTTTGTGGCACCCGTCAACCCGTCATCTAGGTTTTAAGCCCTGCGTGCATTAGGTATTTGTCCTAATGTTCTCTCACCCCTTGGCCCCCAACCCCTGACAGGCCCTGATATGTGATGTTCCCCTCCCTGTGCCCATATGTTCTCATTGTTCAACTCCCACTTATAAGTGAGAACATGCAGCGTTTGGTTTTCTGTTCCCTTGTTAGTTTGCTGAGAACGATAGTTTCCAGCTTCATCCATGTCCCTGCAAAAGACATGAACTCATCCTTTCTTATGGCTGCATAGTATTCCGTGGTGTATATGTGCCACATTTTGTTTATCCAGTCTATCATTGATGGGCATTTGGGTTGGTCCCAAGTCTTTGCTGTTGTGAACAGTGCTGCAACAGACATACGTGTGCATGATTTATAATCCTTTGGGTATATACCCAGTAATGGGATTGCTGGGTCAAATGGTATTTCTGGTTCTAGATTTTTGAGGGATTGCCACATTGTCTTCCACAATGGTTGAACTAATTTACACTCCCACCAACAGTGTAAAAGCATTTCTATTTCTCCAAATCCTCTCCAGCATTTGTTGTTTGCTGACTTTTTAATGATCGCCATTCTAACTGGCTTGAGACGGTATCTCATTGTGGTTTTGATTTGCATTTGTCTAATGACCAGTGATGATGAGCTTTTATTCATATGTTTGTTCACCACATAAATGTCTTCTTTTGAGAAGTCTCTGTTCATATCCTTCGCCCACTTTTTGATGGGGTTGTTTTTGTAGATTCTGGATATTAGACCTTTGTCAGATGGATAGATTGCAAAAATTTTCTCCCCTTCTGTAGGTTGCATGTTCACTCTAATGATAGTTTCTTTTGCTGTGCAGAAGCTCTTTAGTTTAATTAGATCCCATTTGTCAATTTTGGCTTTTGTTGCAATTGCTTTTGGTGTTTTAGTCATGAAGTCTTTGCCTATGCCTATGTCCTGAATGGTACAATCCCAAAATTTTAGTAGCTAGTTACAACAAAGCTATTTATTCACATCCTCTGTTTATCACAGATCAGATGGGGTAGGTGCTGCTCCCCAGATCTTCTCACCACAGAATTCAGGCTAACAGGGCAACTGCCAATTCCAGTGTTTCCAGTTGCCAATGGAGGAGAGAAAAAGAGTGTTCTGGAAGTTTTCACACCTGCAATTAAATGCTTCAGCCTAGAAGAGATATAAGTCACTTTTCCTCTCAGCTCATTGGACAAAACTAGTCATATGGTCCTTGCAACCACATAAGGTCCAAGAAATACAATTCTATTGTATACCTAGCAGGTGGAGAACAGGAGGAAATACTAAGCAAAAGGCACTAAAGATTCAAAGCAACCTTGCCTTTGGCCAGCCCTCCCAATCAAAGAGAATATGCTGCTAACTGTATACAGACAGGCTCTCTGGACCATAGGACATAAACTTACCTCGTCCAAGGCTCACCTGAGTTCTTGCCAAAATTAATCAACAGAGACACTTCCCCTTGCCCCATCATCCTGTCCAATAACAGTCCATTCACACCCCAACTACACTGTAGCCACAAACTCTCCACATCCTCTCTTTCCTCCCTATCACTTCTACTTCTACTCCCCCAGTATTGAAAAGATCAAAAACCAGCAAAAGGAAGTTAGAAGGCTAAGAAGACTGTCTGTTACAGAAACTCTATAGATTGCACAATTGTACCTTTTAAAGAAAGCAGATGAACTAAATACAGATTGTTTAACACAGAGGCAAGGGTCATTAGACCAAGTGAAAGAAGGTAGAGGCTCAAAAAATAACTGATGCATGAATGAATTTACGATTAGATAAATCAATGAATGAAAAGCATGATGTGCCATCCATTTTTCTTTTCTTTTTTTTTTAACTTTCAGGTTCAGGGGTACATGTGAAGGTTTGTTACAAAGGTGAACTTGTGTCATGGGGGTTTGTTGTACAGATTATTTCATCACCTAGGTATTAAGCCCAGTGCTTAATAGTTACCTTTTCTGCTCCTGCCCTTCCTCCCAACCTCCACCCTCAAGCAGATCCCAGTGTCTGTTGTTCCCTTATTCGTGTTTGTGAGTTCTTATCATTTAGCTCCCATTTGTAAGTGAGAACATGCAGTATTTGGTTTTCAGTTCCTATGTTAGTTTGCTAAGGATAATAGCCTCCAGCTCCATCCGTGTTCCAGTAAAAGTCATGAGCTTATTCTTTTTTATGGCTGCGTAGTATTCCATGGTGTCTGTGTACCACATTTTCTTTATTCCATCTGTCATTGATGAGCATTTAGGTTGATTCCATGTCTTTGCTATTGTGACTAGTGCTGCAGTGAATATTCACATGCATGTGTCTTTATGGTAGAATGATTTATACTCCTCTGGGTATATACCCAGGAATGGGATTCCTGGGTCGAATGGTAGTTCTGCTTTTAGCTCTTTGAGGAATTGCCTTCCTGCTTTCCACAATGGTTGAGCTAATTTACACCCCCACCAACAACGTATAAGTGTTCTCTTTTCTCCACAACCTTTTCAGCATCTGTTATTTTTTGACATTTTAATAATAGCTATTCTGACTGGTATGCGATGGTATCTCATTGTAGCTTTGATTTGCATATCTCTAATGATCAGTGATGTTGAACTTTTATTCATATGCTTGTTAGCCACATGTATGTCTTCTTTTGAAAAGTGTCTGTGATGTCCTTTGCTCACATTTTTTTTTTAAGACGGAGTTTCATTCTTGTTGCCCAGGCTGGAGTGCAATGGCCAGTCTCAGCTCACTGCAACCTCTGCCTCCCAGGTTCAAGTGATTCTCCCACCTCAGCCTCCCAGGTAGATGGGATTACAGGTGCCCACCACCACAACCGACTTTGTTTTTTGTATTTTTAGTAGAGATAGGGTTTCACCATGTTGACCAGTCTGGTCTCAAACTCCTGACCTCAGGTGCTCCACAAGCCTCAGCCTCCCAAAGTGCTGGGATTACAGGCATGAGCCACCATGCCCAGCCCTTTGCCCACTTTTTAATGGGGTTGTTTGTTTTTCGCTTATAAATTTGTTTAAGTTCCTTATAGATGCTGGATTTTAGACCTTTGTCATATGCATAGTTTGCAAACATATTCTCCCATTCCGCAGATTTTTTGTTTACTCTGTTGCTAGTTTCTTTTGCTATACAGAAGCTCTTAAGTTTAATTAGATCCAAATTGTCAATTTTTGCTTTTGTTGCAATTGCTTTTGATGTCTTTGTCATGAAATCTTTGCCTGTTCTTGTGTCCAGAATGGTATTGCCTAGGTTGTCTTCCGGGGGTTTGGTAGTTTTGGGTTTTACACTTAAGTCTTTAATCTATCTTGAGTTGATTTTTGTATATGGTGTAAGAAAGGGGTCCAGTTTCAATCTTCTGCATATGGCTAGCAGTTATCACAGCACCATTTATTGAATAGAGAATCCTTTCCCCGTTGATTGTTTCTGACAGCTTTGTTGAAGATCAAATGGTCATAGGTGTGTGACCTTATTTCTGGGCTATCTATTCTGTTTCATTTGTCTATTTGCCTGTTTTTCTACCAGTACCATGCTGTTTTGGTTACTGTAGCCCTCTCATATAGTTTGAAGTAAGGTATTGTGATGTCTCTAGTTTTGTTCTTTTTGCTTAGGATTACCTTGGCTATTCAGGCTCTTTTTCAGTTCCATATGAATTTTAAAATAGTTTTTTCTAGTTCTGTGAAGAATGTTCTTGGTAGTTTGATAGGAATTGCATTGAATCCATAAACTGTTTTGGGCAGTATGGCCATCTTAATGATATTATTCTTCCTCTCTGTGAGCATGGGATGTTTTTCCATTTATTTGTGTCTTCTCTGATTTCTTTGAGCAATGTTTTGTAATTCTCATTGTGGAGCTCTTTCACTTTCCTGGCTGGCTATATTCCTAGGTATTTTATTCTTATTGTGGCGATTTTGAATAGGATTGCCTTCCTGATTTGGCTCTCAGCTTGGCTATTGTTGGTGTATAGGAATGCTAATTTTTTTACATTGATTCTGTATCCTGAAATTTTGCTTAAGTTGTTTATCAGCTGAAGGAGGTTTTGAGCTGACACTATAGGGTTTTCTAGATATAGGACCATGTTGTCTGAAAACAGGGATAGTTTGACTTCTCTTCCTATTTGGATGCCCTTTATTTGTTTCTCTTGCCTGATTGCTCTGGCTAGGATTTCCAACACTATGTTGAACAGGAGTAGCCACCCATTTTTCAAAGTCCTCAAATATACATTTCCTTTTATTGCTGTTTTATTTATCTTGATTTAGACAAGTGGGGCTCTCCTTCCTTTCTTGCCATGTTCCGGTCTTAGCTAAACAACAAGCTCTGTTTCCTTGTGGTCCCATCGTTGGCTTGACAACTTGATTTGGATTACCAGTGTTTATTACTCCACTTCCTCTTTCCTTCCTCTCTATTTGCAGTCAAGGTCTTATAACTTGGCCCCTTCTTTAAATTATTCTGTAACCTAATTGACCTATGACTATCCAAGCTTCAAGTTAGCCCTTTTCAAAGTCCCCAGAAGAAAGGATCTGGTGACATAAACACACCAGCAGTGAAACAATGATATTGACAAGTAGAAAGAAAGTAACTGGTTATTGTGAAATGCCAGATGCATGTGCACAGAGTCCTGCAGGTCCAAGCCAATAATTGTTTTAAGTTTGTTGTTTCTCTCTCTCTTTTTTTTTTCCCCTTTTCTTTAAGACAGAGTCTCACTCTGTCACCCAGGCAGGAGTGCAGTGGTTCAATCACAGCTCACTGAAGCCTCAACTTCCTCAGGTTCAGGTGGTCCTCCCACCTCAGCCTCCTGAGTAGCTGGGACTACAGGCACATGCAACCACACCTGACTAATTTTTTCTATTTTTTGTAGAGATGAGGTTTCACCATGTTGCCCAGTCTGGTCTCAAACATCAGACCTCAAGTGATCCATCCGCCTTGGCCTCCCAAAGTGCTGGGTTTACGAGCGTGAACCACTATGCCCAGTTCATTTTAAAAAGCATTAATGAAGCAGGGGGTTAGCAGTCAGTATTTTTCCTTTTTCCACACATGGTTATGTGCCCAAGCACTCTTGATGCAAGTGGCATAATGAACTATGATCAAGAACCAGTCATTTGTCCATTTAGGCAGTTCAAGTGTCCAAGTGGAGATTTGTCACTTTCAAACCAAAATATCTACTTGAGTATTAAAATATTAAAACCTCTCCTGAGACAGGGCTAGGGATAGAGTGAGGATATAGGGAATGGGAGTTAGTCTTTATGCTCTACAGAGCAATGGAGTCATTTTTTTTTTTAATACCGTTAGGGGAAAGGAAGAAGAAGAAGAGGTTCCCAGGTCAGCAGAAAAATTTTGAGTCAGAAATTGTAGAACCAAGCCTCGGAAAGGGCAACATAAACTTGCTTTGAACACAAATCAAACATCATTAACACACCAGATGGCCATCTGGGTTGTCTGTATCCTATAACATGTCACTCCTTGCTAGGTGCTCCAGAGAGATCATAGATTTCTATTTCCATTTCTATTCATCTGATATTCTTGGCAAACAACATAATGGAGAAGAGAGAGTGCAGACCGCATAGAAGGAAAAGGATCTTTCTTTGCCCTTTCCATGTAGGCAATATATTCATGATCATGCACATGTGTATTGATGACAATATGAGACAGGCACTCAACTAAGAAGCACTGGAAATATAGCTGTGACCAACACAGACCAAGTCCCTGACCTCAGGCAAGTAACATTTTAATGCAGGAGAACAGACAATAAGCAAATAAACAAATGAATAAGGTAATTTCATGTGACAATAAATGCTAGGAAGAAAATAGAATATTGTGATTTTTAAATGATATGAGAGTTAGATGTAACTTTAGATAGAGGTCAAGTGAGATTTTCTAAGACAGTGTCATTTGAACTGAGACCTAAATGATAAGAAAGGGAAGAATAAGTACAAAGCCCCTGAGGCAGTAATGAGTTTGGTGTGTTCAAGGAACTAAAGGAAGGTCATGTGCTGGGGAAGTGAGGAGGGGAACGATAGGAGATGGAGTTGGAGCAACAAGCTGAATCCAGGTCATGTGCAATCTTAAAGACCAAGGTCAATATGCTTGAATGTCTAAGGGTATGCGTAGTATGGTTGTCCCAAGTCAGAGTTAGGATAGTGAGCATTGAGTCTGTTTTCCTATATGTCTATTCTATCCCAGCCTCATTGTGTAGCAGCTGGTGAATGGGGGAATTCTCACATCTTGTTTTGTTATAAAAAAAAAAAATTATTCTGTTCTACATCAAGTTTCCTAGGAGCCTACCCCAAAATAAGGATTCCTGTATAAGTAATTTATTAATGAAGTGTGCCCCTCAAAAAAGCAGTAAGGGAGGATGGGGAAGTAAGTTAGAAAACGTGTGGAAACTAGGGAAGGGAGAAATCTCAGGCAGAGTCCCACAGGTAGGGCTGCAACCATAGAGGGAACACTCCAAAGCAAAGATATTTAACTCAACATCTCCAGGTTGTCCCAATTTGAGGTGAGAAAGCTGGCTTTCATGGTCTCACACTTGAGAGTCATTGACTAAAGGCCGTCCCAGGAAAAGTGAGTTCCAATGTCCTGGGTACAATTCTCAAAAAAAAAAAAAAAAAAAAAAACACACACACACAAAAATACTGGAGGTGGTAACTGTTGGAAGCAAAAGCACAATGAAGTGTATGCACACAGACACACATGCACACACACACAGGTAAAATCAGATCTAGAGGGTCTGGTAGACCACTGCTATTATCCACTATACATCCTAACTGAAATACCTAGCTTCAAAATATGGTGTCACCACTTACCATCTCCATGATCCCAGTTTTCTTATCTATAAAACGTATATAATCATAGTGTCTACCTTATAGGATTATTCCAATGATTTAAATAACAATAATGCCTTTAAAACTCTTAACACAATGCCTAGCATATGGTAGCCACTCAGTAAATGTTACTATTTTTTTCACCTAATCAGGCATACCAAAAATAAAATCTAATGGAATATTTTCCCACTTATTGCTTTTTCCATACTCACATGAGATCACAAAAGCTCCACTGATTTCCATGAGCATAATAGCTTTCAAATAAGGTCAGTTAGCAAGCTAGAGGATTATCCTCAAAACCTTCGAAGAGAAATAGGACTGCATTCCCACCTAATTATACATCAAGGCATCCTTAAGAATCTCTCTTCCCACAGTGGAGGACTAGGAATATTCTTAACAATAACCAAGGAATGTCATTAGCTGTCATAAATAGATTTAGAAATCACAGATATCCAAAGGATTTCAACCAAATTCTTTATATTGGAGTTCATTATGGGTAATAATAGACATGTGGCTGCTTTGTGGACTCTTGGATATATTTCACAGCTTCCACAATTGCATTTCAAATGCTATCCTACTTCCTAATAACTAAGGTACATGTTCACTTCAGCAAAAATTTTTTTAATCTTGATTAAAGGACCCAATGTCAAAGAATCTCTATTTAGCACTCAACAGGAATTTGAACATTTAATCATGTTCATGCCTTTCATCATCCCGCTTCCCAGCACCTACATTTTGAGCTGTTTCCAGGTTGGCCTATTTCTTTCCATCCATTAAAATGAGCCCACAAGAAGCAAGGGATGACCTAAGTACAAGAATTAGAAACTAAACTCAGTAAGTGCAAGTCCTATACAGAGCAAGATAGTACTCAGCTCAGAGTCTAGTTGGAAAGGAGAGTAATAACACTCCAGTCCTTGAAGTCAGCACAGTCTATTTAGCTGGAATTTCAGGGCCCATGACTGATAAAGATTGTTTGTGAAAAGTAGTTGGCTGAGATGTATTATCCTCCATGGTTTTCTCCCTTTCCTTGCCAAACCCCGTGAAATTCCAGTAAAGGAATTTTTTAAATGTGTTAACTCAAAAGGACAAACAGAGCAGAAGAGGAGACAGCAAAGGGATAGAGTTACAAGTGGACTGAAAACACAGCAATTAAGTAAAAATCCGCATTCTTAACTGTAGGAACTTTAGCCTCCTTCTTCCACCTGCCCCAAAATGACAGTAGCAAGGCAACTTATTTCCCCTTCATCCCACGCCATTATGGAGGCTGGATTCTTCTCTGCAAAAGCTGACCAGCACAAATATAAGACCTTTCAAGACATGTAGCACTCCCCAAGAAAAATATCTCCTTCATGAAACAGAGGTAACTATTAACTCCAAGAACAACCAAAATTGTATTCAGATGTGACCATAATATACTACTTATCTCAGCAGTGAATGGCATTTGTAGTTTGAAACGATGTAAACACCAGCTCCTTGAAACCAAAATTGTGATAGATTGGGTAGATGGTGGAGAGGGGAGGTGGAGACAGAAGGATCAGAGAAGTGTATACAGCAGTGAATTTCTCAACTATCTTGCAGGGAATATAAAAAATAACATAAAAAAATCATAAGATTATTATTTGAAATGTGGAGGTACATATTAGATGTAATTTCTAAAAAGAATTGAAATGGGTTATTTCTGGAGACTGAAAGTAAAGGATGAAGAAAGGTGAAAGAGAAGGTCACTTTTGATGTAATAAATGTTTTAGCACCAATTTTTTAAAAGATTATAAGCCAGTTCAAAACTAAACATCAAAAACATACTCAGTTCTCCAGAAAGCAAAAATTCAAATCAAATAAATAAGATATCAAGCTTACTTTAGGCTCAGGTCAAAAAGTATATATATTGTCCTTTCAGTTTTGATTCTCTTTGATCATTTTTGTACACACACACACACACACACACACACACATCACTCTTTATTCAAACCTCCCTAAGATGTGTATTCTTATGTTTCTTATTTTACTTTTGATCCTTTTGATTCAGTATCAACATTGTAATCCAGTTGTTGGTCTTTCTTGTAAGATTGCCAAATAAAATAAAAGATGTCAGTTAAATTTCAATTTCAGATAAACAGCAAAAGTTTTTAGTACATCCCAAATAATGCATGAGACCTACTTATACTAAAAATTATTTATTGCTTATCTGAAATTCAAATTTAATGGGATTCTGTATTTTTATTTGCTAAATCTGACAACCCTATTTTAAGGATTATCTCTGTCTATATGCACTGCACATTTGCTTCTGAGTTAGTCCAAACTGCAGCTGCCTTTTTCCATCACATGTTCCCTGTCTAGCATTCCCAGCTCCATCTTGAGCCATCATTTCTTTAAGCCTTGTCACTAGAACTGCAAGGCTCTTGTTCATCCTGAAGAGGGTACAGCCTCTGCCTTGCTGGCCTCAGCCAAAGGGTGATGCAGAGACGGTGGTATTTCTTTTGCTGCCCTGTATTTAGACATCTGCCACTGACCTACAGTCTGTGACATTGTAAAAGATTGGTGACACTTAACACAGAATAATAAACATGACTTCGAGTAAAATTTAAAAAAAAAAAAGGAAAGCTTTCACTTGGGGTCCTCTCATGGAAAACTCCAGTTCCTGGCTTACTTTTTTCTCTCATGGTCAAATAGTGCCACATCCTCTTCTAGGCAATAAAACCCACCACCATTAGTCCTTCAGAATATGGGCCCTTTCTCCCCTTTAAAAGAACTTAATTCCTCACAGTCTTGCCCTTCTTCTACTAGAGGACTTTATTAGGATTAAGAATCCCCCCAGCAAAGAGAATAATGTTCTATATCTTGATTGTGGTGGTGATTACATGAGTGCACATCTTTGTCAAGTTTCCTGAATTGTACACATAGAATGAGTGCATTTAATAATATATTAATAACAAGTACCTCAATGAAATTGATTTTTTTAAATATCCCCTAGCAGTACTTTTACTAAATCATGAGTTAATCTTTTTGGAATCTAAAATAATGCCACAGAGATTTCAGCAGCACGGCCCAGGATTTTCTTTTCCAAGTTTGGATTTCCTCCAATTCTGGCCACCAGCATGAAGTGGAAATATGTCTTCATTTGTTCCTTGTAGCGTTCTACCCTCCTGTGGGTACTTTTGAATAAAACACACACACGCACACCTCAAAGAGTATACAATACAGTTTATCTGAATATCTTATAGAAAGGAAAATTATTTAGTAATGAACTCTTTATGTAGCTTGGAGGCGTGTGCAAGATATAGCTTGGAAGAACAATTCAGTCAAGGCAAAATTATGGGCATCTTTATAAAAATGCACTTGCATATGAAACAATATTAAAAGTGGAATTATATTAAGCAAGAATATCCTCTGAACTGTTATACGTGTGGTGGGGGAGGTGGAGTTGGGGACATTTGACTCCATCAGCTTCTTACCATTAAGAGTTTCCTCCAACTGTTATAGGTAGTGTGGTGGAGGTGGAGCTGGGGATTTGTCTTGAGAAATAGTCCTGGATTCTGGAATTTTCTACCCAACCCAGGGAAAATTCCATTTTCAGCCCAAACCCCAATCAGGAAATGATTCTTCCTAAAAACGGGGAACAGCTAAAAAAAAAAAAAAAAAAAAAAAAACTCCTCCTTACTCCACAGCCCAGAAAACACAAACAGGACAGAAGGCTTAGTTCAGATAGAGGGACCGGAAGAGTCTGAACTCCACCCAGAGAAAAGTCTTTTTTGGGTAAGGAATTATTTAGGGCCAGGCATGTTGCAGATGACATAGGAGGGAAGCAAACCTCTTAAGCAAAAAGTGGGTACTTAGAGTGACCCTTTTGAAAGCACGTACACAAACTCTAACAACTTTCTGTGAACTTTAATGAACAAATGCTTTACTACTAAAATGAGAGAAAAAAAGAAATAAGATACTCTAATATTAAACCAAGACAGAGCAAAGGTTACCCAGCAAGCAGAATATCAAAAGAAACAAAGAAAAGAGGTTGATGTCCAGCATTAGAACAATAATAGTAATAGTGACAACTGTCTTGGGCACCCACTGTGTGCAAGGACTATTCCTAAGCACTTTATCCTCATATCATCCTTAGTAGCAGTCCACCCCAAGGGCAGAATCAGGGGACAAGGCCCACAAGACCCTGGAAATATGCCAAGTATAAAACCTCAGGTCAAAAGGTCACACCACACACTTGTCTTTCAAGTCACCTACTTAGCCCTCTTCCAAGTATAATTATCTTCCTTTTGTTCCGCTCTAAAGCTTTCTAATAAGCTTTCACTCCTGTTCTAAAACTTGCCTCGGTCTCTCCTTCGGCCTTATGCCCCTCACTTGAATTCTTTCCTCTGAAGAGGCAAAAAGTGAGGTTGCTGCAGACCCGTACAGATGCGGATTCATCGCTGGTAACAATAGTGCTTAGTTAGGTTCTTTTAGGTTGCACGGACTAGGCACCTCCAAGTTACTTTACAATTATGCTTTTAAAACTTTCCCACCAAATCCTCCTAACAGCTGAACCTATATACCTCCAGAGGCTCTGGAAGCCATAATATTTTTTCTCTCTCTCTTCCTTACCTATTTTTCATAAACAACTTTGCTGAGGTGTAGTTTTCAGACTGTCATATTCACCTGTTAAATTTACAACTCAACGATTTTTAATAAATTTACTGAGTTGTACAACCATCACCATAATCCAGTTTTAGAACATTTCCATCATCCCAATATGATCCCTCATGCCTGTTTACAGTTAATCTCCATTTTCACCACCTGCCCCAAGCAACCACTAATCTGTTTCTGTCTCAGTAGATTTGCCTACTTTGAACATTTTATATAATTGGAATCGTACAATATGTGGTCTTTTTTCATGTGGCTTTTTTCCCTTAGTGTAATCTTTTTGAGGCTTATCCATATTGTAGCAGATACCAGTACTCAATTCTTTTTACTGCTGACTCGTTTTCGCTGTATGGAGCCATAGCCTTTTTCATTGTTTAGCAAATCTGAAAAAATATTGAAGCCTCAATGTTTACCTTTAAAATTTATTCAAGTGTTGTATATGTCTGTGTTGGCCTTAATATGCAGATGTTTTAAATGACATAGTTTTCTTCAAATTGTTAAGAACTTAACTGTTACTCCGGCTCATTTCAGACTTCATTGGTGTGAAAGATAGAGCCTCGGGTAATGGAAGTTAATTACAGGGAAGCCCGCAGAGAAGAAAAGAAGGCAGGGTAGGTGAATCTCAAGCCTTTGTCTAAGTTACCAATCACAGGTCCAAGCAGTGTGGCTGAGTCAGCAGAGTCGCATGGGACCAGGAAAGGCAACACTAGGCACTAAGAACTGCCCGTAGTAGACTTCCTGAGAAGCAGGCAATGGAGTTTCGTGACCCTCTGTCCCATATATTTAGAGTTCTCATTTCAAAGTCTTTAGTCATTCCCAAACTAATATTTCTGTAATTGGCTTCTGAGTTCCAAGATAAAGATGCCCACCAGGTACTGGTATAAAGAGATAGGAGAATGAGGCGAACCATCATGACAATTGCAGTCAAGATTTTGAGGACTAGAATATTGAAAAAAGTGAGCATCTCTCTTTAAAAACTATTGTTTTAATAAAGGATTATTTCTGCTATATAGAACAAGTAGCTACCTCTACCTTAATATCCCAAAAGCTTACTCTTAAAGATAAGCCCTTTTTTGCATGTTCTAAAGCTCTTTTTGTTGACTTTGTCAAAACTTGGAACAACCCAATGGGGCTGTTAATTAATTCCACAGATGATCAACTTGCTCCCTAGCTGAAGTTCTATTAAAAGCACCATCAACTCACCACCAAACGCTCCCTAGCTGAAGTTCTATTAAAAGCACCTTCAACTCACCACCAAACGCAAAGATCTTGGTTTATAATGTCATTTTCCAATAAAAGAAACCAAGGCTCCTTGGAAAAATAGTTGATTCTAGAACTGGGGCAGGAAATATACAGGATGAGCCTGGAGCATTTTGCAGTACCAGAAAGTAAGGAAGTGCTTAAAATAAAATGATGAGGGTACGTCAAGGGACACAAGAGCCAACCTGAAAGATCTCCCAACAGCCAAAATCAGAAAAATTTGAGAAGCAAAATAAATAATGTAGTACTGGATTAAAATCCAAACTGTAAAATAAATATCCATGAGTCCCTACTGATATAAATAAATTATTGAATAAATAAACAAGTGGGAAGAGAAAGTAATCTCCAATACAGAAGAATTCCAAATTATCTGTGTAGATATTCCTTCCTCAAGGAAGTAGAACTTAACTCCCCAGTTCTTGAGTGTGGCTGTATTTAGTGACTTACTGCTGAAGAGTAGTATGTAAAGGGAGAAAAAAAGCTTCACAAAGGAGAAATCTGGCAAATTACATTGGCCAAGCAATCAAGGTTAACGTCATCAGTGATAAGTCATGTTGATAACAGATACCCCTCAACTAAAGTGTTGAGAGAATGGCATTTTACTTTCATGGTTTCCTTCTAAAAACCCATAACCACAGTCTAATCATTAGAAAAACATCATATAAACCCTAACTGAGGGACATTCTACAAAATACTTGACCAGTACTTCTTGAAACTGTCAAGGTCATCAAAACCAAGGAACGTCACAGAAACTGTCACATACCAAAGAAGCTAAGGAGACATGACAAATAAATATAATATGGTATCCTGGATAGAATCATGGGACAGAAAAAGGATGATGTTCTGGAGAAAAACTGATGAAATCTGGATAAACCATAGAGTTTAATTAACAGTAATATGCCAATGTTGATTTCTTAATTGTGACAAAAGCACCATAGTAATGTAAGATGTTAACATCAGGGAAAGCTGTGAAATACATGGGATCTCTCTTGACTATCTTTGTAACTTTTCTGTGAATCCATGCTATTCTAAAACAAAAACATTATTTGCAAAAAAAAAAAAGAAAAAAAAAAGCAAACATCAAGTTACAACCAAAGAGTTACTTCAGAAAATCTCTCTACAGAGAAATATGCAGTAAATCAGCCTAACTATGGGCAATCAATGGTTATAGAAACAGGGACTTTTTCCTTCTTTTTTTTTAAGGAGTTATTCACTGCAAGTCTGATGTCATCCATACCCAAAAGCCCTGAGCTGCATAATGATGATCCAGCCTCCTGTCCCAAGCCCCTACTCAAATACCCAAAGCCTAATATTGTTTCCACGTAACTGTCCCCCAGGTCTCTCAAATGCATGTGACAACAATCCATGTACAATAAAGCTATGTATAGTGGTAGACTATTATTTTAATAGTTCAAATATCCAACACAGACTCATTTTCAGGAAGGCTGATGTTTGTGAATTCAGCCTCTTGGCCGGCCCTTGTGATTTACTCAGCCTCCAAAATGGATGAATCCATGTTATAAACCATTTGTGAACAAGGTCCACTGGCAAATAACCCAGTCATTCCTTAATGGCCAGAGCAGTTCTTGGGATCATTCAAAATAAACTGAAGCTAATTTTCTTTTGGTGCAGGGATGATGAGGTAGAAGTAAAGATTAGGAATAATATGAAACCCCTCACTAATTTTTTTTTTTTTTTTTTTGAGACAGAGTCTTGTTCTGTCACCCAGGCTGGAGTGCAGCAGTGCGATCTCAGCTCACTGCACCTTCTCGAGTAGCTGGGACTACAGGTGCGTGCCACCATGCCTGACTAATTTTTTATATTTTTAGTAGACAGGGTCTCACCATGTTGACCAGGCTGCTCTCAAACTCCTGACCCCTGGTGATCCAGCCTCCCAAAGTGCTGGGGTTACAGGCTGGAGCCACCATGCCTGGCTCCTCTCACTAAGATTCTAAAATCAGGAAGTTGGGCCCTGAGGCTGGGCCTGCAGATGAGAATTAAGACTCTCTTTTGCAGTTACTTTCCCTCCATCTTTGATTTGTTCTTTCGTCAATTATTTGTTGAGTGCCTACAATGAACCTGAAAGCTGTGACCTATTACAAGGTGGTTTTTGAACACCTAGAACAGAAGAAAAGCAAATGGAACCAGAAATGAAATAAATCAAGCCAGGAACTACCTGGATGCCAACTTCCACAGTTCTTAACCCAATGGTACATGGCATACAGTAGGTGCTTAATTAAATATTTGTTGAATAAATGAGTAAACACATCAAGGCTTCCCCATAAATACCTGTCTGAATAACTGCATCAAAGGCTGGGTCTGATGGCAAATTAAGAAACTATTCTGCGGTAAGAGCCTTTGGAATGACAACACCCAGGAGTGAACTGCAGAGACTCTTTACCAAACACACTCATCCTGGAGTTCCTGTGAGTCAAGGCAATGGAATAAGTGCAAGGAGCTTGTTAAGTTCCTTATTACAACATTGCTCCTGTATTTCCCAGGTCTCTCTAATCTTCATATTAGCTGAGTAAGATCAATACATCCTTAATATAAACTGAATGATTATTTGTGAACAAATCTTTAAAAGCAGAGTAATCAACATGATGCTTTGGAGAAAGTATTGAGTTAGAAATTAAGAGAAGAGCATTCTGGTGCCAGGTGTGTCTTCATTCTCATAGAACTTTAGACAGGTTATTCTACTTCTTTGTGACTCTGTTTCTTTTCCTAAAGAAGAGGGTGCAGTGAAGAATTAGACTACATTATCTCTCTAAAATCCCCTCAGGGTCCAAAATCTTATAATTCTAAGGCTATTACTCTAATAATTATAATACCTATTCATAGATTGCACTGTTTGTTTTACATGCTTTCCAAGTATTGTCTTATATAATCCTCACAACAATTGTATAAAGTAGGTACTATTATTCCCATTTTCAGATGAGAAAACTGAAGCACAGAGAGGTTAAAGATCACAGGCAGTCCTCATGATATCATGTTGACTGAAACTCACATATATTGAAATCATGCAAAGCAAGGGCACTGATCTGATATGCACATATTTTTGTTTGTGCAATGTCTTGAAAGCTAATCACTGTACATAAACTCAAGCAATTCAAATTCAGAGTCTGCATGCATAGCTTCTATCTACACCAATAGTTCTCAAAGGGTAGTCCTCAGAACAGAAACATCATCATCCATGAACTTGGTAGAAATGCAACTTTTCAGACCCCAGTCCAGACCAACAGAATCAGAAACTCTGGGGCTGCAGCTTAGCTGTCTGTTTGCAAGCCCTCGAGGTGATTCTGATGCAGGTCAAAGTTTGAGAAGCACTGTTCCACAAGTTCCTGTTTAGTGACCCCTAGAAGATGTGGTGATGGAAGTCAGGAAGCATAGTGCAATGGTTGGGGCATCCTCAAAGTTCATCTACTCCAAAGAACTAAGCATCCCTTCAGCAGAGAGACAAAAGCCATAAAAAGGAAACATGCAGAAGTAGGGTCAACTTTGCAAGCTGGTCCTTTTCTTTTTAAGAGATGGAGGTCTCGCTAGGTTGCTCAGGCTAGTCTCAAACTCTTGGGCTCAAGCAATCCTCCCACCTCAGCCTCCCGAGTAGCTGGGACTACTGGTGCACACCATCATGCCTGGCTTCAGTTA
This sequence comes from Homo sapiens, assembly GCF_000001405.40. Classification (NCBI taxonomy): domain Eukaryota; kingdom Metazoa; phylum Chordata; class Mammalia; order Primates; family Hominidae; genus Homo; species Homo sapiens. Next base: position 31,414,292 of record NC_000003.12, read on the forward strand.
CCTTTAGAGACAGCATTTTTTTTCTTTTAACCATAGCTCTTCAGTGAACAAAGAATAAGGAAAAAAGAAACCTGTTTTTTCCTTTAAAACTGTTACCCATGACCTTTTTTTTCAGGTTGAAGTGTCTTCAGGATGTATCCCTGAGTTTCCAAAGCACTAGGCAGGGATTTAGCTATGTGATTCCAATTAGACTCCACAGGAGAGAGCTGGAGCCACTGACAGGTGCTTTGAAGTCCTTACGTCTGGTGGACAGTCTGCCCTTCTTAGACACAGCATCTGATATTCTGACACTGGTGGAAAGCATCTGATAGCCGTCTTATTTCTCTTCGGACCCAGTGCTGTTCATTCAGTGGCCTTTTTCTAAGAGGCACACCAGACTGTCAGCTTGCTTTCTTAAAAAAATGAAAAACAAAACAAAACAACAACAACAACAAAAAAAACAGAAAACAAAAAACTCCAGGCTAAGATATTCAAATTGCCAAACCAATGGTATCATGGGGGACCATTATAAAATCCTCTCCTAGTTAAATCCGCATGCCTCAAGGAGCAAAAAATTAATATACTGCCGTTACACAGTTGAGAGGGAAAATTAATTTACAGAGAAACCTTTTCTAAGACATGTTCAGACTGCCTGGATACCACTCTAAATGGAAGCATTATCTGCCTTCCCAAAATAATACACCATATGCCCTAATCTGGCAGACACAAAAATAATTACATGACTCTGGCAGAGCCAATATGCTTGCTAATAAATGGAAAAATGAGAATAATGCAAATCAAAGTTAAGTTCAACCGTTTTTAGAATTGTGGTAGGGAAACTATCTACTACAATTAAATATGGTAAAAGGCAGAAAATGGGTCTCTTGCATAGATTTCAAAAGCCAAATCTGGCTGGGCACTGTGGCTCGTGCCTGCAATTCCAGGAATTTGGGAAGTTGAGGAGGGAAGATCATTTGAACCCAGAGCTCAAGACCACCCTGGGCAACATAACAAGACTCTGTCTCTACAAAAACTCAAAAAAAAAAAAAAAAATTCCAGGCACTGCAGTGCCACCTGTAGTCCCAGCTACTAGGGAGGTTGAGGCAGGAGGACTGCTTCAGCCCAGGAGTTCAAGGCTGCAGCAAGCTATGATTGTGTCACTGCCTTTCAGCCTGGGTAACAGGGTGAGACCCTCTCTTTAAAAAAAAAAAAAAAATGCCAAAGCTGCTCTCAGGAAACCCATTTAATATGTATCATACATATCAAAGAATACAAGGAATATTAACATGGAAAAGACAGTTGCTTGTGAATAGGTGAGGCAATCTCATAGGATTCCAAGCCATCAGGCAATTCCTTTTCTAATAATCCATTGTTATAGGGATTCGGTGAGGGTTCTTAATAAAACCAAAGCTCAAAATGCCAAATTCCACACAATTACCTTCAGTTTTTGGCAAAGAAAACTAAATGCAAAATGTGGTCTGGAAGTTGGATTTGCATCAGTGCAAACCTATTTCAGATGATAGAACCAAAATCATGAAAAACTCTAGCCTACAGTCAAAAATCACAATCTAACATTGGTGTATTCTTCGGAGCTCTCTTTTTCAGGTAACTGATTTTTTTTTTTTTTCCTGATCATGTTCTCACAAAGCTACCAGGAATTCTTATTTCTAAGCTCCTGAATCTTGATGTGTATTAAAAAGTACTAAGTAGGCCAGGTGCGGTGGCTCATGCCTGTAATCCCAACATTTTGGGAGGTCGAGGCGGGCGGATCACGAGGTCAGGAGTTCGAGACCAGCCTGGCCAACATGGTGAAACCCCGTCTCTACTAAAAATACAAAAATTAGCTGGGTGTAGTGGCGGGCCCCTGTAATCCCAGCTACTCGGGAGGCTGAGGCAGGAGAATTGCTTGAACCTGGGAGACAGAAGTTGCAGTGAGCCAAGATCACACCACTGCACTCCAGCCTGGGTGAGAGAGCAAGACTCCATCTCGGGAAGAAAAGAAAAAAAAATGTACTAAGTAACTGGAAGTATCAAGTCTGATTCCACATGACTATGAAAGAAAGATGTGGAGACAAAAAAAAAAATGGTGCTTCTTTTACCTTAGAAAATATCCAATTTTGATAAGAAAGTTTTTTTCCTGCAATTTTGCTCTTTATCTCCCCCACCAATAAGCCCTAGCAAGCTCTCCTATCTTTAGAATAGAAGGAAGAACACGGTCCTAGTGGTGAAACACTGGTGTGGGGAACCTAAATTAAAAGCACCCAGGCTCTCATATGCTATCTCAAGGAGCAAGCAGAATCCTGCTACACTACTGGGGTAAGAGGTGAGGCATGGCAATCTCTGCAGGAGGGGCTTCAGCTTACAAGCCCCTCTTGTCATCCACAAGGAAAAATCTGTCATTGTGAACATGAACCTTTAGGGAAAGAGTCCCTCCCAGAGTGCTACCAAATAAAGTCCCTCGAGTCACTGTTGCCAATTAAATTCCAGGAGAAAGACAGTGACAGATGTGGGGGTGCCAGTGGATTTGAGCTCTGTTAGTACAAATACCTTTGCAAGGGAGTGTGCATTGCACAGAGGAAAGCAGCAGTAATGAAATATTTACGTATTTATAAATATCCAGGCATTAACAAGCTTGCCAAACTCATTCCATGCATTTTAAAGAGTGGTTCCAGGAAAGAAAGAGGAAGACATGGCCCTTGATCAAGAGATGGCCACAGATCTAGGAAATCAGGCAGAGTAAACCAAAATCTCCACTCCTGGAGAGTACCCATCATTTTTATTGCTTCAAGGACAACCTTTGACAGTCATAGAAGAGATTATTAAAAGTCCAAGCATGTATCTAATACAATGCCTCCGAAAGCATTTTCCACCCTATTCCCAAGAGATGATCCTGGGGCGGGGTGTGGGGGAAGTCCTCTGGCTAGACAAAGGCTCTGAAAAGTCCTACAGTAAAGAAAGCTGCTAAATGTTGTTTAACCCATGTCGCTGACTTCTTCGGCCATAAGAATCCTTTTATTCACCAAAACATACATCTCACATAGTCCAAATTATCCTTCACACTACCCAACATAGTGGAATTTAATTAGGAAAACTGTATTTGCTTACTCCATATTTTAATGTTGAATTAAACCACAGTGCATTTCTTTTCCTGTGTGGAAGGAAAACAATTTCCTTTAAGAAAGAAAAAAAAAAAAGAAGAAGAACTGAATCAGCATGCCTATGAGGTTCTGCTTGATTTAAATCTTTTTTTAATTTATTGTTCTGGTACCCAGAGGCCAAGGTCAGACTTGCTTTTCTATGAAGACAAAAGTAAAAGACATGACTGCACTACAGGTCATTCTCTGACACTCTAAAGCAACAATGGAGAAACACGACAGGTCTGAGGTGGGCAGGGACTTAGGAGTATTTCTGAGAAGTGTCTGATTTTGATTGATTGCTGGTCTAGCTTATCTGCTTGTTACAGTTTAGGACAAGATCTAACTCTTTTATAAAGTAGAGCCCTGAGTTATTTACCTGGATCCATTTCCATTTAAAACAAATTCTGGAGAAGTGGTGATGGGGAGAGATTAGTTAACAATAATATATTATACAGTTTCAAACAGCTAGAAGGAGGATAGTGAATGTTCCCTGCACAAAGAAATGATAAATGTTGAAGATGATGGATATGCTAATTACCATGATATGATCACTCTACATTATATGCATAAGACATCATTGGGTACCCCATAAATATGTATAATTATTATATGTCAATTTTGAAAAATAAAATATAAAAAAGGAAATTCTCAATGTGAAACAGAATTACAGTTAACCCTTGAGCAACACAAGTTTGAACCTCATGGGTCCACTTACACACGAACTTTTTTTCAATAAATACAGTCGGTCCTCCATATCTGCGGGTTTAGCAGAAAACCAAGCACAGATGGAAAATACAGTATTTGCGAGATACAAAATCCACAGATATGAAGGGCTGGCTTTTTTTATATGTGAGTTCCCAAGAGTCAACTTTGAGACTTTAATATGTGTGGATTTTGGTATCTGAGGGGGTCCGGAAACCAATCCCTCACAGATACTGAGGGAGACTGTAGTACCTCCTCTCCACCTCCCACCCTCATCTTGAGCCAACTCACTTATTAGCAGCTCAGTGTGGCTCACTTGCCTACCCACCAGCTCTAAGCTATTTATACTCTAGGATCAGCCCTAAGTCCAGGCTGAAATGCAAAGATTTCCCTGCTGAAACAGGAATGGCCTTTGATCCTCCCTTAATTTATTTCTGTATTAGTCAGCTATTACCACAATAATGCCACATAACAAAATACCTTAAAACTCAGTGGCTACAACAACAAATGTGTATTTTTCTCACTCACAGTCCTCTGGGTCTGCTGGGATGGTTCACTTTCAACTGCTGGTTGGCTGGCTGAGCTCCAGGCTGTAGGTTGTGTTCGTGTCTGCTCCATGTGTCTTTTTATTTTGAGCCCCAGGCAGAAAAGACAGTAAATACGTAGGTATGCTTTCCTTTTAGTGGATCACTGGAGCATAAGAGACCTTGCCCTATAACCCAAGCACAGGTAAAATATCTGTTTCTGTCATATCTGCTAGCATTCTACCAGCCAAGAAACATCATACAGCCAAGCTCCAAATCAATAGGGTGTGAAATTGAGGGAGAAGGGACTGAATATTTGCTGAACAATAATTCTAACTACATCACTCATCTCCTCCCTTGCTTCTCCTTGCACTATGTATTTTGGGGTCCCTTACCCCTAACTGCTGGTCTGGCTTTACAGCCGCCTGGATGGTTTTGACCTCTTGGACTCTGCCTGCTTTCTAACTTTCATAGGGTCTTTTGGGATGTCAGCCAGAAGGACAATGCTGGAGTGGAGACATAAGAGCCAAAATCTAATCAAGTGGGATGAGTAACATAAAGAATCCTAACCTCAAGTCTTTTACCCAAAGAGTGTGGGTAAAAGACGGGAGCGAGACAGGCAAAAGTAATATGAGGAAGCCCAACTTCATCTTCCGGGTCAAAGGGACCCAACAGAGACAATAATAAGAGATGAACCTCAACGGTAAGAAGCTGAATTGACCCAGAAGCAGGATGAAGGTCAGACAGGCAGGGAGATTCAATGTTCTCCTGGCTAGTTTCCATCTGGTCATCAGGGTCTTATACTGTTGCAGGCCAAGTTTGGTAGAGCAACCTACTTCCCTACCACAAGGCCCAGGTATCCTGCCTCAGGACAGCAGGCTAATGTAGCCCTACTGAACCCTTCACTCACCTCCACACTAGAGAGCAGATGCAAAAGATAATTTTTAAGTCCCCCATTTCAACATCAGCTTAGCCCTCTCCGTGATTAGGAGACAGGCCTCAGCATCCTTCCAAATGATTTCCCCTTTCCCTGAAGCCAGAATTTCCCAAATTTTGCTTCACATTGGAAACACCTAGAGATCATTAAGTCAGCATGCCTGCCCACACTGCAGGCATGCTGACTTAACTGATCTGTGGTAGATCTGGGTACCACAATGTTTAAGAGATCCTTGGGAAATTCTAATAAGCAGTGCCGTTTGGGACCCACTTTTCTAAAAATCTAATCCAGCCAATCAGACTTTGAGAAGAGTTCATTTCAAATTTACAACACAGTTTTGGATAGGCAAAAGGAGACCCCTAGATGACTTGGTAAGTAGGAGCTGAAGGGACCCTAGTTGTTCGGCATAAGAAAATACAGGCCCAAATCCCTTAGTCTGAAACCCAACAGGCTCTGAAAACTGAAAGTTTTTTCAAAACTCAATGGCAGTAAACCCTGACCTGACTTGAATCATTTGGTGTTAAGACCCGACTAGTTATAGTTTTTATTCATCAAACACAGTGTGAATATTCATCCATTTTTCCAGGTAAATATTAACGTGTTTAATTACAGAGTGCTTTTCCAGACCCTGCTGGAGTTGTTACATAACACAAGTTATGTGTACCTTTCTACATTCTGAAAATTCTGAATTCAGAAAACATATGTGTGGCCGAAGAGTTTAGGCTAAGAGAATATGAATTTATACGAGGAATTTGTTTAATTGCTCCTTGGATATAAAGACCAGATAAAAGAAGGGGATAGGAGAGAGAAAAATGATGAGTTAACATAGCCCTTGTGTGACTTAGATAAAAGTGCCCATCTGAGTGGATTAATTAGCGAAAAGGACCACCTCTGAGTAAACACAGGCCTTCCCTCGGGCTCACAGCTTGATAAGCAGATCACAGGCTGGATTTTACCCTCACTCACCTCCCTTGGCCAGATTCTTCTGTGCACTGTACAAACTACACAACCATACAGACGGCCTTACAAAGGAACTTTTATAGCAGCTGGAATCTGAGGTGCAGAAATGAGCAAAGCTCTAAGTACAGGGATGTCTAATATTCAATTTTTAATTGTTTCTGTTAATGAAATGGAAAGGTCTCTGCCTCCCAAACCTTTAACCTAGAGCATACACGAAAGCTTTGGGATGAAATAAATAGGATTACCCACTTGGGGCACGTGCATGGGATAGCATGTAAAGGATAGTATGTGTAAAGATGTCAAGCACGGGAGAACCAGAGTTCATAAGATGGGGCATTGGACTTTCCACCAACTGTTAAATAGAGTTCAAGCTAATTTCATCCAATTGTTAAGGAACAGTGTCTAGTGTGACCCCAACCAATGTCTGAACTACAATAACAAGCTTCAGGCCAGGCGTGGTGGCTCATGCCTCTAATCCCAGCACTTTGGGAGGCCGAGGTGGGCGGATCACCTGAGGTCAGGAGTTGAAGACCAGCCTGGCCAACATGGCAAAACCCCTTCTCTACTAAAAATACAAAATTGGCCAGGCGTGGTGGTGGGTGCCCGTAATCCCAGCTACTCGGGAGGCTGAGGCAGGAAAATCACTTGAACCAGGGAGGCGGAGGCTGCAGTGAGCTGGGATCACATCACCGCACTCCAGCCTGGGTGACAAGAGCGAAACTCTATCTCAGAAAAAAATAATAAAATGAAAATAAAAACATAACAAGCTTCAGAACGATTCTAGAAGAGAAGAGGAAGCTAAGATAGGTTAGGTCATTTGCCCAGTAAATGTGGCCAAAAAGTATCAAAATCAGTGATTCAATGCAGATATTTCTGATGCCAAAGCCAATGCTCACAACTACTACTCTGTTTCTACCCCACAGCAACTGTAACAGCACTTAGTGCCCAAAGGCCACTCCAACAAACCCACAAATGGTGACCACCCAGCCCTTTGCATATTTGCATATTCAAGGATCTCGTTAAAACTAGGCCTTATCAAACTAAGCCATGATAAACACCCTACCACACAAATACAAGCATGTGAAACACTTAACTAGCTCCTGTGTACTTGTGTGCCTCATTCACATTTATGTAAACTCCACAATACAAATGTACTCACAATTTCAGCTATATTTTAATGTTTTCCTTTGGGCATTTCATTTGTAGGATCCATTAAACTGAACGTCACCACTAGTTACTTAGAACCAAAAAAGCACTCTCATGTACCAGGCAAAACTGAAAACATTCTCAGCATTGTTTATCAGCAAGGGTGGTTTCCATTACCTGCACCCTTTGAATATGCAACAGACCACAAGAAATTCAACCAATTCAGGATGCAGCAGTACCCTGACCTATGACTATACACAGAGTTGTTTGCTTAAATTCCCATCAAACTCAGCCACCAAATTGCACCAGTGATTGATATGGCACTTAATAAGCAACATAGATAAATTGAAAATATAAATTTCCTGCTGTTGGTGACTGTGGCAGACACTGCTGATTATCTCTGTGGCAATAGCTAACTATGCATCAAGAAACTTATCCACCCCAGAGGAGATTCTGGAGTACTAATTATTTTCTGTTTCTAGATCTAGATACTGGTCACATAGGTGTGCTAAGTTTATGAAAATGCATTGGGCTATACATTTATCATATAAGCATCTTTCTGATTTGTTCTATGCTTTAATTAAAAGTTTTTTTAATCAGTTATCCAATATACACAATATAGGCAAATGAAAAGAATAAACTGAGAAAAAAAATGTTATCTTCCATTCTAGGTGTACAGTTGTGACTAGAAGCAGATATCCAGGCAGGAAACTTTCCCAGGATTGCTTGCTTCAAGATAAAGCCCTGTGACTAGTTCTCACCCACAAAATGTGAGCAGAAGTGATATGTGCCATTTCTAGGTCATGGCGGCTACAGCACTGTGTACTTTCTCTACCCTCCCTTCCCATCTGTCCAATGAATGAAGAACACTCCCTTGCCCTAGAGGATGGCAGCACAACATGTTAACAGGCTGACCACTGACCAAGAACACCCACATTGAACTTTTAATGGCCTAGAAATAAAATTCTGTTGTGTTAAGCCATTGAAATTTTAGAGTTTCGTTGTTAAGGCAGCTAGCATTACCCTAACATATATACCTACCTAAAATCTGTTCACTCCTTCTTGACTAACAGAATCCTGTTTTTGTTTAGGTTGACAATGTGTCCACTTAAAAATACTGATCTCCTTAGATTATCTTGCAGTGAAATTTGATTATGTGACTCAGTCCTGATCAATGAGATGTAAATGGAATTTGCTGGCTATGACCTCCAGGAAAGCTCTTTAAAAGATTCAACTTTATCCTGTGTGGAGCACAGACATGCTACATGTAGATGTCACAGCCATTTTGCAACCATGAGAGCCTGAGAGCTAAAGATATCTTCCCCCAGGAGTAACCACTATCCTTCCCAGTCTCTATTATTTTCAGCACTCCCCAGTCACACATACATACATATCCAACGCACATGTGCACAAACATTTCTTTCCAAAATGGCAGTTGGGTATAAGAAGGAGGGGGTTCAAGTGTCTTCATGTGAATGACATGGTGATTACCTCAGATCTGCACAGCGTCCTCTAATGCTGTTCCTCATCTTCATGAGACAGAATATCCAGGACCTACATGTCCAAAGGGCTTCTTTTTCTTCCTCAGTCTCTCACTCTGTCTGACTCCTCTTATCCCCTCAAACATCTCACCAGAAGGGACAGGCTTTCTCTGTGTCATATTCTCCTTCTCAATTCCAGCTTTGAGGCTAAGCCTAGATGGGGATAAGTATTTCTTTTTTTACTAAATAAGAGAAAGTCTAGGGAAACTGGCTTTTGCTATGAAAAAAAAACAACTAAAGAAATTTAGAAAAATCTCCCTTCTCAACAATGCCTAATGCTCAAACCTATCTCTTGCTAAAGAAGTCAGGAACCTAACCTCTCCTGCCTGAATCACTAAAGCCTCCAGGCTTAGAGTTCAAGGAGAATCTAGTAGCTTAAAATAACAACCATTTATTCTGCTCATGAGTCTGCAGGTCAGCTGGGCAGTTTCTTTTGATCTCAGCTAAGCTCACTCATGCATCTGCAGTCCAGCTGTGGATTGGCTAGTTGGGTCTGCTGATCTTAGCTTGGTTCACTCTCACATGCCCAGGGGTCATATGACTATCAGTTGTTCTACAAAGGCCTTGGCTGCTCCATATGTCTCATTTTTGCGCAGGCTAGCCTGGCCATGTTCTCAGCGCAGTCACAGAGGAATAGCAGAGAAAGCAGAAATGCACAAGGACTTTCACAAGCCTCTGCTTACAAAAAGTCCGCTAATATAATGTCCTACAGACCAGTGAAAATCACATGAAGCCCTTATTTAAGTGATGGGAAAATAGACACCCTCTCTTTAGTGAGAGAAACTGCAAAGTCTTAAGGCAAGGGGCATGGATTCAGAGAGGGTTTAAGAGTTGGTACTTTAAACGCAAACAATCTGCCATATCCACCAATATCATCTGCCATTGATGTAGATCAGATCCCCAGCACTGCCAGACTGGCCCACAAGCTTGGGACAAGAGAAAGCCCTCAAGCAGAGAGTTGCAGATACACGGAGTAGCACAATACTGACAATTACTGAAATGGTGATGCTGAGGGGATATGGGGGGCAGTTGGCAGTCAATCTACAGTTTGGTGGATAGTCCATGATAGAAATGACCCATCACATTCTCACTCAGGAATTAGTACCAAGATCTAGACAGTTGTGATAGAAAAAAAGAGACACAGCTGGGCATGGTGGCTTATGCCTGTAATCCCAGTATACTGGGAGGTGGAGGCAGGAGGAATGTTTGAGCCCAGGAGTTTGAGACCAGCTTGGGCAATATAGTGAGACCCTGTCTCTACAAAAAAATTTAAATATTAGTCAGGCATGGTGGTATGCTCCTATGGTCCCAGCTACTAGGGAGGCTGAGGTGAGATGATCACTTGAGCCTGGGAGGTCAAGGCTGCAATGAGCCATGATCATGCCACTGCACTCCAGCCTGGGTGACAGAGCAAGACCCTGAAGAAAAAAAAAAGAAAGAAAGAAAGAAAAGAAGAAAGAGAGAAAGAGGAAAGAAAGAAAGAAGAAAGAAGGAAAGAAAGAAAGAAAGAAAGAAAGAAAGAAAAGAAAGAAGAAAGAAAGAAAGAAAAGAAAGAAAGAAAGAAAGAAAGAAAGAAAGAAAGAAAGAAAGAAAGAAAGAAAGAAAGAAAGAAAGAAAGAAAGAGAAAGAAAGAGGAAGGAAGGAGAGGGAGGGAGGGAAGGAGGAAGAGAGAGAGAGAGAAAGAGAGAAAGAGAAAGGGAGGGAGGAAGGGAGGGAGGAGGGGGAAGGGAAGGAAGAGAGACACTAATTAGCAGGACACACAGAGGAAAATAGAGCTTCTAAGATTAGGTCTAGTTGCAAGCTGTAATATATAGCCATGTGTACTTTGTAATGAATGCCCTTTTCTTGAAAATACCTAAGTGAATCTCTGTGTATACCGACTGCCCAAAATGGGCCAAATTCTCTGTCTCCCCCTGTATCTCCCTGATCAATACCCCTTTGCAATGTGACTTTGTAGGTCCTCTAATCAAATATCTATTTTCATACCCTTTGAATTTGGGCTGGTCTTGTCACTTCTTTTGACAATAAAATGCAATAGAAGTGATAGTGAACCAGTTCCAAGTCTGGGTCTTAACAGGTGCATGATTTTGTCCTATTTTTGGAATCCTTGCCAGTGCCACAAAAACAAATGTTGAAGAATGAGAGAAACCATGTGAAAGAGAACAGTCATTCCAGCCATCCAAGTCATCCAAGCCCCTTCAACAACAGCTGACCTTCAAGCACATAAGAGAGCCCACTTAAGATCAGCAGACCTGCCTACCCAACCTAGAGCTGATTACAAACATATGAAGCAGCTCATCCCAGGTCAGAAGAACTTCCTAGCCAATACATAGGATTTTTGTTCTTTGGTGTGTTCATATGGTAGATTATATTGGTTCATTTTCAAATACTGAGCCATCCTTGCATTCTCAGGATAAATCCCACTTTGTTGTATTGCATTATTCTTTTTATATATTCTTGGATTCAATTTGCTGATATTTTGTTGAAGATTTTTGTATCAATGTCACTGGTCTATCTTCTTTTCTTGTACTATCTTTGGTTTTTGTATCAAAGTAATGTTAGAGTTGTATCATGAGTTTGGAAGTATTCCCTCCTTGTTTATTTTATATAAGAGATTTTGTAGAAATGGTGCTTTGGTCTTCATTAAGTGTTTGGCAGAATTCACTAGTAAAGCTCTCTGGGTCTAAAGTTTTGGGATTTGGTTTTGTTATTGACTTTTGTTTTCTGTGGGATTTTTTTTTGAAGATTCCTAAATATGAATTCAATCTCTTTAAAAGATATAGGACTATTTTTTCTTAAATAACTTTTGCTAATTTTTTTTCTTTCAAGGAATTGGTCCATATTATCTATGTTGTTGAATTTATGTGTATAGAGTTATTTATAGATTTTTCTTATTACCATTTTAAAGTCTGCAGCGTCTGTAGTAATATTCCTATTTCATTTCTGATGTTGATTATTTGTGTCTTTTATTTTTTCCCTGGAGCGTATGGATAGATGTATTGTATTAGCCTGTTCTCACACTGCTATTAAAGACATACCCAAGACTGGATAATTTAAACAAGAAAAAGGGTTTAATGGACTTACAGTTATACATGGCTTGGGAGGTCTTACAATCATGGTAGAAGGCAAGGAGGAGCAAGTCACATGTTATGTGGATGGCGGCAGGAAAAGAGAGAGCTCGTGCAGGGGAACTCTTTTTAAAACCATCTGATCTTGTGAGATTTATTCACTATCCTGAGAACAGCACAGGAAAGACCTGCCGCCATGATTCAATTACCTCTCACCGGTTCTCTCCCACAACACATGGGAATTCGAGATGAGATTTGGGTGGGGACAAAACGAAACCATATCAGGTATTATGTATGTATTATTGATGTTTTCAAATAATTGCCTCTTTGTTTCATTGACTTTTCCCTATTTTTCTGTTTTCTATTTTATTGATTTATGCTTTTATATTTATTATGTCTTTCCTTTAGCTTTCTTTTGAGCTTATTTTGCTCTTCTTTTACTAGTTGCTTAAGGTGGAAGCTTACAGATTTGAAACTTTTCTTCTTTTTTAATATGTGCACTTAATGCCAAAAATTTGAATCTAAACACTGCTTTAGCTGCATCCCACATATTTTAATACGATGTGTTTTTATTTATTTCAAAATATTTTTTAATTTGCCTTAAGATTTCCTCTTTGATTCATAAATTATCTGGAATTATGTGTTTAATTTCTAAATACTGAGGGATTTTCCATATATATATATATATATATATATATATATATATATATATATGTATATATATATATGTATTTTTTGTTTGTTTGTTTGTTTTTTGAGATGGATTTTCACTCTTATCACCCAGGCTGGAGTGCAATGGCACAATCTTGGCTTACTGCAACCTCCGACTCCCTGGTTCAAGCAATTCTCCTGCCTCAACCTCCCAAGTAGCTGGGATTACAGGCATGTGCCACCACACCTGGCTAATTTTTTTGTACTTTTAGTAGAGATAGGGTTTCACCACGTCGGTCATGCTGGTCTCGAATTCCTGACCTCAGGTGATCCACCCTCCTCAGCCTCGCAAAGTGCTGGGATTACAGGCATGAGCCACCACATCCGGCCCAGATATCTTTATTGATTTCTAGTTTGTTTTCATTAAGGTCAGAGAACATACTTTGAGTTATTTCAATTCTTTTACATTTATTCAAGATTGTTTTATTATTGAAGATATGGTTTATCATGATGAATATTCATATGGACCTAAAAATAATGTGCATTTTGCTATTGGTAAGTAAAGTGTTTTTTAATGTCAATTAGATCAAGCTGGTTGATGGTGTTACTTAGATCTTCTATACCCTTGCTGATTGTCTACTTTTTTGATTAGCTGGTAAACTAGAAGCATTGAAGTTACCAACAGTAATTGGATTTGTCTATTTCTCTTTTCAGTTCTATTAGTACTTGCTGTATGTATTTGAAGTCTTCAACTATGGTAGTTGGATTTGTCTATTTCTTCTTGCAATCTTTTAGTTTTTGTCTAATTTATTTTAACAGTGTGTTTTTTGGTGCATACACAGTAAGGATTGTTATGTCTTCCTACAGAATTTGCCCCTTTATTATTACGTAATGCCCTCCTTTGTCCATAATAATTTTCCTTGCTCTGAAGTCTGCTGTGTCTGAAGTTAATATAACTACTCTAGCTTTCTTTTCATTAGTGTTAGCATGGCATAACTTTCTCCATCTCTTTATTTAAACCCTATCTGTCTTAATATTTAATGGGAGTTTCTTGTAAGACAATACATAGTTGGGTCTTATTTTGTGTCCACTTTAACAGTTTCTGTCTTTTAATTAGTGTATTTAGACCATTTACATTTAAAGTGATTTTGGTATATTTGGATGAATATCTACCATATTTGTAACTGTTTTCTATGTGTAGCCTTTGTGTCTCCTCTTTTTTTGGTATTTCCTTCTTTTTCTGCCTTCTCTGGTTTTAATTGAGCATTTTATACCATTCTATTTTCTCTCCTCTCTTAGCATTCAATTATCCTTCTTTTTAAAAATTTTTACTGGTTGCCTAGAGTTTGCAATATACATTTACAACTAATCTAAGTCCACTTTCAAACAACACTGTACCACTTCATAGCTAGTACAGTTATCTTGTAATACAATATGCCCAATCCCTCCCTTCCATCCCTTATGAAATTGCTGCCCTTTGTGTCACTATCCATAAGGTATATCATCCAATATATTATTATTTTTAACAAACTGTTAACTATTGTTAGAGCAATTAAGGATAAGAAAAGATTTTATTTTACCCTCATAATTTCTTCTCTAACACTCTTCCTTTCTTTATGTAGATCTGAGTTTCTGACCTATATTATTTCCTTCACTCTAAAGAAATTATTTTAACATTTCTTACAAGGCATGTCTTGGGACAAATTCCTTCACTTTTATCTAAAATGTCTTATTTCATTTTCACTTTTAAGGGATAATTTTTCTAGACACATAATTCTAAGTGGATAGCTTTTTTCTTTTGACACTTTAAATCTTGTACTTTACATTCTTCTTGCTTGCATCATTTCTGAAGAGAAGTCTAGTGTAATTCTTATCCTCATTATTTATAGGTAAGGTGGTTTTCTTCCCCTGGCTTCTTTGAAGATTTGTGTCTTTGATTTTCTGTAGTTTGAATATGATGTGCTTTGGTGTCAGGATTTTTGTTTTGTTTTTGTTTTACTATGTATCCTACTTGATGTTCTCTAACCTTCCTGGATCTGTGGTTTGTTGGATGTCATTAATTTTGGAAAATTCTCAGACATTATTATTCCAAGTATTTCTTCTGTTCCTTTCACTTTTTTGCCTCTGGTATTCCCACTACATGTATATTATACCTTTTGTAATTGTCCTAGATTTCTTGGATATTCTGTTCCAGTTTTTCATTCTTATTTCTCTTTGCCTTTCAGTTCACCCCGTTTCTATGAACACATCTTTAAGCCCACTGATTCTGTCCTCGGCCATGTCCAATTTACTGATGAGTCCCTTAAAGGCATTCCTCATTTCTGTTATCATGTTTTTTATTTCTAGTATTTCATTTTGATGCTTTTTTAGAGTTTACATCTTTCTGCTACATTTTTTTCTTCTAGCACCCTTAGTATATTAATCATAGTTACTTTAAATTCCTCATGTGATAATTCCAAAATTTCTGCCACATCTGAATCTGGTTCTGACATTTCCTTTGTCTTCTCAGAATACGTTTTTTGCTAGAAGCAGTTTCTTGACTTCTAAGCAACATTATCTTCCTTATGTTGCTTTTCCAGTCATTCCGGGACTTTTGCTATGTTAAATCCCTCTCTGTTTAAACTACCTGGAAAGGTTTCAATTTTCCTATTCGATGATGACTGGGACAATAGATGAAGTAGGGTCCTCACATGTGGTCTCTGGGGATGCCATGCATAAGCAGCTAAAAGAGTTCTTATTAATACAATTGGAGAAAAATATATTTTTTAAGTTGCGCCTTGGGGAGCAGCAAAGAGATCAAGTTTATCACTGCAGTACAAATGATAAAAGAAAACAGAAGCTTAAATCCATAAATTTGCTTGTGCTCTTGTCCTGCTCTTAAGTATGCTATTTAGCCTGAACATGATATACACAGCTATTAAAATTAAATATGAACCCTGTGACATCTAGTATGATGAGGAAACTGTGACCACCACCACTGGCATCAGGCCATAATCATACAGTCTGTGGCACTGCCACATCCATGCCAGGAATTCTAACTCACAGCCTTAAAATTTTTTAATTTAAAAAAATTATTAAAAATTAAAGGGAAAAACTACAGTTGATGTCCTTCAATAGGTGAATGGATAAATAATAACTGTAGTCCATCTGTACAATGAAATATTATTCAGCATAAAAAAATAGTTATCAAGCCACAAAAAGGTACAAATGAGGCCAGGCACCATGGCTCACACCCACAATCCCAGCACTGTGGGAGGTCCAGGTAGGTGAATCACCTGAGCTCAGGAGTTCGAGACCAGCCTGGCCAACATGGCGAAACCCCACCTCTACTAAAAATACAAAAATTAGCTGGGCATAGTGTTGGGGACCTGTAATCCCAGCTATTCGGGAGGTTGAGGCAGGAGAATCACTTGAACCCGGGAGGTGGAGGTTGCAGTGAGCCAAGATCGCACCACTGCACTCCAGCCTGGATGAAAAGAGTGAAACTCTGTCTGAAAAAATAAATACATAAATATATAAATTTCTATATTTGGAAATAAAACTATTGTTACACTTAAAAGAATATTGTACAAAAGATGCTCAGTTTAGAGATAGAGCCATTAGTTAATCCATATAACAAGAGGAGAATCATATTTTCTCATAAATTTCATCCTTTCATGCATTCCCATGGGAGCCAAAAAGTTAAGACATTATTATATCAGAAATAAAAACCATAGGTTGAATTACCCCACAAGTAGGACTGTTCCTAAGGCAGGTTTTTAAATCTTCTGTTTTGTAGAAATTAATCCTTCCACAAACATAACAGAAACTGCAAGCTTAACTTCATATTTATATAAAGAGAAGGAGAGAAAGGAACACAGACCAATATACACATACCATTTTAGAAAGCGGTGTCTTGCAAACACAATCACATTTTGCTTCTTCATGCTAAATCAAGATTGCAGGGTCATTCAGAAGTGAAATTAAATGAGGGAATGATAACAATATGCTTGAGTAGTTTTATTTGTGCCAGTCTGGAAAAGTATATTACACCCCAAAGAAAGAAATAATAGTACAGCTGAATGACAGCATATTTATTGCTTATTGCAAGAAAAAAAATGAATTATTTCAAAGCCATAAAACTATATTTGATAAATATGTTTAAGACAATAAACATAAACAAATCTTTGTTTATAATATGACCTTACTCAAACTATAGTTCATCCATGCTTCTGTGATGGTTAGTTAAAGCTAGACTCTGATTGAATAAGCAAAAGAGATTTTTCAAAGGATGGTAAGTAGTTCACAAAATCCTCTGGAAATCTCGAGAAACAGGCTTGAGATGAGCTCCCAGGAACAATTCCTAAACCCACACTGCAGAACTAGTCTGATGACAAAAATGTTATCACTACCACTGCCACCAAGCAGTATTTATGAGTTCGTACCACTACCACATCCATGCCAGAAATTCTACCTCACAGCCTTAACCTCCCAAGAGAGAGATTTATTTTAAGGACTTGGCTCACATGACTGCAAAGGCTTAGCAAGTACAAAATCTGATAGGGTAGACCAGCTGGGAGGAATTGCAGTAAGTCCAAAGGCAGTCGCTTGAGACCCAGAGAACAGCCAATGTTGTGGCTGGAATCCAAAGGCCATCTGCTGGCAAAATTCCGCCTTGCTTGGGGAGAGGCTAGACTTTTGTTCTATTTAGGCCTTCAACTGATTGGATGAGGCCCACCCACACAATGAAGGGCAATCTGATTTGCTCAAAGTCCCAATTTAAATATTAATCACATTCAAAAACACCTTTATAAAAACATCCAGAATCTAGATAGTTTGACCAAATATCTAGATGCCATGGCCCAGCCAAGTCAACACATACAATTAACCATCATGTTATTCCAGCTCTATTCTGTCACAAGCTTTTGGGTAAAGGTTTGGCAAAGATCTGATGAACAAAGTGAATCAAGCAGGAAAAAGAGGACACACTCAGAAAGATACTTTCAGAAAGTTTATTAGGGGGGCTGTTTGCAATGGTGTGGGAAAGGATGGTAAAGCACCCAAAAACTAGCGACAGGGGGAAAACATTACTGCACCTAGATCTGAAGGGCCAAGGGAAAGGAGCTATTCTGGAACCTGGTGACAGCTTCCCTTCCCAAGCTGGGCTCTTAGGTATAGAAATGTAACAACAGTAGGAACACTGCTCAGCATAGATGGAGCTGGGGGTTAATGTCCCCACTGCACTCCCCTCCCACTCTCCAACTGCCTGCCATTGCTGCCATTGGCCAAACCCAACCAGAAGCAAGAGACAAGGAAACCTTGGTGATGTAGTCCATCCAAGTCAGCCTCCTGGAGGACAGGAAAGGTAGAGAATGGTGGAGAGTGGATCTGGAGGGACAAACAGAAGAAACCCATATCACCCAAAGCCTAGCTCAGAGGCCTGAGCACCAGCTGTTGGAGAGACCAGGAAGGTGAGCTCTGCCTTCTACCTTCAGGAGGTGGATTTTAAATGATGGAAAATTCCAAGGTAGAAAAAAGGAAGGTGTTCCAGTGATGCTGGGTGGCTACAAGCAGGACAACTGGACAACTGTCCTCTTTAAACTCAGTTGGGTACTGTTCCCAATATCATGGACATCTTCAACATCAGTTGGGTACTGCTCCCAAAATCATGGACATCTTCAAGCAGTAGCCACTGCTGTGGTACACATCTCTCAAGGGTACCTCCTCACATGCAGGCCTTTCTCTTCTCTTCTAGAATTTTCTTTCTCCTAGGACCACAAACTCTTTGCATTTTCATCCAGGCCAATATCTTTTCTCTTGGAGGAGATTAGA
This sequence comes from Homo sapiens, assembly GCF_000001405.40. Lineage (NCBI taxonomy): Eukaryota > Metazoa > Chordata > Mammalia > Primates > Hominidae > Homo > Homo sapiens. The sequence goes on from NC_000003.12 coordinate 31,432,748, forward strand.
CATTTCCTAATATTATCTGAGAGAAAGAAACAAGAAACAAATGAACACACTTGCACAAAATTAAAACTTTTCATTCCAGCAAGGACACTCTGAATATATAATTTAGTGCCCAAATCTCCTATTTAATCTTAGAAATACTCAAAGTCAAAGGACCTTGGCCTGACTCCAGGAGAGATTCAGAAAGGACACACAGCAGCCTCCTGCTGTCCCTGTGGCAGCTCAGGTGATGAACCACCAATCTGCAGTTTGGGGCAATGGAAACTGGCATCAGCCTATGTGGTGAATTCTCAGGGTTTTATCTTGCCTTGGCATTCATTTTGAATACAAGTTTAACTTTCTCATACCAGAAGCAGGGCTCAGTCATCCTGGACACAGTTTCCAGTTCTACACCACATGCAAATGGCTCAAGCCAGTGGCCAGAGATAAGAACTTAGAGGTATCTCTCCCACCTGGCAGACTGGGCTCCCTGTTTTCCTGCCACTTCTTTCAAACGGATGATTCAGACGTTTGCCTGCAAACTTAAAGTGATCCACATTATTCTCTTATACATGCTCTAGTTGCCACATGCTCACTCTCGTGTTCTTGCTCTCTCGCTGTCTCTCTCTCTCTCTCTCTCTATCTGCCTGAGCCTTCTTTACTGCCTTAGGTGATCCGGGGACAAAAGACTGCCCTCCTGACTCATTATGTCCTCCTTGCTCGGAAAGTAAAAATCTTTGAACTTGTTTCCTCTTTGGTGATGTATTGAATTTGCACATTTCATCTGAAGAATCAGGGGCTTCCCCAAACCAGGTTTTCCTTGGGACACTGGAAAGAATGTGAGGTCAGGCTCCCACGGCCAGAGTGATGGTCAGGCAGGCATAAAGTGGACATGGGTCAGACAAGAGCCACAAGGATGTCTGCCAGTATAAACAAACTTCCCATTTGCAAGACTCCTGGTCACAAGTTGAACCACTAGGCTTAAGGCCATCTGCCATGTAAAGAAGTATAGTATGCTAAGAGAGGCAAACCATAAACACCCACAGGCAGCTTCCCCTGGGCAGAGTCACTAGCCACTCTGGTACTGGAACCCCAATTTAGCTGCAGACTTTCAAAACAGCTCCTCCTCCAGGTGTCTCCTAAAAACCACATACACACCATGCAAATTTAATATTAAAGTCTAGAGCTTTTACCTCATAAACCATCCCTGTAAAAATTGACCAAGGTCAGAAGTCACAAATGGTAGCCCATGGATCAAATCTGCCCTGAAAAGTATTTCACTGGGCTGCATTCTGTTAACCTACATCAATTTTAATATCATTTTTTTCATTGCCAACATTTAAACATTGGGAAATTCAAAACCAAAATCCAGATTACAAGATTCTCCTGAAAATTAGGATGCTCTGGGAAGACTGGACTCATATCCCACAGCACAACACAGCAGCACTCAACAGGAGCTGAGAAATCCCTGACTTCTTTTGATAGGATGTGTGCTGTTCAGGTCACCACTTTTGTGCCCTAGAAGCCAAGGTTAACCATGAGTAACTGATTGTCATTATATTCCTGCTATTGTTTTTCTTATAGTTATGTTAGAGAGATAAGTATTTTTCACACACATCTCTATCAAAATACAATGAAATTTAGACTAAGAGAACCATGTTTCAAGAGAAAGGAGAGGGTGTATATTTTTGTGCTGAAGTGATCCAGCCTGTCTCACTCATTTATGCTTTCTGCATAGGTCTGAGCCACATTTGGGGCTGTGATACCTGGAGTGACCCTTATCGACTTCTTTAGACCCACTTTTGCCTCTCAGTTCCTTACTTGACTTAACTTGCTTGTATAATTCTAAACACGAAAGTAATTTTTTAAATACAAAATGCCACCTATGGTCTTGTCTGATCCATAAGAATGGAGACACCTGATTTCTTCTTTATTCAGTTATTCAGTATTCATTCAACAAATAATTACTGAGCATTATGGGCAAAGCACTTTGCTAAGCACCACAGATACAGCAACAAGCAAGACCAGTGTGATCCTAGCCCTTGTGGAGCAACCAGTCTCTGCTTTTCTAGAAATGAACTGGAGTTTATTACGATGTAGGAGCCTCATTTTTCAGTGAGTGACTTCACAGCTTATTTCTAAGCCAGCACACTGGCCTGGAAAAGTGTTCTTGAATATGGTGATTTTATTTCTATGAGAAAAAATCGGACAAAGAGGTAGAAGGACAAAAATTATTTTCACTAACTGGGGCCCAAATATTTTCATTACTACATCAGTCAGGTTAAGCTGTTGTGCTGCAGTAACAAATGACCCCAAGTTTGGTCCATCACAGATCAGCTATAGTGCTTCTCCAGGTCAGCTTCACCCTGGGGATCAGACTGATGGAGCTGACTGTTTGTGACCTGGCTGGTTTGTAGCAGAAAGAAAGAGGTATGGTAAAAATCACACAAGAGCCCTTAGATCTTCTGTTTGCAAGTCTTGCACATCACTTTCACTTATATTCCTTTGGACAAAGCAAGTCACATGGCCATACCTGAGTTCAGCAGGGCAGGGATATATAACCCTCCAGCAGAAGAGATACCACAGGAAGGGCATTTCAGGGAAAGACAATGTTTTCAACAATAACACAATCTATCACAAATAGCCATACAATCAGCCACTGGATGATGAGGGTCATCTGGTCCCTAGAGATCAAAACAAAAACAGTTTTGGCATAAAAATCATATCTGCAACAAATTGATAGTCTCTAATGAAAAAGCCAAATAACATAGCAGAGGAAGAAAATGAAAATCTCAGAGTCACTTGTGTTCCCTCGTTCCTCACTGAAACAGCCCCAGCCACATGTTTTCCTCACAAGGCAGATGAATGCTCGCTATGTATCATGACCCCATTCCAAGGTGAAGTTTCTTCCTGCCTTCTCATCATAGCCTGAAACAGGAAACCTAGAAAATTGTTTTGGGGGGATATTAAATAACTTCCTGATTTAATTGATTGATGAATAATAACTTCTAAAATTAGCTCTGCATTTCATTCCATAATGTCTGGGTGAAATCCGCTCAGCTTACCTGAAATCTTAGGAAAGGCAAATACTGAACAAACTCCCTTTAAGCTCCTAAAATTGTTATTCTCCAGTTTTCTTCCAGTCCTTACACACAGGGAGGGGAGAGCAGCTCACATCCATTTGTATAGCTTCTCTTTCCAAGAGCACCCACAGGTTTATAATTATAACCATCCAAAGGCCTTCATTCTCTCTTCACCCCTTTAGAAGAAGATAAAAATTGGGCATAAAGATTGATAACTGCAATTACTTCCCACTCAAGCTAACTCTTACCTTTACTCCCCCAAAATTTACCAGTATAAATTAGAAAATACAGATGCAGAAGGCAGCTGTGTTATTCATAAAGATCTAGGACAGGAATCAGAGGACTGTAATACACAAATGCCTAGCAGACAGGAAAGAAATCCTCCTTGTCCCCAGAAAAGAAGGCACTTAACCTCAATAGGGAGAAGAGGGAGAGGAATCCTGAGGCTTTTAAAACAATTATCCATATTTGCAGACCATCTGAGTTGCAGTTTATTTGTTTAGTTTACTTTCAGCCTCAAAGAGGCATATATTAAAGTTCCCCAAGTTATTCTACTATAGGCTACAAATGTTGATTCCAGGATAAAACATAATTAAAAATAGAAATATTCTTGTCATGAATCTGAAACCCTTTTTGAAACTGCCCTTGCAAAACAACAAAGCTAACTGTCTTTGCTCATTCCCGGGCATAGGCCAAGCTAACTGTGAGAAGAATGTAGTTTATAGTTGAACTTTAAAATGAAGATGATAACAGCCCCTTCCCAAAATGAACCCCCTCTTTATTCAGGGACTGAAACTGCCTTGTAAAACTAATAAATTGGCTGCAAGGCTAGAAATAGGTTCAGGAGTCATGTGGCCAGAGGTCACAAGATTTGTAACCTCCCCAGTTGCTACTATATATGACACCGCTATTGTAAAACCTTAACTGGTGTTTGAGGTATCTTTCAAAGCTTGCATTTTGGTAGACTAGCTGGAAACATGTAACCCATACCAAGAAACAGGTTCAACTGGTCTTGTGACTCCTACCCAGGAAGTGACCCAAGAAGACAGCTTCAACCTCCTGTGATTTCATTCCCAACCCAACCAATCAGCATTACACATTCTCTACCCTCCTGCCCACTAAATTATCCTTGAAAAACTCTAGCCTTTGAATTCTCAGGGAGGCTGATTTGATTAATAACTCCCATCCTTCAACTTGGCTGGCCATGTGATTATTAAACTCTTTCTCTACTGCAACCCTGCTGTCTCAAGTAATTAGCTTCATCTGTGCAATGGGAAAGATGAATCTGTCTGGCATTACATTCTGTAAAGATCTAAATGCGGGAGGCCAAATGTGCTTTTTCAAATTTAAGCTCCTGAGCCCATATTACCACTTCCTCTAACACTGATTTCTAACCTCAGCAAGTATTGAGCAAGCATTTGTACAGCAGGTGTACATACAAGACAGAACGGTCAAATAAACAAGCACCCATGTAGTCTTAGAGAAATTCTTCCCATAAAACATGAGATTTGCATTTTCATTAGCTTGAGTTTATTGACAAGGAAACCTAGAAAAATCCTGATAGAGAAGCCAAGAAGTATAGTGGGAAATTTTCTCAAAGCCAAGCCACAAAGATGGCATTATACACTGCAAAAGTGGGCGCCTTCTAAGATGTAAGTGATATGATCAAAAAAGAAAGAATGATGTGCATATAGTTGTGATTGAGTGGTAAGGTATTGGATTTGTACTAGAGATATAGACATTAATAAGATAGACACAATTTCTGCCCCTCATGGAGCATATAGTTTATGAGGAAAGATAGATAAGTACTTGGAAATTTGATGAGCATTGTGAAAGAGGAGGTGGAGGGAGTTGTGGATTATGAATGGACATTTAATTTGGGACAGTTAGAAAAGGTTTCTTAATCAGTATATCAAAGAGATGTCTGCATTCCCATGTTAGTGCAGCATTATTCACAATAGCCAAGATATAGAATCAACCTAGGTGTCCAACAAATGAATGAATATAGAAAATGTGGTATATATACACAATGGAATATTATGCAGCCATAAAAAGAATGAAATTCTGTCATTTGCAGCAAGATGAATGGAACTGGAGATCATTAAGTGCAGTGAAATAAGCCAGGCACAGGAAGACAAATATTGCATGTTCTAACTCATATGTGGGGGCTAAAAAGTGAATCTCTTGGAGGCAGAGAGTAGAATGATGGTTATGAGAGGCTGAGAAGAGAAGGGAGAGAAATGAGGAGAAACTGGTTGAATAACTAGAAGAGAAGAACTGTATTGTTCCCAAAATTTAAAAAAAAGATCAATATTGGACGTGATGGATATCCCAATTACCCTGGTTTGATCATAACACATCGTATGCAAGTATCAAAATAACATATGCACCCCCAAAGTATGTACGACTATTATATATTAATTGTTAAACACTTTAAAAATAAAATTTAGGAAAGAAAAGCCTTCCTTGAGGCTTGGAAGCTGAGACCTAAATATTGTGTGGTCTATTAATTAAAACACATGGCAGCTCATACGGCTGCCCACAGCAGTTCTCACTGTTGTCAGCTCCCCACCTTTGCATCTGAGAAGCTCCCACCAGGCACGGTGCATCACAATCATCAAAGCTCAGCAGCAAGCCACCCACCTGATTCCATTAGGAAGACAACAAGACAGATAAGTGGAGAAATATGTTGAGAACTATCATGAGTCCAAGAAAGTTTAAATGGAAAAACCCAAAGTTTATTAGATGGGTCATCACAGAAGTGAGCTGATTTGAATTCTGTAAAATAGATAGTCACAAACTCCTGCCAAAATCATGATAACTACTTCCCACAGTCAAGAATAGTGCTCCACTTTTTTGATACAGTCTTTAAAAGATAATGAGATACAAAACTTCAGCTTTATAAATGAAACAAGAAGGAGGAACTTCTTGTCAATCTTTTGACAAAAGTATTTGAACACTTTCCTTCTAGATTGGTAGAAAAAGAAAACTAACAGCAGATGTTATCAACAGTCAATATGACTCTGAAATTTAAAGACAAATGTACATTGATTTTCTCAAACGTCATGTTTCAGTCAGAACTGTAGCATTTGATCCCATATTTCTCATAACAACAATAAGCAACTATCCAGCTTAATCAGCAATAATCTAGTTGGCAAACAGATGCGTGCAGCTTGATCCAGCTAACAGGGCTGGATGTGGAGACCTCTTAGCAAATTGACTAGGACAACTACATGAGTATTAATGTTTTGTCTTTTGAAAATGTGTGATCATAACAAATAAACATGTTCTTTGATTTAATGCCCATAATTAGGATCCCAGTTTCTTCTGGGGTTATTTTAACCACCTGTGACATCTTGTTCATTAGCTACACAAAGAGAACCTGAGATGAACCAAAGAAAGCTATAAGAAACCTTAACTGAAAGCCCAAGGTGTGTTGCCCTCAACATTGGCATTATGAGAACACCCTCCAGCTGCCTTTTCCTTTTACCTGTGATAGGTCCCACTTGTCCTCATTCCTCTGCCAAAGCAAATTAAACCAAGCTCCCTTTGCTAACCTTGAAGGCATTCTAAGATGGATCAAAAAATCACGTTAGCTAAGACAGCTTTCTTTTCAGCCAAGAGCAGAGACCCAAGGAGCCCTGACTATCAAGAGCACTCGCTCAGCTACCAGAAATTCTTTTGTTAGGGTAAAGGGGCCACATGGGTTCATCAGTCCTGGTGTTCTGTGGTGTATGTTAACAGGCAGGAAGACTTCAGAGGAAATTGTTTCTGGCCTTTCTTTGCAATAAATGTAACTGTAACTTTGAGTTTGGGGATGTACAAGTCTGTAAGTGAACTCCTGGGTAATCTCATACATTGTGATACATTCACTACTTGGAAATAAAAGTCAGTGAGTTACATCTTATTCTCAGGAAGAATCTCTTGAGAAAATTATAGCAAAGCAATACAATGTTTTGTTTTCTGTTTAAAAATAAAAACGACTGACAGTACCATTTTCTATTTTGATATTTTTGTCATGAAAAAGCTGCCTGTTGCCTTATTTGCAATGTGACTTGAACAATGATTATTTCGCCATTCATATGCTGTAAGGATGGTTACAATGTTCCCACTAGGGCTAATATTCATCAAACTAGTCAATATACTTCATTTCCTCCAAATATTCATGAAGCATTTAAAAAATGGATTTCTCAGTTGTGAATCAATTGCATGAAGTAAAATGCAGGGAGTTTTCAACACGAAGGTCAGTTTTCAGTATTCTGTGGTTTGTGGTAGATTCAGTCCTTCTTCTAAATAATATGCCAGCACAACCATTGGATGATTTATTGCATTCCCTTCCTGAACTTCCTGCTCCTCTCTGCCCCAACACCAAAAAAATCCAAACAAAACAAAACAGGTTTAAGATATAAATATTAGCTGATAGACTGTCAACGTTCCAAATATCAATAAGAGAAATAAAAGACCACACACTGATTATTGGTTTAACTGTCAGTAGACGCAAGGACATACAAAATGACCTCAATCTGTCTAAATGACTGCCTTTTGTCTACCTTGTCCAGACCTGTTTGAAATTATACAAACTCAGATTGTATTCAGAATATTCACAAGCCCTTTCTGTTCATGTAATTCCCTTCTTTAAATTGACTAATGGTATCTTCCTTTTCTCCCTTCTACTCTCTCTCCTCCCATACTCTTAAAGGTTTTGGCTTCTAGGAGGGACATGACTGAACTATTCAGAAGTTTTTTCATGGCTCTAAAAGAAAAACCTTTGACATTTTCACACAGGGAGCTTTCCTTTGTGATACAGACAAATCTTTTAAGTTCCCCATTATGCTCTTAATTATACACACTTTCTAAGTAGCTGTGGTTTTCTTTTCTGTTTTTAAATGTTAAGAAGATCATAAATGTTCTTACAGTTTTATTAATCATTTTCACATGGACAGTATTACACTTGGCACAAGGCAGCATTCCAGTTTTCCCTAAAAAAAAAATCCAAGAAATATTCTTCCTACTCTTTTCTCTTCCCTAATAAAATCTCTGCTTCAAACACCTCCCAAAATAGACCTATTTCCTTCCTTCCTTTTTCTGGTTTTTTTTTTCCTTCTAAACATAGGGAATTTGTCTCCAGGAAAGGAAAACATGGGGCTGGGGTACAAGGATGGGAGTGAAACTTACTTTTCATGTGTTTCATTTTCTATTGGTTATGAAAACTTCCCAGCTTACATCAACAAATGTATCACCTCATGATCAGAACTCTCAGTTGGCTTGACTGATGTCTCTGGCCTGGGTTTCATAAGGCTGAAATCAAGGTACCGGCACTTGTTCAGAACACTTACCTTTGCCTACAGCTGTGCAAAATTATCTAACACAAAGCCTATTTTATAATAAAGTGTTGAATATCTCATGTAATTTATTGAATACTGGAAGTAAAAAACAGAATGGTAAGGTTTCTACTGAATGTGTAGTACTTTCTCACCATTTTAAAGTTAAAAAATCTTAATCTTAGTTGAGAGCATCTGTACACACATAAGGCCTCCTGTCTATTGCATGTAAAATTATACTCTATTTTTTCTCAATTATACAAATATTACATGTTCACCGAAGAAAAGTTATAAATTATATAAACAAGCAAAGAGAAAAAATTAAGTTAACATTATCTCTCCGTCAACAGAAAGCCACTGAAATATACCGGTGTGTGCACTTCCAGGTGTGTGTGACAGAGAAAAAGACAAAGAGAATACATTGATTTCTCTTTTTCAAAAGTGGAATCATACTACGTACAGTTTAATACCATTTTATTTACATCAATTATTTTTGTGAACATTTTTTCATGTCAGTAGACAAATTTCTGCAACAAAACTATTACAGTTCAAAGGGAGTTTTTGAAAATATTTCTAAATGAGTAACATATTCACTGAAGAAAAATTAGAAAATACAGATAAGCAAAATAAAATTGTAATTGCACCATGTGAAGACAACCACTGTTAACATTTCCATCTTTATTGTTATTGGATATACACTACTCTAGTCCTCCAAAATTGAACGCTATTGCCAAGCTTTTGCTAGACATGCTTTTGCTAGACATGCTCTTGCTAGACAGGCACCAGCAAAGATGGAACAAGCTAAACCTTTGTTCACACCCTTGATTATTTCCTAAAGACTAAGTCCTTGATTAAGTCCTAGATGAAGTATTGGGTCCAAAGACATGAACATTTTTAAGGCCATTGGTCAACGTTGCCAAAATGTTTTCTTGGAGAATTTATAGAGTATGGGAGTACATTTTTCCAGGTCCTCTCACCAATCTTGGGTGGTATAATTTTGTTAAAAAATCTTTCAAGCATACCACTTCACAACATTTTCAACTTTGGCACTACACAAAGATGTTTTGGGTCTTGGTTTGGAAGCATAAGCTCTAATAGCTTTTCTGGGATACTGTTTTAATCAGGTCCTGGCCTACTGTAAGAGGCAGACATGTTTTTGTGCAGGAAAAATCAAGAAAGACATGAATATTTACATGAAGAAAACTGTGAAATTACCAAAGAAAAGATTCAGCTGGAGAAAGAAATGGACTACTCTTTGAAATTGTTTCCAGAAGGAAATCTTTGCTTTGATTTCATTTTCTTCAGCACCCAATCCCAAGGAAGCATCCAATCCTCTCTCGTCTTGTTCTGCATGTCAGAAGACAGAGTACCAGTTCTGAAGGTTCCTCCTTGAGATCCCTTTCATGGATCTGGTTTAAGTCCGAGAGCATATAATCTGCTATGTGGAGCTCAGTGCAACAAAGGCATTGGCCAATTTCCAGCAATTATCTGAGAAATTCTATTTCAGACACTAAATCTCCAGCTTTAATCAACTTGCAAATCCCAATCATCCCCAGCAGTGAGCAATCACAGGTCTGAAGGAAGCAGTGATTGTGTCTGTGACCCCAGAAGACCTCTTTCCATCAGGTATCATTTGGAAATCCCTGGGGTCTGATTGCCTCGTATTAAACTTTCATTATTTCCAGATAAGGTATCTGAATAGAGGAAATGATGCCCAGGTGCTGGAAGGGCTGCTAACTTGGGGCCAGCTGAAACTGCCTGTGTCCCGCAGGCTGAAAATTGAGGAAGGGAAACAATGACCCAGGAGATAGATGTGTATTCTGTTCCTTTGTATCATCAGAAGTCTGGCTTGACCAGAGGTTTTTCTCTCAGCAGCTTTGGTGGTGATATCTCTGTGGCAGCCACCTGAGGGTAATTGATTCCTTGGCTAATTTGGCTTGGGTGCCAGCAGCCATTTTGAGGCAACATTCACCCAGAGCTTCTAGCTTAACCTCAGCAGTTAAGCATTTTTGGCACTGCCAAAAGTTGTCACCTCACCCTGCATAACCCCCAAAGGCAGTGCTTGTAGTGCACAGCAGGAGTTGAAATTGTGTGTGTGTGTGTATGTGTGTGTGTGTGTGTGTGTGTGTGTATATATCAGCAAGTGGGATAGATTAGCTCTTAATGAATGAGCACATAAAGATGATCCATTCCAAACATCTGCAAGTATAAAACCACATGCCTAGTGAAGAATTTTTTTCTGTTCTAATGTAAGATCTACCTAGAAAAGAATATCACAAAACTTACTGTTTTATGAGTTAACAGAAAAAAAAAAAAACCTGTTTCTGGTAGTTTTCTAAGTGTTGAGGTAGAAGGAAGAAGACAGGAGGAGCCAAAATTTGCATTTAGAAAATGAGGTCTTCCTCCCAGAACTGCCAACACAGATTCTCTATAACACTTTGTTGAAAATTAATTCTCTCCACAGAAACAATAATTGAATTCTAACCAATTTTTTCTTTTTAAAGAAGTAGATTATATTTAGGCTATAATTAAACCCAGCAAAAAGATCATAGGCATTTCTTCAACTAGGTCAGAAATTATGAAGTTAGGTGTGCCAACACTACTATCAGACACACCTGCCAACAATTTAGCATCTTCCCACTTCATGCTTCTCTGAACAGCAGGAAATGTTCAGCGTTGTCACAAAGCTGCTTTCCTCTGCTTTGCTACACAAGCATCTTCTACCTGCAGTATTTTTCGTGGCTTATTTTTCCTATCTTGCAAAAAGAAACCGCACCTACCTGTTCCCCTATCTACAAAGGTTCCTCCCATAATTTTTTATTGTTAAAGTCTTCATTCCCTTTTATTGATCAAATTTGAACTTTATGCCTAAGATACTTGTATTTCTTTTTTTTTTTTTTCACTTTTCTGGTTTTTTTTTTTCTTGCTTGGGTTGCATATTCTGCAAAACATTGAGAAATAATATCAGAAGACAGTTACTACCACATGCTCTGATATGATGATGTGGCACTTGCCACAGGCCAGGTGTCCTTTGAGGGATGGTTAATTCTGCCGGTGCTCCTCAGAAAGCGAGAAAAACCTGGGAGTTTATGCCGCTGTTTCTGACCACATAGTAGGCCTCATCCAATAACTAGGAATATGAAAGCCTAATATCAGGATAATCCTGAGACATAATTCAGATTTTCCCAATGGGATCAGGCTGGAGATAACCTTCACAGGATTTTGCTTGAAATTTTATCCCTGCAGGGGGGTTTCTTCCTATTTCCGGTATCTAGTGTTGCACAATAAGCCACCCAAACATTAGTCTTCTATCACTGTGAAACTACCCCAAATTTCAATTTTCTATTGCTTCATAACAAACTATTCCAAAGCTTAAAACTGCAATTATTGTATTTGCTCATGATTCTTTTGGTTGGGAATTCAAACAAGGCATGGCAGGGATTGTTTGTCTCTGTCTATGATGTTTGGGACCTCAGTTGGGATGGCTGAAACAACTGTAGGGGCTGGATGGACTGGCTGGACTGGCTGGACTGGTGTCATATATCTGGGGCTTTGGTTTTCACTGCCAGCTGGATTCCTCAGTTTTCTATTCCATGTCACCTCCCCATGGTGCTAGCTCAAACTTCACAGCTTGGTGGTCTCAGGTGGTCGGGTTACTTACATGGCAACTGGTTACTGCTGGGGACAAGCAGACACTGCTAGGCATCTTAAAAGACAGGCCTGGAATTAGGCCAGAATCATTTCTACCATGTCTGTTTGTCGAAGCAAGTTATAAGGCCAACTCTGATGGGAGGGGAAATAGACCCCTCCCTGGTGGGTGGAGTGGTTTGTGCAAACATGGAGGAAACGAATGGGAGGCAGCCACCTTTAAAAACCAGTTACTACACTCCGCTCCCTGTCCTCCTTGCTCTTTTACAGCTTTCTCCTGGGAGCACTTTCTAAATGAAATCACCTACACATAAACTCTCATCTCAGAGTCTTGCCTCTGGGAAACCTGACCCTAAGATAAAGCTTATTTCAATCCAAAGATTTCAGCCTCCTGTTCTAGGAAGGTTTGTTACTAATGTGGACTAAATCCAAGTCTCCATGCTGACATCTGCAAAACCCCAGGAGCAAGCATTATAACTCTAAATCAGGGGATCCCCAATTTGGGATACTCACTACAAACACTTCGGAGCTCAAGAAAAAAAAAAAAAAAAACCTTTATGTTTGGGACCTACTCCAGGGATTCTGAATTCACTGGGCTGGAATAAGATGTATGCATGGATATTTTCAGTATTTTTTTAAAGTTCCCCTGCTAATTCTAATGTGGAGTCCAGGTTAGGAACCACTGTTCTGGCCAGGTGCAGTGGCTCACACCAGTAATCCCGCACTTTGGGAGGCCCAGGTGTGTGGATCACGAGGTCAAGAGATTGAGACCATCCTGGCCAACATGGTGAAACCCCGTCTATACTAAAAATACCAAAATTAGTTGGGCGTGGCAGCACACACCTGTAGTCCCAGCTACTCAGGAGGCTGAGGCAGGAGAATCACTTGAACCCAGGAGGCAGAGGTTTCAGTGAGCCGAGATCGCACAATTGCACTCCAGCCTGGCAACAGAGCAAGACTCCATCTCAAAACAAAAAACAAAAAACAAAAAAAACCCACTGTTGTAAGTAGTTCAAGCCATGAAGACTGTGTGTGGGAAAAAGAGGATGAAAATACCACAAGGTATCCTGTGAAGGCAAAAAATAAATAACCCTTAACCAAATCACCTCTTGCCCTGGGGCCAAAATCTTATAGCTGCCATCAAATAACATGGGTTGCAAATCTGGTTTTCAAATCCAGTTGCTCTAGGTTTAGGAGCGGAGAGGCTTCTTTTACATGTCTTGTCTGAATAAAAGTCACATACATATACTCTACTAGTTCAGTTTAGAAAAATTAATTCCAGTCATTGTGTACCCTTTGCCTTATGGCCTACAGCATATTAAATGTTATTTCTAAATCCTACTACAGTTTTATAGAAATAGTAATATCTAGCCTTCTCTTTACTAGGGACAAAGAACAATCTTGGTTATATTCGCACCTGAGTTGGAAAAAACAACTTTCAGTGCCATTTATTAAACTTCAAGAGTGTAATCTGATTATTAAAGTTCCATAGTGTAGAATAATATTTCAGAGTATAAAGGACTCACAGACACTTTTCCTGGCTAATTCCACAATCAATAGGACAAAATTTTCCCTTTTCTTCTTGCTGAGTCTCTTAATCTTTAAATGATACAGAGGAGAGAGTGTTCTAACTTCCTGTAATTACATTTTCTTGTTAAACTTTATCCTTAGTCCTGATTCTCAATTTGGTTTCTATAATCACTGGTTTTTATTCTATAAAACTTTGTTTTGTAATTAGCAAGATAGAGATCAATGTAACACAAAATATGTGCTAACACAGAACCAGGTTTTGCTCTTCCATGCATGAACGCCAAGTGTAGAGAAGATAACCTGCAAAAACAGTTCAAGGGAAACTTGATCTCATCCCAGAAATAACAGCCTCCTCTTTCATGGGAGGCAGCAATCTTAAAATGTTGCATTTCAACACTGTACCTCCCCTTCTTGCCAGGAATTATAACATAGTAACATCTCTGAAATGGTGATATGTCTTATAATTGTCATCGTTTAATTGGCAGGTTTTTTCCTTTCATAATGGTAAATAAAATAATGGTAAATAAAATAAGACCTTAAAACTGACAGTGTCTTAGTTTTGATGAAATATGGCAATCCACACTCACCCAGCTAAAGAAAGCATGGAATAAATTTCAAATTAAAATGCAGATATGTGAAAGGCAAAAAGAAAAAATTGAATTTCCTGTCTAATGTAGCCCCTTTTGGACCCTATCAGGAGCAAACAGCAATAACCAAAGCTTGGAGTGCTATATGCAGGTCACTACATATGCCTTCTCTCACCTATTGCAATTTTGAGAATATTGCCCACATTTAGGATAAGCTCTAAGAGACTATCTTAACAGTATAGGTGTTTTTTTGTTTTGTTTTGTTTTGTTTTTTAAGATGGCTGACTAGAGGCATTGTAAGCATGCCTCATCCACTTAGAATTACCAAAAAATATGTAGACAGTCTTTTTTTTTTTTGAGCTGGAGTCTCCCTCTGTCGCCAGGCTGGAGTGCAGTGGCACGATCTCAGCTTACTGCAACCTCCGCTTCCCGGGCTCAAGCGATTCTCCTTCCTCAGCCTCCTGAGTAGCTGGGATTACAGGCGCCTGCCACCACGCCCAGTTAATTTTTGTATTTTTAGTAGAGACGGGGTTTCACCATGTTGGCCAGGATGGTCTCGATCTCCTGACTTTGTGATCTGCCCATCTCTGCCTCCCAAAGTGCTGGGATTACAGGCAGGAGCCACTGTGCCCCGCCAACATTCACATTTTAAACACATTATCCAAGGTGGAATGTGGGAGTCTGACAGAAAAAAAAAATGATAGGAAACACTAAAATCTAGGAAGGAGAAGGAAAATGTGCAGCTTCTGTGGCTAGGATTGGCCCGGAACTGGTAGTGAATCCCTCAGTACAGGGGAAGGTGAGTGAGTGTCTTCCTACAATTTACCTTCTCACTTGGGAACTGTACTATCCAAGCCATAGGAGAAACACTTTGAGTCTTCTAAGCCCTGATTCTGACTTGGGAGCAGCCAGGAGACTGTAGGAAGGAACCCCAAGGAGGGAACACACTTTGGGTCTCACACTCTTTCTGGGACCTGAGGAGCTACAATAAAACACCATTCTTGATCCTTGCTTTTAACAGACTATGCTCAGTCCTGGAAACCAGTGGCACCAGTCCCGGGCATTGGGGAAACTCAGGCTGCTGCTTCCAGAGTGGGGCATGGGGCCTAGGTAGGGGTGTGGGGGAGGCTTTTGCAAACGGGACTGAGAAGCAAGTGTGCTGTGGGCTGCAGCTGCTGGTGCTACATGTGGACAACTCCTCCACTTGTCCTGAGTAAGACAAGAGTTGCTGCAGAAACTTGGACATGAGCTGGGAAGAGGGCCCCCATGGCCCAGCGCTGAGTTCCAGGCTAGGCATGAACTACCAGGTCTGACTGAACAGCCAGGATGGGGGAGGGATCCCCCAGCTGCAACAGCCAGGATGGGGGAGGGAGCCCCACAAGCACTGGGGCATGAAAAGGACATAAGTCCCCCAGCTGCTGGCCAAGGCTGTGGCTGCTGAGACTGCTGGGACTGGCCACCCCCACCACATGGTAAGACCTCACTGTAGTGGTGGTTGCCCCTCACCCAAGCATTTCTCCAGGGCCCAAGGATCAACCCACCTCACCCCCAACTCCTCATCACAGCTAGTCCATGCACTCATCATTGGGGGACCTGTGCACAAGTTTGCCTGGTCTGGCTCTGCTTGGCTTCACCCCACCCTCTGAGACAGAGTGCAGGATCCATGGTCCTGGGGGTTCCATAACCCAATCCACCACCTGGGGCACCTAAGCATTTATCCTGGGGGACAGAGGCTGGACACAAACAACATATCACTACCACCTCAAGTATCTGCAGGTGCTTGCTTCTACCTGCAAGCACCACCTAGTGGCCTGGAAGCCAGCCTGCATGGCCCAGAAGCCAGCCTGCATGGCCCATTGCAACTGCCAACACAAAAGCACAGCACTTGGGAATCAGAAGAGCATCTCACCACTACTGCTACCACCATTGCCCACATCATGTGGCTGCCCAGGAACCCAAGAGCCTACTCACCCAACCAGTCCACCACTACCACAACCAGCATTGAGAAAGGCACCCAGAGCCCAAAAATCAGCCTGCTTGGAACCACCAACACAAGTATCAGAATACACTGCCACAGAACACAAGGATAGACATGCTTAGCCCCACTGAAAGCTAAAGACAGACCAATCTGGCATTCCAGACCCTAGCACAAGTTCACCACAGCCTCCACCAATAACCGCACCCTAACACACCAAGGAAACCACAGATACCACTGATGCTATTTATAGCCAATGAAATTATAGTAGTCTTCCCTACTCCATGCACCCAAAAGCAAACCCAACCAACATCATAGTCACATATTCAGGAAAAAGCCCCCCCAGTGAAGGAAAATTCAAAAATAAAGAGAAGCAAATGCTGTAAAGACATAAGAAACATGAAAAAGCAATATGACATCCTCAAAGGAACACAATAATTCTCCAGCAATAGATCCTAACCAAAAAGCAATCCTCAAAATGCCAGATAAAGAATTCAAAATATTTATTTTTAAAAGTTCAATGATGCAAGAGAAATATGAAAAGCAATACAAAGAGCTCAAAACTCAATTCAGGAAATAAGTGAAAAATTTATCAAAGAGATAAATATCTTTTTGAAAAAAACAGACATTCTGGAACTGAAAAAGTCATCAAAGCAAGAACAAAATACAATCGAAAGTTTCAAAAATAGACTAGGCCAAGCAGAATAGAGAATTTCAGAACATGAAGACAAATATTTTGAAATAATCTAGTCAGGCAAAAAATAAAGAAAAAAGATTTTTTAAAAAATGAACAAAGCCTTTGAGATACTTGGGACTACAAAAAGCAACTGAATGTATTAATTGTTAGTATCCCTGAGGGTAAAGAGAAATTGAAAGGCTTAGAAAACCTACTTAACAAAGTAATAAATGAAAACTTCACAATTCTAGGAAGAGATTTAAATATCCAGATATAGGAGTCTCAATGATCCCCAGAAAATACAATGCAAAAAGTACTTCACCATGGCCTATTGCAATTCAGGCTGTCTAAAGTCAAAGTGACAGTACAAATTCTAAAGTCAGCAAGAGAAAAACATTTTATCATCTATAAAGGAAACCCTCTATCTGACTAAAAGCTAATTTCTCAGCAGAAACTTTACAGACCAGGAGAAAATGGGATGATATATTCAAAGCACTAAAAGAAAAACACTGTTAGCCAAGGATACTATGTCCAGAAAATTTATCTTTCATAAATAAAGGAAAAATAGTCTTTCCCAGACAAGCAAAAGCTGAGGAAGTTCATCACCTCTAGAGCAGCCCTCCAATAAATGCTTAAGAAAGTTCTATACTCAGAAGCAAAAGATTAATAGCTACCATCATGAAAACACTCAAAAATATAAAAGGCATTGATAGAGCAAGCAAACAAGGAAGAGGAAATTAGCAAATGTTACCACTGTAGAATACCAACAAACTACAATAGTAAACAATAACAGAGAAATAAAGGGAAAAAATAATATATATAATTACCAGAAATCAAGTAACAAAATAACAGGAATAAGCCCTGATATATCAGTAATAGCCCTGAATGTAAACAAATTAAACTTTCCACTTAAAAAAAAATATAGACTTGCTCAATGGATTTTTTAAAATGACTCAAGTATAGGCTGCCTACAAGAAACTCATCTCATCTGTAAAAACATGTACAGACTGAAAGTAAAGGCATGGAAAAAGAAGCTACATGCAAACAGAAACCAAAATTAGGCAGAGTAGTTATATCAGATAAAACAGACTTTAAATCAAAAACAGTAAAAAGAGACAAAGAATCTCATTATATATTGATAAAAGGATCTATTCAGTAAGAAGATATAAAAATTCTAAACATATGTACCCAAAACTGAAGCACCCATATATATAAAGCAAATATTATTAGATTTAAAAGAAAAGACAGGCTCCAATACAACAATAGATAGGAATTTCAACACCCCATTCTCAGCATGAGACAGTTCATCTAGACAGAAAATTAACAGAGAAATATTGAATTTAAACTGCACATTAGACCAGAAGGACCTAAAAATCATTTACAGAACATTTCATCCAGTGGCTGCATAATACACATTTTTCTCATCAGCACATGAAACATTATCCAGGTTAGACCATATGTTAGAACACAAAACAAGTCTCAACAAATTTCAAAAAATTGAAATCAGACCACAATGAAATAAAGCTAGATATCAATAGCAAAGCGAACTCTGGAAATGATACAAATACATGAAAATTAAACAACATGCTCCTGAATGACTGAATGAAAGAAATAAGGAGTAAATAAAAAAATTCTTGAAACAAACAAAAATCAAAACCCAATATGCCAAAACCTACAGGATACAGCAAAAGAGTGCTAAAAGGGAAGTTTGTAGCAATAAATGCCTACACCAAAAAAAAAAAAAAAAATAGAAAGACTCCAAATAAAGAAACTATTGATGCATCTCAAGGAACTGGAAAACAAGAACAAACCAAACCCTTGGTAGAAGGAAAAAAAGAAAAATCAGAGCAGAACTAAACTAAATAGAGACCAAAAATACATATATACACACAAGGGATCAGTGAAACAAAAAGTTGGTTTTTTGAAAAGATAAACAAAATCAATAAACTACTTGATATGCTAACCAGGAAAAAATGAGAGAAAACCCAATAAAATCAGAAATGAGAAAGGAGGCATGATAAATGATACCACAGAAATACAAAAGATCATCAGAGACTATTATGAACAACCATACATTCACCAACTAGAAAACCTAGAGGAAATTAATAAATTCCTAGAAGCATGCGACCTCCCAAGATTGAACCAGGAAGCAATAGAAGACCTGAACAGTCCAATAATGCACAGAACATTAAATCCATAACAAAAAAATCTCTGAACTAAGAAAAGCCCAGGACCAGATATATTCATAGTAAAATTCTATCAAACATACAAAGAAGAATTAATCTCAATCCTTCTGAAACTGTTCCAAAAAACTGAGGAGGTGGGAATTCTTTCTAACTCATTCTACAAGGCCAGTATAACCCTGATACCAAAACCAGACAAGCACACAACAGAACACAGAAAACTACAGACCAATATCCCTGATGAACATAGGCACAAAAATTAAAAAAAACTAGCAAATTAAATCCAATGACACATCAGAAAGACAGTATACCACACTCAACTGGGTTTTATACCGGGAATACAAAGATGGTTCAACATACACAAATCAATAAATGTGATACATTACATAAACAGAATTAAGGACAAAATCCATATGATCATCTCAATAGATGCAGGAAAAGCATTTCACAAAATCCAGTATCCCTTCATGATAAAAACCCTCAACAAAGTAGTCATAGAAGAAATGTACCTCAAAATAACAAAGGCCATATACAACAAACCCACAGCCAACATCATACTGAATGAAGAAAAGTTGAAAGCCTTTCCCATAAAAACTGGAACAAGACAAGGATGCCCACTTTCACCACCCTATTCAACATAGTACCGATAGTACTGGCCAGAGTAATTAGGCAAGAGAAAGAAATAAAAGACACCCACATTGGAAGAGAGGAACTCAAATTGTCTCTGTGTAATTTGGAAAACCTAAAAACACCACCAAAACCCTTAGTTTGATAAATGAATCTAGTAAAGTTGCGAGATACAAAAACAATGTCCAAAAATCAATAGCATTTCTATACACCAATAACAATCTAGCTGAGAATCAAAAGGCAATCACATTTACAATAGCTATAAAAATATAAAATACCGGGGGCGAGGTTCTGGCTGGTTGTGCCGTTGCGAGCTGCAGCGGTGATCGCCGCGGCAGGCCCAGAAGTGTATCCTGACTCGTAAATTGACGAAGCCACTGGTGCTGCAAGTGTTCTTTTGGGGTAGTGTCTGGGATCCGGTGCAAGTCGAATCACTGTTCAAATAAGGTGTAATTGAAAAGTGATCCTCTCTTCAGAGCTGTCAAAAACAAATCCAAGTCTGGATCTCGCTCTCCTCGCTCAGGATCTGCATCAAGATCTCGTTCTCGTTCATGTTGGAAGTCTCGGTCCCTAAGGCCATCTGTCTCTGGTTCAAGGAAGTGCAGGCTGAGTTCTAGGTCTCGTTCCAGATTATATTCTCCAGCTCATAACAGAGAAAGAAACCACCCAAGAGTATAACCGAATCGGGATTTCCGAGGTCACAACAAAGGCTATATAGAAGGCCCTATTATTTCCGTGGGCGCAACAGAGGCTTTTATCCATGGGGCCAGTATAACGGAGGAGGCTATGGAAACTACCGCTCAAATTGGCAGAATTGCCGGCAAGCACACGGGCCGTTCAAGATCCCGGTCCCCAGCGAGAAGGTCCCCTTCACCAAGGTCCAGGAGCCATTCTAGAAACTCTGATAAGTCGTCTTCTGACCAGTCAAGGCGCTCCTCATCTTCCCGTTCTTCCTCCAACCATAGCCGAGTTGAATCTTCTAAGCGCAAGTCTGCAAAGGAGAAAAGTCCTCTTCCGAGGATAGCCGGCCATCTCAGGCTACCGGGGATAACCAGGGAGATGAGGCCAGGGAGCAGACATTCTCTGGAGGCACCTCTCAAGATACAAAAGCATCTGAGAGCTCGAAGCCATGGCCAGATGCCACCTACGGCACTGGTTCTGCATCAGGGGCCTCAGCAGTTTCTGAGCTGAGTCCTCGGGAGCAAAGCTCAGCTCTCAAAAGCCCCCTCCAGGCTGTGGTGGTGAGGCAGCGGTCACTCCTTCCTAGCCCCGTGCCAAAACCTAGTCCTCCACTTTCCAGCACATCCCAGATGAGCTCAACTCTGCCAAGCGGTGCTGAGTATCAGCCTGGGACACACCAAGTTCAGTTCGACCGTGGTTCTTTGGTCCCTGAGTCCATCCAAAAACAGCCCTGTGGGTAAGAATTTACCATCCATTGGCTCCACATATGTCTCATCTCAGAAGGAGGAGAGTGCTGCTCCAGGAGGAGCAGCCTGTACAAAGAGGTACCTAGAAGAGCAGAAGACAGAGAATAGAAAAGATAAGGAACGGAAACAAACAAATACAGATAAAGAAAAAATAAAAGAGAAAAGGGAGCTTCTCTGACACAGACTTGGGTGATGGAAAAATGAAATCTGATTCTTTTGCTCCCAAAACTGATTCTGAGAAGCCTTTTCGGGGCAGTCAGTCTCTCAAAAGGCATAAGCTCCGAAGTGACTTTGAGAAGAAGATGGCTGACTTCCACAAGGAAGAGATGGATGATCAAGATAAGGACAAAGCTAAGGGAAGGAAGGAATCTGAGTTTGATGATGATGAACCCAAAATATGTCTAAAGTCATAGGTGCAAACGAAAACCAGGAGGAGGAGAAGTCAGGCAAATGGGAGGGCCTGGTATATGCACCTCCAGAGAAGGAAAAGCAGAGGAAAACAGAGGAGCTGGAGGAGGAGTCTTTCCCAGAGAGATCCAAAAAGGAGGATCGGGGCAAGAGAACCAAAGGTGGGCACAAGGGCTTTCTGCCTGAGAGGAATTTCTGAGTGACTGCTCACAAAGCGGTCCGGGAGAAAAGCTCTTTGCCTCCCCCAAGAAAGACTTCTGAGAGCCGAGACAAGCTGGAAGCGAAAGGAGACTTTTCCACAGGGAAGTCTTCCTTTTCCATTACTCGAGAGACACAGGGCGATGTCTGGATGGACTCTTTTGATGAGGACTTTGCACGACCCAATGGCTTATTGGCTCGGGAACGCAAGCTTTGCCAAGATCTAGTCCATAGCAACAAAAAGGAACAGGAGTTTTGTTCCATTTTCCAGCACATACAGTCAGCTCAGTCTCAGCGTAGCCCCTCAGAACTGTTTGCCCAACATATAGTGACCATTATTCACCATGTTAAAGAGCATCACTTTGGGTCCTCAGGAATGACATTACATGAACGCTTTACTAAATACCTAAAGAGACTAACTGAGCAGGCGGCAGCCAAAAACAAGAAAAGCCCAGAGATACACAGAAGAATAGACGTTTCCCCCAGTACCTGGCTACAACGCTGAGGGAAAATACAAAGATGATCCTGTTGATCTCAGCCTTGATATTGAACGTCGTAAGAGATTTTTTTTTTCCAACAGAGTCACACTCTGTCGTCCAAGCTGGAATGCTGTGGCATGATCTTGGCTCACTGCAACCTCTGCCTCACAGGTTCAAGTGATTCTTGTGTCTCAGCCTCCCAAGTAGCTGGGATTACAGGCATGTGCCACCACCCCCAGCTAATTTTTATATTTCATGTTGGCCAGGATGGTCTCAATCTCCTGACCTAGTGATCCACCCACCTCTGCCTCCCAAATTGCTGGGATTACAGGCATGAGCCACCATTCCCAGCCAGGAGAGAGATCTTAAATTAGGTAAATCGAGAGGATCAGTGGATTCCTGAGACTCCAGGCCCTCGAGGAAAAGGTCAGCTGAGAAAACAGAGAAAACTCATAAAGGATCAAAGAAGCAGAAGAAGCACCAGAGATCGAGAGACAGGTCCAGATCCTCCTCTTCCTCCCAGTCATCTCACTCCTACAAAGCAGAAGAGTACACGGAAGAGACAGAGGAAAGAGAGGAAAGCACCACGGGCTTTGAGAAATCGAGACTGGGGACCAAAGTCTTGGTGGGTCCAAGTGAAAGAGGAGGTGGCAGAGCTCGAGGAACCTTTCCATTTTGAGCCAGAGGAAGAGGCTGGGGCAGAGGCAACTACTCTGGGAACAATAAAAACAACAGCAACGATTTTCAAAAAAGAAACCAGAAAGAGGAGTGGGACCCAGAGTACACACCCAAAAGCAAGAAGCATTACTTGCATGATGACCATGAAGGTGAAGGCAGTGACAAGTGGGTGAGCCGGGGCCAGGGGGAGGAGCCTTTCCTCCGGGTCAGGTCCGGTTCATGTTCCAGAAATCAAGTACCAGACCTAAGCTGGCCCATGACAAATTCAGTGGGGAGGAAGGGCAGATTGAAGACAACAAGAGTGGGACAGAGAACTGAGAAGAGGACAATTTATAGCCCACAACCAAGTAGGGGCCACTCTTGATGGGATTCCTTGCCCCGGGGAGAGAGGTGCTGGGAAGATGGCTGCGAGGAGCTAAACAGAGGAACCTCAAGATGATTCTCAAAATCCTACCCCACCCCTCACCGGCCATGCAGGTTGTACTACCATGGAAGTCATCCCTGGCACTGCCTCCCACTGGACAGAGGAGGCTGGCTGTGGAGCCCAGGGATCAGGCCCAGCTCTTGAGCAGAACACAACTCATTGGGCTTTAGCTGTTTTTCTCATTTGTTGCTGGTGTGTGGCATTGGGGCAAGGGTAGGGCGGGACAGCGATGCTTGAATTTTTGTTTCCTATCAGAAACCAACAGTTTTGTTCTGAATTTCATTTCATTTGGAGCTAAGAAGACTAATTTGATGATTTTCAATCTCTTCTCCCCATCCTGATTTTAAAAGCCCTTCTTTTTTTTTTCTTTTCTTTTTTTAGGCCTATGTAGTAATATTAGAAACATTTAATTTGGGAAACTTTGATTCTTAAAAGAGAAAACAAAGCATGTGAATAAACTTTGAAGTGTTCACCTCAGTTTGGGACCAAATTGCTTGGATCTTTGTAAAAACCAGTTTTGTATGTCAAGGAGGAGTTTAAGGCCTTTCTGACCACCTTGTGTTCCCCTTTTCTGCACAGCCATGTATCACGTGGGGTTGCTCCTAACCACACCTCACGTGCCCCTGAGCCCTATTTCCTGATTTCTTCTGGGCTGGACTTCCCATTCTCCACCAGCAGCTTCGGTATCCCAAACTTTCTAGTCCTGCTGATCCTTCCAGCAATGGGGTGGAAACTGGAGGGCAGTGTCTGGTCTGTTTTCTAAAAAATTTATGAATTATATTGTCTTTACAAATATAAGATGAGAAAATAATTTTTTCAATATTTTTATTAATCCTTTTATAAAATGAAAAACTCCTATGATCGATTAAGGAAGGTGGTTATGGCTGGGTGGTTCATGGAGTTTTTTGGGGTCTTTAGTTAGTTGTTTGTGTTGTTTGTTTGTTTGTTTTGTCTTTTTAACCTTAAGCTGTTTAAATTGAAGCATTCTCAGATGTTTGCGGGGAAACATCCTCTTAAAATGAGTCCTTGTGCTTGTCTTCAGGGGAGGTGGTCCTGAGCAAGTGAATCATAGGGCGTTTATGCATATGTTATACGCAGACTGCACCCACCTCTTCTGAGACTTTGCCTCTTGAGTTGTTGTGCTGCTTTCCCCTTACTTTGCTACATTTCTATAGTTAAGTTAGTTTTACTTGATGATTCATGTTTAGCGGGAAAATGAAAATCTCCCTTAAAATGTTTTTTAACTCTTCCTGCAAATAAATGAAGTGGCAGATGTTACATATATATATATATATATATATATATATATATATATATATATACACACACACACACATATATATATACACACATATATATATAAAAAAAATACCAAAATAAATAAATTTAACCGAGGAGGTAAAACATCTCTATGAGGAAAACTATAAAACACTGATGAAAGAAATTGTAGATGACACAAACAAATGGAAAACATCCCATGCTCATGGAGTAAAAAAATTAATATTGTTAAAATGACCATACTTCCCAAAGCAATCTATAGATTCAATGCAATTCCTATCAAAATACAAACACCATTTTTCACATAATTAGAGAAATAATCCTAAAATTAATATGGAACTAAAAAAGAACCCAAATAGCCAAAGCAATCCAAAGCAAAAAGAACAAAGCTGATGGCATCACATTACCTGACTTCAAATTATATTACCAGGCTATGGTAACCAAAAAAACATGGTACTGATATAAAAATAGACACATAGGTGGATGGAGCAGAAAGAGTACCCAGAAATAAAGCCACATATTTACAGCCAATTAATCTTTGACAAAGCTGACAAAAACATACACTGGGGGAAAGGACACCCTTTTCAATAAATGGTGCTAGGATAATTGGATTGCCATATGTAGAAGAATGAAACTGGATCCCTATCTCTTACTATATACAAAAATTAATCAAAATGAATTAAAGACTTAAATGTAAGACCTAAAACTATAAAAATACTAGAATAAAACCTAGAGAAAACTCTTTCATACGTTGGTCTAGGCAAATAATTTGTGACTAAAATCTCAAGAACATGGGAAACAAAAACAAAAGTAGACAAATGGGATTTAATTAAACTAACAAGTTTCTTCATGGGTAAAGAAATAATCAACAAAGCGAAAAGACAACCCACAGAATACAAGAAAATATTTGCAAACTATTCATCTAATGGGGGATTAATATCCAGAATATGCAAGGTACTCAAACAACTCAACATCAACAACAAAAACAACAAATATTCCCATTAAAAAGTGGCAAAGCCTGTCCCCATATACACCTACTATGCACCTGCAAAAATTAAAAATAAGGCCAGGTGCAGTAGCTCATTTCTGTAATCCCAATACTTTGGGAGCCAAGGCAGGCTGATCACTTGAGGTCAGGAGTTCGAGACCAGCCTGGCCAATATGGTGAAACCCTGTCTCTACAGGGTTAGCCAGACATGGTGGTGTGCACCTGTAATCCCAGATACTGGCTGGGGAGGCTGAGGAACCAGGATCACTTGAACTGGGAGGCAAAGGTTGCAGTAAACTGAGATCACAATACTGCACTCCAGCCTGGGCGACAGAGCGAGATTCTGTCTCAAAAACATAATAATAATAATTTAAAACTGTTTTAAAAATGGCTGGGCACGGTGGCTCATGCCTATAATCCCAGCACTTTGGGAGGCAGAGGAGGGCGGGTCACCTAAGGTGAGGAGTTCAAGACCAGCCTGGCCAACATGGTGACACCCCGTCTCTACTAAAAATACAAAACTTAGCTGGGCGTGGTGGTGGGTGCCTGTAATCCCAGCTATTTGAAAGGCTGAGGCAGGAGAATCGATTGAATCTGGGAGGCGGAGGTTGCAGTGAGCCAAGATCACACCACTGCCCTCCAGCCTGGGGGAGATCACGACACTGCACTCCAGCTTGGGAGACAAGAGCAAGACTCCATCTCAAGAAAATAATAATTATAAAATTAAATTAAAATAAAAATAATTGAAAAATTTAAAAAGTGGCCAAGGACATGAATAAATGTTTTTTCAAAAGAAGACATACAAATGGCAAAAACATATATTTTTAAATGCTCAACTTCACAAATCATCATCCCCCGTCAGATGAATAATTTGCAAGTAGTTGCAAATTAAAACCACAATGAGATAATCACCTTACCCAGTCAGAATTGCTATTATTAAATAGACAGCAAATAACAGTTGTTGGGAAGTATTTGAAGTAAAGGGAATTCTTATATACTCTTGGTGGGAATTTAAATTAGTACAACCTACATGGAGAACCATAGGGAGATTTCTCAATCTGTTAAAGGAATCTACCCAAAGGAAAGGAAATCAATTTATCAAAGAGATACCTGCACTTGTATGTTTATTGCAGCACTATTCACAATAGCAAAGATATGGAATCAACCTAAATGTCCATGAATGGATGGATGAATAAAGAAAGTCTGGTATATATACACAATCGAACACTATTAAGCCAAAAAAATGAAATTATGTCTTTTACAGCAACATGAATGGAACTGCAGGTCATTATCTTAAGTGAAACAAGCCAAACACAGAAAGTCAAATATTATATACTCTCATGCATATGTGAGTGCTAAAATATATGTACACATGAATATAGAGAGTGGAATGATAGATAATGGAGACCCAATAGGGTGGGAGGATGACAGGGGGAGGATGATGAGAAATTACTTAATGGGTGCAATATATAGTATTCAGGTGATGGATATATTAAATCTCTGACTTGACCACTATGTATAATCAATGCACGTAAAAAAAACTGCACTTGTACCCCATAAATTTATACAAATAATTTTTAAAAAGTATAGATTCAAGGTCATAAATGTGGCAGTTACCAAGCTGGCATTTGGTTGGATTCCTATGACGCACTCCTCTGTTTCACAACTGCCTTTGGGACAGAAATGTCAATGAGGGCTCCAAGACAGGAGTGTGAAAATTCTTAAGCTTTACTGAGAATAATCTTTAGCATTTGTTACACATATTAATCCCAGGTCCTCACCCCAGATCTTTTGATTCAGAAGCTCTGAGAGTGGTGGGTGATGAACAAGCTTTACAGGTGATTCAGACGCATACCAATGCTGAACTGCACTGCAGTGGTGATTTTGGAGCTCTAGGCACAGTATGGCATGCACACTGGCTCATTGGTGGTGAGATATCCTAAGCCCAGTATTTGTGGAGAGCTGATCCCCATACGTCCAGATTCACCTGACTGCCTGCTCACACTGCTCAGTAGGCATATCTTGAGCTCATATCTTCTCACGCCTACTCTGTTTTTCTGGTGATCTGTCTGTTTTCTGCCCTCTGTGTGAACCACTGATGTCCCAAATCAGTAGTTTGGGACACATGTGTCAAATGCTCTACAAAAATACCTGTTCAATGAATAAAAGGAACTAAAGCCTAAAGTGATTTAGTTAAAAATAGTAAAGGGTCAAGAAAATTTGGATTAATACTTATTTATTTGCCAAATAATTTTCATTTTCAATAGCCACACAGAAGCTGCTTTTTTCACTAGATGTGGGATTATAATCAATCCCAACACCCTCTGCCTTCACTGCATTTAATATATATTAGAAACAGTGGGTGTGGTAGACTGAATAATCGCCCCCACCAAAGCTGTCACCCTAGTCTGTTCAGACTGCCATAACAAAATACCATGGAATCGGTACCTTATAGACAACAGAAATTTATTTCTAACAGTGCTGGAGACTGGCAAGTTTCAAGTCAAGGTGCCTGCAGATTCAGTGACTGGTGAGGGCTCGCTTCCTGGTTTTTAGATGCCTGTCTTTTCACTGTGTCCTCACGTGGCAGAAAGGCAAAGGTGCTCTCTGGGATCACTTTTATAAGGGCACTAACCCCATGTATGAGGGATCCACCCTCATGACCCAATCATCTTCCAAAAACCCCGCTCCCTAATACCATCACATTGGAGATCAGATTTCAACACAAACATTCTGTCTATAGCAGACATCCATGTTCTAATCTTTGGAACTTGTGAATATGTTACCTTACATTATCAAAAAGACTGTAGATGTGACTAAGTTAAGAGTCTTGAGAAGGAGAATTTTGCCTGGATTATCCAGGTTGGCCCAGTGTAGTCACAGGGATCCTTTCAAAAGGGAGGCAGGAGGATCAGAGTCAGAGAGAGAAGATGTAAGGATGGAAGCAGAGATCAGAGAAGAGAGAAAAGCTATGCCACTGGCTTTCAGTCTAGAAGAAGGACCCTTTAACTGAGGAATACAGAGTGCTGCTAGATATTAGGAAAAGCAAAGAAAGGAATTCTCCCTTATGGCCTCCATAAGGAACACAAGCCTGCTGACATCTTGTCTGTAGATCATTGGTACCCACCCAGAACAGTAAGATAATAAATTTACATTGTTTTTAAGCCAAATTCATAATAGTTTGTTATAGCAGCAATTGAAAATTAATAGTGTGGGGTTTTAAATTATCTTTCTCATGACATAGCTTAAAATTCTCTGAGCAAACAGGAACCTTTGGGAGACCCAAGGGAGAATAATTTGCAAGGAGTCTGAGACACATTGACACTGATTTTTCTTATTTCTTGAAAGCAGATGGGATTAACCAACTATGACTTTGATTCTTAACAAATGCCAAAGTCTCTGGGCCCATTCCAGGAGATGAGCTGTATTTTGCAATCAAGCAGGAGAATCTACAAGTCTCCTGTAAAACTCACTTGTGTTAAAAAGCATGCTTGCTTGCTTCTGGGATATGTATAGATTTCTGTTTAGAGGAAAGCGTATCCATCTGCATTCGAAAGAAGATAGAAAGAAGCATGGCTCCTTAGTTTCTGCCCTACATGAGACAATGAAAGGGCTAAATAACCCATAAGAATTCCTGGGTATTCATAAAGGGATACTTTTTAGACTGTAGGCAATGCCTTTTGCTGTCTCATTCACTGTTCTGTCTCTTGCCCTTTCCTTCTCTCCTGCTCATCTACCCCAATAAGGTTTTCCTGCACCAATTCTGAAGCTTTGGGAGACTTTAGATGATTTTTACCATCAGGAAAAGGATGGAAACTTTGAGGTGAAGTGCCACATTGCGTCTGTCGTCTTTCAGCCCTACACTTCCCCTTTTATGCCGTTTTCTCACCAGCAGGGCAGAAAGCCTGCAAGCTACATTTGTCAGACCTACTTTCCACCTAGCTTCCTGTCAGATGCTACCAATGGGAGGCTCTGGCAGGAGTTTGGAAGGTGAAAGTAAGGAAGAAATATTTTTTCCTGTAGACACAGTTGTGCTTCTTACAGACGATGCAGTAACAAATGAGGCAAGAGTCTCAGCAGCAACAGCAGTGGTAGCCATGGACAAATGTGGCTTCTGGATTTCTGCCAACTTTGTTCTAACAACACCACATTGTGTACTCTGAGCAACACCTTTTTCTCTTTGCTCTTTTGAACCTAGAGGTGTTATCTGTTTCCTGCAGCTACTGATCTTTGAAAAATCTTACCTTCCCCTTTTTCTCCTCTGGCTCTTCTAACACCTTTACAACCAACTGCCTATTTAAAAACCTAGAGTAGCTTCTGTTTCCTGATCAGATGCAGACTGCTAAGATTGCATCTTTCGCCTACTTTAACAAGGGACAAAAGGCAAGTGAAACCCTTTTCCCATCTTTACTACCTGGGTTTTGGGAACTGCCATTTCATTAGGATCAACGGAATCAGAGCAGGGCCTTCCCAGAAAGGGGAGGTGGCTTGAGTTTGGCAGACCCGTGGCAAACTGGATTGGAAGCCAATGTTCTTCCTTAGATACTCATGGTCTAGGTTAGTTTCTCTGGACATACTCCCTGAGATGAGGATTCAGGAGTTAGTGACTTATTACCAGTGTGCTATTAAGAGAGGCCTTTAAAAGAATGAGGTAAGCCAGGCAGGATGAAGCCAAGCAGGGGAGAGATGCAGGTAAGGTCTCACAGAGGGTAGCTCCAGGCTGATCCCCAGGGGAGCTTTGGAGTATAAGCTATGCCTTAGAGCTTTCCTGATCACATGGTCAGTCATTGTCTACAAGCTGCCTTAAGGACACATAAACTTCCAGGCAATTTTGACTGGTTCCAGTAGTCTGAGAACAGGCCTCTGAAAAAGAGTCCCAGGTACAGGTCTTTGGAAACAGAAATACACTGAAGCTGGGAAGAACTGCACAGAAAAGGTAAAAGGAACCCAAGGGCTTCTGGCCAGGGCACTGACAAGGTCTTCTATATCCCTGTTTCTCACCACAGTGAAGTCACATTAATTCAAAGCTCACTCTCTCTTACTTCATTCATTCAAGATGAACCACTACTCTCAGGCACAGTGCCCTGGGGGTAGAGTGGTGAGCCCAATGTATGGTTACCAGCCTCTCATATCTGGCAACAAGGCAGAGAATGCAGACCACTGAATAGAGTATTATACTATTATGGGAAAAGCTCTGCAGTGGGGGGTGCAGGGCAGTCCACAATGCCTCAGGAACATCTAGCTGAAGCATCTTAATCAGCTGGAGTTTGTCCTGGCAGTTTCTACAGGCAGAAGGAAACTTCCAAGAAGACGAATATTATAAACTGTTTTAGTAGGGAGGATCTCACAACTCTAGACCTGCCCAAGTACTAGGGCTGAGACTTATTTTCCTACATGGTTCCTCTAAGTATCACGGAGCCCAGCTTCCGTTTTGAGCATCGTATTAATAGAATAGTATAACAATTGCAGTTTTAGTCAGGGAAGCAGAGCCACTGGGATGTTACAAGGAAATGCTATGGTTTGAATGTCCGCACAAACTCATGTTGAAACTTAATTGCCAATGTAGTGGTGTTGGGAGGTGGGACCTTTAAGAGGTGATTAAGTCATAAGGGCCCCACTCTCATGGATGGATTAATGCTGTTATTGTGGGAGTGGGTTAGTTATCACAGATGTTTAGCTCCTCCTTTCCTCTCTGTCTCATGGGCTCCCTTCCACTTTCTACCTTTCAGCCATGGGATAATACAGCAAGAAGGCCTACACCAGAAGCCAACATCACACTTTTGGACTTCTCAGCCCCAGAACTGTGAGCCAAAATAAATAACTTTTCTTTATAAATTACCCAGTCTGTGGTACTCTGTTAGGGGAGCAGAAAACAGACTAAGACAGAAATGTATTAGAGGAATTAGACCTCACAACTGTGGAAGTTGCTGGAAGAGAAAGTCCCAGAAAGAGTTGGAGGGTCAGAGAAAAAGTTACCAACCAGCCTTCTTGAAGCACTGACACCAATAGCCAAGTTAGAGTTTGCAGAGGGGTCTCCAGCCACTGAAGCAGATCTTGGGAGGGGAGCTCGTAGAGAAGCCTATGAGCAGCTCTTCCCCTGTGGAGCTACCACATTGTGGGTCCACTGCCAGGCATCTGGAAGTGGACCTGGAGCCAGAAATGAATCTGTTGGTCAGAAGAACCAGCAGGTGGGAAGATGAGCTATGGTCACTGCTTCACTTCTGCCTCCCAAGCTTTATACAAGTTCTTCTTTTGGCCAACTCTATCCTAGAACCATAGAGGGAAGGGGATTCTGGGAAACTAATTCCCAGCTTAAACAATTTGATAATACAACAATCCAGCACATTTTGTTCTGGCTTTTAAATAAATCTCTGCAAAGTCCATGGTTAGAAGTGGGCCTCCTTTTGCCAGAAAATCCACAGCCACTGACGATGAAAGGCCCACGAGCACCAGGAAAAACTGTTGACACAGCTCCTCTGTGTGGGCCTCCACGATGTGTTTAATCAAATGTCAGCAGACAGTCTGTAGGTGGAGGATAAATATCCATGCACAGACTGGCTCTGGCCCTGGAAGGTGCTAGGCTGACTCCACACCTCTCCACATCACCACCCTGTTCCTGTCCTCTCATCTTAGCACCCTTATCCCCAGCTTCCTTGATCCTTTGATGTCAATTCTCAAGTGTTTATTTGGAAAACGAAAAATACTTCTCACTGGTGATTTTTATTTTCTTTGCATATAGATGTAGAGGCAGTGTGGTATTGCAGTTAAGAGCATGGTCTCCTAAAGTCACATTTTCTGTATTCAAGTCTTAGGCTCACCACTTATCAGCTGTGTGACCTTGTCCAAGTTATGCCTCAATTTTCTCATTTGCGTTAATAAAACAGGGATAGTGTTAGTACCTATCTCATACAGTTGTCGAGAGGATTAAAGGAATTGATATGTGTCAAGCACTTAGAAATGAGCCTCTTTAGGTACTTTCATTTTCCTCATTTTCCATGACTAGCTAGGGGAAGGGATCAGAAATCAGAGAAAAGAAAAGAACAAAGGTTAAATCTGTCTTTATAACCTAGAACTGGTCTAATAAGGTAACCATGTACCTATTTACATATCTAGACACATATACCTATTTACATATCTAAATTTAGATTAGTTAGAATCAAATAAAATTAAATATTTGGTTACTCAGTCACATTAGCCACATGTGGCTAGTGGCTACCATATCGGAGAGCTCAGATAAAGATTTCCAATATCACACAGAAAACTTTATTATACAATGTTGGTCTAGATTTTCAAGAGGACTGTTTAACCTGCTGACTATCCAAGCTGTTTTTGAAGACTTGAATTAATGTATATGAATAACATATTAATTAAACTTCAATGATTGGAAATAATGTTTATTTAATGATTATATATTTTTCTTATCTATTCTACTAAGGCATTACCCAGTAGGATTTATTGATGCTTTGGAACAAATTACCATTAGTCAAGTGAAGGAAACAATAAAAATGCACAATGATATTTTCAAAACATTCTTATTATTGTCACAATTTCAGAATGGCCTTCCCCAAGCTTGTGAGATTTTATCATGCATGGACTCTACTCTTGTAAGGTAGAAGTCTTTAGAGACATTTTCTAATGAAGAAGAGTGATTATAGAAAAGCTAAAACCAACTGTGAGATATCTCAATTCCTCTCATTTCTATTAATAGCTGGTGAATTTTACCAACAACTATTTGCTCATGTAATGGAAGCAGAGAGCCATAAGAAAAGTTTATAAGCATTGGGTTGCATATGAAGATCTCAGCAAGAATATAAATGTATCCTCCCAGTGACATATAAATAACCCAGAGTTCTCTCATGCTCAGTCTCAAGAAAATAACTGGCACACTCTAGTGATCTGATATGACAAATCATTGTGGTCAGAATTGTTGCTCCAAAAACACTTGTATGCATTGCTGGTGGGAATGCATATTTGGTACAACTTCTTTGGAGGACAATTTGGAAATATGTGTCAACACTTTTAAATACTTACATCCAGTGATGTGCTGTTGTGTTTGTTGTATAATAAATAATCTGACTGGTCTTTGGCCCAGGTTCCTGGGACAAAGCCTCTAAGCCCTTGGAATTTTCTGAATGATAAATAGGAGTGTCTTTTTTATTCATGCTGAGCTCCTGGGACCACAGCTGAGTTTATGCTAATAAGGTGACTCAAGGTGGGCTCCTACATTTCAGGAGGAAATGTAGGAGCCCTCCTATGTTTTATGATAGGGGTTGGCCATGCCAGAAAAAACAATCATATGATTAAAGGGTTGGGCTTCAGGACACATGAGATTCGTTTATAATCTCCTGACCCCCAAGGAAGGGATGAGGAGGGGGGATAGAGATTAAGTACAATCGCATGGTAAATGACTTAATCAATCCTGCCTACATAATGAAACCCAAATTATAACTCTGGACACCTGAAGCTCTGGTGAGCTTCCTGATTGGTGAATACATTGATGTGCCAAAAGGGTGATGCATCTTGAAGCCACAGGGTGAGGACACAGAAGCTTCATATCTGGGACCCTCCCAGGCCTCACCTATGGGGTATCTTCATTGGCTGGTCCTAATTCTTGTCCTTCATAATAAAACTACAGTTATAAATGCAGCTTTCCTGAGTTCTAAGAATCATTCTAACGAATGAATTATCAAATCTGAGGGGGCTGTGGGAACTCCCAAATTTGTAGCAATTTGTCAAAAATGTGGGTTACCTATTGATTCCTGAACTTGTGGCTGGCGTCTGCAGTGAGGTAAGTCTTGTTAGGGACTGTTCCCTTAACCTGTGGAGTGGGCTAACTCTGGGTAGTTAGCATCAGAATTGAATTACAGCATTACAATGTTTGACAACCAGCTCTCCAGGAGGGAGGGGGGAAGCCCTAAGCCCTAGTTTGTGGTGTTTGCATATTTTCATGTTATGAATGCTCCCACTATGGCCAATAGCAAGTTACCAATGTGATGTCATTGATCATGGAGTTGGGAAGAGATGCAGAGAAATCAGCTGCTTGTAAGCCTGCGTGAGTTAACTGTAGCATACACACACCATTGCTTATACCTTTTGACCAAGCAACACCACTTAACAAAATTCATCCAACAAATATGCTGGCACAATTTGCCCTTCGTAAATGTATACAAAGATGTTCATTGCAGCATTGTTTGTATTCATAAAAGATTAAAAACCAGCTACAGACGCATCAGTAAGCTTAAGCAAATCACAGTGCATCAATAAAATGAAGTGCTATGCAGGCTTTAGAAAGAATGAGGCAAATCTACACCAATATGGAATAATGTGCAAGATATATCATCAAGCAAAAAAAATGGAAAGTGCAGAATAGTCTGTAGTCTGTCACCAGTTGGTATAACATGAAGTGGGACATGTATTACAAATACAGTCTATCTTGGGAAGGAAGACACAAAAACCTAGTAACAGAGGTAGTTTCTGGGAAGGAGGATTAGGAGATTTGAGTGAGAGGAGCACTGCTTTTTGCATATGCCTTTTTGTGCTGTTTGAATTTCTATGATGTCTATTTAAATAAAGTGATAGGCAATAATGGAGAGAAAGCAGGATAATGGGAATGAATGACTGAGTACACAAGTGAATGAGTAAGCCCTTTAAACAAAATGGCCATTAGCTCTTTCATCATAGTTAATGCATCTTCCATCAACCTCTGTACACACCTCTGTTCTTACATCTGCTTGAGGGAAAGGATGACAGAGTTCAAAGAGAAACTACAGTGCACTTTCTCTAACAGTGAAGTCAAACACTGAAAGGCCCATAAGAACCAAGGAGGCACCATGAATGCATGAAGTTGTCCATGTGGGGACTGTGCTGAACTGAAGGGCTCCTGCCACCAGTTGAAGGGACTCAGCTACAGCGGCCCTTGTTCTGCAGAAATGTAGGCTCAGTGTTGCCAGATCTTTTGATTTTTCAAAAAAATTCAGAATTCCAAATTAGTATGTGAAATCTCTTCACCTTTTTGAAGTAAGCAACTAATACAAATCTTTCAATGAAATAATGTGGACCAAAGAAAACCCATTATAGCTTTATATTTTTAGACAAGACAGTATTTCTGCCCATGAAATACAAGACCTTGCTTTAAGCTGAGTTTAGATGAGTGGTAAGCATTTGGATTTAGTGTTCTAAGGAAAGGGATTTTATAATTTTTCCCCAAGTCCAAGGCAATGAAATAAAATGATGGTATTTATAAGGTCAACTAAGCCTGAAACCTGTTCCTTAAAAGCTATGAAAAGCCTGTCAGGCCTATATAAAAGTGAGGGCCGGGGGTGCGCAGAAAAGAGCTACAAAGCGGTAGCAAGGCAACAGGAAGGGAGCCAGAGAAGGGAGCCTGGCAGGGGCAAGAGGATCACAGTACTGATTTGACCTGGGAGGGTGGGAAAGAAGCCAAAGATGTGAAGTCCAATCATTATACTGGTGATTTTTTTCAATGGGTTTTCTTGTTTATTGACCTGCCTTTCTGAATCCCCTGTGTTTCCATTCTAATTTGATTAGAATTGTCCAAATCCATCAATATCAGTATTGTGACTAATTTATCTCTACTGACTTAGATTCTCCCAGCAACTGTTGGCTGAAAGTGTGCTGATTTCTTATCGCTCTAGCTTCTTTAGAATCTTGGCTGTAAGCATGTCCATGCTTCTATGGAAGTGCAAGCCCGTAAGTGTTAAGCAAGCCCAGATAGAGGCAAATTAATGATGGAGTCTGTGTTACTGTAGAGGGGGAGAAAGAAGTGGCATTAATTACAATGACGGGCATGGTGGTAGCTACCCTCCCAAGCATTTATTATGGGCAAAGGTGCTTTATGAGGGAGACAATCTGAAGTCTCACCTCACTACTACATCTAGATCCAAGCCCAGAATCTCTGAGCAATGTATATTTCTCTGAGTCAGGCCCATGCGTAAACTTCTCAGAGTCTACCAACATATGGCTACATAAATTTAAATATTTCCAATACACCATATTCAACAGAATAATGGTAGAAAGAAAATAAGCTAGCTACAGTAGACTCCTTTTTGGACAAAAGCAAATAAGGAGAACAATTCAGAACAATTAGTCCTTAATATAGGCTATATCCAGTCAGAGAAGACTGGCAGGAATTCCCGTCCTTGGCAATGAAGGGATATTCTTGGTCAGCCAATCTGGCTTCCCCTGGTTCTGCTAAGAAAAAGGACTTCACATAGGAAGGTTATGTCTTGTTTTCTCTTATAAGAGCCAGCTTGGACTAAACACTTCCCTTTCTTTCAGGACTTTACCAAAGGGTACAAGAATGAGCTAACACACTCCAAGACTGTGACATTTTTCTACGTGAGTCAAGGCTGAACTTCCATGTTATTGTCTCCTGTATACAGAGCAGGAAGCTAAGACTCAAAGAGATTAAATAGCAATTCCGATCAGTAAAAAGCAGAGCACAGACATGAATGAGTTTATCCTATTTCAAAATTATTATTCTTTTTTAAATTTCATCTTTATAACTTTTTTATTTCTAACTACAGAAGTAAGTACATAAGCATGACGGAAAAATTGGAATATACAGAAATGTATTTTATATTTCTTTTCAGTCTCTCTTTCAGAACACACAAAAACACATGTAGTATTTCATCAGGATCGGTCATAACATGTTCTTTCCACTTCTCTACAAAGGTACAGAATTCTCACCCTCAAGCAGGAAGAACAGCCCCAAGAATTCCAGGTTGCCAACAGTTTATTAATCAAGTGAAAGCAAACTCAAAATTTTCTCAAGTGAGCTTATATTTCACTGTGTTAATTTTCAGATAGCCCAT
Source organism: Homo sapiens (assembly GCF_000001405.40). Taxonomy (NCBI): domain Eukaryota; kingdom Metazoa; phylum Chordata; class Mammalia; order Primates; family Hominidae; genus Homo; species Homo sapiens. The sequence goes on from NC_000003.12 coordinate 31,470,065, forward strand.
TATAATTTAATAATACACACACAAGATTAATTGAAATTTAAAAATATTTCTGTTTTGTACCTGATTTCAGAAATGGTACTAGGGTATAATGAATGTAAAGTCTAACTAAAGAACGAACAATCCCAGCCACCAAAAAGACAATCAATAGAAATAAAATAAAGTCCAATATCCAATATTCATCCATTCATTTATCATTCAACAAGTAATTTTGAGTACCTGTCATGGGCCAGACTTTGTTTTGGGGCCCAAGGATAAAACTGTAAACAAATAGACAAATTCCCTGCCTTCAGAGAGCTTACACTCCACTAAGGAGAAACTGACAATAAATAAATTGAGAAAATATCAGGTTGTAATAAGTACTGTGGAGAAAAATAAATCAGGATAAAAGGATGGAAAGTGCTGAGGAAGGAAGTTGCTTTTTTATGCTATGTATTACCTCAGAATGCCGTAACAAAATATCACAGACTGGTTAGCATAAACAACAGACATGTATTTTCTCCCCATTCTGGAGGCTAGAAGGCCAAGATCAGGGTTCCAGCCGATTCCATTTCTGATGAGGGCTCTCTTCTGACTGGCTGATGGCCAAGTTCTTTCTATAGCTTCACAAGGCCTTTTTTCAGTATTTGCTGGAGGAGGGAGAGAGAGTGAGCTCTCTGGATTCTTTTCTTATAAGAACACTAAGCCATCGATAAAGGCCCCACCCTTCTGATCTCATTTAACCTTAATTAGTTCCCTATTCCAAATACAGTCACACTGGGTGTTAGGGTTTCAATATTTGAATTTTGGAGGGGTACATGCCTTCAGTCCATAACATACAGGTTATTCAGAGAAGACGTCCCTGATAAGATGTGGTAGCTAACTTTCAGGATGACCCTCAGTGGGCCTCATCTTCTGGTGTTCACACCCTTGGATAGTCTCTTCCCAAATAAATTAGGAATTGGGACTGGTCTCAATGTGATAGAGTCAAGGGCTGGTCTCAGTGCAACAGAGTAGAGCAGAGATTAAGATATTTCACCTCTGAGGCTGGGTCATAAAAGGCACCAAAGCTTCCACTCTGTTTTTTTGGATCACTCTCTCTGGGACAAGCCAGCCTCCATGGCATAAGGACACTCAAACACCCTTGGGAGAAGACCATGCGGGAAGGAAGTCAGACTTCCCACCAAGAGTACTAATTTGTCAAACATGTGAATGAGCAAGCTTGCAAGTGGAACCTCCAGCCCCAGTAAAACCTTCGGATATCTGACTGCAGCTCCAGTTGAAGTTTGAACTCCAACCTCACTGGAAGCCCTTAACCAGAACCACTCTGCTGAACTGATTCCAAATTCTTGGCCCCAGAAAAGGTGAGATAATAAGTATTTGTTGTTATTTTAAGCCACTAAATTTTGGAGCAATTTGTTATGCAGCAAGAGAGAAGTAATGCATAAAGTGACATTGAGAGACCCAAAGGAAATAAGCAAGTAAACTCTGCATGTATCTGGGAATGAAGACTTTCAGGTAGAAGGAAAGTGTTAAGGCCACACAATTCGAGCACATGTGGCATGTTGAAAGAACAGCAAAGAACACGGTGAGCCAGAAACAGAATGAGCCAGGACAAGAAACATAGGAGACTGGTCAGAGAGGAGGTAAAAGGTCAGAGCACACAGAGTCTCAGGTGTCTGCAACCCAACCACAATGATGTATGAAGAAACATTCACTTGGGAACAGCATCTTGTTTGTTTAGATGAAATATTCTGATGAGCTTTAACTTTCATGTCATTGGATCATATCAGCCACCTTGGTGATATCAACAACTCTCATTCACATACAAATAACTCTTGTTTGTATGTTTACAACTCCCAAATTCATATTTCCAGTCTAGACTTCTCCCTGAACTTCAGTGTTCTATACCCAAGGGCCTAGAAAACAACTCATCTTGATTGTCTAATGGGCGTCTCCAACTTATTGTGTCTAAAATCAAATTTCTGGACTTTCTTCACCTCACCCTCAACCTCTGAAAGTAAAACAATCCATTATTTCAAGTACTCAAGCCAAAAACCTTTAAGTCTTTCTTTACTCTCCTCTTGTTTTCCTCTATATGCCCATCAAAAAAATCAGCAAAGTCTATTAACACACTTTTGAAAATGTATCCACAACCCAACACTTCTTACCACCTCTATCTCAATCACCCTTCTCCAAGCCACTGCTATTTCTAGTCTAGATTATGGTATAAGCCTCTAACCAGTCCCTACAACCACCCTTTTCCTGCTATAGTCTACTGCCAGCTCAGTAGCCATAAAGAGATCTGATCAAACAAATCAGAGCATGCCATTTCTCTGCCTCAGATCCCCCAGTGTATCCCCATCTTGCTCAATGTAAATACCAAAATCTTCATAGGATAAGGCCCCTCAGGATCTTGCCTAATTATCTTTCCAAACTCATCTCCCTTGATTCTGGCCCTTGCTCACTCAGCTTCAGCCACCATGGCCTCCTTGCTGTCCTAGAAACAAGCCAGGCACACGTCTGCCTCAGAAACTGTGCCCTGCTGTTCCTTTTGTCTGGAATGCTCTTTCCTCAGATATACCCAAAATTCACTCCCTTACCTCCTTTAGGCATTTGCCCAAATACTACCTTATCAGCAAAATCTTCCCTCACCACCCTGTAAAAATTGCAGCACCCTCTCCAGAATCCCTTAGCCCTTGTTTGTCTTATTCTTGTACACAGCTATTATCATTATCTGACATATTATACATTTTAATTATTTATTTGTTGTATTTATTTATTTTGTCTGTCTCTGATATGGTTTGACTGTGTCCTTAGCCAAATCTCATCTTGAATTGTAGCTCCCATACTTCCCACGTGTTGTGGGAAGGACTCAGTGGGAGATAAATGAATCATGGGAGTGGTTTCCCCCATACTGTTCTTGTGGTAGTGACTAAGTGTCACAAGATCTGATGGTTTTATAAGGGGAAACCCCTTTCGCTTGGCTCTCAAGTCTGTCTTGCCTGCTGCCATGTAGAAGTGCCTTTCACCTTCCGCCATGACTGTGAGGCCTCCCCAGCCACATGGAACTTCGAGTCCATTAAACCTCTTTTTCTTCGTAAATCACCCAGTCTTGGATATGTCTTTATCAGCAGTGTGAAAACAGACTAATACAGTCTCCTTCCACTAGAATATAAACCCCATGACGGTAAGGATTTTTTATTTGTTTTGCCCACACTGTCTCCTCAGGTCTTAAAACAGTATTTGGCACATGGTATGCACCCAATAAACACTTGTCAAATAAATTAATTATCCCCTTAGAGTGGATGTAAGAGCCTCCAGCATAACCCTAACCCTAACCCTTTCACCACCCCCACCATGATGAAATATGGTGGATAACTTGCTGTGCATAAGATAATGAGAAGAACTTGAGATGCTCTAAAGAATGAAGAAAAGAAAAATTAAGGCAAGATGTAGAGAGAAGGGCCCAGCATTTCTGGGGTCTGCATGCGAGGATCCAGAGAAAGTTATTCCGTTGGGAGTGGGCCCAAGAGACTGGGGAAATCAGAAATATTTTAGGTGACTTCTAAACTAGTTTGCTGTGGTGTATACAATATAAATCTCAATCCTCCATCTTCTCTACAAAAGGTTTATTCTAATTTTTCTTTGCTTGTTAATGCTTATGAGGGGGGTTCTTGTCGGGAAAGTAGAAGAGGATTGATTGACTTCCACATCCACGCTGGCAGACAGTCAACATGTTCAGATGCAGAAGTCAAAGGCCAAGAGCACAGCTGATATCTGAATTGCACATGCCGGCTTTAACCTTGCTGTATATTTCCTTGACTGGCTTCTGTTGAGTAGAATGGTGATTTTAACAAGCACCAGGGATTTTAATTAATCAGGCACCTTTCACTGTGGCTCTGGTCCAATTCATCTTAGGGCAGCTGCTTTTCTACACATTCTTCAACTCATAATTAGTATCAATAGCCACCACATCCATGTACAGTGTACCAGACAGGACAGCCTAGATGGAATCTCTGAGTGAAACTATTTCGTTTCTGACTATTTGGATCATTCAGTCCTAAAATCTTACTCTCCCACGTTTTTCTAATTGGGTTAGCTTATTTAAAGTAGGTAGCCATTCATCCATTCATTCAAATTTGCTTCCCCACTAAGTTTTGCTAAAGCCTGCTCTTTAGGAGTGCTGCAGACAGAGAAATTTCTTTTTTTTTTTTTTTTTTTTTTTGAGACGGAGTCTCGCTCTGTCGCCCAGGCTGGAGTGCAGTGGCGGCATCTCGGCTCACTGCGAGCTCCGCCACCTGGGTTCACGCCATTCTCCCACCTCAGCCTCCCGAGAGCAGCTGGGATTACAGGTGCCCGCCACCATGCCCGGCTAGAAATTTCTTTGAAGAACAACAAAGGTGGTCATTTCCCCTGGAGAAGGGCCAGAAAATTAAAATATGGAGATAAGAATCATGTTATTGTTTATTGTTCATATAAAATCACATTAAGATAGTGCATTCAATGATAGTTAAACCTATTCACAGAGAGAAAAAAAATTGTGTAGGCTAAAAGACTTATTCACAAAAGCTATATATTTTTAAAATCTACATCCTATCTGGCTAATTTTATCGACTGTTGTTTTATTCTCATTATATTTCATTGAGTACAAATAGTATGCCATAGGCTAAGAGAGCCGTGAGGCTCCTTTGCCTTCTGGGCTTTTCTTATTCAGAGAATCTGTTTATGCCCTGAAACTCCAAGTTATGAGCAACCCCTTTCTAGCTTCTTCTTACCGAGCTTTGCTAATCACCAAACCCTCTTTCCTCTGGGTAGAGATCCTAGAGAGACTGTTATTTTTTTAGCCCTCCTCCAAAAGAATTTTTCACTCTCCAGGTTTTCTACAGGTAAAAAGGTTATATATAACCTTTTCAAATCTTTCACATTTTTAAACTCTATTTTATTTAATTCAAATAGCATAAGTGATTTAAAAAAAATAAAATAATGCCTTTTTTCCTAAATAGGTGGACAAGAACAGGGACTAGCAATAGTATCTATTAGGTAGAAGTTAATAAAACTTACTGAACCCAGGTCAGCACAGCACTGTTGGGGTATATGATGGGACATGGAAGAGCTCCACACGTCCCATACTGATTCTCTATGTCATGTCCTGTCATACCCCATCACAAGCAATGTGCAAGTCCTAGGTTTAAAAAATTTACTGACTTAGAGATGGACAATTAGGCCCAAAAAAAATGGAACAGAACAGATAGCCAAGAAGCAGAGGCATGCCTATAAGGACACTTGATGTGTAATAGATGAGGCATTTCACAGAAATAGAGAAAGACAGTCATTGAATAAATGGTGTTGGAAAAATTGGTTGTCTATATGGGAAATTTGAAATTGAATACCTACCTTACAGCATGCATAATAAATTCCAACTTATTGAGAATTTAAGAATTCAAATACAAAAGGCAAAACATTCAAACTTTTAGAACAAAATAGAGGCAATATCTTTATGACCTGAAGGTTTTAGGGGAGAAACCTTGTTTCTTGTTTGTTTCTTAAACAAAACATAAGAAGCACAAATCTTATAGGATGAGATTTATTGCTAAATTGGGCATTAAAATTGTGATCTTAAACTCATAAAATGACACCATAAGAAGGTGAAAAGACAAGGCACTAACTGAGAATGTATGTTTGCAATAAGATAACCAACAAAATATTAGTATCCTGAAAATACAGGAACTGTAAATGGTTACAAAAGCAAACAGACAACGCGATAGTTAGGCAAAATATATGAACAAGTACATCTCAGAATATAACCAACAAGTATGACATAATCAAAATATTTATTGATATAGTAAATATTTTGTAAATGTTCCTTATAAGTTATCAAGAAAATGCAATAATAAGAACTGCAGCCCCACTGGATTGGAAAATAACTAAAAAGTCTAACACCAAGTGCTAGAAGACTATGTTGATAGTAGAAAATGATTTGGCATTACCTGATCGAAAATGTACATATTTTATGTAAAACTTATCCATTTCATTCCCACATATCAATTCTCGAAAAACCTCTAAAAATGATAACACAAAATTATACAGCACTCTAGTCTATTAAGCACTATTATAGGTACAAGTAGTGTACAAACTGTTGTTTCAATCCATTTTTTCGGTAGGCATTAATAACTTTACTTTTCACCGAGGTTACCTTCTCACGATCACATAATTGGTGAGTGGTGTTGACACCCCCCAGGGTTAATTCCCCTTTCTCCTGGTAATAGCCTCAACTTTTCTCTGGGGATCTGTCCTCTCCACTCTTACAGGCTTTGAGTGAGGCTCCATCCAGACATGGTCAATCAAAACACCACTGTTAATGGCTCAGGGTTACCACGATACTTAGGCCTGTCTGATCAAGCAAACCACAGGACTACTGGAAAAGACTCTTGCCCTTTCATGCTAGTCTAAAGCCTGGAAGGAAATGAGACTAGAATTCTGTAAGCTGCCAAATGGAGTCTGAGAATAAAGCGGCCAAAGCAGAAGGTAGAGTTGAGAAATGGAAAGAAATTAAGTCTTGATGATGTAACTTACAGCTCTGAGGTACCTAGGTCCAATCTATGCCCAAACATCTAGATTACTTAGGCAATAAACTCTCTTTTTGCTTAAGTGATTTTGAGTTGCCTTTTCTTCAACTTACAACCCAAAGAATTCTGAATGATACAATGACCAAATGAAAACTAGAATCCAGATATTCCAATGTCCACTTTTCTTTACACATAAGATGTGGTTGGTAGACTCCAAAAACAACATGAAAAAAATGAAAATAGTATTTTTGTTTTACTGTGACAATAATCTTTGGGGAATTTTTTTTAGCCTGTTATACAGAAAAATATTTCTGCCTCTTATTTTTATGGTTGTGTGTCTAGTTTTTATCTTACCCAATTCAAGGTCAACAACTTCATACTCAAAGTACTTTCTTTGTCAAAAATTCCTTTTCAGATGGTCAAGGACAACATTGTGTAGTTATAGATAAATGCATTCAAACTACCAATTGTGTTTCAAGGTGATCAAGGTAAGGATATGTGTTAAATTGTTATCATTAAAGGGATTTATACTATTTGATTAAACAACATAAATAAAGAATGGTGACACTGCAAATAAATAACATAATCAACAGTGCAAAGTCCTAAACAACATTCCCTCCCCACAGGAGGCTGGGAGATTGTCGGAGCTGTCACCAAGATGTTCTTGTCTCCTGATAGAGGCTGATGGCACTCAGAGTACCCACCTCACCAACTGGAGTCAATGAACTGTAACCGAGGGCTCCAGAAACCGTGCCTGTAATTGCAAAATCTTAATTCCAAACACAGTCTGACAAGTGTAAATGTACATAGGAGGACAACTGCACGGGCTATGTGAAAGCAGGACTTCCCAGGAATTCCAGAATGGTGATCACCAACATCAATAATAAAAGTCATTTGTAGTCAGAGCAAGTAGGTCAAGGTGTCAAAGGATGAGCATGACATGTCAACACTGTTGCTAAAATTGAAAAGTCTTCAACGTCTTCTCTGCTTGTTTGCTTCTTTTCTGGCACCTTCTGACTTCCTTTCTCCCTCACCCTTCAACCCCCAGCAGCCCAATTCCTTGTCTGTGAAAGCCCCACAAGGAGGCATCCAATTTAGACATAACCCTCTGGGGAACAGCTTAAAGCTCCAAAATTACGTCTTTCTTTCTCTCTTTCCATTTCACCCAGCGAAATTTCCATTTCCTCATAGAATCATGAGCATTGGAGCCATGCAGTGCTAAGTTGCAAACCAAGCCATGCCATTTACAAGCTAATGAAATTGGGCATGTTAGATAACATTTCAAAGCATCAGTTTCCTCATCTGAAAAATGGGAATAATAATAGCCCTAACTCACACAATTGTTGAGAGAATTCAGTGAGATAAAGCATGTAATGTAGTTTGCTCAATATATGGCCCATAGGGAGAGCCTAATTAACCTCAGTAATTATTGTTATTGCTGCTACTACTAACAGCAACAAAGATAAGAAAAAGCAATAGCTTTAACCGTCCTATGTAAATGTGTCTATTTTTGAAAAGAAACTTAATTGACAACTTAGGGGAAGTACTCATTCACAATTTGTATTTTGCATCCACTGTTTTTTGCCTGTGGGGCTTTCTGTAGAACAGATTGTGTATCTCTTACTGTAGTAAATTTCAACATTCCTTTTCATAGAAATCCATCGGCTCTGAAATAAGAAACTTTTATACACAGCCTGTAACCAGCACAAGCCATGCAAAACAATGCATTAGCCCAGAGATTCATTGCTAGCAATATAAAAGAAGACCTTTCTCCTCTTTTCTTTGGTGATTTATTTTATAAATAAATTGCTTTTCTTTAAAGGTCACTTTGTTGTTTTAGAGCTCTTTACACCTGACACTATCCTCTTACTGTTAGAAGTTGCAAAAAAAATATTTTAAGCAATATTTTCTAAGATTTTATCCATTACTCAGTCCAGTGACTAAGTAAGGTGGTTTGCTTGAAAATATAAGTATTATCAAAAATCAAAACAATAAAAAACTTATTTTATGTATCTTCCACCTAGGTAAGAAATAATAGTTTATTGCAATTAATACTTATTGAATACTTACTATATGCTTGGCAATATACATTAGGGTTTATATGTGTCATCTTACTAAGTCCTGACAATTATTTTATGAGGTAAGTTATTATTATTCTCACTTTTCAAATAAGAAAGCTAAGGCTTTGGTATGTTAAATAATAGAGCCAAAGTCACACAACTAACAAGGGGTAAAGAGAGGACGGATTATCCATCACTGTAATCCAAGCTGAAGACACTAGCCAGACTCAAACCTTTAACCATGACACCTCCAAAAGAAAATGTTGGGGAATGTAAATCAGGGTAGTTTTGAAGATATGAATCGGAACAGCCAATTTCAGTAAATCTTGTAGACTCCATCCTCTTGGCCTTTGGAACTTCTATCCTGAACTTCCTATCCACTAAGAGGAGATCTGAGAATTACCTTATTCTAATGCAGATTTATCATGAAAAAAATCAGATACAGTGATATTTGTCAACCTAGAACATACACTATTTCCTTCCATCCTCCCTATAATCCTTTGAGATGGATATTGACACCACATTACAAATGAGGAAATATGGTTCTGAGAGTTTAAGTCAGAAAGACCAGAGCTGCTTTTAGATCATATGGATGTTCTTTTTGGTCTACATTAAAACATTTGAGCTAGCATTTAAAAATAAGACGATTACATGCTTAAAAACCCAGATTACGTGCTAAAAATCCAGATACCCAGATTCTATAGAAAATTTCAAATTTCTGAAAACACCAGCTACATTCCCTTATGGCAATCACCAGCTAAAGATGAGGACTAGTTGCCCAAGGCCCATCCTCAGTGGCTATTACTATCTCCATCAGACAGCATCATCATTCCATTCTAAAATGAGTCTCTGTTGGCTCCCTCCACTCATGAGAACAGGCAGACTATTATGGTCAGTTATGGACTGGTCCTCAAAAGGCCCTGGCCATGTGTCCACTCTGACACTGTTACCATTGTCAAAAGATGCTGAAATGCCAAGAGTCACAGAGGAATGATGCAGGAGCAAGGACAATGAATGCATCCTCTCTGTCTGCTGGAAACACTTCTTGCCACAAGACACATTTTAAAAATTGTTACGGAATATTGTTTTCATTAGTTGTTTTATATAAGAATCTAGTATGTGGACAGCCTTTGTGGTTTTGTCACATGACTTCCCTAGGAGTAGTTCTAATAAAAAGACTTAGATCACACAGTGTTCATTTTCCCCTTTCTTAGAACCCCTAGTTTTAGGTGGGCATATGGCCGCCGAGAAAAAAACTACATTTCTCAGCCTCCCTTGCAGCTAAGTGTGGCCATGTGACTTACTTCAGATAAATGGGATGTGGACAAACTTCTGGTCTTCCAAAAGATCTATCTAAATACTCTTTTTCTCTTACCCCAGGCTATATCACCAATACAGACATAAGCCAACATCTGCCATATGGATATTAGAAGGTGATTACAAAGCAATAAGATGGAAGGAATTGGGGTCTCTGACTGTCCTCATAGAGGAGAGCCACCTTACCATCCCAAGACAGCTCATTCTGGTTCCTTTGGGGATAAATCAATTTTAACATACTTAAGCCACTAGAGTTTTATATATCTTTGTTACAGCAGCCTTCTTCCCCTTATCCAATCCCATTCTGCCCATTTTCAGTCATCCTTTGTCATTCCTTGAATTTCAGAGGATGAGGTGTGTGCTTCCTTCACTGTGTAAAGTACAGCCTTAAATTCTGACACAGCTTCTTGGGAGAAGTGAGACCTTGGGCAACCCTTTTACCTTCTCTAAACCTAATCTGCAAAATAATTGTTGGAATAATTTGTCAAAAGGATTAAATAAAGCCAAACTACCCCGCAGTTCCTGGCATTTTGAACGCATTAAATAAATGTCAGTGTCAGTCTTTCTCTTTCCTGGTTTAAATCTAATCATCCCGCCAGTGTTCTGAAAGCTCCCTGTTGCCACCAATTACCCACACTTCTCCCATATCTGTAACCTCTCCATCTCTTTTGTTCTGTCTATTGGCATATAAACAGATTAAAATTTCTCCCACCCTAAAAATTAAGAATAAGAACTCTGTCAAATCAATAACCACCCTGACTTTCTCCTCTTCACAACCCAAAATCCACAACGGGTTGCCCACTTTCTCACTTCCCACTCATTCCTCAACCTCCCCCTTCCTTCAATCTGGCTTTAGCACCCACCACTCCACTGGCATGGCTCAGTAAAGTTGCTAGTGTCTTTCTGATTGCAAAATTCTTCTCTTGTCAGCCTCTGAAGCATTAAGCACTACTGACACAAACTCTTTCTGAACATTCATTTCTCACTTACTTCCATGATTTGATCATCTCTGGATTTGACCTCTTAGGAATTCCTTCTGTGTCTCTGCTGTGGTCCTTTACTTCTTCCCACTTCTTAACTGCTGGTATTCTTCAGGTTGTATTTTGAGAGCTGCAACCAACCAGTATACTTGAGGTGAATTCATTGATGCACTTTCCAGATGCCCCTGCAAAAATAAAAGACTTCTTACTTTGGCTGCTGGGAGCACTGCTGGCAGAAACACTTAGCAGTCAGCCTTCCTCCAGGAAGAGAGCCACCTCACCCTAGGGCAGCATCCCATTCCCACATCAAATTACTGGTTGAATTAGGGATTTAAGGCTCAGCTCCTTTGTCCCAACTCAAAATAAATCTGAAGAGTCATTGTATTTCAGTACTCGCAGCAGGATCAGCCAAGTTCTTTACTGGGATTTTATCTCAGGTTGACTTCCACCTCCAACTGGACTGCTACACAAGAGAGAAATAACCTCTGTCTTGCATTTTGGGGTGTCTTTGTCCCAACTTATACAGTCACTATCCAACCTATTTTTTTAAAATGCATACTTGAGCCAGTTGCTCCACACTAAAATCTGTCAATGGCACCCCAATTGCCCTTAGGAGAGGATCCACGTTTCTATAAAAAAATGTTTAAAAGACTCCAAATGACTGGGCTTCAATGTTACCTCCAGATATACTCTCTAGGCAGCCAGGGACATTGTCACTGAGTTAGAGAAGGGCCCTAATTTCCAACCAGGGTTGTAATTCCTATTTTAGGGCCTTACACTCAATTTTCTAGAGCTCTGCAAACCAGAAGGCGGTACAGTGTAGAGGAATAAGACCAGATGAATCAGACAGACCTGAGTTCACATATGGTCTCCACTGTTCCCTGGTGTGACCTCTGAAAAAAGACTTAACTTTCCTGTAAAACAAGTACAATTGCTCACCTCAGGATTGCTTTGAGTGTTAAATCAGATAATATATAGTATTTGGCTGAGTGCCACGCATGTAGTAAACACTCAAAAAATATTATTATTGCTGCTCTCCTGGCTTTTTAGTTTGTTACAGCATAGAAGCATAGAATAACTGCCCCCCCCACCCCCCCCGCCCAAAAACACACACACCTGTCCTCTACCTGAGGATGTGTCAAGGACAGTGCACAGTGAGTGTTTTTGGTTTTGGGTTTTGTTTTTTTTAGACAGAGTCTCATTCTATCTCCTAGGCTGGAGTGCAGTGGTGTGATCACAGCTCACAGTAACCTCAAACTCCTGAGCTCAAGCCATCTTCTCACTTCATCCTCCTGAGTAACTGGGACTATAGGCATGCACCACCATGCCCAGCTAATTTTTTAAGTTTTTTTTTTTTTTTTGTAGAGACAGGGTCTAGCTATGTTGTCCAGGCTGGTCTCAAACCCCTGACCTCAAGCAATCCTCCCCATTTGGCCTCCCACAGCACTGGGATTATAGGTGTGAGCCACCATGCCTGGCCACTGTGAGCTTTGTATCTCAAATTATGTCTCTCTAGTTTCAATCTATCCCTGACTCAGCCCAAGCCCTCTCCTACACTCCTGCCTGTCTGGTATAGTTTGAGAGAGAATTAATAGGTGGTCATGACTTCCTAGTATATGAGCAGCCAAATTCCAGCATTCTTGTGCCTAACTATTACCCCTAAATCCCTCTCTAAGAGTTCACCCCTTTGAATCATATGCAAGTTGACCCTGGCTTCCTAGTTCTCTCTTGGAGACTTCAGTAATAAAAGTCCTTCATGTAAAGTACCCAAAGCGTAGCTGCATTGTGGTCCAGTCATGCATTAATTAAAACAAAAAGCCAGCAACTCAAAAGTAATTTTTTTCATTAGCATTTTTACTGCAGTTTCTTGGGAAAAAAAAAAAAAAGCCAAATAGGGAGCACAGAAGAACTTAGAAATTCTCTTTTCCTTTTCATTCGTTTTCAATTACTCCCAAACCCTGCAGCTACCCCAAAGTCTCTCAGCTCTTTGTCTAAAGCCAGATACATGCACACAGCCCACCAGAGCAGGCTTGCACTAACTTGAAAAAGCCAATTGTTAAATTTTTAGGAATTTTGCCAGCAAGCTGTTAAACATAGCCATTATTTAAGATTAAACTATATAAACTTGCAATGAAATAAATTATAAACAGAGATAATAAATATACAATACTCGGGAGGAAGATGAATAAACATGTAACAACATGGGTGAATCAAAATAATTATGCTGAAGCCAGACAAAAGAAGAGTATATGCTACATGATTCTACTTATATAAAACTGTAGAAAACTAATCTATAGTGATAAAAAGCAGATCAGTGGTTGCCTGAGTAGGCAAGGGTAAGAAGTAGTGAAAGTAAGAGATTACAAAAGGGCATAAGAAAATTTAGGGGAGTAATGGATATATTCATCATCTTGATTGAAGTGTACACATCACAGGTGTGTACATTTGTCAAAACTTATCAAACTGTACGCTTCAAATATGTGCAACTTATTGTATATCAAGTATGCCTCAATAACACTTTTTTTTGAGATGGAGTCTTGCTCTGTCACCCAGGTTGGAGTGAAATGGCACTATCTCAGCTCACTGCAACCTCCAGCTCGCGGGTTCAAGAGATTCTCCTGCTTCAGCCTCCCAAGTAGCTGGGACTACAGACATGCGCCACCACACCCGGCTAATTTTTGTATTTTTAGTAGAGACGGGTTTCACCATGTTGGCCAGGCTGGTCTTGAACTCCTGACCTCAAAGTGATCCATCTGCCTCAGCCTCCCAAAGTGCTGGGATTACAGGAGTGAGCCACTGCACCCAGCCAACATTTTAAATAAACACTCAAAATCCATCACTTTCCAGTTATTTTACTATTTTATTACATTTTACTATACATTTCCTATACATTTTATCTATACACTTGAAGTTTCTTTACAGCTATTACATCTGTATGTAGAAACACTATATAATGTGCTGCTTGGCATCTCCTCCCAGCTCCACACCCAATGACGTCACTTTGGTACCTTGAAATTGGCCATGGTTGGGGGATTTACACTATGGAAATCAACAAACACTACAAATCAGAACTTGATTTATTGTTCTGTTGACTTCTGACTTTAAAAAGTCATGGAAAAATGCTAATAATGCAGATTAAACTTCAAAACATGTCATGCCTATAGCCATTACACTGTCAACAGCACAAAATATTAAGAAAATCCACTTTTTAAAAAGTGCCAGGCATGGTGGCACATGCCTGTAGTACCAGCTACCAAGGAGGCTGAGGCAAGAGAACCGTTTGAGCCCAGGAGTTTGAGACCAGCCTGGGCAACATAGCAAGACCCTCTCTCCGAAGAAAAAATAAAATACTTTTTTCAGCATTTAAAAGCTATTATCTGATTCAGCATAGAAGTCACTCGCTCACATCATTGGCCAATTTGTAAAGTTCCAGCATATTCTTTGTTGTTTTATTTCCTTATGTCTAACTCATTAACAAAAATAATAACTGATGCTTATGTTAGAACTATATTCATTTGTCAATTGCAGCCATAGGTTGGCTATGAATACAAGAATTCAGCAAAAATCAATGAAAACATTCAATAAGGATCAATTGGTTGTATAGAATTTATAATAAAGAATATTACATTTTATGGCCAAGTGCGGCGGCTCATGCCTGTAATCCCAGCACTCTGTGAGGACAAGACGGGTGGATCACTTGATACCAGGAGTTCAAGACCAGCCTGGCCAACATGGTGAAACCCTGTGTCTACTTAGAATACAAAAATTAGCCGGCCACGGTGGCATGCACCTGTAATTCCAGCTACTCAGGAAGCTGAGGCACAAGAATTGCTTGAACCCGGGAGGCACAAGTTCATGCCACTGCACTCCAGCCTGGGCGACAGAGTGAGACTCTGTTTCAAAACAAAAACAAAAAAAAGAAATATCATATATTTAATTTATAAATTATGTGCTTCACAGAAAAATGTATAATAAATATATGTATGTATGTACACACACGCAAACACAGTTTTGTTTTCAGGAAGCCAGTTATTAAGCATTTACCAGCACTACACCACTATTATATAATGTTTGTTTGCCAGATAACCACTCCATTTCTTGGTGTCCCCTGCCCTTTTGTCACCTCAGGTATTTATGGTGTATCTTGTTGGTTGAGAGTTTTTTGTTGTTTTTGTTTGTTTTTCTTTTTTATTTGTTCATTTTTCCCAATACCCAAATTCTGTATAAGAAAGGAAGAGTCTGGACAGACCACATAAGCAAGAATCCTGCTTCCTTAGTGAAGAAGGAAAATTGCAATCACTTCAATATAACCTGCTTACTTTGCTTCTCCTTTATTTCTACTCCGTGCATGTTTTTGGCCTAGTGTCTTAGAGCTGGCAAGGTGATTACACACACCCATGCTTGCTTATGCTTGCTTCAGCATTGCTGGCTACACTCACTTCCCCACTTCCCTTTAAGCTGCCTCAGCAGGGTCCTGTTGTAAAAGTTAGCATGCATTTGCTAAAGGCATTGCAAAGAGAAGTACAGGTGTTCATTGCATGACATCCACTGGACTCAGATGTGAATCCTAGGATCTGAGTAAAGGCTTGAGTCCATGATTCTCTGACCATAAAATCATATCAATACTCTGATTACAGAGATAGAAGCATTTCATAGGCTTTCCCGAAAGGCCTGGAAAGATACAAAAATGAAATTACTCATTTCTCGGGGTGGTAAAAATGTAGGCGAACTTCTTTTCACCTACATTTTGAATTCTACTGTGTTAGAACTCTATTAATGTCACTATAAATTGTTTGCATAACTATATAAATTAGGAATTTATTTATATGTTGGCATATCAAAATAGAAAAATGGCATTCTTGTTTTGTTTCTATGCATCCTAATGCACAAAGTGTTATACAAATTTCCTTCTATTCATCCCTATTCCAGGACCCTTCCACCCTCACTCTTATTATCTACTGTTTTCTCTCTATTCTTGTTTCCTCGCCTTCCTTCATAGCCACAGCTGTTCTCCTCCCACCACCAGTCAGAGCGGCTGCTTCCTGACCCCACAGGGTCTCCACAAGCATGCTCCTGCTCCCAACAGAACCAAAAAGACCACTGCATCCCCATCCCTGTGGCTGTGTCACCCACTGAACATCCCAAACATGCTCCATTTCCCCAGAAAGTCATTCATCATCATCCCTTCATGCCTTTTGAACTGTTTCCTCTTCCTGAAATGTTCTTCTCTGTTACTGACCATGGAAGCCCTACCTCTCTTTCCAAACTCTAGAAAATGCCACTTCCTTGGGTAAGTCAAGCTTCTTCCAAGGCCCTGAGGGAATGAATGAGCCCCAGGTCTTGTACTTCCTTAGCCTCTGCCTGGGTCTCTATTGTCATGCTCCTCTCATGCTGCCTGTCCATGTCCCCTCTACCTGTCTGAGTAAACTCTTATGTTAAACTACACATTCTTGTTCCTGGAACAATGCCTAGCTCATTCATAGAACAAATAAATGCCTTGTTCTATAACTCGTTATTTATGTTAATTCAATGAAGTTACTGTGTAAAATGTGTCAGATACTAGGGTAAGTGCTATGGATTCTATAAAATAATTAGGCCTAGTCTCTGTGGTCAAGAAGCTTGCAGATAGGTGATGAGGAGGGGTCCAGGGCTGGACTAGGGTGAGGCAACGGAGGCACTCACCCCAGGTGCAAATTTTAAGGGGGTGCCCAAGAACTCGGTAATTAAGATAAATAATATTTTAATATTATATTTTTAAAATCAGAATTAATGCTAAAAATCCATGATGATCAAGATACCAAAATGTTAAACAAAGGCAGAGTCCTTTTCCTTTTGCCTCAGGCTCCAACGTGGCTTAGCACGGCACTGTGTGAAGGGGTATGTGTGCAGGGGAGAGAGTAAGTAGGGAAGCAAATGACAAGCAAACAGGACACGGAGTAGGAGGGCCTAAATGAACCTCCCAATCAGCAATATGGGGCCCTTCACCTGCTTATCTCACCCTGACCCTAACCTGGCTCTTCCCCTGTTTGTCCTGCCTCAGTAAATGATGCAACCGTTCAAACAGAGCCCAAGCCGGAGACCAGGGAATGGTCTTGCCTGCTTTCTCTCCCTCTCCCCTGTCTGTTATCCTCTTTCTCTCCTTTCATATCCATGGTGCCGCTTCCTAGGCTTCCCGCCACCCCTGTCCAATCCACCCTCCACACTCCTCCAGGAAGCTCATGTAAACTCCAGTGGGATCCCCAGAACAGTTTAGCAGATAAAGCCCAAACTTCTCAGAGAGGCGTATGTGAGCTGGGCCCTGTCTGTGCCCAGATTTGAACTCAGTCCCCTGCACTCCCAAACCCTGGCCCTTTGCTCTTGCTTTCCCCTTACCCATCAGACGCTTTCTTTTCCACATCTGGAGAACTCCTACTCATCCCACAGGTGAGAAGCAAAATCTTGAACCAAAGACTGCCTGACAATAAATCCAGTTACCACTACAATTATAGAGGTATACATGCTTCTTTGCAGAAATTCTGCTTAGAGATTATCCCCTTCAAGAAAACTTGCTTGATTCTCCCCTATCTCCTAGGACAGTGTTGAAAGGCCCTGCTATGTCCTCTTATAAAGGCCCAACTCCATATTTACCACAGGTGCTATATTTGCCTGTTTACTTATCTGTCTCACCACTGGAAGCAGCCCACAGTCAGGGAATCATTGGGGATCATTTTTGCATCCCAGCTTCTAGCCACTTACTTATATGTAGTAGATGTTCGATAAATGTTTGTTGAATGGATAAATGAAAGTCTGAGTGGCATCTGGATTGATAGGAAATACCAGTTAGATGAAAGGAAGAAAAACACCTATCTCTTAGGGCTACTGTGTACCGTGGGACAGGTTGTACACTTCGTAGCTTTAGAGAAATGTGATTTATGTCATGTCTATGTGAATGGCAACCCCAGAGATCACACAGGGGAATTCTAGTCCACCTCTCAGTTGTCATTCTTTGAGGGCATGCACCCTGTCTTAATCCTTTGAGGTCCACATACAGCACCCACACAGTGCTTCATGCCCTGTAGGTTCAGCGGGCTATTAGAGAAATGAATGGATATACTTAAGTGAATTTTTCATAAAGTTGTGGTAGCCAAAGTATTGCCCTCTTCACATTAGGGATATTTTTATTCTTTGAACTATAATGAATAGTCAAAATCTTTTCCTCCCATCAAGCATTCATTCATTCAACAAAGATTACTGAAATATTCACTTATGTGCCAGGTATAGGCACTGCCCTGGACACTGAGATAGAGCAGTGGGCAAAACAAAGCTCCCTCATTGAACTTATATTCTAGTGCAGAAAACACTGGAGACAAATAAGCAAAAGAAGTATGTAATAGAATGTTGAAGACAGATAGGAGGAAGTGATATGAAGAAAATTAGTATTGAGTTGGGAAATAGAGGGAATCAGGGTGAACAATTTTAGATAAGATGATGTTTTCCCCAATTCATATGTTGAAACTTAATTCCCAACAAGATGGTAATCAGAGGTGAGGCCTTTTGGAGGTGGTCAGGTCATGAGGGTGCTGCCCATAAAAGAGGCTTGAGGTAGCCTGTGTGCCCCTTCTGCCACAGAAGAGAGAATGCAGCAAGGTTATTAGAAGTGAGCCCTCACCAGACACTGCTGGTGCCCTGATGTTGGACTTCCTTATCTCCAGAATTTAGAGCCATAAATTCTGTTGTTTACGAGTTAGCCAGTCTAAGGTAGTTTTGTTATAGTAGCCTGACAGACTAAGACAGGTGGTTAGAACAGGCTTCTGTGAGGAGGCCATGATTAAGCAGCCCTAAGTCAATGAAGTGAGGAAGTGAGAAGTGCTCTAGGTTAGGGAAGAACTTACAAGGCCACCAGCAGAGCAAGCGGAAAGGCCAGAAGGTAAGAATGAGCTTGGTGTGCCTGAGAAAGTGCAAAGAGGAGTGGGAGAAGAAAAATGCCAAAAAATTTTTGCATTCCGGCCTCCTCTTTCTAGATTCCATAGGCAACACAAAGACCTTCAGTGACTAATCTTTTTTTTTTTCAAGTCACTCCTTACCTCAGGCTACCAGTTTACAGCACAATTCAAGAGATTCTCTCTTTTTTATTGTTTTTTTGACATCTTTACATCGCAGGCCTATCTTTTTGGTATGCAATTCTGGATATTTAGAAAACATTCTCTTTTCAACAACCAATACAAACTTTCTTTTTTTAAAAAAAAAAAAAAAAAAAAAAGGAATGTGAGTATGGAGAGGATTGTTTTTCCATATGCCCACGCCTATCTGAGACAAGTCACATTTTCGCTCATTATAATTTCAGAAATGGTCTTTTCCTGACCTTGCTCCAATTTCTGAGCAACTACTATGTGTTGATTATTGGCAAGGTGACCAAAAAGCAAGAGGAGCACCGGCAAGAAACAAACAATATGAAAAATTAAGAGGATTGACTTTTGATATTTTTGCTTCTCTAGGCAAATGGTGACACAAAGACAACTTCCATTCCTTTTCATAAGGAAGGCATGGTTAAATATGAAGGTTTTCATCTTAATAAGGGTCTTTTCATTGGTTGTTAACCAAGCCAAATTTGACCAAAGCTTTTCTTCTCTTTTTCTAGGAGATATTTGCAGGCATCTTATTGTATTGAAGGCTGTCTTGTCCTTTAGAAAATAATTTCTATACAATTTTTTCCTACCATAGAATACCAAGAAGTCAGATAATATAAAATACTGTATGATCAAATGTGTTATGCTGACAATATTCTTTTTCTGCATAGACCAAGTCATCACAATGAAAAAACCCAACTCAATTTCACTTGATCCCTGTGGTATTATTTCTCTGTCCTTCATACTACATTCCCAGAAAATGATGGCTCATCTGGTAGGTGGCAATAATAACCCCACAAAGATTAGAGCCTTTGGAAGCATCAAGAATAAAGTTCACTCTGTGACTTGATAGACAATGGTTAAAACTCTAATTAGTCTTTTATAGAACCTTGGCAAGAAGTGATAAAACTATGAACACTTACTTCTCTTTTTCCCAGCCTACTCCATGTGAATAACAGAATTTCATATATAATTCAGAATTTGGGAGGTAGAGGAGAGAAAAAAGGTGCATGTATTTTGAAAAAGCTCCCCTTACATCCTGGTGTTTCTCTTGATAAGTAATTTTCCCTTCCACCTTCTTTGTACTGTTCTACTGTTCTGTGGCTATATTTCTATATGTATTCTGTTTTTCATTTATAGATATATTACTTATTTATCCCCTTCCTTACCTCTTCAAAATTTAAGGAGGTATTATTTCTTTCTCCCATCATTCTTCTATTTTATTATTTTCCTGAATATCTCCTCTCTCTTATCATTCTTTCTCTCACAACTGATCATAATACAGAATTCAAGTTTATTTTAAAATAGTTATTGTATCTCTGAAGTTTATATTTCCCATTCTTTATTGTGAAGTCCGAGTTTGGAGGAGGAGAAAGGAACAACCATTTATTAAACATTTTAGTATCAGACATTAGGCAAGGCGCTTTGCAGACATCAATTCATTTAATCATCTTAACAGCCTGTGGTCAATTAGATATTGTTCAGAAATATTCACTCCCTCCCCTTCACTTTCATGGGAGAGGATACTTCTTGCTCCAGTGATGTTGGGTTTGCCTAAATGATTTGCTGTGGCTTCAATATTGGGCAGGATGTACTTCCCTGCCCCTTGACATTGGTCTCAATCATGTGACAAGCTTTGGCCAATGGGATGGTAGCATAGACAAAACAAGCAGAAACTTGAATTACGCTTTCACTATTGAGCTTGCCCTCTTGCACTTCTGCCATGCCATGTGAAAAACTCACAGGCTAGGCCTCTGGTTCCAGGAGAAGGATGAATCTCTCAGAAAACAAAGCCACTGCAACCCAGATTAGCCAACTTCCAGCTGACCCCAGCTCTCCAGATGCATAACCTAAATAAAGGCTTGTTGTTTTATGCCACTGAGATTCTGTAGCTTTCGTTATATAGCAGTAGCTAACCAATGCACAATCCTGTAAGATAAGCAGTAGTATTACCCCTTTTTTTAACCAAAATGGAAACTGAGAGTAAGAAATAAGCCCACAGACACACAGCTGGAATGCTGTAAAGACAGGATCTACACCAAAGTCTGTCTGATTGAAACTCCAGTGCTATCTTATCTACAGTATGTTTCCTCTTTAATCTTTACATTCTTCTTTCCTTGAAACAAACAAAATAAATATGATTTTTACTTTCATGTGTCTCTTGGTTGGTTTTTGCTGAGGTCAATAGTCCTCCCTAGAAAGTGTATTCTTTCCCCTGCCGAGAAGTTTGACTTCCTAGAATCATGTCTTTACTTTATTCTGTGAGTTCTCAATATTGCCCACTTGTAATAGGATTTAAAAAACTAGTAACTGGTTATTCCAAAAATTTTTTTTTTTTTTTTTTTTTTTTTTTTTTTTTTTTTTGAGACGGAGTCTTGCTCTGTCGCCCAGGCTGGAGTACAGTGGCGGGATCTCGGCTCACTGCAAGCTCCGCCTCCCGGGTTCACGCCATTCTCCTGCCTCAGCCTCCCAAGTAGCTGGGACTACAGGCGCCCGCCACTACGCCCGGCTAATTTTTTGTATTTTTAGTAGAGACGGGGTTTCACCGTTTTAGCCGGGATGGTCTCGATCTCCTGACCTCGTGATCCGCCCGCCTCAGCCTCCCAAAGTGCTGGGATTGCAGGCGTGAGCCACCGCCCCCGGCCCAAAAATTTTATATATACATATATATATAATTTTTTTCTTAAGCTCTAAGTTGATCAGATAGGAAGAGCAAATGCTGGGTGCAAGCATGTGATAGATAATTACTGCCTCCTCTACTACAGCCCAGAGGCGGAGTATGTGATAAAACTGGAGTATTCTGAGTGGTGGGTCCTGATAACACAGTTCTTGGAGCACAACAGAAACTGCTGGCATTACTGCGGAGTCACTTGTCATTATTTTTTATAACTGATAGCACTGAAAAGAAACACCTAAAAAAAATGACAAATACAGTGCCCATTGATTTTAAAATCCCAGAAGACTCTCCTGGATATTAGAGATTGATCAGCTTAACTTCAGTGTCTGCCAAGGTATGTGGACAAACAGTCAATTTGAGATAATGCTCTAGTTAACTCGATGGCTAGCCAAAAGTGTGTGCAGTTTGCAGGCTTAGCCCTCCATGGTAGATCTTTAAATATCACCCAGTGGTTGTTAAGATCAATAGGGAATACTGCTTTTTTATATAAATCTCACTTTGAGATATGATTCAGTTTCTCAACCTGGGCACTATTGGCATTTTGGCCCAGATAATCCTTTGTTATAGGAGCTGTGCTATGTAAGCATTGTAGGAGGCTTAGCAGTATACTCTGGCCTCTACTCACTAGATGCCAATGTCTCCAGACATTGCCAAATGCCCTGTGGGGGTCAAAATTTCCCCTAATTGAGAACCACTGGGCCACATAAACACTTCCTCTAATTATATTTATTTAGTATGCCTAACTATAATGTAACCTGCCCATGAGCATGTATTCACCAGTCCTTGTCTCCACGGATATTACACAGACTGTCAGGGTGAACTTCAAAGCCCCGAAGTTTCACCCTGTTCCCCCTGGGAATCAGGAGGGGTTGTTGCACATACATTCCTGAAGTCTTCAGCTACTGTTAACATGTGATACCATTCTTTCCCGCTGCTCCAGTTTCCCTCCAAGATGTCTGCCACCTAGGAAGCCATCTGAGGGTACCTCCCCACGTCAGTGCTGCCAGGAGGTATCTTGAACTTCCAAGTTCAGGATGTCTGTGCTGCCTCCAAAAGTATTCGAGGACACCATCCCTGGAGATTACAGAGTGATACCACCTTCCTTGGTGTCCTCACTGCATTGGAGTCATTCTGAGCCCCTGAAGAGGGCCTGTGTGTGCCATGCTGTATCACTTGGGCATCCAAAGAATACTATTTGTATCCTGTCATCCCTCACATCCCCCATCTCACAGAATCTGTCAAGAAGAGCATAATTTGGGCTTAATGGTTCTCAATCCCTTAGGGAGGCCAGTGCTTCTCAAATGTAACATGCAGCAGAGTCTTCTGGGAGATCATCTGAAAAGGCAGATTCTCATTCAATAGGTCTGAAGTGGGGCCTGAGATTCAGTATTTCTTACAGGCTCCCAGGTGAGGCTAGCTCTGTACTGCACTTTAAGCAGCAAACTCTTAGTAGACATTAGAATCACTTGGGGTGTAGATTCCTAGGCCCCTTCCACCAGAGAGGCTGATTCAGAGGGTCTCAGTGAGATGCAGTCATCTATGTTTACAAGTTACCCCAGGTAGTTCAGAGTCCACATTTTAATTAACACTGCATTGCTGTAGCCTTTATCTTTGTAACATTGAGAAATATATTCACTAGGGCTGGGCCTAATCCATGGAGCTATAAAGCCAATTCCACAGGTATGTCATCTTCCTGATTATAAGCTCCCTCCCTACAGCAAATCACCTCATGCAAATAAAGAGCTGTCTGGTGACACCCCTAGGTCATTAGGTAGGCCCAAATAAGCCCAAGCCCCCAGTAACTAACCCAAGACAGATGCCTGCTGGGCCCCTAGCAGACTGGAAGAGAAGAAAGTTTGGGTCTCCTTCCAGGCTGCAGTACAGGGAGAGCCTTTTAAATAAAAAGCAATTGTCAATCCACATAGAAAGCACATACATCTTTCTGGAAACATAGAGTTAGAAAATTCTTCACCCTGTGGAACTTAGGCCTGAACTCTGTCTGTCCCTCGGGTCTTTTTTAGATGAGCAATTTCCTCAGACACAGGAGATCTACCACCTGGAACCTCTTCTGATGTTCTGGAGTTTCAAGGTAGAATACACTTTTTGAGGATTTATGCCAAGGAAGAAAGTCTGGAGAGAACTTTTCTAGATTAATATCCACAGAGGCCTCCCTCCCTGGTGTTCAACAGAAATTCCTTCTTGTCACTCAATTCCTCACAGGGGTCATACTTTCCCATCAGTAACTTCCTCAAAACAGGTGTAAGACATCAAATGAAAAACATAATAGTTCCAGCAGAAGAGATAGAAAGAGAGAAACTCCAAGTTTCGAGAGAGAGAGAATAGAGTAGTTTTATGATACATTCACTTAAAAGAGAACCCCAGGATTTTCCATAGAAGTCAGCACGACTAGGGGTGAATGTAAGGAAGAAATACTGAGATTCTACTGTGTAACAGGCACCCTACATGCATTACCTCCTATCACTTTCGCAAAGATAATGAGGTGTCATCACTCTCGTTTTGGTGATGAAGACATGGAGTTCAAAAAATTTGAATTCAAGAGAAAATGAGTCTGGGTTTCTGATCCCAGGGAGCTGCCCTATCAGCCCCGTGCTGCTTACACTGAAACATCTATCTCATTTAAGCTGCTGTTATTTTGGGTCTCTCTATGACAGTAACTGAAATCTATAACCTAACTAATATAACCAGATTCTATATCCAAAATTACCAGGATAAATACAACATTTAAATACCATCATTAGGAGATTTCATATCATTTTTCTGAGTGCTTTCTTTGATGGTGTTGCATGTGAATACAAACGTGAGTGAGCACTGCTGGGACCGTGGTGCTTCTCTGCATTCCCCCATTACCCGCTAACGCCAATAATGGCATCTGTCAAGCTCTTTCATAAGTATGGTGTACAGAGAAATGTCCTGACAGATTTGGCGGGATCAGGCTAAATCCATCCAAGAAGAAAATGTCATTTCAATTTTTATAATAGATTTTTGAAGAAACATATCATATTACTATCCTTCTTTATGAAAACTTATATTGCAAAAGATGAACTACTAAGCCAAGGGAGATCAATAAATGTGCCGGTGTGGTTCATCTCAACTCCAGTTTTCTCCAATTCTATCTCATTGTATACCGTTTTTATAAGAAGAAACAGTCAACGTTTTACATTTTAGCTTAAGATCTAATCCCCTAATCTCTTAAGAAATATGGATACAGTGACAACTTACTCCAGATCTTCCAGGGCCAACCCAATTTCAAATGCTTTTTAATTGTCATCATTAGGTCCTAGTCTATGATTCAGCCCTGTGTCAAAGACTGCATTCTTGTTTTTTCCATTTAAAATAATGAAACATAGACTCCTTTAATCTGAAAATCACCTATCTCACACTTTTCCTGGAATAGATTTGATTCGGACAACTTGAACCCTTCCCAAATCTTCCCGCTCCCAATTCTGCCTGCCTCGCTCTCATTCCCAAGGTCCCTGATTAATTTCCTTATGTCACATTTCTATTATTTACCTAAGCATTATTATTACAGTAATTACAGTGGCTAGGTTTTTCTTTTGTAGATATATACATTTATATGCATCTGTCTCCAGGCCTAGACTGAATTCTTTGAAAACAGTGACCCACTGCATTTGCTTTTGTATCAATATGCCTAACATATAGGCTGGCACACGATATATGTTCAATAACTTCATGTTTTAAGTTAGCAAAAATAAATAAATATGGTTTTGCTCTTTTGCTCATAGGTAAGTACAGAAGTGGGATTTCTGGGCACTGTAGAGAATGCTGAGTCTGTTTAAGATGTGTCACCCAGGCATATGAGTGGCTTGGGAGAGCTGAGGGAAGAAAGGGATTGTGCTAATGGGGGAGATGAAAAGAAGCCAACAGCAAATGTTACCTTCTTCCAATTTTGTCTAAAGCTCATCTTGTCCACAGCAATCACACAAAGCTAAATTTAATAGCTAGAAGTGAGGTCAAGGGCCAGGGGCAGACTTGGTTGAATTAGAAATTAAATAAATTCTCAACTTGAAGGATGAAGAATAAATGCTCTACTGCTACACTCTAAAAACATCCCCAAGAAAAATATGTTCCATTAATCTAAAGAACCAGAAACATAGTTCAAGAGATATTGCCTCCCCATTCTATAAGAGCTAATTGCTAGATATTCTTGTTGGCCAATAATGTGGGATGTGATCACAGTTCTTTTCTGGGCAAGTGTTTTCATGGGGCTTGCATAGTGAACTGGGGCCTGTAAACGGAGTACTTAGAAATTAAATTAGGCAAGATTTCAGGGGTACTCAAATAGGCTCATTTTTAAGTTTTATTTTAGCTAGCAGAGTGGATGCAGAGGAGGGGAATTTAGCTTCAAGTGACATGAGCAAGAGCTTGGATCTGGGCCCTGAAACCGTAGTCACTTCCTGTAGCACTCATATCCATGGATCTGAACACATCTTCTACCAAGCAGACAAAACCCACCCCAAAAAGTTATTTTTCCCGAGTTCAAAAGAGGTCTGCAGTTTGCATATTTCTTGATTTATTTGAGAAATCCGGATGCTTCTTCCCCCAAGTTCTGATTTTTGATCTGCGATTTTTATTTTTGCCTCGGTTGATAAAAGATAGTACATCCTTTCTTGGCACCCCCAACTTAGTCACCAGAAGCAGATGGCTGTGAACATGTGATCAAACTTATTTTTTTAATGATTTTTTTTTTACAAAGCCAATATATCAATACATGAAAGCAGGCAGCCTGTCAGCCTAAAATAATAAGCACTACAAAAACCTCCTGTGTTTGAAGTGAAAACTTTTTCTCTCGTGTACTCCCTTCGCCTCTAAATGCTCAGCTGCTCCACGCAAGCTGTAAAAGTCCCCCTTCCTTTGTTCACACTGTTCATTAACTGAGGGCATAACTGCTTCTGATTCTGCTCTCATATAAAGCACCAGCACTTCACACTGGCAGTCTGATGTGCACAGATTATAGATTGGGGCTTTACGACTCCATGTGTAGTCACCACTGTTCTCTTTTGCTTTAAAGTAACTACTATCAGCTACCCATGATTATCCAAGTTCCTCTTGATGCTGTTACCCACTCAGCTTAATTAAGTCATTTGTTGGTATAAATAAGGTTTTGGTTTAACTGAGCTCAGCACAAGGAAAAGTGTGTTAAAGTTCTTTAGTTGCAAACAACAAAAATACAACTAGAACAACTCAAGCTCCCAAGAGAGGGGACTTTAGTGTGATACTGTGCAGAGTCTCAAAGGTCTGGAGGACCTGAAGGTAGAAAGACACATGACCTTAGGAAGTGAAAGAGCCTGAGAATTACAAAACTAAAAGGAAGCATTCAGCCAAGGCATCTTCTACATTCTCTCTCCACAAACCAGCCTTGTCTGTTTCTCAGAACCTGCAGGCTCAGCCAAGAGACAGACTCTTTCCGTTTCAATCCCAAATGCCCAGGAGATTGGCTAGTTTGAGTCTGATATCCAGCTTTGGGTCTTGCTGGCCAGAGCCAGAGATGGTATCACACAAAATAACCATGATGGCTAGAGGACCAAGTTTTATGGTTGAAGCCATTCCTGGGAAAATATGGAGTCATGGTCTCACTAGCTGATCAGACACCTCCAAGAGTCCCACAAAGAACACTACCAAAAAAAAAAAAAAGCCAGTTGTATCAAAATATCACAGGTACTCCATAAATATGCATAACTGTTCTGTATCCAAAACAATTAAACACAAAAAGTCAAAAAGGAAAGACTACCAGCCAGGTGTGGGGGCTCTCGCCTGTAATCCCAACACTTTGGGAGGCTGAAGTGGGTGGGTCACTTGAAGCCAGGAGTTCAAGACCAGCCTGGCCAACATGGTGAAACTCTATCTCCACTGAAATACGAAAATTAGCTGCGTGTGGTGGTGCATGCCTGTAATTCCAGCTACTTGGGAGGCTGAGGCATGAGAATTGCTTGTACCTGGGAGGCAAAGCTGGCAGTGAGACGAAATCACACCACCACACTCCAGCCTGGGTGAGAGAGTGGGATGCTGTCTCAAAAGAAAAGAAAAGAAAATACTACCAATGCAGTTTCTCATATCACACAATGGAACAAACATTAAAAATACGTTGTCCATTTTTAATAGCTGTATTAGGGTTGTAACTGATATACAGAAGAAAAAACCCTGTGCACATGTTTAATTAATACATTTTGAGTTTGGACAGGTGCAAACATCTATGATACCATCATCTTAATCAAGATATTAAACATATCCATCATCTTTAAAAGTTAAAAGAAAACACCAAAATATGCAAACATTCTGTAATCCAATTGAAGGTGAACAGTAGCAAGTTTGGTAACTGGGGAGAAAAATAAGGAATGCTTTAAGCAAGTTTTCCCCATCATTCTGAAAGGGAATGACCACCATTTTCAGCTTGTCACTGAGAAATAATGAAGATTTTGGACAGCTTTCTATTTCTTCTTGGACCTTATTTTCATAATGTAAATAGATTTGTTATTTGATTCGAAATATTGTAGTTTTCCTCAGTGTAAAACAAACCCGTAATTTAATAGAAGTCTCAAAATTCATTTAAAGCCTAATAGACACTATTTATGAAAGTGTGTTGTTAGATTTTTATTTCCTTCAAATGTCAAAGAACTGAAGTTGCCGGGCACAGTGGCTCACGCCTGTAATCCCAGCACTTTGGGAAGCCAAGGGGTGGGGGTGGGGGGTGGATCACCTGAGGTCAGGAGTTCGAGACCAGCCTGACCAACATGGAGAAACCCCATATCTACTAAAAATACAAAATTAGTCCGGCATGGTGGCACATGCCTGTAATCCCAGCTACTCGGAAGGCTGAGGCAGAAGAATCACTTGAACCCGGGAGGCAGAGGTTGCAGTGAGCCGAGATTGCGCCACTGCACTCCAGCCTGGGCAACAAGAGCAAAACTCCATCTCAAAAAAAAAAAAAAAAAAAAAAAAGAAGAACTGAAATGTGGTCAGTGTACCTCAATTTGTAAAAGTAATAAAGATAGCATTTTTGAGATTCTTTTTCCCCAGTAGATCATTTTTTTCCTACACCTTTTTCTCTCCAAGAAGCATGGCAGTTCTAAGCTTGTTACTTCAGAAAAGGGACAAGCCTTGATGGAAATCTGAAACAACGTTTTCTGGCTTGGGTTTCCAAAATCCTTGGCCACGCTGAGGGATGAGGAGATGACAGATGGAGACCATCTTCAGCACAGGCAGAAATATGGTAGAGAAATTCCAGGGCTGAGAATAAGGGAGGAGTCGGGGAAGGCCGTTGTGTAGCCTGGGGTTTCCCTCACAGTTAGAAGATTCGTCTTGGCTGGATAAGAGGGAGAAATCTAGGAGACAAATTAAGTATTTATAAAACAGTTCTGTAAAGTGTGGCCTGTAGGCTTTTTCCTGGTAAGAGCCCCCAGGAGACAGCAAAACCTCAGATAGATTTGTCGGGTCAAGGGATGGGTCCCTGATCTCTGCTTTTCATGTGGATGGAACTGTCTAGGAATGTGGCACAGACTACACAATGACCATGCTCCATGCAGAAACCCAGGGAGAGTCATAAGCAGCTAGGCAGGCAGAACTTTGGTCATCCCTGGCCCTAGTGAGCTCACTATCGCACAGAAGCAGTTGGATGATTCTCATGCTCCAAAATACGATTCCTAAAGCAAGCCATTGACGTAACATCTCAGAGGTTATTTGCATGGATTGACTCCTGGGACAAAAGGACCAAAAACACTCTTCTGTGGATATCTGTGCAGATAGATGACCCAAAGATCAGATGCTACCCAGATGTGTTTTGATAATACATAAGCCCCTAGGATTTAGATACAATCTTGAAAGAAACTGAGACAGATAATTCTGAATTAAATGAGGTAAAGTTTCAGGCACTCAGCTGATTGGAGGCTCAAAATAGAATTAAGTTGCATTATAGAAAAATAAAGTTAAATTTCAAACACTTGAATTTCTAAACTGAGATAGGCATCCACTAAGTAAATATGTAGGAAAACACAAGAAACAATTTCAGCAGACCCCCTAAAAGGCCATTCAATGCCATTCAGTATTATGAGAGGTTTTTAAGATTTTTCAGCAAGTATTCCCTTTTTCTTGCCCACCTCTTTTGGAGCTAGTATATTTCTCCTGCCTCATTGATGTGGGACATGAATAATGGAATGTTGGAGGACATGACGCAAATAGAGGCAGAGGCATTTAAAAATATTGTTGCCCATTTTGGCTTGATCTATTATGCTTTTGGTCTTCATAATGAAAAGAACATGCCCCAGATACCACTTGTTCATGACTGAGGAGATGCACAAAGCAGACCAGAATTCAACACATAACACAAAGCAGAATCATTCCTCCTGACCCCCAGTCCATGAATAAGAAATAAATGTTTGTCATTATAAGCTGAGACTTTGGGTTGTTGTTATAGATCTTATTACAGTAATAACTGGCTAATACCTATGAAAAACTGTAGCACTAGGAGATCAGCAGCTGCTCTAATGATGCAACCAAATCTTGAGTGCTTATGTGCTCCGAAGTATGTGTTCCCTGATTCCTTCTTTAACATTCTGCCATTATGTTTGGAGTGCGTATCGATGGTATTCTCTACCCAGAATTTCTCTCCCTTCTTTGGTGGAAGTGTACTCTCTTTCTCTTGGAAATCTGTTCTTTGTCTCCCTTGCAAACCGTGTAGTTCTACTGAAGACTGACAATCATAGTACACAGTGAGCACACTGATTAGTCCAGTGTTGGTTAGGTGATCTAAGCAGGACCAATTAGAGCCTTCCCTAGGATTTTTTTAGCGTTGGAGCTGCAGGGGACCATGCCCCCTCTCTTTTCATGCACAATGCCTGTTGACAATAAGAGAGAATGAAGCAAACATGGGGGAAGCATGGGTATAAGACAAAGACAGAAATTTCTAATTTCTGGGTGGGTTTTATTCCTGCTTCTCATCCTACCTAACCACATACCTAATCTTCCTGGTTATATTAGCCAAAAAATTCTTTTTGTTTTGTTTTGTTTTGTCCAAGCAAATTCAAATTGGGTTTTTGTTCCTTAAAACCAAGAATGTTGACAAAATTTTTTTGCTTTTGCTTCTACTGCTGCAGTCATTGTCAACTCTCTTCATATTCCCATCACAGCTTCCACACTTAGGGCCATCCCTTGGTTTCCTCTCTGCTTTCATGCGTCTTTCTCTTGCTGTCATGTATGATCCAACATCCATGTTGGAGTCCTTCATACTCCAACACCCCAAGAGAAATTAGTCACGAACCAGGATAGATTCAGACCACCTCAAAGACTGCTGATGTTTGGCTATCATTGAACCTGGAATTCGTTGCTATTCCAATCAGACATGGTTTGGGTGGAGAGGGCAGTGTGGTACAAATCACAGTGTCTCATGACTAAAGGACTCTGCAGAGAGGGATTATGGGCTTGGCAGGCACTCTGGGGCTCCTCAGAAAGGAACAGCAAAACAAGCCTGTTCTTTTTTGGTCTGTCCTCTTCAAATTGCTGCTCTTGTTGATCCACATTATTGCTCCCTGTCCAACTGTATGTACAGTGAAGGGTTGGCTGGAAATGAAAGCAGAAACAGGTTTCTATTAGAGGATAATATGGAATGGGAAGATTTTTTTAAAAAAAAAATAGGTCTGTGAGTTCCAACAATGCAACTAAGAGAGAAAGATCTTTTTAGCCCCACTTTTTCATGTTGCTAAGATCTTCTTGGTTCCATTTACTGCTCTCTGATGTAAATGAATTTTCATCTGATGTTTCACTTCTAATATCTTCTCCCAAATAAAAAGCTGGAGAGTAGATCATTCATTCATTTATTCAACAAATATTTATTTATTAGTGAAGCATAATTCACTTTGGATATTCAACTATTTCCAAATTTGTTAATGATTATTTAACCAATCATATCTTTTTTCTCCAACATTTTATACTGAAAAATATCAAAATCACAGAAAAGTTGCAAGAATAATCAAATGAACAACTATATCCTCCTAATTTAGATTCATCATTTAACTTTTATTGATTGGAATGTTACTTACACTGTATCAGGTTGAGGTCATGAAAAAAAAAAAAAAATGCCCTTGAGGAGCTCTAGTTCAAGGCTTCCAAGTGAAGGCCAGTCACGGTGGCTGATGCCTGTAATCCCAGCATTTTAGGAGGCTGAGATGGGGGATCGCTTGAGCTGAGGAGTTGGAGACTAGCCTGGGTAACATGATGAAAATCTGTCTCTACAAAAAGTACAGAATCTTAACCTAGCATACTGGTGTGCACATGTAGTCCCAGCTATTTGGGAGACTGATGTGGGAGATTGCTTGAGCCTGGGAGGTTAAGGCTGCAGTGAGCTGCAATCACAGCACTACACTCTAGCCTGGGTGACCAAGTGACACCCAGTCTCAAAAAAAAAAGGCCGGGCGTGGTGGCTCACGCCTGTAATCCCAGCACTTTGGGAGGCCGAGGCGGGTGGATCATGAGGTCAGGAGATTGAGACCATCCTGGCTAACACAGTGAAACCC
The DNA here is from genome assembly GCF_000001405.40 of Homo sapiens. Taxonomy (NCBI): domain Eukaryota; kingdom Metazoa; phylum Chordata; class Mammalia; order Primates; family Hominidae; genus Homo; species Homo sapiens. The sequence goes on from NC_000003.12 coordinate 31,502,293, forward strand.
CGTCTCTACTAAAAATACAAAAAATTAGCCGGGAGCGGTGGCGGGCTCCTGTAGTCCCAGCTACTTGAGAGGCTGAGGCAGGAGAATGGCGTGAACCCAGGAGGCGGAGCTTGCAGTGAGCCGAGATCGCGCCACTGCACTCCAGCCTGGGCGGCAGAGCCAGACGCTGTCTCAAAAAAAAAAAAAAAAAAAAGAAAAGAAAAGAAAAGAGACCCGGTCGCAGATAGCATCTAGAATCTCTGATTCAGTAGGTCTACAGTGGAGCCCAGGGAACTGAATTGCTAATAAACTCAGCAAGTCACTGCTATAAAGCCAGCTTTAAGACTGCTGGTCTAGTAGAAGAGAGAGAACAAAGAAAGAGGAGCACTATGAAAGCCTAAATTAAAGATATAAAAATGTTCTGTGAAAACAGCAAGATTGGAAGTTTCATGCAAGGCTAATCGAAATTTCTCAGATGGGGCTGGATATGAGGAGTGGGTGGTGGCAGCTGTTCTTAGGTGTGGTTCTAGAAACCTCCATTTATTCACTCTCCTATCCTTCTCTCACCAAAAGTATATAATAATGGGTTTGTACCGGAAACTCGACTCCCAGAGCTCTTGGTAATTTCTAGACCACTGATCAAGAAATGTTCTCACTTATACAAAGGGGTTAATATTTTCCCATATCTATTTCACAGGGTTGTAATATGAATCAAAGAAGAGAAAGCTTGTGAACATCCTTTGTTGTCTGGCAAGTGGTTTATACACATAGAATAATTATTATCATCCTCAGTCGATCCATTTTCACATTCACACCATCCACATGTGTCTGGGTGCTACTTCCTCCACAGCTTTGTCACAGAATGTGTGAAACAGCACAGAGTACATGCAAAGCTTTTATTAACCTCACTTGGGATGATGCTGGCAACTAATAGTCATGCAATAAACTTTTATTGGATAATTAACTGATATACTTTTTCCGATTACATTAATCTCTTCAAAGATGAAATAAAGTTGTTTGACATATTTCTGGTCTTGGACCATTTCCCCTACTAAATATATGATCTCACAATAACATGGAAATATTGATTCTCAAAGAAGAGATAAACTCACCCTGAGCAACACAATCTGGGGTGAGTTACCTGAAATTTCCTTATGTCATACGTAGAGGGGCAGAGCTCCTTATAAACCATTAACTTGTAGATCATATATTCCTCTTTGCTTTGTTTCTTAGTTCCTCAAGTCTCACAACATGGATGGAGAAATCCGATTAGGTCCAACTATTTTCTTGAGCTGGGCAAGCTCTTCCTAGTGACAGTAGCTGCTACTGTATCTTGCCCCACAGCATTTCAGAGTAAACCTGTCATCAAGAAGCCTGCGTGGGATGTCTAACTGGTTTGCCTGACTTTTTTTGTTTCTTGTTAAGTATCCTCAGAAGGGGACACACATTGGAAGCCTGCTGTGTATAATTAAGAGATAATTGTAGTCGTCTCAGCATTTTGTGCTGCTATACCATTAGCTTATTTGCAGTGATGCCTAAATGTAGTTAGGATGACGATTTTGAAAATGAATATAGAATACATTTTGAAGGATGAAATGTGTGATAATTTGAAGGAGCACTTTACCTTTTTTTGCTAAGATATGCCACATTTTAGCTTGATGTTTTTAAATTAAGCTTGATGTTTTTAAATTAAGCTGACTTGCTGTGGTTTCCAAGAGTGATCACATATTTTGCCCTACTGTGTACAGCCGTGGAGATTTTAACTTTATATACCATAACTTTTCTTCCTCAGAGATGTGTAATGCAATCTTTGGACACCTGAATATGATTAAATGCTTCTTGGACAGTGAATAATGATTCCCAATGAATTTTGGTGCAAGGCTATTCAATTTTATTAATGTTAGCTAGATGAAGAAATTGTCTGGTATTATCTTGTGTGTGACTTTTCACTATTCTACCATATAATGAATGCTAGTGAGTTATTATGGGGGAGAAAATTTCCTAAAACAACATAATGAAAAAATTATTCATTTCACTGAATAGGATAAGTCAAAGAATAAAGGTCAAATTTTCGGAACTTACCTAAAGTAAAATAATGCACATAAATTCTGTTTCATTATTGTTTTCTCCATTGGACTTTATGCTGTTCAATGTTCACACATAGAGTTCATTGAACTCTATGCTGTTATGTTTGAGTTGGTCTCTTTCCAATAAGGTCTATAAAGGTCTCTAGCCAGTTCTAAATTGTGAGACTAAGCTGTGCATGCAAACCTATATACACCCCTGATGTGCATTTAGCCAAATTGTGTTGCTGTCTAATGGAACCACACAGAGGTGCCGTGATCGCTTCACTTAAAAGCCTGATATGAGTAGAGGAATATAAAAAATCGACCAGACACCTGAGAAGAAATTCAGTTTGCATTGCACCCAATTGTATAAACTTATCATCCCCTAACAGTGCTCATCTGAGTAAGACATTCTTTTTTTTTTTTTTTTTTTTGAGACATGGTCTTACTCTGTTGCCCAGGCTGAAGTGCAATGGCACAGCAGCTCACTGCGGCCTGGATTTTCTGGGTTCATGCAATACTCCTGCCTCAGCCTGCTGAATAACTAGGACTACAGGTGTATGCCACCACACCCAGTTAATCTTTTAAATTTTTGTAGAGATGAGGTCCTACTCTGTTGCCCAGGCTGGTCTCAAACTTCTGGCCTCAAGTTATCCTCCTGCCTTGATCTCCCAAAGTGCTGGGATTATGGGCGTGAGCCACCATGCCTGGCCCATTCTAATTTTTTTTTTTTTTTTTTTTTTAGATTTTAAAGATGACGAAAAATGAGCTAACATCATTCACCTTTTTTTAAGGCAGAATTTTATTTGCTCTTTTGCGATAATTATGCCCCTTCATTATGGTAATGGATACCATAAATAGTATAATCTTAGAATTGTCATTATTATCAAACATTTAGGAAGTCCTCCTTCACAGCATTCATAGATAGTGGTAATTTATAGATTTGATTAGAAACAGCCAGGGTTCTCAATAGTTTATAATCTAAACACAGAGATAATTCAGAAGAACATAAAAGATACTATCTCTTGAAGCTTAGAGTGGCATAATCTACTCATTCTGTATTTCTCACCTCTTATTGTCTTTCTAAAGTCTCCTATTCTAAATGCATTCTCCTGAAAATCAGTCCCTGAGACAAGAATTTTGGTGCAAGTATTTGGGAGGTGATCACAGGAAGCAAGTGTGAGAGTAAGGCACTGAGACAGGAAAGGGAAGAAAACCAATAAAGGGTGTGTTAATTAGCATGTTACTGCTGTGAGCAACAGAGGCTCAATCCTGCTGGGGACTCCCTGAGTGAATGCACAGAACACATCTCAGAATTGTGAGAAAATGTGGATATTTATCCTCCAACTCCTGTCCCTACATGGTTGAGAATTGCTAATGGGGCTTTAAATCCCAAGCACTGCGAACATCTTCTTCACATAGGCACGGCACAATTCCACAGGCAGAAAAAAAAGTTTTCTGGCAGAGAAATGCAGGCAGGAGGAAGCTGTTTTGCAAGTATCGGGACCCTTCACTGAGGCCACAGGGGACCTGGGGGGCAGGGGAGCAAGAAGAGGCGAGTGGGGCATTTACAGCGTCTGTTACATGTCTTTTTTCATTGGGGCACAAACTAGTCCTGGCCCAAATCCATCATCAGAATACCTAGGATTCAAATCATTTTTACCACTATTTTAAGATGCCATACTCTTCCCTTGTACTAAAAATTAGGCAGTGTCTAATTTAGTCTTAAATAATCCATCTTGATTTTAAATAGACCAGACATTAGCACCCATGTCTGGATCATTTTTTATCACAAGTGCAATACGTTGGTATTTTTTTCTTGTCATATTTTTTTCATAAGGGCAATAGGTACCTAAGAAAAAGAAACTATCCGTCTTATACATGAAGATAATTGTCCCAAAAGAATCAAAGTGAAATCTGTGCTAACCAAAATACTATATGTTTTAGTGTCACCAATCAATTGCCTATTGTATTTCTGAGGTTCTGTCCATGCCAAACAGGTTCAATCAAATTCAATTTAATAAGACTGAATTCAATAAAATCTATTTTTAGTGATTGTCTTCATGACAGGAAATAGCCAGTTTGAGGATTTTCCCCAATTTGTTAAAAGGCTGTCTGGGGGACCCAAAGATACAGTACATTTTAGATAAAACAGAGGCAAGTCAGTACTGGGGCAAAACCAGCAAACATGCAGCATCATCACATCCTTCTGGAAATGAAATAGGGCAAACATGCATAAAATACATAAATACAAACTTTCACTCGCGTCCGTGTGAAGAGAACACCAAACAGGCTTTGTGTGAGCAATAAAGCTTTTTAATCACCTGGGTGCAGGCGGGCTGAGTCCGAAAAGAGAGTCAGTGAAGGGAGATAAGGGTGGGGCTGTTTTATAAAATTTGGGTAGGTAAAGGAAAATGACAGTCAAAGGGGGGTTGTTCTCTGGCGGGCAGGAGTGGGGGTCACAAGGTGCTCTGTAGGGGAGCTTTTGAGCCAGGATGAGCCAGGAGAATGAATTTCACAAGATAATGTCATCAGTTTAGGCAGGAACAGGCCATTTTCACTTCTTTTGCGGTGGAATGTCATCAGTTAAGGCAGGAATGGGCCATCTGGATGTGTACATGCAGGTCACAGGGGATATGATGGCTTAGCTTGGGCTCAGAGGCCTGATAAAAACAGAAACAAATATGGAGATCTTTTGTAGACATTTAGAAAGACAGGACTATTAGAGTTAGGGCACGTGAAAAAGGTAGAAAAGAAAATGGGCAAATCAGAACAGTGCTGTTTTATCATTTAGGGCTCCAGCAAAAAACACAAGGCACATTCAAACTGAATAATTTGAGGAGAGTTTAATAAATGGGTAATTTATACAAGTGTGGGCAGGATTAGGGAAACCACAATGGTTAGTATAGTATTCAGGGCTAGGAACAGCAGAGAGGGGGTTCAGAGTCTGAAAGGGAAAGGAGTGAGAGAAGTTATGAGAAATCAGAATGAGAACTGTGAGGAGAGGGCTGCCCAGCAGGAGCTGGGTCAGTGTGTAAGCACTGGAGATGCCAGGGGAATAGATATCCTAACCTCATCTGCCAGTGCTTGCCACTGGACAAACCCAACCGGAAGCCAGAGGGCAAGTAACCATGTTGGTACAACTCATCAGCTCAGCCACCAGGGACAGAGGGCACAAGAGGTGTGGATATGGAGGACAATGATATATCCAGTAACCACCATCGTATGGAGGACTTGCTTGATTCATATGTTCATAACTTTCATAAGTTAGATGACAGAGAACAACACAACCTGGATATTCCCTCTCTTTCTGAGTTGTCCTTATGCCGACTTGGCAGAAGTCAAGTAGAGAAGTCTGCCATCTCATTAGACAATAAGGGGCTCCCTAATGTCGGGTATGAGAGACAGGATTCTCAGTCACTACAGTGGCAAAGAGTCTGAAATGTCAGGACCCCATTTATAATCCTAAAGAGGATGTGTGGCTCCCTGAGTTCTATTAATTTGTGACAGACTCAGAGAAAAGAGTCACCGTAATCATAAATTAGTAGATTCCTCCTGCATACCTGGACATTTGTAGAACTTGACCTTGCATTTCAGAAGCTTTAGGAGTCTCTGCGGTGCTCCCAAGCATAATTACATTAGGCTGGTAACGACTGCTTATAATGTTCTCGGGAATGTGAATGATGTTCTGTAACATGGCTCTGCCTCAAGTTAAATAAATTTTTTTAAAAACGTAAGTAAGAGGCACCCAGAGTTCTCTCATTCTTGGAACTTTGTACGCAGGGCTTCTTCAGCATCCAACTGTGGGAAGATGAGCAGCAGTTGACTCAGATGGGCTCTCCTCATCTGTGATGGTTTGCAGCCATTTTTCTCAAAGTGGCTCAAGAATAGCCTACATGTATGTGCTTGGGAGGCAGCAGGTAATGCTAAGCCACAGAAAGCCAATGAAACTTAGGCTATGACAGCAATTTCCCTTGCTTGAGAGGAACTCTCTGTGAGATAAGAAATTGAGCACTCCTTTCTCCTATGCCATATGGTGCTGCAGTATAATTTAAATTCAAAAAGCCAAATTTCATAGCCTGAGAACTGCAGTTGGTAGACACTCCTAATCACTTTACTGATATAAGTAGGTACAGAGAAGCATAATAGTTTAAGTGAAAACCATGCTTTCAGAATCTGATAGGAAACCCTACTAATGTTTTGTATCTTCTGCTTCAAAGGAAACACCCAGAAAAAAAGATGCCAAGGAAACAGGCTAGGTAAATTGATACTTAGAAACAGGGTAGGCAAAGTTACTTAAAAAAAAAAAAAAGTGCACTGTATGGCTGCGACCTGTTGTAGTAGGATTCTGAGATCAACAGAAAGAAATCCATTAAGCTCTAATTTCTACAGATAATGTTAATGTTAATAAAAGTCATAATTGAGAAAGAGGAAGTGGGTAGGAAGTTGGGCTATTTAGACAGAGGAGTTTTTACTGAATAGTAAAATAATTCCAAGAAGTATTTCCTAAAGATCAATAAATATACCTAGAATAGGTAAGGCTGTGAATTCCAGCTTATATTCTTAGTAGAGATTTACAAAACATACTTTTTAAATGTTCAAATCCAAGAAGGCGAGTTCTAAGAAATACAAGCAACTCTTTCTCCTCTATGCTGAAAAGAAATGAAGCATGAAGATGGATAATTTGGCCCTTAGGAGATCTAAGGGAAGACTCAGTTGCCATTCTGAGTAACTGCAGGGGGAATTGAGAGCTTGAGAGAACAAAGAAATAAAGATGATCTTATATGCTCTGTTGAGAGAACCTTCCTTTCTGTACTAGTCAGGATTTTTCCAGTTGGAGAAAAAAAAGAAATAAAAGAAGGAAGGAGGGAAGGAAGGAGGCAAGGAAGGAAGGAAGGAAGAGAAAGAAAGAGAGAGGGAGGGAGGGAAGGAGAGAAGGAAGGAAGGAAGGATGAAAGGAAGGAAGGAAGGGGAAAGAAGGAAAAAAGAAAGAAAGAGAAGAGAAAGAAGGAGGATTAACTTAAGTAGCAGGGGTAGTTTGACTTCAGATGTCCCTTGATCCAGAAGCTCAAAGATATAATTGGGGAAAGATTTCTTTTCATCTTTCAACTCTGCTCATTCAGAACAGGTTCTATTCTCGGTCAGGCTTTCACTTTGAGGTGGTACAGCAGAGAAAGCTCATTGTTCTCCAATAGCTCATAATAAAACCCTAACTGCCTGGGTACACACCATCCTGAGATAAAGACTATATTTCCATACCTCTGTTATAGTTAAGCATAGCTATGTGACTAATTTCTGGCCAATGGGATACAAGTAGTAGTGTCAAAAGCAATTTCCAAAAGTGTCCTTGAACCATCCTCCTCACCTCTTCCTTCTCCCTGCTGCCTGGAAGCTCAAGCAGCTGCCCTAGACCATCAGGCAGAGCTATGTATCAAGGGCACCAAAGCAAGAAAGAAGGAAACCCTCACTGATGTCCAGGGAGCTACCACCAGCCCTAGGTTGCTTACCTCCAGACTTCACTTGTTCATTTCTATCTTACTTAAGTTATTGTAATTTTGGGTTTTCTGTCTCATGGAAAAATCTAATCTTAATTGATATACATAGCAAAATGCTTACTATCACTCCAGGCTTTATATGCTATGAGGTAGAAGTCCTGAACTATGCCTGCCTCATTCCCAGTGGCCCTAGAGTTTCATTTGAACAGCTCAATGGCTCTGACTGGGTCATGGGTCAATTCCTGAACCAATCACCGTGGCCTGGGATTCTGGAAGGTTTAACTGAGATGTGCCCAAGGCTTGAACTGAGAGTAGTTTTCTCTTCATTCATCTGAATTGCACAGACTGACAGTTGGGGAGGTTTCCCAAAGGGAAAACAATATTCACTATGCTTCCCAAGCCAGATTTTCTCCCTAATTTTCTGATTTCCATCAAAGGTGTGATCATTCTTCTACGCTCACAACGCTATATGTAACCTGCTGTCCCTCCAAATGTAATACTGTTACCTTATTTTCTCTTGTGCTCAATATAGTCTTTTCGCCACCATCCCTCAAAAAGTAAAGACAAAGAGACTAACACAAGAGAGGCATTACTGTTCCATGGTGTATGACTGGAGCAAGGGTAAATGATATCTATGTGCTCACAATTTTCTGAGAAACATATTGTAATAAATGTTATAAACAAAATAATTTAAAATACACAAATCAAAACAATTGATCAGTACTCTTCAAAAGTGTCAAAGTCATGAAAGACAAGAAAGACTGAGTAATTGTTATAGATTAGAGGAGACAAAGGAAACATGGCAAGCATGGAGGACAGAGTCTAAGGAGTCAGCCATGATTCCCAACACCTGGTTTTTATGCTCCAGTATAATCCCCTCCCCTTGACTTGCTTTCTACCAATGGAATATGGCAAAGGTGATGGGATGACATTTCTATAATATTATATAAGTCTCCATATTGCTAGTAGACTCACTGAAGAGCTCTCTCTTCCTAGCTGGCTTTGAAGAAGTACTGGCCATTGTGGGAGCCCTCCACTGGTGAGGAGATAAGAGCAGTTCCTAGAGACTGAGAGTAGCCTCCAGCCAACAGCCAAAAAGAAGCCAGAGCCCTCAATCCTACAGCCTCAAGAGAATAAATTCTGTCAACACCTGAGTGAGTTTGGAAGCAAATTCTTCCCAGTTTAGCCTCCAGATGAGACTGCAGTCTGCCTAGCACTTTGACTTATGAGACCCTAAGCAGAGGATCCAATTAAATTATGAAATGATAAATGTGTGTTGTTGTAAGTGGCTAAGTTGGTGGCAATTTGTAAAAATAATACAATGTTTGTCAAGACAGAAAAGAAAATGATGGACAATTTGACACTTCATCTATATCAGATGCCCTGCTTTCCCTCTTGCAAAGGCCTGTGTGCTCCTGTCAACAGCTGAGCAGCATTGCTTCCTTTGGCACATAGATTTCTTTTTTTCAATCATTTGATATTACACAGTTTTGTGGTGGTTTTATTCCTAGTAATGATTATCTTAAAATGATGTTTACGCAAAAGACCTTTCTCCCCACTCTTCCCCCGACTCTCTTGCTTCTGCCTCCCCAACAGCTTCTGCCCATAACTACATCACTTTCTTTCTTCCCTGTCTGCTATGGTTTGGCTGTGTCCCCACCAAAATCTCACCTTGAATTGTAATAATCCTCATGTGTTAAGGGTGGGGCCAGATGGAGATAACTGAATCATGGGGGCAGTTTCCCCGATATGGTTCTCGTGGTAGTAAATAAGTCTCAAGAGATCTGATAGTTTTATAAATTGGAGTTCCCCTACACAAGCTCTGTCTTGTCTGCTGCCATGTAAGACATGTCTTGCTTTCCCTTTGCTTTCTGCCATGATTGTGAGGCCTCCCCAGCCATGTGGAACTGTGAGTCAATTAAACGTTTTTCCTTTATAAATTACCCAGTCCTGGGTATGTCTTTATTAGCAGCATGAGAATAGACTAATACACTCTCCATACCTCCTTTTCTCTCCTCACCATCTCTTTCCTCACTTTGTTTGGAATTTCTAAGGACAGGAATCACTAGTATCAGAGAAATAAGGGGTCTGATGTGGTTACTGTTTTTTTTTTTTTTAACAGTCTATAAAACAACACACAAAACCCACCCCTACCTCTTCAAAATTTAAGTTGTGTAATATTTAGACTCTATCCAGAATTAATCACTTCCCTCTTCTTTTTTTTTTTTTTTTTTGAGACGGAGTCTCGTTCTGATGCCCAGGCTGGAGTGCAGTGGCGCGATCTCGGCTCACTGCAACCTCCACCTTCCGGGTTCACGTGATTCTCCTGCCTCAGCTTCCCAAGTAGCTGGGATTACAGGCACACTCCACCATGCCCGGCTAATTTTTTGTGTATTTTTAGTACAGACAGGGTTTCACTATGTTGGTCAGACTGGTCTTGAACTCCTGACCTCGTGATCCGCCCACCTCAGCCTCCCAAAGTGCTGGGATTACAGGCGTGAGCCACCATGCCTGGCCATTTCCCTCTTCTCAAATCTCTACAACAGCATCTCAGCCCAGAATGAAGTATGCCCAAGATGTATCTTCATGACCTTGAAAGGGTCTTATAACTTCAAAGAAAGTTTGCAACTACTTTTTAAAAAATTAATTTATTCATTTTTATTTGTATAAAGTTGTGGGGTACAAGTGTAATTTTGCTACATGCATAGATTACATAGCGGTGAAGTCAGGGCTTTTAGGGTGTCCATCACCCAAATAATGTACATTGTACCCCTTAAGAAATCCCTCATCATTCCCTCCCTTCCCACCCCCTCACCTTTCCAAGCCTGTGTTGTCTATCATTCCACACTCTATGTCCATGTGTACACCTTATTTAGCTCCCATTTATAAGTGAGAACAGGCAGTATTTGTCTTTCTATGTCTTACTTGTTTCACTTAAGATCATGGCCTCCAGTTCCATTCGTGTTGCTGTGAAAGATGTTATTTCATTATTTTGTATGGCTGAGTAGTATTCCATTGTGTATATACACCACATTTTCTTTATCCAATCTTCCATTGATGGACACTTAGTTTGATTTCATATCTTTGGTATTGTGAATACCACACCTGCAATGAACCTGCTGCAATGAACATATAGGTGATTTTTTGATATAAGGATTTCTTTTTTGTGTGGAGGGTAGGTAACCCCAGGAGTGGGATTGCTAGGTTGAATGGTAGTTCTATTTTTAGTTACTTGAGATATCTCTGTACTGTTTTCTATAGAGGTTGTAAATTGGGTGTACAACTTGGCAAAGAAAATGAACGTACAGGTACATAAAGTTATTTAAAAACAGAGTTCATTTTAAAGTTATTTAAAAACAGAGTTCATTTGTTTAGAAAATAAATAGCTCAAATGAAAATAAATAGAATATAAATAGAATAAATAGAAAATACATAGCTCAAATGAAAACCTGGAGCTCAAACAAAAACAGAATAATAAATGATGCTATCGACCTGGTGAAAATGTACTCTATCTCCTTGAGAGGAACAGAGGTATTAATTAAATAAACACCTTACTTTTAACCTGGTCTATGGAGTTGAAAACCTGTTAAATTCATTGAGAACTCTCAGGACTATTTCTTGCTACTTACCGTGGGCATTAAAAATTTCTGTGTAGACGTTAATGCCAACAACATTTGGTCAGTGTCTACTACATAATCTTTACTTATGTGCTCTGCCTCAAGTTGCTTAACTATTTCTGAAATTATAAAACCCTCTTTTGAAGTAGAGATAGAATAAAGGATCTCCTGCTAAAGCAGAGACACAAAATAATAATTATATGTAAAGTATAAAATAAATCTCTTTTATTTAAAGGGCACAAAGATGAATAGAGAAAAACAGGAGAACTAAATTAAGGCCTATATTAATACTCATAGAAGTTACTAACAACGCTTCATTATTTTTGTTAAATAATGTACATAGCAAGAGATTTGAATTTCTTATTTCAAAATGTCTTGCTTTTCAAAAATAAATTTTCAGTGCCCTCGGAATCTTAAATGTTCTCATGTATGTAACACAGTAAGCTTGTGGACTCTTGGGTTTAATAAGTGCTCTCAATTTTAAGAAATAAAAATTGAGCCGGGCTAGGTGGCTCACGCCTGTAATCCCAGCACTTTGGGAGGCTGAGGCAGGCGGATCACGAGGTCAGGAAATCGAGACCATCCTGGCTAACACGGTGAAACCCCGTCTCTACTAAAAATACAAAAAATTAGCCAGGCGTGGTGGCGGGCTCCTGTGGTCCCAGCTACTTGAGAGGCTGAGGCAGGAGAATGGTGTGAACCCGGGAGGCGGAGCTTGCAGTAAGCTGAGATCGGGCCACTGCACTCCAGCCTGGGGGACAGAGCGAGACTCAGTCTCAAAAAAAATATAATAAAACGAAATAAAATCTTGAAATTCAATCAGGAATAAATTTAATTTTAAAGTTAATTATTCAGGCTTGTTAGCATATCTAAGCAAGATTTGGTTCTCACAAATGTTTGGTTGTGTTCTCAATGCTGAAATAAAAGGGAATCAAGTGGTATGTGTCCAGTGGATGCCGGCAGGTGACAGAAGGCTGCCCGTGGCAAGTTGGCCAAACTGTTGACAGACTATTTTCAGTCCCCCACCCCTGTGGGCCACAGTGAAGAGTTAATGGTGCTTATTAATCCTGCCCACAGTCACTGAGAAATGGTGCTCCCCAGAGAGAGTGTCTGGAAGATAAGGAATGAGAGTACAAGAAATACTGGCCTTCTCTGCAAGGTTTTCAGACCTCAGTAGCCAAGAAGAGATTGTATTTCGTGTGTGTGTGTGTGTGTGTGTGTGTGAAATAAGAGTAGATTAAACAAAATCTATATTCTAGTTCTAGGTTTTACTTTCTTGATTCATGAATATACAAGACCAAATATATTATGTACATAATATGTACATTATGTACATAATCCATGAGGAGGACTAGCAAGATTGAATTTCACGTGTGGCTTGTCAAACATCTTGCTGCTTTACATTTTGTACCTTGAATGAAAACCCATGCCCACACATGAGCATGTGCGCACATACACACACATGCACGCACACATATACGCTCCTTTTGCCAATAAAGGTCACACTGCTAAACCACTTTCAATTGAACATGATCTTTGAGTTGTTCTTCCAATAGTGGTTTCAGGTTTGCACTGTTATTCCCTCTCATGAGGTTGCCTTTGTGACCTAGTGAACATGTTTCCAAATTTTCTGGCTGAAGTTACATTTTGCAGAAGAAAAATACTTTTTATCAGTGAAAACCTAAGTGGCTCTATAATAATAATTACAAGATTTATTAAGCTTTCATTGTACTAAGCACTGTCTCATGCTTTATTTCAATGAACTCATTTAATCCTGATTATCTGGGATATAGACACCATTATTAATATAATTATTATTCTTTTTAACAGATAGCAAAACTGAAGCATAGAGATGCTGAGTAACTCACCCAAAGGCACACAGCAAGTAACAAGAGCCAGGATACAAACTCAGGAAGCCTGGTTCTAAGACCCATACTCTTAATCATTACACTGTTCTTACCACTGTATTGTTTTCTACAGTCAAGGAGGATCTTTAACAACTGGTACTTCAAAACAGTGAAATACAAGGTGGTTAGATAAAATACAGCAATGGGGGTCTAATAGACAGAATAATTATTTTGAAGACAGAAAGAGCTGGGATTGTCTCTGTAGTAGTGATTTCACTGCTCACTGGATATCCAAGCGCTCCCCTACATTTTCTAGGCTGCATAGTATTAGCTGAGCCCATGTGATTAGTCTGTCCAATGGGCTATTAATGGAGGTGAAACAGGCCACATCTGGACTGAATAATTTAAAAGCCAATGTGTGACTCTTCAGTTCTCTCTTCATCTGCCACAGTGATTGAGAAAGCTATTTGGTTCAGATGGTGTAGCTAAATGATGGTAAAGACACAGGCAGCCTAGGTCCATTCATATGGAACAGAGCCCCTCATAAGCCCACTTGGATAGGAACCAGGAGTAAGAAAGAAACCTCAGTTATGTTAAACCACTGGTAAATAAGACTAGTTTGTTTCTGATACTATCTAATACAGTCCACAAGTTTCACCAGGTTTTCTGTGTAGTCACTGAAAATGTACTTGACCTTTCTGAGCCTCATTTCATTATTTTTAAAATATGCACACTGACACTCTCCTGGCAGTTGACATGAGGATTAAATGAGAGCTTTTGTATGCCTGGCAAATAGAAGTTGCTCAATAAATAGTAGCTATGGTAATTATTCAGTATTGCACTACATAAAAGTAACCAAACAAGGCTGGGTATGGTGGCTCATGCCTGTAATCCCAGCACTTTGGGAGACCAAGGTGGGAGAATCGCTTCAGCTCAGGAGTTTGGGACCAGCCTGGGAAACATAGTGAGACCTTATTTATATAAAAAGTAAGCAAAATTAGCTGGGTGTGATGGTGTGTGCCTGTAGTCCCAGCTACTCAGGAGGCTGAGGTGGGAGGATCACTTGAGCCTGGGGGGATCACTCAAGGTTGCAGGGTTGTAGTGAGCCAAGATCAAGCCACTGAACTCCAGCATGGGAAACAGAGCAAGATGCTGTCTCTTCAAAAAAAAAAAAAAAAAAGAACAGCCTAAGTAGCTTAGTGTATAAAGGATGTGAACAACATTTGCTTAGCAGAGTTTATTACTGGGTTCCTGTAAATTGCTTATAACTGTAAAACAGCCAAAGATTATTTCCAATACAACATGTAAACAAGGTTATAATATGCACCCATTTTATAAATATGTTTTGGCACCTAACATTCACACTCCTTTTGTTAACCTCAACTCAAATTCCCATGGGAAATCCTCTTGCCCCCCCCCCCCAACCCCCATTCTCAACCAACATGCTCCAGCTAGGGCTCCATTTACGTTCCAGGATAGAGCACATGACCTGAGGCTAAGGCAGTTATCACAGTTCATTTCCCTCACCACAGTAATTGGTTCAAGGATGAACACATTGTCTGCTCAGAGCTAATAAGATGCAGTGAGAATGCTGGGAATCCTGGAAAAAAGGTATTAGATTTTTTTTTCTCATTTGAACATGAGATGTTGAAATTGTTGGAGATGTGGCAGCCATCTTGAGCCACGAAGGAAGAGCCTGCCTGGGAATAAAGCCAACGTGGAGGTGAATGATACCAAACACATGGTTGTGATGGAGAAATGGCATCTAGTGACATTGTTTGAGCCCCTGATCAAGCTACCTCTGAAATCAAACATTGAGATTTTCACTTTAGTGAGCTAAAAATTATTTTTTTGTTCAATCAAGTGTTATATGAGATTTTGGTCAGAAGGGAAGTTTGGGTATCCCAAAAGCAAAGTGCCCAATTCTGACTAGATGGGTGTAAAATTTAGGAGTCTCTACAGAATTCCTTCCCATTCTTGGAGCTTTTCCTCTGTCATTCTTCCTGGACTCTGCATTGGCCTCTTGGTTTTATTACCTCAAAATCCATATTGTTGGATTCAGAACTCTCCTTTATCTAATGGTTGAGTCTATTATTAGGTAAATGCAGTTAGGCTTACTTGCCTAACATTAAAACTACTTATATAATTAAAATTTTTCCAAAATGACAAATTTACAACCAGAATATATTTCTTTTTCTCCCATTTAAACAAAGCCTTGCATATAAGTAAAGCAGGCATTCTTCAGAAGAGACATACGTTTTGCTCAAGAAATATAGAACTTTTAATTAATACTATGTTTCTTTATCTTAAAGAAGAGAATGTGTACAACATATTAGAATTTATTCTCATTTTTGGTTCACAAATTTGCTACATGGAATTTTATAAACTGTATTTTATAAACTATATTGTAATAACCAGGAACAAGTAATATTTTTCATAGACTGGATTATTATTTTCAATTTATCATTCTCCTGTAATAGATTATACAACCATCTCCTTTCCCATAAGACTTTGTAATGATTCCCAGGAGAATCGATGGTGTATACAGCCCCACCCCATTGATGTGGATATAAATCTGTTTGCATGATTTGGCTTGGTTCTTGAGCTTCTGCCATTCATCCTGAAATGAGGATGATCTGAATAGCCACTGGGTCCAAGGAAACTGAAGAGACACATGGAGGAGATCTCAACTCTGTCCACACCACCAAAAGCTAAGTCTACCTGATATCAGCTGAGCCCAGCAGAATCACAGACTACTCACAGGCCAATGAGTGAAAATAAATGCTTGTTGTGATAAGTCACTAAATTTTGGAGTTATGTGTTATGCAGAATTATTGTAATTATTTTATCAGTAGCTGACTAATACAACCCAACCCTATTATAAAATAATGCTAAAAATAATGCTTTCTCTTTCAAATTTAGTGTCAGGTATTCTGTCTCTGATAATTTATAGTATCTTGAGACTCTAAAATATTTTTATAATCAAAATTTATTACCTTTGCAATATTGTACTTAGGATGGCGAATTGGAAAGCATTCAAGATATACTAGGAGTCACTAGAACTGGATTCTAATCCTGGTTTGGCCACTATAAGTAATGTGTCTTTCACAAGCTGCTTAACCTTTCTGGACCTCTCAGTTATTTAAAAAATGAGGGTTGAACTAGATTCTCTACAGCCAAAATGTTATAGTTGTGGTCTTCAAGTTCATGCAATGTGTGTACATAAGAATGAAATAGAATAATTATGTTATATGCTAAACGATTTCAAATATAGGTAAAATAATAATTCAAGGTGTAAGAATTCTGAGAATGTTTTTATATTCCTGAGTTTCTTAGATAAATGAGATACATGTATCAGTAAGTTTCTTAGATTTAGTCTGGCTGACTCTTATAAGACTCAGGTCTTACAATTTCAAAAATGTTTATGAATATTCTAGAATAGAGAAAGTGACCTAAAGAAAAATGTATTGATTACCTAGGCTGTACTCAGTACACATGTATTAATTAGTCCACTCAGTCTGCATTAGCAGAATACCACAAACTAGGTGGTTTCAACATAAGAATTTTATTTTCTCACCGCTCTAGACACTGGAAATTCAAGATCAAGATGTCAACTGGTTGGTTCTTGGTAAGGGCTCCCTCCTTGGGTTGCAGATGGCTGCCTTCTTGCTGTGTCCTCCCATGGGCTTTCCTCTGTGTAGTGCAAATAAAGAGAGATCTCTGGCCTCTTTTTATGAGGACACTAGTCCTATCAGATTAGAGCTCTACCCTATCACCTCATATGACCTTAATTACTTTCTTAAAGACCTCTTTCCAAATACAGTCATATTGGGATTAGGACATCAAATTTGAATTTTGGTGGGACAAAATTCAGTCCATGACAACACATATAATGAAAAGATAATTTAGTGGAAGGAACACAGATTCTGGTTTCAGATAAGGCAAGGATGAACATGAGATCCTGTTATATAAGGTATCTCTAAATTCTTTCCCATAGAAGAATGACTTATGGGCAATAATACACAAGAAAATTAGATTTTTATGGACTATGCTCCATCTTTTTGCAAGCAGGCCAATCTTTGGATTTGGAGGTGAAGAACTGCTATGACTTTACCCAATGTTTCAATTCATACTTTATGGAGAAACATGGCCATTTCTCTATACAGCCAGGTCCAGACATGCAAGCTCTGCATTATATGTCAGATATGACAGAACTTCAGCTCCATCCTTTTCCTGCATTCTCACCTGGATCAAAAGCAACACTCTAAGATTCCACGTACATGCTCAGATTATCCTACATATAGGACAGCAATCTTGGGCCTGACACACGGAATAAGTATGACGTGCTGAACCCTCTCATCGCTTAACCAAACATACACTGTCACTCTGTCTGGAACAAAATTGCTGAACCACCAGTTCAATCACTTGATAGTATTCTTCTACCAATTCCTTCACCTTAAATTTTACAGATTTGCTCAGCTGCTGCCTTTGCACTCAAGTCCTTTTTTCTAGCAGTAATGTAGAAGTACTCAAATTATGATTTTGTAGTCACACAACTGGGAAGCTGCACTTAGTCTAAATGAGATGGTAGATACAGACACTATGTAGTCATAGACACCTTGAAATTTGCTTCAAGATGATAGCAAACATTTTTGTAAACAAGTGAACGTTCATATTGCAAACAATGCATCAATGGAAACTTCCTTTTAAGAAAAAAACTTTGAGACACTTTTGGTGTTAGTTTTGTAACCTCAGGTAAATATTTTAGTCTTTTAACACTTTGATTTCCTTCACAGTAAAATGAAGACGATAATTCCTACTTTGTAAAGCAGTGGTTCTTAAACTTTGACATTAGTTTGAGAAAAATATCTGGAGTCCTGACTGAAAATGCAGAGTACTTAGGGTACACCCAGACATACTAAGTAGGTGACCCAAAAAGCAGCATTTTTAGGAAACACCCCAATAATTTATGATGTAAGCATTACTGGGCTCTTGTTTTGTGAAATATGATAGTAAAAAATTAATTAAATGAGAAAATATCGAGCACTGCTTCCCTTTCCCATACACGAACAATAATCACTATAACATTCATTTAAAAAAAATAAATCTGAGATCAAGAGTTGGTGACTAACCTAAGTACCCATTGACTAATGACTGGATAACGAAAATATGGTATATTTACACCATGGAATACTACTCAGCCATAAAAAAGAATGAAATACTGTCTTTTGAAGCAACTTGGATGGAGCTGGAGGCCACTATTCTAAGTGAAGCAAATAAGGAATGGAAAACCAAATATTGTATGTTCTCACTTGTAAGTGGGAGCTAAGCTATGGGTACACAAAGGCACGCAGAGTAATATAATGGACTTTGGAGACACAGAAAGAGGAATAGGTGAGAGGGGGGTGAGGGATTAAAAAAAACTACATATTGAGTACAGTGTACACTACTTGGGTGATAGTGCACTAAATTTTAGACTCCGCCACTATACAATTCATCTATGTAACCAAAAACCACTTGTACCCCAAAAGCTATTTAAATTCAAAAATATATTCTAAAATAAAGGTTAGGGGAAAATTTAAAAAGGTATGAATTTAAAAGAATATGATAACAACTTATAAAAATGATAATATGGTATTTTCTTTCATATGCAAAACAAAAGTGTTGCTGTCTTTCTTTCTTTCTTTGCTTTCTTTCTTTCTTTCTTTCTTTTTTTTTTTATAGAGGTGAAGTCTTGCTCTGTCGCCCAGGCTGGAGTGCAGTGGCGTGTTCTCAGCTCACTGCAACCTCCCCCTCCCGAGTTCAAGCAATTCTCCTGCCTCAGCCTCCCAAGTAGCTGGGACTACAGGCGCATGCCGCCACACCCAGCTAATTTATTTTGTATTTTAGAAGAGACGGGGTTTCACTATGTAGCCCAGGCTGGTCTCGAACTCCTGAGCTCAGGCAATCTGCCTGCCTTGGGCTCCCAAAGTGCTAGGATTACAGGCGTGAGGGTGGCTACTTTCAAGACACACTTGAACCCCTCTCACTCCCCAAAAACCAAAGTAACAAGTATATATCTAGGTGCAAACAAACTAGTCTAGGAACAGCCTAGACAAGATGCAGGCCAGTTACTGTGCTCTTTTCTAAGAGGCTTCAGCATGATGTCAGAGCCACAGCCCCCTGTTGGAGGCTTATTGTACATAAGTGACCATATATTGCAGCGTGTGGCCCTACTACCCTAGCCACAACTGACAAGGCCAGAGAAATAAGCCTGGTCTAAAAGTCTGCCAATGTCTCCTAGCCTATAGAGTGAGTGACCCAGTACGACAACCCAATAAGAGAAGGCTATACTGGAGGGTAACTTCTTGACCCAACCACATCTTCTCTCCTTGGGAGCTCCAATCTGAGTCATACTTGCATTTGAGAGGAATGCTGAAGCAGTGTTCCATCCATATCCAAGATCCTCAGATTACACACACATTTGTGTGTACCCTTCCCTGGATCTTTTCCTCCCAATGACCAGAAAGCTGGAAGTGCCTAGAAGCTCATGCATCTTCTCAATTAGTCAATGACTGAGAGGTGTCAGTCTGGGATGAGACTAAAGGACTCTCCATGGTCTTTGCCTGAGATTGCATCGTTGCTTGGCTTCTTAACCTTCTCCTTCCCCTACTGATATTTCCTGAGAGCAATTAATAACTCACCTTAACAAATCACACAAAAGTTCTGGCTCTGCTTCTGAAGAAACTTATATAAGACAGATGCACGAAGATTTCATGAGAAGCAGAGAGATATTCAAGAGGAGGCAATCAGTAAGTGACCCAAATATAACTGTTCAACTCCAGGATGGCTTAAGCCAATGAATGTTTCTTATTCTCTTGGCAGAATAAGAGCAGTAGGAGCCAGAGGGAAGTCTATGTTAAGAGCCTAGGAGAACACTAGTGAGTGAGTTAGGGGGAGGAGAGGCAGTCACAAAGGAAACCAAGGCAGAACAGTGGAGAAAGCGTCTGGACAGGGTGTGGGGTAGGGAGCTGCTGAGTACAGGAAAGATGACAGGTCATGCTGCTGGCTTAGTAGAGTTTTGTTGAGCCACCAGAACCACTGTATGACATAACTTCCTGTTTTCTATGATGTATGGCTCTACAGCTGCAATGATATCTGTCTGTTACTCCTCTGTGTATCCTTTTTAATAAACTCCATTACCCAGTGACCCAAATATAACTCTGTTCTTTGAAAACTCAAAGGGCCTAAGAAACCCACACTGTCAGAAGTAGAAATAACACCCCAATCATATGCTTGTACAATGTTTTAGATGTTTAGATTATATATTAAGTAGGTCCGTTCAGCTCCTTTTAATTTCGTTTTTATTATTAAAATTATAATGTGTTTTCTATGTTATAACATCTAGCTAATGCAAACTCCATTCTTTATTGTGTCACTAATTTAATAACCAACAAAATCCCTTCTAATTCCTTAGTAAATGAATTTGTTCTGTGTAATTATTAAGTGGAATACATTTCTTCAGTATAAAATTTATTGTACCTAAATTTAAAATTAAACATTTGACATATCAACAATTTACAACAATAACAAGTAGAGGGATTTTCTTAAATGTATAATTCTGAAGCTCAACATATTAAGTTCTCTTGTTAAGCCAGAGAGAGTCCCTATTTCAAATTTTCTGTTTTCTTGACGCCTATAGGTTGAAATCTTTGTTTTATAGGCTTCTGCTTGGAACTTCACTGACTCATTTTATGGTCGACCACATAAGAACATAGCTTAATAAATTCTCTTAAAAATAAAGTGCAGATATTGATTCTGTGATTGCTTGGATTAAATTTTTAAAAATACGAACACAAATCTATGGGCATAGGTGATGGTATTGCATCTGAAGCACCGTAATTGCAGTTAAACTGCATTGAAAGAAAACATTTGCTGAAGTAACCTATTTATTCATCTACTTCTATAAAGCTCTCAGGAAACAGCGGACCGTTTAGTTATACATCAGGAAGGCACACAAATTAACGACACTAAAACTAAATAAAACAATTCCCTTTCCATCAGGGGAGGTGTTTGCTAACAATTACTTTACCTAAAAAAAATTCTATCTGAATTTCTTAACACATCATAAAAAATCGCTTCATTGCTTCAAAGATACTTTCAGGAAGTACATGATCTAGAATAGATAATCTAGGGGATATGATAAATTGAACAGTAGAAGAGTTTTTGTTTTTCAAGAACAGATTTGCATTAATTTAATGCAGACGACCTCATTTTCTGAGCAACTAGCAAATAAAACTATACATGTTAATGGTTTCCATAACATAGGAGCATACTATTCCAATAATTGTGCTTAAGAATATACAATCAGTAATGGCAATTCTGCCTCATTGAGGATGTGAAAAGACTGTCTTAAATGTTAAATAAGTACCCTTAGCCTTACTCATGAAGGAAATGCAAATTAACACTACCAGTTTGTACCTCATTTGTTGGCAAAAAGCCAAGAGTTTGTTAACACACTCAGTTGGTAAGCCCTCAGAAATGGGCTTCTCACACATTGTGGGAATGCAATTGGTACAACCCCTTACCGAGAACAACTTATCTATTGAAATTACAAATGGACATACCTATACCAAATTTTCCTTATGGTAATTCCAATCAACACACTTGCACTTGGGCAAAATTCCTTCTGCATAAACTTATTCATTACAGCCTTATTTGTAGTAGTACAAGACCAGTAAAAGCCTAAACATCCACTAGCAGGTGATTGGTTGAATTAATTATGGTGCATCCTCTGGGATACTATGAAGCCATAAAAAGGAATGAAAAGTGCTCTATGAGCTGATAGAGAAAGATCTTGAAGATAAATATTTAGAAAAAAATTCAAGATGGGGAAAAGTATGTATAGCATGGAAAAAATGAGAAAATAAGAAAATAGCTTCACATGTGTTTGCATTTCCACAGAGAATGTTGAAAGGATACAATATAAAATAATGAAAATGATTACCTATTTGGATGAGGAGAGGGAAGGATTTGGCTGTCAGGAGACAGATCGTGAATGTATTACCTCTGTATAGAGTTAAATAAAAACTAATAAGAAATAATAAAATCAGTTCTCGAACACAGGCTGAAGAACCTTAGCTTCCAAGTTTGCATCACTTCAAGGATAAGGAATGCTCTAGTTCAGGGTTTGGCAAAGTACAATCTTTGGGCCGAATCTGGTTTGCTGCCTGTTCTGGGAAATAAAGTTTTATTGGAACACAACTATCGCATTTGTTTATGTATTGTCTATGGCTGCTTTTGCACTACAATGGCAAAGTTGAGTGGTTGAACCATATGACCCATAAAACCTAAAATATTTACTGTTTGGATCTTTATAGAAAAACTTTGCTAGCCTCTGCTCTGTATTGATATCAGGTCTGAATCAAGTCACAAGTGAATAAGGAAAGGTGTCTACCCCCTTCCTCACTTAAAATACTTCTTCTATACCTTCTTCAATTTTTATTTTATTTTTTTCTGTGTTCTAGAGTATGTGCCTTTTTTAAAATTACATATTGACAAATTATAGTTCCATATATATTCTTCAGATTTTATATTCTTTGGTGCTAATTCTATCTAGTATGCACACTAGATTGTAAATAACTATACTCAGGTTGCTTTCCTCTTGGTTGAAATTCTACATCCTAAATATAGTGGAGAATTATCTTTTCCTTTCTACATCCAGACTTGCTTCCTTTCTGTAACAGTGCCTCAGATTTCTTACAAGTTAGGTTTGACCCAACTTCAACTCCAGGATGCTTAAGCCAACTAGGGTTTCTTATTCTCTTCTTAAAGGCACTTGGTCAGGAATCAGTATATAGTCTGGGTGTGGTGGCTCACGCCTCTAATCCCAGCACTTTGGGAGGCCAAGGTGGGCAGATCACCTGAGGTCAGGAGTTTGAGAGCAGCCTGGCCAACATGGTAAAACCCTTCTCTACTAAAAATACAAAAATTAGCCCAGCGTGGTGGTGGGCGCCTGTAATCCCAGCTACTCGGGAGGCTGAAGCAGAATTGCTTGACTCTAGGAAGTGGAGGTTGCAGTGAGCTGAAATCGTGCCATTGCACTCCAGCCTGGGCGACAGACTGAGACTCCGTCCCAAAGAAAAAAAAGGAATTGGCACATGATCTAAGACAGACTAATTAGAGCCACTGGAACCTAATTTCAGGACTTTTGTTTGTGCTCTCAGGAAAACCAGGCATGCCTAAAGAAATGAAGCTGCAAACTTACAGCAATATAAAGTCAATATGGTCATGGGAGGTGGTGGTGCCAATATGACCTAAGAGAAAGTCTGCTAAAATAATTTCTGGGAAAATGTTTTTCTTAAAAAAGGAAGACATATGTGATTGGCATCTTCCTGTCTCCTAATCTTCTGCCTCAAATGCTGATGTGATGTCTGGGGCTGCAGCAGCTGTCTTACAATAGTGAGGCAATAATCAAGAGAATGAAAACCAATATGCTAAGTGAATTGAAAGTGTATTACTAGGTTCAATCAGGAAAACAGAGATACTCTAGGTACTTCAGGAATAAAAGGTTTAATCAAGAATTATTATTTACACTAATGTTGAAAGACCATAGGGAATAAAGATAAGAGAAGTTGTTGCCTGAAGGTCAAGGTCAAGGAAGGAGACTTTGAAAACTTTAGCCTGAAGGACTGAAGCAGGGAGCTCTCAGAAGTTCTCTAGGAAACTGCTCCAACTCTCAATAATCTCCAAAAAGCTCCCCAAAATTGTCTTAGTCAATGACAATTATGTAAGTTGTTCTCACACCAGCCAAAAAGATGTGTAAATCTTACATTTGCCCATTCTTCCTTTTCTATCTGAAATCCTCTCTGTCTTTTTTGTCGACTGAGCTCCCCTCACTGACAAAATATCATGGAGTCATACAAGAAAAGAATCTGGGAAAAGTACTTCTCAGCTTCTGCTATGCAATGCAAAGGACAGCATAAAAGGGGGTGAAAATGACATCCGAGAATCCAGCAAAGAGTATAAAGACAGAAAAAGTTGAAAGCTTTGTTGAGCAACTGACTTCATACCAGCAACCACCTTTCTCTGAATTTCACTTTATGAGAGAAAATAAACTTCTATTTGTTTAAGCCATTATCCTTTGGCCCTTTTTGAAATCAAATGTGTGCCTCACTGTTACAATGTCCTTCTATGAAAACCATGAGATAGTGGGCATAGAAATGTGAATTTTCAAAAGTACTAAAATAGAAAATTAATTTCCTATATATGATCTGGAATTTTAAGACTAGAGTGTTGTGTTGTTTCAATGGTAGCAAATAAAGATAAAATGTGACACTGCATCTCAGCTGTAGATTACTGGCTCATTTCCAAGTGTCCCCTGCTTGGCTTTGTTTTTCCTTTTCCTCTGCTTTTTTTTTTTTTTTTCTTTTTTTTTTTTTTTTGAGACGGCGTCTCGCTCTGTCGCCCAGGCTGGAGTCCATTGGCGCGATCTCGGCTCACTGCAAGCTCCGCCTCCCGGGTTCACGCCATTCTCCTGCCTCAGCCTCCCGAGCAGCTGGGACTACAGGCGCCGGCCACCGCGCCGGGCTAATTTTTTTGTATTTTTAGTAGAGACAGGGTTTCACCGTGGTCTCCTTCTCCTGACCTCGTGATCCGCCCGCCTCGGCCTCCCAAAGTGCTGGGATTACAGGCGTGAGCCACCGCCCCCGGCCTTCCTCTGCTTCTAATGCATCCTTCCCACACTCCAAATCTCACTTGTCAACATCCTACCTATTCATTTTTTTTTTTTCTTTCTGTCACCCAGGCTGGAGTGCAGTGCTGTGATCTCGGCTTACTGCAACCTCCGCCTCCCAGGTTCAAGCCATTCTCCTGCCTCAGCCTCCTGAGTAGCTGGGATTACAGGTGTGCACCACCATGCCCGGCTAATTTTTGTATTTTTAGTAGAGATGGGGGTTTCACCATATTGGCCAGGCTGGTCTCAAACTCCTGACCTTGTGATCTACCTGCCTTGGCCTCCCAAAGTGCTGGGATTACAGGCGTGAGCCACAGCTTCCGGCCAACATTCTACCTATTCTTTAAGGCCAATCACTTCATGAACATGTCCTTGATGACTGCCCAGACACAAGCTCTCACTCTTCACAGTGATCATGATAGAAAACATTCTCTGCCTCATACTGGATTTTGAGCTAGATTAGATCACAGCAATCCCCTTATCATCTACCGCAAAGGCCAACAAACTCTGGTCTGCAGGTGTGGTTGTGTTTACTGAAGAACAGCCATGCCTGTTCTCTTACATATTGTCCATTGCTACTTTCACACTACAACAACAGGGTTGAGTAGTAGCCTGAGACAGCATGGCCCACAAAGATGAAAATATTTACTGTGTTGCCTTTTACAAAAAAAGTTGCAGACCCCAGTTCTATTGGATTATAAATTGGAGGTTATTATTCATTATCAGCAGCTAGGTATTGCCTAACTTTGTAAGGTGTTTTATTTGAAGCAGGCATTTTCTGGCTTAAAGAAATAAAGAAGCACTCGTATGGGCTCGGGTCATGGAGAATTATTTTAAGGCTATCCAGGGGAGTAAGTCTCATAGCCCATCTGTCATGGTTCTGAATATAGCAGTAGTACCAGTGATATTGTTAATAACCAACATATATTGAATATTTCCTTTGCGCCAGGCACTGTCCTAAGTTATTTTCATGTATTGATTCATTTATTTCTTCTTATAACCCTAAGAGAAAGGTTCAGTGCTTATCTACGCTGTAAAGATGAGGATACCAAGGAGCAGAGATGGGAAGTAGCTTGCCAAAAGCCATGTGACTCAGAAGAACTAAAGTCAAGATTTGGTACCCAGCGTGTCTGCAGAGCCTGTGCTCTAAACCACCACACAGTACCACTTAGCAGCATACCTAGCTCAAATCTTTTTTCTCCCTCTCTGCTTCTCTCCTCTACTGGGGCTATGGACTACCAGGGAGGTTCTTTGACAGGTGCTTGTCAGAAAGGGACAATATAAGCATTGGGAATTCCCTCAGTTACCAGATATTTGCAAATGTCAATTATATTGTAGACCGTAGCAGCCCCCTAGTGTGGTGTGTCTAGTACAAGCGTACATGTCTTGTTGTTTGTGTTTCTCTAGGAAGAATGAAACCCACTCTCCGACCTGTGTCATTCCTGGGACACATCACAGGCACTTAAATCTTTTCTTGATCACTGTGGGAAAGGCTAGGGACTGCGGATCGTAATTTAGTTTTTTCTTGGTCTGATTTGGTCCTGTCTGTGCTTTTGAAACCAGACTTTTAGAAAGGGTGGTATACATTCTCTGCCTCCACATCCCTTGCCACTGATCCCTTCTCACCTGCTGCCATCTGGTTTCTGCCCCTATGACTCCACTAAAATTGACCTTGCTAAAGTAATTGGTGAACTCCTGGTTGCCAAAAGAAAGGTACACTTTTCAGCTGTGTCACACTCCATTTCTCTGTACCTTGTGCTGCTTCTGACTTCACTTTATTTCCCTTTCTTCACTGCTGGGACATTGCTCTATCTTGGGCTCCCTGTAGGCACATCTAAATTTGGAAAGTCCTTAGGGCTCTATCCTCAACCCTTGTCTCCTTGTCTATAGCCTTGATTCCAGCAAAATTTCACCCGTAGCCATGGAGTCCCAAGCCTTTATCCCAGAAAACCCTTCCTCCTGAACATCACATCTCTTTAAGTGTCTGTTATCCAGCTCCTCTTGGATGTCCTACAGGGACTTAAAACATTACATCTCCAAAGCTGATTTGATCATCTCCCCTCCAAATCTGCTGCTTGTCCTTTGCTCCCTATTTCTGAGACATCACTTTCCATCCAAATAACTAAACCAGAAACTCCAGATTTGTCCTAAACCCTACTTTTATTTTACCCCAATCACCAATTTCTGGACTCTACCCTCTTGATACCTCTCCTATCAGTCCTCTCCTCTCTGAGCCCTACTGTCCCAGTTTTGGTACCTAATTCTCTTGCCTAAATTTCTGTAAATGCTTCCTTATTGGTTTCTCTGCTTCCACTCTCACCCTTTCCAGTACATCTTTCATACTACTGTCAATTTTTTTCTTCCATCAACCAAGTCTGATCATGTTATTGTTGTTCAAAATGTTTCAATGAATCCCAGCTGCTTACAGAATAATAAACTCCTTTACCAGGCAGACAAGTCCTTGATAATCTGGTTCTTATCCCTCTTTCAGTCTCATCTCCCAATGCACCTTCATTAATATTAAACTTTGTGTATTAATTTGAAGGACTTCCTCGTTCCTTCTTGGAATCCCCCATCCCTCTTCCTGGTGTGTCTTGTGAACTTCTGCTCACCCCTCAAGTTTCAACTCAAATACTCCCTTCCCCTGGAAGCTGGGCCTCTGATGTCACACCACTCTGCTCATCATGTTGCACCCATAGTGTTTGATTGACTCCTGAGATATTTGAACTCAGGAGGATGTTACAAGCACCTAGCAGGATTAGAACCTCAAGTGCAAAGGGGCAAACACATTCAAGCTTCATCACAAACTGTAAACAATTTTTCCAAGTTGATAGGCTAGAAATTGTGAATTCACAATGCTGCAATTTATTTTTATGGGTTCTCTAGTGGTTCCACAATAGCATATTCCTCACAAAAGTAATCTCTGAATTCTCAGGTAGAGCTTTTACTGGTCTCCTCTCCAAAATGCTTTTCACATTGCAGCCTTGGTAATCTTTTCAAAACACACATCTGATCAACTCTCTCCCTCTATCTCAAATACACTACATGCTGCTTAAAACCCTTTATGGCTTCTCAATATTCTGAAGTTAACATGAAGCAAAAAACACCTCTTAAAAGGACCTACACTACCCGGCCATTCCTTTGACTCCTACTGCACCTTGTCCCACTGTCTGCATTGCAGCCACTTTTCTGGGTTACTCGTATGCCTCCCCTGCCCCACTGCAGTGCCTTTGCACGTGCTTCTCTATGTAACGCGTTCCATTCTCCTTCTCCTCGTCCGTTCATCATCACTTCCAGTGCTGCTTCCTCAGGGTAATGTTTCTCATCCTTCTGGTGTAGATCAAATTCCCCATGTGCCTGTCCTCCACAGTGTTTGTCACCCTGCATTTTGGTCCTGAACCATCTGATGATTTGGTTAATACCTCCCTTCCTAGGGCTGGCTGGTGAACTCTCTGAGAGTAGGAGCCCTGTCTTTCCTGTTCCTAGCTGAATCCCCATGCATCCCAGTTCACTCACAGTGGTCGGCATAAAGGAGTTCAATATATACTTGCTGAATGAATGAGTGAATAAATGAAGGTCAAAAATCAAGGGGTTTTCGTAGGGCTTTTCACCTTTACCACTACCCTGTATTTGCACGTTCCTTAACAATTTCCTAAAATGCTTTCAGATAAGCTTTTTTAATATTAACAACTGACTTTAAGAGCAGAAAGGGCAACCCATGCAGGTGACTTGTCCAATGCTACATGACTAGTAAGCAACAATTTGGGACTATTTCACTTTGTCACTTTTCAGATCAGGCCTATGGCCATTAAACAGCCAAAACAGGAAGCAAAAGAAGATAACGTAGAACTTACTAGGGAATAGATACACAAAGACAATAAAATAGAAATATCCAAACAAATTAAAATAAAAACACAAATTTTATTTTAGACTGATAAAACTTTGGTTCAGGGAACACAGACAAAAATCCTCTGCTGTCATTTCAGCATGTACCGTTTGGGCTATGAGGAAAAGCATGTCATCTTTCTCTGTATAACAGAGGCAGTTAATATTTTATCCTAATTCTCATTAAAATGTGTACGTTCAATAAATGTCGGCTATTAAACTGTTGGTGAGAAAGTCTATTTCTGGAAACCTTTTCATTATTTCCTTAATAAGACTATTTATGGTTTTTTTAAGGAAACAAGACAAAACGTAACCACTTAGCAGGTTAAAAGGGTAGCTGGAGTTGCCTTACTTTCAAGGAGCTACCTCAAAATAACTAGGGTTCATTTATCTAATATTTTAAGACTTCTATTAATATTGAAACACAATTTGTAGTTAAAGAGAAAAATTTAAATCACCTAAGAAAATAATTCAGGGCCTTTATAGTTTTACATTAATATGCCCTTTAATATCCAGATGTTACTTACCTAATAAAATGTACAATTAGCTGTGAATTGACATGAACAAGTATTTACTGAGCACCGATTACGCCGAAAGCTCCGTACTTTCTATGGGGTTTATATAAGAGCAATTCGAGTCTCCCCACTACCTCACTTAGTTTAAGCTCATTTTGCCCTGAGTTTATCTGGTAGCACTTTATTTTAGCGGACAAGGAGGGAAGTGGGGAAAGGAAAGGAATTATAAAAATACAAGGTAGACGTGCACAAGAACCTTCGTTCTATTATTATTTAGTAAAGTGAGAACTGGAAACAGCTTAACGTCCAGGGTAAGTTAGTTTCACTCACTCGACGGAATGTATGCAGCCGTTAATGTATTTCTGCATTTTCCCATATTTCCAGTGAACATACAGTACTTTCGCAATTCGGAGTACAAACGAAAAAGGGCGAGAGAAGGTCGCATTTTGCCTGCCGGAGCTAGGGGCGCGCTTGCCGGTTCCAACGAGTTTTCGGTGTCGGAAAACTTGTCTTTGCTCACATTCTCGGATTCCCGCGGCCGCAGAAGCCGGAGGCGGGACGTGAAGGGCAATGAGCAAGGTAGGCTGTGTCACTGCCGCCGCGGGCTCACTCGCAGCGCCAGCCGAGGAGCGCCACGGGCTGCTGAACCCCTCGGCCCGACCCACGCGCCGAGGGCTAGGATAATGCGCCTGCGCGGCCGTCACGTGGTGAGGGCTCCGCGCAAAGCGGGTTAAAAGTCACGACCGCGGAGAGCCCGCGAGCGTCCTGCTGGTCGGTGCGGCGCTTTCCGCGTCCTTTAAGACGAGTTTGACCGAGGCCGCTCCGCAGTTCCCGCCCCTCGGCCCAGCTCAGCTCCATGAACCTAGCGGAGCCGCCTAGTACCCTTTCTCGCCGACCGCACAGGCGCGCGAAACCGCGTCTTTCAACTGACAATGAAGCCGTAGCCGCGCAGCTCGGCCACTCCGGGCGAATCGGCGCGAGGCCGGGATGGTGGGGGGGAGGGGGAGACGGTTGGGTCAAGCTCCGCCCCAGCTCGCGCCCCTATTGGTGGGCGCAGCGGTTCTGGGCCCGCCCCCTAACGGACCTGTCGCTTTGTGACAGGCGGAGGGGCCAGTTCCTGTCGGGCCGGAGGCGGAGTCAGAGGTTGCTTGAGCTCCGCCCGGACTCCAGGGGGCTCCTCCCCCTGCTCCTTTCGGCTGGGCGGGCGGCGGGCTAGAGAGGGAATGTCATTGCTTCTCAGAGCCGTGGTGCCGCCTCCGTCTGCTGCTTCTTTCCTGGCGCCCTCGTCCCGTCGGCTTTCGCCGCCGCCGCCGCAGCTGCACTGGGGATACGGATGGCTAGTGGGGCGCCGGGGCCATCTGGGTTGAGAGAGCGGCGATTGCGGCCGCTGCTGAGGCGGAGACTCCCCGCCGCCGCTTCCTCCACCCCCAGTCCGCCGGCCTCGCGGCGCTGAGGGCGGGAGCGCGCAGAGCTCTTCCCTCCTCCTTTTTCTTCCTCCTCCTCCTCCTCCTCCGGGTCCCCGCCCAGCACCCCTCGCACCAGGCGGCGGCGGCGGAGGAGGAGAGCTAGACCCGCCGCCGGGGCACAACATGGCGGAGCCCTCGGCCCCGGAGAGCAAGCACAAGTCGTCCCTCAACTCGTCCCCGTGGAGTGGCCTCATGGCCCTGGGAAACAGCCGGCACGGCCACCACGGGCCCGGGGCCCAGTGCGCGCACAAGGCGGCGGGCGGCGCGGCGCCGCCGAAGCCGGCCCCGGCGGGGCTGTCCGGGGGGCTGTCGCAGCCGGCTGGGTGGCAGTCGCTTCTCTCCTTCACCATCCTCTTCCTGGCCTGGCTTGCCGGCTTCAGCTCGCGCCTCTTCGCCGTCATCCGCTTCGAAAGCATCATCCACGAGTTCGACCCGTGGTAAGTGCCTCGCCGCCCCTCCCCCGCCCGTGGCCCGCGGGGAACCGGGACCCGCTCCTCCGCCCGCCGCAGCTCTCCTCGACTTGGCCCCGCGCCGCCGCGGAGCCCCGCTCGCGTCCTGGCTGAGGCCGGCGCGGATCCCGGAGCTCCGGGCGCGCCCCCTGCCCGTGGGCGAAGTTTGCCCCGTGCAGCCTGAGGCGGGGCGTCGGGGTCCAGGAGCGAAACCTTGATTCTCGGCCGGGCTAGTGTGAAGACTGCCAGGAGTGTGGATGCAGCCGCCGGGAGTGTGGGTGCAGCCGCCGGGAGTGTGGGTGCAGTCCCTCGCAGCCCGCTTTGGTCGCTGAGTCCGGACCCGCCACGCCAGGAGGCGGCAGGTAGCTCCTCCGCGGACTGTCGGTCGATTCCCCGCCCTCCTCGCCCGCTGCTTTCGCGTTCTTTCATATTTGCGGGCGCGTTTTTGCTAGTTCAGACGGAATCGGCCAGGGGGGCTGCCCTGTTGCCGCTGGAGGTGGGTCCAGATGTGCCGGAACCCCGGCTGCTCACCCTTGCAGTTTTACGCTTTTACTGTTTCTTTTTATGCTCTCATGATACGAGAAGGGAAAAGGAGAGTGAATGGCGTGTTGGAGGGAAGGAAATAATACCCCTGAAAGTGATCTGAAAGCTAGCTACTCTTATTTATTTATCATTAGGTATTTTAAAGAGTGGCTTTTTTTCAGAGCTCTTAAGTGCACTCAGCACCTTACTGTTTCACTATCGTCTTGGGTTGCTTTTTAGAACAAGATCCTTACCCTGTTAGCCACTGTCACCCTTAGTGTGTTATGCACAGTATCTGAAAGCATTGCATTAGTTCCTTTATTGGTCTGCAGGAAGGTTTGTGGATAAGAGCAAACAGTACCACGGTGATGGGAGTCCTAGATTGTAATACCGAAGTTGCACATGGTGTAAGGGACTGACCTGAATGTTTTAGGAAATTACCCCACTCTTAACAACACTAGCTAACTTAGACACTACATTGGTCTGTGAATTATCTAGATGGAAAGATTGCTTTAACTTTTTTTTCGCAACTTGCCCAACCCGAGTTAGGATTTTTCCCCCTGAGTTAGGATTTTCCCCTCTGAGAGTATGCCTTTTAAACTAGTGTTATCTTATTGACCTGTCAACCTTGAGTTAATCTTACTTCCTCACAGTTAGACCTAATTAAATTTCAGGATATTTGTTTCATCATTTGAGATTCAAAGAGAGAGAGTCTTTTTTGAGAGTTACTAACTATATAGATAATAAGTGTTCGGGTGGAGGGGGGCAGTAACTTACCTGTATAGTAATATACCAGATTTAAGTTCTGCATTATGGAGAGAAAAATTGGTACTGCAACATCTATTGAACACCAGAGGGGCCCACTCATGGACAATTCAATTTAGATCAGTTAATTACTGTGACAGTCTTCCATGAAATGTTTTCATTCCATTTTAGAAGTTTTGATTTTGTTTTCTAACACTAGTTTTTTTAAAAAATAACCTTTTTGTTAACGTGCAATCACAGAAGAAAATATGTTAGTGTAGACTATTTATGAGCCTAAGAATACCTGTGAAGGCTTATTGACACAATATTATTAGGTGGTCTTGTTTTGAAATACTTAAGCAAGTTAGATAAAAATGAAATTGGAACCAGAAAATGAAAACTAGTATTTACTGGACAATATGAAAAGAGAAAGTTCTCTTTTCAGATTAAAATAGCAGAAATGCATGGTTGACCAAACATTTCAGGTAACAAAATTGTGAATATTTCCATAGTAACATTTTTACAAATGGAAGGCTAACGACTGTTTAATAGTAACTCTGGGGCTGAAATTAAAGATTGCAGAAAAATTCACTACTGAATGATGAGATTTTGGTCATTTTTCCTTAAGATTAGAAATCTGCATCAAGTCAGCCAAAGATCCCCACTAAAATTGAGTAATGCAATAATGAAAAGGCTCAACAAGTAAAGTGGCTAATATTTTTATTTTTTATTTTTTATTTTTATTATTTTTTTTTTTTTAGTGTAGCTAAGTATTAAAAGTTTTCTTTTTCCAGCTTCAGTAGTGTGGTTGGAGGGCATAATTCTTTTTCATGCACATGAAAATATGTTTTGGTCGGGCGCGGTGGCTCACGCCTGTAATCCCAGCACTTCGGAAAGCCGAGGCAGGTGGATCACCTGAGGTCAGGAGTTCGAGACCAGCCTGGCCAACATGGTGAAACCCCCTCTCTACTAAAAATACAAAAATTAGCCGGGAGTGGTGTCGGGCGCCTGTAATCCAGCTACTTGGGAGGCTGAGGCAGGAGAATCTCTCGAACCCGGGAGGCGAAGGTTGCAGTGAGCCGAGATCGCGCCACTGCACTCCAGCCTGGGCAACAAAGAGCGAAACTCCGACTCAAAAAAGAAAATATGTTTTGCTTCATTTTTTATATATATGAAAACGCATTTCTGACACATTATCATTTAGCTAAATTTGTACCATTTGAAAGTATACATCTCTGTTTTAAAGAGCTACTTAATTTAGGTATTCTGCATATAGTTTTAATGTTGACATTTCTTAATTAAATGTTTATATTCATAATGTTAGATAATCTTGCTTAGTAGTAAGGAGATTTGTATAATAATGGACTGTCTCCTGTGCCTTACCGTGAATGGAGATTTGTCAGTATGAATCTAATATAATGTCTAATTCAGGTGACTTAATGAGAGAATCAGGTTTCAGACAAAAAAAATACCTTGTTCTTGTTTTTTTTTCATGTCTTTTGAAGATCTCACGTAGTTAGGCATCTCATTCATTCTTATCTGATTCTTACAGTCATTCTTTTTGAAAAGGTTAAAAGGAGGGGGATGTGTAGATTGCCTGCCATTATTACTTTGGGCTTTTAAAGCTTTTCGGGGCTTTTAAATCTAGTTTTCTTCTATAGCTACTAATAGTCGCAACACTTTAACTGGTCTGTAGCTGAACACTCTAGTGTTTCTAGTTTGGGAGTTGCTCAGATCACCATCATATCATATAGCAATGGCACAGACCTTTAATAATATTTAAATGTTACTCTCAGGCTGTGCATCCACAAACCGATTTATTCTGGCCTGCTCATACCTTCCCTGACCTCTTTTTCCATATCTCTATCAATGGTTTCATTTCTGCAAGTCGTTTTAGTGAAGGGTTTACTTTCTCTGTGAGCTATTTCTTTAAATTTTACAGTAGTTCTTAAATTGTGTAAAAGACTCAAGTTAGCTGCTGAAAGTGACGTCACAGAGTTATACTTGTTTTTTAAATTTGTCACCCAAGTTATTTATCTTACCAGTTGTCATAAGGGGTGATGTGTGATTTATTTATTGAAGTACACTGCACTTTTTTAACATTTAGCAACATTTTTGGTAACAATTTGACTTCACTTTAGTAATTCCTCCCTTATCAGCTGAGTTGAACAGATAGGAGGAAGCAGTTTGAAAATATATTGTCTGTACTTGCCAAACGTTTGGTTAATCAGCCACTTTAACAGCACTTAACTATACCTTTTTATCTGGAACAAAATGTGTTTTCTACATATTTTTATTGTAAGAGATAATACTTTTACTTTATATTAGCCAGATACCTTCTCCATATCCATTATCTTGTTCAATTGTGGTAGCCTTTCCCATAGAAGCAATGAAGTTCCCTATGTGAGAGCTCTTTTTTCCCTGCCTTAGCAGGTTATAAAGTGGGTTCTCCCTAGAGAGAATTCTCTGAGCCTTAGGTTTTGGCTGTAGTTAGCAAAAATGCAGCAGACGCCTTTTTGCTGGGCAGAAAGTTGCAAGTTAGAGTTGGAACTTAGAATGCAATTTTTCCGAAGAAACTATGGTATAAATTGGTTAATTAGTACAGATGTGTTTTCAAAGGAATGATAAACCTTTGGAACATAAGCTGTTAGAAGTTGGGGACTACTTCCTGTACTTTGAGGTCTCCATGTTTTCCTTCACTTTGCAGATGACAAAAAGAGGCTGTTGACCTCAGTTCTGAAGAAGACAAATTGGTAGCCAAACCAGTTTTAGAACACAAACGTCCCCAAATCTTAAAAAGTCACTTTGTGGGATCATTAGCATCAGCAGTCCAGCTGCACTTCAGACCAGGTATCACTGTTACTGATTGCATTGACAATTAAATTGTATGAATTTATGATAAGATTGGTGCTACTCCCATTTCGGTTGAGTGTGATGGCTTCCATAAGTAGTAATCATAGATTTCATGATGTATAGGCCCTACGGTAGTTAGGGTCTGTCATGAATGCCCTTGGGACTTTTCCTTCCCCCTTTATGGTTTTCATATCGTAAAGGTTAACTTGGGTAGGACTGCATGCCCCTTACTGCCATGAGTAGTTTGCATAAAGACAACATTGGTTATAAACATTAGAAGCTCAATATAAGGATTTACATCATAATCTCTGACCCAGTTGTTAATGAATATGGGCTAACTTAACTAGCCCTTCTGTACCTAATCAATTTTTATACTCTCTATAAGTTTTGAGTGTTTGAGAAAATGTTAACATTTATCTTTATTGTTATATCTTAGTATTCGTCTGTGCACACGTGCTCTCCGAAATGAAGGATGGAAAGGTTAATATTATTCTCAAGTGACCAAATCATGTTTTTCCCCTCAATTTGTTTACTTTTAAAACTTAATGATCTTAGGGAGTGAAAATACTGCAGTTAACTTGAATTATAAAGACCCCACAATTCAACAGACCTATTGCTAAACTATTATAAAAATTTTCAAATGCACAAGAAAGTTGAATTTTATAGTGAACACTCATATACTCTAACCACCTAGATTCTACAATTAATATTTTGCTTTAGCATATCTTCCTATCCATTACTACTTTTAAATCCTGCTTGTAGACAGACATTGTTACTATGATATGAAGAATGCCATCTTTGTTCCCCAACACCATGATAAAGAGGATTTATTTCTACATAGTGTTTGTTTTCTATATTATTTGAACATATGTATATACATGCTGTTTCAGTATCCTCAGAGTGAAGTTAGGATCAGATTCCATCATTCCAGGTTTTGGTTAGCAACTTACCTGAGTGCATTGTAAATCAGTGCATTAGCCCCACATCTGTTAAATGACTTGAGTTTGCTGAATCTGGTGTCTCAGAAGAAACTCTAAAGTGGTTAGATGGATATTGATGTTGATGTTGGTTTTGTTAGGTGTAATTTATGTGAAACTCCTAAATTCCTTGAATTATTAGAAGGCTTTTATAGGTCAGCCTGTTGTCTCTGCCATCTTTCATCCAGAGGTAATGGTTTAGCTTTAGTGTGATTGCAACAGTGACTTCTGTAAATCCCTGCAATAAATAGGAAAAAAGAAAAACATTTCCAAATAGTATAGGACCCACTGATATACTATATGGGCCAAATTAATACTGTTGAAAGGGGAAAACCTGTAAATGGTTAACCTGCTACTCTGTCTTCAACCGTCTATCTACCTGATTCTGGTGGATGCTTTTTGTATTTAAACCAGTAACTCTTCTGAGAAGGCTTCTGTTGTCCTCTTCTTACCTACTTCTGACCATGAGTAATTTCTGGGAATTTAGAAATTGATAGAAAGTGGAATACTGTAGGGTTTTTTGTTTGTTTTTAAAGTCGAATATATTAGGAGGTGAGGATTAGCGTTGGGGGAGATAGGATCAGTTGCCCAGAGGCTCCCATATTTAGGTAAATGTATGTTAATCTGCATTTGTAGGCTTGCCAGGAAATCTAACCATTATTTAGAATTTTATGTCTTTGGAAAAATACTTCCATAGTTTCAGATGAAAAACATCTAAACATGTTTTGGAATATAATGTGTACATAAATTAGTGAATGCCTCTTTATGTTGTTCAAGGTTGTACTATTTGTAGACAAACAAATCTCTAAACAATTGTGACTGTTGGCACTAATTGACCACTCTCAACCATGTCTATTTCTTTTCTTTCTGTGGAATTTAATGTTGCAAGATAACTTTAATATATGTTCTAAATGATAGTAGATGCTTAGTTTTTACAGTGTTTTACAATCCAGTGACATCTTAGAATTGAGGAGATGAGGTAACATCTTTTATTTCCATAGACAAAAGATAATTCAATTCAGTATTTCCCACAAGAATTGAAGGATACAGATCTGCCAGATTCCAAAGTCTGTTCCTCTTACCACACCCTCTGCCTCCAGGGCCAGCTTAAATAAAAGTGTCCTCTGTTTAATTTATGTTTTTTATTCAGGTGCCCCAACTTAAGTCTTAAAATACTGGTCTATCAGAATACCTCTTCACAATCCGGGCTGTAGCTAACTAAGCTTACTAGTTGGATAATAGCTGATTACTTTGATTGTTTTGATGGAGCGAAGAGATGAGTTGATGGTTAAGACTTTTAACCTTCAATTACTATGGGATTTTCGGAAACTCTGAAGAGAGTAGCTGAATGAGAGGAAAAGATGATCAAATCCAACTGAATATTGTTCTTATTTAGATTTATTTTGTCTATAAAAAGTTCATAATAATGAGATTGGAAGTCTTAAGCCATGCCAGTTAAGGGAATTGGGAGATGGAGAGCTGAACTTTCAGAGTAGACTCAGAATTCTATAACCCACAGGATTTTTAGTGTATGTGTTGGCCCCCTGTTTCTATTTTCTAAGAAGCTAAGGACCAGAAGGATAATACTTTTTCTAAGGTGATACAATTATAGCTTGGCTAGATTCTTTTCCATTTTCTTTGCACCTATGTTTGCTGTAGAAGGGAATATTTTGAGAAGTCGTTTGAAATTGTTACTTCAGAAGATGAGGGGAAGTTACTTTCTACCACTTAGTTTAAATTTACAATATCGTAAATGTTGACAATTCAGGCTTAGATTTGGAAACAAATAGAGCTTTTGTGTGAAGCTTGACTCATTTGGAATTATTTAAAAAAATTGTGTGTACTGGTTGTCTGTAATCTCCATAAATTAGCAGTATAAATTTTAAAACTTTATTCTTTTTTACCTTGTTTGCTCATTCCTATTAAAAGGGAAATGTTACTGCATGAAGACATGTAAAGGAATTTTGTTTATATTAGTAAAGTGTTAAAGTATTAATGATTAGTTGATAACCAAGTTGATAATATTTTCTTTTGGGGTTTTCTTTTCTTTTTTGTTTCATGCCTTACAGATTTATTAGCTGTTCTCAAGTAAAGACTTTTCTCCCCAGTATGGTATTCTTTTCTTTGGTGATATCTAGCTATCCCTGCAACCTATAAAATCCTTCAAATGCATTGTTTTAAACTTTAAATATTGGTGCTTTGTTTCACTTTCTGTCCCCTGCCTCCCCGCCCCACAATAGATAGATAATGTTGTAGCGTATAAGATATACATATATATACAAATACTAATGTTGAAGGTAAAATTTTATGTTGTTGCCCATACTGTTAAAAAAATTAAAATGTAGTGTGATTTTTCAAAATTCTAGTATATCCACAGCTTAAATTATTGTTTGTTGCTGACCAAATTTATCTTTAGGAGAACACAGGCCATAAGGAGTTGGAGAAAAGGATCATAACTGGAAACTCACTTGTGACCACCATGCCTACCACACGTTTATTATTTGATGCCTATTCTTAAAATACCAGTAACACCTGTAGACTATACCCAGTTTAAGAAGGTTTATTATTAAAGTAAATTATTATACATCTTATTTATGTAACCCACATCAGAAATGGAGTACAGAACTATGGGAGGCAGCACTCTTGTACAGTTATATTCTTTGAAAATAAGTCTTAAATGTTTCTATAAACAAGAGCAAAGAAATGAGTTCTGCAAAGGATTTCATTAGAGGAGAAAAGATAATTCAGTTTCAGTTTTTAAAGCAATTTTCTTTTATGATGAAGTATGACGCATCCTGAAAAATATAAATCTAAAGTATAGTGAACACCCATGTGACTATTACCCAGATCAAGATCATTGCCACTACCTTAGACGACCTGGTGTGTTTCTCAATCCCTTCCACCCCCTGACTTTATAGTGATGACATCCTTCCTTTTTCTCATAGGTGGTAAACTCTGTGTGCATTGCTAAACAATACAATTTAGTTTTGCCTATTTTTAAACTTCAGATAAATGGAATTGTGGCTTTTGTGTCTTTTTTTTTCTTTTTTTGTTTTTTTTTTTTTTTGGCTGAGCATTTTCTTTAAGATTCATCCTTGTTGGTCAAAGGATTGTTGACAATATGTACGTAAGTAATAAAGTTCAGCAATAATTTTTTTGTTTGTTTGTTTGTTTTAGATGGAGTTTCTCTCTGTTGCCCGGGCTGGATTGCAGTGGCGCGATCTCAGCTCACTGCAAGCTCCACCTCTTGGGTTCATGTCATTCTCCTGCCTCAGCCTTCTGAGTAGCTGGGACTACAGGCGCCCGCGACCATGCCCGGCTAATTTTTTGTGTTTTTAGCAGAGACGAGGTTTCACCGTGTTAGCCAGGATGGTCTCGAACTCCTGACCTCGTGATGCACCCTCCTCGGCCTCCCAAAGTGCTGGGATTACAGGCGTGAGCCACCACGCCCGGCATTTCAGCAATAATTTGGCTAACCAGGTGTCTTATTCACCTGACGGGGTTGCCTGTTCTTTTATAGCGGGAGGTGCCTCTAGGAAAGAGAAAGGGAAGGTATTTTTCTTTTCACTTGAGATTTAAAAAAATTATCTCAAGGCTGAACCCTTGAGGTGGAGTCATCCTTGACTAGAGTAACTTTGACAACTTTGTTTTAAGGTACTAATTGTCCAGAGATTTAATTTTTCTACAGAAACCAAAAATACAAGAAAGTGGGTGGGAGAGAAGAGAGAGACATCGTCTTTAAGGAGACAAATGATAATCAGATAAATGCAAAATGACTGGTTTTAAACTATGGCTTTTTGTCAACTATTAAAGTATTGTATATTAAAATTGGCATAAAGAAGGCATTGGTTGCTTGATACTTCTTGAAAGCAGGAAAGAGAATACTGGAACTGGAGGTCTGAGCTGAGGAATTTAGGAAAACCCTGGGCATGGACTGTTTGCTGTATTGATATATTTGTAGAGATTGTCAATCCTGGTTTTGAGGTATTTTGTTGTTTATTTGTGTAGATGTAGCAATTTTGCATATATTGCATTTCTGTCATAGTTAATTCTTTGTTGAAGAAAAATTTAAATCTAGGACTGTCTTTCTTCAAACTCTGTTTAGTCAGCCAGTATTTCTACAGAATTCAAACTTAATATTTAAACCAAGTGTCTTAGGGTGGGTATACGTACTGTATCCCATCTTCACAAAATCCCATGTGTACCTGCCAGAGAGTAATATAAATGGCTCAAATTAGGCTCTATTTGGATGATGGTCCAACTGAGTGATTTAAGCTATTTTTAACGCCTCTAGTGTATTTCTTGTAGAATTCCTCAAATGGAGATTCTTTTCTGAGATATATTGACTGTTAAGAAAAATTCCAGGCTGGCTGGGTGTGGTGGCTCACGCCTGTAACCCCAGCACTTTGGGTTACACGAGGGTGGATCATGAGGTCAGGAGTTCAAGACTAGCCTGGCCAACATGGTGAAACCCTGTCTCTACTAAACTACAAAAATTAGCTGGGCATGGTGGTAGGCACCTGTAATCCCAGCTGCTCGAGAGGCTGGGGCAGGAGAATTGTTTGAGCCCGGGTGGCAGAGGTTGCAGTGAGCCGAGATTGCGCCACTGCACTCCAGACTGGGCAACAGAGTGAGACTCCATCTCACAAAAAAAAAAAAAAAAAGAGAAAGAAATAAATTCCAGGCCTACTTCTCTCAGAAATCACAATTGATCATCTGTGTCTTACGTGAGAGGTCTAGGTACAGGTTTTATTAATACAAAACAAACTAAATTTTACTTAGGACTGTTTATTTGGCTAACTAGGCCAGAGCCATTTTGAAGATTTTAACACCTGTGCATGTAAAAACACTCAAGGAGACTTAAGTTATTTGTTCTTTGCCAAAGTTGGTAAGGTACTGTTATGATTATTTAAATTTTGGTGCTCATTTTTCCTCTAATGAATATAATAATAACTTACTACTATTATTGTAGGGAGGCAAAAGATTCTTTAAGGCAAGAACATTTTTCTAATCTTTCTAGAATATCCTACACAGTATTAGGAACATAGTGAGTGCACAGTGAATATTAAGACAGATCCTTTATCTTTAATGGTAACCACATTTTATGTTTTGGTCATAATAGTAATAGTACAGTAAGTCTCTGTTGTGCAATACTTTGAAATTTTGGATTTGACTGTGATGTCAGTAAGATCACATGTGCAGTGAACATCATAAT
This sequence comes from Homo sapiens, assembly GCF_000001405.40. NCBI lineage: Eukaryota > Metazoa > Chordata > Mammalia > Primates > Hominidae > Homo > Homo sapiens. The sequence goes on from NC_000003.12 coordinate 31,543,636, forward strand.
CCCAGTTTCAATACACATGTCATATTATTCTTTATAGAAGAAGGGAAGAGTTGATGAAGAAAAGGGATAATGCTTATGGAAGAAATGGTATATGTGAGCATCATGACAGCCATCAACAATTGGGAGATGAATGGCTGGATGGATAACTTAGGAAGAACTTTGAGGAAGATTTTAGTTTCTTGAGTATTTCTTCCAAGTACAAGTAACTCTTACAGAGGTCTGTCTCCAGTGTTAACTCACTAGTTAGGGAACATTGAATAAGAGAAGACAGACCAGTTAATATACAAAAACCATATGAGTTATGAAAGTTTTATTATTTTTCAAATGAGAAATGAAAAAAGACAGATGACAGCAATAGAAGTAAAATTCACAAGATGCCATTTTAATTGAACTTGAGAAATATATTCTGATACGAAGGAATAGTAAGAATTGAAATTATCATTGCATACATAGGCATTAGTTAGAATATACTAAATTCATGCACATGATGAATTTGGGTGGGGTTGGATTAATGATTCATTTGGTTTCATGGCTCTTGATTTAACTTTATGATTATAGTTAATTAATATGCAAATTAAGCAACACTTTAGGAAACCATCACAGCTCTGACTGATCTCATTTAAACTTTCCCATAAGAGGTTAAAGGATACTAAATAAAAATACTCATTAGGGATAAAATAAGTTGCTTGTCTTCATTAAAGTGTCTTTGCAATGGAAATAGCTTTGTTCTTGTCTAATTACTGGAGAGGATCATTGAATATTGTAGATATTGTGGGTTAAATAAACCAGATAAAGTCTTTATTTTCTTTTATTATGCATTGAATCCTGACAAAATGGTCAGCTCTTTAGTTATAGAATCATTCCATGTAATAATGGCAGTATTCCTGTGAATCCTAAAACAGTATGCTGTAATGATCTCACAAGATGTTTTTGCTTTTAAAAATGTGTGCTGTTTTAAAAACAAATCTTTGTCCATCAGTGTGCCTTTAAAAAAATCTATTACAGTGAGCAGGGTTTGTTGAAGACATTGACACTTAAAGCATTTGCACGGGGCGCGGTGGCTTATGCCTATAATCCCAGCACTTGGGAGGCCGAGATAGGCGGATCATGAGGTCAAGAGTTCCAGACTAGCCAGTTTGAGACCAGCCTGGCCAACATGATGAAACCCTATCTCTACTAGAAATACAAAAATTAGACGGGCTGAGGCAGGAGAATTGCTTAAACCCAGGAGGCAGAGGTTGCAGTGAGCCGAGATTGCACCACCGCACTCCAGCCTGGGTGACAGAGCAAGACTCTGTCTCAGGGAGCGGGGGGGGAACATTGCATATGCTCTTAATTTTTAAAATTTAATAACCTTGTTCCATATAAGTTTAATTGCAATCCCAAGATGATTTTTACTCTAGACCATCGCTAAAGAAGGCTTTTATTTTAATATGCTAAGCAGCTTTATGGCATTTGAAGGAACAGGATAATGAAACTGTGAAGTAGATGAAATAAATCTAATCTTAAAACTGTAAAGGCCAGTCATAAGTCATGAGTTTGAGGAGCAACTAAAATCTTTTTAAATAAGGATTTTTTTCTAAAGTTGTTAAAATGAATCAGTCACTTCATTAGAAAGGAAGATCTTTTCACCTGTTTAAATACTTTATTTTGGCTGTTAAAATAATTTACTGCATTTCAATGAAGTGTCAAATAGAAACAGCTGTTATATGAAAGGTTTTCCTTTTGGAATAATCATTCTGGACATTTGAAAAGAGTATGTAACATTAAGTGATGTTATAACTGTGTAAGAATCACAACATAATATACAGTTATAAATAAATTTTAAATAAATTGAAGTATATTTAACATACAACTTGCATATATAATGGGCTGTCATATTCTATATATAATTATAAAACTTAATGATAAATACTTGTGAACCTCCTAGCCAACCACAAAACCAGAACATTACCAATTTTACATCTGGCTGTGTTTCTTCTTTAGCCTGTCCCCTTAGTTTCCCCCTTAGCACTAGGCAACATTATGCTGAATTTTGTTTAACGTTTCCATTGCTATCTTTTAATAAAACTCTCATATGTATATATCTGTAAACCAAGCTTGTCCACCCTGCAGCCCAGAGCGGCTTTGAATGTGGCTCAACACAAATTTGTAAACTTTCTTAAAACATTAGGAGTGGTTTTTTTTTTTTTTTTTTAAGCTCATCAGCTATCGTTAGTGTATTTTATGTGTGGCCTAAGGCAATTCTTCTTCCACTGTGGCCCAGGGAAGCCGAAAGATTGGACACCCCTGCTGTGAAAACAATATATTGCTAATTTTTGCTTTGTTTGGAGCTTAAAAAATGGTATTAGCTTATTTATCCTCCTCTTTGACTTTCATTTATACATCTGTTAGTTGACAGACATTTGAATATCCAGTTTTTTTTCTATTGTGAAACATGCTACTATGAACATTAAAACTGTTTTCTGATGCATATGTGTGGATGTTTGCTGGGGTATATACCTGGGAGTGGGATTTTGTCAAAATATGCTTCAGTTATTTATGAAAATATACCACTCCAAAACTTAGTGACAAAACAGCATTTTATTATTTCACAATTTTGTGGGTTGAGTGGGGAGTCCTTCAGCTTCATGTGTCAGCTGAGGTGCTGAGATGATTGTAGTCACCTGGAGGCTCAATAGGCTGTAGTCAGCTGGGACTAGAATGTTTGGGATGCCTGGACAGCTGAGAGTCATCTGGAATCTTGTTCCATTGGGACCTCAGCTGGGGCTTTTGGCTCCTCCATGTGACTGCTTAGTCTGCCTCAGCATTGCAGCGGGGTTCTGAGAAAGAACATTTCAAAGGGGGAGAAAGCTGCCAGGTCAACTAAGGGTTAAGCTTGGAATAGACACAAGTAACTTCAGCTATATTTTGTTGTTCTCAAAATACACACAGACCTAGCTCAATGTTGAGAGGAGATGCATATACAGGTAGGGGCAGAATTGTTTAAGGTCATCTTTGGAAACACTTACCACAATGTGTTTATCATTTTTATCTCCCGTAAAATATCTGTTCATGTCTCTCCCAAAGTTTTAGACTGGGTTGTTTAGTCTCACTAATTTAGTAGGAGGTTATATGTATATGTATTTTGCATCCTAAGTCTGGGTTAAATTTGTTGCAGATATCTTATTCCAGTTTGTGCCTAATTGGTCCTTAAAGCAATCCTATTAGATATTTTATTGCCCCCATTTTACAGATGAGAGAGTACTGCTTAGTATGTTAAAAGGAAAGGCCTTGAAGTCAGCCTCCAGGGTGACATTTTTGTTACAAAGAATAGCATTTGCAAAGGTGTACAATTATGAATCAGCATGATGCTTTGCTCAACCTACCTGTTGTACCCCTTCCCCTCCAAATAATTGAGGCTTGGAAGAATTTACAAGTATTTTTATTTACTTATAAATTTTTATGTAACTGTGACTTTTGCTATGAGTGGACTGAGGACGTTTGATGTGAGAGGACTTGCCTGGAGTGACAGAGTAGGCAGTAAGTTCAGCCCCAAGTTCTTTCTAGTCTTATCTGCCCTCCTTATTCCTCAATTTTTTTTCCCTAAATTATTCGTTTGGATCAACCAGGTTCTGCCAGCATATTCAAAATCCATCTTAAATGTAGTGGCGAAATATTTTGCAAAATTATAATAGAAGCCAGAGATTTATAATTAATATTCAAATGTTTGCATTATATACTTTAAAAAGAACATTGCAGGTCGGGTGCGGTGGCTCACACCTGTCATTTCCACACTTTGGGAGGATCACTTGAGGTCAGGAGTTCGAGACCAGTCTGGCCAATATGGTGAAACCCCGTCTCTACTAAAAATACAAAAAATCAGCCGGGCATGGTGGTGCATGCCTGTAATCCCAGCTACTCGAGAGGCTGAGTCACAATAATTGCATGAACCCTGGAGGCGGAAGTTGCAGTGAGCTGAGATCGTGCCACTGCACTCCAACCTGCATGACAGAACGAGAGTCCATCTCAGAAGAACGCTGTAGGCACGCATCAAGTACAACTCAGTTGGTTTAAACTGAAATGCCACAGAACAATTCTGAATTCCAAAATGCAAAGCTTTGGATAAAACAGCCTGAACAAGTACAAAAAGACAATAAATTTGTAGACACTTCTTCCCAACCTTCAAATTAGGAAGATTTGTTCTGTGTAAAAGTATAGTTTCTGATCCTTAAAATTCTATGTGTTGAAGGCACCTCAGCATATCTCTGCAGTGTAAAAGCAGTGCTTCAGGCAGCATGACTTATTTTCATGTCACCTCAGATTTCTTGGATCTAATATTCAAAGACAGAGTGGAAATAATAATACTTAGTGGAAGGATTCTTGGACATGTAATGAAATGCAGAGCATCTTGAGACTTTTGACCAAGTAATGTTTGGTCATTTACCTTCCTGTTTGGTTGGAACAGGAGTGGTGATTCCAGCCATTGCATGATTGAGCCTCATTTGTTTTTATTCTTTCCTGCCCCGAATTCTTCCATTTTAAGTGTCTTAAAGAGGTAGTTATTCTTGCCTAAGAAGTAAACTAAAGTATAACATATTTGCTATAATAATGCTGATATAATGTTACTGTGATAAAGTATAAGTGTCAAGTAGTTTGGCAAAAAGATTTCACCAGGTTGAGCATAGTAACACAGGGAAAATGAGCCATTTAAAACAGGGAAAAAAAATGTTTCTGTGAAACCGGGGAGAAAAAAACAGCCATTTTTTTCCCTGTTTTACAAATGACTCATTTGTAAAATAGGGAACAAAATGAGCCCATTTAAAATTTAATAAATGTATTTTTAACATTTGTATTCTCAAAATAAATTTTAAAATAGAGTATACCAAACATGCTATTCTCTGAGGAGTTTAATGCATGTTATTATTTTACAGAAATTTAAGTTATTTTAAATATGTTAAGGATGGTAAAGCTTCCCTATAGTTCAGTATTGACCACCTCTCCTCAACCTGTCTCTAAAGGTAGGAGAAAACTGATTTATTCTCCTTGTATTCTCTTCTTTCTCTGCTCCGTCATTAGTTTGCTGATATTTTCTGTTCGGAAAGGGGGTGAAGAACCTTCCCCCCTTTGAGGGAGATAAGTTTTGGTTTCCCTGTAATATGGAACAAACTTCATACCTGGCGAGCACAAAGAAATTATTATTTTGCCAAAGTATGTTCTGCAGACCACATATTCCAGAAATTACACTTCTAAGCAAAATAATCTTTGATAATTTGAATTTGGGAAAAAAACTGCTTACTACATTCTTTGATACTGATATGCAATACACATTACCATGTTACAGTCTTAAGAAGTTGTTCAGTTAACTGTTAATTTTATTTAATCTGGTATTTACCGTATTTAATTTATGAATCACTGTAAGATTTTAATTTTTTTTTAATTAATGTTCCATGCAATTCATGGAAAAGACTGATGTAGATGTTTTATTTGATAGATGAGGAGCCTGAGGCCTAAGGCTAAGTAACTTTACCAAAGTCGTAGAGATAATAAAACTAGGACTGACTTTCTTCAGTGTTTTAAATCTTTTTATTTGTTTATTTGAATTACTGCATTAGGAACAAGTATATCCACATTAGGAACATACTTTTTTTTTCAAATGGGACAGTTGAGTATCTGCTCATTGATAGCATCCCCCCTGATTCTCCTGATTTGTCTTGGTGACTAAGTTGAGTATTATACCACTAACTTCTATGATAGTTAAGTTCTCAGGCCTGTATACATTGCTTATTTTGAGTGATTGTTTTATTTTAGTTTACCTTGTGCTGTTGCTTTCCACCGAGACTGTCCTCAGAAAGTTGGTCATTTTGCTTATGAGTTTATTAGTTGTCCAACCACTTTGGCTCTTTCATCACACCAACTTGTGGGCCATGGGATATTATTACTATGGATAATGCTTGTTAGTTATACATTTTATATTTATAGTATATGACTATGGGTCTGACTTAAACGTGTATTATGTATTTCTATATCTAATAATTGTTAGAAATCCTCTTTATATAGTATAATGCATAATCATATGTCTAATTTAGATAATATCTAGTAACAATAAAGAAATGTAAATATAACATGTTTACATATAATATTTATTGGAGATTTGTTTCTATAATATATGAATAGTTATGCCGGACTTAAATATATGTTATACACGTTGTGCGTGCGTTATATAAAGAGAAAGAACACTTGTGCCCATCCCTTCTGCCTACATTATTTAGATTTCCATCTCTATTGGGCTTAGCTGAGCAAAGTGTCACCGGATAGTTTTAATTGATCAAATATACTATTTTGTATGTGATCTTAGATTTTTTTTTCAGATTTTTTTAGTGCCATTAAAATGCTCTAACAGCCTCTTATTTTGTTGTAATTTTTTTTGTTGTCAGTTGCTTTTTCTTTTTTCCAATTAGTTTAGTAAATGTCCTTTATAAATCAGAATAGACCCTCCTTTTTCAAATGGATACTGATAAAAATTGACAGCTGTCACTGCCAGTTAAGGCAGAAATTAAGAGATGGTACTAAAATAGGAATCCTGTTTTCAGTTAATGTGTGTTTAAAAGTTTTGCCCTGTGTGTTCTTTTTTGATTTGCACATGCATCTGACTTTAAATTGGAAGATGCAGAGTAGCTCTAAGGAGTCTTCAAGACATTTTTGCAGCCTTTAAACAACCTTTGGTTTTCTCTCTGTGTTGCTCAAAGTAGAGAGACAGGTACTTTGTTATCTGAAGCTTATGACATGCTCTCTGCTTCAATCAAAATGACCACCCATCAGTTGCAAGAGCAGAGAGAGAGGTTTGTGAGAGTAGTCTGAGATCCAGTTGCAACTGTACAGTGTCACATTTATGGTGGTATGACATTTGTGAGTCTTTCCCTTCAGAGTTAACCTAGTAAAAAAAGTTATTCTCATATATCATTAGTAATCCTTATGAATTTCTATCATTGTTTTCCTGCTGTTACTTAAACACTGATAGGAATTTATGTAATCATATTAGGCTTGAGCATAACTCTCTCATGAGTTTCCATATTTTAAGTTATAAAATTGGCTATGTTTAATGTGATTATCTAGACAGTGCTCGTGTGTATCACTTGGTGAGATTGAATTTAGGCTGTTTTTTTCGTTCTATTGAAGGGGGATTTTTTTTTTCCATGTGTTACTTTTAATAGAGTTCATCAGTCTGGCATCCTTTTGTTTTTGATCCTGCCACTAGATGGCAGGAGCAATAAAAGGTAGATTGAAATGCCAACTTTAGTTGGCCTTAGCTGCTTTGTACTTTACCTTGGTTGTTCTCTGTCCCTATTAGTGCTGAATTTTGGGTATATATGAAGTGTTGCAAATAGTGGTACTTAGTCCTATAAGAAAGATCTGGTACCTTATATAGCCTGAGAGGGCCTACTAATAGGGTAAAGGAGAAAGAATAGAATAATCCTTGAGGTGTTCTAACACTTTGTCTTTTGCCTTTTACTTTTCTATTTTTCTTCTCCCTTTGTTGAATTGTACTCCTTTCCTTTATTTCCTGATTGTGGTTTTTGGGTGTTTTTTGTTTGTTTGTTTGTTTGTTTGTTTGGTTTTTGATAGGGTCTTGTTCTGTCACCCACAGTGGAGTGCAGTGGTGTCATCTCGGCTCACTACAACCTCCGCCTCCCAGGCTCAAATGATCCTCCCACCTTAGCCTCTCAAGTAGCTGGCACTACATGCGCATGCCACCACGCCTGGCTAATTTTGAAAAATTTCTGGTAGAGACAGGTTTTGCCATGTTGCCCAGGCTGGTCTTGAACTCCTGGGCTCAAGTGATCCACCCACCTTGGCCTCTCAGAGTGCTGGGATTACCTGCATGAGCCACTGTGCCTGGCCTCTTTCCTGATTCTTTTATGCTTACGTTAGCATCCATAATTGGTCATTTCTGTTGGTGGTACTAGTCGCTTTCTCATTTACCGTTCCCACGAATACATGTTAACTTGGCCAGTTTTGGTAGTCGTATGTGTAACAACAAACTGTTATAGGTGGCTTTGTAAATCTTTACAGAAAGGGTTATTTTCAAGAGAGCCTGTTAATTGATAGTCTTTGAAGAACAGAGTGATAGACAGAGTCTAGGGTGATGGGATGTTGCTTCCGTGATTATGTGACGTTGTGTAAAACTTTGTCTTACCAGTAGACTTGCACCAGAGACTCCTTGCTGGCATTATAAGATAAGCAGCCCTGTTAGGGAAGCCTATGTGGCAAGGAACTACTAACAGCCTCTATGATGTTTCCACCAACAGCCAGGAAGAAACCAGGGCCCCTCAGTCCTATAACCTCAAGGAAGTGAATTCTGCTAGAAGCCTGAGTGAGCTTGGAAGCAGATTATTTCCCTAATTTAGCCTCCACATAAGAACCCAACCCTGGTGACATCCTGATGTCAACCTTGTGCGACCCTAAACAGAAGATCCAGCTAAACTGTGCCTAGATTCCTGACCCATGAAGCTATGATAGAATTAGTATATGTTGGTTTAAGCCACTGAGTTTGTTTAAAATTGCTGTATAAGCAATAGGAAACTAATACAAATACCCTTCGTAAACCTTTCTTTCCATCTCTGAATGTTACTACCTAACTTCTCTCTGATCTCATGTAATCAAAAAATATTGATTGAATACCTCTTACTTGCCAGGGACTATGGCTACAGTAGTGTGAACCCAAATAGACATGATTCTAGTTTAGTGAGGGAGTTAGACTTGAACCAGTAAGAATGACCAATGCTGTCAAGGAACATGATACAATGAGAGCTTATAATAGGGAGATAAACTAAACACATTGTCTTTTTAGGAATCCTTATTTGACTTTTAAAAACTTATACTTACTACATTGCTTTCTTACCTTTTTTTTTAAAGCATATTTCTGCCATCACAAAACTTGTTCTATCTTTATTTTCTGTTAGCATTATGAAAACTACCTATGTGTATTTTTTAACCCTTACGAGTGTTCTTTCCTCTCTCAAGAACACTTCTCCTCTTTTCCTGCCTTTTTGCTCAATAATTCATCCAGGTTTAAGTTAGATGTCAGTTGTAGAAGCCATCCACGAGTCCTTTGGACAGTAAGCTTTGTGAGGACAGGTCCGTCCTGTTTGCTAGTATCTTTAGCACCCAGTGTGATACATAAGATAGGCTCTTAAAACCAAATAAGGCCGGGCACGGTGGCTCACGCCTGTAATCCCAGCACTTTGGGAGGCCGAGACGGGCGGATCACGAGGTCAGGAGATCGAGACCATCCTGGCTAACACGGTGAAACCCCGTCTCTACTAAAAATACAAAAATTAGCCGGGCATGGTGGCGCGTGCCTGTAGTCCCAGCTACACGGGAGGCTGAGGCAGGAGAATGGCGTGAACCCGGGAGGCGGAGCTTGCAGTGAGTCGAGATCGCGCCACTGCACTCCAGCCTGGGCGACAGAGCGAAACTCCGTCTCAAAAAAAAAAAAAAAAAACCAAATAAAACTTGATAGGGAGGAACTGGAACTCCTGTACATTGCTGATGGGAGTGTAAATGGTAACTATTTTGGAGAACTGTTTAGTATTTCTTAAATACGTGTCTACTATATAACTTTGGAGTGGAATTGCTAAGTATTCACCCAAAGAAGTGAAAACCTGTGTCCTTAAAAAAGGCTTTTACAAGAATGCTTGTTCATATTTTATAAGAATGAATGTACAGCCTTATTATTTCCTCCCCCGGAAACAACCCAAATGCCCTTCAGAAGGGGAATGGATTGTAGTATGCATTAAATGGAATACTACTCAGCAGTAAAAAAGAATAAACTGTTGGTATATGAATATATCTCAAAAACATGTTAAATGAAAGAAGCCTGATTCACCTTTTTAAAAAGTAGAATTACGATTATTCCATTTATCTGAAATCCGAGAACAAACATAATGAATCTATGGTGAAAGAAGTCAAAGTATGCTTGGAAAGAAGTGCCTAAAGGTGCATGTGGGAACTTTCATCATGAGGGTGATGTTATGCATACAGTTGTCAAACCTCATCTAATGAAACATGTCAATTGGTGTATTTTAAAGCATCTAAATTATACTTTAGATTTTAAAAATGAAAAAAAATGAGCGAAGAAGGTATCCTTTAGTACCCCCTGGGTTCTCTGCTTAATTATATTTTCTTGTTGCCTCTTCCTCCTGTGAGATTGTCAGCTCTGTGAGGTCAGGGACCAAGTTTGCCTGTGGTTCTTAGAATTGTGTACTTGTATGCAGAATGCCCAAGTTTATTGGCCCTGAAGTGAATAGTTATTTGAGATCTATAATCTATTCATAGATTATATCCATATTTTATGGCTGCATTTTTAAGAAAAATATTTGCATTATTACAGAATCTTACATTCAGTGTTTTTCTTTATGTAGCTTCTAGCTTTTTCTGTTCTAGGATTCACAAAAGACATCTGTTTAAGTGTTGGTAGAGTAGTCTTGCTCCAACTACAATTTTGCCAACCACAGTTTGAGATAGCACAGTGCTATATTTGTAAACCAAAGTTTAAAAATCAGATTTTAAGAAACAAATTGTGGTTTATTTTATTCTCCTTAAAAAAATGAAAACTCAATATTAATCTTGTTTTCTTGTGAATCCCTTCCTGCCAGTTCTTAACTTTTTGAGCCAATGGAAAAAATGAGCCTTGGTCATTTAATCTTTTTGATCAAAAGCCCTTAAACACCAGAGTAATTTGAAAAAGAACCAGGTGGTTACATAGCTTTTTGTCTAACTAGTACTATCTCTCGTTGTTGTTGTTTGTTTTTGTTTTGCTGTTTTGTTTTCCCTGATGAAAATAATACTAAATTTTAAATGATTTAATGGCCGTGTCAAAAACTTGAAAGATAAGTGTGTAGATAGTCTGAATTTCCCAAAACCGCGTCAGCAGCTCCAAGGTGTAATTTCTCTGAAACTTTAAGAAGGTAACTCAGAGCAGATTTTTCAGTGCTGGTGAGTTTTAATTTATTCATCAAGTAGATGGCTTTTTATTGTGATTTATGTTGGAGGTCTTCTAAAAAATAATTTTGAAATTCTGCAAAACTTTTATGCACTCTTTTCTGGTAAGAGAATCCATATTTTCATCAGATTCTTACAGACCCTCACCCAGAAAGATTAAAAACCCTGCCTTTACCTCTATTTTCTCTAAGATTTTTATTTTGCCAGCTGCTGGTTTTGCCAACTTTAAGAAACATAACAGCCCTAAAGTCAACAAGAATTTATTCTATAGTGATTGTTTACCTATATTGACCATCAGTATGTATTTGATATGTTTGTTGGGTCTGTTTTCTTCATGATTGTTTTTACTCTCTTTTTGACCTTCTTGGGTGCAGAACTGGATCATAATTACTGGATTCCACTGACTGGCCTCTCTGCCTCTGTGTTCCAAACCATTCCAGACATATAAGAATGATGAAAAAGAAATATTCCCATCAGCATACCTGGTTTTTGTTTTGCAACCTCTGGTTAGAATATACTTGTTCTCAATTATAGTACCAATTTTGTGGGGAATATATATCCTTCTTGGCAAGATGTTTAGGAATGCCAAAATCTAAAACTGTGTGGCTGCATGCATATCCTGTCACCTGCTCACTTACTCTGTGCTGCCTCTATTTCAAATCCTCTTGTTATTCTTGAGGTGGTTCCTAGCTATAAAAACCTATGAAAAGATAAAAATAACATGATTCTTGCAAAAAATTGTTAGGATAAGCTTTATATTTAAAGAAAATTCATGAGTCTGCATTTTGATATCTGTATTCTATTTTAAGAACACTGTTAGATGTTGATACACTTAATCAAAACTTAATTTGATTAAGGAAATAGCGTTTCTTTCTTTTTCTCCTTGATAGTTCTGTTACTCCTGCTTCTCTGTTTTGGCCCTGATTGCTGGGAAACTAAGTCACATTACACATTTGAATCATAGGCCCTTATTACTTAAATATTTGTGTGTTTTATCCAATCTCAACTTATTTATACTTGTCTTGTTCTTTAGTCTTTTTACATTATCTTTGTTTTATTATGTATTTTTGTGGAACCAGAAAAGTGATAAACTAGGACACCCTTAAAGGTCTCAGAATCTTAAACATTAGTTAACATCACTTTATTTTATTGATATATAATATTTTACATATTTAATGGTGTACATATCATATTTTGTAGCATACATAGAATGTGTAATGATCCAGTCAAGTTATTTAGGGGTATCCATCTTGAGTATTTATTATTTCTACGTGTTGGGAACATTTCAAGTTCTCTCTTTTAGCTACTTTGAAATACATAGTAAATTGTTGCTAGCTATGGTCACCCTACTCTGCTATACAACATTAGAATTTATGCCTTGTATCTAACAGTATTTTTGTACCCATTGACCAATCTCTCTTCATCTCTGCTTCTCTCCTATCCACCATACTTTGCCTAGCCTCTGGTATCTGTCTACCTCACTGAGATCAACTTTTTTTTTTTTTCCGTTCCCACGAATGAGTGAGAACTGTGAAATTTGTCTTTCAGTGTCTGGCTTATTTTACTTAACATAATGACTCCAGTTCCATCCATGTTGCTGCAGATGACATACTTTTATTCTTTTTATGGCCAAATAATATTCCATTGTGCTTATATACCACACTTCCTTTATTCATTTGTCTGTTGATGGACTCCTAGGTTGATTCTGCATCTTCGCTGTTGTGAATAGTGCTGTAGTAAACGTGTGAACGCACGTGTCCCTTTGATGTACTAATTTCTTCTCCTTTGGATAAATACCCAGTAGTGGGGTTGCTGGATTATATGGTAGTTCTATTTTTAGTTTTTGGAGAAATCTCCACACTCTTTTCCAAGTGGCCATATAATTTATGTTCCCAAAGCAATGTATAAGAGTTCTGTTTTCTCTGCACCCTTGTCAGCATTTGTTATTGTCTTTTTCAATAATAGCCATTCTAACTTGGGTAAGATGATACCTAATTGTGATTTTTATTTGCATTTCTCTGATGATTAGTGACGTTGAACATTTTTTCATATGCTTCTTGGCCATTTGTATGTCTTCTTTTGAGAAATATCTGTTCATGTCCTTTGCTTATTAATGTGATGATGATGATGATTTACTGTTGTGTGAGTTCTTTCTAGGTTCTGCATATTAGTCCCTTGTTGAATGAATAGTTTACAGTATATTCTGTCTTTCAGTAGGTTGTGTCTTCACTCTGTTGATTATTTCCTTTGCTGTGCAGAGTTTTTTGGTTTAATACAGTGCCATTTGTCTCTTTTTGTTTTTGTTTTCTGTGCATTTAAGGTCTTAGCATAAAATCTTTGCCTTGACCATTATCCTAAAGTGGTTTTTTATTGTTTTCTTCTACTTTTATAGTTTGGGATCTTATGTTTAAGCCTTTAATCCATCTTGAGTTAATTTTGCATAAAGGGAGAGAGATAGAGGTCCAGTTTCATTTTTCTACATATCGATATCCAATTTTCCCAGCACCATGTATTGAAGACTATGTCCTTTCCCCAGTGTTCGTTCTTGAAGCCTTCGTTGAAAATCAGTTGGCTGTAAATATGTGGATTTACTTTTGGATTCTCTGTTCTGTGCCATTGGTCTGTGTCTTTTTATACTAAAACCATGCTGTTTGGGTTACTGTAGTCTTATAAAATCAGGTAGTTTGGCCTCCAGCTTTGTTCTTTTTGCTCATGGTTGCTTTGGCTATTCTCACTCTTCCTTGGTTCTTTATTAATTTCAGGACTGTTTTTTCTATTTCTGTAACAAATGACATTGGTATTTTGATAGGGCTTGTGTTCAATCTGTATGTATACTGCTTTGGGCAGTATGCTCATTTTAACAATACTAATATTTCCGATCCATGGGCATGGGATGTCTTTCCATTTGTTTGTGTCCCTTTAATTCTTTTATCATTGTTGCGTAGTTTTCCTTATAGAGATCTTTCACTTCCTTTGTTAAATTTATTTCTAGGTATATATATTTTTATTTTTATTTGTTTATTTATTTTTTTGAGACGGAGTCTTGCTCTGTTGCCCAGGCTGGAGTGCAGTGGCGCAGTCTCGGCTCACTGCAAGCTCCGCCTCCCGGGTTCACACCATTGTCCTGCCTCGGCCTCCCGAGTAGCTGGGACCACAGGCGCCCGCCACCATGCCTGGCTAATTTTTCACATTTTTAGTAGAGACAGGGTTTCACTGTTAGCTAGGATGGTCTTGATCTCCTGACCTCGTGATCCGCCCGCCTCAGCCTCCCAAAGTGTTGGGATTACAGGCGTGAGCCACTGTATTTTTTATATCTATTGTAAATGGGATTGCTTTCCTGATTTCTTTCTCAGCTAGTTTGTCATTGACATATAAAAATGAATCAGTACATGATTTTTATATGTCGATTTCGTATCCTGCAACTTTACTGAATTTGCTTATTAGCTCTAAGAGTTTTTTGGCAGAGTCTTTTGGTTTTTCCAAATATAAGATCAGGTGATATGCAAAGTGGGACAGTTTAGCTTTCTCTTTTTCAATTTGGATGCCTTTTACTTTTGTCCTCTTACCTGATTGCTCTGGCTAGGATATCCAGTAGTATGTTGAATAGGAATGGTGAAAGTAGATATCCTTGTTTTCTAGTTCTTTGTGGAAAGGCTTTCAACTTTTCTTAATTCAGCATGATGTTAGCTCTGGGTTTGTCATATATGGCGTTTATTATTTTGAGGTGTGTTTTATGCATAGTCTGAGAGCTTTTATCATGAAGGGATCTTGCAAATTCAAGATTAAGTTCAAAATTAAAAAATCAAATGTTTTCTCCTTATTGAGATGATCATAGGGTTTTTGTCTTCATTTTCTTGAAGTGATGTATCATATTTATTGATTTGTGTCTGTCGAATCATCCTTGCTTCCCTGGTATAAACCCATTTCATCATGGTGTATTATCTTTTTGATGTACTGTTGGATTTTGTTGAGAAATTTTGCATCTGTGTTCATCAAGGATATTGGCTTTTAGCCAGTTGTAGTATCCTTGTCTAGTTTTGGTATCTGGGTAATGCCTCATAGAAAAAGTTAAGGAGAATTCCCTCCCCTTCAGTTGTTTGGAATAGTTTGAGGAGAATAGATGTGTGTTTTTCCTTGAAAGTTTGGTAAAATTTGACAGTGAAGCCATCAATTCCTGGACATTTTTTGTTGGGAGAACTTCTATTACTAATTCTGTATCATTACTCATTTATTGGTCTGTTCAGGTTTTTTTTTTTTTTAATTTATTCTTGATTCAATCTTGATAGGTTATGCTTATCCAGAAATTTATCAGTTTCCTGTAGGTTCTCTAGATAGTTGTTCGTAGTAGTCTCTGATGATCTTTTGTATTTCTGTGGTACTAATTTGTAGTGTCTTTGTTTTCATTTCTGATTATAGTTGGGTCTTTCTCTTTTTTCTTGGTTAGTCTAGGAAGTGCCTTATTGGTTTTTTTTTTTTTAAATCTTTTCAAAAGAACCAACTTTTTGTTTTTGTTTCATTGATTCTTGGGGTGTGTGTGTGTGTGTGTGTGTGTGTGTGTGTGTGTGTGTGTGTTGTCTCTTTCATTTAGTTCTGCTCTGATTTTCATGATTTCTTTGCTTCTGATTTGGGGTTTGGTTTGTTCTTTTCTAGCTCCTTGAGGTGCATTATTAGATTGCTTATTTGGAGTCTTTGTATTTTTTTTTTTATGTAGGTGTTGTTTATTGCTATAAACTTAGCATGGTTTTTGCTGTTTCTTATAGGTTTGGGTATGTCATGTTTAGATTTTTGTTTGTTCCAAGAAATTTTTTTTATTTTCTCCTTTAAAATTTTTTCCTTCACCCAGTGGCCATTTGGGAGCATGTTGTTTAAGTTCCATGTATTTGTACAGTTTTCAAGGTTCCTCTTGTTATTGATTTCTCATTTTATTTTGTTGTGGTCTGAGAAGATACTTGATATTGTTTCTTTTTTAATTCGTTAAGACTTGTTTTGTGTTCTATTGTATGGTCTATCCTGGAGAATGTTTCTTGTGCTAATCAGAATAATGTGTATTCTGTAGCTGTTGAATGAAATGTTCATGTCAAGTACATTTTGTCTAATGTGCAGTTTAAATCCAGTGTTTCTTTGGTAACTTTGTCTACATGATCTATCTGATGGTGAGAGTGGATTGTTAAAAGTCCCCAACTATTATTGTATTGGAATATATCTCTTCCATTAAATCTAGTAATATTTGCTTTATATATCTGGGTGTTCCAGTGTTGGGTGCGTATATGTTTAGAATTGTTATTTCTTCTAGTTGAATCCACTTATCATTATATAATTACCTTCTTTGTCTCTTTTTACTGTTTTTTGACTTAAAGCCTGCTTTATCTAAGTGTAGGTACTCGTGCTCACTTTTGGTTTCCATTTGCATTGAATATCTGAATTTATTTCCCTTTACTTTCAGTCTATATGTGTCTTCACAGGTGAGATAAGTTTCTTGTAGGCAGCATATAGTTGGGTCTTTTATTTTTTTAATTCATTCAGCCAGTGTATATCTTTTAAGTGGAAAGTTTAATCCATTTACATTCAGGATTATTATTAATATGTGGGGGTTTATTCCTGTCATTTTATTAATTGATTTCTGGTTATTTTGTTCTGTTCTTTCTCTCATAATTTATCTTTGTGGTTTGGTGGTTTTCTGTAGTAGTGGTAACATTTGAGTCTTTTCTTTGTGTGTGTGTTGCTTTGCCAGTGGTTTTTATATTTTTGTGTGTTTTCATGGTAGTAGATATTGTCCTTTCACTTCCAGATTAAGTACTCCCTTGAGCATTTCTTGTAGGCTAGTGTAGTGATTATGAATTTCCTTAGCTTTTGCTTGTCTGGAAAATATTTTATTTCTCCTTCATTTATGAAGGATAATTTGCTGGATATAGTATCATTAGCAATTTTTTTTTCTTTCAGCACTTTCAATACATTATCCCTTTCTTTCCTGGCCTATAAGTTTCTGCTAAGAAATCTTTTATTAGTCTTATGGGGGTTTCTTTATAAGTGACTAGACTCTTTTCTCTTGCTGTTTGTGGAATTCTCTCCTTATGTTTGACTTTTGACAGTTTGACTGTAATGTATTGTGGATAGAACATTTTGCATTGTATCTGTTTGCAGATTTCTGAGCCTTGTGTCTCTGGATGTCCAAATCTCTTGCTAGACTTGGGAAGTTTTCATCTATTATTTTGTTACATAGGCTTTTAAAATCTTTTGTTTTCTCTTCACCTTCTAGGACACTGAAAATTTTAATATTTGTTCACTTTCTGTTGTCTTTTATGAAGACTTTGTTCATGTTTTTAAAATTTATTTCTTTATTTTTGTCTGACTAGGTTATTTCAAAAGACTTGTCTAAGTTCTGAGAGTTTTCTTCTGCCCCATCTAGTCTGTCATTGAAGGTTTCATATATATTTTTTATTTCATTCAATGAATTCTTATGTTCTAGAATTTCTGTTTGGTTCTTTTTTATGATATCTACCTCTTGAGTAAATTTCTCATTCATATCCTGAATTGTTTTTCTGATTTCTTTATATTGTTTTTCAGAATTCTCTTGTATCCTACTGAGTTTTTTTAGAATAAATAATTTGAGTTCTTTTTCTGGGATTTTGTGAATTTCTTTTTTTTTCAAAATTTTTTATTTTTTAAAAAAATTTTATGGGTACATGATAAGTATGTATATTTATGGGATACGTGAGATATTTTGATATAGACTTACAATGTGAAATAAGCACATCATGGAGAATGGGGTATCTGTCCCCTCAAGCATTTATCATTTAAGTTACAAACAATCCAATTACATTCTTTTTTTTAAAATATACAGTTAGGTTATTATTGACCATAGTCACCCTATTGTGCTATCAAATAGGTCTTATTCATTCGTGCTGGAATTTTTTTGTGTGTGCCCATTTAACCATCCCCACCTCCCCACCAAACCCCCAACTACTCTTCCCAGCCCCTGTTAACCATCTTTCTACTCCCTGTGTCCATGAGTTTGTTGTGAATTTATTTTTTTGATTGGGATCTGTTGCTGGATAATTACTGTGTTCTTTTGGAGGTGTATCATATTTTCTTTTTTATGTTTCCTGTGTTTTTACTTTGGTATCTGCACATCTGGTGTAATGGCATTTTTTGACATTGCTTTTGTTGGAGAGAATTTTTTCCTGAAGATATATGTATGGTGTTGGTTGGATATGGCACTTTGGTATTGATTCTGTGTGTGTGTGGTAGTGTGTAGTCTCCATATGATTTTCTTTTTTTCTGTAAACAGCATTAGTGTGTCTGTGATTTCCCCAGGGGCTTAAGATGTGGTTGTTAGTGGAGGCTGTGGTGAAGTTTTGATGGGGTCAGGGATACCAGGTGTAACAGTCTTTTGGACCCAGTGGTGGCAGCAGTGAACTGAGCATCCCCTCAGTGTTTTGGCCCGAGGGCAGCTTATGCCAGTGACAGCGTTCGTGCATCCAGGCTGATTTTAGGCCTCCAGGTGGCCTGCTTAGGTGCTGGGATTCCAGTGGTGGGTCATGCAGGGGAGGGCAGCTTCTCGAGCCCCTGGGCAGCAGGTGTAGCATGGGTGATTGCAGTAGCAGCGGTGGACAACTCCCTGGAACCTAAGTGTCTGTGCTGGTATTGTGGTGGCTGCAATGAGTTGTGTGGGCTGGTCCCCAGACCTGCAGGTGATGCATGAGTATGGGTCCTAGCTCTGCTGGTAGTGGCAGGTTAAGTGGGCCTGACCTCAGACCCTGGGAGTAGTGTTCAGGTGTCACTGGTGGTGGACTTAGTGAGGTGATCACCAGAGATCATCCACACCTTGGATTGTGTGTTTGGGTACTTGCTTTGGTGGGGGTATGGAGCTAGCTGGGTGGACCGGCTGGCAGTGGTAGGCAAGGGAGGGGTGATCCCCAGTTTGTGGGTGGAATGCTCAGGAGGGGCCAGCAGCAACTGCATTGCAACCCTGCTCTACTAGGGAAGGTGGGGTTGCTTTCCTTCAGAGTAGCTGTAGGCTGGCAACTTGGGGGCGGGGCATGGGTTTCCTGCCTTGGCTCTGCAGCAGCCTGCAGCCCTCAAGTGGCTGTAAGCAATGGAATTTGTCCTTAGCGCAGGTAAAAATTCACAGTCGCCCTCTGCTGGGGTGGGCAGTATCGCTGCCTTGTAGTGGCCCTGGCAGCAGGATGCAGTTTAATGGGGCCTGTGTTCTCAAAATGGCACCATGTTGTAGCTGCTTAGGTTCGAGTGATTCGTGGGATCCAGCATGAGCTGTCTCTCTGGAGCAGTGCTTTCGCGTGGACTTCAGGCAGCTCCCTGTTAGTCTTGGGACCTGAGAGGGTCAAGGAGCTCTCCTGTGGCTAGGATTTTAGGAGTCCTAGTGGTTCCAGTGGGAATGTAGACCTTAGGGGGTCTCTCACCCTTTTTCTGCATTATAAGCCACTCCAGCCTCCTACCTGATCCCAGCCGAACAGGCTTGTTTCCCTCTTTTTCCTTGCTTTTGATGCTTCCCATCACTACTCTCTTGAATTTCATTGTTCTCTCTCAGGTGATCTTTTTTACTCGCTATTGTGGTTCCTCTCCATAGATGAGACAAGTACCAGATACATCTAGTCAACTATCTTCAGCATTGATTTTTATTGGTTTTGATTGCTTATCTAAACTAGTAGAGCAAATTATTTTAGTATGCATGGTGAGTGCCTTTAACATTCAGTCATTTAACAAATATTTATTGTGTGATAACTATGTGCCAGACACAGTACTAAGCATTTGGGATATATACAAGGATCTTTGTTGTGATGGAGCTTATTTTTCAGATAGGCAAGCAAACAAGTAAATAAAAAGATCAAGATAATTTTAGTTAGTGATAAAGGCTATTAAAAAAGTAATATGCTAACTAGTGTTTGATGTGTTTGTAGACCATGGCTATGGGGCCACTACTGTAGATTGAGAAGTGAAAGAAGGCCTTTCTGAGATAATATTTGAACTAAAATCAGAATGACAAGGAATTAGGGCCCTGCAAAGATCTGGGTTAAGAGCATTCCTCTTAGCAGATAAAAAGTTGATATGTTGAAGGAACAGATATAATGCCCCTGTGGCCAGGATAGAGTTAGAAAAGTGGTGTGAATAGTGTTAGGATAGAGCCAGAACAAGTGCTGAAATTGGTAATTGTGGAAATTAGACCCTTATTCAGACGTTTTTTTTGAGATGGAGTCTTGCTCTGTCACCCAGGCTGGAGTGTAGTGGGCGCGATCTTGGCTCACTGCAACCTCCACCTCCCGGGTTCAAGCAATTCTTCTGCCTCAGCCTCCCGAGTAGCTGACTGCAGCAGGTGTTTTCCGTTTCTGTATACAATACTAAATGGTTCTGTGAGTGACTGTTGATGAAAGACTTCAGAGGCCAGAACATGAACCGGGACCCAAACAGCATTGAATATCAAGTATACGGGAGTATTCCCTGAATGAAAATTTAATTAAACCAGTTACACTATTTTAGTGCCCTCTATCTGAATAGTATATTTCTATATAAAAAAAATAGTTTACCTTAGTAAAGTGGGAATGTTTAAACATTTCACATCATTTACAACCTCACACTGGCACTAAATCACTTTGCTCGGGCGACAGTTGTGTAAAAATGCTTTAAAATTGGGTCATATATAAAATAGTTCAGAGGAGCTTTAACACATATTTTATTAACTTTACTATATATACCAGGCACCGTCCTTGGTGCTAGGAGTTGGAAGATTGATTCCTTCATATTTGCCCAGAGGCAAAATGATGTGAAATAGACCCCTGGCTTTGCTGCTTTGACTTGTCTAACCTTGAGTAAGAGCAGGTTACTTAACCTCTTTGTGCTTCCATCTTCTCATCTGTAAATAGGGAATGACAATAATATACATCTCAATAAGTTGTCATAAAGATCAAATTATTAATAACAAAGGTATTTAAGGCATAATAACCACTCATAAAATGTTAACAATTTATTGATTTTGTTGTTTTCATTATTCTCTTAGGCTGGGGGTTTCTTTTCTCAAGGACCTTCCAATCCAGTGGAGGAGACAAATCTGTAAATCAATGCTATTTCGTATATTAGATTGGAAAAGGTAGAATGCAAGGTGCAAAGTTCATCAGGGTTACGTATAAAGGAAGGATTGCCAATAAAAAGTAAAATGAGATTTTTTAATTTCAGTGAAAGAAGAGAAACAATCATACTTTAAATTCCTGGGGGATTAGAAAGTACCTGATGACCAGAAAGAGGAAGAGATTCCGAACCAATTGTTAAACTTTAAATCCCATAAATAATTTATTCAAATCAAAATACCAATATATAATAATTATGGTGATAATAATGGAAGTTCTGTATCTCTTGGAAGATGTTGCAAATAATGGACAATAGAAACAATAGGCTTAACCTTTTAACATGCCTGCCTGTCTTCTTTCCTTCCTTGCATTCTCTCATTCTTTCTTTTTCATGAGAAATTGGTACTTTGCTTTCTCTCAGATTAGTTGTTGATCCATGTATAACGTGTATTACAAAGATGAACTGGCCTTTTTAGACCAAATAGAAATTCCTGTTTCTTGTTTTTATATCTCAGAGTTGTAAAAGCAGGAAGGAAAAATTATGTGAGAACAAATGCTTTTCCATTTCTTCATTCTTTTTGTTACACTTACTATTCAAATGATAGCAGGCAGACATTATATTTCTCATTGGACAATCTCCCAAGTAGTTGTGTAACATTATGTGACAAACTTGGCTGTGATCAGAGGAGGGATTGAGATAAAATAAGCATTTGTTGGTTGAAAGAGGAAGGAGTTGTTGTACATTTTTTTGATAATGAAGTGTACACATACTTACTCATAACCTTGTAAGAACTAAACTTCGGAGAAGTAAAGATGACAAATTATAGCTTACTGAGAAGAGTTCAGTTATCTGAAGATTGACAGTGGTTGAATTGGTTAATATAAGAAGTATGAGAAAGGTGCCAAAAAGGAGAGAAATGTGAGCTAGAGATAGGGACTACTTGGCTTTGTTTCTTTGTGATAGTCACACTTATTGGAGGATTTGTTTGGTAAAACCAACAATTATGTATGACCCTTGTAAGGTGGTGAGTGAGGATGGTTGTTACTGGTCAAGCAGTACTTAATAAAGGTTTCTGGCCATGATTTTTTAAGACATACCTATACCAAAGAATTGAAATCTGAAATGGTACAGTCAGACATATATTAGACTTCTCTGTCCTTTTATTTCCAAAGTAACTTTAGAAAGGGCATAAGCTTTAAGGTTCAAAGTTGCATCTTAACAGATCTTAAGAGAACTACACCAGTGGTTTTTGTTTTAGATATTTTAAACATATATAGATATAGATCTATAGATACGCATGCCATTGTTTTCAAATACTTGTTTAGCATTTGAATCCTTTCTTCAAATGAGTTTGTACAAAAGCCCCATATATAAATAGACAAATAGGTAAGGTTATATAAGATGGTACCATATGTCATTCAAAACTGTGTGTCCATTCTGGTACCCCACTCTTGTCTGGAATCCCTGAGATACTGGGAACAGTTTGAAATCTTTAAGGTTCGCAGTGCCCAGAAGGTGATACAAATGATTTACCTGCATTAATTGCCCTGTTGCTGTTTGGAATCACCTTGTGATCATGCTTAAGAATGTGGGCACCAGAGTCAAAGCTACCTTGATCAAATCCCATCTTGACCACTTCATGGCTGTGTGACTTTGGACAACTTATGTTACATATTGTGCCTTAGTCTAATCATATGTGTAGTGTCCTGCCGCAAAGGAGTGTGTATGTGTGTGATGATTAAATGAAAAATAGGATCATAGTGTCTGACATGTTTTTTTAAAACAATAATTGTGCAGAAGTAGTGTACACAACATAAATTACCACTCCCCTTCTTGAACATCTTTTTCTTCCTTCAGCACACCATTTCTCCACCTCAAGGCCTTTGCACTTGATAGTTTCTTTGCCTAGGACAGCTCTTTAACTCTTTGAATTGCTGGTTACCCCCATCCTTAAAGACTTCACAGATGTTTTAAGATAGGACCTCATTTATACCCTGCTTACAGCAATCTCTACCCCTTCCTCCTTCCCTTCTTCCCATTTTACTCTTTTATTTATCTGAATCTTTTCTCCTCTACTCCCCCCAGCTCTTGTTTCAAACTGTAATTACCTGGTTTGTGTTTATTGTATTTAAGTTCCAAAAGAGCAGAATTTGCCTGTCTTTCCAGTGCTCTATTTCCAGTGCCTAACAGAAACCTGGTACACTATGGTTGCTCAAGGAGTTTTTTGAAAACATGATTATTACCTTGTAAAAATGAAAACAAATCAATGTCAGATATAGAATAACCACCTTTAGAGGCACATTTTTCTAATATCTTGTCATGCAAGACTTCCTGGGATTCTCTTAAAGCTGTGCTGTCAAACTGTCATTATGCTCTCTCTATCCATGGGAGACAACCCTGAGCCCTCACTTGGAGTCTATGTGTGGTTATTTTGATAGATAGAAACTTTAGTTAACCTGTTTCTCAACTCAGAGCAAATTAGGACCCTGGCT
This sequence comes from Homo sapiens, assembly GCF_000001405.40. Lineage (NCBI taxonomy): Eukaryota > Metazoa > Chordata > Mammalia > Primates > Hominidae > Homo > Homo sapiens. The sequence goes on from NC_000003.12 coordinate 31,567,191, forward strand.
TTGCCTGGCCTTAAGGGGGCACTGTGTTGAAATGTAATACTTGGTACAGTGCTCCACCTCGCTGCCTTTTGCTGCACCTCTTTACCCTCCTTTACTACTAATATTTGCTGTTCTTTTATCACCATCATTGATCAAAGCTTCTTTCCTCCCTTTTCTTATTTTCTTTCTGTTCCTGATTGATTCTTTTCTGTTTGTTGGATTTAATTTGCAAAGGTTAAACTAAACCAGATTTGTGTTGTCTTGTTAAAATTACATTTGTGAACTGAACATTTTTGGAATGTGGGACATGTTTGTCGCTCATTGTGGCCACAGCATTATGGCTAACAATATATTGTTCTTCCACTTAATTTATTCTTAGGCATTTCTAATTATTAATATTTCTTTCTGATACGGTGTCACTTTTAATGAGGACTGAAAATGTTAATTAAACATACGAAACCCTTTGCCACCTCAAAATTTGTTTTGAAGATATAAAAGCCTTAGGTTAATTTTAAGGCTGAGATATAATTTTTAATTTTTTATAATTATGGGTACATAATAGATTTATCTATTTATGGGTTATATGTGATGTTTTGGTACAGGCATACAATGTGTAGAAGTCAAATCCAGGTAATTGGCATAGTCATCACCTCACGCATTTATCATTTCTTTGTTTTAGAAACATTTCAATTCCAATCTTTTAGTTATTTTAAAATATGTGCTAAATTATTTGTTGTGCTATCAAATACCAGATCTTTTTTCTTAAATACTAGATCTTATTCATCCTAAGTATATTTTTGTATCCGTTACCCCTCCCCACATTTTGCCCCCCTCTCTACCACCCTTCCCAGCCTCTGGTAATCATCATTCTGCTCTCTATCTCCATGAGTTCAATTGTGTTAATTTTTAGCTCTCACATATGAGATATAACATGTAAAATTCGTCCTTCCATGCCTGGCTTATTTTACTTAACATAATGACCTCTCCAGTTCCATCCATGTTGTTGTAAATGACTGAGTCTCATTCTTTTCTTTATGGCTAAATAGTACTTTATTGAATACAAGTACCACATTTTCTTTATTCATTCATCTGATGATAGACACTTAGGTTGCTTCCAAATCTTGGCTATTATGAATAATGCTGCAATAAACATGAGAGTGCAGGTGTCTCTTTGGTACACTGATTTTCTTTCTTTGGATATGTACCAAGCAGTGGGATTGCTGGATTATATGGTAGTTCTATTTGTTTTCTTGAGGAACCTCCATACTGTTCTTCGTAGTGGCTGTGCTAATTTACATTTCCACCAACAGTATAGGACTGTTCCCCCTTCCCCACATCTTAACCAGCATTTGTTACTGCCTGTCTTTTGAATACAAACCATTTTAACTGAGGTGAGATGTTATCTGATTATAGTTTTGATTTGCATTTTTCTGATGACTAATGATGTTGAACATCTTTTCATATACCTGTTGGCCATTTATAGAGATATAATTTTTTTTAACCTAAGATTAAAAGTATATTGTGGTATTTTGCTTCAGGACATAATCATGAGATTTCTTTGTTGTTGTTTTGAGTGTAAATTAGGTGTTTCAATATAAGATGAAATAAATCTGAAACCAAATGTATCAAATGATTGGATCTCTGACAAGATCTATGGAAGGAAAATGCAAAGGCAGCTCCTTGTGACTTCCCCTTTTTATTTGTAAAAGCCCTGGTTTACAAATAGGTTGATATTCCTAGTGTTTGTTTATGTAAGGAAATAATGCAGTATTTACTGGATACACCTACCAGCTCATAAAGTTCTATTTAAGCTGAGTTTTCTTTTCTTTACTTTCTTTCTTTCTTTTTGTTTCTTTTAAAGACGGGATCTTGCTCTGTAACCCAGGCTGGAGAACAGTGGTGCGATTATAGCTCACTGCAGCCTCAAACTTCTGGGCTCAAGTGATCCGCCTGCCTTAGCCTCCTGAGTTGTTGGACTACAGGCATGTGCCACCATGCCTGGCTAATTAAAAAACTTTTTTTTCTTTCCCCAAGCTGTTCTCGAACTCCTGGGCTCAAGCAATCCTCCTGCCTCAGGCTCCCAAGTAGCTGAGTTTACAGACCTAAGCCACTACATCAGCCATATGCTTTAATGTTTTTGAATACCGTATTGTACTAACTGTGCTAGAACCCAAAAAACATAACCATTTTTTTCCATAAATTGAATTCCAAAATTTAATATCTTCTTGCTACCTTAGGAGACGGTCTCTTTTTCCCTAAATGCCCCTTGCAGAAAAAGTTCATTAGCTCTAAAAATCAGGTTAAGAGAAGTTGGAGGAGGTGTGTTTTTGTTTTTGTTGTTAACTTTTATGAAAATTTCAAATAAACCAAAAGTAAAAGACCATAATGAATTAAACTACCACCAAATATACTTAGCAATTTTTTGTCACACTTGCTTCAAAACAGATTCTTTTATTATAGTTAAAATAGTAAAACTTGCATTGACAGTATTAAAAGAAGGAGGATATATGTGAGATTGGACATCGTTTTTTACTCCTTGATTTCTCTTTTATTTTTATTTTGGTGACTGCTAATTTTTAAAACATTATTTCTAAGCCAGTTCACCTAGCTTTATTGGGGGAAAACTATAATTGTGTGTGAGAGTATGTGTGAGTGTGTGAAATTTTCCATAATAGAGTTTGCATATATATGTATTATGTTACTCATATGTGTCATTATGTATGTAAATCATATAAATTTTATAAGTACATATTTATAAATATATGTATAGATAATAAGCTATATCTACGTATATATACCCTTCATTATGGAAAATTTCAAACATACAGCAAAGTAGAGCTAATACTGTAATGAACCTCCATGAATACATCACTCAGCTTCAACAGTTTTCAGTTTATGATTCATCTATAACACTCTCCTTTCAGCTATTTAAATATTTAAAAAAATATGTAAGTAGGGCATGCCAAAATTGAAGACTACCTTTGTACATACAGGTGTTTGAGTTTAATGAAGAAGGGAATAGAAGACAAAAATTAAAGTAAGTGTTGATACTAGTATGCTAAAAAGGAGTAATTAGCTAAGCAAGCATTAATTGAACCTCATGAGTGAACTGCCAGAAACTATGAGATAACTCCAAGATACAAAAATTACTAAGAAAATGTAGTTCATTGTGAGGTGAACTTCAGTAGAGGTTTCAACATGTTTTAAGAGCAGAAATTAAGGTAGACTGGGAGGAGGAGGATGAAACATTAGAGAAGACTTCTTATAAAATGATTAGGAACTTCAGGTCTGAGATGATCGTATGAAGAAGTGAGAATAAAGTACTTGGCTATGGCACGTTTCTATGTAGACAGAGCCAAGGGCTGAGGAAAAGACCATGCTGAAACATCTCAAAAAGCAGGTGTGATAAATACATTCAGTTTTTAGTTATCTAAAAATGGAATGGAAAAGAGTAGTTATAGGATCAATATGGTCAATCCAAGTACCTTTTTTTAAAAAGTGATAAAAACAGATTTTATTCAGGAACTAATGCAATAGGGAAGAGACATCTAAGTATGGAACTGGGCTCAATTCTGAATACAACGAAAATGGAAGATTTGTAGTCAAGGAGCAGGGATAGGGTCAGTGGGTGGAAAACACGGATGTAAGGAAAGGAGTAGGGGGATTCTGGCTAAACTAGCTTTACAGGGATTCTTGCTGAAGGCAGACCAGGGTGACCAGATACCCTGGGGGATCCTGGGGATAAGGAATTTGATCATATTGAGGTGATCAGAAATGGAGGGTAGGGATTCTTTCTGAACTGACTTAACAGGATTCTTGCTGTAACTGGGCAGTCCAGGCCCAACAGGAACAGACACTGAAGCCCAAGGTCAAAGCCTAGTTGAGAAGAGGGTTTAGAGAAACCTAATGTTTGGTCAAGAGGAGAGTATTTGTCAACTAGGAAGAAAAAAATTACATAGGTATTGCTATGTCTTCTGACATGAACAGGCAGCTCTAATCCTGTGTAGACTGCACTGTCCAGAGATAATCACACTATAGGTTTTATTAAGTGGATTTTAAGGGTAGTCTTAAGGGGGGAAAAGGGAGAAAAAGTGTTACTGGAAAGCCTCATGCATTTTTTTTTTTTTTGGAAGAGGAGGTGTAAAAAAGAGAAGCAAATAAGCCAGTTATGCCTTCAATACTTTGGTGAAGCACTAAGTATCCAAGTATTTTCAGCATCACTAAGGGCTTTATTTTATTCTAGGAAAATGAATTATAGTGCCTACTACATTCACAACCCTTGCACAATTCTCATGCCCATCATCTTCTACTCACAGCACATGCAAAGAAGCCAAAACAGCCATGTTTTATATCATATGACCCTGCTCTTTTGGCTACAGGTATTGGATTACAAGCATGGGATCTCATGGCAGCCAACACATAGATTGTCTGTTACCTGTGATGTGTGACTTTGTACGAAATGATTTGAGCCAATCATATTCTTACTCATATTTACATGAACAGAGGAAAAGAAAATCAGGCAGCTAAAGCTGGAGGAAACAGAGAAGTCCTTGAGATAGATTTGGAGCCATGTATTAGGCTCAGATGCCTTATATTTGCTTTGGATTGAATTGCTAATGTTCCAACTGAGGTATCCTGGGAATTTGCATGAATGAAAATAATCAGACTATGCTTTGTTTAGTAACAACTCAATCTGTAACATAAGTTCATGATATGTTATAAATTTAGGTTAGGTGCTTCCTTTTTGAGATTATATATCATATATATTATATATAATATTAAATATATATTAAAATATTAAATATATCAATATTAAATATATTAATACATAATTATTTTATTAAACATATTAATATATATTAATATATGATATATTAATATATCATATATTAATATATTAAATATATTAATATATAAGTATTAAGATATTAAATATATATATTATATATCTCAAAAAGGAAGCACCTGATCTAAATTTATATATAATATAATATATAGCTAATTATATATGAGATATATAATATATAATTAATTATATATATTATATTATATATATATATGATGAGGAATGCAAGCAGTTCTTATATGTAATTACTCAACCTTGAACCAGAATTTTCTCTTAGGCCCCAAACAAACTTCTGTATTATTTAATTGTAGAATTTAACAGTAAGGAAAACTTTTTTTAAAAAATTTAGTCTTTGACACTTATCTCTATGAGTCAAAATTTTTGCAATTTTGTGAACCAAAACAAAATACAGAAGTAGATTCATGACATGGTTGGCATCATTGCAGCTATGATCTCTAACCTCAAGTTTAAGATTTTTGTGTTCATTGAAACAATGTAATTGTTCTTACTATTGACTAAGTGTTGTAAGTTTGAACTTACATTTATATTTTTAAAAATATTCTTGGCCTGGTGCGATGGCTCACGCCAGTAATCCCAACACTTTGAGAGGCTGAAGTGAGAGGATTGCTTGAGCCCAAGAGTTGGAGACCAGTCTGGGCAACAAAGCAAGACCTCATCTCTACAAAGCATAAAACATTAGCTGAGTGTGATGGCACACACCTGTAATCCTAGCTACTTGGGAGGCTGTGGTCAGAGAATCACTTGAGACTTGGAGGCTGAAGCTGCAGCTGTGATCGCACCACTGCACTGCAGAAGCATGGGCAACCGAAACAAAATTCTCATATGTCCTTTGAGTTTGTGAAGTACCAGATGCTGTGCTTGGTGTTGGAGACACAGTGATGTCTTCTTAGGAGTATTTATCTATTTGAATAGATATTAAGGAAACAGATGTGAAATTTTATCTATGTCAAGATGGAAAAATGACAGAATCTCTTAGAAATGTGTTGAAGTTTGCAGGATGAGTTAACTGGGATAGGGAGGGAGACATCAGTGATACAGGCAGAGGGGATTAGCAGTCTTAACGATCCTGTAACAGGAAGGAATGAGGTGAGCTTGGAGGACTGAAAGATGGAAAGAAGAGAGGTAATACGGTGTGAGATGAGACTAGAGTTATGTATGAGGTAGACTGTGTGGTTTTGACCATTATGTTAAGAAGTGGAGGTTTTTCTGCTTTAATTTTAAAGTGATGAAGTCTTTGAATAATTCAGAGAGTTGCAATATGATCACATTTACATTTTGAAAAGAACTTCCTTCTTGTGGCAGAGTGCACAGATTGGGGAACTAGAAGTGGGCAGAATGGATGTAAAGAGACCAGTTAGAGGCTATTTCAGTAGTCTAGTTAAAAGATGATAGCTTGGATTACAGTGCTAGTAGCAGAATAAGAAAATAGTATACAGATTTCAGAGATATTTAGGAAGTGACAACCTTGTTATGATTTTTGTATAGGATGTGAGAGAGAAGGAACTTTCAAAAATGACACCTAGATTTCTTCAACTTAGGTGGCGGTAAGAGAATACTGAAAGCAGATATAGTGCATATGTTTGTTTTGGGAGTGGATGGTAGGTGTCTGATCAGGAGTTTAGTTGAATGTGGAGTCTGAGATGCATTTGTGACATTCAAGAAAAACATTCCACATGGGTAGTCACATAACACTGGTTTGGACATGAGAAGAAAGATCTAGTTAGGGAGATGATATTAGTGAATTGTGGGCATACTGGTAATAATTGAAGACTTGGGTGAATGACATCCTTTCGGCAGAGATTTTAGAGTGAATTAATAAGAGTATCTTAGGTAGAGGAGGCTACCTATACAGAAAACAGAGAAGATTAGAGAGGTGGGGGTAAAAAAATCAAGAGACTGTTGTAGTCATTAAAGCCAAAGGAAGAATGATTTGATAAAGAGGGAGAGGCCAAGAATTATATAAAATGGAAAGTGAAAAAATACTTGTCAGGAAAACTTTATGAGGTTGGACTCTCATGGTTCCTGGTTTTTAAAATGTGTTATTAGCAGTCCCTTGAAGTCAGTTTTTTAAAATGAAAAATTAGGTTGAAAATTTAAAACCTTGGTATTCTTGCTAAAATACTAGGCCTCTTCCATTAAAATATTTCCAGAAGTTTCGGGGGGGTGTTACTCTTTCTGGGGTATACTCAACTTTGTGTGGTGAATCTCTTAGTTTAACTGTTGTTTATGAGCTTATCTGGGTAGAGCTATTTTTAGTTTTTGCTTCTATTGCTAATCCAGGTGTTTGGATCTTGTTTTCAATGTTAATTTCTTGTCTTGGGAATTCTTTGTAAATTTAGACCCTTGATGCTTAGCACAGTGTTTAATTTAGCTTTTTTTATTGGAGCCTTTTAAGCCTTTAGATAGAGAAGAACTTTGTCACTTCCATGGTGGTGGTTAGATTGTTTTCCATCTTTTACTAGACAGCCTTTCCATAATCCTCGCTTTGTAAATACAATCACTACTTTGTTTCTGGCATTTGAAGATATCCCTTTTTAAATTCTGATCTGGTAAATACTTCTTGGAAGAGGAAGGGAGCAGGGTAGCATTTCTAGCATTAGCTTAGCTTTCCATGTTGTTGGCACACAAAGTTATTACTTAAAATTCTGATTTTAAAATTCCCCTCAGAAATTTGGATATATTACTCCTTTGCCTTATTAGCAATCCAGTGGTTCCACTGAGAAGGTATTAATCTAATTTTGTCATTCCTTTGTAGAAAACCTTTCTCTCTGAATTAATGATTTTAAGTTGTACTTCAGTATTTTGAAATGTATTGGGATGTGTATGCTCTGCGGAAAAAAAATTTTTGTTTTATATCAGTGTAAGAACTAGACTACTTAAATTTTTTTATACTTTTTATCTTGTTCTAATTTGCTCTTCATTTTTGTCCTTTATGCTATTTAGCCTATCTTTTATTTTATCTTGGCAATTACAATTTTGCCATTCAAAATCTTAAATGGATCCTTTATCATAAGTCTGTTTCATTAACTATAGACTTTAAGTGCTTCAGAGATGCTGTATTGTTTGCTTATAGCTACACTAGTACTATCATAGGTACTGTTGTTAATCCCTGTTTTACAAATGAAGAAACTAGAATGCAGAGAACATAAGTAACTTGCCCAACCAAGGTCACATAGCTGGTCAGTGTGGAACTAACATTCAAACCTATGCAGTATGATGCTAGAACCTGACCTCTCAACCTCTAGGTTATACTTCCTTTCAGGTCTGAAAGTTTAATATTAATAACTCTTTCAGAGTTAATATAACTCTGGGTTATATTAACCATCTGAATATATTCTCGCTTCTGTTTCTACAGTATTAATTTTTCTATTTGTTGATTTTGATATTTAGCTGTCATGGTGATTGCTTTTGTCAAATGCTTGATTTTTTTGGGGGGGGGATATGTTGCTTATTTTAGTATTGGAAAAGACTGTAAAAATGCTACAAAGCTTGCATCTAGTGATTGTTGGAGTTGAGATCATAACTTGCTGCTGGAAAGGATGTATCAAACTGATCTGGGGTATAAGGATTTCCTGTTCATCTTGTATCCAGCATCGTTCTGCTTCTTGACTCACTTGTCTATGTGTAGTGCTTCTACCTCAGGCAGACACCTCTGATGCCCACTTCCCTGCTTCGAAATAGTAGGGGGAAGGGGATTGACCTGACTGAGTATACCTAATGGCATTACCCTGAGGATTGCTCCAGGCTTTTCCCCTGCCCATGACAGCTGCTTTATACTAAACATGGAATATCCCTGGAATTGCCCTCTATGGTTTGTGGTTTTCTTCTGCCTTTCATTTTGGGCCCTGGTTTCTTCAATTTCATTTTTTCTCATTTGTCTCAGAAATTATAATTTCTTTTTCTATAAGGCCATATTCTTGTTTTATAGTGCTGCTATGGTTTATTCTCTTTATATTTTTAGTGCTATTATAGTTTAAAGCCAATGTTTTTAGGGTTGCAGGATTTTGGGCAATTCTGGTGAGTGTACCGTTTCTTCCATTTTGATGTTATCTTCTGTCAGCAGTTCTTAATCTTTTGAGATTTATGAACTTCTTTATAGCCCTCTACCACCTGGACCCCAAGCAATGGCTAAATGTTATTTTGAACATTACTAGTTTTGTAGGTGTGGGTTTGAAGTTGGGGGCGTTTTTATTTATGTAGAGGTATAAGCATGTTCTTTTGATATCTTCAGATTATGTTATATAAGTTTGATGAAAACGCTCTGAAAGATACATTTATGTAGCCACAGAGTTTAATATAAAGAAGGAGCTATTTCTATTAAGCAGTTTTATAACATTTCTTTTTATCTCTTTTCTCTAGGTTTAACTATAGATCAACACATCATCTTGCATCTCATGGGTTCTATGAATTTTTAAATTGGTTTGATGAAAGAGCATGGTATCCACTAGGAAGAATAGTAGGTGGTACTGTAAGTATATTAGCAGTTCTTTATGTTAATTATAACATTTATTGTTACTTGAGTAAATCATTAATTGCCAAGGTGGTAGGGATTCTTGAAAGCTTTGTATAGTTAACAAATTTTTCTGTGGCTTATTATCCAGTATTCAGTTTACTTAGGCTCTTTTCTTGATACCTCCTCCCCTTAATCCCCAACCTGTTTTTGGGTTGTCTCACACTAGCCACTCTTTTTGACAAGTGGTGGAGGCTGGGTGGGGATCTGCTGTCACAGTGTATCTGAATGAAGTTCAGTTTATTTGTGTATTTGCTCTTATAGCAATTTGGTTGAAAAAGCAATTTGGAAGGAGATAGAAACGTAGAATAATCATGATAATTATATATCTAGAATAATCAGATAATTAGGATTTTTCAGGCCCTGAATATGGAGACATTCCAAATTATTCCAGGTAATTGACTAAAGATTATAGTTCATGCAGACTTCTGATATCCAGAAAGATGACACAAAGGCAAATATTTTTAGGATTTGGGACATAAGGAGAAATGAAGGTGAAAGACAAAGCAACATTGTCTTGTATCGGAGAAATATATGTTTGATTTTTTTAAATCAATTTTGCCAGGCTTATTCATTTTATTAGGGTTTTTCTTAACCCAAAGAAACTTCTGACTCTGTTGATTACTTCTAGCATAGGTTTGTTTTGCATTTTTTAAATTTTAATTTATTTTCTTCTTCTTTTGTGAGTTTATTTTCATGTTCTTTTTCTGACTTCTTGAGATGGTTTCTCAGTAATTTTCAACTTTTCTTCATTATTAAGAGATGCATTTTAAGCCTAGAAACTACACACTAGCCACTGTACTAGCTGCATTTCATAAGTTCTGATGTGTAGTATTTTCATTATCATTTAAAACAAAATGTATCTTTATTTTCATTATAATTTCCCTGACTCATGGATTATTTAGAATTGTATTTAATTTCAAACATAAGGGGATTACCCAGTTATGTTTTTTTGCTTTGTACTTCAAATATATTGTGGTTAGAGAACACCTTCTATGTAATTTCAATCCTTTAAAATTTATTGAGACTTGACTTGTGGCTTAGGATATATCCAAATTTTTATAAATGTTCCCTTTGTGTTTAGAAAGAACATGTTCTCCATGATAGTAAGGTGTTGTGTTTCTAGTCTGGGGCATCTTCTTATCCTTGATGTAAATAGAGAGAAAGACATAAAGAGATGAAGGCACAATAGTCGTTATCATGTTCTGCATTGTGAATTGGAGAAGTATTAAATGGGTAGTACATACGGCAGATAGCTATTATCTGCAGTTCTTGTGGTGCTAATCTTATCATATACCTAAATTGTATTACATTTGATAACTATAGTTTTTCTTGTGCAGTTTATAACTTTATCTTAAATTAATCCTCAGTGGAAGCCTGTTTTCTCTAAGAGTCCTGATGTCCTGAGATTTGGGATCATCCCTGTAATAATCTTTCTTATTTGCCTTTGCTGGAGAATTTTAGGGGTTTCACTGGTTTTAGGACAGTTTTACTTAGTTTGAGGTTTCTTATACTTAAGGTTATTATAAATGTAGAACCCACATTGACACATTTGAATGAGTTTCATATTCTCCTTTAGGACTTTGTTTCTGCTCTGAGCATTGGAAGGCTTGATGGATGAATAGAATTTGTCTAGTTTCATAAGCAGGTCCTGACTTTTTGCTGGTAATTAGGTCTTCACTCTGATCCCTGTGTTGGGTGAAACCCCCTCATTTTCATTCCTTAAGGCCTGTATCAGGCCTGGTTATGTTTGGCTTTTTTCTTCTCTCCTGTGGGCTCCCATGACATCAGCACCTACTTTGAATTTCCTCTTCATTTTTGGCATCTGGAGAATACCCTATCTTGAGCTTGATTATGCTTTTTTTGTTGTTGGGGTTTTATTTGTTGATTTATTTTTGGTTCTTTCATTTAGTACTTCTATGAATCTTGGCTGTTTTTGTGTGTGTCAGTTCAGTCTACCGTATTATATGGATATATTGTCTTATCTTGAAAAATATTTTAAATTCACTTTGTTTTTTTTTCCCCCCCAGTATTGCTGACAAAATTACACACTGGTACCTAGTATTGAATCTGAAGTAGAACAGAATTTTTATGTGTTGAGAATGTGGATGAATTATCATGCTTTTTTTTCCTCCCCCTCCCCCTTTCTCCTTCCATGCATGCAGTAGGTATTGAGCATCCACTTTGTGCCAGTTATTTTTCTGGATGCTGGGGAAAAATTTCCTGCTATTCTGGAGCTTATATTCTTGTGAGCGTAGGCAGTTAATAAATAGAAAGTAAATAAATAAAATAAATAGTACGTCAAATGATGATAAGTATTATGGAGAAAAAGCAAGAGAGTTAAAGACGGGAGTGTGGGGGAGAGAGGTTGCAGTTGCAAATTGTATAGCCAGGAAAGGAAATGTATAACCTTTGTAGTTTCTGTTATGGAGTAAAAAAAGAGTCTTTTAGGACTTACCTAAGGGAGCAGATGTAAATGCATGTTTTAGTCACTGAATAATAACTCAGGAAGAATGTCCTGTTCACTGTTCTTGAATCCTTTTAATATTTGATGTTCCTCTTTTAGAGTGAGGGTACGTATAACTGTTAACTGGCCTCTTCTAGTTTATTATTTCCCTTTTATCCCTAAGTACTTTATGTGGTATAAAAAATTTAATTTTTCAGGAGTCCCAAAACATTATCTCTGGATTCACCAACTGACTCTTCCCTCTTTTCCTAGCTAGACTGTTCCCTCTTTTCCTTGCTTACTTTCCAAATCTAGGGCTTGAAAGGAGGGAACATTTTTTTATAAATATGACTTAAATAATTTTGTGTGTAATTTTTCTTTATCTTCCTTTTCTCATTTTCTTATGTACACACAAGTATGGGCAAAATTGGAGTATGTTAGAACTCCAAACTCAAGGATAAGCTAGACTAAGACCCTGTTTTGATAAAAAAAAAAAAAAAAAAAAAAAAAAAGTTAGTGGGATCAGTAAAAAAGTTACCTACAGTTAACATTGTTAAACATTTTGAATTTTAATCATTCTTGTTTCATATTCTCCCTGATCTTTTTATGTATTCCTCCAGATATGAGCTAGTTCTTTGTATGCAACACAAAAAGGTGTGGGTTTTTTTTTGTAGTTTATAAAGAAGGCAAATTGTTTTGAGATGTTGCTTTCAAACTTATGTAAGGTAAACAAAATGTAATGATGAAGAGTACATACATTAATATTTTTGTGTCTCATTTTATATGTAATTAAATTTTCCATTTTTTTCTTCCTAGGTTTACCCAGGGTTGATGATAACCGCTGGCCTTATTCATTGGATTTTAAATACATTGAACATAACTGTTCACATAAGAGACGTATGTGTGTTCCTTGCACCAACTTTTAGCGGCCTTACATCTATATCTACTTTCCTGCTTACAAGAGAACTTTGGAACCAAGGAGCAGGACTTTTAGCTGCTTGTTTTATTGCTATTGTACCAGGCTACATATCTCGGTCAGTAGCTGGATCCTTTGATAATGAAGGCATTGCTATTTTTGCACTTCAGTTCACATACTATTTATGGGTAAGTGACATTTAATGTTTTGCTGCCATTATTACTCGTGACCTTTCTCCTGAAACACTTTAGGCTGTACGCAGATTTGTCTTTTACAAATTATGTAGTTGCGTACAGAGATCTGTATTACTGTTCATAATCAATTTAATAATGGATAACATTTTAAAATATGTTAGGCATCTCTCAAGTTATGTGTAAATATCCTTTTTAAATAAGTCAGAACTCCAAAAGAAGAGCTATCATAAAACAATCTGTTGATATTTTTGTTTCTTTGTTTTGGGGAGATAGGTAAGAAATAGTTACCCAGGAAAGTTGAAGCATGGTTTGATGGCTAAGAATTTTAAATTGTTTCTGAAACTAGCATTATTTATTTTGCTGCTGCCAGGCTATTTAAACTTAATGATTTTTTCCCCTGTGTATGAAATATGATGCTACTTGGGTTCACTTTAGAGCTTGCATTTATTTATGTATTTATTATTTTAGCTTTAGCTTGTAATTTTCCAGTGATAGAAATTACCAAAATTTGTGTGTGTCAATATGTTTTTGTATATTTTATTAAGTATATTTTTAGGTAGCTAGGTGAATGGCAGCATAAATTTTCTCTTTAATAATTATTTTATATTGTTCAAAACTACTTGGCTAATGAGTATTTTTGCTCTAGCATGGAATTCTGGAGGAGAAGGTTGCAATGTGATCAGTATAGACAGTGTCTTAATCTTGAGTTTAAAAGAGAAGAAAGAAAAATACCCATTCAAGTGAAGATGATACCAAGCAGTAGGATGTTGCCAGTGCTGCTGTACTTATCAAAAAGTGTTTTTAAAAACTCTTTGTTTATTGTGTGCAGCTGAGGAGAAAAAAAAAAAAACACCTTAAAATCGAGAACCTCTGTTGAATGCCTTTTAATAAACTATATAATATTTTAAATCATAAAAATAATACATGCGTATGTGGCTAGATCCTGATAATATAATGCTTAGTGGAAAAATAAGTTGTGATAAAATATGTGCAGTATGAGAAATCCTTGATGTAAGTTTTTAAGCAGTACAAATCATACTATGTCTGTTAATAGCAGTTTATAAAGAAAGTATAAAAATGTGATAGATAAGCTGCATGTACGCCAGCTTTGTGATAATGGGTTTTCCTGAGGGTGGGTGGGTGATACTGAGGTGGGCAATATTAAGGGAGCTTCACCTAGCTCAGCTAAAAAAATTTTAAATCAAATATTCTGAAGCAAATGTATAATTTTTGAATTTGAAAGTCTGAATAGCTAGGTTCATAACTATTTTAATATTCTCTACACTTGTGTATGTTTCAAATACTTTATAATAAATTTAAAAAATAAAATATTCTATTTTGTGGACATTTATGCAACAGAAAAATACAAAGAAAAAAATCACCCACAGTGAACTACCATTTGCATTTTTTAATTTTGAGCACATTACATTCATGAATAAGTCCCAGTTGGTCATGGTATATAATCTTTTTCATATGCTGCTGAATTTGGTTTGCTAGTATTTTCCTAAGGATTTATGCATCTGTGTTCATAAGGTGATATTGGTTTATAATATTCTTTACTTGCAGTGTCTGTCTGTCTTAGGATTAGGGTAATGCTGGCATCATAGAATGAGTTAGAAGGTGTTCCCTTCTCTTCAGTTTTTGGAAAAGATTGAGGAGGATTAGTGTTGGTTCAGTTCTTTAAACGTTTTAGTAGAATTCACCAGTGAAGCCATCAGGACCAGGACTTCTCTTTTTTGGGAGATTTCTGATTGCTGATTCAGTCTCCTTGCAAGTTGTCTCTGCAGATTCTCTATTTCATCATGACTTAGTCTTGGTAGGTTTTTGTGTTTCTATTAATAGGACTTTGTTGATGTAAGCTATTCAATTTGTTGGCATACAAGACTTGATAATACTCTCTTAAAATTCTTCTTGTTCCCTATGGAATCAGTAGTAATGTCCCGCTTTCTGATTTTAGTGATTTGAGTCTTCTCTCTTTTTTACTTAATCTAGCCAAAGATTTGTCAATCGTGTTGCTCTTTTTAAAGAACCAACTTTTGGTTTCATTGATTTTTTTCTGTGTTCTTTTTCTTTTCTCTCTTTTAGTGTATATGCTGCTGAAGCAAGCACTCTATTTTATCTCTGTTATAGTCTTTATTATTTATTCAATTTTGTCTTTCTGGAAGCTTTGGGTTTAGTTTGTTCTTTTTCTTTCCTTCTTTTTTTTTTTTTTGGAGACGGAGTCTTGCTCTGTTGCCCAGGCTGGAGTGCAGTGGCGCAGTCGGCTCGCTGCAACCTCTGCCTCCCAGGTTCAAGCGATTCTCTGCCTCAGCCTCCCGAGTAGCTGGGACTACAGGCGCCTGCCACTACGTGTGGCTAATTTTTGTATTTTTAGTAGAGATGGATTTTCACGATGTTGGTCAGGCTGGTCTTGAACTCCTGAACTCGTGATCCACCCACCTCGGCCTCCCAAAGTGCTAGGTTTACAGGCATGAGCCACCGCGCCCAGCCCTAGTTTGTTCTTTTTCTAGTTCACAACGTAGTTTGTGAAGTCAGGTTTTTGACTTGAGATTTTTTTTTTTGTTTTTGAATGTAGGCATTTATAGCTATAAAGTTTTCCCTTAGTACTACTTTGACGGTGTCTCATAAGTTCTGATACATTGTGGTTTTGTTTTCATTCATCTCTGAGTATTTTCTCATTTTTATTTTTTGATCTGTTGGTAAGTATCTTGTTTAACTTCCACAAATTTATTTCCCAGTTTTCCTTCTGTTATTGATTTCTGACTTCATCCTGTTGTAGTTGGAGAAGATACTTTGTATGGTATCTGTCTTTTTAAATCTATTGAAATTAATATTTGGCTTTAATCTGCGGCCCAACATATTGTCTGTCCTGGAAAATGTCCCATGTGTACTTGAGAAGAATTGTGTATGCTGTCGTTATTCAATAATGTGTTTTGTGCATGTCTTTTAGACCTAGTTGGTTTGTTGTGTTAAGTTCTATATCATCTCCTGTCTGGTTGTTCTATCCATTATTGAGAATAGAGTATTGATGTCACCAGCTATTATTGTAGAACTGTTTATTTCTTCAATTCTGTCAAGTGTTTTCTTCCTATATTTTGATGGTCTGTTATCAGGTACATAAATGTTTGCAATTGCTATACCTTCTTGCTGTATTGAACTGTTTTATTGCTGTATATATTGGGTTCTTTCTCTTTTGTAACCTTTTTTTTAAAAAAAAAATTCAAAGTCTGTTTTTTCTTTTTTAATTTTGTAGAGATGAGGTTTCACCATGTTGCCCAGGCTGGTCTTGAACTCCTGGGCTCAAGCAATCCTCCCTCCTCACTTCCCAAAGTGTTGGAGTTACAGGTTTGAACCACCACACCCTGCCTTTTTTTGTTTCATTTTGTTTTGTTTTGAATTTTATAGAGTTAAAGTCTGTCTTTTCTCATATTAGTATAGCCATCCCTGCTCTCTTTTGGTTACTATTTGCATGGAATAACTTTCTGTCCTTTCAGTCTCTTTGTCTTTGGATTTAAAGTGCATCTCTTACATAACTGCATGTAGTTGGATCATGTGTTTATTCTTTCTGCCAATCTCTGTTTTTGGAGAGTTTAATACACATTGGAAGTAATTACTCGTAAAGAGGTACTGATTTCTGTGGTTGTGCTGTTTTCTACATGCCTTATAGCTTTTTTTTTGTCCCTCATTTCTCCATTAGTCTTCTTTTGTGTTTAGTGGATTCTTTTGGTAGTGAAACATTTGAATCCCTTTACTTTTGAGCATATTTGTGGATTGCCTTTTCACTCTGGATAGTGTCCTTTGCATGAATTTTAAATTTTTATGAAGTCTAATTAATTTTTGTTGTTGTTGTTGCTTGTGCTTTTAGTGTCATATTTAAGGAAACTGTTGGCCTAATTGAAGCTCATGAAGACTTACACCTCTGTTTCCTTCTAAAGATTTTATATGTCAAGTTCCTCCACTTAGGTCTTTGATCCATTTCGAGTTAATTTTTGTATATGGTGTGAGAGAGGAATTCCAACTTCATTCTTTTGCATGTGGATATCCACTTATCTTAGCACTGTTAAAGAAAAATACTCTTTTTTGTTGAATGGTTTTAGCACTTTTGTCAAAAATCAATTGATTATAAATGTATGAGTTTATTTCTGGACTCTCAATTCTGTTCCATTCCCTTGCCATCTGTATGTTGTGTCTTTATGCCACTACCGCACAGTTTTGGTTACTGTAGCTTTGTAATGAGTTTTGAAATCCAAAAGCATAAGTCCTTCAACTTTGTTGTTCTTTTTCAAGATTGCTTTGGCTATATGGGGTGCCTTGCATTTTCATAAGTTTTAAGATTAGCTTGTTCATTACATCTTTTTTTTTAAGTGGCATGATATTGTTTTGTTAATTCAACAGAAATTTTTGTAGAATACAATATGGAGCAGGTGCTGTTTTATGTGTTGATTACACAAGGTTATATGAAGTTGATAATCTAGTAGAAGAAATTATAGATATCATTGCTTTGAAGGATCATATTAACAGAAGGATGGAATGGTAAAACATTCTCACCCAGAAACTGGGAGGTTATCTAGTGAGTTTTTCCTTTGTTTTCTTTTTAAAAACAATATATTTAAATAAATTAGGTTTACGGTGGAAATAGATTCAGTATTTGAAAATTAGAACACTTGTGTTTGAGTTCTGGCATAAAATACTCTCTGACTCTTGACAAATTGACACTTTTGAATCTCATTCAGTTTTCTCTTAAGATACAGAAAACGTTTTGCCTACAGAATTATAATAGATGATGACATTCATTTAAAATTTCATTATTACTAATTGAAAGTGGAAATAATTACAGTTCTAACTACTATGAAAAGTTGTTTGTAGCCCAAATGAAGTTATAAAAAGGTGAAAACATTTTTTGTAATCTCTAATATATAAATGTTAAGTTGTCTAATTCCTCACCCAGTGTTTTTATTTTTAAACCAACTCTTTTAAAAGGTACATGTTTTTAAAATTTAAAAGATAAGTACTTTGTCATAGCATTATTATTTGTTGATGCCCTATTACTGTTACAAGCTGGTGTTGATAGACATTTTTGGATACACTTTTGGATTTGTGTTCTACAGAGATTAAAACATTTTCATCGTGATTGAGTGATTGAGAGTAAAGTCTATAGCATAATTGCCAGGGTTTGGTTTTCTCTTGGTTTGATTTCCAGCTCTGTCACTGGAGGTTGTTTAAATCCCCACCCTGTGCCTGTTCCATCAACTATAATATGGAAGTAATAATTGTACCTTCCTTATATAACTTAAAAATTAATACATGTAAAGGTATAGAATATTGTGAGAACATAGTAAGAAATGAGTACATGTTTGTTATTATTTACGAGCACCAGAGTATATGATTCAGAAAAGTAATTAACACAGATAAAGTAGTACAAGGAGCAGTGTTTATCATATTGCCTCTTACAGGTTTTGTTTTGTTTTGTTTTTTGTTTTGTTTTGTTTTGTTTCTTTAAGGTTCCCTCCTGTACCTTTGTAGTCAGTCTTCTCCCTACCCCATTTCTGGCAACCACTGGTCTGATTTCTGTTTCTCTGTCTATATAGCTTTGGGAGTTTCTTTTTTAGAATGCCATATAAATACAGACAGTAGGCGTGACCCTGTATATCCGTCTTCCTTCACTTAGCATAATATTTTTGAGAATGTCATCCATGTTGTTGATGTTTTAGTAGTTTGTTACTTTTTATTGCTGAATAGTACTCCATTATATGGATGTACTACAATTTCTTTTCCAGTTTTTGGCAATGATGAATTAAGTGGCTATAAAATGTTTGCTTGTGGGTCTTTGTTTGGACATATATTATTATTTCACTTAGGTAAATGCATAAGCACAGATTGGTGGTTTGTGTGATAAGTATAGGTTTAACTTTATAAAAAGCTGCCAAGCAGTTTGCCAAAGTTGCTGTATTCATTTTGCATTCCCTCCACAAATACATGACAGTAATATTTACTCTACTTTTCCATCAGATGGCATGGTCACATTTTTAAATTTTACCCATTCTTGTAGGTAGGTAGTAGTATCTTATGGCTTTCGTTTGCTTTTCCCCAATGACTGGTGAGCATCTTTTCACGTATTTATTTGCCATCCCAGTTCTTTGATGAAATGTCTGTTCATATCTTGCCCATGTTTTGATTAAGTTGTTTTCTTACTCTTGAGGTGTGAGAGTTCTTTGTATATTTTGGAAATACTTTATCAGATGTGTGCTCTACAAACATTTTCTCTAGTCTCTTCCTAAGAGCAGAAAATTTTGATTTTTATGGAATGTATCAGCTTTTTTTTCAATAGATCTTGCTCTTGGTATCTTCTCTAAGAGATCTTTGCCTACCCTAAATCACAAAGATTGTCTCATGTATTTACTTATAGAAATTAAATAGTTTTAGGTTTAACAGTCAGGTCTGTCATCTATTTTAAGTTGATTATGGTCTGGTGCAATATAAGGGTTGTTGGGTTTGAATGTTAGGTTTTTCCAACATCATGTGTTGAAAAGATTGTTCTTTCTCCACTGAATTATCTGCTTTGGTAACCTTGTCAAAATCAATTGAATATATACATATGGGTCTGTTTTGGGACTCTTCTGTTTATCTGTGTCTGTCTATATAACAATACCTTATGTTGTTTTCATTAGTTTCTAGAAACTCTTGAAATCAGGTAGCATGAGTAATCTAATGTTATTTCTCTTTTTCAGAATTAATTTGGCTTTTTTTAGCTGTTTGCATCATGTAAATTTTAGAATCACATTATTAACTTCTTTAACGGAAAAGCCTTCTGGGATGTTGATTGGAAGTGCATTGAATGTATAGGTCAGTTTGGAATAGAATTGTTATCTTAATATGTAGTCTTCTGATCTGTGAATATGGTATTTCTTTCCATTTATTTAGATCTTCTTCATTTTTGCTTTAATTTTTCTGGGCGATCAGGTTAGTGACTTGATCTATTTTAAGCACCGAAAGCTATAATTTTTCCTTTACGTACTTTAGCTGTACCCCATAAATTTTTTTATTGAAAAATAATTTGCATATTATAAAATTTATCCTCTTAGGGAATGGAATTCAGTGACTTTTAGTATATTAACCAAGTTGTACCATTACCACTATCCAGTTACAGAACATTTTAACACTCCAAAAAGCCTCGCCCATGATCAGTGACTTTCCATTTTCACATCCCCCCAGCCCTTAGCAACCGGTATTGCTTTCTGCCTCTCTGATTTGCCTATTCTGGAATTCCATATAAAAGGAATTATATAATATGTTGCCTTTTGTATCTTTTTTTAAAATTTTCAAATTAGATGGGTTCTCCTTATATTGCTCAGGCTGGTCTTAAACTCCTGGCCTCAAGCTACCCTCCCACCTCAGCCTCCCAAAGTGTGAGCGACCTTACCTGTTTTACATCTGGCTTCTTTCACTTACAATAGTATTTTCAAGGTTTGTCTATGTTGAAGTATTTATAAATACTTTATTTTTTTATTGCTGAATAATATTCCAGTGTATGGTTATCACATTGTATTTCTCCATTTTTTCAGTTGATTAAACATTTGGGTTCTAATTTCTGTCTATGATGAATAACGCTTCTGTGAACATCTGTGTGCATTTTTATTACATTTTAAACATTTATAAACATCTGTGTACAAATTACTATAAGAATTGCACAGAGTTTTTATGCTCTATTTTAATTTTCTAGCTCAGATATTTTCTAATTTCCCATGTGACTGACAGTGTCACCAAGGATGCTGAACTTCTATCCTACTCCAAATCTTTTTCATGACTACTTGGTAGGGCTTATGAAAAGAGCTTGTGAATGTAAATTCCTCTTATGTCTGGTTTCCTTAGCTGTTTTAACACTTGCTTATTTGCCTTGTGACTTTAGCTCTCTGATAAGCCTAAGAAAACTTACTATTTTGTAGATCATCTAGAATTTTTCCCTTATTGTTGAGGTGAAAATAACATTCTCTTGCAGCTTTCCACATCCCAAGCACAAGTGGAATTCAGTGCATCTCCTAATACTGTGAACCAAAACACAAGATGGCCCATGTTTGTAGGCCTAGAGCAATACTACTTTCCAATAGAACTTTCGACTCTGTTTAATAAGATAGTCACTGGCCGCATGTATATGGACTTTTTTTTTGTGCAGGTACTAGGTGCTTCACTATAATATAGGTAATAGAATTGAGTTTTACCCTTAAAATATTTGTCTCAAATATTTATTTCTTTTAAATCAGTTAGGAAATGTTAACTTATTCTAGAAACAGAGGACCTCATAATTTGTGAGAATTATGTAAAGTTAATTCCCTAAGCCTAATCCATTAAAAAAATCCTTTTACAAAAATGTCTCTTTAGTCATCTGGATGCACTACATTTCTGCTAGATTTGCTCAGTATAGAGGAAGAAAGCCATTTGTAAATTCTGTTGGAATACAGTTTTCATGCCATGTTTGGGCTACCACTAGATTTTTGCCTTTTATTCCAATGTAGATTTTTCCAGTGTTGTTTTCTAGAAAGTGTTGCACTTTACATTCATGTCTGTGATTCATTTTGAGTTATTTTCATGAAAAGTATAAGATCTGTGTCTAGATTGATTTTTTTTTGTATGTGGTTGTCCAGCTGTTACAGCATTATTTGTTAAAAAAATTATTCTTTTTCTATGTATTGCCTTTTGTCAAAGGTCAGTTTATATTTATGGGGCTCTATTTCTGTGCTCTGTTCTGTTCTGCTGATCTGTTTGTTCTTTTCCCACACTGTCTTGATTACTGTAGTTGTATGATAAGTCTTGAAGTCAGGTGTAGTATCAGTCTTGTTTCAATATCATGTTAGCTAGTCTCAGTCTTTTGCCTTTCCATATAAACATTCAAATTGATTTGTTGATGTCCACAAAGTCACTTGCTGAGATAAGGTTTGTTATCTTAACAACATTGTCTTCCTATCATAAACATGGAATATCTCTCTGTTTATTTACATCTTTGATTTCTTTCATGAGAGTTTGGTAGTTTTCCATATAGGGATTCCACACATATTCTGTTGGTTTTATACTTAAGTAATTCATTTTGTGTGTGTGCTAATACGTACTGGGTGCTAAATGGTATTATGTTTTTAATTTTAAATTTCAGTTCATTACTGGTATATAGGAACAAGTTTAACTTTCATGTATTAACCTTGTATCCTCCAGTGTTGTCTGTAATCATTTATTGATTCCAGTAATTTTCTTTCTGATTCTTTGGGGTCTTTTACGTAGACAATCATGTCATGCACGAAAAAAAGTCAGCTTCATTTCTTCCTTTTCAGTCTGTGTACTTCTTTTCTTTTCTTGTCTTATTGCATTTGCTAGGACTTCCATTACAATGCAAATAGGAGTGATGAGAGAGAACAACTGTATCTTGTCCTGATCTCAGGGGGCATGATTATGAATTTATTTCTGGAGTCTGTTCTGTTCCATTGATCTAGATGTCTATGCCTACCTCATAAACATAGATCTAGTTGTCTGTACTGACCCAATTACTATAACTTCATTGTACATTTTTAAATTGGGAAGTATTGTAGATTTTTATGTATTGATCATATATTCTGTGACCTTGCTAAATTTGCATGTTAAAATTTACTTTTTAGATTCCTTAGGATTTTCTACATACAAGATCATGTTATCTTCAGAGACAGAGGGTCTTTGCTACTTTTTTCCCAAACTGTATACCTTTAATTTTTTTTCCTTGCCTGGTTGTACTGACTGGAACCTCTAACATCACGTTGGACAGGGTACTTTTTCCTGCCCTATTTCCTGAAATAATTCTCGTAGGATTGGTATTACTTCTTCTTTAACTGTTTGTTTGGCAGTATTTACCATTGAAGCCATGTGGACCAGGGAAGATTTTTAATATGAATTAAGCTTTTTAATGACATCGTATTATTCAGATTTTCTTTTTTCATGAGTAATTTGGTAATATGTATCTTTTTAAAAGTTTTTTTATTTTATCTAAATGACCTAATTTGTCGGCAGAAATTGTTCATAATATTTCTTTATAAGTCTTTGGATTTCTGTACAATCTGTAGTGATGTCACCTTCCTTATTCCTGGTACTGATAATTTGTATCTTCTCTCCTTTCTTCATTAGTCTAGATAAAGCTTATCCAACTTTGGGTTTCACTGATTTTTTTTTCCTTTATATTTTCAATTGCATTGATTTCTTCGTCTTCATTATTTCCTTCTAATTCACACTTGGTTTACTCTTTTCTAGCTTCTTAAAGTTGAAGCTTAAGTTATTTTCTCCATTTCTACTTTTCTAGTATAACTATTTATACTAGAATATACTGTATTTACTTCTTTAGCTGTAGTCTCTGTGTTTTAATATGTGGTGTTTTCATTGTCATGTGGTTGAATATTCTTCGAATTCATAGTTTCTTTGACTCATGGGTTTTTTCTAAGCATGGTGTTTAATTTCCAAATATTTGGGGTTTTCTTAGCATACTTTTTTTTGTTGATTTCTAATTCTGTTGTTGAAGACCATACTTTGTATAATTTGTCTTTTTAAGTATATGGAGACTTGTTTTATGGTCTAGCACAGAAGTCTGTGAAGTATGGCCCATATGTAGGTTACCTGCTTTAGTAAATAAAATTTTACTGGAACACAGCCCTGGCCATTCATAAACATATACTGTCTTTGGCTTCTTTTACACCAGAATTACAGAGTTGCATAGTTGTGACAGATCTGGCTCCTAAGTGTAAATATTTACTATCTTGACTGTTCAAAACAAGATTGCTGGATCCTGGTCAAGCATGCTCTCCATCCTGGACAGTGATCCACATATGCTTGAAAAGAACATGTATTCTGCTGTTTGGAGGTTGCATATTGTAAATTAATGGTCAGGTCAAGTTGGTTGATATTGTCCAAATCTTCTATATGCTCATCGTTTTTCTTTTCAAGTTCTATCTTCAACAATATGGTTGGAGATTTCAATAACTGCCTCTCAGAAACTGTTTCTTCTTTTAGTTCTGTTAGTTCCTGCTTTATATATTTTAAGGATTTGTTTTAGGTCCCTGTATACTTAAAATTTTTACATTTTCCTGGTATATTGACCCTTTTATTATAGTGAAGTAGTTCTCTTTATCTCTAGGAATGTTGTCTTAAAATCTGCTTTGTTTGATTGATTTCATATGATTCCTGTTTCCATGGCTTATCTTTTTCTGTCCTTAAAATCAAACTATTTGTATCTCTGGATTTTAAAAGTTTCATTGACTGCGTATGGTTAGATCTTGCTTTTTTATCCAGACTGACCATCTCTGCCTTTTTATTGGAGTTTTAAGTATTGTTTGATTTGCACCTGCCATTTACTGTCCTCTTTTGTGTTGAAATGCATTTTTAAGTATACCATTTTAATTCCCCTGATTGTTTAGCCTGTTATTGCTATTTATTTATAGCGCTTGATGCAGAGAACGAATTATGCATCTTAATATTACAATCTACTTCTACTTAACATAATTCTGGTAAAA
This sequence comes from Homo sapiens, assembly GCF_000001405.40. Lineage (NCBI taxonomy): Eukaryota > Metazoa > Chordata > Mammalia > Primates > Hominidae > Homo > Homo sapiens. The sequence continues at coordinate 31,591,616 of NC_000003.12, forward strand.
TATAGCAGCTTTGCTCCAACACAGCCTTATTTTTTCTCTCCTCTCCTCTGTGCTGTTATTGTCGTATGTATTATATCTATGTATGTTATCTACCTAACAATACAGATTATATTTATATTCATATAACTTACACTTATTAAATTAAGAAAACAATCAAGAGAGTCTTCTATATACTCCATATTTACCATTTCCAGTATTCTTTATTCTGTCCCATGATCTGAGTTTCCATTTTTTATAATTTCCTTTTAGCCTGAAGGACTTTCTTTAATATTTTTTCTAGAGCAAATCTGCTGTAATGGGATTTTTCAATTTTGCCTTCATTTTTCCCCCAGTTTTTTTAAACTATGGTAAAATTGACATAACACAAAATTTATGTTTTAATCATTAAGTATATACTTTATTGGCATTAAGTACATTGATTATGCAACCACCATCACCACCATCCATCTCCAGAGCTCTTTATTTTGCAAAACTGAAACTATACCCATTAAACAATATCTCTCCTTTCCACCTTCCCCTCCGCCCCTGGCACCACCATTCAAATTTTTGTCTCTATGATTTTGACTAAATACTTCACATAGGTGGAATCATATAGTAGTTGTCTTTTTGTGACTGGCTTCTTTCACTTAGCATAATGTCTTCAAGGTTTATCCATGTTGTAGCATGTCAGGATTTTCTTCCTTTTTAAGGTGGAATAATATTCCGTTGTATGTACATGCCATATTTGGCTTATTGATTCATCTGCAGCTGGACACTTTTATGGTCTAGCTACTTTGAAAGTGGTTATACAAATCTCTCTCCAAGACCTTGCTTTCAATTATTGTGAGTATATACCTTGAAGTGGAATTGTTGGGTCATATGTCAATTCTATTTTTAAATTTTGGGGAAATGCCAAACTGTTTTCCACAACAGCAGTATCATTTTACATTCCCACCGACACTGCACAAAGGTTTAATTTTTCCCTGTCCTTGTCAACACATGTTATTTTCTGGTTCTTTTGATAGTAGTCATCCTAATGGGTGTGAGGTGGCATCTTGGAGTTTTATTTGTAGTTCCCTAATGAGTAGTAATGTTGAGCATATTTTCATGTGCTTATTGCCCATTTGTAAAGGCCTACACCTTCTCCAGGGTATTCACGGTGACTTTCTAATTTCCCGTCATATATTTCTTTGTATATGTGGTTGATTTTGAATGTCATAGTCTTTAGTATTTGGTTTCCAAAGTGGGGAAAAGCAGAAAAATGAAGGGGAAAAAAGTGCCAGCCCTTTAAATCCCCTGTCAGTCACTTCAGCCAGAGGAGGAGGGACTTGCAACATTGGGGCCAAAGTGCAAAGGTGATCACTTCTGTCTGCTCTTCTATGACAAAAAGCAGCAATCAGTGAGCAGAGTGCAGAACCTCAGTACTTGGAGGACAAGCTTCCTCACATCAGATTGATTCTGCCCGTGCAATTATTGTCTAGGTGGGGAGCTGATTTCTGTTGCTTCTTCTTTCAGTATCTTCCCAGAATCCTCACCTGCCTTCCTTTTTGAAGGATAGTTATGTAAGAATATATTAGGTTGGTGCAAAAGTAATTGCGGTTATTCCCATTACTTTTAATGATACTTTGCTCTTTCATTGAACACTTGATAATTTTCTCTTTCATTTAACGCTGTGAGTATGTCATTCCACTGCCTTCTGTCAAAATTTTTTTTTCTGATGCAAAGTCAATCATATCGTTACTTCCTTGTGGGTTTTTTTTTCTTTCTCTTTTCAACTTTTCCTCTTTGTCTTTATCTGCCAGTACTTTGACTACAGTTTGTCTAGGTGTAGTTCTCTGTATTTATTGTATTTGGTGGCTTCTTGGGTTTCATGGATCTGTAGATTAGTGCTTACCTTAGAATTTGGGAAGTTGTAATTGTTTCTTTAAATGTTTTTATCTGTCTGTCTTTGTAGCCTCTCCTTTTTTGAACTTTGTTTTTCTCTGTTCTTTGGGTTGGATACTTCCTGTTGACCTATCTTCATGCTCACTGATTCTTCTGCCATCTCAAATTTGCCATTAAGCCTACTTAGTGAATTTTTTATTCCATTTATTATGCTTTTCAGCTCTAAAATTTCTAGTTCATTCTTATTTCTCACATGTATAGGAGAATATGTATCTCTGTTTCTTTATGGAAATTTTGTGTTATATCATTATATTTTTCTTTAATTTTCTTAATATAGTATTCTTTAATTCCTTGAACATATAACAGCTGTTTTAGAGTCTTTGTCCTCTAACTCCAACATCTGGGCCCACTCAGAAGTAGTTTTTATCAACCATGTCCCCTTCCCCAGCCTATACCTGTCCAAATTTGGGTCACACTTTCTTGTTTCTTTGCATGTCTTATAGTTTTGGGTTGAAGCTTACCCTTGTTATTTTTAAAAATAGCTTATCCGAACATGCAATTTTCTATTTCAAAGCCTCTGCTACTGGACTCCTTAATATGTGTAAATGAAGACCAAATGGTGAGCATGACTTATTGTCTGGGAAAAAACTCAATCCATATTTTTTCTCTGCTTTCACACCAAAACAATAATCATCAATACAGAAGACTTATGTGACCTCAAAATATTTGGCGATTTCTCCCCACTGCCAAGCAGTTAATTCTGCTGCGGACACCAGCTGGTGTCCTCCCTATCATTTCTGACACTGTCTGTCTGGAGATAGCACGAGATCCCACAGGTTGAGGGCCTGTCCCCAAGACACTGTCCCAGCTTATGCCCCCAGACACCAGTTGAAAGTCTGGGCCTCTAGAACTTCTGATAGCCCAGCTTAAATTAGGGATTCCCATCACCCCCTCAAGGTTTTTTTTTTTTTGGATGGAGTCTCGCTCTGTCCACAGGCTGGAATGCAGTGGTGTGACCTCAGGTCACTGCAACCTCCACCTCCCGGGTTCAAGTGATTCTCCTGCCTCAGCCTCCTGAGTAGCTGGGATTATAGTCGTGCACCACCACGCTCAGCTAATTTTTGTATTTTTAGTAGAGACGGGGTTTCATCATGTTGTCCAGGATGGTCTCGACCTCGTGATCCACCTGACTCGGCCTCCCAAAGTGCTGGAATTACAGGCATGAGCCACTGGGCCCAGCCCCCCTTCACAGGTTTGATTAATGTGCTAGATCGGCTAACAGAACTCAAGGAAACACTTAGTTCAATTTGTTGGCTTATTATGAAAGATACCCTAAATTATACAGATAAACAGCCAGATGAAGAGATACGTAGGACAAGATCTGGAAGAGTCCCAAGTGCAGGAGCTTCTGTTGCCATGGAGTTGGGGTGCACCACCATCCTGGTACATGGATGAGTTCTTGATCACCTTCCTGTCAGCCTCCTTGTATTCAGCTGTCCAGAAGTTCACCAGACCCTGTCCTTGGGCCTTTTATGGAGACTTTATTGGTTGTCCATGATTGAAGCATGGACAACCTTGTCAAAATGTGACTGGACAAAAAGAGTGTGACCTAAACCCAGCAAAGTCTATCTGTTCAGATTCTTCTTGGCCTCTCTGTGCAGCATTCCTTCCTCCAGGTATGGGGCAGAACCCTCTCTGAAATGAGGGTCTTATGACCCAAAATCAAATTAGAGCCCTGCCAAGTGGAGAAGTGAAAAGTGAGTAGGAGAAGTTCAGAGACAGAGATTCTGTAACAAGGGGAGTTAAGAGCCACGAACTGTGGATGAAAGTCCATATATCATAATACCATACTTACAAAGTCCTAACTTTTCTCCTAAAGTCTTTTCAGTTCCTTCTGAGTAGCTCAGCTGTTTTCTGTTTTGGCAGGTGGTGTTGTTTTCCCCTTTTCGTTATTGATCCCTCTCTCCTTGTTTATAATTCTTCAGTGCCTGCTTTGACATTTTGACCATTCTTTTACATAGATTTTGTTACTCTCATTTCTGTTTTCATGCAGTTAGTTTCTGATACCTACCTCTATTATAACACTTTGTATATAGTACCTTTCATCAATCCTAAAATGTATACTTTCTCCCCAGATTTTGACATCTCTGAAATTAGGATGTATGTTATGAGTGATGGTCATAGTTTCTATGAAATATGGTATATTGGTTACTTGCTTTTCAGTTTACTTCCTCCTCTAGATTGTGAGCTTTTTGTGGGCTTAAAAATTTTAAATTCCACACCTATACTTCTTCCATCTGTGCCTGCTACTGAATCCACTGTGGGTGATTGATTGGATGCCTTGCATCTTTCCTGCCTCATTGCCCTCAAAGTTCTGCCCAAAACCACCACCTCAGTAAAGCTTCTGGTAATTTTATCCCAGCCAGAACTGCTTTCCTGCCTTTGGCATTCAGGCTCTATAAGGACCTTTTGGTACTCAGTGTTTATACTCACCGTAGAGTCTCTTTTATATTGTGTTTGACTCAAGTTCTTGCCTTTGTATCTTATCTCCACAGTACAGGACTGAGTTATAGTTTGTGTCCAACATAGCCTAGCAAAGTTTTCTGTGTATTAGTAAATACTGAAAAATATGTTTCATTTACTTTTCTCTTTCAGCCAATTGGATTGAGTCTGGGGAAGTTCCAAGATATGAACTGTAGTTAGTGGTTGTAAAATATACCTTGGTTTTATTGTAATAGATTATAGCAGTCTGGGTTCAGTTAGGAGAGAGAAAGAAGTATTAATTATGATAAAAGAGTAACTAAAATAGAAGGAAACTCTATATGGTATCCTGAGGCTGAGGGAGAGTACCCAGGAAAGGGCAAACTTGGAAGGTTTTCACACCTCATTGCGTAGGGTGTGGTTCAGCCCATTGAACTGGTTTGGCACTGCTGAACAAGCAAAAGACCTCTCTGGAGTGTAGACACCTAAGGAGAAGGGGTAGGAGGTGGCCATGGTGACCTGTGGCATGGTGTGTGGATATCAGTGAGGGCAAGAGACTTTGCAGAAAATGAGAAAAATGTAATTTGTTATTTAAAAGATGATTCTTTTTACTGAAAACTACATAACAGAGAATGAGAGCTATTCTTAAAATGTCTCAGTGTGCTGCTCAGTGTTATAAATGCATATATGAAGTATGTCTGCATATCTGAATAACCACAGTATTTTTTAGAATAACCTTGACTTTTTGTAGCCTGTGGTTACCAAACATTTAACTTTTAAAAATTCCGCAAGAACATTTGTAAACATTTTTATTATATCAGTTGCTTTTGTTTTTTAGGTAAAATCTGTAAAAACTGGGTCAGTTTTTTGGACAATGTGCTGCTGCTTATCCTATTTCTATATGGTAAGATTTCATATTTGAGACTACATGAAGTCTAGTAGGTCTCTGGAGGTTAAAACAGTTCTTTTCTCCTGAAGTCTGTAGGATTTTTATTTTGTTTAATGTAATCTTTCATTACTACCATCCTCTTTCCTTCTCCTACTCACAGGTCCTGTATACACCTGCTTTGGTGGAGAGGGCTAACATTTAACCCCTCAAATATTTGCAGCAAGTAAAACAAAATGTTTTCAAGTGTACCACTTCAAAATACTTAAATGTTTTATTAAGAATTTTTTTTAATTTTTTAAGATTATATTCATTATTTATTTATTTATTTTGAGACGGAGTTTTGCCCTGTTGCCCAGGCTGGAGTGCAGTGGCACGATCTCAGCTCACTGCAGCTTCTGCCTCCTGGGTTCAAGCAATTCTCCTGCCTCAGCCTTCTGAGTAGCTGGGATTACAGGCGCCCGCCACCACGCCTGGCTAATTTTTGTATTTTTAGTAGAGACGGGGTTTCACCATGTTGGCCAGGCTGGTCTTGTACACCTGACCTCATGATCTGCTGGCCTCGGCCTCCCAAAGTGCTGGGATTACAGGCATGAGCCACCATGCCTGGCCTGTCATTTCTTTTTTCAGAGATAGTGTCTTTCTCTGTTAGCCAATCTGGAGTGCAGTGGTGCAATCATAGCTCACTATAACCTTGAATTCCTGGGCTTAAGTGATTCTCCCACTTCAGCTTCCTGAGCAGCCAGGACTACAAGCATGTGCCACCACGCCTGGCTAATTTTAAAAAATATTTTGTAGAGACAGATCCTCACTCTGTTGCCCAGACTGGTCTTAAGCTCCTGGCCTCAAGCAATCCTCCTACGTTAGCCTCCCAAAGCACTGGGATTATAGGCAAGAGCTGCCGTGCCTGTTTTTTAACTTTTTAATGACTTAAATTTAAATATTATTTTTCTATTCTTCCTAGCTTTATTCATTTTATTTCATTATTATTATTATTATTTTTTTTTTGAGACAGAGTCTGGCTCTGTTGCCTAGGCTGGAGTGCAGTGGTACGATCTCGGCTCACGGCAACCTCGGCCTCCTGGGTTCAAGCTATTCTCGCGCCTCAGCCTCCCAAGTGGCTGAGATTGCAGATGTGTGCCACTATGCCCGGCTAATTTTTGTATTTTTAGTAGAGACAGGGTTTTACCATGTTGATCAGACTGGTCTCAAACTCCTGACCTCAAGTGATCTGCCTGTCTCAGCCTCCCAAAGTGCTGGGATTACAGGTGTGAGCCACGGCACCTGGCCCCTAGCTTTATTTTTTAAATAGCTCTGACAAGTAAAATATTTTCCAAGTTAGATTGCATACTCAAAAAGAACAGGAAATTTTGCCTGTCATATATCAAGCATGGAACCATGTTTAGATGAAATAAGTTTTTACTTAACACTCAATTTTAAATATGGTATTAAAAATTAGTTTTTCGTATTGGAGTTGACTAGATAACTGCTTAATGTTAAAATCTGAGTTTTTAAACAGTCATTATCTAAACAGTTTAGTGAAGTGAACTTAGAACAGAGAAATAAGAGTACTTGGAAGTTTTGGTGAAAAAGATAACCCAAGTAAAGAGTTAACTAAAAAGAGAGACGGATTGAGAAAAAGCTGTAGAAAGACTGTTCTTCTGGCCCATTTGCTTTCATTTCACTCCTTAAAGTAAATGAAGGAAAACTCTTAAAATGAATTTATGTGGGTCCGAGAAGAAATAAATCCCTGTAGTTAAAGATCATGCATAAGATCAGCAAGTACTTTTCAGAACATCAGATTCACTGTCAGACTGGTTTCAGCTTTTCTTTGTTCTTAAGTGAAGAGAGTAGATAAGGTAGCATATTGATATTATGCTCAATTTTCAACCTTAATGTAGTAGATACCTAGAGTCATTACCGAAATAATGGTCATATCCTCTAGGTTAACCTGTAAATTTACTTACTTTTTTTTTTTTTTGAGATGGAGTTTCGCTCTTGTTGCCCAGGCTGGAGTGCAATGGCATGATCTCAGCTCACTGCAGTCTCTGCCTCCTGGGTTCAAGCGATTCTCCTGCCTCAGCCTCCCGAGTAGCTGGGATTACAGGCATGTGCCACCATGCCTGGCTGATTTTTGTATTTTTAGTAGAGACAGGATTTCTCCATGTGGTCAGACTGGTCTCGAACTCCTGATCTCAGGTGATCCGCCTGCCTCGGCCTCCCAAAGTGCTGGGATTACAGGCGTGAGCCAATGTGCCCAGCCACCTACATATTTTTTTAAACAGGTTTCTTAAGATTGGGGTTCAGTATTACCTTTTTATTCTTCTTTCTCTTTTTTTCTACACCATAGCCTGTATAGTAGTCTTGTTTTGAAAATTAATGACAATTTGAGCTAATCTTTTTTTTCTTTTTAAACAAATGTCATGGAATATGTGCATCCAAGTTATCTGAGTTAAAGTGGTTAGAGCCTGGGGCACATTCTGGGTAGTTGTACTTAGCAATATCAAACTTGTTCTCTTTCAAATTTAGACTTAAATTTTTAAAGTAATCAGAAGTCTTTCAGATAGGACTGGCGCTCCATTAGAATAACATTGTTTTTTGTGAAAAATAGCATGTGACCAAGGCAGAAAACTGATGTATGTATTGAAAACTGATGGCAGTTCTCCACAAGGGGTTCTGAAATATTTTACGTAAGAGAAGCATTATTGGAATAGATATGCTAGCATATAGTCTGCTAACATGACTGTTGATACAAATGAGCCTTTCAAGCTCTGATTATTAGAGGACATCTAAGAACTTTGATATTGACAGGAGCTTATTACCTATTATTTAGTGTACCAAAAAATTAATTAATTCTATTGGTTGAGAATGGAGATTCTCTTTAGAATATTCATTAATGTAGACCAAGAACATCCTCAGTTATTCTGGCTAAATAGTGTATATTGTATAAGCCAAAGATTAAAATGGGATCTTGCTTTGTAATCCATTTTTAAGAAAAAAATTCATGCCCAACTAGCACTTTTAGTTTTGAGAATCTCAAAGCGTATTCATGTCATCTGAATTTTTTTTAGTTGTCAGTGAGTCCTTTCATTGCTCTTACTCTCAGTGACCTTTCTTACAACAAATTTGTCATAAAAAGTGGGTGAGGTAAAACCCGTTTTTTTATTTTCAAAATTTATGATCTATATCCTAAAACTCCTTGTCTCTATGACAGTCTGTTTACTGACAATTCACAAATTATAATACTCTCAGCTTTTCTATTAAATCTAATTTAATTTGAACATTTCTCCAGTGCGTTTGGAAAAGCATATTGGATTTGTGGGATCGTGTTATTTTAATGATCAATAAAAATGAGGAATACGTTCTTCATAGGTTAGTAAGTTCTTATTTAAGCATTTCTCAAAATTGCTAAAATCTTAATGTTTATATTTGCTCATTGTATGTTTAGATTCCTAAATATACTTATTTTAAAAAGTAAAAATATATATTTAACTTAGCACTTCTTTTCCTATAGGTCTCTGCTTGGGGTGGTTATGTATTTATCATCAATCTTATTCCACTGCATGTATTTGTGTTGTTACTGATGCAGAGATACAGCAAAAGAGTCTACATAGGTAAGTAATTTGATTTTTGACATCTGTCAACTAAGAGATGTTTTGTATTCATTCATTTTATTGAAGAGATATTTCTATTTGGTCAATATTATGCATGAAAAGGTAAAAATAATTTTGTGTTCATTTTGCTGTTTATATTGATAAGGTCAGGCATTTTTATATAAGTGCTTTGTCATCAACTTTTCCTTGACAAGTTTTTTTTTCGTTTTTGTAGAAATTAGTCTGGGTTTAATATTTGTCTACACTTTTTCCTCCTCTTAATTTTGGGGAATGGGAATTTTTATCATGAAAATCGTTCACATTTTTTATATCGAATTCAACTTACTGTAAGAGATTGACATCCTCAAAGTAAGCAGCTTAATAAGCTTTCAGAAGCTCTTTTTTGGATAATGTACTAATAGACTGAGTCTCTGTTGTCTCTAGAAAAATGTTCATTTTTCTCTACAGGTTTTAAAACAATATTTTCACTGTGATGTTTAGCGGTAGATGATGTTTCACCTTAGATCTCATTTTCCATGATAGAGTTAGAACTTCTATGGGTTGAAGGAACTAGAGAGCAATTGTGAACTGAAACCAGTGTCTTAGTAAAATAATACAATTCTATTATAATAATGTTTTTGGAAAACAATAACACAAAGATAAATCTTAATTAAATTCATTTTCAAAAGCATAGTAGCTTGGCAATTTCTCAGAAGTTAACCATAGATTCGTCATATGACCAAGCAGTTCCACTCCTAGGTATTTACCCAAGAGAACCGAAAACATATATTCATACAAAAGCTTCTATGTGAATGTTTATAGCAGCATTTATTGTGCATAATGGCCAAAAATGAAGACAACCCAAATGTCTATCAGCTTTATGAAACCATAAAATATGGTATATTCATACAATGGTGTATTATTAAGCCATGAAAAGGAATAAAATACTGATATATGCTACAACATGAACCTTGAAAACTTTATACCATTATGTAAAAAAGCCAGACATAAAAGGCCACATAGTATATGATTCTGTTAGTGTGAAATGTCCAGAATAGGCAAATCCATAGAAACAGAAAGTAGAGTTTGTGGGAAATGTCCAGAATGGGTAAATCCATAGCAACAGAAAGTAGATTAGTGGTTGCCTGGGGATTTAGGAGGAGGAGAATGTGGAGAGGAGAGGAGAGGTGTGACTGTTGAATGGATATGGGGTCTCTTTCAAGGATGAGGAAATATTTTAGAATTATATAGTAGTGATGGTCGCACAACCTTGTGAATACACCAAAAACCATTACATGATAGGTTATTAAAAGATAAATTTTATAGTATATTAATTGTATCTCAACAAAATAAAAAAGCATAGTATATTACATTTATAGCCATTTCAGCATACTTTTTCATTTGATACTGTGAGGGTAGGTACTATTCTCATTTTACAGGTGAGGAAACAAGAGGAGACATAATAATTTGCTAAAGATCATGTAGCTAATAACGGGGCTGAGGCTTGAACTCAGATTTTGGCTTTAAAGCCTGTAATGAGCCAGCTGTAGTAGCTCACACCTCTTATCCCAGCTACTCAGGAGGCTGAGGCTGGAGTTCCACTTGAGTCCAGGAGTTCAAGACTGCAGTGTGCTGTGATCTTGCCACTGCACTCCAGCCTGGGTGACAGAAGGAGACCTGTCTCTGATTGCATGAATGACTGAATGAATGGCCCATGATGCTAAAAACCACCAAATCTGTGTGCCTCTCGTTTAAACAAATAACCGTACTGTTGAAATACATACACCTATGTATTTCTCTACCCCAAAAACACTATAAACAGTAGTTGGGATCCAGAAAGGAGAATAATAAATAACAGATTAAACTTTTTTTTTTTAAGTTAAATGGTTACAGTGAAGGAACTAAGAGGGTGTTTTGTTGTTGCTGCTGTTGTTGTTGTTTTGTGTAAATTTAAAAATTGGGGATCTTGGAAATTTAATGGTCAGAGGAATACAAGAGAGAGAAGATTGAGAAATACACTTTATGAAATGCCATGATTCAGGAAGAAGAGCCAAAGGAGATGTCAGAAGTAGTCAAATAAGTATATTGTTAAAATGGTCAGATGGAAGTATATTCTACATAAAAGTTTAAAATTCAAGCAGTGTCCAACTCCCCTTTAACCTTAGCACCAAGATTTCAAAGGATTAGAATTTGAGAAAGGCCTTTGTATTTGGTAGCTGGGATTTTTTTTTTTTTTTTTTTTTTGGTCACTCTAGAAAAATATGAAATTCATACTACTTTGGTTGATTCTTGAGAGTATTTTAAGAAGAAAGAATAATAAAATGGGTTAGGGATGTATGTGTGTATAAAGCTAATGTTCATAATGTTCAAATTCTCCACTCTACCCAACTTGTTTCTTTTACTTATAATTATCCAGGAGTATTTTGATGATTTCTAGTCTGCTTTCTTAGGGTTTACTTCTAAATGGATGGAAAGTAGTATGATAGAGCAAGTGTTGCTCTTCCTTCATCCAGAGTGTGTCAGGATTTAAGTTCAATTTCTCTTAACTTAATGGTCCTAAAAACTATGGAAGCATTGTAAAGTGTTTGTATATAAAGTTCTTTGATTTTGGCACGTAACATCCTTTGTCTTTTGTTCTCTCTCCCCTTGAGCAGAAATGTTTAGGTAAAAAAAAATAAGGATTGATAAATGTCAGACTCATAATTATATTAACTAAAAGTTTAGTTGTGTTGTTCTAAGTGTTGAATTAAATGACTTGAATTATTTTAAATAATTATGAAAAAGTTGTGTCCTCTTTGAGTAGATTTTTTCAAGTGTCCTTAAAATCAATTGTAGCACAACCACAGAAAACTGTCAAAGTTTATTCACATGTGGAAAAGGAGGCACATGGGTGGTAATGTGGATGTATAGTGGTAGAAGAGTGGCATGGGAATTGAGCAAGGGAGGTGTAAGAAAAGCTGAGATGGGAGGCCGTCTCTACTTGAAATTTTGGGAGGAAAAATTTAATTTTCTGTTAAGAGATATTTTTGACTTGGTGAATTTCACTATATTGGGAAGTAAATGTTTAAAAATTATGTTATGCATAGGATTCTACTGTTTTAAAAGGAACACCCAAACCTTATGTTGCATTTGTAGAAAGAATGGCTTGCAGGAAATCACAGTAAAACTGATGGGATGTGAAGTGATTTAAGCTTTCTAATTTGATTAAAGCTTATCATACTTTGTGTTCATGTCATAAGGAAATTATTAAAGATATGAAGTCAAATTTAGGGATATTTACTGTGGTATAACTTGTAATTGTGAAAATATGGAACTAACTTAAATGACCAATAGGGGAATGATTTTTTAATTGCAGTGTTGCCATATGGAATATTATGCAGCCTTTAAATTTAATCTTTTTGAGTATTTGATGACACAGGAAAATGTTAATTAAAAGCAGACAGTAAGGATTACCAGTGATTTTTTTTCATACTTATTTCTGCTTTCCAGATACATACAATGAGTATGTGTTAAGTTTATAATAAATAAGACTTGGTTTTTAGTTTATAGAAATAGGAATTGTACCTCAAGGGCTGCATTAACTAGATTAGGTTAGTAATTTAAGCACAGAAAAGAAATCAATTTCTAATATTGATGAATGCTTTTGAAATGTCACTAGAACAGCTTGTTTATGGCATTGTCTATGTTTTCTGCAGTGAGTTGAGTAAGGAGAGTAACAGTTGTTTTTCATATTATATCTAAAATGTATTTTTTAGATGATATTTGCTGGGAACCGTCATTAAAGTTTTTTGAACATACTACCTACTTTAGTTCTGTACAAATTATTATGGGCATTATATATTTTGTGAATAAAGAAAAGATAATCCAATTATTGAGTACATTAAAAGTAAAGCCAAATTATTAGGAGTCACATTTATACTTGGCAGCTGTAAACAGAACACAGCTAATGCTAGTTTAACTTAGAAAAAACAAACTTAAAAAGATTGCATGTAAAAAATCCAGCATTAAAAAAAGAAAAGTTCCCGGATACAAGGGCTGGAAGCTCTGGAGTTTATTTTGTCTAATTCTACCATACTACTGAGGAAATTAAAGCAAATTTCACTCACCATACATTTATTAAGTGTTGAAAAAATAAATACTGTTTTGTGCTAGCCATTATGATACAAAGATGAATAAAAACCTTCGTGTAAGGAGTGTATATTATACAGTGTAATCAATTTAATAGCATATGATCAAAATGGAAATAGGGAAAAATTTGTGAAAATCAGTTTGGACTTTAACCATGTTCTTTTAAAAGTTTTGGAGATAAGTCTTGATCTTGAGAAGAGAGAATAGTACAGAAGCAGACTTAGAATTTGTGGTAATGTAACCATAAATAAAAGGTGCCATGACATTGAGGGTAAGAGTACATACTCCAGAGCCAATCTACCAGGGTTCAATTCTTGCTCCCTTACTACTGTGTAACTTTGGACAAATTAATGTCCTTTGATGTCCTTAGGCCTTAATGTCCTCATGGGTCAAATAAAGATAATAATAGTTACCTTACAGATTGTTAAGGATTAATGAGTTACAGGTTAATATATGAAAGGTGCTTAATAATAGATGAACACAAAAAAATACTATTTAAGTGTTTGCTTTTGTTGTTGATGTTAAAGTTATGAAGGAATAGCCAGATAGACAAAAGAGTTCAAGAGGCTAAGAGAGGTGATTACTGTATTAAGACTGAAAGGATAAAACCCCAGTGTGAATCTAAGGAGTGTTCCTTCTTTTTTTTTTAAGTGAAAATAAACTTTCACTCAACTATTTTTGGTTGTGAGAAACATAATGGAGAAATAACACTTGTGTGTTATAAAGTACAAAATAGCAATTAAAATATAACCTGTAATAGGTGTTTTTTTTTATAATTTTAAAATTTGATAATAAATGTTGATATGGTTTGGCTGTGTCCCCACCCAAATTTCATCTTGAATTGTAGCTCCCATAATTCCCATGTGTTGTGGGAGGAACCCAGTGGGAGATAATTGAATCATGGGGGTGGTTTATCTCATACTGTTCTCATGGTGGTGAGTAAGTCTCACAAGATCTGATGGTTTTATAAGGGGAAATCCTTTTCTCTTGGTTTTCATTTCCCTCTTGCCTGCTGCCATGTAAGATGTGCCTTTCACCTTCTGCCAAGATTGTGAGGCCTCCCAGCCACGTGGAACTGTGAATCCATTAAACCTCTTTTTCTTTATAAATTACCCAGTTTCAGGTATGTCTTTATCAGCAGCATGAGAACAGACTAATACAGTAAATTGGTACTGGTAGAGTGGAAGGCTGCTGAAAAGATACCCGAAAATGTGGAAGCACCTTTGGAACTGGGTAACAGACAGATAGATATTGGAACAGTTAAAGGGCTCAGGAGAAGGCAGGAAAATGTGGGAAAGTTTGGAACTTCCTAGAGACTTGTTGAGTGGCTTTGACCAAAATGCTCATAATGATATGGACAATGAAATCTAGGCTGAGATGGTCTCAGATGGAGATGAGGAACTTTTTGGGAAATGGAGTAAAGGTGACTCTTGGTATGTTTTAACAAAGAGATGGGTGGCATTTTGCCCCTGCCCTAGAGATTTGTGGAACTTTGAAATCGAGGTAGATGATTTAGGCTATCTGGTGGAAGAAATTTTTAAGCAGCAAAGCATTCAAAAGGTGACTTGGGTACTGTTAAAAAGCATTCCATTTTTAAAAGGGAAACAGAGCATAAAAGTTTGGGAAGTTTGCAGCCTGACAATGCAATAGAAAAGCAGAACCCATTCTCTGAGGAGAAATTGAAGCAGGCTGCAGAAATATGTGTAAGTAACAAAGAGCCAACTGTTAATGCCAAGACAGTGGGGGAAATGTCTCCAGGGCATGTCAGAGACCTTTGCAGCAGCCCCTCCCATCATAGGTCCAGAGGCCTAAAGGAAAACATGGTTTCATGGGCCAGGCCCAGGACCCTCCCTGCTGAGTTTTGCCTAGGGACTTGGTGCCCTGTGTCCCAGCTGCTCTAGCCATGGCTAAAAGGGGTTAAGGTACAGTTCAGACAATGGCTTCAGAGGTTGCAACCTGTAAGTCTCGGCAGCTTCCACATGGTGTTGAGCTTGCAGGTGCACAGAAGTCAAGAATTGAGGTTTGGGAGCCTCCACCTAGATTTCAAAGAACGTATGGAAATGCCTGGATGTCCAGGCAGAAGTTTGCTGGAGAGGTGGGGCCCTCAAAGAGAACCTTTGCTAGGGCAGTGTGGAAGGGAAATGTGGGCTTGAAGCCCCCATACAAAGTCCCCACTGGGGCACTGCCAAGTGGAGCTGTGAGAAGAGAGCTACCGTCTTCCAGACCTCAGAATGGTAGATTCACTGACAGCTTGCACCATGCGCCTAGAAAAGCTGCAGACACTCAATGCTAGCCCATGAAAGCAACCAGGAGGGAGGCTGTACCCTGTAAAGCCACAGGGGCAGAGCTGCCCAAGACCATGGAAACCCACCTCTTGTATCAGCGTGACCTGGATGTGAGACATGGAGTCAAGGGAGATCATTTTGGAGCTTTAAGATTTGACTGCCCTGCTGGATTTTGGACTTGCATGGGACCTTCAGCGCCTTTATTTTGGCCCATTTCTCCCATTTGGGCTGGGTGTATTTATCGAGTGCCTGTACCCCCATTGTATCTAGGAAGTAACTAACTTGCTTTTGATTTTACAGGCTCATAGGCAGAAGGGATTTGCCTTGTCTTGGATGAGACTTTGGACTGTGGGTTTTTGTGTTAATGCTGAAATGAGTTAAGACTTGGGACTATTGGGGGACTATTGGGAAGGCATGATTGGTTTTGAAATGTGAGGACATGAGATTTGGGAGGTGCCAGGGCAGAATGTATGGTTTGGCTGTGTCCCCACCCAAATCTCATCTTGAATTGTAGTTCTCATAATTTCCACATGTTGTGGGAGAGACCCGGTGGGAAATGATGCATGGGAGTGGTTTTCCCCATACTGTTCTCCTGGTGGTGCATAATAACTCTCACAAGATCTGATGGTTTTGTAAGGGGAAACTCCTTTCGCTTGGTTTTCATTTCTCTCTTGCATGCCACCTTGATTGTGAGGCCTCCTCAGCCACATGGAACTGTGAGCATTAAACCTCTTTTTCTTTGTAAATTGCCTAGTCTCAGGTATGTCTTTATCAGCAGTATGAGAACAGACTGATCCAAGTGTTATATAATTGAATAAATGTATATAGTTGAAAAAGTCAAATACTACAGGGTTTATAGCAAATAAAACGTTGATTTCCTGTTTTTTGTTGTTTTTGGGGGGTTGTTGTGGTTGTTGTTGTTTGTAGAAATGGTAGGGGGATCTCATTAAGTTGCCCAGGGTGGTCTCGAACTCCTGGGCTGAAGTGGTCCTCCCACCTCCGCCTTCCAAAGTGTTGGGATTACAGGCGTGAATCACTGTGCCCAGCAGCATTTTATTTAATATAGCTACATTTTGTTGCCACAAAATATTTGGGATTACACCCCAGTATTTACAGTGGTATTCAGTATGTAATTAAACAAGTAGTTTTGATGGTTTTGATCCTAAGGTATTGAAAACAATAAGAGGCTGTACAGTTTTATGTTTGTGGCAGATAAAGTTTTATCAAGACAAGATTCCATCTTCTACAGATGCAATATTATTATTTGCATTAATTGTTTTGCCTTTACTGTTTATTGTACCTTCAAGGTAGGTGAGCCAAGAGCAGACAGGCAAACGGGACTACAATAACTACACTCCTCCGCCCCTATTTTTTCCATAGGTTTTCATTTAAAATTAGAAGTTTCAGTGTTGATTACATAAAGTGAGTTTTCAAGATGAGTGTTGTAACAGGCACTGAAGCTAGTTATTGGGGGAAAGAGATGGGATTTTCCTTAGATCGGTTTACAATATTTATGGATCTTCTTTGCAGCTTTGCCAGTGGATATTTTAGAGGTTATTGGGGTTGGGGGAAACTGAAAGTTCAAACACAAAGGGAAGATGGTATTGCTTGCACCACCTATGCTGCTAATATGACTCATTGTGTAGTTCACAAGGATTAGTCCTCCAGTATCTCCTTATATTAAAACTCGGGATATTTAGAGCAAGGATCTCACCTGTGTTGTAGCAATAATCATTGGCCTGATCAAAAAGGCTTTCAGTGAATAGAAACAGTCTTCATGTTCTACAGGCCAACCATTATCTAGAAGAATAGACCTGAGTGAGATTTCCTTTAAAGGTCTATTCTTCTCATTGAGAAATGTGTGTTTCATAGTCCAGAAGAATTAACTCCTGCATAGAAGTAGTTATGGATTCTTCATGGTATCAGTTAAATGAATTTAGGAGCCTACTACAGTAGTAGTCGACAATAAGAAAAGGATGTGTTGGCCAGGTGCAGTGGCTCACGCCTGTAATCCCAGCACTTTGGGAGGCTGAGTTGGGTGGATCACGAGGTCAAGAGATCGAGACCATCCTGGCCAACATGGTGAAACCCCATCTCTACTAAAAATACAAAAATTAGCTGGGCTTGGTGGCATGCACCTGTAGTCCCAGCTACTCAGGAGGCCGAGGCAGGAGAGTTGCTTGAACCTGGGAGGCGGAGGTCGCAGTGAGCCGAGATCATGCCACTGCACTCCAGCCTGGCGACAGAAAAAGACTCTGTCTCAAGAAAAGAAAGAAAAGGATGTGTTAAGAAGAACCAAAACGTTTTTAGTGGCAACATGACTTGTGGTAACAGGATTTGTGATTTCCTGTAGTTTAAATCTTTTTTTATTTTTTGTTTGTTTTACTCTCTTCTTTATGAGTGAATTAAATTTGCTGGTATTTGTCTTTTACTACTTCTTGATATGTTAGGTATAGTCACTACTTAGCTCTAGAAGCTACTGAGGATCATTACCTAACACCTCTTAAGTTACATAAAAATTATATATTCCATGAGTTTTTCATAGTCTCCAAACACACCACACATACAGTACCTTTGTAATTTCACTATATTTTAATATTATTTCATTAAACATTGCCAGAATTAAATGAATTGTTCCCACAGGGTAGAACTTAAACCAAGATGTACTTTGTTTAGATTTGTTTTTTCATTTTAGTTATCAGTACCAGATACACTTGCTGAGTTTGTTTTTTTGTTTTTTTGTTTTGTTTTGTTTTGTTTTGAGACAGAATCTCACTCTGTCACTCAGGCTGGAGTGCAGTGGTGCCATCTCGGTTCACTGCAACCTCTGCCTCCTGGGTTCAAGCAATTCTCCTGCCTCAGCCTCCTGAGTGGCTGGGACTACAGGCATGTGCCACCACACCTGGCTAATTTTTGTATTTTTAGTGGAGATGGGGTTTCACCGTGTTGGGCAGGCTGGTCTTTAACTCCCAAAGTTCTGGGATTACAGGCGTGAACCACCACACCCGGCCACACTTGCTGTTTTAAAAATGTTGTGATTAAGTATCTCTACTGAAGTGTTTTGAACACGTAAGTAATTTCTTGCTGCTTTTACAAGTCTGGAGTTTGTAAAATATAAGTTTCAGTGATTCATTCTCAACATAGTTTATAATGAGCATTGTCCTTGGAAAAGAGAAATGATTTTTATCATTATGTATGCCTGTTAAGTTAATCATATATTTCTCTGCTGGTCAAGAAGAATCAGTGTTTTGTGTTTTTTTGTTGTTTTATTCTTTAATCCATGTTTCTTACTATTCTTTATCCTGCATATCTACCAGGGTTCACAGTAACCAGAAGTGATTACAAAGAAATAAAATATCTTTAGTATTCAAAGCCTTCATAAGCCTTTAATCATATTTGTTTATAATAAAGCAAAATTGGTTGGATTTTAAAGTATCTACCCGTTGTGTGTGTTTTGGCTAATACTATTTTGGTTGAGAGAGAGCAAAGCAATTCAAAAATGCTAATGTGATTTAACATGGGTTAAAGTTAATGGGAATATAGTATTTGCATAACCTTTTCTAACTTTATTTACATAAAAAGAAGTATAACAATAACTTAAAAGTGTAAAGAGCACTGTCAATGTAAGCTGCAATGCCTTATCAGAGAGAAGGTACTTAAAGATTGCTTTGGGGAACAGCAAACTTCTTCAATACTTAAAATTTCATTTGAATTTGAGTCAGACTTTTCAGTGCCTTTTCTTTTCTAGAATAATTCACTTGAGCACATTAAGTCAAGGACTATGGTATATTTCTTCTCTATATCTGTCTCGTCCCACCCTTGGATATAAAATATTTCCAAGAATGTAGACATCTTTAGGTTCTGTTGAGATTATTACTTATCTGTCCCAGATGAGAGATTTTCTTTGGTTAAGAATAAACAGAATAATAATATATGTGTGTGTATATGTATATACATATCTTTCTAATGGTAATTTTTTGTGGAATTTTTCTCACACATTGGAATTATCATCTCCAGTAATGAATGCCAGTAACTGTGCATCCACAGGATGGCAGTGTGGTAACATTTTCATGATGTAATAAATGATTTACAACACTATTGGTATCATGTATTTCCTTAGAGCTCACCACTTTGATGGAATGCTTTATTCTTCTAACTTAAAGGGTAAGAAAAGTAGGTTTACATGGATGGATAGAAAATTGTAATAGATGGGTATAGTAGTTTAGTTAGGGTTCTTAAAGAGTTCATTGGAAGGAGAATTGGTAGAGAATGATGGCTATGGGTTTGTCTTGTTGAGGTCTTCTGAAAACACTAGAGAACAGTACCAGACATTAATTACCTCTTCGAAGTCCATGTCAAGAAAAGAAGAGATCTTAAGTTTTATAGAGCCTTTCCCCCACCAAATGTCACATGACCTTTCTTCCTAATATTATGGTTATTTGTTTACATCTCTGATTTTTAGCAATTTATCTGACTCTTAGAGGGTAGGATTGATCTTAATGGGATTTTCTGTTTTTAGAATATATTGACCATACTCAAGTTAATGTTTAAATGCATAAATTGAAGAGGTAATTTCTAAACATATATTAGATGCTGTAGTACAAAGTCTGGCAAAAAGCGTATGTTTTCATTTTGCAGTGGAGATTGTGTTTCTTTATTTATTTTGAGATGGAGTTTCGCTTTTGTTGCCCAGGCTGGAGTGCAGTGCGATTTCAGCTCACTGCAACCTCTGCCTCCCCAGTTCAAACGATTCTCCTGCCTCAGCCTCCCAAGTAGCTGGGATTACAGGCACGCGCCACCACACCCAGCTAATTTTTGTAATTTTAGTAGAGACGGGGTTTCTCCATGTTGGTCAGGCTGGTCTCAAATTCCCAACCTCAAGTGATGCATCCGCCTCAGCCTCCTAAAGTGCTAGGATTACAGGTGTGAGCCATCATGCCTGGCCAAGATTGTGTTTATTTTTAAGAATTGAGTTACTTCACCATTTTTTTTACTCAGATGTATCTAATTTCTTATTTTCTATGTCTTAAAATGTAGATTTGTAAATGAGATTTAAATTGAGATATAGCAATATATGTGTAATTTTACAAATTCAAGCAGAGCAGTCAGTATTAAGCAAGGTATTTGTTGTATTTGACATATTATCTGGCAAGCAATCTTCAACTTTATTTAATGGAAGTACAAGTTGAGTACTCCTAATTTGAAAATTCAAAACTTTCTGAGCACCAATATGATTCTCAAAGGAAATATTCACTGGAGCGTTTCCTGTTTTGCATTACCAGTTTGGGTATGCTCAGCTATTAAGTATAATGCAAATATTCCAAAAATCCAAAAAACTTCTAGTCCCAAGCATTTTAGATAAGGGATATTCAAATTGTGTCTATCCGTGCACTGAAGAGTGTTATGACATAAAACACATACCTCCAATATGTAAACATCTCAGGTTCAGTGATCCAAAAAATGTGAAAAATAGGTACTTGGGTCCAGTTCTCTTAAAAGTAAATGCTTATGTTTGGATTGTTGTAGATACCACGTTTATCAGATTTGTACCATTGGTGCTGGTAAGTGGGTATGAATGAGACTAATTGGGATAGAGGAAGTTTCAAGGTAAAATACTGTTGAAAACTTGTCTGTTTCTATTAGTTTATCTTTAGCATTAACCTATGTTTACCAAATAATACAAATTAAAGTCCCACCTGGGCTTTTTCATTTCCTATTTTCTTTTTCTTGAACTCTCCATCACTCTTATTATTAACTTAAACTCTAGTGCATCTGCTTCTGTATAAAATGTTTTCTACTTTACTAATGATAGTAAATATCTCTGAGAAGTTGCAGGGAAGTGCTGAATTGAGAGTATTATCGGGTCTCCTCTTTTCAAATACGCCTGGAAATGAATTTGAGCAAATGTCTAAGATGAAACTTCATCTGTAGTTACCAAACATGATTGCTAAAATTTTTACATTGTCAAGCAAAGTGTGGCTCCATTTGAAGAGAAAGTATGAATATGACTATGAATATGTATTTGTGTACCCATATACCTGCTAGTGATTATTTCTGGAGAATGTGACTTAGAGGGAAATAAATAGGGTGGAAACTTTTTCACTTTTTACTTTAAGACAAAAACAACATCTATTACCTTTGCAATTGAACCAATTATCCATACAGACAGATGCAGATTTGTGGTTACCATGGGCTGGAAATAGGACAGAATGTGGAGTAGTAAGAGCTTAGTGAGTGTAGGGTTTTGTTTTGGGGTAATGAAAATTCTTTAGGACTATAGAGGGGTAGTGGTTGCACAACCTTATGCGTGTACTCAATATCCCTGAATTTGTTCTCTTTAAAATGGTTATGTCATGTGACTTTCACCTCAATTTTTTTAAGAAGGCTTTTTCATTCAGTTTGTATCATTTCTTATATTAAACCTAAATTCTGTGGCAGTGTTACAGCATTCAGTGTTTATTTGTACTTAGAAGAAAGAAATCCAGCTTCAGAAGTGATTGTCGTGTTTCAACATAAGTGGACTTAGCTATAATAAAAACATAAATGACATAAGGTTTTCTCAGGCCTAGTCAGTTTCTAGTTGTGCCTTTGTGTGTTCAGTGTTTGTCTAGGATTTGACTTCTCAGCTCTGGATATCTGAAAGGCCTGTTGATCATAGAATCTTAGTTTATAATTGTTGGGAGGGATCTACAAATCTTGTCCAACCCACATTCTATAGTGAGGAAACTGAAGCTTTTGCTGTTAAGTAGTTGTAAGATTACATAGTGATCTTCTTCTCAGTTTTTAATTTTCTTTATACTTTAGTATGCATGGTTCTTTTTTTTTTCTCTCTCTTTCCTGCCTCTGTGACTCTCCTTTATCAGGGCTTCAACAGGCTGATTTGTTTAAAAAAATAATTTGTAGACATTTCGGGTCATGTGACGGGGAAATTTTTGTTTAACTTTGATTACATTTGGGTTTGGGTACGTCATAGAGGGTAATTCCATTCCAACATTAATGTGTTTGGAAAGAACGTTATCTGATGGATTATGTCTGTTGTCTTCTAGACATCTGGTCCTCCATTAGCTTGAGGTCAGTGGAAACTTTACTTACTTTGGTCCTTCCTATTAAATTTATGAGCTTCTTACTGTCTTCCTAACACTGTGGTCATCTCTTATCATATAGATTGTGAGGCAACTTAATATTTGAACCAGTAGCCCCTAACTTCCTTCTCTAGATGGATTTCTTTTAAAAGCAAATGAATATTCTTTCTCATCTAAGTTGGGTGAGGAGGAAAGTGTGTAGTACACTATGCTACACAGTATATAGGATACACAAATACGTGTATTCCTAAATATACCCCCCAATCTTTGTTTTTGATAGAGTAGTTTATTTGCCAAAAACTATTAAATGATGTGTAATCTGTATAAATGGGGTAGTTTTTACGTTAACTTATTTCAGATGGGCTTTATTTCTAATGAATTTTTAGTTTCAGTGACTTCAAATACTTTCTCTCTAATCAATTGCGTAACAGTGGTCTGTGAATATAAAGCAGGTATTTGACACAAATTGTAAATCCCTCCCCAGTTTCCTTGTCCATTTAGATTGACAAACTTAATTTAGATTGATGAGAATACTATAACATACTTAGTGTGAAAAGAAGTGAGTTTCTTTTATTAGATGCTAAATTCAGTAGCTGGTCTGTATAATGGCTTGACTTCTGTGTACTTAGTTCTTTAATTACAGAAAACTTGGTGGACATATGAATTTATTTAACTCATAGTACTATACAAAGGTATTATGGGATAATAAAAAGGTATGAACTACTTCAGAGCTTTTGAGACAGTAGCAGGTATTCACACATGCTGGCAGTGGTGATGAGTATTAAGTCGTGTATTTTGGATTAATGCCAATAGGACTGATATTTACTTAATTTTATGTATGTATTACTTAGCTTCTTGAGTCGTATGAATGATTGCTAATGGTAGATCAAAACAAACTTGATTCCATTTCTGGGAAAGGAATGCAACACAAGTCTCACAAACTGTTGTAATGATCTGCAAAATATAGTACTTAGTATTTTTGAAAAATGGATAGAATATTCAGAATCTGTAACATATGGTTAACAAATGGACATCTAATAAAAGTCATTTCAAGATTCTGTTCTTAAATTCAGTTAATACTTTGCTAAAAACAGGATTTACATATACATTTATGTTTTAGGTACTTAATGGTAGTAGTAAATTATCCTTGTTTCCTATTTTGTCTTTATAGCATATAGCACTTTCTACATTGTGGGTTTAATATTATCAATGCAGATACCTTTTGTGGGATTCCAGCCAATCAGAACAAGTGAACACATGGCAGCTGCAGGTATGAAAAATATATATTTTCCTTCTTCTAAAGAATATGTGGACGTGTGATTGGCAGTCTTCCAAGAGATGACAGTTTTTGATCATTTTGGTTGTTGCAATGACAACCAAAGTAATCTGACTCACAATTATGGGAAATCTGTAGATAAAAATTTTATCAGAGATTCTCATTGCAAGGTTCATGACCCATTGGAAGTCTGTGGGTAGTTATTTTATTTGTAACATCTGTACACTGATACTATATAGATAGCAATATATAACTTTCAGAGGTGGTGTTTCTATAGAGTTTATTATCAGATTCTCAGTGGAGTCTGACTTAATCTCCATCTTCCCAGAATAGTTAAGAATCACTATCTTACTGTTATATAGCACTTTAAAATTTATGAAATGCTTTTACTTAGATTTCTGAATGGATGTTGTCACTTTACCAAGTAGTAATTTGAGACGCAGAGAGATGTATATTTAGTGTTGTGTACACAATAATGAATAGAATGTCTATGTAATTACGCAGTCACCTGTCTTTACACGTATGCATTACAACATTTCCTAAACTCTAAATCTTTGATAATACTTACTTAACCATTGTAAAATGGACTTTTAAAAACAACCCTTAAAATTGAATTTATTTTTAAAAATTAATATTCTAGATGCTTGAGGATTCTTACATCCTCTTTGTTTAAAGTTTTATGTTTAATGTTTTTGTATCATGTTTTGTACTTTTTGAGAATCCGTTTTTGCGACTACTCCTTTAGTTTTGTATATCTTAGCACTCACCTTTATATTTACTAATGTAGGGGAGAAAAGATTGTTATCTCTAACAAAAGACAGATTAACAAGAGAAAAGCATAAATTTTACATGACACAAGAGTCTTCAGAAGTGAAAATTTTAAAAAGGCAGGGAAACTGTATTTTTATGCTTAGGTTTGATGAAGAGTGGACAGTCATGTAGAAATAAGATTGGACAAAGAGAAGTACGATCTAATGGCAACAGACTGGGAAGAACTTAAGGCCTATTTGTTCATATTCTTCTTGGTGTCTCTGTGTCTTCATCTTTTCCTCTGGGTGTTAGAAGGACCCCTCTGGAATGAGGATCTTATAACCTACTTACAGGAAGGTCAGAGAATTATTTTATGACCTGCCTCAGGGGAGAACAAACAGAAAAGATGAGAGAGACTTCCCAGTTTCTGCTGGTTTCTCAAATGCCAAGATGCCATAATTTGGCATGAGCCCTGATACAAATTTAGAATCTTGTCTAAATGTGTAATTAAGGTCACATCTTATTACTCAGTTATAAATAGTAACTATATATCAAGATTATCCTGATCCTAAGTCTTTGTATCCTTCAGCAAAACAAATCGGAGAATTGTTTTTCAGTGATTTTGAAAAATTACTTCCCTCCACCCCAGAAAACCCCCCTAAAATATAGAGGAAAGGGAGGAACTTAATGTGTTAAATAGGCTTGTTATTCAAATGGGATTTTTTTTCCCCTTTGGTCTGGTACATGTGTAAGGAGTCTGATCATTTAGGAAAAAAAAAAAAAGTCACAGAATTTTTTGGATGTATTAATTAGGCAACTGTCATTTGACAAAGGAAATGTTGGCTAGATGAAATAAGTAGTCTTTGATATGAATGGTGCAGGACATTCTAAGAAGCTCTTTCAAATGAAAGTTTTTAAATGACCTTGGAAAACTGCTTTGTTGATTATGTGACCCTTTTCTTTAATTAGGTGTCTTTGCATTGCTGCAAGCTTATGCTTTCTTGCAGTATCTGAGAGACCGATTAACAAAACAAGAGTTCCAGACCCTTTTCTTTTTGGGTGTATCACTAGCTGCAGGTGCTGTGTTCCTTAGTGTCATCTATTTGACTTATACAGGTACGTGTTATCACCTGTAGGGTGTGAATATTGTCTATACAAACAATATAAGAAAAATAGCCAAAGTTTCTAAAATCTGAATAACAGCATGACTACAAAGTGATTTTTTTCTTTTTTTTTTTTTTTGAATAGTATATCTTAATTTTGTGGCATCAAGCTCTGATAAATCTACTTTTAAGCGTCCTTCTCTTGCTGGATGAATAGTCCCAAACTATAAAAAGAAAAAAAAAATCAGAGCTTCTGTTATTTACCTGTTATATGCTCACCTTCTCTTGCATGCACACACACTCCCTCTTTCTCCCCTACTTTTCAGCAGTTTACTAACAGAATCAGTTTCAGTCTGCTTCTGGATTCTAAGTTACCCTCTAACCTTTATTTACCAGTCCTTAGAAACAAATTGAATTCTTTCTAAATTTATTCTGTCAAATTAATGTAAAAGCCGTGAGTGTTTAAAATCATCTTTGAATTTATCTGGTGGGATATGGCATACTGGACTAGATCATTTAGAAACTCCCTTTCCCCTGCCCCCCGTTTATTTTATTTTTTTTAAATGATCTGGTCTTGTTTAATGCCTTAGCCTTATTAGTCAACTAAAAGCTTAAGAGAATTGGAAAACTTTCTACAACTTTATCTCAAATGTGTTTCTCTGGAAGTGGGTTCTCCATGGATATTGTTTTTATTTGATCACTACCTTATTTTTTCTGACTGCCAACTGTCTGAAATAGGTTGACACCTATAAATGAAAACTGAAATTCTTTGAACATTAGTTTGTCTATCTATAATTAGCAATAAACATAAAGGCAATAAAAGATTTACAAAATAATAAAAAGGCAGATTAATTTCATCCATGTTTTTCCTTCCAAGGTTACATTGCACCATGGAGTGGCAGGTTTTATTCATTGTGGGATACTGGGTAAGTACAGTTACATTATTTGGCATCATATTTATTGAAATACTGCTTTTCCTTTGTTTTTATCTGTTTTGTCAGTGTTTCACTCAGTTCTTGGGCAACACTTCTAAGTACCAAAGATGCTAGTTTAGTAAATGTTAAATTCCTTTTACTTTATCTTGTTATGATACCTGTTCTGAATGCATCTTTAGTATGAAATGTACGTTGTGTATTACTGTTCTGCATGGGCAACTCCTTGTTTCCGTTTTGTTTGTAAGAATATTTAGGTTACCTTTGTGCAATTTAAAGATTGATTTGTCTTTTATAACATTTTCATCTTTAGTAATAATTTTTTATTCTTAAGAATTCTTAAGGATACTGTTTAATTGCCATAGATAGGAAGAAAATTTAATTTTTTCTAATACCATCTGATCTAAGTTTTTTTGTTTTTTTAAATCTGTGAAACACAAGAGAATATATATCTGTTGTGGTTTTTTTTTTTAAAGTGCTGTTATAAAATGAGTTAATACATTTGGTTTTGAATTAGACTAGTTCAATAAAACTTTTTTTCTCTAAAATGTTTTCCTGGAGATTAGAAAATATCTATTGATTATAATTTATGCCCCTCCTCTGTTCCTGCTGTTCTGTCTTGTTACTCCCCAGGTGGCTCAATAAAAAACAATTTATTGAACAGACATGCTTTCTGATGTGATACCAGAAGGACTTGTGTCCAGGTCTAATTAAAGGACATAAGCAAATTATGCATGAATGACTGGAACTAACAATTAGACACATACTTCAAGAGTTCAGCCTGTGGATCACTAACGAATTTGAAGGATAACCCAAGTTGTAGAATGTTATTCTGATTAGGTTAAATTACTAGGTTAACTTGTGCAGTTATATTATAAAGTAATAATATAACTGTAAAATAAATTATACAGTTATATATAACTGTAAAGTAAAATTGTAATATTATAATATAACTTGTGCAGTTATATTATAAAGTAGTCAATTAATTGACTACTTTAGAATCTCAGGGTGTTTCAGTAATAATTTTTTCAGTCCTTTCCATTTCCTTCACCTGTCTCCATGCCAGCTTCATGTCAAGCAAGGCATTATTGTGTAAGGTGTAATTATTGGGTAAAGTATTTCTGCTACAGGTTGAGTATTCAAAATCTGAAACGCTCTAAAATCATGAACTTGTTGAGCACCAACATGATGCTAAAAGGAAATGCTTATTGAAGCATTTCAGAATTTCAGATTAGAGATGCTGAACTGGTAAGTATAATGCAAATATTCTAAAATCTGAAACACTGCTGGTTCTAAGCATTTCAGATAAAGGATATTCAGTCTGTAGTAATAATTCCAAAAGGTAATGAGACTCGTTGATGCAAACATGAAAAATGCTGACTTAAACTACAGAACAAATTGCCAGTTGAACAGAGATTTCTGTATTGGAATTCAGAGCCAACATTCTCATGTCTGGATCTAGATAATTCTCTGAATTTTACAGAGGGCATATTAGTTTTAGTTTTACCAGTGTAGACCAAACAGAAACTATCCAGTATAACTGGTTACCTTGGAAGGTATATTTAAATAAGAAGGGGTAGGGAGTAGGTACCATTTCTACAACCAAACAAGATTTCTTCATCTAAAAGGAACTCCTGTTTTATCACTTAATTGTAAACAATATTAACTTTTTTAATACCAGGTATGCAAAAATACACATTCCAATTATTGCATCAGTGTCTGAGCATCAACCTACGACTTGGGTGTCTTTCTTCTTTGATCTACATATTCTTGTATGTACCTTCCCAGCAGGCCTTTGGTTCTGCATCAAAAATATCAACGATGAAAGAGTATTTGGTAAGAGAGGTTTTTAATGAATACTTTGATATGGAATAGTTATTTTTCTTTTTGAGATTATTTACTTTAAATTTTTGTTTTTCTATGTTTGACTCTATATATTCAAGATAAATTTTCTCCTTTATTTTGCATAGGTGCTTAACCAAGAAAAATTCACTGAGAGGCTGGGCATGGTGGCACACGCCTGTAATCCCAGCACTTTGGGAGGCCGAGGCGGGCGGATCACCTGAGGTCAGGAGTTCGAGACCAGCCTGGCCAACATGGTGAAACCTTGTCTCTACTAAAAATACAAAAATTAGCCGAACATGGTGGTGCATGCCTGTAATCCCAGCTACTCAGGAGGCTGAGGCAGGATAATTGCTTGAACCTGGGAGGCGGAGGTTGCAGTGAGTCAAGATCAAGCCACTGCACTCCACCCTGGGAATCAGAGCGGGACTCTGTCTCAAAAAAAAAAAAAAAAAGAAAAAAATTCATTGAATTTGTATTAAGTATTTTGATTGTTTTAATTTAGGACTAGTATATTATGGTTTCTGAGAGGTTAATGTTGTAGTTTGTGTTTGAGAATTGAAAATTTTAACTTTGTTGACAATAGCCTTGACTTTGTTTTCTGAGTAAAATTTTATTTAAGTAGGAAGAAGTTTTTAGGGACATTCATCTTCCAGATTTCAGAGCAAAGACCATTTTATAGCGGAATAAGGATCACCTTTCACTAAACATCCTCTTCATTGACAGATTTGTATATTTCCAACTAATAAGACTTGAAATACAAAATATTTAAATGCCAAGTATTTAGGGTTCTATATTTCTAATATAAGTGGACAAAATAAGCAGATATCAAAGGCTTCTACATGATTTAATCACACATGAAATATGCTGTGGTTGTTTTGTATGAGATAAAAACTGAAACTGAGAAAAACTTTATCACGTGCACAGGATCACACCAGTTGGTAAGTAATTTGTAGTGCTAGAAACTTGTACAATTATAGGATCTGGACCATGAGTGACACATGAATCAGGAAAGAAAGAACAGCACCTGTAGGGGTTCAGTTTAAAGGATTGCACACTCATTGTTCTCTAGGTTAATGGATCCTGGATGAGGCCCTGTTAATACTGCATCATTCAAGAAGATTTAACTTAAACCTCATGACTCAGTAATCCCATTCCTATGTATATATCTAAGAGAAGTGAGTGCATATGTCTACCAGAAGACATGTTTAAGAATGCATTAGTAATTTTATCTACAGTAACCCCTAATAGTAAATATTCCAAAGTCATCAGCAGTAGCATGAATAAATTTTTGTATATCTGTAGTGGAATACAACACAACAATCATTAAAGAACAGGATGGGGAAATAAGAGAAGCCAATACAAAAGAGAACATTTTTATGTGGTTACATTCCTGTAAAGTTCAACAATAAGGAATACTAATTCTTTAGAAGTCTAAATAGTGGTTACCTTTTTTGATAGGGGAGGGGGTTGTTACTGACTGAGAAGAGGCATGAGGACATATAAAAATGTTCTATATCATTATGGGTTGTAGTTACACAGGTGTGTATATATACAAATTCATTGAGATACACACTTAAGAATATGATGCGATGTATTTTTTAGTCAGGAAGAAAAATTTAATTAGCATCAGATAAGGTAGGAGCTCACATGACTCACTGAATTTGTAAAGTTATACATAGCCTTCAGCCAGAAATAGTTAGAGTCTTTTCCTGTGGTTAGCACATTATCCAGAAAGCTCTGGCTATTGGAAATTTGTTTCAAAAATTTTTTTTAAGTTTCTTGGCAGTAACTTTGCAGGTTCCTCCTTTGATTAATAACTTACGTTCTTCTCATCCCGTTTTTGTTTTAAAGCAGGTTTTATGCCAGATATTGGCACTGGCTTTTTATAGATTTTAAATCTATAAATTTATTTTGCCTGGAGATGTCATGCACAAATATGTTTTTATCTGCCAGCTATGGGTTTTTTATGATGTTATTGACAAATAGTGAATTAAGTCTAATTCTTCATAACTAATTAAATTTGAATCATATACATTTTTCTAAACTGTGGATGTGTAGGTTTTATTTAGTGAACACTAGTTATAATTTCTAAATGTGGCTAATTAATCAGTTGTTCAGTAGTATCAATTTAGAAACAATTAGATCGTTTGTGAGACATTTATATAATTCCAGGTTGGTTTTATAGTTTTAAGTATCTAGTTCAGTTTCCTGGGAACTTTTTCCCTCCAACATATTGTAAGAGAATTTGTCTTTGCAGTTGCTCTATATGCAATCAGTGCTGTCTACTTTGCTGGAGTGATGGTGCGACTGATGTTGACTTTGACTCCAGTCGTGTGTATGCTGTCTGCAATTGCCTTTTCAAATGTTTTTGAGCACTATTTGGGGGATGACATGAAAAGGGAAAATCCACCTGTGGAGGACAGCAGTGATGAGGATGACAAAAGAAACCAAGGAAATTTGTATGATAAGGTGGGGAATCTAAAGTAAGGCCTTTAAATTGTCTATGTCCTTTCTTAATTTTTCCACCACAGTAAGAACTATACATATCAAGAAATGTTATTAAATGATGATTTGGACAAACTGTGACTTTTCTAGTTGGTCTCCACTGTTTGCCTCAAAATATGAATCCTGGTCAGTCCTTTAGCTCAGAGTTAGAAAATAGAATGTAATCAGAGAAGGAATTCCTCTTTTTGGTAATTTGTTATCTAAATACTTAAGATATATACCCTTGTTAATATACCCTTCCATTTTTGAGAGCAAAAACTTTATGCTGTACTAAATTACATAACATTTGGCACTGTAAACCCCTCTGAAACCATGTGGACAGACAGGTGCTTATCCTTGAGGTCCATACTCAGTGCATACTTTCAAAATATTTTGGAAGTGACATTTGATTGGTTGAACAGTAAAATGAAGGGAGCAAAATGCCTTTTTTAAAACCCTCCAGTTCGTTAGCAATAGGTAACTGGCCAATACAGGTAATTTATTTTTAATCTATAGTTTCTCAGTTGGTGCAAGTGTGAAAAGGACTTGTAAGAATTAGAGCACTTGTCTTGGATGACATATTAAACTTTGCTATTTGAATATTGCCTGGATTTTAAAATACTAATAAATTAAACTTCCCAGTATCAGTAATAACTTTGAAATTCTTTCCTTCTATAAGATGAATGTAATTCATAAAGATGTGTGTTAATAAACCCACATTCCTGATTTTTGTGTTTGTTGTTATTGTTGGGGTTTTTTTGTTGCTTTGTGGTTTCTTAACCAGCCTTGAAATTTAGAAGTTGTGACTTTTTCTATTCTCTCTTCCCTTTTCTGTTGGGGAAGGTGATTTTTTAAGGTAATCGTAGTTTTAACAAGTCTGTTGGTTTTAGGGTTTCGAAATCGGAAGACTGATTCTGTTAATGCAGTTTTTTCCTATACTAAAGTGGTACATGGTCAAAATTATAGCTGAGCATTGCCATTTTCAGGATGTGGAATTCAGATTTTATAAGAATTTACATATTAAGATTTCACCAGAATGGGGTCATTTGGTTAATCTCCTTTGTATTTAATTAAAGTATAAGGACAACTGGGTTTGAAAGCAGCTTCTTACTGGAGATAATTATTTTGCTCTGTGACCAGTTTCTGGATTGGTATATTCCCAGGAAACCTTATTCACGTTTGACTTAGAAAACACTCCATCACCCACATAAGAATATCTGATGGTTATACATTTTCTGAGTCATAGAATTAAATTGATAGATAAACAGTCTCTCAACTTTTTCCATTGAGTATCTTAATGAAGCAAGTCAAATAATGAATTTGTCTAACCAATTTTTTTAATATCTTTAGGCAGGTAAAGTGAGGAAACATGCAACTGAACAGGAAAAAACTGAAGAGGGATTAGGCCCTAATATAAAAAGCATTGTCACCATGTTG
Source organism: Homo sapiens (assembly GCF_000001405.40). NCBI lineage: Eukaryota > Metazoa > Chordata > Mammalia > Primates > Hominidae > Homo > Homo sapiens. Next base: position 31,623,761 of record NC_000003.12, read on the forward strand.
ATGCTGATGCTATTGATGATGTTTGCTGTCCACTGTACCTGGGTCACAAGCAATGCCTACTCTAGTCCAAGTGTAGTCCTGGCCTCATACAATCATGATGGGTAAGAAAATAACTCGGATACAAAAACATTTTATACTTACACTTCTTTTTCGTTGTCTCAAAGGATATAATTAAAAAATAGAATGTTGTTTGTGAGATTCTGCATTTGCTTGTTTTTAATTTTTTATTTTAATTTTGGTAGGTACACAGTAAATACATAATTTTATGGGGTACATTCTATTTATGTCTTTTGATACAGGCATGTGTAATAATCACGTGTAAAATGGGGTTTCCATCCCCTCAACTATTTATCCTTTCAGTTACAAACGATCAAGTTACACTCTTAGTTATTTTTAAATGTATAATTAAATTATTTTTGACTGTAATCACACTGTGGTGTTCGTACCCGTTAACCATCCCCGTGCACTCTCCCCCGCCCCTGCCAGCCTCTGCCTTGTGCTCCTGTGAAGCTCTGTATTTGAATCTACCTTTCTTTGTCCTCTCCTCCACCTTGGTGCCATGGGTAGTAATCATTGTATTTCATGCTCTTTTCCAGAATATTTCTGCATGCATAATCATATACATTAGTTTTTCTCAAATGTGTGGTCTTTGTACACACAGCATCATCATTACCATGAAACTTGTTAGAAATGCAAATTCTTGACCTCACCCTAATGTTACAGAATTAGAAACCTGGGGCTGGGGCCTAGCAGTCTGTGGTTTAATAGACCTAGGTGATTCAGATGCAGCTAAAATGTAAGAACAGCTGATTTATGTATTGCCATGGCTTTCAACTACTCTTTCACTTGGGAGCTTATTAGGCTTGTACACTATTAGGCCCTACCCCAGAACTACTGAATCAGAATCGGCTTTTTTTTTTTTTTTTTAAATACAAGATATGCAGGTGGTTTGTGCACACACACATTAGTTTGAATAACACCAGTCTAGCTCTTCATTGTTTCACTTTTTTTTTTCTCATTGGTAGAGGCTTTTACTTAATAACTACCATCCTTAAAATCTGAAAGTATTCAGTGGTTTAATACCTCAAGATTTTAAGTTAGCCTCTTCACATTTGTGACATCTCATTTAAAAGAGTATTGTGATTCTTTTCAGCACCAGGAATATCTTAGATGATTTTAGAGAAGCTTACTTTTGGCTAAGGCAAAATACAGATGAACATGCACGAGTAATGTCTTGGTGGGATTATGGCTATCAGATAGCTGGAATGGCTAATAGAACTACGTTGGTGGATAATAACACCTGGAATAACAGCCACATAGCACTGGTAAGGATTTACTAAATACAAGGTTAAAAAATCTTTATTCACTCCTTAGCAATCAGGCTTCACTTGTGACTAAATAGGAAAAATGTGGGTGAAAAGTACTCTGCTGAATTCTCAAAATACTTTTTTACACATATGTTCAATAAAGTGAGTTCAAGGTGTGCTTATTTTGTTTTTAAGAATGATACTAAGTATCATTCAGAATTGCAGGCTGATTTCTGGTAGATTTTATGATAAATTTAGCTTACTGAAGAATTAGACAAAATCTGAAACTTAAAATGTTTGGCTTGTATTTTTCGTGTTATAAACTAAAAATTATTTGCAAATATGTAAAGTAAATGCACTGTATTTTATGGATAGGCAAACTGTTCCTCTAGCTATTAAACAACTAATCTGCATAGATTAATGTAATCCCCTCTTTGTACTTCAAAGATTTTTAAATACAAAGAGTAGTCTTAACCAAATGAATTCTATTTGTATTACTGTTGTAGCTAATTATCAGATGCATGCTAGACTGGGGAGAAGAAATGTATGTGCTAGCAAGATCACTGGCCAGCCCTGGCCTGCGGTTGTGAGAAGTTGTTTTTTCTAAGCTTGCCTGCTTTCATCATAAAATGTTAATGTTATAGAACTTAATTATTAGCAAAATATTAGAGCATGTATTCTGATTTTTGACTGTAAATTAGTTATAGTAGTTGAGAGGTTCATAAATTCCAATGCATTTGTTGAATTCATAGTAAATCATTTCTGCAAAAAAATTCCATGTAAAACAAACTCTTGATGAATTCCATGTTGTAGTAAAAAATATACATTGATTTTTATGAATGTGGGAATAATCAAAAACATTCTCATTTTTTTTTAAATTCTGCAGGTGGGAAAAGCTATGTCTTCTAATGAAACAGCAGCCTATAAAATCATGAGGACTCTAGATGTAGATTATGTTTTGGTTATTTTTGGAGGGGTTATTGGCTATTCTGGTGATGATATCAACAAATTTCTCTGGATGGTTAGGATAGCTGAAGGAGAACATCCCAAAGACATTCGGGTAAGAAACTAGATAATTCCAGGTATGTGAAAGATAGCTCACTGTGTCCTCGTAATTCTCTCATCTTGCTAATTGCATTGTATTTGTTTCATCATCCTATCCCTCAGATTAGTTCCTTACCCTGGCTTTACTATTTATTAAAGATAGTAGAGGCATTTCCTATATTAAAACTTTTTGAAGTCAAAATGGAACTAATATACCATTCTTCCCTATGAAGCAGTCCCTTGCCAAGACTTCTTACTTTTACGTCTCTTCACAGCCTCTCATGTCATCCCTTTCTTTCCATTTCCATTGCTTCCACTCTAGTACTTACCCTTATGCTTGTAAACCTGAAATAGGATAGTAACCTTGAAATTGCTATCTTTGCCTTGTTTCCTCCCTCCCAGTGTAAGATAAAATTGATCGTGTTACTTTTAGGCTCAAAAGACTTCAATAGATTAAGGGAAAGGGTCTTAAAACCATATAGACATGAGTTAAAACTAAAACTGTCAACTTGGGCAAGTTATTTTAGCAAGTCAACATAATATGCTTTGAGCACTAGGTCTAGTTCTAGGATCTGGAATTAAAATGGTGACCGAGGCCGACTAGGTTATCTTTTGCCAAAAATAACTAATTTATAGTGCCGTTTAATGAGAATTTATAGTAAAGTAGTTGAAGCCCCAGCCTAGGGACTGGTACAAAATAGATAACCTCTGATAAAACATTAGTATAAAGTGTAAACTCTTTAGCTTGGAATGTAAGCCTCTTTATGTTTTGCCTTCCTTTGCTGGTGTCTTGTTCTTCTGCCACCTTTGTCTACTCTGCCAGTATGTTCTAGCCCCTGAAACTTGCTTGTGCTTTCTTTCCTTGACTCACCTGACACGTGTGTTTTTACTGTTCTCTTTCCTGGAATACCTTCCCTACCACAGACTTGCCCCCTCTCCAAAAGCCCTTTTCTGGTATACTCACATCTGTACTCATCACCAAATTATTTATACCTGTTTTGCAGGAGTCCCCAGACCCCAGGCAGCGGACCAGCACTGGTCCGTGGCCTGTTAGGAACCAGGCCACATAGCAGGAGGTAAGGGGCAGGTGAGCGATCATTGCCGCCTGAGCTCCGCCTCCTATCAGACCAGCGGCAGCATTAGATTTTCATAGGAGTACAAACCCTATCGTGAACTGCGCATGCAGGGGATCTAGGTTGCATGTTCCTTATGAGAATCTAACTAATGCCTGTTGATCTGAGGGGGAACAGTTTCATCTAGAAACCAGCAGCCCTCCGCCATCCGTGGAAAAATTGTCTTCCACGAAACTGGTCTCTGGTGCCAAAAAGGTTGGGAACCACTGCTTTTTTGTATTAGATTGTGTCTTACCTCTTTCACTAAATTGTGAGCTTTTAGAAGATGGACATCCAGCATTGTGCTTTTACATGATGAAGGCACAAAAGATAAGAGTAATTGCCACTGATCCAGAATAAAGGAATCTTTTGGGAAAAATGTATGCAGGTGTCGTGTGATGCAGATGAAGTAAAGCCTCAGATTTCCTGGTCAAATGTCAATGCTGTAATGTTTCCCTTAACTGTGATTAGTAAACATTATTTTTTTGTATTAATCTTCTGAAATTTAATTCTCCCAGTATGGTTTTTATTTGTGGATTTGCTTTAGCAGTCAGTGTTAAAACTGTGACATGTGATAGATCACTGTTTCTAAATGTATGCTTTGAACATTAATATTACAGAAGTCCTAAATTTCTGTGCATCTTAAATTATTTTTAAACTTTGTGAATAGATAATACACTCATATGGTTCAAAAGTAAAGTATAAGAGGATATACAATAAATGTCTACCCCCTTCACGTGATTCAAAAATAAAGTATAAGAGGATATACAAAAAAGTCTACCCCCCCTAAAAAAAAAAAAGTTCCTCTATAGGTAATAACAATGTATTGTGTACTTGTAAGTTGCTAAGAGAGTAGATATTTCAGTGTTCTCACTACAACAAAATAAGTATGATTGATGCATATGTTAATTAGATCGATGTAGCCATTTCACAGTGCATATTTCAAAACATGGTGTACACCATAAATATACACAAATTTATGTGTCAGTTAAAAATGGGGGGGCGGGCGGGCGGTGGAGTCCCTGGTAATCACTGGTTATTTTCTTGTGATTCTTAACTTCTAGCAAGTTATATACCCTGTTCACTTCATAATATGTCTTGGTGATTTTTCCATGTTAGAATATGGAGAACTTCTTTATTCCTTTGTTTACATTTGCACAGTACGTTGCATTTTTTGTGTGTGTGCATGATTTATTTAACCTGTCACCATTGATGGAATTTAGATTGTTTCCAGTATTTTAGTTTTATAAACAATGGCATAATAACTTTCTGCATTCATTATTTTGGCCATATACAAGTATCTCTGTAGCGTTAATTCCTGGAAAAGGAATTTCTGACTCAGAAATTACATTTTTTACCTAGAGTGCCAAAATTGTTCCTCATAGAGGTTAATTTATAAGTTAACCCCATAAAAATTACCACAGGAGTCTTTTTAACATTGTCCTCCCCAAATAAAGCCGATTTTAAAGTTCATGTGGAAAAATTTAGCTAGAACACTTAAGAAAACTCTGAAAAGGAGTAACGGAGATGAGGATGGGTAATTGAGAGAGCCAGCCTTACCTGGTATTAAGCCATGGTGTTGGTACCAGTCTCTTTAAATTATGAAAGTGGCTATGTGCAGTGGCTCAAGTCTGTAATCCTAGCATTTTGGGAGGCCAATCACTTCAGCCCAGTAGTTCAAGACCAGCCTGGACAACATGGTGAAACCCTGTCTCTACAAAAAAATGCAAAAATTATTTGGGCGTGGTGCCGTGGGCCTGTAGTCCCAGCTACTTGAGAGGCTGAAATGGGAGGATTGCTTGAGCCCAGGAGGTTGAGGCTGCAGTGAGCCACAGTCACGCCACTGCACTCCAGCCTCGAGGACAGAACGAGACATTGTCTCAAAAATAATAATTATTAAGGCCTTATAACATGGTTCGAAGTCTGGTGGGATTAATTTTTTTGAGGTGTAACTGAATATGGCTTTATAAAGATACCTCAGAAGCTTATTCTTACAGGGAAATGAAAAGAGGAAACTGTAGCTTTGAATATGTTAACTTGAACTAACATAGAACTTGTGGTTTCTTTCTTGTAGGAAAGTGACTATTTTACCCCACAGGGAGAATTCCGTGTAGACAAAGCAGGATCCCCTACTTTGTTGAATTGCCTTATGTATAAAATGTCATACTACAGATTTGGAGAAATGCAGGTTAGTTAAATCCATTTTTCTCTAATTTTCATTCAAAATAATGTTTAAAACAAGTCTTATTTGCCTCTAGAAAACAGGATAATGATATTTTGATTGTGCTGAAGAGAAATGTGCTTATCTAAATAGTCTTTTTTTCATTAAATTTAGATTTCTGAAACTAATATGTGAGAAATTAGAAAATAAAATTTTAGATCAAGGACTTCTTTCTAACATATTTATTAACAGTAGCCTCAAATCCAATCTTTGCTTGCCATCTCACCATTAGAACTCATGCTTTTGGAAAGTATTGTTCTCCAAGAAGAGTTCTCCTAGCTAGGAAACAGTGTGGTGTCTTAGGTCACTTTGCTGCTTGGTGGAGAAAAGCTTAAAATTAAAGATTCGAAGTAAATAGTCACTTCAGATGTTCACTCTCTCCCCATTCTCCGTTACCACAAATAGCTAGAGCTGCCTGGGTCAGAGTTTTCTAGTATATTAGAATGATGTGGTACAAAAGCTTAAGGGTCTACAAAATGAGTGAATGTGCAAAGAGGCATTGTGGCAGAAAGAAGAAACAATGGACTTGATGTCATAACACCTGTGTTTTCGATCAGGTTCTGTCAAGTCATGTAACTCTCAGACAATTTGTATCTGCCTTGGATTCCACTTGGTTCTTTTCTTGTTTGTAAATAATGGGGCTTGGATTGATGACTTGATTTTTAAGGAAACCAGAATATGTCACCCCAAAATATGCCTCTTTGACATGAAAGTTAATTTTGAGCTGAAGGCAATTTAGAAGCAGCAAACAGAGAAAAAGTTCTATCTAACCTCTTTTCTGCCTAAAGGCAGAATATAAATTCTCCTTTACTGGAGACAACTCTAAGACTCTTATCAGCCCAGAGAAAGCACCAGAGGAATCTGCAAACAAAATTTACTCCATTAGTTTCTCCCATATATGTACCCTTCTACTAGTTTCTCCCATATATGTACCCTTCTACTTTCCCATCTTGAAGGCCTAAGACCACTATCCTTTGTCCTTTCTCCACAAATGTATTGTTCTTTGTTAAGCATGCTATAAAAGCCAGAGTTCTAAGCCACTGCTTTGAGTTCCTTTTCATTGAGGTTTCTCCTGCATAATGTGCGCCGAACGTCTTAATAAATTTGTTTTGCTCTTGTTAATCTGTCCTTTGTTATAAGTGTCTGTCCCAAATTTTTATCTTCATACTATTAGTTTCACTGAAAACTGCTTATTTCTGTATTGCTCTCTGGTTAAGTTGGTAAGAAAGCAGAGGAAAAATTGCTTGCTTAATTTTATACTATCACTGGGGATCAAGATAACTATCAAAACTAAAGGGGTGTGTTTGGACCTCAATTTGTGAATCAAGTTTTACCGTGTTTTTTTGTGGTGTTTTTTTTGTTTTTTTTTTGAGAGGGAGTCTCGCTCTGTCGCCCAGGCTGGAGTACAGTGGTGTGATCTCGGCTCACTGCAAGCTTCGCCTCCCAGGTTCATGCCATTCTCCTGCCTCAGCCTCCCGAGTAGCTGAGACTGCAGGCGGCTGCCACCACACCTGGCTAATTGTTTGTATTTTTAGTGGAGATGGGGTTTCACTATATTAGCCAGGATGGTCTCGATCTGACCTCGTGATCCCCCTGCCTTGGCCTCCCAAAGTGCTGGGATTACAGGCATGAGCCACCGCGCCCAGCCCCAAGTTTTATCCTTTTCTAAAACACCATCTTTGTGGCTAATATGGACTAGAATATTCACTTGGTTTCAGAATAGTTAGCATATACTGTGTTCCTGTTTGTTGTGTTGCTTCAAGTAATTCCAAGTGAATCATATTTTATCATTATTCACTTGGAATTACTCTGTAGATGACTTAAAAAACAGCAGGTGATAATCTAGATTTAGGTTTTTGTTTGTGTTTATAATTTCTTTTGAAGGCCACACTTGGTCTTTAAACGCTTGCTAAGAAAGAAGCACACTGGCCATAATAATCAGTTACCCCAGAAAACATATTTTCTGATTGGCTTGTTTCTGATTAGTTTCTCTGCTCACTACTGATCACGTTGAAGGACCTTTTTCTTCCTCTCTTTTAAGTTTATCAATAGTTTTAAGCCATGTTCCCAGCATACATTCATTTTGATGCCTACCTTACTCAAGAATAATATATGGTTAAAATATGAAGTGTAACTTTTGCTATCATATAGATAAGCAAGAACAAGTAATTCACTATTTGAAGGAGAGCTGGTTTTCATGTTTGTTTTAAAGTTGAGTTTGGCCAGGCCTGGTGGCTCACACCTGTAATCCCAGAACTTTGGGAGGTTAGGTGGGAGGATTGCTTCAGCCCAGGAGTTCGAGACTAGCCTGGCCAAGATGGCGAAACCCAGTCTCTGTTTAAAAAAAAAAAATGGAAAAAAAAGTTGAATTTACTTATGCTAGATTTGTATGTCAACATAAACTTAGTCTGAGCATTTTTTTTTTCCCCGAGACAGGATCTCACTCTGTGGCCCATACTGGAGTACAGTGGTGCAATCATGGTTCACTGCAGTGTTGACCTCCTGGGCTCAGTTGATCCTCCCACCTCAGCCTCCTGAGTAGCTGGGACTACAGGCACATACCACCACGTCCAGTTAATTTTTGTATTTTTTGTAGAGACAAGATCTTGCTATGTTGCCCAGGCTGGTCTTGAACTCCTGGGCTCAGGCCATCCTCCTGCCTCAGCCTCCCAAAGTACTGGGATTATAGGTGTGAGCCACCACATCAGGACGGTCTGAGAATTTCTTAAAGTCTCCTTCTCTCCCTATGTTTTCCCTTTTTATCCCTCATAAATCCTTTCACGGTTTGGTTTTTTTATTTGGCCTCCTTTGTAGTTCCCACTTTCAGAATGTAGTATCTCTTACTTGTGCATTTATTTAACAAATAATAATTGGGATATAAAGCTACACTTTGAATAAGACAAAGACATGTTTACATCCCAATCGAAGATACAGGTAATTTTTAGCGTTAAGTAAAGATGTTAATAATATATGTTATGGGGTAAAAGAACAAGATGCTATGAGGAAACAATAAAGGAGATTTGTCAGTCACTAATCTCAAGAAAATATTTCCCTGAAGGGGGTGGTAAAGGAGCTAGCCATGCAAAAGAGCTGAATGAAGAACACGCCAGGCAGAGAGGATAGATAGTGCAAGGCCCTGAAACAGAAAAGAAGCCCCTTGGGTGTGTTCTGTCTGTATACCTATAAAAAGGGCTTTGATAGATTTCATTTCTATGTTTTGGTGGGTTTTTTTTTTTTTTTTAATGCCTTTAGAATGCTCATTTACTCTAAGGATTTTGTGAAATTCTTACTCTGATGTACTTAGTTTCTCTCTTCCTGATTTTTTCCTGTCTAGTTAGCAATACATGAGAACTATTAAGGTAGATAGATTACTTGATTGTTTTCCTAGTTTAAAGGGAGAAGGTATTACTGTAATGATAACACTTACTGTCTTATAACACTGAATGTTTTCCAATATGGTTAACACCCAATAATAATGTCACTTTTGCAGCTGGATTTTCGTACACCCCCAGGTTTTGACCGAACACGTAATGCTGAGATTGGAAATAAGGACATTAAATTCAAACATTTGGAAGAAGCCTTTACATCAGAACACTGGCTTGTTAGGATATATAAAGTAAAAGCACCTGATAACAGGGAGACATTAGATCACAAACCTCGAGTCACCAACATTTTCCCAAAACAGAAGTATTTGTCAAAGAAGGTGGGTGCCAAGTGAAGGCATTAAAGGGTAACTTAAGGTGTGTTGGTTTGTATGAAAAAGAATTTCTGGAAATTGCAATAAATTTCCATCTGCCAGATTTATAAAGACTATGGCTTCTATATTAATACGAAGTAAATATCAGCCTAGCCTGCTAGGAGCATTCCTTTCAAACTGAGCACTTCAGATATCCCAAGCTGAGATTTTTCCAGAGGCCTTCTGGCTTTGGTTTGTGCTATTGCCATTAGTAAGACTTACTTGTAAAGTAAGATGTAGCTGTGGCCATCGCTTTCCAAACCTGTATGAAAGTAAAAATGCTAAATTCTCATCTTTTGAGCAGAGCAAATTTATATTGCATCTTCATGTTCCATTCTTAGTATGATGTTACTCTATTATTCATTGAATAAAGAATAGGTTTGGGTTGGGTGAGTCCTTCTGAAGCCCAAAAAAATCATTTATCTTAAGATAATTATTTTTTAATGTAATTGTGACAAAGCTTATAGGCAGGAATTATGAGACTACTGCAATTCTTTTCTAATATTATATAAGATATGAAGTATTTCATTGGGGGTCATTATTGCTCACTTAAGCCAAATAGATTATAATTTTTGCTATAAAAGATGGCTAAAAATTAGTATTTATATAGGTTGTCCAGCAGTAGGAAATGGGAAGTAATGAACAGTCAGATAAAATGTTAAGGTTCATTATAAGGTACTATCCTTATAATACTGATTATTATTAGACTGACTTTGAATCTCATTTTTTAAGGATGCTTAGGTTTACATAGCTCAGATCAGCTATCTTATATCATTGAAACAACTGTCTTAACTCTTTGTTACTTAAAATATACATCAAATATATTCAAAATACAGATGATTTTAATTTGTACTATAAAAGTGCTGAATATTAACGGTGTGATATGTAAATGGAAGCTTTTTATATGAATATGTGCCAGATGTAAATTACCATGTCTAGACTAATGTATTTAAAAATGTCACATAGAGCTGACATTCATTGTGTTAGTCATATGAAACTCATTATCTTTAGGTAAAATAACATTAAAAAATCAGATGATTGTCACAGGCATGAGGTAGGAGAAACTGGTGAGCAGCAAATGCTGCTATTCTCAAAGCAGTTACTCCTAAGATATCCAAGTATAACTAAGGTGTACTTTTTCTGCAAAAAGAGGGCTGTTGAACTTGTTGTCTGATGATATAGACCCCAAAGGCAGTGAATTTTCTTCATTTGACCCCTTTTCTCTTCCCATCATTTTCCCCAAATAAATGTGAATGGATAAATAAAACATAATCTGTCTTGTGTGCCCAAAACATATATTGTGGTGGCCAATAACATATTTTGACATTCTGGTTTCCATGGCTTTAGATGTTTTGTACTAACACTATGAAGGAATGCTTTTTATACTTCCCTTTCTCTATCCTGGTTTTGACTTTGGAGGAGGAGGGTATACATAACAGCATCCATTCTGAGAGTTTACCAGCCATCGCAAAGCCGGCATGACTAAGGCACTAGAAATTGTAGTCCAGGCTGCAGAAAAGGCTTTTTGGCACATGGTTCACTGCCAGTAGGAGAAAAGCACCCTGAGGGCTATTACACACTTGGATATTCCTGGGGCACATCATAAGATCTCATAGAAAAAGTATCCTGTTAGAATCTGGATGTAATTATAATAAAGAAACTACTAGATCTGGTTTGAATTTTTAAAAATTGTACCCTCTGAAGTTTCTTACTTTGTGCCTTAATAACATCAGTTTAACAATAAGGTAATATAATGGGGTTAACAAGTTAGCAGTAGCTAATTTTTAGTACCTTAAGAAGGATTGCATTTTGCCTTGTGTTCTCATCCCTGTTAGAAACTACTATAAATTATCTTGAATTGAACATCATGGATAAAGGAACATGATGCAGGATTTACCCAGTTTCTGAAACCTCTGAGAGTTGTATTTAAATGTGAAAATTGAATTGAGTGGTCAGTCTCTTGAGTCTTCTGCCTCTGTTAACCCAGAGCTTTGATGGTGCATTAAATTACTTAGTTTCAAAAAATATTTGCTGTCTTCAATATCTAGGGCTGTGTGTCAGATTGAAAGACATATGTGCCTATAATTTATCCTGTGGGGTTCTAACATAAATATTTTAGCAGTAATTTGTACCACTGCATTTCCGGTAATTTGTTTCTAATACTAGGAAACGTCTATTGAAAGTATTTTAGTGGGATACTGAATTGTTAAGAAAAATATTTTATTTTTAAAAGATGTATGAAACTGAAGGAATATTGTTTTGCTTTACATTTTCAATTGCTTATTTTCCTACCTAAAGGATTATTTTTAGAGAATGTGCCAAGTGATTATATCTCTCATTTTTGTAGATGGTTACAGTCATCCTCATTTTACAGAAAACAGGGACTCTAAGAGTTACTAAGTTAACGTGTTTTTCTGGCACACACCTAATTTCCTGGAGGCTAAATCAGGAGCAGCATTACCATTTCTGATTCCTTAGTCTAGTGTTACATATTCTGTCTTGCCTGGAAATTTTAATAATTACAGCTCAGCACTTTGTGGTTGAGAAGAGGGCTGAAGATTCATTCACTTGATGGTGAGGATGTCTAGGAACCTAGTCCTTTCACTTTGAATGTGTTAGTGTACTCAGGTAAGAAACACCACTAACAGTTTAGTGGTGTTCACTGAACTATTCAAGGAATCCAGTCACAAGAAGAGCAGAGAGCTTACTAAGTCATCATAGTTCAGTAAACCATGTGTGTGTTTATAGATTTTTTAATCAGTAAGAAACCTGCATTAATACTATGTGTTTTGTTTTTTTATAGACTACCAAAAGGAAGCGTGGCTACATTAAAAATAAGCTGGTTTTTAAGAAAGGCAAGAAAATATCTAAGAAGACTGTTTAAATGCACTGTTCTGGTTCCTAACTTGAAGCAGTTGTCCTTGTGAGAACCGGTCTTTGCCTTTAGCTCATGTCGTGTTTCACAGCAAAGAGGGTACAGAACCATCACTGGTCCAGGTTAATGTACAAAATTTTCTGGCAATGCCTGATTAAAAAAATAAAATTGGCTTGTTGAGAACAGCTGTTTTCGATTTCTAATGTGAAGCAAGACAGAGCACTGCTGTAAATGTCTAGCAGCAGATTTTTTTTTTATTGGTACATATTATCCTTCAAATCTGAGAATTTGGACTAACTGCACCAAAGAACCCTCTAATTTGGTCCCTGGCACATGCATACTTGTCAATGTTTTTATTCTTTTACAAGACCTGCATTTTATTTGAATTACCCGAATAGCAATATGTAAAATACAAGTGACAAAATGTGATGAGAGCTTCTTGAACCGGTAAACTAGTACAGGTCTGAGAAAGACATATTAGAAGAATCATTATACTTCCTTGAATTATATTTATTTTCATGTTTCTCTAATGCAAAGAATGTTTCATCAAATGTATATTTTCTGTTGCTTACTGTTTGCTCTGAGAAGAAGCTGCTGTTTCAAAGATGGACCTCTGAGTAGCTAATTGATTCAAGTAGTTTTTTTATGTTGACACATTATTACTGCTGTTAGCAGTCGTTTTCACCAGGTACTTACAGAGCAGATTTCATACATCATTCATTCAAGGGCTAAATTTATATTTTTTGGAAATCATGGCAACTACACAGGATGTTGCTTACCAGGACGGAGTTTTGGTATCTTAGTACTGAAGTTAGCACTATGTTTACATGCAAAAGATTAAGGAAAAAACCCTTAAAGTGGACAGGTATCCAAAGTTCATTTTCTGTGACTCATCAAAGTGACAAAAGACTTGTAACAACTTTGCCTGGACTTTTTTCATTTTACAACAGTTCATCCATTCACAATGATTTTGTTCTCTGCTCCATATTTTTTAATCCCTTAAGCATTTGATGAAACACTCTTTAGTGCTATATGCATTTTCTTACTTTTGTTAAAAATGTGACAGTTGTCAAAAAATGCACTAAAATGTAAATGGAGATTGAACAAGTTCACTTTCCAGCTTATAGGCAACTTTATACAGACTTGAACATTTTCTCCAGTTGTTTAGTAAAAGTGAAAGAGAAAGGGTTTTTCCTGCCACAGGATATAACTTTTTTTTATATAACAAGCATAACACACCACTGCTTTTGGTGGAAAAGTGCAGAATAGTATGTACCTTTTATGAAGAAAAATGTAATTTACAATATTCAGTGAGAATGTTACTGCTGATTTTCTTTTCCAAGGTGTAGAATATTCTTTGATTTATAGAATTCATTTTTGACCCAGATGATGGTTCCTTTACAGAACAATAAAATGGCTGAACATTTTCACAAATAGAGTGTAACGAAGTCTGGATTTCTGATACCTTGTCATTTGGGGGATTTTATTTTACTTTGTTGCTTTAAAATTCAATGCAGAGAAGTTGTTGACTGTAGGGGAAATAAAGTTAATTCAAATTTTGTGTTAAGTGTTGTTTTTTACAAATCTTTTGGTTTTGAAAGGAATTGGTACTGAACACATACCTCCTTCTTCCTTGTTGACTTTCACAAAGGTTTTAAAGAAAATGTGTGGAAAAAAATACGTTAGATTATTTCATCTTAGACCAAGCTATTTTATTTGGCCTTCTTTTACCCTGGAATGAAAATCTCAGGTTTTTTTGTTTTTGTTTTTGTTTTTGTTTTTTGTTTTTTGTTTTGTTTTTGGAAGGGATTTGGGGAGGGGGAACACCTAGCCAACTAGGAATTTTATCTCTGTTTAATAAGGATAGGGACCTAACAAAACCATCCATGAAGTTCTGGTAATGAAATGTCAAGTCTCAGTATAGAATTTTCTCATTAGAAAAATCCCAAAGGAAAGACCCCTCACCTTTCTCAGGAAACAACATTTTGGTTCAGTGTATCTTGTCAGTAAAATACCATATTGTAACTGTTTGAGCACTTGTATTGTAGCACAAAAGTGAAATAGTAGTTTGAATACATTGGAATATAGGATAATTGACTTAAAATATTCTTTAGATCTCTTAATTCATTTCATGTGTGATCACTAACATTGTACACCAAAGGAACTTAAAGATCGTGGCCTTGAAGTTTTAGACTATAAAACAGCTTTTAGGCTGTAGTGCTCTGTAGTATAAATAAGGCAGTGAGGCAGCAACTCCAAAGAAAATTCCCTTTCAAGACTTACATTGTAACCTACTTGAGTTTATAGTTGTGGAGTTTTAATTCATTTGCATTCTAGGCCATGACCAAGTGACCAGAGGACTAAAATAGTATAAAAGCATCCTGTATTGAGTTTCCATAGCCAAGGGGGTGTAAGATCATGAAATTTGGAGCTGTTTCTCGTTTTTAAAAAATGAGTTGTAAAATACATATTAAATAAAATTTACCAACTTAACCATTTTGAAGTATACAGTTCAATAGTGAAGTACATTTACATTGTTGTGCTACCAGTCTCCAGAACTCTTTTCATCTTGCTGTAGCTGCTGCTGCTTAATGCTGGTTTTGCCATGTTGCCCATAGTCCTTAATCGAGATAGGTGGAGTAATGTTGAGCTCAACAGCTGTCTGCCATGGAAATAGTAGGAAATTGAGACAGACCAAAAACAGTAATGAAATGTCATGTCTTATTTTTATTGTGAAATGTAACACAAGAGAACACAAAAATGTACAGTTGACCCTTGAACAACATGAGTTGCACACATGGATTTTTTTTCAATAAATGTATTGAAAAATTTTGGCCAGGCATGGTGGCTCACGCCTGTAATCCCAGCACTTTGGGAGGCCGAGGTGGGCAGATCATTTGAGGTCAGGAGTTCGAGACCAGCCTGGCCAACATGGTATAACCCCATCTCTACTAAAATTAGAAAAATTAGCTGGGCGTGGTGGCAGGCTCCTGTAGTCCAGCTACTCTGGAAGCTGAGGCTGGAGAATAGCTTGAACCTGGGAGGCGGAGGTTGCAGTGAGCCGAGATCGTGCCACTGCACTGCAGCCTGGGCAACGGCGTGAGATGCTGTCTCAAAAAACCTATATAATTAATGTATTGAAACATTTTTGGAGATTTACAACAATTTGAAAAAAGCTTGCAAATGAACCGCATAGCCTAGAAATATTTTAAAAGTTAAGAAAAAGCTATGTGATTAATGCACAAAGTATATAGATAACTACTTTTTTGCTGTTGATTTGAGACAGTCTTGCTCCATCACTCAGGCTGGAGTGCAGTGACATGATCTTGGCTCACTGCAACCTCCACCTCCTGGGTTCAAGCGATTCTCATGCCTCAGCCTCCCAGGCAGCTGGGACTACAGGTGCCCACCACCATCTCTGGCTAATTTTTGTATATTTAGTAGAGATGGGGTTTCACCACGTTGTCCATGCTCATCTCGAACTCCTGGCTTCAAGTGATCCACTTGTCACGAACTCCCAAAGTGCTGGGATTACAGGTGAGCCACTGCACCTGGCCTAGGTACTATTCTTTTATCATTTACTACCATAAAATATATACAAGTCTATCATATGTTAAAATTTATGAAAACTTAAGCTCACTACATGGCGCCATTCACAGTTGAGAAATGTAAACCAATGTAAAGCCATATTAAATCATAACTGCATAAAATACTGTTCTATAATATAGCCATCTGTTGCTACTATGAGCTCAAGTGTTGCTAGTATCCACTTAAAACACCATGTGTGACACTTATCACTGTTTTATAGCCTATTACTGGTTATGTTTTGGGGGACTCAAAAGTTTTATGTGAATTTTTGATTGGCAGTCATTGTTCAGGGGTCACCTTAGTGAATTAACTGCAAAGTGAGCAATTTTGTATCCGTGACACAGGTCAAGAGAACAGAACAGTGCCAGTACTCCAGAAGCTTCCTCATGACCCCTTGTGGTCACTATCCTGTCCCACTTCCCTCTCCAAAAGGTAATCATTATATTGGTCTTTATTGGTGCTTTGATTTATGGTTTTACCAATTCAGTATTTCTCTCTAAACATGTTGAGATGCATCTATTTGAACTATAGAAATGGAATAATAGAGTATGTATGATTTTTATCTGTCTTCTTTTGCCCACTATTTGTGAAATGCATCGAGGTTGTTGCTTGCAGCTACACGTTTTTTTTGTTTCATTGCTATATATAGTATTCCTTGTGTATGTCTGTAGCTGGCTCTCACACATATCCATTCTGTTGCTAAAGGGTATTTACATTGTTTCCAGTTTGAGGATATTACCAACAATGTTAGAGGAATACTCTTACATCTCCCTTGGTGCTTATATGCATGTATTTCTAAAAGTGGAATTGATGGTTACTTCCATATCCCAGTCAACCCCTGTCATCTTTTTAATTTTGCCTCTCTGGTGGGTGAATAATGATTTGTCATGATGTTTAGTTTGATATTTCTAGGTTAATAAGGCTGGCCATTTAGAAATCTCCCTTTTATAAGGTGTTGGTTCTAATACATTTCTCCTGGTTTTTTAAAAATTTATTATGTTAATAGGAATTCTTTGTCTTGTATATAAGGCCTTCATTTGTGTTGCAAATTGCCTAGGAATTAATAATTTTAATATAGTCTATTTCCATCTCTTGTATACCTATACAAAATCTTTTCCTCACTTGAAGCCATGATGATAGTCTGCTGTGTTTTCCAGAAAATGTATTGTTCTACTTTTTATACTTAGCTTTGCAGTCCACCTATAATTCATTTGTTGAGCACAATGTGAATTGTTTTTCTTTTAAGGGGTTTTATTGGCATATGTATATCTAAGTGACCCAGCACCATTTATTGAAAAGACAGTTCATTTCCTACAGCTCTTCAGTATCCCTTTTGTAGTAAATCATATGTCCATATATGCATCTATTTCTAGACCCTCTGTTATATTCCACAGAGCTCTGTGTATGTTGACTTAATATATAGCTTTAAGATAATTCAGAAAATATGGTAGAGTAAGTCCATCTGTCCCTCCATTGTTCCTTAATTTGCCTTGCTTTTTCATACAAATTGTAGAATCAGGTTAAGTTTCACCAAAAAACAAAAAAAAAACCCTGTTGAGCTTTTGATTTGGCAGTGAATATATAGATCATTTGGGGAAAATGAACACCATTGAAATATTGAGTCTTGTGTCCATGAGTGTGGCATATCCTTCCATTTATGCAGGCGTTTAGTTTCTGTTTTATTGCTTTTGAAGACCTTGCGCATTTTCATAACTTTGATTCCAAGGTATATGTTATTTTTAATACTATCATAAAATTAGATTTTCTATTTCTCAGCATATAAAAATACTTGATTTTTATACGTTGAAATTACTAAACTTATTCTAACAATTCCAATTTTTTTTGTTGTGAACATCATAACTTGGGAATAATGACAATTTTACTTCTCCCTTTCTAATCATTATATATTTATATTTCTTGCTTTGCTGCACTGGCTAGGACACACACCCAGTATAGTACTGCAAAGAAAAGGCAACATCTTGCTTTCTTCTCTCACAGCGAAAGCTTTTGACATTTCACCCTTTAAGTTTGCTGTATATTTTCTATAGATATCTCTGATCAGATTAAGGATGTTACTGTTTGCTGTGAGTTTTTTAATCATGAATAGGTTTTGTTTCTCAAGTAGTTTTTTCCTTCATTCATTGAGATGATGCTGATTTTTCTCCTTTAATGTGGTACACGAATTACAGAAACTTTGTTCACAATGTTAAATTAAATGAAACTTGTATTCCTGGAATAGTGATTTATGCTTGGTGAAATTTACTGGTGAAACCATTTGGGCCTGGAGTTCTTTTGCAAATGCTTTTAATTACAGATTATGTTTCACAGATACAGGATTATTTCAGTTTTTTACTCCTTGTTTCCATTTTGGTGAGTTATTTTCAAGGAATTCATCTAAATTTTCAATTCGGTTAAAGTAAAATTGTTGAAAATATCACTTAATTGTTTTAATGTCTGCAGCTTCTATTGGTGTTCCTTTTTAATTATAGATATTTCATTTTTCCCCCTTGAATTCATACTTCTTTCCCCCCACCTCTGCCATACACTTTTTTCCCCTGATTTTCCTTGGCAGGTTTTGTTTTTTTTTTTTTCTTTACATCAATTTTGTTAGCTGTTTTTTTTTTTTCTTTCAAAGACCAGCTCCTCACTTTAGTGCTTTCTACAGTGTTAGTTCATTATTTTGTGCCATTTCCTTGGGGTGGGCGGAGGGTCATATTCTTTTAAACTTGGTGTGGTGATTTTTTCTTTCCTAATATATTGTTACAGATTTACTCCGAGCATAATTTAGCCTCCATTCTCACAGGTTTTGAGGTGACTAAATGTCATTAAGTTAAATGTATATTTAATTTCCATTGTACTTCTTTTTTAAGACCATGAGTTATTTACATGTACTTTCTAAAAATTTCCAAATATGGTGGTTTTCTAATATCCTTTTATTATCAACTTCTACCGTTGTTGAATTGTAGTCAGATACTCTATAATTTTAATCCTTTGCAATTGGTTGAGGCTTGCTCTGTGACTCAACTTATGGCCAGTTTATAAACATATAGATTATTATTATATTTTGCCAATGAAACATAGTGTCAAATGAGCACACGGTGCTTTCAGAGACATAAGTAAATGTTTTTTGAATTTTTGGTTTTTGGTTTTTTTTTTTTTTTTGAGATGACGTTTTGCTCTTGTTGCCCAGGCTGGAGTGCAATGGTGTGATCTCAGCTCACTGCAACCTCTGCCTTCTGGGTTCAAGCAATTCTCCTGCCTCAGCCTCCTGAGTAGCTGGGATTACAGGCGCCCTCCACCATGCCTGGCTAATTTTTTGTATTTTTAGTAGAGATGGGGTTTCGCCATGTTGGCCAGGCTGGTCTCAAACTCCTGACCTTCAGGTGATCCACCCGCCTCGGCCTCCTAAAGTGCTAGAATTACAGGTGTGAGCCACTGTGCCCAGCTGAATATAAATATTTTACATATATATAATTTTTCTCCTTATGTCCCTGAAAACAATGTCTGTTCTTTTGACAATTCTTGGGCATACTGTTTGAATCTTTTGTGGCTATTTTGTTATTTACTGAGAAGAATGTACTGAAATCACACACGATTATAATAGATTGTGTATTTCTCCTTGAATTATGAATTTATTTCTTTATATGTTTTGATTCCATATTAATAAGTTTATACACATTTGGAGCCTGTATCTTATTGGTAAATTGAGCTTTCAGCTTTTTAGAAATGTCAATCTTTAATAAGATTTTTTGTTAAAAGCCTATTTTTTTTCTGATGAATAATAGCATTATGTCAACATTGTTATGGTGTTCACATAATGTATGTTTTTTATTCTTCTAATACATCCCACTTTGGATTTGTTGAGCTTTTAACTTTGTGACTTGTTGGTTTTCATCAGGTTTTTTTGAAGTTCTCATTATCTCTTTAAATGTTCCTTCTTCCCCTATTCTTAGTACTTTCCTTCTGAGAGTCCAGTTAAACATAATTAGACCTTCTTACTCCTAATTTCTCTGTCCTCTCCCTTCTCTCTTCTTTTGCCTCTCCGTTCACTCCTTAAGTCAGCCATGTCTCTTTTTATACTTTACACCTGATCCACTGAAATTCCCAATCTTATCACTGTTTAACATAGCATAGTTTTCAATGCTGTGTTAAATGCTATGTATTGTATCTGATAAATCCATTATCTAGAGCTCTTGTGGGTCTTGTTTCTATGGCATAGTGGGTCTTTTTTTCTGCTGCTTGTTGTTCCTGTGGTCTTCTTACGGGCATGGGTTTGTGTTTTAGACATTATATTTAAGAAATTGTATGAGTCAGTTTAGGCCTAAGGTGGTGGTTTACTTCACAGGAATTTTTATTTATTTATTTATTTATTTTGAGTCAGGGTCTGTCACTCAGGCTGGAATGCAGTGGTTTGACACTATAGCCTCAAACTCCTACATTTCAATGATCCTTCCATCTCAGCCTCCTGAGTAGCTTGGATTACAGGTATGAGCCACCATGTTCAGCCCATGCTTTACAGATTTTCTTTTGTTTTTGCCGGGTACCTAGGGGAACTAATAAACCAGAAACACCTTAATTCAATTTATGAAGGGATTAATATTATATAGGAAGCTAGCCTGCCATCCCCATAAGGGCTAGTTCATTATTTTCAGGCTGAAATTCTCTGAGGATTTCACCCAAGCAGATAGGAATATTTGTCCCCATAGTCCTACAAAGTCATTAAAAGTGGTATTCAACTCTGTCAATTTCCCAAGGGAAAATGGCCCCAAATGCCAAGCTTGCCTCAGAACTTGTCTTCTTGATTCTGGCCTGCTAATACTGTTTTGGTTCTGTTAAGTCTTGAAGCGGATATTGTTCAGCTTTTCTAATTGTTGTTAGCTGGGTAGTTGGTTAAAACTCCCTATTATTAGACATCCCTATTATTAAAATTGGAATTTAGCAATAAAATAATCTGTGATCCTTTGAATCACAGAACATATCTAATATTTAATGTTTCTTACATCTTCCCCACTATCTGTATAGTAACTAGACATTGCCAGTTCTAAGTGCCACCCAGAGACAGTCACAATCTCAATTTTACTTAGAAAAAACTCTCCAATAAAATGCTATATTTTCAATTTCTAAATCTTTTTGGGGGTTTTTTTTTTTTTTTTTTTTTTTTTGGACAGAGTGTCGCTGTTGCCAGGCTGGAGTGCTGTGGTGTGATCTCTGCTCACTCCAACCTCCGCCTCCCAGGTTCAAGCAATTCTCCTGCCTCAGTGGCCCAAGTAGCTGGAACTACATGTGCGTGCCACCACGCCCAGCTAATTTTTGTATTTTTAGTAGAGACAGGGTTTCACCATGTTGGCCAGGATGGTCTCGATCTTTTTTTTTTTTTTTGAGACAGAGTCTCGCTCTGTCGCCCAGGCTGGAGTGCAGTGGTGCGATCTCAGCTCACTGCAACCTCCGCCTCCTGGGTTCAAGCGATTCTCCTGCCTGAGCCTCCCAAGTAGCTGGGATTACAGGCACGTGCCACCAGCCACCACGCCTGGCTAATTTGTTTTGTATTTTTAGTAGAGAGGGGGTTTCACCATGTTGGTCAGGCTGGTCTCGAACTCCTGACCTGGTGATCCACCCGCCTCGGCCTGCCAAAGTGCTGGGATTACAGTCATGAGCTACTGCGGCCAGCCTCTATTTCTAAATCTTAAAAATAGCCTTAGCCAGGCATGGTGGCATGTGCCTGTAATCCTAGCTACTCAGGAGGCTAAGCTGGCAAGATTGCTTGAGCCCAGGACTTTAAGGTTGCAGTGAGCTATGATCACGCTACTGCACTCCAGCTTGGGGACACTGATTAAAATATCAAGTGTCTCCTATGAAACTGGCTTCAGTGAAAAGTGGAGCTAGTAAGACGAAAACTAAAGAAAGATCAAATGGCAGCCAGAGTGACTAATAACAGTATGTTCTCATAATCTCAGCATACTTAGTTGTTGAAACAAGCTAGATAGATAGATGATATATCATGTGTTCTTCCTTCCATAGACTAAGATTTACATGGACCAGAGCCCAGTCTGTATCCTGCTGAAGGAAATTTTTAAAAATGCTTTGATGGACTTAACTATTAATGAGAAAACTTCACTAACAAACATTCAAGAACGTGGGGACTAGTGTAGCTCTGTTACCTCCCTTTCCCCAAGGGAATATAAAAAGTAAAATAGAGACCTGTCAGTGGGCAAACCTAGTTCATATCTCCTTTTTCTAATATCAAGTTATCTCACATTTAGATCTATACTGTATTTTGAGTTGTTTTTGTATATGACTTTGAGGTGTTAGGGTTTTTTAATTCATTTGATCCAATGCCATTTGTTGAAAAGAGTGTTTGTTTTCCTCATTTAATTGGCACCTTTGTAGAAATCTGTTTAAAATGTTGGTTTATTTCTGGATTCTCTATTCTGTTCTATTGATATGTACGTGTCTTCTTACACCAATAGTGTACCATCTTGATTACTGTAGGTTTACCATAAGTTTGAAGTCTGGTAATGCAAGTTCTGTGCCTTTGTTCAATGGCCCCTTTAATTACCCTGGGACCACAGGCATGTACTGGATATCTTGGGCAAATGAAGATATATTGTCACCCAACCTGTAACTGACACAGGACTAATATCCAGAATATATAAAGAACTCTTAGGAAAACAAAATATTTTTATTAGCCCTTAACAGAAGAAAAACCCAAATGGCAAATAAATACATGAAAATGAACATACTGTCCACCAGATTGGCTAATTGGAGAAGGTATGCATAAATGAGCTCCCATATATTGCTGGTAAAAACCACTATGGAAAACTTTGGCATTAGTTAGTGCAACTGACAATATACATATTCCTATATCCAGCCATTCTAAATCTTAAACATAAATAGACAAGTTGACAGCAGTATATTCATAAAAAGAAATACAAGGAGAAAAGATACCTTTATATGGAAAAAACATTGGTAAAAACATTAAAGAATCAGACAAAAGGATATGTAACATACGTTTCTGTTTATAGTTCCCAAACAGGCAAGATTATTATATTTTGTTTAGGGATGTATACATAACTGTTAAAGTATAAAGCAAAGCAAAGACATCATTGCCCACAAAGTTAAAATAATGGTCAGCTTTGGGAAGGGAGGGCGAGGGATATCAGTGATTTGGTAAGCAGGGAACTTACTAAGTTTTACAAATGTTCTGTTTTTTGAGTTGCATTATGATTACATGTGTCTGTTGTAAAATAACTTGTTATGCTGTACATTTTATTTTTGCACTGTGCTTGGACTATACAGCAGCAAGAAGAATAGGCAGCTACATGTCTTCATTCCCCATGGAAAGATTACAAGTAGAGACTGACTAAAGAAAACTTTATGGGAACTCTGAAAGGCAAAGGTCTACAAGAACCAAGCTAATGCCCAATCAAGGAAAAGTCACATTCAAAATGGTAAGAAATTTTGTGGTAGTTTTACTCAGGCTTGCCCCACCCTCTCCACAGTGTGGTAGTGTTGGGAGGAAGCAGCAGCCCAGGTACCAGTGACCTCCCTCAAGTAGGAGGGAGCAGGACAGATCTTATTTGCAACATTTTGGGGGCTGCTGAAGAACTGGTCTCTGTTTTGCCTAACTTGGAGCTTGGATGAGGAAAAGTGGTATACTTAGAGCGCAGCCTTGGAAAAGCCATAGAAAGTGGTGGGTAACTGAAAGCTGCAGGACTGCAGACCTATGGACTAGAACAAGGTACAGGAAGACTCTTTGGAAAAGTAAAAAATTTAAAAGCGTGGTGTAACAGAATAAAAACAAATACACACAGGGCCTCAGGCAAGACCCTTACCAAGCAAAGTCCTGGAGGGTCTTTGGGGCTTCATCGTGGGATGATGCTAAAGGTCAGAACACATCTTACTAGTGAGTGGAGGTCCCTCCTGGCATGGAGCCAGTCTGCAAAGACTGGGAAACTTGGCTGTTTTTCAGATGTCCAGTTTTCAACAAAAGATCACAAGGCATACAAAGAACAAAACATGGTCTATTCATAGGAAAAAATGTGCAGAAACTGTCCCTTAACCTAAAGCATCAGATGTACTAAAGACTTCAAAATACACTCAAAGAACTAAAGGAGAACACAGAAAAACCAAACAAAATTGGAAATCAACTAAGAAATTATTTTAAGCACCAAATTCCAACAGGCACTTCAGGACAGCTGACTAGAAGCATTTAGTAGTTGCCGCCTCCACCAAGAAGAACCACAGTGGTGAGTAGATAATCACACTTCAAATAGATCATCCAAGAGAGAATACTGGAAGTCAACAGCAAAGGGATAGGAAATACTTAAGAAGGAAGTGGGAACGCCTGCCTGTCCAGGAATGTCTAGCAGTCAAAAGGGACTCCCCAGTACAGGGAAAAGGTAAGTGACAGACCATCAGCAGTCCACATTTCTACCATGGACTCCTGCAACCCTACCATGGGAGAGCCCCTTGATCGTCACAGGCCCTGAAATTAACATAGGGAGCTGCCAGGAGATTATACTATGGCACTGCTTCAGGGAGGAAGCTCACACTGGGTTTCACACACACCTTAAGACGTAAGCAGCTAAAGCAAGGCACTGTCTTAGAGCCTCCCAACAGTAGACCATGTATGTTCTGGAACCCAGCAATGCCAGGGCTTGAGGCACAAGAGAAGTATGGCTGCTGCTTCTAGGGTTTAGGCATGAGCAACCTTGGGCAGTCATACCAGGTCTGAGGCATGGGTGAGGCACAGGCTACCCCAGCATAAGCTATTGCATGAGTGATACACGTGTTCCCCATCTGCTGGCCTAGGCTGCCCACCACTGAAGGCTGCTGCCACCTACCACCAAAGCATTCCACAGGTGGCTGGCAAGCATACTCCTGCCTACCATGGTTGGCACCTGAACTCACCACCAGGCAGCCTGAAGACAAGCCCACCTGGCCTGGCTTCACCTCCCCCTGACCCTGTGCCACAGCGTCACAGTACACAATCCAAGGACCAAAGGATTGCTTAGTACACTCCACCCCCATTGGCACCTGAACACTCCTGCAAGGGGCCTGAGGTTGGGCCTACCCACCAGGCCACTACCAGCACTGATGCACACCACTTGGACCCAGATTGTTGTCCTACCACTATTCCCGTCATTGCCCATGCCATGCCAGCCACCCAGGGGACCAAGAACCTGCCTGACTGACTCATTGCTGCCACTATTAGCGCTTGAGTAAGCCACCTGGAGGCCCAAGAATTAGCCTGCATGGACCCACTAACACCAGTGCCAGCTTCCCTTGCCTTGAGCCAAGTGCAGACACAGCCCACTGTTGCCAGTAATGGAGCCAAAAGACTAACCAACATGGCATACCAGGCCCCAGCAAAACATCACCAAAGCCTCCACTAATAACCTCACTCTAAGCCACCAAGGAAATCACAGATACCATTGACTCCATTTACTACTGAATAAATGATACAGTATGCTACTGCGTACACCCAGAATCAAAGGGAAAGTGTCCTACCCAACCAGCATCATAGACACACCTTCAGGAAAAAGTCCTCTACAAAAGCAAAGTCAAAAATTTGGAAGAAGCAACTGTTATACCGATGTATAGATATCAACATAGGAACAAAGAAAACATGAAAAGTCAAGGAAATTTGACAGCTCTAAAGGAACACTAATTCTGCAATAACAGATTCCAATCAAAAATTCATAAAATCCAGGGGAAAAACTGATTCTAAAGCAGCTCAGTGAGATACACAAAAACTCTTAAAAAAAAAAAACCAAAAATGTAAAGATATGAATGAGAAATTTACCACACAGATCGATGATATCATAAAAAAGAAAAAAGCCAATTCTGGAATACAAGAATTCATTGGATGAAATACAAAATACATCCAAAATCTTAAACAACCAATTAGGTCAAGCAGAAGAAATAATCTCAGAACTTGAAGACAAGTCTTTTGAAATAACTCAGGCAAAAATAGAAAATAAAAAGTAATGAGCAAAAACTTCATGACATATGGGACAACACAAAGCAATGAAATACTTGAATTATCAGGGTCCCAGAAGGCAAAGAGGGGAGAACTTTTCTAGTCTAGCAAGAGATTTAGATATCCAGATACAGGAGATTCAGAGATCCCTAAACAGATAACAGTGCAAAAAGGTCCTCTCCATAGCACATTATAGTCAAACTCAAAAGTCAAAGACAAGGAGAGAATTCTAAAAACAAGAGAAAAGTGTCTAGTACCTATAAAGGAACTCCCATCAGAATAACAGCAGACTTCTCAGCAGAAATGTTACATGCCAAGAGAGAATAGGATGATGATATATTCAAAATGCTGACAGAAAAAAAAAAGCCCTGACAGCCAAAGATACTATATCCAGAAAAATTATCCTTGCTAAATAAAGGAAAAATAAAATATTTCCTAGACAAGCAAAAGCTGAGAGAATCACCACTACACCAGCCTTACAGAAAGGCTCAAGAGAATCTTAAACGTGGAAGGGAACAGATGCCATTTACCATCATGAAAACAGGAAAGTAAAAAACTCACTGGAAAAGCAAATGCACAAGTGAAAAGAACAAACTCACATGGTACCACTACAGAAAACCACCAAACCACAATTACAATAAGAGAAAAAGAACAGGCCAGGCACAGTGGCTCATGCCTGTAATCCCAGTACTTTGGGAGGCCGAGGGGGGGATCACAAGGTCAGGAGATCAAGCCCATCCTGGCTAACATGGTGAAACCCCGTCTCTACTAAAAATGCAATAAATTAGCCGGGCATGGTGGTGGGCACCCATAGCCCCAGCTACTGGGGAGGCTGAGGCAGGAGTATGGCAAGAACCTGGGAGGCAGAGCTTGCAGTGAGCCGAGATCGCACCACTGCACTCCAGCCTGGGTGACAGAGCAAGACTCTGTCTCTAAAAACAAAAACAAAAACAAAAAAAAAACAAAAAAAGAATATACAAAACAACCTAAAAACAACAGTATGACAGAAACAAAACCTGACATACTAGTAATAACCTTAAATGTAAATCAGTTAAATATTGCATTTAAAAGATATAGACTGCCTGATGGGTAAAAAAACATAACCCAACTGTATGCTAACTACAAGAAATGCACTTTACCTATAGAATTACAACAAAGAGAAGGGAAAACATACTCCATGCAAAGAGACAGACTCCAATACAATAATAGTGGGGTGCTTCAACACCCTACTCTTAAGCATTAGATCATCTAGACAAAAAAAAACAGCCAACAAAGAAACATTGGATTTAAACTGACCTTTGGATCAAATGGGCCTAACATTAACACAGAACATTTTATCAAACATTTGCAGAATACACATTCTTCTTTTTAGCACACAGAACATTCTCCAAGATAGACCATATTTTAGGCCAAAAAAATAAGCCTCAACAAATTTAAAGTATCTTTTCAGACCACAATGGGACAATACTAGAACATAATGCTAAGAGGAATTTTGAAAACTATACACACATATAGAAATTAAATAACATGATCCTGAACAACCTAATTAGGTCAATGAAGAAGAAATAAAAACATTTATTGAAACAAATGAAAGTGGAAATACAACATCTTCAAACCTGTGGGATACAGGAAAAGCAGTACTAAAAGGGAAATTTATAGCAATAAATGCCTGCTGCAAAAAAGATTTCAACTAAAAACTCTAATGATGCACTTCAAGGAACTAGAAAAACAAAAACAAACCTAATTGAAAATTAGCAGAAATAGGCCAGGAATGATGGCTCACGCCTGTAATCCCAGCACTTCGGGAGGCCAAGGCAGGTGGATCACGAGGTCAGGAGTTTGAGACCAGCCTGGCCAAGATGGTGAAACCCAGTCTCTACTAAAAATACAAAATTTAGCCGGGTCTGGTGGCGGCTGCCTGTAATCCCAGCTAGTCAGGAGGCTGAGGCAGGAGAACTGCTTGAACCCAGGAGGCAGAGGTTGCAGTGAGCTGAGATCGCACCACTGCACTCCAGCCTGGGTGACAGACCAAGAGTCAGTCTCAGAAAAAAAAAATTACCAGAAATAAAGATCAGAGGCGAAGTAAATGAAGTAGAAAGTTAGAAAATAACAAAGAATCAATGAAATGAAGTTGGTTCTTCAAAAAAAAAACAAAACTGATAAACTTAGCTAGAGTAAGAGAGAAGACCCAAATAAAATTAGAAATGACGAAAGAGATATTACAACTAATACCACAGAAATACAAAACTTCCCAGACACTTATATGAACAATATGCTAACAAACTGGAAAAATCTAGAGGAAATGGATAAATTCCTGGACACATACAACCTAACAAGATTGAAACAGGATGAAATCAAAAACCGGAAGAGACCAATAACAGGTAATGAGATGGAAGCAGTAATAAAGTCTTCTGACAATGCCCAGCACTGGATGGATTCACTGCCGAATTCTACGAAACATAAAAAAGAACTAATACCATAGCTGCATGTGCTGGCATGCTTGTAATCACAGCTACTCTGGAGGCAATCCCAACTACTCAGGAGATTGAGGTAGGAGGACTGCTTGAGCCCATGAGTTTGAGACTAGCGTGGGCAACACAGTGAAACCCCATCTCAAAAAACAAAAACAAAAGTAATACCAGTCTTTCTCAAACTATTCCAGAAGATTAAAGCATCAGGGATTCTTCCTAACTCATTCTATAAGGCCAGCATTACCCTGATTTCAAAAAGAGATAAGGACATAACAGCAACAACAACAAAAAAATTGACAGGCCAGTGTCCCTGATGACTCTAGATGCAAAACTGAACAAAATACTAGCAAAGTGAATTCAAGAACACATCAAAAAGATAACACACCATAATCAAGTGGGATTTACCTCAGGGATGCAAGGATGGTTCAACATACACAAATCAATAAAAGTGATACATCACATCAACAGAATGAAGGACCAAAAGCATAGGATCATCTCAATAGACACAGAAAAAGCATGTGATAAATTTCAAGATCTCTTCATGACTAAAGACTCAACAAACTAGGTATAGAAGGAACATGTCAAAATAAGAAAGGCCATATATGAAAAACCCATAGCTAACATCATACTAATGGAAAAGTGTTAAAGGCCTTTCCTCTAAGAAATGGAACAAGACAAAGATACCCATTTTCACTACTCCTATTCAACATAGTACTGGATGTACTAGCCAGAGCAATCAGGTAAGAGAAGAAAATAAAAGACATCCAAATTGGAAAAGAGGAAGCCAAACTGTCCCACTTGGCATATGACACAATCTTATATTTAGAAAATGAAAAGAATCAACCAGAAAACTATTACAGCTGATAAGCAAATTGAGTAAAGTTGCAAGATAAAAAAGCAACATACAAAAGTCAGTGACATTTGCCTACACTGATAATGAAATAGCCAAAAAGGAAATCAAGAAAGCAATTCCATTTACAATAGCTACAAAAATAATAAAATACATAGGAATATATTTAACAAAGGAGGTGAAAAATCTCTACAAAACACTGATGAATGAAGTTGAGGAGGACAAAACAAATGGAAAGACATTTCATGCTCACGGATCAGAAGAAGAATGTTAAAGTGAGCATGCTTCCCAAAGCAATATACAGATTAAATGCAATCCCTATCAAAATACCAGTCATTTTTTACAGAAATAGAAAAAAAAAATCCTAAGATTCATATAGAACCAATAAAGAGCTAGAATAGCCAAAGCAATCCTGACCAAAAAGAACAAAGGTGGAGACATCACACTACCTAACTTCAAATTATATTACAAGGGTATAGTATCCAAAACATCATGGTATTGGCATGAAAATAGACACATAAACCAACGGAACAGAACAGAAAACACAGAATAAATCCATGTATTTACAACCAGCTGAAATCCTAGCACTTTGGGAGGCCAAGGTGGGCTGACTGCTTGAGTCCAGGAGTCTGAGACCAGCCTGGGAAACATGGCAAAACCATGTCTTTACAAAAAATAGAAATCAGCTGAGCATGGTGGTGCATGCCTGTCATCCCAGCTACTGAGGAGACTGAGAGGTAGGAGGAGCACTTGAGGCTGGGAGGTCAAGGCTGCAGTGAGCTGTCATCACACCACTGCACTCTAGCTTGGGTGAAAGATTTTTTTTGCCTTAGTCTAGGGAAGACTTTATGTCTAAAACCTCCAGTGCACAGACAACAAAAACAAATGGACATACCTGGTTATTCCTTCCAGTAACATAAAAAATAGACAAATGGGACTCTATTAAACTGAAATCTGCACTGTAAAAGAAACAGTGAAGACACAAACCTGTTGAATAGGAGAATATATTTGCAAACATCCTCTGACAAAGGACTAACAGGCTACATAAGGAACACAACAATTTGTGAAAACACCATTAAAAAGTGGGCAAAGAACTGAATAGATAGTTCTCAAAAGAAGACATACAAATGGCCAATAAGTACATTAAAAAGGCTCAACATCATCAGTCATCAGGGAAATGCAAACCAAAATCACAGTGAGATATCTTATCTCAGAATGGCTAATCATTAAAAGACAGATGCTGGCAAGAAGGCAGAGAAGAGGCAACTCTTACCCACTCTTGGTGGGAATGTAAATTAGTATAGTCACTATGGAAAACAGTATGGAGATCTCTCAAAAAACTAAAATTAGAACTACCACACTATCCAGCAAACCCATTACTGGATATCTATCCAAAAGGAAGGAAATCAGTCTACCAAAAGGATACCCTCATTTACATGTATATTGCAGCACTATTCACAATAGCAAAGATATGGAATCAACCTAAGTGTCCATCGATACATGAATGGATAAAGAAAATGTGGTATATATACACAATGGAATACTATTTGGCCATTAATAATGAAATCATGTCATTTGCAACAACATGGATGGAACTGGAGGTCATTATGTTAAGTAAAATAACACGGGCACAGAAAGACAAATACAACATGTTCTCAGTTGTGTAGGACCTAAAAACTTGATATCATGGAGATAGAGAATAGAATACCAGAGGTGGGGAGTGTGTGACTGGGAAATGAAGAGGCTGGTGAATGGGTACAGACTTAGATAGAATACATCCTAATGTTCACTATTAGAGTAGGATGATTATAGTTAGCAACAATATATTGTATATTTCAAAATAACTAGAAGCGAGGATTTGAAATATTCCCAACACATAGAAATGAAAAATAACCTGACAGATACTCATATTACACGTGTAATATGTGTAATACTCATGAGTATTACACATATTACATATTCTATGTATGTGCTCCATAAATATGTAAAACATTGTGTCAATAAGAAAAATAAACCAGATTTCATCACTGAAAAAAATCACAATTGAAAAATTGACAAGAGACATTTAACAGACTCAGAATCATAAACCTAGTCACTGGAAATTGATTCTGAGAAGCAAAAAAGAGAAAGGGATAAAGAAATGTGAACAGAACCTAAGGGACACCATCAAGCAAACCAACATATGCATTAAAGGAGTTCCAGGAGGAACAAAGACAGGCAGCATGATGGAGGAGACAAGGGCAGAAAACATCAAATTTGAAGAAAGACATGAATCTACAAATCCAAGAATTTCATTAAATTCCAAGTAGGATAAACTGAAAGGGACCTGCACTAACACATTATAATCAAACTGTTAAAGCCAAAGAGAGAATCTTGAAAGCAGCAAGAGATATGACTTGTCACATATAAGCAATCCTTAATAAAATTATCATCAGATTTCTCAGCAGATACCTGGGTAGCCAGGAGGCTGTGCCATGATATATTTAAAGTGCTGAAAGAAAAGTCTCAGCAAAGAGTTCCATATCTGACAAAACGGTCCTTCAAAAATGACCGAAATTAAGACATTCTCCCAAATGTCTTAATTATTTCGGGAGACATGTCTCCCAAAATTAAGACATTCTCAGAGAAAGCAGCAGCTGGGGGCGAGTTCATTACTACTAGACCTGCCCTTCAAGAAATTCTGAAGGGAATCCTAAAATTTAAAATGGAATGCTTCAGATAGTAACTGTAAGCCATACAAAAATATGGAGATCTATAGTAAAAGTAAATACATGGACAAATTGGTTGGTATAAATATAACAGACTATTGCAACTTTAGGCTGCTAATGTAATCTCTGTGTTAACCACAGAGAAAACAGTCCTAGAATACAGATCAAGGAAATGAGAATTAATTACAAGAGAAAAAAAATGGCTCAACACAAAAGGCAGTAATGGAGGAAATGAGGGGCATGACACATACAGAAAACAACGAAATTACAAAGTCGGTCCTTCCCTACCAGTAATTTCTTTTTTTATTTTTTGAGATAGAGTCTTGCTCTGTCACCCAGGCTGGAGTGCAGTGGTGCAATCTCAGCTCACTATACCCTTTCGCCTCCCAGGTTCAGGCAATTCTCTGCCTCAGCCTCCCAAGTAGCTGGAATTACAGGCATGCACCACCACACCCAGCTAATCTATGTATTTTAGTAGAGATGACATTTCGCCATGTTGGCCAGGCTGGTCTTGAACTCCTGGCCTCAAGTGATCTGCCTGCCTCAGCCTCCCAAAATGCTGGGATTACGAGTGTGAGCCATTGCACCCCGCCCAGTAATTTCTTGAAATGTAAATGAATGGAACTCCAATTGATAGACACATTTACAGAATGGATTTTTTAAAAAGATTACAACTATGTGCTGTCTACAAGAGACTCATATTTAGATGGAAGGAGATGCATACGTTCAATGTTAAAGGATGGAAAAAACAGTAATCACAGAGAAGTGGCTATGCTAGTATTAGACAAAATAAGTCAAGCACTGTTTCAAGAGAAAAGGACATTATATATTGATAAAAGGATTAACTTACCAAGAAGATAGAACAATTATAAGCATCATGCATCAAATATCAGGGCTTCAATATATATAAAGCAAGCATTGACAGACTTGAAGGGAGAAATACTGTTCTACAATAACAGTAAGAGAGTTTCATACGCCACTTTTAATGATGGTTAAAACAACCTGACAGGATCAATAAGGAAACAGAGGATTTGAACAATGTGATAGGCCAAATGGACCTAACGTACAGATCACCCAACAACCAGAGAATGTATACTTTTCTCAAGTGTACATGGATTATTCACCAGAATAGATCATGTTAGGCCACAAAGCAACTCTTAATACATTTTAAAGGGCAGAAATGATAAAGTATCTTCTTTAATCACAATGCAATGCAATTAGAAGGAAAACTGGGAAATCCAAATGAACACACTTTTAAGCAACCAATGTGTCAAATAAGAAATCACAAGGCAAACTATAGAATATCTTGTGACAAATGATAGTAAAATCACAATATGACAAAACTTACAGGATGCCATGAAAGCACTGCTGAAAAAGAAATACATATTAATAGCTGTAAACACATTTAAGAAGATCTCACATCAACAACCTAATTTTACAACGTAAAGAACTAAAACTAAACCCAAGGCTAGCTGAAGGAAGGAAATAAAAATTAGAGCAGAAATAAAGAACAGAAACATACAGAAAAAAAAATCAACAAAACCAAGAGTTAATTTGTCAAAAAGATCAACAAAATTGACAAACCTTTAGCTAGATTGACAAAGAAAAAAAAATAACTAAAATTAGAGATGAAAGTGAAGACATTACTACCAGTTCTACAAAAATAAAAAGGATCCTAAGAATACCATGAACAATTGTATGCCAACAAATTGAATAACCTAGACGAAAGGGACAAACTCCTAGAAACACACAACCTACCAGGATTGAATAATAGAGAAACAGAAAATCTAATTCATCTTATGAGGCCAGCATGCTCCGGTACCAAAGCCAGAAAAGACACAAGACAACTACAGATCAACAACCATTATGAATGAATATTGATTCAAACATCTTCAGTGTAATACTAGCAAAGCAAATTCAACAGCATATTTAAAGGATTATTCACCATGAGAACATGGAGTTTACTCTTAGAATGCAAGGTGGTTCAACATATGAAAGTCAGTGCAATGCACCACACATTAACAGAATAGAGGGGGGGAACCACTTGATCAACTCATGCAGAAAAAGCATTCTGACAAGATACAACACCCTTTTATAACAAAAACACTCAGCAAAATAGAAGTAGAAGGAAAGTACCTCAACATAATGAAGTCCATATATGAAAAACCCACAACCAATCTCATAATAGTGAATGGCTGAAACCTTTTCCAGTAAGATCAAGAACAAACAAGGATTTTTTTTTTTTTTTTTTTTTTTGCCTCCTTCCTTCAACACAGTATTTGAAGTTCTAGGTACAGCAATTAGGCAAGAACAAGAAATAAAAGACATCCAAATTTGGAAGAAGTAAAATCTGTTAGCAAATGACATGATTGTATCTAGAAAATCCTAGATCCCACACACCCCCCAAAAAACTGTTAGAATAAACAAATTCAGCAAAGGATACAAAACCAATGCACAAAAATCAGTATTATGTGTTTTTTACGAAATGAGGTCTTGTTATGTTGCCCAGGCTGGAGTGCAGTGGCTATTCACAGGAGCAATCATAGCATGCTGAAATCTCAAACTCCTGGGCCCAAGCAATCCTCCTGTCTCAGCCTCCTGAGTAGCTGGAACTATAGGCATGTGACACTGTGCCTGGCACTTACACTTTTATATGCCAACATTGAACAATCCAAAAAGGAAACTGAGAAAGATCTACTTACAGTAGTACCAAAAAGAGTAAAATACTTAAGAATTAAACTTAACTGAGGAAGACTTGCCCAGTGAAAACTACAAAACATGCTGAAAGAAATTAAGACAGATAAATAAATGGAAAGATATTCTG
This sequence comes from Homo sapiens, assembly GCF_000001405.40. Classification (NCBI taxonomy): domain Eukaryota; kingdom Metazoa; phylum Chordata; class Mammalia; order Primates; family Hominidae; genus Homo; species Homo sapiens. The sequence continues at coordinate 31,658,479 of NC_000003.12, forward strand.
GTTAACAGATTGGAAGACTTACTGTTAAGACAATGCTACTCAAAGGGATCTACAGATTCAATGCAATCCCTATCAAAATCCCAGAGTTTTTTGCAAAAATAGAAAATTTCATCCTAAAATTCACATGGAATCTTAAATGACCCTGTACAGACGAAACAATATTGAAAAAAGAATAAAAAAGTTGGAGGTCTCATACTTCCTAATCTTGTAACTTGCTACAAAGCTACAGTAACTAAAAGAGTGTGGTACTGGCATAAAGACTGACATCGACCATTGGAAAAGAATAGGCCATAAATAAACATTCGTGTATATAGCCAGTGATTTTCAACAAGGTACCAAGATCACTCAATGGGGAATGCAGAGTCTTTTCAACAAATGGTGTTGGGGAAACTGGATATCCACATGCAAAAGAATGAAGTTGGACCCTTATCTAACACCATATATAAAAACCAACTCAAAATGGATCAAAGTACCCCCTACCCCCCAGTAAGACCTAAAACTATAAAACTCTTAGAAGAAATCATAGGACAAAAACTTCACAGCATTGTATTTGTCAATGATTTCTTGGATATGACATCAAAAGCACAAGTACAAAGAAAAATAAATTAGACATTATCAAAATTAAATACTTTTGTACATCAGAGGACACCATTAACAGTGAAGAGGCAACCAAAGAGTCAGAAGAAAATATTTGCACATCATATCTGATAAAGGATTAATATCCAGAAAGGATTAATACCCATAAAGGACTCCTAAAACTCAACAAAAAGAACCTAATTTTAAAATGGGCAAAAGGATTTGAATAAACATTTCTCCAAAGATTTACAAATGGCCAAAACCACAAAAACACATGCTCAACATCACTAATCATTAGGGAAATATAAATCAAAACCACATTGAGATGGCACTTCATAGCCATTAGGATGGGGTTAAAGAAACAACAAAAGTAAAAACAAAATAATAGGTATTGGTGAGGATGTGGAGAAATTGGATCCCTTGTGCATTGCTAGTGGCATTGCAAAATGTGGCAGCCAGCTCTTGTGAGAAACTGTGTGGCAATTCCTTAAAACTTAAACCAGAATTTTCATATGATATAGCAATTCCACTTCTCAGTATATTTTTAAAATGCCAGGCTGGGCACAGTGGCTCACACCTGTAATCCCAGCACTTTGGGAGGCTCAGGTGGGTGAATCACCTGAGGTCAGGAGTTTGAGACCAGCCTGGCCAACATGGTGAAACCCCATCTCTACTAAAAATACAAAAATTAGCTGGGCATGGTGGCACACGCCTGTAATCCCAGCTACTCGGGAGGCTGAAGCAGGAGAATCGCTTGAACCCGGAAGGCAGAGGTTGCAGTGAGCAGAGATTGCGCGCCATTGCACTCCAGCCTGGGTGACAGAGTGAGACTCCATCTGGGAAAAAAAAAATAGTTAAAATGGTAGATTTTGTTACATATATTTTACCACAATAAAACATAATATGAACTCAGCAAGAAAATGAACAAATAGAGCAACAAGGATTGAACTAGAAAGAAAATATTGGCTCAAATAGGCAAACTAGGGTATGATTCAATTTTTACAAAAATGGGTAAAACCAATCACACTGTTTAGAAATACACACATAGTGTGTATAGTCTAAAAGAACAACAAAAAACCCATAAGGGGATGGTTATTCCAGGAAGGCATGGAGAGGGATACAATTGTATAGGGGCACAATAGTGGCTTTTAAGGTACTGGTAAACAGGTTTCTTTGCTTAAGCAGTGGCTACAAGGGTATTTATAATTATTCCTGGAGTACATATGTTTTATGTAAATCTCCTGACACATAACATTTCACAATTTTAAATGTACCCCTGGCCTCAAAAGAAAAGTGAGCCCTCTCCATGTTTTACTTCCCAGATGGTTTATGCTTTGTAGTCAGACTGGAAAATCCAACAACACAGTGATTACTTTTCAGTCTCATTGAGTTGAGTTTTCTTCTTTTTCTCAAAATAGCATTTGTTCCACTTTCTCTGTCAGAAATAAGATGGTTCCAGATACTTGATTCACCCAGATGCTTTAAAGACTGTGGACCTAAGTAGGCTTCTATTGTGACTTCTGGCAGTGACTCTTCTCGTGAAACAACACTCACTGGGTAGGAGTTAAATGTTCTTATGGACTTACCAGAAAATATTCATAAATGTTTATCTGGTACATTTTTAAATGTGTTAAATACTTTTTCCATATAGATATGATTGCTCTTCATATCAATAACTAGAAATATTTAACCAGGAAAAGTTGAGCTCACTTAGAGCCACCAATTTAATAGAACTGTTGAATCCCTGAAAATAAAACACAGACACAGATATGTATTCAATCGAAATATATTTGTCTAATATCTACAAAGTGTGAACAACTGGTCTTAAGAAAGCAGACAAAAGGCACAAAATTAGTATTACTACAGAGAAGCATTCATGCTATTTGGATTTGATAAATATTGGAGTGGCACAGTAAAAAATAAATTAAGCATTCAGCAAAAACCAGATATTTCATTTTTTCCTTGCTTTGTATTTTCGTCACTCCTTTGACCTCATGTGTAAAGGCTAAAAACTGAAATTTAACTGAAACCATGGAATATTTATGCAGGCGTTATGTATGTTTTAGTCACAGTGCTTTCTTGCAGAGTTTGGGTTAACCAGAGAGGTGCACTTGAGGAAAAAATAATCCACAGGAAATTCTCTTCTCTTTCCCCAAACTAAATACAAGATTGAGGCTGTGGTTGTGCATGTTTTCATGTGCATGCATGTATTTAACTTCTAAAGCCCTTTTTCATCACAAAAGAAGTCTCCATATGATTGACTGGTTTTCTGATGTAAAAGAAGCAACTTCTCAAAAATGAATGACTAGCGCTGTGACCATGAGAGACGGGTGGAAAACTCCTTGGTGGGCCTTGGCTCTTAGTTGTCCCAGAGGTGCTCCATCCTGCAAGGCTCTGGCATAAATCTTTAACAGCTTCCTGCCAACCCCCATCCAGCAGGAAATACTTGCTTATCTTTCTTGGGCGCGGACAGACAAAACACTGAGGTGGGGAGGGAGGTGAGAATCACAATAATTTTGAAATGATAACCACCCATACTTCTACCAGGAATGAGCCACTTTCTCCCTTATGGACAGTGATCGGGCCATGCCAGTTCACCTTCATTTTGACAGGAGTTGACTAAGTGAGAATATCTTTGTGAGTGTAAAACATTTTTGGCAAAGTGAAAAATAGAAAAACTTCAAACTTCATTGATAAAAAGGAGCTTATGATTACCCACTTTAACCTTGGTGAGTGCAGTATTTAAATGTGTAATCATACTCAGATGTTTACATAGTGCATGTGTGTGAACGTATACGGTGTGTACACACACGTGCCCCGAATGGCTCTTGAATAAATTCATTCCTCTAGCAGAGTGTGGGGGTGCACTTTTCATAGTATATAATTTCTCTCTCTCTCATCATTTCTTGGATGCTAATACAAGGTCTCAGTGAATGCCAACAAAACCCTGATACTCTACTACTTTAATATTCCTACAAAAACAGGGCTATACTGGAAAGCTCTGCACCTCCACCCCATCAGTGTGCTTTCCAGAGGGGATTGAAGTATACCCAGCCATCGCCCTGCAAGAGAAGAAAGGAGGCATTATTACATGGAGACCTCTCAACAGGGAAAAGGGGAAGCAAGGATAACCGCAGCCACTCTGTGTGTCTGCCGTGTCTTAATACCTCACACGCAGGCCAGGCTGCTGGCCTCAGTACCCCTCCTCAGCCCAGCTGCTCTTTGGAGATCTAGATGACCTTGACCTTCCTACCCTGGCATGGCAGGAGGAAACCCCAAGAAATGAGCAAAATAAAAGGGGAGCTTGGTTGGCTTCCATCGAGACTGATTACTTGGCCAAAAAAAAGAAGCACTTTGACAGTGGGACAAGAGAAAAGGAGAGTAGCTAGATGAATGGCCAGGGGAAAGAAAAGGCAAGGGTGTGCATACCAGTGACTTCCAGCCCACAGGGGAACACCCAACAAAGGCTCTCTCCAGCAGGCAGTAGTCACAAACAAATCAGCACACACAAGAAACACCATCAATCAAATATCAAGTGAGAAAAAGGCAAGAATTAAAATGGTATTAATACCATCTAGTTATGACTAGAAGGCACTATACTGAATAACTGTGCTGGTGTTCAGATGACTCTTATTCCTTACATGTTCCCAGCCCTTCTGTTATGGGCATACTGGCTTTTCTTAAACTCAGGAAGAACTGTAAATGTTTTTTCTTGTTGTTGTTGCTGTTTAATGCACAGCCTTCCACAGAAGCCAGACAAACTAGCTCTCTCAAGCTACTAGCTCCCTCAAGAGAAAAGGGAGCTAACCTCACAGAAGGATCTTTCAAGGTTTTACCTCACCTGGGCAGGGCTCCCACACAGGGTCCCCACTCAGTGACCCATAAAGGCAAAGTCTTCTCCAGGCAGCTTTCCTGTCTGAACCAGAATCCAACCTTGAAATCTCCTTCAGTCCACAGCCTGACTCTGGGGAGAACAGTGGTGGCTTCCTGCTCTTCCTGCTCTTAACCATGAATCCACCCCAGTTACCTACTATGTTGCCCTAACTCACTTCTCAGCCTCGTATATAGACAGAATAATCCCTCTTTGTAGCAGAAGTCAGGGGTTACCAGCACCTGGGCTAAGGAAAGCCCACAGATACATTTTGATTGCCTACTGGTATTTAAATTTTTTTAAATCTTTGACCATGCAAATATGAGATTTCTCATAAAAATTTAGATTTCTGGCTCCTCATGAACAACTAGACAATCTGTTTTATCACTGGAAGATGAGTGGCATCTGCCCCAGCCCTCACCGGCCTGCTCTTCATTGATGTTGCTGGGTTCCTGTGGGCCTGCTTTAAGACGTGTGGCTCCTACATTTTCATAATTTCCAATTCTGTTCTCAGAGTGCTTCCCAATCCCTCCACAACTTCAAGAGCATAAGGGCTTCAGCTGGGCACACAGTGCCCTGCCCACTTGCCCAGATATTATTTCTAGCTTCTAGTGTCACATTTGCAGGTGACAGCAACAGCATTTTAGGCACAGGACTCAGGCTGGCCTTCCCCTGCATGACTAGCCCTTGTGGCCCACAGGAGGCAAAGCTCTGAAAGGCAATTCTTCATCAGTGAGGGCTCCAGCCCACCCAGGTGTTGAGATGGCCTGTGAGGCACTCCTCAACTAATTTGTTACTAAAGATGATCTAACAGGTGCCATGATGATTTTCTTTTTAAAAATAGAACAGTATCCAGTCTGCAGTCCCATCGCGATCCCTCACAGGCAGGCTGACATGCTTTTCTGACATAGGGATACTGGAGGGGAAGTGTCAGTTGCTCAGTTCTGCCCTCCAGAAGGTTTCATGAATATTGTGGCAGAAAACCTGTCCTGAAGCCTTGTCCAAAGCTGGAGTCAGAACCGAGCTGCCCTAGTCCATCCCTTCCCCTGCCTGGTATTTATCCAGTCTTGGGGGCTCAGCAAGAAAAACCCATCTACCCTCTCAGGACAAGTTCTCTCCTGGGCAAGGGACCAATGACAGGCGGCAGAGTTACCTCCTGGATAAAATATTTGGGCTTCCATGGTGTGCGGAGGTTCTCGCGCTTCCGTTCCTCCACCCGTTGCTTCTCCTCCAGGTGCCGCTTCTGCTCGGTGGCTGCGTCAATGTCCCCCAGCCGCAGGTATCGGGTCACCTCCCGCCAGAGGTTCCTGGGGATGCGTGGAGGAGAGGAAACAATCAGCCAGGCCAGCTGGCTGCAAGCTAACGGAACTCTGCCAGGAGCAGCCAGAGCAGCGAGGGGCCGCCAGGCAAGCCCCCTCTGGGGTAGCTCATCCCAGATACCTCAAAGACCCCGAGAGCCTAGATTTGAACCCAGGGCTACCCAGCTCCACCTCTGTGTTGTTTCTACTCTCCGCTTGTACCAGGCAGCATGCCTTTCTCAGGGCCCGGAGATTCTGGGAATCAAATCTAATAGTAGTAGTTGGCATTCTGCTACTACTACAAACAACGGTAGCAGGCACATATGGCATTTGCCATATTTCTAAGCATTTTACATACATAAACCTCTTTAATCCTCACAGCAACCCAATGATATATTATAGACGGTAGATTCTTATCTCCATTTTACAGAGGAGAAAATTTAAGGTCCACATAAGGTTAGGTGACTTGCCCAAGGACACCACACTGGTAAATCAGAACAAGACCTGCTTTCCCACAAGGGAACCTGGAATTAGGGGTTAGAGGCTGATGCATGTGTGATGTGTGGGTATTTGTGTGTGCATGCTTATAGTGCGGGATCTCTCATCTCCCCCCATGTCTACACAAAGCCATTTCTCTGCTTCATGAATTCATTGTAGAACGCAGCCTAAAGGTAGTGAGGCCAGGCTGTTCAGCTCACTACCCCTCTTCAGCCCAGCTGCTCTTTGGACACTCAGATGACCTTGACCTTCCTACCCTGGCATGGCAGGAGGAAACCCCATGAAATGAGCAAAATAAAAGGGGAGCTTGGTTGGTTTACGTCAATCAAGGCTGACTACTTGGAAAAAAAAAGCACTTTGACAGTGGGACAAGAGAAAAGGAAAGAAGCTAGTGTTTAACACTAGTTTGTATTTGGCTTATGTTTAACACACAGCTTTCCTCCTCAGGATGTCCTTGGGACCAGCCTGTATTCAGACACACTCTGTTCTAGAGAGAAAGGAAAGGACCCATGATAAATCAGGACACCACCACCCAAGCACTTCCTCACTTAAATGCATCAGAAGGTCGGATTTCACAGACAAGGAACTGTCCGAATGCCAGGTGGTGGAGATTCCCTCCCTGGCTTCTAGAAAATGAGGCCCCTTCACCCAGGGGCAAGTGAATGCCCATCTTTAGGTCCTGGGCCGGGGAGCATATCTACAGCGGGTGTCCTTAACCCTTTCCCCAGCAAGGGCTCAGAGCAGCAGGAAGGCTTGAGTGCTGGCATGGTCAGGCAGAGGACAGACAGATGGGGCTGCCAGTGAACTAGGGACAGCCAGCAGCACCTCCTGGGGGTACAGATGCCAACAGAAGAAACCCCAGCTGCACACACACAAGAAAACTGCTGGCACTGAGAGATAAGCCAGATCTGATTGGTCTCTCAGTCCCTCCTCTTTCCACTGTACCCTCATAACTGATTTAAGAGGAAAGACTCGCCCAAACAGTAAGGCTGGGTGAGGGAAGAAAATGAGGGGTGGGTGTTGGGTAAAATCACAGTAATTCTCATCACACAGCCTCAACACACACCTTACGCTGAGGGTGGGGCTGGGCACCAGGACAGCTGGGGTCAGGGGGTCCTCTGAAGGGCAGAACCTCCCATGGTAAGTCCCATCTTAAGACAGTGGCCCCAAGAGTAGAGGGCAGAGCGCCCAAAACCAGAGACAGGGTGATGGGACCAGAACCACAGACAAAGATCTCTGCCCAACATGAATAGGGACCCAACCAGGAGAGTCACTTGAGAGCAGGGAGGAGAATGGAGTGGAGGAGGCTCTGAACACCATGCTAAAAGAAAAAGGAGTCTCCAGGGTGGGGAGAGATGGCAGCAATTCAGTAAGAAAAGCCAAAGGAAGCTGAGGTAAGCTTGCTCTGAGGAGGGGAGGGCACCATGGCAGAGGTCGAGCAAGTGGCTGAGGCAGGGCAGGACTGGCATCCCTGGGTGCTGGCTCTGCCTTAAGTCATTGGGCCCCTGAGGGCTCTGGCCAAGGCAGAGTTTCTGCTCAGACCAAGCTCTGGGCCTTGTGAGCAGACTTACAGGTATGGGAAGACCGAAGACCACAGAATTATCTTCATTCTACCACTAATGGGACTGGAGTTCCCTTCCAGGAATTCTAGTTGGGGACTGGAGGCCTCACCAAGGGCTGGCACCACTGTGAGAGCTAAGACAACTGTTCTAACTGCTGGTCCACCTAGCCATGCTGATGGTCCCTCCTTTGCCTCTGCAGGGAAGGCCTAGCACACCCGGCTGGGAGAGTGAACACAGGTGCTCTGAGCAGCCACGGAGACTGGAACCAGCCACTCCACTCCTCAAGGCCGTTTCCTCTGCAGAGAACAAGGATGGGTGGGCTCAGTATCCCTATACAGCAGTCCCCCTTTACCTATGGAGGATACATTTGGAGACCCCCCAGCAGATGCCCAAAGCCACAGATAGTACCAAACCTATATATACTATGTTTCTTCCTATACATTACATACCTACGATGTCATTTAATTTATAATTAGGCATAGTAAGAGATTAATAAAATAGAACAATTATAACAATATACCATAATAAAAGTTATGTGAATGTATTCTCTCTCTGAAAATACTGTAATATTTTCAGGTGGTGGCTGACTGCAGGTAACAGAAACTAAAGAAAGCAAAATCACAGATAAAGGGGGCTACTGTAGCTTGTTCCCTATTTCAGTAAAATCCACATAAACAGACAAAAAGAGGTAGCACCTTCTCTCTTACTCTGGCACCAGACTCCATCCCTGCTCTAAGCTGAATTCTGCATTCCCATAGGCTAACAAGCAACAAAGAGTCTTAATAAGGAGTAGCTAAACTACTCTGATATCCTTGGAAGAAAAGTAGCAGGTGATCACAGTTTTGTTCTCAATAGCTGGATCAGAAACAACAGTCATGTCATGATATGAACCACAGGTTTCCCCATTCTGGGAATGCTTCATCAGAGGCAGTGTGGGCAAGGGGATGGGTTTCCTTCCTTATCGCAGCCTTTCCCTTGTCCTGCTACTGCTGCCCAACAGGATGGACTGAAAAAGACAACTGGTAAGAGTCCAAGCTCTCCAGTTAGACACAGAGAAAGGTTATGCTCACTGTCCTCAAATAAACTGATTAACAAGCAAGAGTGTACTAATTCTACAGCAAAGCAAAGGTTCCAGGGATACTGAAGCTCTGTTTCCATTAAACCCAGTTATTAATATAATGTATTATTTATACATACTGTGGTATCCCTGCTTTGTTTCCACTTACAAGAACTGTTTCTATTTGGTTACAAACTCTTGTAGTAATAGTAAAGCTTTCATAAAATCATTTGTAATTTCATTTTAACCCTGCATCGTATTTCTAAAGAGTGTATGCTCTTAGATTAGAGCAGCAGTTGGCAAAAATTTTCTGTAAAGGGCCAGAAAGTAAACATTTTAGGCTTTGCAGGCCATATGGTCTTGGTTGCAACTACCTAACTCAGCCATTGTAGCAGGAAGGCAGCCATAAGCCATATGTAAATGAATGATCATGGCTGTGTTCCAATAAAACTTTATTTACAAAATCAGCCTCAGGTTGGATTTGGCCCACAGGCCATAGTTTGCTGATGTCCTACATTAAAAAATAAAACTGGCATATTCCAAGGAGATTCTGCTTCTGTGCCTGCATAAACATCACATTAAGTGGCTGCATTATATTCATACCATAGTCACAGCATAGATATACAAACTGAATGGATACTTCGTAATTTACTTAACCATTTTCCAAATATTAGACAGGTGATTTCTTTCTTTTGTTGCTTAGTTTTCTTTAAAAAAAGAATAAACCATTTTATGTTGTTTAAATTTTTTCTGAATTTAAGAGTTTGCCCTGAGAACAGATTCTTAGAAGTAGAATGCAAGATTAAAATGGATTCATGAATTGAAAGCTACTGATCCATGCAGCTAAACTGCACACACTCCTACTAGAAGGACAGGGTATAGAGTGTCAATTTTACTACACCTTTCCCAGCATTTAATTTTTTTAATAATATTGCTAATCTGGCAAGAAAAAAATAGTATCTTATTGACTCACTGTGCAGTTCTTTGATTACTATCAACTCTCGGTATTTACCTTTGCAATTAAGCAACAGATCAGATGAGTTGACAAACTTTTGTAAGACAAGCAGTGAAGTCTGTCCTCACACCCCACCCCATGACTACAGAATGACGTAACTGAAAGCTGAAAGGTTCTGCTCCTAAGTGACACACAGTAGAAAATTAAAATATCTAAAGAAGCCAGTAGAACATGATTCCTGGCCTGTTTCCAGTCGCTAAGTTTCAAAGTCTTCTTTCTTCTCTGTCCCTTGAGTCAGGTGCCCAGCATGACTAAGCTGGAGAGGAAGACACAGCCCGGTTCTCACCTGGACTCCATGGGTCCCTGCTTCTCAAGAGGTCTGATCTTCTTGGGATACACTGGCAGTGTGGTTGTGTCGATGACTTTGGTTTCTCCATTGTTGTAGGTGAACTCTAAAGTACCATTCCATTCCCCATGGGCTTTACAAACAATGGTGTTGGTTGGGTTGTGCTTCACTTCTGCGGTAACCCTGAATTAATGAGTCAAATGAGTACACACTTTTCAAAATGATAAAAACAGAGACTTCAAAGGTACACCCATCTCTAGAGATTTTTTTTTTTAATCAGAAATGGGAAGGAGGGATTGTTTTTGCAGCTTTGCTCAAAGACTAGCTCTTAAAAGATGATCTAATATCCTTGAACAGCAAAAGAAAGCATCACTGGAAATAATAGTGAAATCTGAATAAAGTCTATAGATTAGTTCATAGTAATACAGCAATGTTAATTTCTCAATTGTGATAAACAGATATCACTGGGATGAAAATCAGGCAATTCAAGAAAAAATAAGTGGGAAGGGGACGAGAATTAAAACACTACAAATATGGGGCAGTACCTATAGCTCGGGTGATGGGTGCACCAAAATCTCACAAATCACGACTAAAGAACTTACTCATGTAAGCAAATACCACCTGTACCCCAATAACTTATGCAAAAAATTAATTAAAAAAAAAGGAAAACAAAATAGCATATACTCTGTCTTCTCCAAAATAGTATCTAATAATGCTACATTTTAACCCTAAAAAGTGTGTAAGAGTGTAGGGTGAGCTTTTCAATCCTTAAATCAGGTCTATTTTGTATGGGGTCAAACATGGTTGCCCACAATCCCAACAGAGCTTATGTTGGAAAAGGAGGGAAACATCCACTCCAGCATCCACACATCCCCTGAATGAAGGCTGAGCAAAACCTAGAGTCTCAGTCTCAATCAATAGCTTCCTACTCACAGTAGTGGCTCTGAGGAATGACTTCAACCTCTCATTTAAAGGGCCTTTGTGGAGATTTGCGACCTCTCTTTCACCTGCCTCACCTGTGGGAATTCCAAGTGAAAGCAGACTCCCAGCTCCCTCTCCACCACTGAGCTTTCTGCACAGTTGAAGGAACACCACAGGAACGGGGATGCCTGCCCCAAAGCAGCCATGTGTAGGATCTAAACTCCCCTTTTCCTTAAGGCCCAGCTCAGGCTGAATTTAGAGTTTTCAAACAGACTGGGAGGCTTTCTCCTTGAGCCTAAAAACAGTCACAGTTCTTAGGTAGCAATGCAGAGGCTCACAGGCAGGTATGAGGCATCTTCTGGATTGCACACAGTGGAAAGATATTAGTGGCATTCTGGTAAATATTTAACAACTGGATCTCTAAAAGGGAAGACACCTGATCTGTACCATTTGCCAATTTCTGTGGTGCCCATCATGGCTGATTTCAACTACCAACATGATAGCACTGAACGTGAAGTACACACAAATCAGTTCTTACGAGCTGGTGTGTGCTGGCTCCAGGTGTCCCCAAGGGTGTCCACGTGCCCCTGTGACACTCTGATACACTCACACTAATGCCATGCAGAATAATGCTTTCCAAGAAAAAGGGCAAAGATGGAAGTTTGTTTGTACAGTATATCTTGCTTACACAGTAGAGCTGTGCTAAAAGAGGAATATTTTTTATAGCTGCAGCAATAAAAACAATTTTGTGCTTCCTCAAAGAGCAGACCTCTCCTTCAATTACTTAGGCTTGGGCTTCCCCAGTTTTTCAAAAGAAGGAAATGATCTTGACCTCATGGATGCATGACACAGAATTGAGGATAGTGTAGCCAGCTAATGTGAAATGGGGAACTGTCTGGCTATGTCTGGGTTCATAGATTCAATCACTTTAGAGCAAAGCAACAAACTGTGGCTTCAGAAGGGAGAGTTTATTCCAACAAACAGAAGTGCTTTTATTTTCTGGCGTGTGCTCTGCAAATGCATCACCGAAGATTTAACCTTAAGTTTAGGGTGGGGAGGACTCCAAAAAACTGCCATGTAAGGTAGGGAAAAGGCATCTCTTTTGGAAAAGACCTTAACAAGTTTATCTTGATTTTCAACTCATCCCATTACTGAAACTCAGTCTTCTAATGGTGAAAGGAAACTCAGGGCATCTTGTTAAGACAAAGCCAGAGTCTCTCCGGCCAGCTCCTACCTGTGGACTTTCCCTCCATAGAAAGGCTTCGTGTGGAATATCACTGTCGCTGAGTACCCAGTCTTGGCACAGTTGATGCTGACTTTTCCTCCGAGCTCCACCCACGGGATGGTGAGAATGGACCGGGCGTAGGCACTAGGCAGGGTGAATACGTACTCCTCCCCGTGTTCCAGGAGCCTCAACACACCTCCAGGGAGAGAGGAGGGAGAGTTAGGCATGCAAACATGTGAAGAGGGCACTGGGGATCAGAAGAAATGAAGATGGGAAACCAAAGAGCCTCCTGCACAGATGTCACATCTCCCACCTCTGCAGAGGTGAGCTGCTCGTTCACTGTGGGCTCTACTGTGTGCAAGGCACTGAGAATACAGCAGTGAACAAGACAGACCCACTTTCTGCCCTCAGAAAGCAGAAGAGAAAGGTGGTCATTAGTCACCAAATGAACACAAAATTGTAACAGTGATAAAGGTAGGAGGGCAAGGTGGCCAGCACAATGGAGGCCTCCAACAGGAGAGACTGACCTGGTAAGGGAAGGTTTCCTTAAGAAAATGAACAGGGGAAGGAAGAGTGTTCTGGGCAGGGGGAAGAGCATGTGCAAAGGCCCTGGGGTAGGAAGGAGCCTGGTAAGTGTGAAGAGGCTGGGAAGAGGGCCCACATGCAGAAGAGAGATGATATATATAGGTGTGGAGGATGACCAAGTCAGCAGGGGTCAGACCTTGTCTTTTAAACTTCTAGGAAGAGTTCTGCCTTTATCCTGAGAGCTACAGAGACAAGCTCAATGGTTCTCATGAAAATAGAGAAATCAGGCTGTACAGCTGCTGTCAGCAACCTTAGGAAAGACATCTGCCAAGAGTGGGACTCTGTAACACTTACTGCCCACGCACTTCCAGAGAAAGGGTTCTCCAACCTACAACCCAAAGTGGGAAAGGCCTTATTCCTCTCAAAGCAATGCAGAATTTTGTTCATTTTTCTAGGGAACAGGGCCACAGTTTTCATCAAGTCCTCAAGACTACCCCCAAAATACAGAAGCTCCCAGGACTGCCGTAGAGTTGTATACAGAGGCCCTATACAGACTGGCAGAGGCCCTGAGACCCAGCACTACAGCTCTCTTAAGATCACATCTTCACAAGGCACCTCTCAGTCTCCCATCCAATACTTTGGCACTTGGCTCCCTAGAGATGCATATTCTTGGCTCCACTCCAGCTCACCCCAGGCCTCACTCTAGGGTTGCTCTGAGCTCGTCAAGAATGCTCTGAGCCTTAGGAGGGTAGAGGACCAGAGGTGGTTAGCGACCGGCACCTTCCTGGGCTTCCAGTCCTCCAGTGGAAAGAGTGAAGAGTGGGGTCAATGGCTCCCACATGAGAGCACTTTCCAGCTGCCAGACATTCCTGGGAGCTCCACATGAACTATCTTCTTCAGCTCACAACAGCCCTATTTGGCAATGATTATCGTTTTAATAAGAATGAGGAAACAAACTTTTAAGAGAGGTTAAGTAATTCAGCTGTTTAATACTTCCCTCTTAGGCTACATAAGCATCTAAATCACTTAGAGCTAGAATTTGCGGGGGCGGGGGGGGGGGCAGGAGGGAGGGAGAGGGAGAGGGAGAGAGAGAGAACACACCAGGAGGATAGGGAGAGAGAGAAGGAAGGGGGGTGGGAGTGCGGAGGGAGGGGAAGTTTCTTTTAGTATAGATGAGCTTGCCAGGGGAGTCTGAGGAGAGATAGGGTTAATTTGTACAAAGGAGTCATGGTTGCTCTTAGTTTCTAAAGTCAATACTAAGATGTGTTCAACTATAGTTCAATTTACCGTGGAGAATTCCTCTAATTGCCCATGCACTATGGTATTTAGGACACACTAGGCTTGTCCGAACCAGCAACATCACTCTCAGTTCTCAGTTAAGTCCATTAAAGTCAGTTTTCCCAACCCATGAAATACTTGGCTGGTTCTGAAAACCCAAGCTGACATGCTAGTATGTGATTAGGGGCCTCAATCCCTCCCAGTGTGGAGGGATCCTCAGACACATGGACAGATGAAGGCACTGAGACACCCAGGAGAAGCAGATCATGTGGGCTGGACTGGAGGGCAGGTATCACAGCTGCATTTACATCCTATCTTTCTCTGGCTGGGAACATAATTGAGTACATTTAATGCAAATCCACAAACAGCATAAGTCCACTACACCAAATACACTGCGTATCAGAAGAGATGGGCCTTCTCCCCTCTTCTCCACTCCAACTTGCTGGAGCTCTCTTGACTAAACTCATCTTGCCAAAAGTAAAGCCCCAGGCCACCTCTTGCTCTCATTCTGTCATTCATTCTTCCTTCTGCATTTTAGAAAGAAGAGCATCCCAGATGACCCTGGAGGCCCTGTCCTATCCAAGCAGTAAAGGGAGGAATGTTGTGTTCTGAGGAGAATTAGACATTGGTGTTTCAATCCTGATAGTTTCTGATCAGGACCCTTGGAGAAGAATGGCCAAGTCTGACAGTGTTTTTTGTTCAAAGCCTACCTTTATATCTTACTTCTTTGAATTGGGTTGAGAAGACAGCCTAAAGCAGGTAGAAAATTGCAGCCAATGTCAAACACAGATCAATACTTGGTTCTTCTTGATCAACAGCCAGGGAAAGTGGAAGAGAGAGAGGTCACCTCAAATATCCCTCTCTACTCAAGTTTTATCTCCCAAGACCCCGGTTCCTTGGGTGCCAGCTGTATCCCCACAGACTTGGAGACTGTGGCAGCTGAGAGAGGCCCCTGGACCCTGTAGAGAAGGCTAGCATTTACCATGCCTTCAAGGCCCCAGAGGAGATAGTCCACTGCCACCCTCCCCACAGCACTAATGGGCTACAGATAGCCCCCAACTTACTGTGGTTCAACTTACAATGTTTTGACCTTACAATGGTGCCAAAGCAGTAAGTGTTCAATAGAAACCGTGCTTTGAATTTTGGTCTTTTCTGAATCTAGTGATATATGGGATGACACTCTCGTGTAATGCCAGGCAGCGAGGCTCTTTTTCTTTTTTGGAGACAGGGTCCCACTCAGTCACTCAGGCTGAAGTGCAGTGGCGCGATCATGGCTCACTGCAGCCTTGACCTCCTGGACTCAAGCAATCCTCCTGAGTAGCTGGGACTACAAGCATGCACCACCATACCCAACTAATTGAAAAAAAAATTATTTATAGAGACAAGGTCTCCCTGTGTTGCCCAAGCTGGTCTTAAAACTCTTGGGCTCAAGTGATCCTCCTGCCTCTGCCTCCCAAAGTGACTAAACAAACTCCTGTATAGGTTGGATATTTGACCCCCTCCAAAACTCATGTTGAAATTTGATCTCCAATGTTGGAGGTGGGGCCTAGTGAGAGGTGTTTATGTCATGGGGAGGGATCTCTCATTAATGACTTATGGCCATCCTAACAGTAATGAGTGAGTGCTCGCATTAGTAGTTCTTGCAAGAGCTCCCCTGAGAGCTAGTTGTCAAAAAGAGGCTAGGCCTGTGCAGTGGCTCACTCCTGTAATCCCAGCACTTTGGGAGGTGGAAGTGGGAGGATGGCTTGAGCCCAGGAGTTTGAGACCAGCCTGGGCAACATGACGAAGCCTCATTTCTATAAAAAAATTTTAAAAAAAAATTAGCTGTGCATGGTGGTGAGCACCTGTAGTCCCAGCTACTTGGGAGGTTAAGATAGGAGGATCACTTGAGCCCGGGAGGTCGAGGCTGCAGTGAGCCATGGTCACGTCACTGCACTCCAGCCTGGACAACAGAGTGAGACCCTGTCTCAAATAGATAGACAGATAGATAGATTAGATAGATAGATAGATAGATAGATAGATAGATAGATAGATAGATGGAAAAGAGTCCGACACCTCCCCCACCTTGCTTCTGCTCTTGCCATGTGACCCCCACACAGGGGTTCCCCTTCCTCTTCCACCACGAGTGGATGTAGCCTGAGGCCCTCGTCAGAAGCAGATGCTAGTGCCATGCTTTTTGTACAGCCTGCTGAACTGTGAGTCAAATAAACCTCTTTCCTCTCAGGTATTCCTTTATAGCAACACAAATGGACTAGGACACAACCCATCCTCTCGAGTGTACTGTGCTACCGGATGACTCTGCCCAACGGCAGGCTCATGTAAGGGTTCTGAGCATGTTTCAGATAGGCTGGGCTAAGCGAGGATGTTGCTAGGCTAGGTATATTAAATGTAGTTTCGTCTTAGGATATTTTCACCTTCAGATGGTCTTATTGGGACATAACCCCATCATAAGCCAAGGAGCATCTCTACTTGGTAGTAAAATCCTTCCAGGCGAGCAATATGTCTCCCTGGCACCATAACCTTGCCCCTGATGTCTACTGCATTCCTATTTTGTGGTTCACCCTTCATGTCCTTAATCGGGATACCTTGGGAATTGGGAACTCCCACCTCTTGCATGTCTAGCAGGAAACCTCTACAGACTGGAAACACACAACAGCCACAAACTTGGCTGGCTGGTATTCCTAGTCTCATTCATAAATATAAACTTTGTAGTAAGGTAGGATTATACAGCTGAGATTTTCTTCACCATGTTTTTTCATGGAGAATATGCCACGACTTTTTTTAAGACCTGGATGAAATCTTAGAGGATCATTCCAAGTCCTCCGTCACTCACCAGCCTGGCAATCTTAACTTCTCTGTGCCTCAGTTTCCTCATCTGTGATGCAGAGATAATGGTATCTGTATCTCCCATGGCTGTCGTAAAGATGGAGAAGGCGATTCTAAACTCAGCTAACAGCACTGCAGCATGGCACACTGCCAAAATCCTGAAGGTTTTATGTCTTAATTACTCCTCATTCTTTAAAGCAGCCCTCTCGATGGGTATCACCAACTGGCAATAAAGAGGAAACTGCAGGGCCAGGCGCAGTGGCTCACGCCTGTAATCCCAGCACTTTGGGAGGCTGAGGCGGGTGGATCACGAGGTCAGGAGATCAAGACCATCCTGGCTAACATGGTAAAACCCCCATCTCTACTAAAAATACCAAAAATTAGCCGGGCATGGTGGCGGGCACCTGTAGTCCCAGCTACTCGGGAGGCTGAGGCAGGAGAATGGCGTGAACCTGGGAGGCGGAGCTTGCAGTGAGCCGAGATTGCGCCACTGCACTGCAGCCTGGGCGACAGAGCGAGACTCCATCTCAAAAAAAAAAAAAAAAAAAAGAGGAAACTACAACGTCTTCCAATAGGCTATACCTGTGAGGGATGGAAGAGACACAGGGCAGACTTTCTCTAATGTAATACTGCATAAGAGATAGCATCCTCCTCCCATTTTTCTTCAGAAAAATCTCTTCCAAATCAAGGTAAAATTTCCCCCAAGTCCTGGGGGAGGTCAGTGAGCCTCAGAGCTAAACTGATTTGAAGGCACTGGCAAGACCACATGCCTTTGGCTTGTTTCTGAAAATCCATAAATGTGTGTTCATTCATCAAATCACCTGCAATTATGCCTTCTTAGTACATACTCTTTTTTTTCAGGGTTGCATTTAAAAAAAAATCTCCTTAATATGAATAAAAGACATATTAAAATTAGACTTACAAATGGGATCACAAATATAAGTTACTTCTTCATTTGGCCTAACAGCTAAGAGAAGCCAAAAAAAAAAAAAACATCAAATAATCAATCCTTCCATGCATCTTCCTCAGGCTGGGAGATCTTCATTTGAAATTCCACAAATTGATTCGCCAATAAAGGCAAAGCATTAAGATTTTCAAACTGATAAACTTAAAATAATTTTGTGTCCAATCTCAATCTGAGGAACCAAAATATTCAGCTGGGACATTCATCCTGGAAAGTAGAGTCACAGAAGGAACTCTGGGAAGTGTGTTTGCAGACCCGGCAGCATTGGCACTCACAAGCCCAGTGGCAATCATGTTGCTTCCTCTCATTAGAACTAACTGTTTTTCCCCACAGACTCAATTAAGAGCCTGCACCATTTACCAGGCATTGATTCAGGCATTTTGAGGGAAGTGGGCTGCAAAGAGCAGCTGAACGCCCCTCAGCTCCACAGCGGTGCGAGGTTGGGAGGGGTGAGCAGCCCACACTTTCCCGTGGACAGAGGTCTTAGGTTGACTGAACAGTGTCGGCTCTCACTGTTAGAGCAATAGAAACGAGAGGGTGGGAGAAAGGGGTGCAGTCTCTGGGGTCAACGTGAGTGAATTCAGGGCATAATGAAGCACTTCATAATAGCATTTCATTACAGTCAAATATGCCACAGCCTAAAGGCCATGATTTAGGAGATGAGCCCACGTATTTACGTTCACAATTCCAAGTGGACCCATGTAAGACCTCATTTTTATAATGAGGAGATGGAAAAAGCATTATTTACACCCAATCAACAAATTCATAGAATATGCAGGAAATATGCGAGGGAAGGGAAATTATCCAACCTCCTGCCTTCCCCCAATCAAAGGAGCTCTGAGTGTGGGAGCCAGAACCTTCTGCTTCGAAGTTTGGAGATTCTTAGAAATAGTTTGTGTGAAAAATCAGATCCTGCATTACAGCGGACACATTTTAATTAATACAAAAGATAAGGGGACGCAGCTACTGAAGGGACTTAGGCAAACTCAAGGCCTCACAAGAACGAGCCAAGGGTCCCCTGGCCATGCCCAGGCCCACCCACAGCAGGAAAACATCAGGTGAGTGGCCAGGAAGGGCCATGTCCAGGAGAGGCCTTTCACAGTCTCTCTCCAGAATCTTCTTTCTGAACTCAGCATGCTATTGAGAAATTCTGAGTGGCATTTTCAAGCAGTTAGAAAAAGTGAGAGCAACAAATTCTAATTCTGCTTCATCTGCAGGCTGCATCTGAGGGCCTCAGGAGAGGGTGTTCCACGGCTTCTCACCCACGACACTGTGGTCCTGGGCTGGGTAAAGTGAATCAAGGGCTCCAGCCTCTGCCTGCTGCCTATGAGAAACAGAGGAGCTATGATCCTGAGACCTCACAGGCCTACCCTGTGGAGACACGGACACTCAACAACGGCCAACATAAGACAGAGCAAAGGCCGGGCGCGGTGGCTCACGCCTGTAATCCCAGCACTTTGGGAGGCCGAGGCGGGTGGATCATGAGGTCAGGAGATCGAGACCATCCTGGCTAACAAGGTGAAACCCCGTCTCTACTAAAAATACAAAAAATTAGCCGGGCGCGGTGGCGGGCGCCTGTAGTCCCAGCTACTCGGGAGGCTGAGGCAGGAGAATGGCGTGAACCCAGGAAGCGGAGCTTGCAGTGAGCCGAGATTGCGCCACTGCAGTCCGCAGTCCGGCCTGGGCGACAGAGCGAGACTCCGTCTCAAAAAAAAAAAAAAAAAAAAAGACAGAGCAAAGATGTTGGTTAGTTCAGGGGACAGAGGGCTAAAAGGACCTCATCACTCTCTCAAGTTCAGCTGCAGAGGCAATGACAGGAGGCCATGTGCTGTGCTGGGCTGAGGGGTGCCCCGTTGACGGTGTGGCTTAAGTGAAACGGCTAGAGACACCAGAGGGAGACAGGAAGGACAAGGGTGCAGGGAAGCAGAGGGAAGAAGATGATGATGAACATGCTGTGTAGAGGGAAGAAGGGAAAGATGAACACATTGTGTGGGGAAGAGAGAATAACCAGCTTTAAAACACAATCACACACGTGACACCACTGCACAGCCACCTCCTTGTCGGAGCCCACCGCTGGTGGTCGGGGACAGGGGAAAAGTGACTGCTATTTGGTAGAGAAGGAAGGATCCTGAAGGGAGAGATTGCGTTTCTGTGAAGAATTCCCTAAATCACCAAAAATGGATTGCAAATCTACCTTTTCGAACATTTCCACATATTTGTCTAATGGCAAGAATTAGGGGCTCACAGACTGGGAGGTATTGACCCTCTACTCCAATTTAAGAATCTGGCTTTCTCAGGCCTTGACAAGCGGCAACAAGCACTTCTGCTGAGTGCAGGGAAATCCCCAGACAAAAGGCATTCTATTCACCAAGCACTTACTCTGACTAATCACAGATTCAAACTGTGTGTGTGTGTGTGTGTGTGTGTGTGTGTGTGTGTGTGTGTGTGTGTAGGAGGGAAGAAGAGAAATAAGAAACAACTTGCCTCTCTGCTTCTATCTTTGCACTGGGCCCTCTCCACTTCTGCCTTCAGTCTATTCTTCACTCAGCCAACACAGGGATGCTAAAATCATGTCTACCCTCAGCGACTCCCATCTCAGAGCAAACGGCAAAGACGTTCCAGAGCCCCAAAATCAGATCCCAAAATGTGGCCTCTCCTCTCTGGCTTTATCTCCTCTCTTCCCAGCCACGCACTCACTGCTGCAGACACAGTGGCCCCTGGCTGTCCTCAAAACACCCCAGCCACTAGCTCCCAACTTGGGGCCTTACCACTTGCTGTTCTTTTTTGCATAGAAGACCCCTTCTTAAACCTGCTTCAGGCCTTTCCTCAGCTGCTCTATCTTGCTGAGGTCCACATTATTGAAAATTGCAACCTCCCTGCCCCAGCTTCACTCTCCTCCTTCCTACTTTGTCTCTTAGTGTCAGTCATCATCCATCACATTGAGGACTTCACGCACATGTCTTGTCTTCTCTCCGACCCTCCTGTTGGAGCATGAGCTCCCGGGGGCAGGGAATCTGTGTGCTGTGGCCTCTGCTGCATCTCTGGCATCAAGGATGGTGCCAATCACTTCACAAATAAATGGATGAATGGATAAGTGAATGGGTAAATGACAGATTTATTCGAGCCACCACTGTTACCGATAAGGAGGTAAACATGATTAAAATACTAACTGTAGAAAATGTGTAAGGAATTATCTCGCATATGGGGCATAAATACAAAGTGTGAACTGCCTTCTCTACCTTCTCTGGCAAACAAACATATTTCATCTTCAAAATATTTATTATGTGGGAAATTTAGAATAAGGAATAAAATTAAATAGAATGAGATGAGTCTCCTGAATACCAATTTTTGTTTTTAAGAAAAGGAAAAGATTTTTTACCAATATAAACCTCATAGCACGAGCCAAGCCCAAAGCAACCTATGAAAACACAGAGCCCCAGATAAGTCAAAATCAAGATTAATGTTGCTCCCATTTCTTATTACAAACTCAAGTATAAAAATCAATGTGAACATAAACCTCCCACAGGGGAGTCCTTGGCAATCTTCTCCCTGCTTTCAATAGGAAGAGTTACCCGAGTATTCTAACCGGAGCTCTTAGTTCACACAACTTCAAGAGTCCCCAGTCTGGGCTGAAACACCTTTTTGAAACCTGCCAGGGGGCTTTAACCCAAACAGTGCTGCACGGTGGTAGCTCCCTGTCGCTTCATCCAAGGAGAAGGCAGAGTTCAGGAGAACAAGCAGTCACTGGGGTCAGAAAAGAGGCCGGTGAGGAAATACCTCTCGTTCCTCTAGCCCTGCCCCCACAGAAGCACACTTGAATCAAGTTTGTTTTCTCAGTGTCAGAGAGAGGCCTCAACAGCCCTGGCTGTGTCCATATAGGGCTCTAATCGCCCTTGACCTGATCCCCCTTCCCCGGCCCACCGCCTGCTGCTCAACCCTGCTCCTCTGCTCTTCCTGGGCTTGTGAACTCAGGGGGCTGCCTGAACCTCCTCAGATTCTGGTATCTCATCCACAGGTCAGAGATGAGCTGAGAAATGGCCCCTGACTCAAGGAGACCCCAGCACCTGCCCTGCATCCCCCTTCAATGGCTTGTGCTGAGGGCAGGATGGATACTGTGAATTATGCATGGGTTCCTAGGCAAGCTGCCTCTCTCGGGCTCCTCATCTGTGAAATGAGGATAGCTGGACTCATCCGGGGTCTGCTGAGCATTCTGAAGCAACAGAACCCTTTCGGAAATAAACTTGTATAGGGAAGTCCCTCTGGTAAATAGGTAAGGATGGATGGAGATACTCGGGCTGGAGTGGACTTGGAAGAACACCAACCTTGCCACTCACTTCCTGTGCCCCTCTAAGGAGCCTGGGATTCTCTACAGCACAGCTGGAAACCCTGGAGCATATGGTGGACAAATGCCCTTTCAGCTACAAGATTTCATGGTCCAGTCATCACTGGTAACAACTCCTCTTTAAGAAGAGAGACCACTTCAGGCATCCATCTCCCCTTGTCAACAGCAGGAAAAGCCAGACAACCCAGTCATGAATTGGGATTTTTCTAATTGGAAAATAGTTGTAATACTGCACTCTTACAGAAGATAACCTAAGAGGAGGATAATACTCATTATTGATGAGGTTTATCTAAAGATAGATGTATTTTTACATCTTTCCCCCACAGATACAACCCACCTCCATCTGAATTGTGGAAAAGGCCTAAACTGGGTGACCCAAGATCATCCTGGTGACAGGTGTGTCCCTAGCTTCCTACACAAATTAATGAATGTCTCATTGGTGAACTTCTTGATCCTGATTGATCCTTGAGAGGAAGGTGTGACGAGTGCAGCATGAGCTGCTGATTACTAGACCTGCATGCAAGGAAGACCCCAGTGAAGGCCCAACACGAATGCTGAGTACACCTGTGGGCACTCTGGAGTTGCCATCTTACCTATGCAAGAGGGGGAGCAGCGCTTTGGGGTGTAAACCTAACAGAGAAGTGGAACCCAAGAGTGGCTATTTTCCAAAACAGTACCATTGCATGCAAACCCTAAATAAGGAGGAACTGTCCACATTTACAGTCCCTAATTCCTCTCCTTCCTTCTCTCTTGACTTTATTCTAGTCAGATTTTCACTAGTGCTACTCCACTGACAACTGCTGTCAAGGTGACGAATGACCTCCATGATCCAAAATCCATGATCCCTTCTCAGTTCTCATCTTACTGGAGTAACCAGCATCATGTGATGCAGTTGATCACTCTCGCACTTTGAAGCCCTTCTTCACTTGCCTCGCAAGGAGCACCTTCTCCCATTCCATTCAGTCTACTTCTCTGGCCACCCCTCATCAGTCTCCTCGGCTGGCTGTTCATCTTGCAGACCTCTTAATGCTGCTTAATGCTTCAGAAATCAGTGCTCACTCAGCAGTCTCATTAGTCTCAAGGCCTTAAATATTTTATCTCAGCCAGGACCCTCCCTATGAAACTCCAGCTTGCATACACAATTGCCTACTTTAGCACTCCCTTCAATGACTAAACCCTAACAACCGCCCTGAGCTCCCATACTCTTCCTTCAAAGTAGCCCAATACCCAGCCCTCAAGTCTCCCCATCTCAGTTTTAACAGCTAGTCCATCCTTCTAGGTGCTCAGGTCAAAACCTTGGCAACACTTTCTCTCACACTCCACATCCCATCCAGAGGCAGATCCTCTTGGCTCTAACTTTAGAACCTATCCAGATCCTTACTACTCCACTACATTTACTTCCTCCACTATTTTCCACCTGGTCCAAGCCACCATCATCACCTGCTTAGTTATTCTCACAACCTCCTCCCTAGTCTCCTTGTTTCCACCATTACCCCCGCCCAGGGTCTGTTTTCAACAAACGGCTGGAGCAGTCTTGCTGAACTATGAGATTGAGCCTGGTACTCTCCAGCTCAAAAGCACCAGTGGCTTCAGGGCTCCCTCACTGTAAGAGCCAGTGTCCCTAGCAATAGCCCATGAGGTCCTATGTGATCTGGCCACCATCACCTCCCTGACCTCCACCTGCCCCTGTTCACCCTGCTCCAGCCACATGGGCTTCCTGTCTCCATCCCCGTGCCAGGGACATTTTACCTGTAGGCCTCTGCCTCATTCTTTCTGCACACAAACTCTTTCCCAGTGACCTATAAGGCTTGCCTTACCCCTCTTTGCCCGCTTTGGGTCTTTGCTCAAATATCACCTTAGTGAGGCCTTCCCACTGGCCAGCTCATCTGAAAGCTCAACTGCCCTCTCCCTGGTCTTCCCCGGACCCCCACCTGCTTTGTTTCTCTACAACACTTACCATTCTTCAACTTACCACACAATCCATTTTATTTACTTATTTATTTCATTTCCCCGTGAGAAAGAAGGAGAACAGAAGCATCATCAGAACAGATCTTTTTTGGTCTGTTTTGTTTGCTCAAGTAACCACAGCTCCTAAGGCAATGCCAAGCATCTAGTAGGTGCTCAATAAAAATGTGCTAAGTGAATGAAAGGTGCTCTTATCTCATGGGGTTTTGGAAGGGCTTCTAAGGAGCCATGTACTCCCTGAAACTCAAAGACAAATTTGGAGTTAGATTCCTTTTTTCTAGGAAGAGAATCACAGCCTTAGAGCCTTGAAGAGATTTGTGACTCAAAAAAAAGTTGAAGAACCAGTAACACAGATGCTTGAATTTAACAAGGATTATTATAGGTTTCTTCAAACAATGAATAAACTTCATTCACAGCTATTTGCTAAAATAAGAATGTGTGATCCACCAGTGGCGTGATTATACTATGTTCTTGCTTCAGAATTTCCAGCATAGAGTCAAAAGATTTGTTTTGGGAATTTTTACGAGCAGATTTTGAATAGGCAGCATGATTATCCTCATTGTCTGTGAGCCAGAACACCGGTGAGAATGAATAAAAATGTGTTTTCACAGATTTGGAGGCCAACTCTTATATTCATGCAAAGCTGAAAGAAAACAGTACCTGTAAGGTGTGCACGCACGCGCGTGCACAGCATGGGAAGGTCCAGGTGGGAAGGTCCAGGTGGGCGGCTGTCAGGCAGATAGTCCGTTACCTTGGCCCCGCTGGGAAATTACCAGACCTTGTTCCCAAACAACAAAACCTGACCCTTTTACCACCCACACTCTAATTCCAAAACCAGTTAAAAACAACAACAACAAAAAACTCCACACACAAAATTATCAATCATCTACCAGGTATAGAAACGTCACTGTGTAAGAGCCAAACTCCAACATACGACATGGCTTACCTTCCCCTATCATAGAGACCCCCACGGACATGCCCATGAACTTGCTTTTGGTCCATACATGAGTGTTGACGCACAGTCTCTTCTCCTCGCACTCACAGTAGAAGCAGGAGATGGGTGGGTGATGGGACACTTGCTCAGCCACAAACCTTAGTTTGTAGCTTTTGGAAGGGTCATCGGCCATTGGGTGTTCGTGACAGCTGGCAGGAGAGCGGGAAGCAGTCCTCTTAGGCTTGACCCTGTCCTTGGGAACTTCCCAGGAGCAGTGAAATGTCTCGCCTATGATGGGGTTGTAGGGCTTCTTGGCTAAAGCGCCCTTGCGGCCCTCGTGAAAGGCTGTGAGATAATACTCAACGAAGCAAATGACTCTCTCCTCTGGTGTGGCCCCAGCGGTGATGGCCAGCAGTAGGTCTGGGTGCGCCATGAAATCTGCATACATCTCCAGCAAAGATCGCTTCTCCAGGATAAAGGTGGGAAGCACCACCTGCATTTGGAAGGACACAAAGTCAGACAATCCCTGGGATTACACGGAAAAGCTGAAAAGAAAGGTAAAGGCTGCAACCACTGTTAAGCAAATTCATAACATCTCCAGCCAGGGAGCAGTCTGTTTTGACTTGTGCACACATGACAAACCAAGGGAAACAATATCAAAGAAATGAGAAGTGGCAGTGGAATCAACGAGAGCCCAGCTTTGTGGACAAGACTGCTCTGAGTGATTTTCTTCCTTGTTTACCTGGGCTAACACAATAGTCTCTGTCTCAGTCTCCACTGCCATTTCTCCCCTAACTCTCCATTATTTAGAGATGTGAAGAAAACAGCCTGGAAGGGCTTTTCTGTATTCCCCCTGCCATCAGGCAAGACCAAGTGGGCTGGGGCAGGGGAAGGGAGGGGTCGGCAATCAGTGTGTTCTCACAAACATGGATACTGGGGTTTGTTGGTGCCACTTCATAGGGGGTCCAGGCAGACCAGGACCCACCACCAATGACAGTGTGCACTGGGAGGCCTCGGTAGAAGAATGGTGTACAAGCCCCACCATGACTGAGGAAGGGTAGGACTGTGGAAAGGGCCCAGCTCCAGGACGGGGCAGGCCCATCAGCAGGCAAATATCCACAGAGCTGCCGCAGACAAGAGGGGCCATGGTGATTCCATCTGTGGAGGTCGGTCCTCAAGGCTGGTCCAGGAGAAACCAGTGGAAGTTACAAAGCAGGCTGGCACTTAACATACAGAACCTGCTGCTAAAGGACTGGCAGAGTGGCTACCCCTAGGTTTGTTATTGGCACCATGATTGAAGACAGAGACCTTGTAGAGGCCCGGATAACTCTGGTAGAGATAAGACAGAGACTCCTCATTGATCCAAAGTGGATCCAGGTGGTCACTCAGGGGGCTCTACAACCCCAAATGCCTGTAACCCAATGATTATTTAATCATCTACTGTAAGTCACTTAAAGCAACTGAAGGGTACTCTGAAACTGGGAAGCCCATAACTCATTACTGCTACTGCTTTTTAAAGAAGAGAAAGTCCATTTTTCACTGTCCTAGAGTGATCTTAAATTAACTTGAAACAAATATCGGGTATTTTTTGTTTGTTTTGAGACAGAGTCACCTTCTGTCACCCAGGCTGGAGTGCGGTGGCACAATCTCAGCTCACTGCAACCTCCACCTCTTGGGTTCAAGTGATTCTCCTGCCTCAGTCTCCTGAGTAGCTGGGACTACAGGCACATGCCACCATACCCAGCTAATTTTCTTTATTTTAGTAGAGACAAGGTCTCACCATGTTGCCCAGGCTCATTACAAACTCCTGAGCTCAAGCAATCCACCCGTCTTGGCCTCCCAAACAGTTATCGGGTATTAATAATCCACCCACTTAGCTGCAAAACACAGCCAGCCTTAACCCAGAGCATCTCATTCTGTTCCTCCTAACGTGGACTCACAGGATTTTGAAACTGGAAAGCTAGCCCAGACCTGCTGGGCCACGCAGGGAACACACCGGGTTCCAGCGAGTTGACCAATACCATGGGGCTGGTTTACAATCTCTCTTTACATAACTAATTCTGTCCTTCCTTTCTGCAGTCCCTCACTCCCATGAAAACATTTGGGAGGGTGTATGATCACGGACCACAAATATCACACAGGCTCACAGATCTGTAACCCTGACTCTACTTCAGGATTCCAACACCCTTCCCTGCAAATGACTTGGATGTGATGGAAGGGAGAAGAGATGCTGCTGTGGTCTGAGTTTGTCCTCTCCCAAATGTGTGTTGCAATTTGATCCCCGATGTGGCAGTGTTAGGAAGTGGGGACTAGTAGAAGGTGTGTAGGTAATGGGAGCAGATCCCTTATGAAGAGATTAATGCCTTCCTTCAGGAGCGAGTTCTCACTCTCTCAGGACTGAATTAGGGACCGCAAGAGCATGCTGTTCTAGAAGCGACTTTGGCTTCCTAGACCCTTGTGCTTCCCACATGATCTCTGCACACACACCCGCTCCCTTTTCTGCCACGTTTTGACCCAGCACATGGCCCTCACCAGAAGCCAGCCAGATGTGACACTATGCTCTTAAACTTCCCAGCCTGCAGAATTGTGAGCTAAATAAATGTACTTTTCTGAAAAACGACTCAGTCTCATTCTGTCACAGCAACACTAAAGGGACTAATACAGATGTCCAGAGAGAGATAGGCAGACATGAGAACAGCAAAGTACAGAAATTTCAGAGGAAACTAGAAAAAGCCCCATCTGCTAGAGAGGTAAAGCTTGGTAGATCTCCTTTAATGCTTTTCTATCTTTCATTTGAAAAGTATGTCAGGAGAAAATGTGCCTGTCCTAAATAAAAAAGCAGCCAGATGTAAAATTGAACATGTAATACAATCCAAGAATCATAAAAACACTCAAAATGTTAACATATCTGTCCGGGTGACAGAACTGAGTGATTTTAACACTTTTTTTTCTGAGTATCTTTCTGCTTTGTTTTTATAATACACACAAGGAAGAAACATTATTTAAAAACACAACTATGCAAATCAATGGAGGTTTCCTAATTTTCTTTAATCCACGACTTGAAAAAATTGAGAATCTGGCTGTCCTAGGATCTTATCTGGCCAAGAAAAGCATTTAGCTTGAAATAACCTTCAGATGCCACCTCTATTACTTCCTATGCCTTTTTCGTGGGGACAGGTCATCATTCAGCAACCATCACTGTGCTCTCTGGGGGCTGCTCTTCCAATGAGGCTTCACTGGGGTCAGGCTGCTGTGTTCTCCCACCACTTAGCTGTCCAATAGCAGAGTAAATAACCCCCAAATACTCACCACACTTCCCTCTTCTGCCCCAGAATCACCCAAGGGCTCCCCTATGAACTCCACCCAGACAGGGTGCACAAGCTGGGGAGTGTGAATTTAAGCAGCTTGGAAATCCCTTAATGAAGCCAAATCAATGACAAAGGACAGGCTGCCACAAATGTCTGCATCTGCATCCCTTCCCCAAGTGACTCCGTCTCCTGCTCTCTCCCTTCCCAGGTCCAAGGGGCCCTGTGATCAGAAGGCAAGCCAGGGGAGGGGAAGGACAGAAATATACACTGAGGCCATCAGCCCTGATGGGTATAACTTCAAACAAAGATAATTGCGTAACCTTGGCTCGTGTCTTTTTCCCCACTCTATGGCAATGGGGCTTCTGTGGCAATAATTCCACCTCTAGACAAGAATCTTCATGTTTGTACCCAAGATTAAAGTTAACAAGGAAAACTGATACAATATTTACTCTCTAGTGATGTACTTTTGAAAAGGAGAAGAATTTAAGATATTTCCCCTAATTTAGTCAGCATTTCTGAATTCAAAAGCTGAAGGATTTAAAAAAAAAAATAAGTAAATAAATAAGAAAAAGAACTCCACTTGGAACCCTGAGTCACGGAATGTCAGAACTAAAAAGCAAGATGATTTAGTGCACTGCCCTGGTCCCACAGGTGAGGGCGCTATGCCTGGGCCACCCAGTGGCCGAGCCAGCAGGGAACCTCAGGCTCCCAGGTGCCACCTCCAAGTCCCTGCCATTACCCCATGACACATCATGATTATCTGCTTCTGGTTAACAAGAACATCTTCTCTCAGTGGACAAGGGAGACAGCTAGGATGTCTGGGCCACCCCAGCTGCTGTCATGGATTAAGAAGAGGGGGAAGAGCCAGGTATGGTGCCTTGTGCCTGTAATCCCAACAGTGGGAGGCTGAGGCAGGAAGAGTTTAAGACTAGCCTGGGCAACATAGTGAGAACCCATCACTACAAATAATAATAATAATAATAATAATAATAATAATTTTTTTAAAAGAAGTGGGCAAAGGAGATCAAATGGGCAAGAGAATGGGACATGAGCCCCACCTTTTAGGGCCATTTCACTCTTCCCAACATAGCAAGAAAATCCACCATTCCAAACAGTATCATTAATATCATAAATGGGAGGGAGATCGTTGCAATGAAGGAAGGGCGTAGGAGGCGTGGCTCCTGAACTGGAGGCCCAGCATCCTGCCATACCTCCAACTCTCCTCCACACAACAGCCAGAGTCATCTTTCTAAAATCTATGTAAGAGATAACGCCCCCACCTCCCTCTGGTCTCACACGATGTCCTGACTGACTGCCCCCATCCCTCCCTGCACAAATCTCTCTCTCTCTCTCTCACACACACACACACACACACACACACACACACACACACTCCCTTTTTCTGCCCTTTCTCCTGCCCTGTCTCTATGACAAAAAGCTCATCAGCTCAAGTAGCTCCCTGCTCTGTGAAGCTTTTTTTGACAGTTCCTGCTTTCAAGGCTAAAGCAACAACCCCTCTCTCCTATCCTCTGCACCTCACACATATCTCCACCTGCAAGGCTCTTTTGTTCTTATTAATGCACACGTTTCAAAACTGTAAGCTCTTAGTGGATAGACACCTGACTCCTTAATACCTAGCAAAAAACAAGACAAACAGATGAACTGCATGAGAGACACCTTTGTTTCCTTTGACATGTTTAAGTTACCCATATTTTTAAATGCAGATTCTCATTCACTATGCTTTTAATTCTTCTGAGTATATCCAGCCAAGTTTTCAGTTGCTGCTTCTCTCGAGCAACATGAGAATATTCACATACATACCAACTTCTAGGCTGAAGCCAGCTTACACAGAATCTAGCTTATTTCAGGAACGTGTTTTGGGTGGTAAGGAACCAGAGCCTGATGTATCAGAAGTGCACTCTAAATGTCTAATGAATGAGTAGACTCAAACCCGGTCTGCCCCACACTCTTCTGGATCTCCTAAGACACCTTTGGGGCCAAAAAGAATGTGGCTGGATGACCTCCAGGATGGGCCTTCAAAGGCTCCAAAGGAGCCAGAAGGAATGAAATTGCCTAGTCTGAAGGCATCTTCCTCTTCTCTTTATCAAAAGGAAAAACAAAGGCTCTGCTCAGCAACTTCTGCCAATTATTACTGCCCAAATTGTTTAGTCTGGCTCTTAACTATGAGGAAAAAAAAAAAGTCAAATCCAAACTGAGGAACAGTTTGGAAAACAAAAATGAAAGCAAAGAAAACCTGACTTGAACTCTTCAGTATCACTGCCATGAAAGGGAAAAAGGCGGGGAATTTTCTTGACTAAAGGAGACTAGAGACATCATAATGACCAAATGCAACATAATCTGGGTTGGATTCTGGAGTTTTAAAAAATGGCCATAAAGGACATGATTGGGACAAGTTGGGAAAATTTACCATGGGCTGAATATGAAATAATATTGCCTCAATGTTACATTTCCCAATGTGACACATGTATACTATAATGTCCTTATTCTTAGAAGACACTCACCAAAGGGGTAGGAAAGAACTGTCATGATGTCTGCAACATACTCTAAAATGGTTAATCAAAAAATAAACATACATGTATGATATGGTTTGGCTGTGTCCCCACCCAAATTTCATCTTGAGTTGTAACTCCCACAATTCCCACGTGTCGTGGGAGGGACCCAGTGGGAGGTAATTGAATCATGGGGGTGGGTCTTTCTTGTGCTGTTCTCATTAACAGTAAGTCTCATGAGAGCTGATGGTTTTATAAAGAGGAGTTTCCCAAACAAGCTCTCTCTCTTTGCCTGCTGCCATCCATGTAAAACATGACTTGCTCCTCCTTGCCTTCTGCCATGATTGTGAGGCCTCCCCAGCCATTTGGAACTATAAGTCCGTTAAACCTCTTTTTCTTCCCAGTCTCAGGTATGTCTTTTATTAGCAGCATGAAAATGGACTAACCCAATGTGTTACACACACATATACATGTATGTGTACGGAAAAAGTTCTGGAGGGAAACAGCTTGAGAACTAGAGAGAAAAATGGAAGGAGGAAGGTGGGAGGAGGGGAGGAGAGAGGTTGGCAGAGAGGGAAGAAGGGAGAAGAAATGCAAAGTACAAAATGTTAGTAATTGGCCAAAAAAGGTGAAGAATATATGGGAGTTGATATGGTTTGGATTTGTGTCCCCACCCAAGTCTCATGTCAAATTGTAATCCCCAGTGTTGGAGACGGGGCCTGATGGGAGGTGATTGGATCATGGGGGCACACTTCCCCTTGCTGTTCTCATGATAGTGAGTTCTCATGAGATCTGGTTGTTTAAAAGTATATAACACCTCCCCCTTTGCTCTCTTTCTCCTGCTCTGGCCATGTAAGATGTTGAGAGCTTCCCCTTCGCCTTCTGCCATGATTGTAAGTTTCCTGAGGCCTCCCCAGAACTTGTACAGCCTGCAAAACTGGTCAATTAAACCTCTTTTCTTTATAAATTACTCAGTTTCAGGTAGTTCTTGATAGCAATGCAAGAACTAATACAAGAGTCCATTGTGCTACTCTTGCAACTTTACTGTAGATTGGAAAATGTTCAAAATAAAAAAGTTGGAGGAAAAAGAAAAAAGGTTCTACTGGGAATGCAATACCTGAGAATAATAATTTTCAAAGACAACCTTCCCAAAATTGTGGACTGAGGGAATATGGGCTCACAGCCAACATCAAGTCCAACCTACTAGGTATGTATTCTGTACTTTAAAATGACGTGGCTTTGTCAGAGCAGGAAAAAAATAGAATACCTGGAGAGATGGAGCAGAATGGGTTGGGAGCAGAATTACTATTTCCTCTTTCATCTTCTGTTGTGTGTTTCATTGGAGTTTGTGCAGAATGCCAGATCAACTTCAAAACCAGCAACTGAACATTCTGGACAAGATGTCATACTTTTCATTAAAACAGACTTCCTAGTCTGGTCTGATTTCTTCCTCTCCTACAATCTCCTGGGCACCCTCTCCTTTTTTTTTTTTGGTGTGTTTGCAAATAAGTCATTTAATCATCCATTTCTTGGACAGTGAACACCAGGGATACAGAGCCAAGGAGTGGTGAGTACTAATTGGGTTGTCTGCCTCTGACAGAGGGTGAGTGACGGCCCAGCTGTTCAGACTGATGGCATCCAAATGACCTGAAATCACTGCTGTGGATTTACCGAGCCATCAATAAAGACTGCCTTTTCTTCCGTTAACATAATTAAGACAGTGAACTATTTGGGGGGAAGGAAAAAAAGAGAGGATCTGCACTAGGGACTCAGAGAACAATTAATTACATTTAAAGTTGCATCAATCTAAAAGTAAATAACCAATCTTCAGGTTGGGATCTTAGGCTCTTAGAAATCCGAAATAAACAATCACCCATAGGGGAAGGCGAAGGACACTTGGAAGGAGGGACAGTCCCCTCCCCACAGCAGGGAGCACAGCTGGCCTCTGCAAATAGAAGGCCAAGAGTAGGTGCAATTTTCTTCAAAGAAACATCAGTTGACTGGGTGCAGTGGCTCAGACCCATGATCCCAGCATTTTGAGAGGCTGAGGTGGGAGGATCGCTTCAGCCCTGGAGTTCAAGACCAACCTGGCTGCAAGACCTTGTTGTCTCTACACAAAAAATGTTTTTAAATTAGCCAGGTGTGGTGGTGCAAGCCTGTAGTCTTACTGTTGTCTTAGCTATCTGTAGGCTGAGGCAGGAGGATCACTTGAGCCCAGGACTTTCTGGCTGCAGGGAGCTATGATTGCACCACTGTATGCCAGCCTGAGTTGTCTCTTTAAAGAAAGAGAAAAGAAAGAAAAAAGAAACATGACTTCATAACCTTGGGAGCCATCTTCGTATTTTATCCTTAGATTGGCAAACACACCCAGTGCAAACAAGCAAGCAGAGAGGCCTCCACCACCGCAAAGGTTCATTTATGTCCTATTTTGAGAAAACCAGGAGAAATACACAAAAATCCAATTTTACAAAATAAAGCGCAGACAATTCACACTGCAAAAGGTTTCTTGACTTAGCCAACCTTTTCCCTAGGTTTCCTTAACCTGCCAGGTTCCCTCACACCCATTTCATGGTGCCTGAAACATTATGAAAAGCATTCATTAAAATTTTTGTCAGATGGGAAGAGTTTGAAATAAAATTTTACTTTTTCCAAGAAGATATTTACTATATAGAAAGATATCTGTTGAAGTTAATCCCTGTGTTTTTCCAGAGTCCCAGACATCAGCTCACAGAAGGAATTCAGTTGGGAGCAGAACGTCATCCCTTAACAGTGACTAGCCATGTGTACGTGGCAAATTCATCTCCCCAGGACTCAATTCCTCAGCTGTAAAAATAGAGAAAATAAAAATACCAACCTTCTAGGCTGATTGTGAGTATTAAATGGCAGTGTTAAATTAGTCCAGTGCCTACCTAGTATCCAGGAAACGCTCATTCTTTGCTGGCTCAGATTATAGACCCCTATAATCAGGAATCAGTAACCTCATTTGGAGACCAGGGAAGATACGAGCAACAGGCATTAGACACAAACTTGTCACATAATATTTCAGTGACAATGTTGAAAGCTAAAATGACTCACAATGCCCAGAGCAACCCCGAGACCACCTCTGACACTTCTGTAAACAATCAGTCACCTGCTCAGAGAAAAAGGAGAAACAATTGTATAAGACAAAAACATTGCTGTAAGAATATATGAAATATTTCAGATTTAAACTGTTTTTAGAGCTCAAGCCAGGGCACAGTGCTTGGGTTTCACACTCATTATCTTATGTAATCTTCTTAGATGTCTGTAAGCAGGTACAACTATTCCATTTTACAGATGAGGAAACTGCCCAGAGAGGTTTTGCAATTTACAATGGCTACGTCAGTGGAGAGCTGGAATGAGAATCAATTCTGCTTGGCCAAGGCCCATGCTGGGTTGCTCAGCGCCCCCAAGGGGCCTGAAGACTACCATTGTGACTGTCACTCTTTCTAGAAGTGTGGATTGATGAACTGCTGCCAACAGGACAGAAAGGGAGAAAGAATGGAGATCGCATAACTGTGTCGCCTCATGAAACAGATTTACACAGACAAGCTTAGGGAAGCCAGGTCTCCACTCTCTCTTCTATTAAAAGGCAAACACTCGGGAGAGATAACAGGCTTTGCTTGACAGTATACTGAAAACCAGATTCAGGGAGAAGAACAGCTGGAGGGATCTGGCAAGAGAAGTGGAAGCAGGATCAGGGAGACCAGAGACCCCTGAGGTCCATATCTCTGCCTTGTGGGGTTCATTTCCAGGATAAACACTGGCCTTCTGACCCTTTTCATTAAAATTTCCCTTTTACAAAAAAAAGCTCAAGCACAGCAATGTTAATCTTTGCATATTGTGATTGATGCTAGAAATTGGGCCTAATGAAATAATTCAATCAAAGGAAAAAGGCTGTATGCCTAAGAAGATGTTCACTATATCATCACCTATAACATCAAGAAGCCAAAAAGAGACAACGTGGCCAACCACAGACTATTTGTTGGGAAAGTAAATAACGCAGCAATGTGGTAGAATGTTATATATCCATTAAAGCGTACACAGGTAATGATGTCATTTTCCATAAACCTGTGGTGAGAACATGATGTCTGCTGTAGTGTGATTCTATATACCAGGGGTCAACAAACACAACCCATGGGCCAAATCTTCACTTGCTTTGACAAACAGTTTTATTGGAACAAACTATAACCATTCATTTCTGCATTTTCTACGGCTGCCTTTGTGGTCAAATGGCAGAGCTGAATGGTTGCAGTAGACACAATACGGTCTGCAAAGCCAAAAACACTTGTTATCTGGTCTTTTATTTAATTAAATAAAATTTTTTTAAGATAAGGTCTTGCTCTGTTGCCCAGACTGGAGTGCAGTGGTATGATCATAGCTCACTAGAGCCTCAAACTCCTAGGCTTAAGTGATCCTCCTGCCTCAGCCTCCCCAGTAGCTGGGAACATAGGTGTGTGTTACCACACCTGGCTAATTTTAAAATAGTTTTGGTAGAGACAAGGTCTTGCTATGTTGCTCAGGCTGGTCTCAAACTCCTGGACTGAAGTGATTCTCCCACTTCAGCCTCCAAAAGCACTGGGATTACGGATGTAAGCCACCTGTCTGACCTTTTACAAAAAATGTTTGCTGGCCGGGTGCAAAGGCTCTTGCCTGTAATCCCAGCACTTTGGGAGGCCAAGGCAGGCAGATCACCTGAGGTCAGGAGTTCAAGACCAGCCTGGCCAACATGGTGAAACCTCATCTCTACTAAAAATACAAAAATTAGCCAGGCGTGATGGTGAGCACCTGTAATCCCAGTTACTCAGGAGGCTGAGGCAGGAGAATCACTTGAACTCGGGAGGCAGAGGTTGAAGTTAGCCGAGATCATGCTACTGCACTCCAGCCTGGGTGACAGAGTAAGACTCTGTCTCAAAAAAAAAAAAAAAAAAAAAAAAAAAGGTTTGCTGACCCCTGCCCTATATTATCCATATATCTTATATTCTTTTGTATCTGTTCAATATTAAATTTTAAAATTATTTTAATTTTTTAAAAAGTTTCAGTGAACATTGCTGATTTTTGACACGTAGTCAATGCTTTCTAAAAATGCAATCAATTTATAATGCCATCAGCAAGGAGTTGGGGTATCATTTTTACCCTGTATACACTAAATATGTATCTACTATTTTGTTGCTGATTTAGAAGGTCTAAAATAAGGTCATTTCTTTCTTTGATTAGTAACAACTTAAATAATTCTTTAAGACTCATAGAAAATTATCTCAGCAAGCTCTTTCAAAGCATAAATCTTTTGTTTGTTTGTTTGTTTTGTTTTTTTGAGACGGACTTTCACTCTTGTTGCCCAGACTGGAGTGCAATGGCACAATCTCGGCTCACTGCAACCTCCGCCTCCAAGGTTCAAGCGATTCTCCTGCCTCAGCCTCCCAAGTAGCTGGGATTACAGGCATGTGCCACCATGCCCAGCTAATTTTGTATTTTTAGTAGAGACAGGGTTTTTCCATGTTGGTCAGGCTGGTCTCAAACTCCCAACCTCAGGTGATCCGCCCACCTCAACCTCCCAAAGTGCTGGAATTACAGGCACAAGCCACCCGGCCTCAAAGCATGAATCTTGTTTCATGTGTTCTTGATTGATGAGCTATGAATTGGGTATCTTTAGGTTAGGGACCTCACCACCGGAGCACAGCTCAATCCACTAGTTTTAGCCACAGTCTGCATCCCCCACCTTCTACCTACTCTCTGAAGCCAGCTGTGCTCTCTGAAAGGGTTCAAAATACACTGTTCGAGGTTTTTCTATATCTGTAACACTGGAGTTTAGACTAAATCCTCTGAGAAATCCACATAGGGTTACAAACAGGCACACTGTCATTATCTGTAACTGCCACCCATAATCTCAAGTTCAAGCATCCCTCTCTCTGCTATTGCCCCATATGTCCCATTCACCCCATCCAGTCCCTAGTCTTACCAGCACCTTTGACCCATTGACCTTTTACTGTCCACCACCCCCTTGTGGTCTCACTTCCCTCCACTCCCAGTATAGAGTCCCTGGCCCAACCCTATACTTAACTCCCTTTGATCTATGCCAAGCAACTCTGCCACTCTCTCCCTCCATCCAGGCACTAACCAAGAAAACCTTAACTCTGTTTAATCCAGCCCCTCACATTCTGTATATCTCAATCTGGCAGCTCAACTTTCTTGGAGAAACAGAGACAACATGCAGACTCTTAGTTTAAATTCACAACCTCAAAACCTTAAGTGGCCCCCTGGTGGTGTGTGACAATCCTCCTACCTGCTTCCTCTCTCTACTTGTTCCCTGTCTTCTCCTCCCTTCTCAAACCTCTAATAACCCTTTGCTCTTTATCACTCTCAGCTGGTCACTTTCCTGCTTTTCTCACTGGGTAAATTGAAGCAGTCCAGAGAGAAGGTTCACTTGATAATCATAATAGCAAACACAGCACTCACTCTGTGCCAGGCACTGCTCTGAATCCTTCACACGTCAGTATGCATACATACAGAGCGGCCCTATGAGGAAGGTACAATTATCAACCTCCTTTTAAAGATGAGAAAACAGAGGCACTCAGATGCAAGGTAATATATAGATAGGAACTCAGTGGGGATGCCAGCCCAGGCAGTCTGGCTCAGAGCCATGTGGTTAACCATGAGGGTCTCCTGCCATCTTCTGGTGTCTGCACCCCTCTCTCTGCCTGCCCCCCTGCTGCAATGGATGCATTATGCTATCTCTGGCCAACTCCCCTTCCATGCACTGGATCCCATGCCCTCTCACCTCCTCAAATTCCTGCACTCATCTGCTTCCTCTCTCCTGCAGCATTTTTTCTTCTGTCTCCTAATCCCATCAGCATTCAAGCATCTTAAGAAACCAAATCTCCCTTAATTTCAGATACTCCTACAGTTTCCACCCAATTTTCTGTTCCCTTTTATATCAAAGTTCCTTTAAAGAGCTATCTTTACTCCCCGTCTTTATACCACATTT
Organism: Homo sapiens; assembly: GCF_000001405.40. Classification (NCBI taxonomy): domain Eukaryota; kingdom Metazoa; phylum Chordata; class Mammalia; order Primates; family Hominidae; genus Homo; species Homo sapiens. The sequence goes on from NC_000003.12 coordinate 31,696,443, forward strand.
TTTCCCATTCTCCCTTGAATGCACTCCCATCAGACTTTGGCAAAGCCAAATACAATGGTCCATTTGCAGGCCCCAGCTTTCTTGACCCATCAGCAGCAATTCAACACAGTTGATCAATTCTTTCTTCTTGATACTCTCTCTTCACGTGGCTTCCACAACATCACACTCCTCTGACTTCTATCTTACTTCACTGGCTGAACCTTCTTCATCTCCTTTGCTAGATTCTTCCCATCTCCCTGACCCCTCCATGTTGGAATATCCCAGAACCCTGTAATTGGATATTTTTCCCCATGTCTCTACTCACTCTCTAGAGAAACTCATCCAGCCTCACGGCTTTGACCACCATCTATACATTGTTTCCTCTCAAACTTGTACCTGAGCCTCACTCATGAACTCCAGATTTGTATATATCCAAATGCCTACATGTCCTCTTGAATGCCTAGTGGATGGATATCTCAGACCTAATCAGATCCAAGACTGGATTTGTGATAGCCCCAACATCTCCAACGTGTTCTTCCCTAGTCTCCTCCTCCTCCATAAAATGGAGTGGTAATCTGTTACACTGATGACTTCCAATGAACCACACCTCCTGGAATTTACACTCTTGCATAATCCTCCTTCAATCTGGCCTGAATCTGTGACTTACTTTAATCAATAAAATAGAAGTGATCTTGTGCCAGTTTGGGGCCTAAGTCTTAGGAAGGCTTACCGGCTTCCACTTTTGCCCCCTTAGAAGCCTTGAGCTGCCATTTAAGAAGTCGGGCGACCCAGTTGGAGAAACCATGTGGGAAGAACACACGGAGAGGGAAAGGTCCTAAGACTTCATGAAGAAAGAAGAGCCCAGCTGTTCCAGCCAAGTCCAACTCACCAGTGAACAACAGGCAAGACCAGCAGAAGAGCTGCCCCGCTAAGCCCATTCCAGATTGCATAACCATGAATAAAAAAAATTGGGGGGGGGTTAGTTACCAGCAATAGACAATTGAAACAAATGGCAACTAATAATAAATGGCAATTAATAATAAAACAATAAAACAAATGGCAATTAGTAATTATTATTCTAGCTGTTCAGGCCAGAAATAAAAGAATAAAACAAAATTTAAAAACACAATAAAACAAAAAATAAAAAACAATAAAACGAATAGCAATTAATAATAATAATTATTCTAGCTGTTCAGGCCAAAACTTTACAGTCATCTTTTATTCCTCTCTCTCATACTGCACATCATATGCAAATCCTGTTGGCAGTATCTTCGATGCACATCCAGAATCAGCCACTAGCACTGTGCCACCAGCACCTCACCTAGGTTATTACAGTAGCTTCCTCCTCTTTTTTTTTTTGAGATGGAGTCTTGCACTGTCACCCAGGCTGGAGTGCAATGGAGTGATCTCAGCTCACTGCAACCTCCGCCTCCCGAGTTCAAGCGATTCTCCTGCCTCAGCCTCCCAAGTAGCTGGGATTACAGGCACCCACCACCACGCCCAGCTAATTTTTTGTATTTTTAGTAGAGACAGGGTTTCACTATGTTGGCCAGGCTGGTCTCGAACTCCTAACCTTGTAATCCACCCACCTCGGCCTCCCAAAGTACTGGGATTACAGGCGTGAGCCACGGTGCCTGGCCAGCTTCCTTCTCTCTTCTACCCTGACCCCTGCTGTTCACACCCTAGTCACCCCACCTCAGTCTATTTTTCACAGCAGAGTCAAAATTACCCTTTAAAAATACAACTAAGCAGGTATGGTGGCTCACGTCTGTAATACCAGCACTTTGGGAGGCCAAGGCAGGTGGATCACTTGAGGTCAGGAGTTTGAGACCAGCCTGGGCAACATGGTGAAACCCCATCTCTACTTAAAATACAAAAAATTAGCTGGGCATGGTGACACGCACCTGTGATCGCAGCTATTTGGGAGGCTGAGGCAGGAGAATCACTTGAACCCAGGAGGTGGAGGTTGCAGTAAGCCAAGATGGCACCATTGTACTCCAGCCTGGGTGATAGAGCGAGACTCCATCTCAAAAATATAAAATAAAAATAAAACAAAAATACAAGTAAGGCCACATATTCCCTTGCTCAAAACCCTCCAATGGCCACCATATCACTCAAAACAACATCCTGAGCCCTCACAATATCCTAAACGGCCCTATAACCTGCTGTCTCACCAACTTACTCTCCTGCCAATCCCACTCAATTCACTCTGATCCAACCACATTGGCCTCATGCCCAAATGCCAAACAAGGTCCATCTTGGGCCTTTTTCACCCCCATCCCCTCCGGCCAGAACACTCTTCCGTAGATGCTCACATGGCTGGCTCCCTCATTTAAATCTGGTCTCCACTAGAATGTTACCTAGTAGAATCCTACCCTGACCAGTTTACCTAAGAGGGACCCCCGTCCCACCACTAGCTACCCTCCCTGATATGCTCTATTTCTCTTCATTATACTTCATCTCCATCTCCTTTTCTTTTCCCTCCCTCCTTCCCTCTCTCTCACTTGTTTCTTGTCTGTTTCCTTCCATCATCACTCAGGCCCCATCAGGGCATGGATTCTCAATGTTCTGCTGCAATCCCAGTGTCTAAAACAGTATCTGGCATGTGCAGTGCTCAACAAATACATGTTACATGAGTGAACACGTTACAAATTGTTGCTTTTCATATCCCTGAAAACTAGGTAAAAATGGTCCTACACCTGCAAGCTCAATATTGCATTTTGTGGGCCCTTCTCCTTGGAGCTTGGAACTTGGCACAACAGTCATGTCAGGATCTCCTGAATACCACATGATGTTACTCATTTGCTCAAACTTTCCAAGGCTTCCCATAGCCCTCAGGATCAAGTTTGTCCCCTTCACATGGCCCATAGGCTCTGCAGGACCTGATCCTAACGTCCACTCCAGGTTCAATGGAGCCACTCACCAGCATGCACAACACGCCAGACCTTCGGTGACCCTCCACCTCACTGTGGTTCCTCCATCCTCTCTTCTTTTCTAGGCTACCCACAATTTGTGGAAATACAGTGGGTTATTCCAGTGGAGGTAGTCACCAGTAACTTGGGGTTATGGTGCCACCCTGAGGAAAGAGGGCAGACAAGGGTGCTTCTAGAGGCAGGACCAGCTACATGCTGTGTGGGGCACAGTGGAAAGTGAAAACACAAGTCCCCTTGTTGGAAAATTATTAAGAATTTCAAGACAGTGATAGCAGGGCATTAAACCAAGCATGGAGCCCTTCTGAGCATGGGGTGCTGAGCAACCTCACAGGTCAAACATCCACGAACCTGGCCCTGTCTGGTAACCACAGTGAACCATCGCAAGATACAGCACTATGTGCCCAGTTGGGCTGGTAATGACTCACAAATGTGTCAACACTGGCACATCCTCAGGGACACGGAAGTGTACTTGTTTTTGGAGAGGGACTAGACCTTCATCCTTGAGGTGAAGAAGATTTTCTCTCCAGGGTGCCTGCTCATCAGATACTCCATTCTGGCTAAGTTCTTCCATTGCTTATTTAGTACAGGCTTAATTTAATGACATGGACAACTGCCAAGAAGAGAAAAGGGGACAGTACGGAGAGAGGAAATTTCATCAACCTTTTTATAATACAGGGCAACAGAAGCCAAGAAATCTCATGGGATAGTAACAGTTCTACCTCTTTCCCTCACAAGTATTTCAGCTTGTCAAGTCTTCCTTTGGTTTTTGAATGACAGAGTCTTCCAAGTAAAGTAAGTTAATAAACTATAGACAGGAAACGTTATTCTTTCAGGTACTCAACTGAGTATTGGGAGAAATGCAATGTCTGCTCTTTCAAGAAGAGGCTGTGGCTCTGGAAATGCAAAACAATCATATTCTAATAAAACAATAATAAATATGAAATGCACAGTTGTGATATTTCTTTATTTTAGAGCAAGACAGGAATAACGTGAAGTCGCTCAGACACTCAGCTTGCCATAATATAGTCCCCTCAATATTTTCTTGCTTCTCCATATCTGACCTTGGCAATTTCAATTTCTCTTACAATCTCTTTCCTCCATCATTCATGATTCTGAGTTTTATAAACATTAAAAAAAAATCCACAATGAGAATATATCCTACATCGTTACCCAGTACACATGTATCAAAAGAACTAGGTTTCATGTGCAGAATGCTCTGATATTTTCTTCTGTATTTTATTTCATTCTTTAGAAATGGTGGCCTGACCTCCACTAAATTGGTTTCACAACTCACTAATGGTTCATGACCCAGTTTGGAAACACTGTGATTTTAGATTGTACTTGTACACGTTATCATCCACACTTCATCAAACTTCAACTCAAGCTCTGTCTGGGTGTCTACACAATCCACAAGAATAAAACATGGGCATCTTTTAAAAGCCAAGCACTTAAATGACTCCTGTAGCTGAAAAAACAATAAGCATTATCCAGCTAGGGGACTGAGATGAAGGGAAGGCAGCAGCATGGAGAACAAGTCGTCATAGCTTGGTGTGCAAAACAGAAGCAGCCACACAGAGGGTGGAGGATGGTGAAGAAGGAACTTTCTATGTCTGGCGTCCTCAGTGTGGGCCCACTGTTTTGTTTAAAGTGGTGCAGTCTCCCAGAATATCAGACACGCTCACATTCAAACCCATGAAAACACTTCAAAGAAAAGATTTGTCTGTCATCTGAGAGGCTCCTATCTCCTCAGTCTCTCTCCTGTCTTCTATAAATGGTTAGTCACTCTGTTCTGTCATCTTCCTCCTCAAAGAATTCCTCACACTACTGCCGCTTCCCTCTCTCTTCTCTTGCCCCCTGCCTAGTCCGAGATGAGATTGTGGAATCCAGAGCCTCCACTGTGGCCAACCAAGCCAACTGCCCTTAGGGCTGTTCCCCAGGCTGTGCCTTCAGTGGCTCTGACATCCATATTTTTCTAGCTGGCCTTCAGAATCTAGAACTTCCTTCCCCAGCACACCCTCCCCGCAGATCATGTCTGTCTGTCTGTGTAACAGCTGCTTCTCTACCCTACCACAGTCGAACCACATAACATAGCATTTCGTAAGGATAAGATGGTGACGCACTTGCTAGGAGCTCAGCACTGGGTTAGGTCCTCCGCACGCCTCATGCGATTCTCACACCACCGTGCCAGGAAGGCTCCCAACTGGAGTAACTGGCTGGGAGTGGAGCCCAGGAAGGCTGAACTCCAGGCTCTTTCTACCACCTGACAATGGCCCCAGTGACACCACACAAGCTTTCAGCTACGTACAAAATTGCCTTTCCTGCTTGCCTCTAGAATGAAGCTACTGACTAGAGGTGAGGGGTGACGTATGTGGGACCCTCTCCATGACGTTAGTGGTCAGGACACTGGTTCTGTTGGTGAGGTTCCTCAGGAAGCATCCTGCCTGCACTCAGCACCAAGAAGAGTTGGTTCCACTTCTACCTATGGCAATGAGATTTGGATCAGCAACAAGGTTACCCTTGGGGACCAGCTGTTACAGCTAAGGACAGCCCTCAGAAGGTCGTGAGGTTGGGCGTGTAGAGTGGCGTCATTCCTGGTGCCACCATTTCCCTTCCCCATCTTTTCCCTCTATGGCCACTGTGCATAGCCATCTCTATAGGCCACCTACAGTTATCTCTAGAACATAGCAAGAAACAAAGAAATAGTACCTTGAATTTTCCATACCATCTCATATGCTTTTTCTGATGTTCTCCCTGCCCTTGTAGAGTAGCAACAACTCCTCCCAAGATCAAATGCAGGGCTGTCCAGCCCTGAGGATAACCATTTATGTACAAATGTCCTTTCAAATTATACCTGGAATATCCATACTTGAAAGCAATGCTGGCCTTTTTCCCCACTCTTCTTCTCCAATCTCACCACAACGAAAAGAATGTGCATAGAGAAGGCTTGAGGATAGAGACAGAACCCCAACAACTGACCACAAATCCAGGGGACATGCCAACCTACCTTGGTCAAATCCATTCCAAGTTTGAGTTGTGAAATGAGATGAAGAATTATACTACGCTGATCCTCCATGACGCCCAATTCCGTCTCTTCCTTATCTTCATTGTCACTTTTTTCATCTTCAGACAAAACCAATTCAGAGCCTGAGTTTGGCTAAAATGAAATAATCAATAAAAATCACCAGCTGGCCCAATAGAAGTTAGAAATAAAGTGTATGAATTCACATGCTTTGCAATGACAGAAGAAACCCAATCCTGTCCCGGGCAGAGCTCCTCTGTGACCCAGTCCTATTGGCCACGGGGCAGACAAGTCCCCTGGGGGTCGGACCTGTGCCTTGGACACTGCATATCCCCTTTCATCTCTCCCGTCATCCCTGATTAGTGAGTGTAAGGACTTCCCCTGACAAAACAGCTCCCTGTTCTTTAAGAAACTAACTATAGTATATGGGTATGAGCCCCCTTCATTTTGCCTATTAGCAAGTAGGAGTTTACCAAAGTTAGACTCCTGTTAACTTGCACAATCCAGGCCACTTCATATCTAATATAAATTTTTCTGTTTATAAGTAAAAGTTGGATTATCCAGGGACTAAAATTATTTATGGAAAAACGTGCTCTAAGACTATTTCTACCCAAATCAATTAGGATCACTCTAGCAGGTATAAGAAAATGCTGAGAATTGGCATTAATTTAGGGAGGAAGACAACAAATGAAAATTTAAGGCAAAACTGAAACTTTATGATACTACTGGGATTCACACTGGCCAACATACCCTGCTTTCCTCGATGCAAGTTTATTAATTCAATCACTCAATTCCAATTTTTCACATTACATAGAAAACAGGCAACTTAATAAACTGGGCAAGGGGATTATTGCACATAAAATTTTCCAGTATCCAAGTATTAAGGACTCTGGTTACAAGGTTAACTTGCCCTCAGAATTCTATTGAAAGAAGTATCCACATTCCACACTCCACATTTACCTATGTTCTTATGATGCTTGCTTACATATAAGCAAAAGCACTCTGCACAGAACATTATACATTTCTTTCCAATTATCAATAACAGGTCAGACATAATATACAGAAATTCAGAAGCTCAAAGATGTTAAACATGAAAGGATACAGACTTGTCCAAATGTCCATGCAAAAAACGAACAATTTACTAACCTCATTAGACAGAATCATCTTATATCTACAGGCACTTCTAACATACAAAGGTTATTTTAGTGGTCAAGGTGTTTAAAATTGTCTGGCCTTACATACCCACACGGACCATTCCTTTCCAACATTCCAAAGAGAGGTAATAACGGTGTTCCTTCCCTCCTGGGGTAGGCATTTTTAAAACTTCAACGTAAATAGACGTTTTCCACAGACATACTCCTAAGGTGTTCTCAATCAGCTCTAAATAACCCCAATTCTAAAGAGATGGTTGGGAAGATCTCAGTGAAGCCCACAGGATATTCCCCCAGCCAAAAGCTGAGTTTTCTTTTATTATGTGCCCAGTTCTCTAGCCACCTCATAATGGGTATTATCTGACGTCATTGGCAAGTTGCTTTGCTAGATTATGCTGAAATAATTGAGGAATCCTTACCTATGCTAACCCTGAGAGGAAGAGCCAGAGAGGGAAGTCTCTGAGCTGTGAGCTACCCTGATTCTACACTGGGAAGTTAGGGGTAGAAGCACACAGGAGCCCAGCACTTACAGCCAGTGGCCCTGGGGGTCTCCTCCAGCTCCACCTCATGACACCCCGTGCTGCTGCGTGACTGCTCCTGGTGCCAAGGCCACCGCTGCCATGAGTCTGAATGGCTAATGCTGAGATTAGCAGGGCCTCCCTTCTACTGGCCTGTCCTCCTGGCTCTCCTCCCTTTTGCCTCTTCTGGATTTCAGGTCAGTTTGAAAGTGGGTGGCTGTCTCAGCTCCCTGTGAGCTTCCATTTCCAGTCTACGCTACGGAAGTCAGAGAGCTCAGACACAAATCCCTCCCAATGGCAAAGGTGCTATAGCTGCAACTTCCTCTGCAGTGACCCGGTGGGCAGTAATCTGTATTAGCAGAATTCCTCTCATGCCAGCACCAGCTGGGGGAGGAGAGGGTAGTGCCTGGGCATTCTGCTTTGGGAAGAAAAAGGACAATCAAAACCAAGTGAAATCCAACCACCATGGTGTACCCAACAGGTGGAGTGGGCTGCAAAGTCCTTAAACATCTCAACAGGAGAAGTAGCTCCATTTTGCGGGCAATTATTTTCTGCTTGAAATTAGCTGTTCTCACCAAGAATGGACTGCATACTAAATCAATTGCTCCACTGAGGCTGCCATAAGCTTCATGAAGCAAAGAATGATTCATTCTTCTAAAGCTGTGATTTCCTATTTGCTCACAAGCCATTGCAGGGGAAATCCTCATCTTTCCCACTCACTGCTACACTCACTGTGATGTGTTTATAGACCTTCGGGGACCACACCTCCTCCAGCTGTCTGCCTTACTCGAAAATTAGACCCAGCTTGTCCCTGACTTCTAGTAGCCAGAAAGTCTTCCACAAGATCCAGCCGCATGATACGGAGTACACACATAAATGTGAAAACAAACCCCTCCATCCTTTCCCACTGTAAATCAACAGCACATGCCCTCTGTGTCTGACAATTCCTCTCAAAGACAGTGGCTCCAGCAGAGGAAATTAAGGCTGGTGCAGGTGCCCCAGAAGCTGAGTCATCCGGGATGACTGGTGGCCCTGAAGTCCCGCCCACAGAAGGACGGCCATGGGAGCCTGGCACACTGCCCCTTGGTGGCACAAATCCTGAGCAAGCCATGCCCTAACCTTAAACAAGGACCTAGGACTGTTTTCTCTCCCACAGCCTCTGAGAACTTGCCCTTTCTCTCCCAATGTGATTTGTAAACAATTCTCCTACCCAGCCTCAAGTAAATATCAGAGTTAAGCTGGTTTCATACACCATGTTGACAGTAAACATCTTAGAGGACACTTTCAATCCACCCACACTGCAGCTCAGTCCATCTGCACAAAGAGAAGACCCCCCCCCCCACCCCCATCGCGGTCCAACTTGGGGGTACATAGATGGAAAGGCAGCAGTAGTCAGCAGGTCAACTCTGTCTGAAAGAGGTCCATGGCAATGTAAATACCAATCTACTGGCAACCACAAAGCACCCACATAGACAGGCACTGCAAGGAATGGAGGGTTTGAAGAAGCAGGTCTTGATGGAGTTTTAAAGACACAAAACCTCCTTCCCTTTCAGGGTCAAGGGTTTGTTGATTCCGCTACTCTGATGTGGAATTCAAAGAGATGGATAATTATCATCCTTTCTAAGTGCTGTTTTCCATAATCAGGTCCCCGTGCTTATCCACATCCACACTCCCCTTCTCTCACAAAGTCCTACTTGTCTCCTGGGAGCCCCTGCACGCCTCCCCTCTCTGAATCTCTGCGAATTTTCACTTATAAAACAGTAACAACTCTCTCAAGGTCATCAAAAATGGCAGAACAGTGTTCCCCCATCTCTGAAAAATATGAATGTGAGAAACGGTTTCATACTGCTGAGAGAATTTATAAGACTTAAGCAGAAGAATCTTCAGATCCCCCATCCCCCAGAGATTTTTGCAAATGAGCCAGCCCAGCCACAAAAATGTATGCAAACTTGAAGATAAAATGGAATTAAAATATGTTTTAAAGAGAAGCAGGCTTTGGAAAAATGAGGATTTTAATAAAAACAGAAATTACGACAATATTTCTACCACACAAGCACCTCAGGGCATATGGTGCTACAAAAATCAAGCAACTGTGCCTATTAGCAAATGGGGAGAACGATAAGCGAAAAATCAATGGGCAGGAAAAAGCTTCACGGGCAGGCTGGGGTTTAGGGACATTCCCTGGTGACCCACAGTGACCTGTGCCCGGAGCAAGGGTTCTTGGCCTGGGTCACATGGACAGCCCTTAAGATATCCACCCCCATCCTTGAAATTTTATGCAAAAATTGTAAGTCTGGGCATTTTTCTGAAGAGGGGGTCCATAGCTCCCCTTGGATTCTTAGAAGGGTCTCTGCCCCTTCGCTGACCTCCAGCCTCTTGAGGACCAAAGGCTGAGACCATGTGAGAGATGGGGTCTTGGGCTGGGAATGGTCCAATCCAAGACAGTCACAGCATCTACAGATGTGACTCTGCCCTTAACCATGGGCCTCTGCTTCTTATCTAGTAAGGAGAAGGAGATATATGGGGCTATGCCACCGAGGCCAAAGCCAGGAGGCAAAACTGTGACGTGTGTTAGGTTTGTGTGGGTCCAACAGTCTTCTCAATGGGAACATCAATGTGGGAGAAACATTTAGCTTTGCTTTCATCTCTTAAACAAATATCTTAATTCTTCAATACAAATGCAGATTTCAAGCATGACTGAAATGCCAATCTTTTTATTCAATACATATATGTAATGTAACTACAGTTTGTGTCCCTCCCAGGAAAAAGCATGAAATAGACATTTGTCTGCAGAGTCCACTCATTTCCCTGTCACAGGCTTCGTTCACTCCACCCATGTCCCCAAAGGTACTCTCTTTCCTGGCACTTCACTCCTGCTTTCCCCTCCTCAGACAGATGACTCCCACCCCACCCCACCCTTCCTGCTTTAGTGAACTGCCTTCTCTCTTAACCTAGACCTGGCCTTCAGGTAGCTGGGGTCAACACAAGCAGTTTGATCTACTAACATCTCCTTTATTTGTACATGGCCTTATAACCTAATATCTTAATTCAGAGGACTGAATCCTCACTGGTTAGATTTGAGATATCATGGCAGAAGCCTGCGTGGTTCCATTACCTAACCATTAAAGATGCATTTTGCCTTTGGACAGGGAGCTTTTCTGTGCCAAACCAGGAATCACAGACATGCAGGGGCAAGAGGGTCTACTCTAGCACGGATTAAGACGACCTCCTAAAGCCATCTTATGCCCAAGTAAATAAGTATCCAATAAACAGACAATATCTCAACAGAAAAACAGCACCCACTGAACTCAAGTGACCTGCAACTTTCCTGAAAACCTATATGGCAAGGACAGACAATAAAGCCAGCTAGAGAATGAACATCAAATTCTCTTTTAGCAGCAAGCATATTGCAGTTCAATCATTTTTAAAGCCTGGCAACTTTCCCCACACACTGTTAACTTGGCAAGGAGGCACTGGGGTGAACTGAGCCATACCAAAAAACCTTGGCACTGAGTGACAAGACCATACACATCTAGATATGATCTTTTTGGGGAAATCTAGCCATGTCAAAAAAAATGGGTAGTCTGAGGGTCACAGAAATGCAGGCAGTAGGTGAGAAGACCCAAAGCACCATGCTCAGATATCCTCAGAAAAGAGAACTGTCAGGTACACAGCAGCATGGCAAAGAAGTAACCAGGGAATGATGTCCCCTCATAGACAAATTATTTCTCAATTCCATAACTACACAGAACAGGCAATAACATGCACTAATGGCCACCAGGGCAAGTGTACTTATGTTTTCTAGGGGAAAAGAGTCAACAGAGGCTGGTTTCCCAACAAATGAGAGGTTCTAGAAAAATAAAGAGTGTGGAGTTGAGACATAGATAGAGGCTAGGGACTGGAGAGATTGGAAGAGTAGGCAAGTAGAAGACAAAGGGGATAAATCAAGAAACACAGTGATTTTACAGAAGAGAAACAAAGGGGTCTCAGTGTCTATGAGGAGCAAGTGCCCAACAACCAATTACTGAATCCATTTTTCAGGTCTTCAGTTAAAATTTTTAAATTTTTTATTAAATTAGAGACAGGGTCTTGCTATGTTGCCAAAGTTGGTCTCAAACTCCTGGCCCTCAAGTGATCCTCCCATCTTGGCCTCCCAAAGTGCTGGGATCACAGGCATGAACCACTGCACCCGACCTTCAGTTCTAACAATAATAGTGTTAGTGTTTGCAGTACAGAATCCATAAAACCAAGGACTTAGTCCCTTTTATCTCTAGTCATTTTCTCATTCCAATATGTACAGCATATTTAACCAAATTATCACAATCATTACATAATCCTCACAGTGTATCTTCACAATCAGTGACATTTCTTAAGAAGCCCCATCTAACAGGCAAAGGTCATGAAAACTGACATAGCCACATCTGAAGATCCAGTCCGACTCTGTATATATGTCAATAACATCAGCATAGCCCAGGGTATATAAAGACGGCCAGCAATCCAGGAAATTTCACTTGGCCTTCTTGTACCCATTTCCAATAAGCAACTCATATCACATGACTACCAAGTGCAAGGCATTCACTACTACATGCTTGGAAAAAGTATCTCCCCTGAGGACACAGAGATAGAAAGTTTTGGCATATGAATGCCAAATGGTTGATCCTGATGAACCTACTGTCCTTCCCACACACTGCACAGGTGAGATTTCTCCTCTGGAAGAGTCTTTTTGGTGGCTGTGTCTAATTCTCCAAAAGTAGGCCATCTTTGTTGGGTAGAGGGTATCTCAGCTGAAAGGGTGGATGTTCCACTTTGGTCAGAAGTCATGCCGAAGACAGAAGCTGTGGACACATGCCTTCAGCTGGTGTCTGGTATAGCTGGTACCCCTTGGCCCTGCTGCAGGGCGGCTGTTGAAGGCTCCTGCACACGTACTATCCTCTACATGGAGCCACTTCCAAAGCCAGGCAACCAACTGTGCCTCAAAGGCCACCGGCGAATTTAGGGGACCTTATCTTGCCATTTGGAGGTAGATTCAACAACGAGGCCACTGTGAGGGGAACCCGATGGAGAAGCTGGATCTTATCCTTGACAGGTCCAAGTACACGCATGTCCACACAGCAAGCTAGTCCCAGCTGCCTTTCGGAGATGCTGAGTTTGTCGTCACTGACATCACAATCCTCCTGCCGCCTCCCAGGGGATGAGCTGGCTGGCTGGCTCTAACCACACATACACACACATTTACCACACTTGGCTCTTATAGACTGGAAGGACAGATGCTCTTCCTGAGCAAAGGGGCCGACCTGCAGAAAGGTTAGTTTTAAATAAAACACACCCTGGAAGGCAGAAGGAAGTCACTTCTGGGGAGGGGAGAGAGTGGGGGCATTTGTCATCAGCCAAGATAATTGGGAACAATTATATTGAGAGGATTCAACAGGCGTTCCTTTAAAACATTCGAGGGAAGCATTCACAGGAAATAGCAGCATGTCTTTGTCTAATTTCTACATTTCTGATTAGAAACCAGAGTCCTGCTATTTTTAAATGAAAGGGAAAAAAAGAAATCAAGAAATAGCAAGGAAAACCTAAAGAAAGTACAAAAAAGAAAAGGGAAGAAGCAGCGGCAAATGAAGGGGTAGGCAACAATTTTGCAGCTGAGCTTTTGGAGCGTGCCAGTATGAATACCAACTGCCAGCGTGCAGAATCCCAGAGGCTGCAAATCAAGCTTAGCATCAGCCTGCTGCCTGGAAAAGCAGGGAAAGGGCAGGGCCCCAACAAGACAGAGAGGGCCTCCTAGGTGCCAAGCACTGTGTCAGGTGCTTTACAGCATCTCAATGAGCAAGACACTAGCACTTTAAAACCAAATCCAGCGCTGAATTAATAACACAGCCAAGAGCTCTGAAAGACACCCTGAAAGCAAAGCTGTTTATGATTGTGGGGCCAAGGTCTTCAGGCAGCACCGATCACAGGAAGCTCATGAGTATTTGGGATAAAAGTCATAGTGAGGATAAGGAAGAGGCCATGAAATCAGAGACCACCACAGCTTTAGGAGACAGAGATGCACAAAAGGAAAGCTTGGAGATCTGGCTGCAGATAGTCCTGGAGATAAATCCTAAAGACGCTATGCCCCACCTGTAAGGCTCAGCCTTCCTGTCTCTAAAATGGAGATGGTACCACCTCTCATATCTGAGAGGCCTGCTCTAGGTCTCAACAAGGCAAAGCGTGTAAAGCACTGAACACAGTGGCTGGCACACAAGAAGTGCTTGGTAAACAGCCATGCTCTGACGAGGCCTGTGACGTTCGTACTGGGCACACAGTGGTATGTTGACTTGAGGTTGCTGCTAACACTCCTGCATCTTCCTACTTGTGCTGCTCCCCTTCTCCCCCCACAGCTTCCCTCTCAAAGCTGATTGACACCACCCAAGCTCCTCTCCTAGGCCTTCCCCACTGAGGGCTTTGGGGCTGCAGGGCCCTGTCCACGAGGTAAGCATCACTTCCCTGGTCTGGAGCTACACTAGGAAAGGATTCAGAGAACTTTCAAATATGTCTCAATCAAGGTCACATGCAAATGTGTGAACTAAGCAAGACAAACACAAAGCAGCAAGTGCAGTGAATCAGAGATAGTATCCCAGCAACCAGCCCCAGAGGACCAGCTGTGGTTTGGAGGTGACAGGAGCAGCAGCCATCCACACCTGCCATCCAAACCTGCCATCCACAGCTACTTGAGTTCTCCAGACCTAGGAAAGGTAGGGAAGAAACTCCTTCAAGACCCCATTCTAGCCTTCCTGGAGCTCTGATAAGAGGGAATGCAATGGGTTTAGACATAAAGGCATAAGGGTAGGTTTAATGGTAAGCAGACACCAGGCCTGAAAGGGTTAATCACCTCAGCCACCTCCAATGCCCACAGGTAACAAAGCACCACATTAGATACTGAAGATAGAAATTTGCTTAAGATATGGTCTCAGCATTCAACAGGCTGGTGTTCTGGTTGAGAAGGAGTACATGGATCTTTCTTTCTCCTACCCCTGGAGACTAGTAAGTTTCAGACTGTAAGTTTCAACTCATGATTTGAGACTTAGTTCAACCATGTTTCACAGAGGTGGAGCCTCCATTCTAGCAAGGAGTCCCTAGGTGCTTCAGACATGCCCATTCTGGCACTTAGCAAAGTGGATTTATGCAAGTGCACACCTACTTTCCAACTGGACCAGAAATGTCAGCCCTCTTTTGGCAAAGGAAAATTGATTATTTGGGGCTGGCTACTCAGGGCCATGGGTGGAGGTGGACGTAGAGGCCATATACAAATCTGGGGAGAAAGAATGCTGTGATCAATTAGTAATATCAGCCAGTGGCTCAGGAGGGGAACGCAGTGGCCATGTGGTTGTCAGCTTACCTTAATCGGAATTCTTTCATGGAGGAATCCTAGCTAACTGAGGGTTTCATTTCTAGAATTCCAACACAAAGGGTGGTTTATAACAGATGTACAGTAAGTTCTTAAAAGGAATGAATTTATAAAACCAAAAAGAAAGCATGGGAAACTTGAGTGTGCAAGGACAAAATCTAGATTTAACAGGACAGCCAGTCACAGAAGGCCAGGTGTTGTGATTCCACTTCTATGAGACATCCAAGACAGGCAACAAAGATTAGTGGTTGCCAGAGGCTGCGAGGATGGGTGGAATGGGGGTGACAGCTAAAGGGTCCAGGGCTTGTTTTTGAGGTGATGAAAATGTTCTAAAATTGACTGTGGTGACAGTGACATACACCTGTAAATATACTAAAATCCACCAAATGGTTGGTACAATTTAAATGGATAAATTGTATGGCATGCCTATTATATCTCAATAATGTTGTCATCAAAAATAGAAAAATAAATGAAAGGATATATGATGCAAAATCAAATAGCAAAGGCCAGGAGGAAGGGCGTGCCCAGGGTGATCAGAGGGGCTCACACAGAGAAGGCAGACTCTGGGCTGGGTGTCACCAAAGAGGAGCACTTAAAGTAGCCAAGAGAAGGAGGGGACAGTCCAACAGAAGAAATGATGCCAGCCAGGGATGAAGAGAACCTTACTGCAGGGAAGTACAGCTGAGGCCAAGCACATGGTTTTGGCCTTATAATAGGACTCATTCCCTTGGAGAGCCCATCTGGTCCAACAGCTTTCAATAATTTCTAAATGTATGTTTCCTAAGTGTGTATCTCAAGTTCAGCCTTCTCCCCTGAACTCTAGCTTTGTGCACCCAGTGGCCTATTCAACATCTCCCCCTTAGCTATCCGAGGTGGGCAGGATAGCAGACCCCTGAGCTGCCCACATCCTAATTCCCGGAACCTGTGTATACGGCACTTTAAGTGACAAGGGGGCTTTACACATGTGATTACGTTAAGGACCTTGAGATGAGGAGATTAACCTGGATTGCTGAGGTGGCCTTGATGTAAAAACATGAATCGCTAAAGTTAGAGAATCTTTCCACGCTGTGGACAGGAAGAGGAATATAGATGCAACGTTCCTGGCTCTGAAGATGGAGGAAGGGGCTGCAAGCCAAGGAATGTGGGCAGCCTCTAGAAACTGGAAAAGCCAAGGAAACAAATTCTTTCCTAGGGCCTCCAGAAAGCAATGCAGCCCTGCCAACACCTTGATTTCAGCCCACTGAAACCTGTGTCTGACTTCTTATGCAGAACTACGAGATGATAAATTAGCATTGTTTTAAATCAATAAGTCGATGATCATTTGTTACAGCAGTGAAAACACATCACCTAATGGCCATCTCAGACTTACTGTGTCTAAAACAGACCTTTCAATTCATACCTCCAAAATATGATCCTCCTCATCTCAGTAAATAACAGCTTTGTTTTTCTAATCACTTGGCCAAAAGCCTTGGCACCATCCTTGACTTTAATTTCTTGCTTACGCACTGTTCCACATCACATCCATCAGCAACTTCTGCAAATTATATCTAGAATCTCATGGTTTCTCACAACCTCAGCCACTCTGGCAAAGCCACCGTCACCTCTCTCTCCTAATTACTGCAACAGCTTCCCAGTCAGTCTCCTCACAGTAGCTAGAAGGCATCTTAAATCATAAAGTTCATCACATAACTCCTAAGCTGAAAGCCCTCTCCTCTTGACTCAGACTAAATGTCAAAGTCCTGACTGTGGCCCGTGAGGCCCTACACGATGTTGCCCCCACGACTTCTCTACTCTTCTCTTGATCACGCTCCCCTCCTTGTTCATTCTGCTCACCCCTCCCAGCCACCTTCTGTTCTTGGAACACGCAAAGGACAGGCTTACCTCAGGGCCTTTGCACCTGCTCTTATAGGTCTTCTTCATCCATATCCCCCTCACTTCACTCAGATCTTTTTTTAATTTTATTTTATTTATTTATATTTTATTTTGTGACAGAGTCTCACTCTGTTGCCCAGGCTGGAGTGCAGCGGTGTGATCTTGGCTCACTGCAACCTTCCCCTCCCGGGCTTAAGCAATTCTCCTGCCTCAGCCTCCCAAGTAGCTGGAATTACAGGTGCATACCACCATGCCAGGCTAATTTTTGTACTTTTAGTAGAGATGGGGATTAGCCATGTTGCCCGAGCTGGTCTTGAACTCCTGACCTCAAGTGATCCGCCCACCTCATCCTCCCAAAGTGCTGGGATTACAGGCATGAGCCACCGCACCCAGCCTCACTCAGATCTTAACTCCAGTGTCCCCTTACCACAGCAACCTTTGACCGTCTAGGCCAGCACCACTCCCTCTCCTCCCTCTCCACCATTTGCTCCTTCCTCAGCTCTGCTTTTCCTTGCAGCACTGATCACTCTCAACTATATTATATGTGCATTTATCATCTCTCTCCCTTGCAGAAAGTCAGCTCACAGGAAGCAGGACCAAAATGTTTTGCTCGCCGCTGTGGCTTTATCAACAAAAATACTATCTGACACTGACTTATTCGTTGCATAAGTAAAGGAAATAAACAGCTGGCTTTCCCCTATGGAAATGAGGAACTGCTGAAGATTCTGAGGAGGCTGGGTAACAGAACTCAGGCCCTAGGAGATGAATGGTTGGTTAAGTAAGCAACGATATGATTGCACACAGAGGGGATGGGGCACTGAGAGCAGTTTTGGAAGACTCCTGCCACAGTCCAGCGTGAGGGAGACCAACATGCACTGGGGGGTGGTAGTGACATGTTTGACATCCTTCCTTCTCCTCTACTCGGTATACACGTAAGGCTCTGTGTTAGGCGCAGAGGAGGATTACAATCAGTGCAGGACATGGCCTGGGTCACCCTGGACACTGCAGCCTTGCTGGGCAGACAGTAGCTGGGTTTCGAGTTCCCGTATGTGGAAGATCAAACAGTGAGTTATTGCGGGGGCGCAGTAATCAGAGGGGAGGCAAGGAGCTGGCAGCAGGCAGGTAAGGAAGAGAGAGAGAAAGCACGAGAGGCAGCGGGGTGGAGTGAGAGGCAAAATGGACTAGTCAAAACTGTCTGCAGATTCAATTATTCTACTAAACACGATGGGCAAATAGAAAACAGCTAAGACGACACACATGGGCAGGCAGCATTCAGTGGGGAAAAGGGCCGTTCTCATCTCAGCTCCCCTCCTTTCAGCCCTGCGTGCACTCGAGAAAGGAACCCAGCAGCCGCGTCCTGCCTTTCCTGTTTTGCGCACCATCCTCCTAGTCACCCAGGCTTGAGACCTGCAAGTTCCCGGACACCTCCCATCTAGAGAGCCACCTGGCCCACCATCCCTTCCTTTCCTCATCTTTGCTGCTACCACACCCTAGGTTTTGACCACATAAATGTAGGGCCCTGCCAGCCTCCCAGCTCATCCTTCTGCTCCAGACGCCTCCTCTTAACACTGTCTTGTACCACACCACCAGAGTGTTCTTCCCCAGACACCCACTGCTCTGTTCAAAAGTCTTCAATCAAGCACATATTCTCAGGATCTCCTGAGGGCTGTGTCAAAAAAAAAAAAAAAAAAAAAAAGTCTTCAGTTGCTTCCCACTGCCCAGAGGAAAATGTCTACTCAGTCAGTACTTCGGTTTTCCTCAATCTGACCCATACTTCCCCTCCCCTCCTAAACTTCCTCTAGCCTAGTCTGAGGACAGTATACTCACTTCTCACCCTACTCTCTAGACTTGTGCTATCTAATCCAGAAGCTGTTAGTCACATTTAGCTATTTAAAATAATTAAAATTAAACACAATTTAAAATTCTGTTCCTTGATGGCACTAGCCACATTCAGACTAGTGGCTACCATATTGGACAGCATAGAAAGAAAATACTTTCATCATTGCAGCAAGTTTGATTGGAGAGTGGTGCTCTAACTTTTGATGGCCTCCCAATCAATTTCTACTCCTTCCACCAATTGTTATCTACCTGTAAGAACAGCATTGGCACCATGATGCTGGCTCTAACAATCTGGGCAGGAGCAATCCCTCCCTCCTCTAAATCCTATGTGTAAGTTTTACTGGGATCACTCGAACGTTACTGCCATGTCTATCTTTCCTTAATTTCTTGGTAATAGAAAGTTCAGTGGGAAGAGATTATTTTGAAAATCTAAAATTCCTGATGAAACACCACAGAACAATTTTACAAACACCTCCATTTCAAAAACAAACTGATGAAGGAATAATGTAGTTGGGGTGGCCAATAGTAATAAAATGATTCTGTGCCTAAAAACTTAAAGGAATTCTACTACCGATGATTTGCTTCTGTCATAAGCACTGGTCCATGCCGAGACTAGAAGTCTGGCTTTCTATATCCACAGTTGAAATCATTATTGACTTATGCTTTGTGCTGGGTGATGGATTTCTTCTCATCTGCGGATGGTAAATGGCCTTATTCAAAAAGAGACACGAGACTAAAGTCGACGGTACCACATCAGTGATTCTTTCGGAACTGTACACTTGATGCCACTAATTGCTAGACTGCCTTGCTTTTCCCACAAATTATGCAGTTACGGGCCTGAACTCTACGGCAGGGACAGCAGAAAACATGTAAAGCACTGTGGGAATGCAGAGTGGCAGCGGGAAAGGCTCTAAATTAGGTCTACTGTGGTCCCTGGACCTGCAGCAGCAGAATCACTGTGAACTGAATAGAAATACAAGTCTAGGGCCCCCCTCCAGACCTACAGACACAGAAACTCTGGGGGCAGGGCAGAGACCAGTATTTGTTTGGTTTGGGGTTTGTTTATCCTTTTAATTGAAATATAGTTATAACTTATACTTGGTACAATATACAAATCTTATTGTACAGTTCCATGAATTTTGACAAATGTATCACTTTATATCCAACTTCATACTTTTTGTTTAAGTGTATGGTTCAGGAGTATTAACTATAATGACATTATTGTACAACAGATCTCTAGGACTTTTTCATCCTGTATAGCAAACTCTATACCCACTGAACAGCAACTCCCTTGCTCCTCCTCCCTGCTCCCCGAGGCCCTCCAGGAGATTTGGGCGCACTCTAACATTTGAGAAGGTCTGCTCTAATGATCCCCGGCCATGGGGGCTATGAGGAACAGCAGAGAAAAGTAGCAGGTGTGATAGGGGCCTGGCTCCCAGGGAGGAGCAGCACAGGTGGTGTGCTACCAGCCCCTCAGATTCTCCAAACCCAATCCTAGGCGGCCAGTGAGGAGACGGCTCTGGCCTAGATGCTAGGGGGATCCAAACACAGACATATGGACAACTTTTCTCATAAACTTGTGTAGGCACAAGTTGAAGAAAATTATATTCTTCAACATTAGACAAGGTTCCAGAAATTTCATTTGATGACCCCAAAACAGATTCAGAAAGCTATCACCTTTGATTGGATAAGGGTGATTATATTTTCATCAGTGGCCACACCAGGCAGTCATTCAACTCCAACTTTGAATTTTATGTGTCCACTTTAATCATTTATGCTTCTCACCCAGAAATTCCCAAATAACACTCTCCAATGGAAATTTCTGAAGCGTACGATAACACAAAGGAAATAATCAGGAGCATCACAAACCACAGAACGGTTTTGATTTACAAGTCATTAGAAGCAAGAGGCATTTACTGTTCTTTGCAGGCCAAAAGGGACTGCATCATGAATAATGGAAAAAGCAAAATGCATTAAGAACTCTTCGGCAGATAATGTTATAATGTTCTCTCCAGGCCACGCAGAAGGTACATTTATTGAGGACTTTCCATGTGCCAGGCACATGTCAATACATACAGGGTAGCAGCCCAGTCTTTAAGGGATAAAATCAAGCAAGTCCACCCCATTTTGCTTCAAGAGGTAGTTTCTGGATCATTATCTTCTGACTCTCAAACCAGTGATTTGGTACCACAAGCAGATCAAGAGCTAGGAATATCAGAAACAACCCAAAGCTCAGGTCTTATTCTTTTTATTTTTCTTAAAGACAACTCTGGTATACGCCTATTCCGTCCTGATTTCTGTAAATATTAACAAACCAAGAAGAAAGCATCTGGCAGAAAACAGGCTCTAGCATTTTGTAGAAAAAAAAGAAATAAACCAAGAGCGAAACTACCACAGCCCTTAATTCCACAATGAGGAGGCACCAATAATGCCCCATTATAAAGCTGCAATCTCTAAATCCCACTCAATACCTTTTGGTCCAAACAGCAGGCATTTTCTATTCTCTTTAATTTGCATTATGTGTGTCCATTTTTCTAGCCACAGTGACACAGGATATTAAAAGAAGGTTTCCCTGTACTTTTACTCAAATGTGAAATGATACTCAGGATGTAAGAGGGTAATTGCAGCAATTCATATTTTTTTCACATTATTCCGCTGCCATAAACCCCAAATGAGGCTCACTATGTCCTCTGCTTTAAAAACTGTCACATTATCATGCTCTGCTTTGTCCTGCTCTCAAATGCTTCATTCAGTGAAAACTTCCAGGGGAAATTTGTGAGACAGCTGTAATCATCCTGGGGTAATGCAAACGGTATGTAGTAGCACTGTTAATAATCAGAACGGTGGGATTCTTATATTAAGCACAAAAAGAAGGTGAATTTTAAGATACAACTGTGCTCAGGTAGGACCTACAATCCTTTCAATACTAAATATTCTAGTTTTTGTTTGTATCACTCTGTTGCACAGAATTTCCATTTCTTCTTCTTCTTTTTTTTTTTTCTTTTGAGACAAAGTCTCACTCTGCTGTCCAGGCTGGAGTGCAGTGGCGCGATCTCGGCTCACTGCAACCTCTGCCTCCCAGGTTCAAGCGATTCTCCTGCCTCAGCCTCTCAAGTAGCTGGGACTACAGGTACGTGGCACCACACCCAGCTAATTTTTTGTATTTTTAGTAGAGACAGGGTTTCACTGTGTTAGCCAGGATGGTCTCGCTCTCCTGACCTCGTGATCTGTCTTCCTCAGCCTCCCAAAGTGCTGGGATTACAGGCATGAGTCACCATGCCCAGCCCCAGAATTTCCATTTCTGTAGCATAAAATAACACCATGATGACTTTCCAAGCTAGGTTTTCTGTCACTTTAGAGAATTTGTCAATTTAGAGATTTTGACAGAATTCTCTACTCCTGAACACATCTTCATCCCGTTTTCATAAAACAGGATCATGAAACGCATCCTTCATATGAGTTTCAAAAGTTTCAGAACAACTGAGAGTATGTAACACTTTATTGGAAATTGATATTTAACTGAATATTTTATCATGCTACACTTAATCCAATGTCTTTGAATTTCTTTTAAAAACTTTTCTGTCATTAAGTGTTTCATTTTCAAGGAACAAACGAATTGTTTTTTTCAACTTGACAAGTATCCTGCATAAAACTGCATTAAAAACCAGTAACATCAGACCCGGGATGGGGACGGAAGGTCCAAATCAGAACCTCCATGGAATGCATCTCTACATATTTTCACATCTGTTTTCAAGCAAGGAGCAAGACCAGCAAGAAAGTGAGGGTAGGAAAACTACCTCTTCACATGGTGCATTTCTCTTAATAAGAGGACTGCTAGAGTCTTGCTAGATGATGTTTCCAGGAAGGATAAATGTATATATCAGTTAGTGTACATTCCCATAGCTGCTGTTCATCCCTACAAAACAGCCCACATGTAGAATCACCTGCTGGCTCATTCCAGTGGGTGTTCCTGGACAGCAACACATAAAATCCGGGAGCTGAATTTTAAACTAATGCTAAATTATAAAAGGATGTAAGGGGAATCTGACTCTCAAAACGATTCAAGCTAAGGGATCTTCATGAGAAAAAATTTTACAGTGGGGACGTAATCATGTTTGTTGTTACTGCTTCTTACCTCAAAAAATGCACCCAAAAGGTGGAAAAATACTTACTCCACATTATTAAAAATTCACTGGCTTTGTATATTAAAAGAATTCTTAGAAAACATTAATTAGGAAGTCCAGTAACCCAATTGAAAAATATGCAAAGACTATGAACAAGATGTTAAAGACAAAAGAAATACAAACGGCTAATAAATATGTGAAAATATGCTTAACTTCATACATAATTATAAAAAAGGAAATTAAAAACAAGATACCATTAATCTTAAAAATAAAGTGGAAATAAAATAAGAGCTTGACATTCATTTCTTAATGGTGACAGACAGGATAATAGCAACCCTCACACAATGCTGAGAAAGTATACATTTGGCTTAATCTTGGAGGGCAATGTAGTAATACTTATCAAAATTTAAATTCCCACATTTGTTAACTGAATTTCCCTTAAATTCCACTGCCGGAAAGTTTCCCTATATAAGATATATTTCTGTAAGTGTACATAATATATGTAGAGGACAATTTATAATAATGAAAAACTGGACAACCTAAATGCCACTCCTAGGGTCCAGTTAAATAAATTCCTTGTTAAATAAAATATAATACATAACTCCATAAATTATGATATATTCATAGACTGGAATGGCTTTGTAGCTGTTCAAAAGAATGCAAACAATCTCTACGTACTGACAAGGGAAGATACCTAAGATATATTGTCTAATTGACAATTGAAAAGCCATAGAACATTACTCATACTGTGATTCCACTGGTATAAAAAAAGTTAAAGAACATATATATATATTATATATATTTTATATATTATATGTATATGTTTGCTGTAAAAACAAATTTCCCATAAAAGACACACAGTAGCTCCTTCTAAGGAGGTGGCATCAAAAGGAAATACAGGGTTTTTACTTCTGACTTTCTACAGGTTTCTACTGTATTTTTTAATGCAATAATTATGCTGTTTTACAATAATTTTAAAAACCCTCCTCCTACTACTGCCAAAGCACGAACTGTAGAAACTGTAAAAAATGAGACATCATAGTTTCATGTCCGGCTTAATTCTGAGGCTCTTGGGAGATACAGGGAGGAAGGGAGGGGCAATGGCAGGGGCAGCCTGGGAAAAGCAAGTTTGAAAAGGCTTCACTGTGTATAAAAAGCAAAGCCAGGCATTTCTTTTCCAATAATGAGTCCAGCTGAGCTGACTGCTTTCCTCAACAGGAGCAATAGAACAACTTGCTTAATTTCCACCAGCCAGAGGTTGAGCCTAGTTTTATCTCCATGCTCTATGTAATGTATTCTGTGAATGCCAGCCAACTCCCCTGCTGCTGTAGGTGGGAAAATGGCCCAGAGACGGCCAGGCGTGGTGGCTCATGCCTGTAATCTTAGCACTTTGGGAGGCCAAGGTGGGAGGACTGTCTGAGCTCAGGAGTTCGAGACCAGCCTGGGCAACATGGCAACACCCCATCTCTACTCAAAGTACAAAAAATTAGCCGGGCGTGGTGGTGGGTGCCTGTAATCCTAGCTATTGGGGAGGCTGAGGCATGATAATCACTTGAACCTGGAGCCAAGATCACGCTACTGCACTCCAGCCTGGGCAACAGAGCGAGACTCTGTCTCAAAAAAAAAAAAAAAAAAAAAAAGGCCCAAAGATGTCCAAGTCCTGATATGTTAGGTTACATGGCAATAGGGAAATTAAGGTTGCAAATGGAATTGAGTTTGCTAATCAGCTGATCTTAAAACAGGGAGATTTTCCTAGATTATCTGGGTAAGCTCTGTGTAATCACAAGGGCCCTTAAGAGTGGAAGAGGGAAGCAGAAGAGGGAAGTCAGAGGGAGATGGGACTACGGAAGCAGGGTCAATGCTGTTGGCTCTGAAGATGGAGCAATGGGCCCAAGCCAAGGAATGCAGGCAGCCTCTAGAAGCTGGGAAAGCCAAGGAAACAGATTCTACCCTAGAGCGTTCAGAAAGCAACACAGCCCTGCTAACACTTTAAGTTTAGCCCACTGAGACCTGTGTCAGACTTCTAACCAACAGAACTGCAAGAGAATACATTTGTGGTAATTTGTTACAGCAGCAATAGGAAGCTAATGCGACCTACTTATATTTCCTTTATTTCTGTATACACAGACTTCCTCTGATGCACAAACCTGGGATGTGCTGTGCAAATCAGCTACCTGGGCTTCCCACCTGTGGATGCTCACTGACCTGGGGCCGCACCAGGTGATTTCAGGACTTCCTCAGAGAAAACCCAGGCAAGACACCAGCAACAGAGCTACCCTGATAATTATTAAATTAGCTCTATGTGGAGAAGCCATATTTGAATAAGTTATTAGTGGAGGTCCTTTGTAAACCATGCTCCATTATATAAATGGCAGATGTCATTATTTATACCCAGACTACTCCTTTGGAAGACAAAAGAGAAATGAATCTTACTTAGCCTAGAATAGCATGACAACACACGTTCTTAAGTGTTTCCCAACATACTTCATATCTACAAATAAAGATAAGCTAGGTCGGCCAAAGAACAATTTTAATAAGGACTTACTATTGAGTGCCAGGCATTGAGCTGGACATTAGCGATATATGATCTCACATAATGTTTATAACATTTTCATCAGGACATACCATTATACAACCATTAATGATTCACATGTTTACATTCTTACATGCAATCATTGAAAGAGTTTGGGTTCAAAGTGCTTTGTCAGACTCCACAGCTGGGGCTCCAGAGAGACATCATGTTAATCCCCATCCCCCATATCATGAAACAGCTTAAAGAGACCCAAATGCTGAGGAGAAAAAAGCTTATTCACCTCATTCTCACCAACCTAGAAACGCAACAATTTAACTGCCACCCCCTCAAAATACCCTTGAGACTTAGAAATTTTTTTTAACTCATCTTAACAGCCAAATTATCAAAAACAGAATCTCTTGTTTTCATTATGATTTTGTACCTTATGTCCAACCAATTGATTGCTCCGTCAAGGAACCTGTATTCTCAGATGATATAAACAAAAACCTGGCTTTTGTGAGGTGGAGACTGAAGTTTATAAAGGCTTCTCATAAGCCCTAGTCAGTGACCATCAGGAGCACCTGCCCCTCATGTCTGCAGGGCACAAGAGTCATCTGCTTGAGAACCACTGATCTAGCACATCAATACCTAAAATGGGCAAGGATTTTCCCATTATGGGAATTTCTGTATAATATTACATTCTAAATAAAGGTTTTAGCACTAAAAATTCATCATAATGGGGTTTTTAAAAGCCAGGTAAACATAAGTGTAAGTCCCTCTTGCTTCCATTTCTTTTCTCAATTCAATACATGGAATTAGCATCAATCTACTATAAGAAAAGTTCACATCCTTCAAAGGAGTAGTTTTCTCCTTGAATTACATTATATATATATATTTAAAGTCAGAATTACAAGCTGGCTCTGCATTTTAGTACATAAGCTAGGAAAAAGAAGATATTTGGAATCTGAAACACATTTATCAAAAAATAACCGTCATTCCTGGGGGTTTCCAGGGTAACCTACAATATTAAACTCATAATGTGGGCTAAATACATTTGCTGTAAATAAAGATTTGATACTCTTACAATATTAATTTTTAAATAACTATTAACAAAGTTATATACATTTCTTATATTTTTTTTAAAGAAAAGCAGTTCTGATGAGATGATCAAGAAAAATGTGAATGGAGATTTGGAGCAATCTAAAGAGCACTCCCATGGTTTTAAGGATTGATACACTGTTCTCAACTGCATTTAATTTCATTTCCAAAAAAGTTAGAGTTTCCTTCTCCTTCGCATGGCTGTATGTCCACCACTCTTCTTATACTTATTAGTAATGTGGTCATTTAATGGGACCACTACAGCCAATAGAGAGAACTTTATGTGACATGAGGACTGTCCAGCACAGGCTTAGCTGGCTGTGGATGGTGAATGACAGAGAAAAGGATGGAGATTGGGAGGGACAGGAGCACACTGTTATCTGAGAGAGAGAAAAGACAGTGGTGACAGAGCACCGCATGACACCCAACTCCACTGGGCACCTCATGGAGTCCACGGCCTTGGCCAGGGCTGCTCCAGTATCTTTAGGGGTGAGGAAGGCTATGGTCCCGGGGTGGCTGGGGACAGGATGGATAGCCAAACAGCTGCTGGTACAGTACTTTCAAGTATTACAGAATGGCCATTTGAGTCCTACATCCATAAGATCTGAAAAACACTGCCAGAACTTAAAGACAATTCTATGGCTTACTCACTTGCTCTGTTTCTTACACACACACACACACACACACACACACACACCCCTTTCCCTCTAGTTGCTCACATCCATCATCAGTACCAAAAAAAATTTTAAATTTACAATTATTTAGCACACAGTAAGCCCCTGCAATGCATAGAGCCATAAGCCATCTACAAAACTCAATTCAAATTACAAAAGGGATACAAGAACTCATCGATTAACTCAGGCAAAGCCCAAAGTAAATGTGAGAAATATTTTACTCTTTTCTTCCATAACATTCTTTCTCCAAGATCATAAATCTCTGAGCGTTGACTTTCCATCTTTAGAAGGCGAGCATCATCAGGGCCAGAAAATAAATCACTTTTAGAATAGTCATTCATCGTGGGAAAATAAAAATATAAGCCAGGCAGATGGTGAAAAGCTCATTTATACTGGTATAATTTCATAGAACTAGGCAAGTGAGAAGGAAGCAAGGGAGCTGTGAAATTTAGGGCCATGTTTAGAGGGTGAGACTAAATACCCCAAACAACAGAATACTAAAACTTTTCATACCACATCGCTACAATCTCTTCAACTCTTCACCTCTGGTTCAGATCTGACTTTTTCCCTTTGTGGCAACAAAAATGAACGGAAAAGAGAAAAGGGGAAGGAGGAGGGAAAACTCAGACTAAACACTGCAGTGCTTTAAGCCCTTTTCATTCACCAGTTTCAAAGCGCTTAATTCTTTGAGTACTGCTGCAGGATAGGAGAGATTATACCACTCGGTGCTGAGCTTTTTTATATGGCTCCAGCTCACAGTTGGCAAATCCAAGGTGGCTACCTCCCCAGCACTCTGGTGGGTGTTTACATCACAAAGCCACACAGGCCTGGTGGGAGGGGAGAGAAGGAAGGCAATACTGTGAACACTCCTAAGGCCGCTCCCAAAGACTCTCTCAGTCCAGTGTCGAAACCCATTAAAAGCCCCAGCACATATCCTACTGGCCATAGCAAAGGCATGATTTCGGACCTTCCACTATATTCACCTCCTCTCTTATAAAAACAACACCCACCCAAGAAGCAAAACCTTATTATCACCCACAAAAAAGGAAGAGAGGAGGAGAAAAGCAATGGAGGAAAGAAAAAAAATCCTTGAAAAACGAGCATAAGCTGAAATTAATCCCCCAAAACTGCACAGAAAAATATACTATCATGCCTTGTACTCAGACAGCTCATGAAAGCTGCCAGAAACCAAGTCCAACAAGTTCTTAAAAAATGTGTGCAGGGTTTAGGTTTGTGTGTGATGATTACGTTGTGAGTTGCTAAGATTGAGAAGGAAGGAGGGCAGAAAGATGCTGTTTTGCAAGACAGACAGGAGGAGCTCTTAACCACAGGAGGCAGTATAGCCTATGAGATAACCATAGAAGCACATCTTCAAATTCCACGTCATCTCACAGATGGTCATCTCAATTGCTGCAGGCCATAGGTAAACCCACAGCCACACGGCACCAGGACCTACACAGTCTTAGGGTACTAACCTTGGAAACGTCACTTGGTTAAGAGACATTTCTCTTGCTTCTAATCTCATGAATACAGAATAATTATAACTATTATGAAACATGTACAGAGCTAATAAACTGGGTTATGAAAATCTGCTAAACTAAGGAAGGGCTCCATTCAATGCCCACTATATAATAAGAGCTCAATATCTGTTGAGTGAATAAAATAATTGCATAGATGAATCATCACTGTTTAACTATACTGGAACACAGAACGAACTAATTGAGGGAGCAGTATATTTTTAAGCATAACAACATTATGGCTCTTTCTGATTTTTAGTGAGTCCTAAGGGTCTGATAGCTAGAAGGCATATCTTCTACATTTGCCTAAAGGATGAACTACTTTCCCCCCAGACCAACAACAGCCAGAAGAGAAAAAGAAAAAACCCGGATGATCAAATCATTGTTCATTCCTTTAGTGTGAGGATCTAAATGGAATGTCTTCAGCAGCTCTTCTAAAAGATTATAATAAGAATTCTATCCCATGATGAGAGACCCTCACACAAAATAATTCCATGTATAACTACAACCACTTAGCACCTGTTAGATAGCAATCAAGGCCACAGATGAGGAATGAACCAATTCATAGAAGCATCTTCTGCCTGGAGAGCTCCAGGACGCTGACCATGGATGAATCTTTCATCACAGCAGCATATGTAAGTCATATGTCACTCAACAGGTTAAATTTACTTCTACTGGAACTCCCGGAAGCCACAGGGAAGAGCACAGAACAGAGATGAGAACGAGAAGGAAGCATGCCCTTTAGTCATGAATACTACCAATGAACCTCATCGTTCACATTCATTCATTACGTACTTAAGAGTATCTGCTACATGCATCGTACTTTCCTAAATACTCTGGAGTTTCCAGAGAAGAATCACACATGGTGTCTTCCCTCAAAGAATTAAGTCTATGAGATGAAACTGCCAGGTCAGAAAAGTCTTGTGGGGCTGAAGATGACCACTACATGAAGAAAACCTGCTTGGGGTACATCGGGGTATAGCAGACACAATCTATTATGACCCAAAAGCCAATACTGTATTTTCTCTTGCTGACAAAAGCCCAGTTCTGGTCTCTCTGGGATCTGAGATCCCTTTGATCTCAGGTAAGGCACACTCCACAGCCGGGGAGGGTGACTCATGAAAATCCAGTGACCCACCACCAGTTACAGGACTTGGAGTAGGTATGTGATCTAGTTCTGGCTGTGAGATAACAGGGGGAGTGTACTAAGGGGCTTCGCTTCCCAAACAAAAAGTGTCTTTTTAATTTTTTTTTTTTATTTTATTTTGTGGAGACAGAGTCTCGCTCTGTTGACAGGCTGGAGTGCAGTGGCACGATCTCTGCTCACTGCAACCTCCGCCTCCCAGGTTCAAGCGATTCCCCCTCCTCAGCCTCCCAAGTAGCTGGGATTGTAGGCACCCACCACCATGCCCAGCTAATTTTTGTATTTTTAGTAGAAACAGGTTTCACCATGTTGGCCAGGACGGTCTCGATCTCCCGACCTCATGATCCGCCTGCCTCGGCCACCCAAAGTGCTGGAATTACAGGCGTGAGCCACCGCACCTGACCTCAGAAAGTATCTTGAGAAGAGCTCCCATCCTTTCTTTTAAAGGATATGTCATGAGGATGCAATATTTGGGACTACAGCTATGATGCTGCCACAATGAAGTGACAAGCATAAGGATAAACAGGAGGAGGAATGGAAGAAACTTGTATCTTTGAGGCCATCATGAGTTGCTGCACCACACCTGGAACCACCTACTCCCAGAATTCTTTTGTGCAAAAATTTATTATTATTATTATTATTATTATTTGCTGAGACTGGATCTCACTCTGTCACCAAGGTTCAAATGCAGTGGTGTGATCACAGCCCACTGCAGCTTCAACCTCCCAGGCTCAAGGAATCCTCTCACCTCAGCCTCCCAAGTAGCTGGGACCATCGGCACGTACCCAGCTAATTTTTATATTTTTTTGTAGAGACAGGGTCTATCTTGCCCAGGTTGGTCTTGACCTCCTCGCCTCAAGTGATCCTCCTGCTTTGACCTCCTAAAATGCTGGGACTACAGGTATAAGCCACCATACCCAGGCTTAAATTTATTACTATTTGAGCTATTAATTGTAGGGTTTCCTGTTATTTGCATCTGAAAGAATCCTATCCAATATAGGAGATAGTGTAGTATGAAGGAAAGAGCACTAGCTTGGGAGAAAGGAAGTCCACATATCAATTTTGCGTCAACCTAAGTTCTGTGATGCTTGGCAAGTTAAACAACCACTCGAGTTTGAGGAATGGCCATTTGACTCCTAAAGACTATTCTAAGATTTAGTGAATCAAAGGTCATGATTCAAAGGAAAAAAAAAAAGGTCTATTCTACAGATTCTTGGAAGGAGATGTAGTCTGTTTGATGATGAGAGATGAGGAATGGAGTGGGGAAGGATAATCCTATCACCCACGAAATTTACTTATAACAAATTTTAAACTTGATCAATGATATTTCCTATGCAGCAACCATTTGGAGTTAAACTCTGTGAGGTTATCACAGGATTCAATAAAGTGATTTTCAATCATCATAAGTCAGTGATAGCTATACCTCACTCTTCAAACTGTTGACCACAAATAAATATGTGCCACCTGTTTCAAACAAACTTATAAGATTGAAACTTTAAAATAATTATTTAAAGGATCAAAACAACATATTAACCTTGTTCATCTCTAAAAATCTATCACCATCCCACACCGGATACATCCCCAACCAACATCTACCTATACCTTTATGTATCATGGGGATGAAAAATTTAAAAAAATGATAAAAATGTGTTGAGGGGATTGTACTGGCCAGGCTTCAAGCTGAACATCAGAGGATTTCAGATGGACAGCTTTATGGCTTGTTAAGTAGTTCAAAAGTTCAGTGCTATAATGACCATTCAATCAAAAGCATGAAAATTCTTGACGCAGAACTCAGCTAAATCTTTTATATCAGTCTCCTTCCCTTATTCTTAAAACAATTTTTCTTCTTTTGGGAAAGGATGATTAGGACATGTTTACTTGAAAATTCAATTATGCAATTTTTTAACCAAAGTCCATTTAGCTAACTTATATGCTGATATAGTACTCAGTACATAAAGATATTATAAGTTTTTCTACGCCTGCTAGATTTGTGGTGGTATAGGGTATGTGGTCTCTTGATAGCATTGTTGCCACTGTAATCCAGATGACTAACTAGGCAAAGCTGCTAACTGAGACAGTCAACACAGGGGTTGATAGGAGTTGACAGTATGCTATTGAGGAACAGGCTTAAAAACCCTCTGCTTAGTCTCCAGGGGTGGGACTGATAGTCCTGATTGTCCTAAGGCCAGGGGTAGGTATCTGGCACCAGATATTTACCCTCAAATAATTAACACAACATTATTTTTCATTGCTCCCCCTTTCCATTTTACCCATAAAAAATATGAGAAATTTAAAGTTATCAAATGCTCTTCAACTAGTAAACGGATAATCTGTAGATCCCATACATACTATTCAATGCAAAAGGAATGCAAAAGGAATGCCTTAGAATGATTCACATAACATGGATGAATCTCAAATGCATTATGCTATGTGAAAGAAGCCCTCCTGCATGATTCCATATATATATGACATTCCGGGAAAGACAAAACTATAGGGACAAATAACAGATCAATGGTTGCCAAGGGCTGGGGGACAGATTTGATTATAAAGGGGCATGAGGGAATCTGGGGGCAATAGAACTGTTCTATACAGGTTGAGTATCCCTCACCTGAAATGCCTGGGAGAAAAAGTGTTTTGGATTTTGAATTTTTTTGGAAGTTGGAAGTTTTGCATTATACCGGTTGAGCATCCCAAATCCAAAAATCTGAAATCCAAAATACTCCAAGGAGCATTTCCTTTGAGTGTCATGTCGGCCTTTAAAAAGTTTTGGATTTGGGAGCATTTTAGATTTTGAATTAGGGATTCAGATTTAATTCAGATCTAATTCAGATTTTGAATTAGATTTGGATTAGGGATACTACTTTGATTTGTTAAAACTGAGAACCTTGCATTTTAAAATGGTGAATTATATTGTTTGTGAATTACGCCTCAATAAACCTGACTTTTAAAAAACAGTTAAGGTTTTGTTGCTCAGATATGTCCTCTAGAAGGTGAGTGTACATGGTCACGTGTGAGCTCTGTCATTCAGGATGGGTTTATCTCATTGCCCTGGGCTCTCCTGTTCCCTCCTGTGCCAAGAGCCCAACCAGTCACAGTGGGTGCAGAAACAGAAACCACTCCAGGTGTTACAGTCAGAAAGGAATTTGATATGGGAATTAGGTGCCTGTAGAATTATTAAAAAGGCTGGAGGAGCAGACATCAGGGGCCCCTTAGACTTTTCTTTTTTGGAGGAGACAGAGTCTTACTCTGTCGCCCAGGCTGGAGTGGAGTGGCACAATCTCGGCTCACTGCAACCTCTGCCTCCCAGGTTCAAGCAATTCTCCTGCCTCAGCTTCTTTGTAACTGGGATTACAGGCGCACGCCACCACGCCCAGCTCATTTTTGTATTTTTAATAGAGATGGGGTTTTACCATGTTGGTCAGGCTGGTCTCAAACTCCTGACCTCATGATCCACCCACCTCAACCACCCAAAGTGCTGGGATTACCGGCATGAGCCACCACGCCCAGCCGGCACCTTAGACTTTTAAGTTCAAGGTCACAACATTGTAGGTGGCCGTGATTCAGAGGTCAGGAAGCTGCTGCTCTTGCCACAACAGATTCCCGCACCCAGGTAGGTGGGACTAAGGCCTGGAACTCTAAGTGTGGCCACCACAACACCACAACTGCCTCTAAACACTCCAACCTCCATGCCACTGCCTGCCAGCAGCACGAGCAGGAGGAACTTGGTCTCCAAATCTCACACAAATGCATCTCCCAGTAACGTGTTCAGAACTCCAACTGTAAGAAAGTCTGGGACATGTAGCTGTTTCCAATCTCTCCAATCGAGAAAGTGGAAAGAAAGTTAAGAGAGTGGCCGGGCACGGTGGCTCACGCCTGTAATCCCAACACTTTGGGAGGTCAAGGCAGGCAGATCACGAGGTCAGGAGATCGAGATCATGCTGACCAACATGGTGAAACCCCGTCTCTACTAAAGATACAAAAATTAGCTGAGTGTGATGGCGCCTGCCTGTAATCCCAGCTACTCAGGAGGCTGAGGCATGAGAATCGCTTGAACCCGGGAGGCGGAGGTTGCAGTGAGCTGAGATCGATCACGCCACTGTACTCCAGCCTGGCCACAGAGCAAAAAAAAAATCTCCAAAAAAAGGGGGAAAAAAAAAAAGAAAAAGTCAAGAGAGCTTGGTCCACAGTCTCTACTCCAATCACCATCCTTCTTGTCCTAAAGTAAGGCATACATGATGAAGCGACACACGGAAAACCTTTTTCTATCTTGATTTACATTTCAGATGGTGTTTTTTGTTGAAAAAATTGTTTTACTAATAGGTAAAACCAAGATCCTAACTCATTTCATTATAGAAGAATATTTCATTTTCACATTTAGTTAGTTCTAGCCCCAGCAGAATAAAATTCTAAGATCACTACATTTTATAACAGAGCCGACCACAGCTCTCTTCTAACTCACGTATTAAATATGTACAGCTCTTTGAGCTTTTATTCTGCAGGGAATTAAACAGACTAAGCTTCAAAATGCGTTACTGTTTCAGATGTAGGTTATTTTATGGGAAGCCAGAACCAGCAGAGGGGAGCTACCTTTGGTACCCCACTTATCCCCCCAAAGACCTAACATGTTCTAAACGGTAAACCAGAAGACAATAGTTAATTTAGTTACACGACCATAATAACCACAATTCTGAAAGTTAGTTTCCCAATGATCACTCACATAAGTAACTATATCCTCTAGATCAAAAGCATTAAGGACCTGCTCATAAGGCATTCTTAACCTTTAGGAATTTCACTTCATTCTATATAGAAGTTATTCCTCCACAATGTACAGAAAGGAGGCAACAGCAACATTTTTTTTTCTGACAGAAAAACTATTGTGTGGATGTCGCTAGTTTTTTTAACTATTAAGACAAAAAATGTGGCAAAGCACAATGGCCTAAGAAGAAAAATAGTGTCCAAGCTCTACTAGCTGTTTGGGTTTTGAGAATCATCTGCCGTAGCACTCACTAGAAAAAATGAGGGGAGTCTTTGCCAAAGAATTCTAACTCTCCCTTCTCAGAAAACCACCAAAACACCAAAACACCATTCTACTCCATAAGACTTTCCCTACTACATGGAATCAAACAAAATCTTAACTTGCTCTGACAAAACAATTAAGGGCAAAAATGACAACTAGAAATTAATGACTGTCTCTACTTTAATGAAAAAAGCTCTGGCTAGTTCTTCTTCTTCAGGATGTATTTTTTTAAAGTTGAACTTGGGAATTAGTTATTTCTTTCTTTTTTTTTTTTTTTCTTGAGATGGTGTCTCGTTCTGTTGCCCAGGCTGGAGTGCAATGGTGCGATCTTGGCTCACTGCAGCCTCTGCCTCCTGGGTTGAAGCGATTCTCCTGCCTCAGCCTCCCAAGTAGCTGGGATTACAGGCGTGTGCCACCACGCCCAGCTAATTTTTGTATTTTTAGTAGAGATGGGGTTTCACCATGTTGGTCAGGCTGGTCTCAAACTCCTGACCTCGTGATCCGTCTGCCTCAGCCTACCAATGTGCTGGGATTACAGGCGTGAGCCACTGCGCCCGGCCAGGAGTTAGTTATTTCTCACAGATAATCGTATGCTAATTTTTTTTGCCAATGCTACTGACTGGTGAGGCAAAGTGGGCAACAACTTTGTGTAAAAAACAACAGACCTGGCCTCAAACCTTGGGGGTCAGAGGGAACACCTATCAGAAAAACAGAGAAGAAACACTAAGGAGGATTTACAAAGTCAGAAATAGCATGAGCCATAATAAGTAAGTTGATTATGTGATAGCCCCAGTTAGGTTTTGCCCAAGAATGCTGCTAGAAATAAGGATCTAAAAAATGATTACTAAAGATCTAATAACTCACTTCTCTACCACTCACACGGTTGCCAACTTACCTTCTGATTCACTTACACATCAGCTGCATGAGTTTCTTGACCCTGAAACTCCTTGTACATACAGAGCAAATGCCTTTCAAAAATCCACAGCCACTATTCACTTCACACCCTTCTAACACCCCTTAAAGATGCCGATGAAATATTTGTAGGCAGGCTAATCTGACTTTATAAGAGTTATGCTACTACATCACTGTCCGAGAATATAATCCTATGCTGCTTGGAGAAAAATTTCCATTGATAACCAAAACCATTTGATCAAAGACACTGCCTTGGGGCTTTCAACCTTATCAAATAGATTTTGTAAGTGTTCTACAATTTTCAGGCTAAAATGATTTCAATGGAAATTAAGAACAACCTCTAATGCATGGTTAAAGGAGGCCTCCGCCAGTTCAAGAGACTATATCAAGACTATATCATGTGCATCAAAAGAACAAGAAAAACAAAAATGGACTCAGGACACAAAATAAAATTGACAAAAGGAAACACTGCATTTGGCTCCCCTCCAGCGGCCACTTAGAGGCAGAAATAGGAGAGCCAGGCTGCGGGCAGATGACAGAGAGTCCATGAAGCCTGTTGGAGCCTGGCTGATCACCAGGATCTGCAAGGACTGCTCTCCTGACGAGGCAGTGCATATCCTCGGCAGCCTGAACCTGGGCTGCAGCTCAATGCCCAAGAGGAGTGTTGGCCATGGCCCCACAGATCCCGGCCTGGCTCAGGAGCATGCAGGAGTCGAGCATGTGAGGCAAGAGCTTGTATCAGCAGGAACCACACGAAGAAGCCATTATTCAGGGGAGCGACATAATATATTGTAACTGCTCCCATCATGTCAATAGGCACCATGTTAACGGGTCTGTTCGAATTTCTCCCACTTGAAGTTAAAGTGACTCCCATTTCAATGAAAATAGGAGATTCCTCATTCGTAGGATCACAATTCACCCACAGCAGCTGCCAGACACAAGAACATGAGAAGTGCCGGGCATGCACATAGCTGATTTTGTCTCTCCAGGCAATTCTTCCATTTTTTAATTTGTCTCCTCTTAAAACAAAGAGATGAGCAAGTTACAAATATAATTACTATATTTCTGAACAAGCGATAACACAAGCCATGAATGCACTGAGAGGACTGCACGCTTACCTCTGGCTCTGGCTGTGAGGTTTGTTCGTCTTCAGCAGAGTTTGGTAAAATTGCCCAGGTTATGTTGGCACTGGCTGATGGCAAAGAGCCAAGTGTCCCATTTTTCAGCTGCTCTGTGGAATGTGACTTGGACCCGTGCCATCCCAGGATGTTTTCTG
Source organism: Homo sapiens (assembly GCF_000001405.40). Classification (NCBI taxonomy): domain Eukaryota; kingdom Metazoa; phylum Chordata; class Mammalia; order Primates; family Hominidae; genus Homo; species Homo sapiens. The sequence continues at coordinate 31,733,415 of NC_000003.12, forward strand.
AAATAAAGACCTAGAATGATGCCAAGTATTTTCCAAATTAAACATTTATAGCTCATGAAATATTTGTACTCACTGTATGAAGAGACCTACTTGAAAAGGGCATGAGGTAAAACACAGAGGGCTTGTTTTGAATGAAGTACCAAGTGCAGATTCTGATCATCTGTTGATGAACTAGTTTCTGTATAATATCAAGATCAGAATCATCACAGGCTGTTTCACTCCCCAACAGTGGACAAAAACAATTGCGATTTACCAAAGCCAGATAAAGGTGTTTTTTTTTTTTTTTTTTTTTTTTTTGAACTTTTAAAAATATTTCTGGCCAGGTGCGGTGGCTCACGCCTGTAATCCCAGCACTTTGGGAGGCCGAGGCGGGTAGATCATGAGGTCAGATCGAGACCATCCTGGCTAACACGGTGAAACTCCATCTCTACTAAAAATACAAAAAATTAGCTGGGCGTGGTGGCGGGCACCTGTAGTCCCAGCTACTCGGGAGGCTGAGGCAGGAGAATGGAGTGAACCTGGGAGGCGGAGCTTGCAGTGAGCTGAGATTGCGCCACTGCACTCCAGCCTGGGCGACAGAGCAAGACTCTGTCTCAAAAAAGAAAAAAAAAATTCTAAATATTCACAATAGAAAGTCAGATTCTATCAAAAATAGGCTGCTCAAAATGTGGTTTGAATTCTAAGTGACACAATGGCCATGGCTCAGAAAAGATGCCTGCAAAGTGAGCACAGGATGCCACCCCTGCCCTCAGACGTGGCTTGGTGTGGCAGATGTCAGGAAGCCCCATCACCAAGGACACAGGTACTCATTCCATTCTAGCAAGAAACACTTTTACAGATACCAATCCAGCAAACCAAAAACCATTTTTCGAATCCTCCACCAACTCCCTTCGGGGGAGGGGAAAAGACTTTTACTCTAATTTTTTTTAAGGGTCATATATTATTGTAGAACATTTTATACACCTACTAATAGAAACAGGAGTAACCAGAGGTGGATTTCTTTACCCCATAGCAATTCTGCCATTCGAATAAAGAGGTCTCAGCTGGGTGCAGTGGCTCATGCCTGTAATCCCAGCACTTTGGGAGGCTGAGGCAGAAGGATCGCTTGAGCCCAGGAGTTGGAGATCAACCCAAGCAACAAGGCGAAACCCTATCCCTACAAAAAATATAAAAATAAGCCAGGTGTGGTGACACAAGCCTGTAGTCCCAGCTACTTGGGAAGCTGAGGTGGGAGGATCTATTGAGCCAAGGAGGTCAAGGCTGTAGTAAACCCAAATCATGCCACTGCACTCCAGCCTTGGTGACAATGCAAGACACTGTCTCCAAAAAAGCTAATAAAAAATAGATAAGTCTCAAGCTCAGTTGACTGACACTCTGTAGATTCTGTTCTAAGTCTAAAAGCAAAAAAAGAAAAATTAGGCTAAAGTACAGCATGACTCATGAACTAAAATTCAACATTTCAGGGTCTCAGATGTTCCATCCATAAAGCAATACTATCTGTCAGCCTTTTCATTAGAATTACTCAAAGAAAAGTCTACAGGTATCCCAAACATTCCTGACATATCCCCAGGGGAATCTGGTTGTCAGAGGCAGATGAAGACACTGTGTATGTGCGGTGCTTATGCACCTGTGTGCTGCTGTATGCAGTATTAGCCAACTCAAGTGTATTTTTATGCAAAAATCCTTTTTTAATGTCAAGTGTTAGGTCACATAACTCTACTGTTAAAAGCCTCAAGTGGGCCAGACACGGTGGCTCCCACCTGTAATTCCAGCACTTTGGGATCCCGGCTGAGGCGGGTGAATCACTTGAACCCAGGAGTTTTGAGTCCAGCCTGGGGAACATGGCAAAACCCTGTCTCTACAGAAAATACAAAAATTAGCTGGGCATGGTGACATGCACCTATAGTTGCAGCTACATGAGAGGCTGAAGTGACAGGATTGATTGAGCCCAGGAGGTCGAGGCTACAGTAAGCGGTGATTGCACCACTACCCTCCAGCCTGGGTGACAATGAAAGACCCTGTTTCAAAATAAATAAATTAATAAAGGTCCCAAGTGGCTTATCATTACAATTGGAACAAAATCTAAGCTGCCTGGCTTTGCTCTGTGACCTGCCCAGCCTCATTTTGTTCTCTTCTCCCCATTGCTTAGTATGCTCAAGTCACATCAGTATTTTTTTCCGTTTCTCAAATGTGCCAAGTTCATGACAGTCTTAGAGTGTTTGTGCATTCTGTTCCTTCCTCCCAGAGGGCTGTTCCTCCAGTCCTTCTACATCGGGGAGGAAGTCTCCTGTGTAGATCCAGGAGTCAGCTAAAATATCACTTGCTCAGAGAGACCTTCTGGGACCTCCCTGGCCAAAATAGCACCCCAAAGGCACTCTCTGTCATATTGCCATTTGCTGTCTTCCTGGGACTTAGCACTGTCTGAACTCACTAGCACACTCATTTACTTGTTGATTGTCTCTCCTCCCTGGAATGTCAGCTCCTTGAGGACAAGAACAATACTGCCCTTGCTCACAGCAGTGTCCCCAGAACCATGAACATGATTTAGCAAAGAGTGTACGCTCAGTATGAATGTGCTGAAGAAATCGGAGACAGAAAACTTTAAGAAGAGTGCACGTTATAGCCTCCTAAAAATTAAAAAATAAAAAACGGCCAAAAGAAAGACATAGAATAGAATGGTGGTTGCTGAGGGTTGGAGAGTGGATGGGAGGGAATGGGGAGTTAACGTTTAAAAGGTAAAGAGCTCCAGTTTTGCAAGATGGAAAGAGTTTTGGAGATTGGTTATACAACAATGTGAATGCACACATAAAATGTGTACACATAGAATGTGTACTGAGATGTACACATAAAAATGGTCAGGATGATGCATTTTATGTTATGTGTATTTGACTACAATTTTTTTCTTAATGGCAAAAAAAGCATCCATATAGCAGCACTTCATGTTATTTTTTAAAAGGTAAAAACTCACAACACTAAAACCAAAGGCTAAAGATGCACTAATACCAGAACTTGAGAGAAATATCCGCAAATAACAAGGTAGACGGAGCTGAACTAAGAAAACCAGCCCAGGATTCAAGACACTAGAATCTGCCATAAGAGAGGTGGACAGATACCTCTTGCCTTTCCTACTGACCAATTCCCGCCTCAGAAACCTCAAACTGGATTCAGATCTAAAATGCCAAACAGTTGTTCCATAGATAGAGGGGTGCTATTTGAAAATTCTTTGCTTTATTACACAAGCAGTAAACATCCTGTAGAGCAGTTAGGAAATCTTTTTAAAAGATAAAGAAGTTTGGGCAACACAGTGAGACCCTGTCTCTACAGAAAATTAACAAACTAGCCAGGCACTGTTGTACACGCCTGTAGTCCCAGCTACTTGGAAGGCTGAGATGGGAAGATCACTTGAGCCCAGGAGTTTGAGGCAGTAAGCCATGATCATGCCACTGCACTCCAGCCCAGGCAACACAGTAAGACCCTGTCTTTAAACAAAACACTAGGGGGAAGAAAAGAGATCTACTTGCCTAGGCAATCAGGACAACGTTCCCTCCATTCTTCCCACACCTCAACTCTGTGTCTCCCTCCCCTCTATCCCATCATTATCCAGATATGGCAACTTAGGGCACCACAGAGCAAGAAGTGGAGTCTGAACTGGCAGTGGTAGGCTGTATCTTGGGATAGACAAAGACCAGGACAGGACAAGGAAAGTTGGCAATGCATGCTGGGGAACACAACTTTCTGTGGACCCTATGAATTCCGAATATCAAAGAGCCGGTGCATGAGAAAGACGCCCATCTCAGATCAGTTCAGCTGCTTTTAAAAAGTGATCATGGGTTTAGGAGGCTGGATAGAGCTGTCTCATTTGGAGACGAAGGCAAAAAAACATTCTTACGTGGAGTGAATAAAAAGGACTGTACAGAGCTTGGGGAAAAAATATTCTCAAGAAGGCTAAGAGGAAGAATACATGTAAAATTTCTAACATAAGGTGTTAGAGAAAACACCAGGAAAGGTGTTTCCTCAGCACATAAATATAGGACAAAGCACCCTCTATGAAACAAGAACAGAAAACCAGAAGAAGAAAACAGGCTGAGGTGAAAAGAGAGATGGATGCATCAAGGAATTATTATGAGGAAACTAAACCAACATTAGTAGAATTAAAATTAAAACTGAGAACAGGAAATAGTGGAATCAACACCACAGAAAGTCAAATAAATAATGTATTGAGATAAGGCGGCTCTACCAATCTGCAGTTGCAAAAGACACAGATGACAATCATGAGGCAGAAGACAATAGAGAAAAGCTGGGTGCAGTGGCTCATTCCTGTAATCCCAGCACTTTGGGAGGCCGAAGCAGGCAGATCACCTGAGGTCAGGAGTTCGAGACCAGCCTAGCTAACATGAGGAAACCCCGACTCTACTAAAAATACAAAAAGTAGCCAGGCATGGTGGCACGCACCTGTAATCCCAGCTACTCGGGAGGCTGAGGCACGAGAATCACTTGAACCCGGGAGGCAGAGGTTGCAGTGAGCCGAGATCATGCCACTGCACTCCAGCCCTCCAGCCTGGGTGACACAGCAAGACTCTGTCTCAAAAAAAAAAAAAAGAAAGACAATACAGAAGATGCACAACAGAGATCCAAGAGATAAAGGATCCATGTTCCTGAAGGAGAGAGACCAAATCAATGGATAGACAAAAATGTAAATATAAATACATGTCCTGGGCTGAACAGAGAACTGTGGGGGCTGCTTAAAGGAGCCACCACACTCCAGCAAAATCAATGGGAAAAAAATGCACATCTAGATGCAGCTTGGCAATATTTTCTCCGGCTTTTTATTACTGAAATTCCAAACACACACAAAAGTAGACAGAATAGTATAATGAATCCCTAGTTTATGAAGTTTGGCAACATTTTTGAATAACAAAAATCAAGAGAAAAATTTTCCAATCATGGAAGCAGAAAAATTAGACCTGCCTTAAAGGAAAAAAAAAAAAATCAGTTTGAATTTTGCGACAACACTAAATGCCAAAAGATGAACAGGCAAACAGAAGAATGTAAATAGAAACCGACAAATTTGGAGGGGGTTGGGGAGCTGAGGGAAAACATTCATCCCCAGCCAAAATGTCTTTCCCCGGTAAGAATGGCCAACATTTATTGAGCTCTTGCCAGGTGCCAAGTACTGTGGTACATGCTATCTGTGCATTGCCTCATCTAATCCTAATGGTGACCCACGAGGCACGTACATATTACCACCATGCCTACTTGACAGATGAAGAAACAAAGGCATTAAGAACTAGTAAGTGGTAGAATCCAGATTAAAACCCATGCAGCCGAGCTCCACAACCCAGACTCCTACGCTATGCACCATGTGCCCTCTCAGCAGCACTGCAGAGACTCAGAAATGATTCTTCTTGCAGGAAAAACAGCTTGAAAATATTTACCAATGTATGAATAAAAGAAGCAGAATTAAGAACTCAAGAAATGGGGATGTCATATACATATATATTAAAAAAAAAACTGGTAGTAAGCAATGAACCCAGTTAAACACAGAGCTGAGCAGGGCTGGGACTACAGTCAGGCAAGTAAGACATTCACCTCAGATGTAAAATAAAAGGAAGCATCAAGAAAATCAGTCATCAAGATAAAGGGTAATTTTTTCTAAGAGACAGGATGCCACTATGTTGCCCAGGCTGGAGTATAGTGCTATTCACAGGTGTGATCACTGCATACCACAATCTTGAACTCCTGGGCTCAAAAAATCCTCCTGCCTTGGCCTCTCAAATAACTGGGACTACAGGCATGCACCACTATACCTGGCTGAGGTAAATTATATTTTAACACAATATTTTAAAATTGAAATAAGAAAAGAAAGGAAGAGGAGGGAAAGGAAAGGACGAAGGGAGAAAGGAAGGAAGAAACAAGGAAGAGAGAAAGTCTTATAGTACTCAGCCTCACTTCACCCTAATCTCCATCCTATCAGATCCTCTCTGCTACAGATTGAATGTCTATGTTCCCCCAAGATTCATATGTTGAAGTCCTAAACCCCAATGTGACCATATTTTGAAAAAGGGCCTTCACATTAATAAAGTTAAATGACATAAAAAATGTAGGGTCCTGATCCAATTGGATTAGTGTCTCTGATAAAAGAGGAAGAGAGACCACTGCTAAAAGAAGTGGAAGACATACCAGAGCTCGGTTGCCCTCCAGGCTCACACACCAAAGAAATGCCATGTGTGGACACAGCAAGAAGACAGCTGTCAGCAAGCCATGAAGAGAGCCCTCACCAGAAACTTTTGGCCCCAGGCTGGACTCTTGATCTTAAACTTCCAGCCTCCAAAACTGAGAAATTTTTGTTCTTTAAGCCACCCAGTCTACAGTGTTTTATAATACTGTAGCAGCCCATGCTAAGACACTGTCTTTATGTAAACTTTTGATATTTTGTTCATTATCAATTGTTTTTGCATTAATTTTGGTTAAAAATATTGCATTAAAACATAACTACTTATCTTAACTACTGAACTTCATCTTTTTATCTTAACTACTGAAACTTTTGACATCCTTTTGAATTTTGCACTCAAGGCTAGTGCCTCTTTCATCTCACCCTGGTCCCAGCTCCAGAATTGGCTATGAATAATACTTTTTTTTTTTTTTTTTTGAGTCAGTCTTGCTTTGTTGCACAGGCTGGAGTGCAGTGGCACGATTGCAGCTCACTGTAACCTCTGCCTCCCATGTTCAAGTGATTCTCCTGCCTCAGCCTCCCAAGTAGCTGGGACTACAGGTGCCCACCACCATGCCCAGCTAATTTTGTATTCTTTTTGGAGAGATGGGTTTCACCATATTGGCCAGGCTGGTCTCGAACTCCTGACCTTGTGATCCACCCGCCTCGGCCTCCCAAAGTGCTGGGATTACAGGCATAAGCCACTGTGCCTGGCCGCTATGAATAATATTTCTAAGCATGGTTACATAACTGAATATTAAAGTCACATATTACTTTTAAAAAGAATTAGTCATTATCATACATTATCTAAGTATTATACTAATATTAAAATATTAATAACAATAGCCTACATAATAGCAAAAATTGGAAAGCAGAATAGAGGGGCAGAGGAAGTTAAAGTATGCCCTGTCTTCATCATTAAAGAAAAGATTCAAAAAGTATTGCATCATCCCTTTGAGGACTACCAAAAAAAATAGGTTAAAGAATGCTTATGAAGCTGGGTATGGTGGCATACACCTGCAGTCCCAGCTCTCAGGAGACTGAGGCAGGAGGATTGGTTGAGCCCAGAAGTTCAAGGCTAGACTGCACTATGATTGTGCCTGTGAAGAGCTACTGCACTCCAGCCTGGGCAACATAGTGAGACTCCGTATCTCAAAAAAAAGAAAAAAAGAAAGAAAGAAAGAAAAGAAAAGAATGGTTATGATAAACTTAATATGACCACTACTAGAATTTATATATATATGTCATATTTCTTCCCAAAATACTAAAGAAGGGTAAAAGAAATACAACTTGTATAGCAAAATAGAAAACATGAAAAGCAGTATGGAAATAAAAACAAAAATCATAAGGAGACTAAGAGAAAAACACCAGTTTTAAGGGCAAAGGTTTGACTGTGGAATTGTCTTAATCTATCCTTGGCCTTATTTTAAGCCTTGCTTAGAGTGTTGAGACCTACAAGGCCCCTGCAAGGTCTTTCCTCTTCCTGTAACAGTGAATTCATGCTTCCCAGGTTCAGTAAACATAAAATGGTTTTCCAAAATAGAATAAGATTGAAATTCACAAAAAGATTGAATTTTCACTTGAAACCATTTAAGACATATTCCCAGTGGAAAGCCAGCGCCTTGGTATCTAACTGTTTTCTTTTATTTTTATTTTTTGAGACGGAGTCTCGCTCTGTCACTAGGCTGGAGTGCAGTGGCACAATCTCGGCTCACTGCAACCTCCGCCTCCCAGGTTCAAGTGATTCTCCTGCCTCAGCCTCCCAAGTAGCTGGGACTACAGGCGCATGCCACCACACCCAGCTAATTTTTGTATTTTTAGTAGAGACAGAGTTCCACCATGTTGGCCTGGATGATCTTGATCTCTTGACCTCGTGATCCATCCACCTTGGCCTCCTGAAGTGCTGGGATTACAGGCGTGAGCCACTGTGCCCAGCCTCTAACTGCTTTCTTTAGGGAGAAGTTGGCACTCAAAAACTCTGTTTAGACAGTTGTAAAAAAATAAAAAATAAACACTTATCTGAAATATTCTACAATGCTAGTTTTTCCTTTTCTCCTGATATCCTATTGATATCCTATTGATATGGTTTGGCTCTGTATCCCCACCCAAATCTCATCTTGTACCTCCCATAATTCTCACATGTTGTGGGAGAGACCCAGTGGAGTATGACTGAATCATGCGGCAGGTCTATCCCACACTGTTTTCATGATGGTGAATGGGTCTCACGAGATCTGATGGTTTTAAAAACGGGAGTTTCTCTGCACAAGCTCTCTCTTCGCCTGCTGCCATCCACATAAGATGTGACTTGCTTCTCCTGGCCTTCTGCCATAATTGTGAGCCCTCCTCAGCCATGTGGAACTGTAAGTCCAATAAACCCCTTTCTTTTGTAAATTGCCCAGTCTTATGAAAACGAACTAATACACCTATTTACTGAAATATCACATTTCTGTCTTAGCTTTTAATCATAAAATAAGGAAAGGTGACTATAAGTGGGGCAAAGCTTCACCAAAAGCAGTAGGTGTCAGGAAAGAAAGTATAACAGACAAAGAAAGCAAAGGAAGTCCCTGAGTGGTAGAAAAGAGATGAAAAATACAAGTCTGAAGAGGTCTCCGGAAAAACGTAAAGTACCGCAAAAGGAAGAAGGCAAACAGCCAGAAGAGCCAAGGGTCCTTACAATAGTCTCACTTATTTGGCCCTTTTGGCCAAACCCCAAAATGGGAAGACCAATGCAACTGGCTTATTAACTGACACTCCCCGCAAATCTTTTAAGTGGATGAAGAGTTATTGCAAGGATGAGTTAAGGAAAGTATATTAAATTCTGCTCTGGTTCTTCTTCTCTCAAATCTATTCTCTTGATCTTTTGTCCCCATTTGTGTTCACGGGTACCTGTGTCATCTACTGCATTCTGCCAAGGTGCCATTGTCACTTGCTCTGGCAGCTATGACTCCAGTGTCCTTCCCCAAGCCTGTTTTACAGCATCTTGCTGTTAATGTGCAGCTCTTACCTGGCACTAGAATGAGCTTGTCTAGTTACAGGCATCTGCCCGAACTCAAACCATGTTACCTAGACTAAGACTTGCAAGCAAATAGCAAATCAACCAGAAGCATGGAGGGCAGAGTACTCTGTACCCTCGAATCACTTTCTAGGCCCAGTTCCCCTCCCACACTTGAAACCCACCTAAAGCCCAGGCTCCCAAAGAGCACAACCTTTTCCAGTTTTGAGCGTGGTTCTGCCTGCCTCTTCCCCATAGCACGGGGAAGGCACACATCTAGGCTGAAGAAAACAGATACCCAGTCCCCAGTCCAGCAACTGTTTGCCTCCATCAAGCTGCTGAAGTAGATTTAGGAGCCACCAGTAATGGTAAAAGAGCTGCATAATTTAAGTCTTGACCGAAAAGCTAAATTAGTTTTTTTTTTTTTTTTTTTTTTTTTTTTAGAGAGAGTCTTGCTCTGTCCCCCAGGCTGGAACGCAGTGGTGCGATCTCAGCTCACTGCAACCTCCACCTCCAGGGTTCAAGCGAATCTCCTGCCTCAGCCTCCTGAGTAGCTGAGATTACAGGTGCCCGCCACGACGCCCAGATAATTTTTGTATCTTTAGTAGAGATGTGATTTCATCATGTTGGTAAGGCTGGTCAAACTCCTGTCCTCAAGTGATCCACCCGGCCCGGCCTCCCAAAGTGCTGAGATTACAGGTGTGAGCCACCATACCCGGCCAAATTACTTTCTTAATTTTAATTACATACCTCTCCATAAATGGAAGTTAAGTAAAGTACTTCAGACCCAGTATATCTTGGAGATAATAACATCAGAAACAGGTCTGGGAGCCCAAATGTATAGATGGGAGGCAGATGAATACTGAAGTATTCTCAGATTTCAGTCTGGCTGCTCAATGTGTTTGAAACAAAAACAGCGTAATGAGCAACATTTGGAGACAAAGGCTCCAAAGCAAACATATATCCCAGAAGACACAATTAAATACTATACAAGATGAAATACACAAGATCATAAATCATTTTTTATTCAGAAAAGGGACAGAAGGAAAAAAAAACAGTGCAAGGATCAGAAGGCAAAGAGCCATCAGGCAGGAACAATCTGTATGGGTATTTGGTAATGCTTCAGGTAAGACGGGCCTTCCTGCCCATCGAACACTGAAATGAAACCATGCCAGAGTTTCACTTTAATGAGATTTTGATTTCCATCAGCCCAACCTGGCACTTCTTAGACATAACCATTATATTTTTATCAATGTGTGTCAGGCAGCTGCTATAGCAACTATCAACCCTGAGAGCCCCAAGTGTCTAAACAAACACATTTTGTGGCAGCACTCCCAGGGCCAACGTATTCTCTATTCTCTTATCCCACCAGCTTGAGATTCTGGAATTCTATTTTAACTGCAGCCAACTATGATGCTTTTCCTGCAAGAAGTAACTCTGCTTTCCCCCAGTGGGTAGCATAGATTTAAGACACACAGTAGGTTGTTTTAAAACTTCAGGGGCTGTGTTACATGGAATATGACATGTAAAAAGGGTAAGATGACAAGGAAACAAAGTAGTGATCGTGATGCTTCATGCTCTATTCTCCAACTTTCAGCTAAGTTTCTTGATGAAAACAGTCCAAAAGAAGGAGAGTGAGCTAGCCAGGTGCGGTGGCTCACGCCTATAATCCCAGCACTTTGGGAGGCCAAGGCGGATGGATCACCTGAGGTCAGGAGTTTGAGACCAGCCTGGGCAACATGGAGAAATCCGGTCCTTACTAAAAATACAAAAATTAGCCAGGCATGGTGGGCACCTGTAATCCCAGCTACTCGGGAGGCTGAGGCAGGTGAATTGCCTGAACCTGGGAAGCGGAGGTTGCAGTGAGCCGAGATCGCGTCACTGCACTCCACCCTGGGTGATAGAGCGAGACTCCGTCTCAAAAAAAAAAAAAAGGAAAGAAAGAAAGAAAAGAAGGAGAGTGGGCAAGTGACAGTCAAAGGTGGGAGAGAGAGCACAGGGAGGACATGAAGGAGGTAGCACCTGATGTGACATAATTTTAGGGACACTTCTTGGTCTCCCCTTTTCCCAATAATTTCCATTTCAACCCGTCACCACCTCTGAAATGCATCCATTTGAGCTTTGTTCCCCTGGGCCCTTAAAAATGCCAGAGAGCCAATGAAAATTAGGAAAAAAAAAAACAACGAATTTTCTAGGAAGCCCTGAAGAAATATTTTTTTCAAGAGGGATTAATTTTAGGAATAAGAAAATGATTCAAGCTTATATTTACTAGTGAGATTCTCGGAACGAGCCTATTACATTGCAGAAGCTGCAAGTTACAATATAGGGCAAAAGAGACCACAGAAACTCTGAAAAGTCTCCAGTCTCACTCCGAATTTGTGCCCAGTCCTCAGCGAGGGTCACTGAGGCTCATTCCAGATCAGAAAATGTCAAAAGCCTCATTGAGCTTCCGCATTTGAGATTCATTCTTAAAGCTGAGAAGCAAGAGGAAAGGTAGAAAAGCAGGTTTGGGCGCCCTTGCTCCAGCGTGAATACACGCAAATCTCCTAGACTGGATTCTGCACCCAAATTGTTTTATTTTGCTACAATGGGATAACCAGCAAAGAGGACTATACTCGTTAATTTACTGATTTCGATCACTGTGCTGTCTTTAGAGGAGAGTGTCCTTTTTTCAAAAGAAATACACACTGAAGTATGTAATAGTGAAGGGACATCATGTCTGCAACTTACTCTTAAGTGGTTAGAAAATTATAATACATAAATATAAGGAAAAGGTGAAGCAAACATCATAACATGTTACTGTTTGGGGAATTTGAAGAAGGATATGTGAGCATTTTTCATACTATTCTTGCAACTTAAGTCTGAAATTATTTTTTAAAAACATGTATACATCTGCCTTGAGAGAATTATAATGCTCGCAAGACACGGTTCCTGGCCTCAGTTTGGGGGACTGAGCCCACTGAGTGGTTGTTCTAGATTGAACAAAGAACCCCAGGCCGGGAAGACGCCTGCCACAGTGGAAAGAGCCTGGTTCTGCCCTCGTTCTGCCACTTAGCTGGGTGGTCTTGGGCAAGTTGTTTAATTGTTTTGTGTCCCAGCATATCATCTGAACGATGGGCATAATCATACCTACTTTGTAAAGATTTCAGAAAACATGTAGCAAAGGCCAAGTTCAGTAAATGATGGTGGGTTTCACCAAAAGAAAACCAAATTACCCACACACAATCTACTCTGAAAAACCAACAGTCCCTTTCATGCTTCAGTGAAACAAAGGGCAAAGGGCAGTTGGGGAAAGCATGAAATATAAAGACTATCACTCATAATCTGGCTTTACTTCCTATCACCTAACTTGCCTCATTCCTTCATTAATTAAGTGACCCCTGGGCAACAAAGCACAATAAGGCTGCTGTTATTCTGTTAATTATACTTTATAATTATATGTGACATAACCAGTCTCAAGCTATTTTTACCTTTATCTTAATCTTCACAAATATCTTTATATCTGCTCATTGATTAAACCCTCCTCCAAAAGGACTGAGGCATCTCAAAGGAATGCATTATTATCCCTGGCTTCTTGATTAACAACTAGAAATACTCCTGGTGTGTATTCTAGAGGTATCCTCATGAGGGGACAGGCATGAGGATGTTTACTGCAGCGAGGTGAGTGGGGCACAGAGCTGGAGGCAATGTGCGTTGTCTGTCATCCGAGAGTCGCTGGGTATAATGTGGTGGCCTCAACACCACAGAAATAATGGACCAGATGCTGCATGCCAATGGATCTTAAAAACAGAATGCTGAGGCCTGTAATCCCAGCACTTTGGGAGGCTGAGGCGGGAGGATCACCTGAGGTTGGGAGTTCAAGACCAGCCTGAACAACGTGGAGAAACCCCATCTCTACTAAAAATATAAAATTAGTCGGGTGTGGTGGTGCATGCCTGTAATTCCAGCTACTCGAGAGGCTGAGGCAGGAGAATTGCTTGAACCCGGGAGGCAGAGGATGCAGTGAGCCAAGATTGCACCATTGCACTCCAGCCTGGGCAACAAGAGCAAAAACTCTGTCTCAAAAAAAAAAAAAAATCGTCATTCTCAGCAAACTATCGCAAGGATAAAAAACCAAACACCGCATGTTCTCACTCATAGGTGGGAATTGAACAATGAGAACACATGGACACAGGAAGGGGAACATCACACTCCGGGGACTGTTGTGGGGTGGGGGGGAGGGAGGAGGGATAGCATTAGGAGATATACCTAAGGCTAAATGACCAGTTCATGGGTGCAGCACACCAACATGGCACATGTATACATATGTAGCAAACCTGCACGTTGTGCACATGTACCCTCAAACTTAAAGCATAATAATAATAAAAAAAAGAAAAGATAGAATGGGGAGCTTTTGCCTTAAAATGTTCAAGCCAAAAATAAAAATAAGAAGTGGGGCCAGGCACAGTGGCTCACACCTGTAATCCCAGCATTCTGGGAGGCTGAGACAGGTGGATCACCTGAGGTCAGGAGTTCTGGACCAGCCTGACTAACATGGTGAAACCCCGTCTCTACTGAAAACATAAAATTTGGGCATGGTGGAGGGCGCTATTTGGGAGGCTGAGGCGGGAGAATCTCTTGAACCCAGGAGGCGGAGGCTGTAGTGAGCCGAGATTGTGCCACTGCACTCCAGCCTGGGCAACAGAATGAGACTTTGACTCAAAAAAAAAAAGTGGGAGAATTGGCAAAATGTTAAAAATTGCCAAAGCTCATTAATGGACCCATAGGGTTTCTTTACTATGTTCTCTGCTTTTATTTACATTTGAAAGGTTCCGTGTCCATTTTGTCATTTTAAGGTACCCACTGAATGGAATGAAATGAATCTTCAAATAAAAAAAAAAAAAAAAAAAAAAACACAGAATGCTGAGTGCAAACGTCATGAGTGGAATGAGACTTATAATGTGATGCCAGCAAGTCTGAAAGGTGTTCCATAGTATTTATGTAAATATGTTAGTTACATTTTTCATAAAATGTTACATTTTTAACTTCTAAAATAAAAATATATCCCAAACAGTAGAGGAAGGGCAGGAGAGATTAATGCAGAATTACATTTTTCATGAAATGTTACATTTGTAACTTGTAACATAAAAATATATCCCAAACAGTAGAGACGAAGGGCAGTAGAAATACTTGGATATAAGGATAGATGGATGGATCGTAGAGAAATGGATGGAATTAAAGGAGGAAGACAGTGGGACACAGACACAGTGTGTGTACTCATCCCAAACATGGACAAGCCCCCGGGGGTCTTACCCGAGGCTCCTGGCTTCTGGCTGGGCTGGCCCGCCTGGTGCACACTCTGCTGTAACAAGTTGAGGCACTCCCCAAGGCAGCTGAGGGTGGCAGCAGAGGTAGCTTTCAGGAGCAGCAGGTCCTGGTCCAAGGCAGTGAGGGGGCCGGACCCTGGCAGGGACTCAATGGCGTGCACAAGGTTCTTCTGCTGCCCTTCCACCTGGTTCATCATCTACAAAACAAGAAGACAGTAAGGAGGTGAGGGGCGGAAGTTCTTTCGACAGGCTGGGGAGGCGGCAGATAAACCACAGAAGTGGGTAAAACTAGGTGAGGGTCAACTCAGCGTGTTCGGTGCACATTCGTCTTTTGATAAATACTCAATCCTGGGTGAAATCTGTCAAGGCAAATTTAGCCAAAGGCACTCTAATCAAAAGAGAATTTGTCAACTTTCAAGCTAAAAGGGGCCATTAGGGCCATCTGGGTATATCATTTTACAGATCTTCTGGAGGTAAGTCAATAATAAATACATTGAAAGCAGTCCTTGCAACCACCTTTAGAGTCCTTCTTCTACGGAAGGTTATCTGAGACAGCAGGCGCACTGTGTGGCTTTCCCTCCTTGCTTTTCCTCCAGCTCCAAACCTTAACTCTTTGCTAGTCCTGTTCAGAGTTCACGAATTGGAAGGGAAATCTGGGGCTGGTGTTTGTACAAAGGAGATTACAAAGAAACCAATGCTGAGCCCCCTTCGCTCGCTTGCAAAAAAAAAAAAAAAAATGCTAAACAGGACATGACCTTCTTAACACCAGGAGAGATGTCAGGAAGAGAAAAACCAGAAATTCTAGACCCAGCCCTACTCCATGGCTTAAGCTATGGCAAATAATCATATCTTGTGGCCTGGCTTCAATTCATAAGCTTATCATAACAACAAAGACAAACAGTAGTCTAATGATGTCTTTGAACTAACAAATCAAAAAGAAAAGAACACAAGATCTAGAAAAGGACTTTAATGGTTATCTTGTGAAGTTCATCCTCCTCATGTTTTATAACATCCCATTAAACAGGATGATGTACATAAAGTGCTTCGGCACCATGTCTAACAAATAATTAGCGAGTCTAAGAAGTGGAGGAGCTCAAGCAACCCGCCCAAGGTCACAAAGCCCACTGACATCAGAAGCAGGAGTAAATTCCTGTTCTCTGGTCCGCTGTTTTTTAATCTTCTCCACAAAAGCTGTTTTTATTTGAAGTAACATCTCCTACTTTGTCACTGTCATCCCTGGAGGATCCTTGTCACCATGATGTCACCAGTGGGAAGAAGCAGTAATTCTGTAAGGACTGCCAGACTTGGACACAAAGCTCGTTTCTTTTTTGCTCAGCCTTTTTTCTCTTTCCTTTTGAAACAAATACCTGCTATCGGCGATTACTTCAAAACGATGTTTTTAAAAAGATTATTGTTAATAGACACATTCCACAGATGTGGTTTGAGCGTTCTCATCTTAGTGTACACATCCATAATCTGGCCATGCAAATTGTTTTTTTGCAGATTACAGAGGATCTACCTAGCCATTCTGGCTCCTAAAACAGTGCCTAGAAATAAGGAGAGCTCAATAAGTACTCATTTCTTCTCCAGGTCTTTGTTTAAAAGTCACCTTTTTAGCTGCTTGCAGTGGCTCATGCCTGTAATCCCAGCACTTAGGGAGGCGGGTGAAACACCTGAGGTCAGGAGCTCGAGACCAGCCTGGCCAACATGGTGAAACCCCATCTCTACTAAAAATACAAAACCTAGCCAGCTGTGGTGGTGGACGCCTGTAGTCCCAGCTACTCAGGAGGCTGAGGGAGGAGAATCGCTTGAATCCAGGAGGCAGAGGTTGCAGTGAGCTGAGATGGCACCACTGTGCTCCAGCCTGGGTGACAGAGTGAGACGCCATCTCAAAAATAAATACATAAAATAAAATAATAAAAGTCACCTTCTTGAGAAATCTTCCCAAACCACTTCATTTAAAATTGCACCTCCAGGCCGGGCATGGTGGCTCACGCCTGTAATCCCAACACTTTGGGAGGCTAAGGCGGGTGGATCACTTGAGGTCAGGAGTTCGAAACCAGCCTCGCCAATGTGGTGAAACCCCATCTCTACTAAAAAACACAAAAATAAGCCAGGTGTGATGGCGGGCACCTGTAATCCCAGCTACTCAAGAGGCTGAGGTAGGAGAATCGCTTTAACCCAGGAGGCAAAAGTTGCAGTAAGCTGAGATCGCGCCACTGCACTCCAGCCTGGGCGACAGAGCAAGACTCAGTCTCCAAAAAATAAAAAATAAAAATTGCACCTCCAGCCCAATCCCAGGCACACCTATCTTCCTTACCAACCTCATTATTCTCCACAGCATTTACCTCCTTCCAAACTAACTTGTAATTTCCTTATTATATTCATTTATGCTAGTGTGCAAGCAGGAATCATTATCTGTGTTGTCTGCTGATGTATCCCAAGTACTGTAAGTACCTACCTATTGAATGAATGAATCCAAGTTTCCCTCCTCTCACAGAAGTGCAAGAGAATCCATTTATGACACTCTACAGAATACTTGATGAACATAATATGGCTGAAGATTTAGTAACAGATAATACCTCCATTATCAGTTTGCCAAGAAGTACTGCCAACTAGTTAAATTTAACTTCAAACAAGATAAAACGTCTATGTATTCTCTGACATTTGTATGTATAAATGCTAACAGGGAGAAATGGATTTCGAGCTATTTGTAGTCAGCATTTCTGTAAATTCCTACCATAAAATCCTGTCTTAGAAAAATGCACTGAAAAGAAAGAAGAAATCATGATGAAACATGATGCATTATGTTTTTATTATTATGAATGATGCCATAATCTTAAGATTTTATTCACCTTAAGAGAAAAGGTGAATAAAATCAAGCCATAAACTATACGGTATATACTCATTTCTAATCAACAAAAAGAACTATATTCCAATTATACAGTATAGGATAATTATTATTTCATAAACAGAAGACATTATGAAAATCTTAGATAATAAAAACACGAAACCGGCTTAGAGAATATTCTTCTCTATTACAACAGATGCACGTGCTCAGAGATGAAATCCACATACTAGCTCTCTAAAAAAGCATTCAGGCCAGGCGTGGTGGTTCACGCCTGTAATCCCAGCACTTTGGGAGGCCAAGGAGGGCAGATCACTTGAGGCCAGGAGTTTGAGACCAGCCTGGCCAACATAACAAAACCACATCCCTACCAAAAAAAACAACAAAAACAAACAAACAACAACAACAAAACAACAACAAAAAACAAAGTTAGACAGGCATGGTGGTGCACCTGTGGTCCTAGCTACTCAGGAGGCTGAGATGGGAGGATCTCTTGAGCCCAGGGGGTGGGGCTGCAGTGATCTGTGACCACACCGCTACACTCCAGTCTGGGCGACAGAGTGAGACCTTGTCTCAAAATAAATAAATAAACAAACAAACAAACAAATAAAATAAAATAAAATAAAATAAAATAAAAATAAAAAGTATTCATCCGTATTTACTGAGAGCCGATTGCCAATAGCAACGGCAGGTAGCCTTTAAAGGCAGTGGGGTTTGGCAGTTACGATGGCTGGGGAAGAACTACGGCACTGAAAGCATAGAGCCCAGGAGTGCTAAATGTCTCTTGAATCAGGGCACAGTCCTGTACAACAAAGAACACTGCCGTTTAAAATGCTAACAGTGCCCCTTGAGTAACCCTTTGCTAGAGACACATCAGTAACCAGGCACCTCATGGCTTTTGACTTCTTTCTTGAGAAACTGAATGCTAAAAATAATACAAGCTTTACAGTGATTGGCACACAGTAGACACCTCCTAAAGATTCGTTTTCTTCTCATTTTCCATGAGATGTGAAACAGAACTCTAGTCTTTAATGACACAATCAATGCCAATCTTCACTTTACGTTAGCTTCATCAGAATCCAAAAGAAGTTGAATGAACCCTGAAAGAAATGTAGGATTTCTAGCCTTGGAGCTGTGCATCACAGTTATTACTGCTCCAACACTTGCTAAGACTGGGAGGCACTGATGAAGACTCTTCATCAGACTTCCGAAGAACAAGTTTTAGCTATGTCCATCTCTCTCTCATTTTAATTAAGGGCACATGTGAGAAGATAAATGTGGTACCGAAAGGCTGAATGCACCAAAAATATCAACAGCAAATTCTTAAAGAGGGTTCCTTCTCCCCTTCAAGGTGCCTACCAGCTTATCAACAAAGGAGCAAAGCCCAACCATCAACAAACAGACTCACCTAGATCTCCCAGCCTTTAAGAAAATGTTGAACCATTTACTTTAATTACGAAGTTTCAAATTATAACCCCAAATACTTCCTCCAAGGCACACCAACATTAATCATCCATGATTGTTTAAAAACAAACAAACAAAAAGCACAAATTTCATTTCTTTCTGGAATTTAGCTTCCACGATCAAGGCATCATGATGTTGTAACATGGGCACAAAAACAGAGCCCCAAATTAAATTTCAGAGATACAATCACCTGAAAATATCAACTCTGAGGTTGTAAAAGAGATGAAACGTAGGTCAAGTTGAACTTCACAGATAAGAAACTTGTCAGAGAGGGAATAAAAATTCTATGGCCTGTTTCTTGCACTATAAACAATAACACATGCGTTACAAAATCAAATCATAGGAGTTAATGTTAATAGCATCAGTGGCTGCAGAAGAAGAAAAAAACAAGTCAAAAAAGCTGAAACGAAGATGCAAAGATCAAAAACCAATGATATCTAGCTCAACAAGTTTAAATCTGGGTAAAGCAAGGGCTGCGGGAGACAGCAAGAAGATAAGGGCCTCATTTGTCTTGACTGCTTCGGATTTTTCTGAGCTGTAAACCCTGTGCAGTTTCAGAGGCACCTGCAAAGTCCAATCCTGATGGGTCAGGTGTCAACAAATTTGACAACTTCAGTCACTCCTCCATTACTCTCCAAAAGCTCAGCATGAAGCAGCTCCTAAACAAACATTCCTAATCCTAAAGGAACCAAAGCTGCTTGTCTTGTTGGCAGAGCCTCAACCGGTGCCCCAGTGCCTTCAATTACTCAATCTGTCTGGCTTGGAAGGAGACCATACAATTTGATGCCACATACAAGATGGCCTTGGTTTGGCATTTCTCTTCAGTCTGGTGGAATTCCTGAGTCCCTGCTAAGTTCCCCTCTGAGTCAGGGGATCAGTCCTTGGTTAACGTAGGCACTTTTTCACTTGGCCAATGTCCTCACCTAAGCTTTAAAGCTGTGCTTCAAGGATTTTTTTTTTTTTTTTTTTAGACAGAGTTTCAATCTTTATTGACCAGGCTGGAGTACAATAGCTTGACCTCAGCTCACCGCAACTTCCGCCTCGCCTCCTGGGTTTAAGTGATTCTCCTGATTCAGCCTAGCTGGGATTACAGGTATGCACCACCACGCCCGGCTAATTTTGTATGTTTAGTAGAGACAGGGTTTCTCCATGCTGGTCAGGCTGGTCTCGAACTCCTGACCTCAGGTGATCTGCCCGCCGCAGCCTCACAAAGTGCTGGGATTACAAGTGTTACCCACCATGCCCGGCCGCTTTATGGATCATTAAACCAAAACCACACACACACACAAACAGCTTACTGTCTGCCTTAACATGGCTGCTTTATTATCCTATTCCACTACTCTCAGGAGCAATACTTTAATTTTCCAGGGGACTCCATCCCAGAAATGGTTTGATGATTCATTACAGGAACTTCCCCAAATGTTCATCAACGCTTTAATAAAAACCATCAACACTCTGCCCTCTAAAAGTCTTTGAATGCCTTGCCTCAAAATCCTTGCCTTGTTGTTTTCACTAATTCTGAACTGTTAAATCTTGATTCTTAATCTTAATCCTAATCAAGTCTCCACATTGTATACCAAACTTCCAGTTCTTGATAAATTCTGACCTTGCCTTCCCCGCTTGGAGACAGAGCCAGTGCCCTGTGGAGGTGGTGTTCTTCCTCACAGTGGCAAACAATAAAGTCAGCCTTGTTTTATTAACAAATTGTAAGTTGATATGTGGAGAGCTGGCTTTCCAATCCACAACCCCCTTCTCCAAACATCTGAGTGTTGGGGCACAGTCAGTCCTGGTCTCACACCTGAACAATTTTGTCTTCTCTCAATGAGCTGCCGACTTTTTCTACCTGACATTCTACCTTCGCCCTTTAATTCCCAGCCTATGTCTCTTGTTCTACACCTCCTGGCACAACATACACCTAAAATGATAGCCCTCCAAGCGTTCCCTTTAGGCAAGGTCCTGAGCCCCTGGGGACACTGCTCCTCATACCCACAAACACAATCCTGTGTAGGCCAGTCCCAAACAGTTCGTGACTGCCAAGTATCTGTTAAGCCTGTTTTAGTGAGTGGAGAAAGAAAACCCCCAACTAGTGTACAGAACTTCCAAAAACACATTTCTCTCAGTAGGGCTAAGAGAGTGACGGTGGCAATAACGGACAAGATGAGCGGAAGGAAGAGGGATCCAGCTCCAGTGGAGAGAGGGTGCTGGCTAAACAGATGACAATGTTACAAAGAAAAAGAAGAAAGGAAAAGACACAGAAAGAGAAGGGAGAAACCAATATAAGAAATATCACACTGTATACTATAAACCAAAGGAAACAAACAAACAAACAAAAGGTAAACAGGCGGCAGGATCTCAAAAACAGTGACCACTAGGTCGTCAATGAGCTTACTGCAGGAGTCTGCAGACTTCTGTAAAGGGCCACATGGTAAACACTTTAGGTTTTGCAGACCGTATGTTCTCTGTGGCAACTACTCAACTCTGTCACTGTAGCTTGAAAGCAGCCAGAGGCAATGAATAAACAAATGGGCATGGCTGTTTTCCAGTGAAACTAATATTTTTATTCACTCTCAGTTTCGGTGTCAGATAAGATCTTTTCTCACTCATGTTGTGATTGTCCTGGTTCTTGATATGACTGATGATTTTCAACTCTACCCTAGATATTTTGGTTATTATGTTAGGGGACTCTGGGTCCCATTTGCTTTTTTTCTTTTTTAGGCTGGAAGTCTCATGTTTAAGTTTAGAACATAGGTCCTGGCCTGCTTGTATGGGCTGTGGTTCCAATGACAATCTCATTTCAGAGCCATTGTGGTACTATTTTGATTTGCTTGCTTCATCTCCTGCCTCTGGAGCCTCTACTGGTCCCTGTTAGTGTTACCAAAGGGGACAGAAAGAGCTTCCCCAGACCTCTGACTGGTGCCTCTAGTCGAAAGAATGGAGTTTCCAGCCTTCCAGGATGGGAGCAGGATTACCCTTGCTCATGCCCATAGCTGCACCTTGCCCCCAACTCTGGGTAGGAGGGGAGTCTCAGGCCCGAAGTCATTTTTTTATGCCTAACGGTATAATAGTCTGCTTTCCTTTCAAAGATGTGTAAGTGTAGACACCCTATTTCCACTTCCAAGTTGAAGACTGCTTCATAAGCAGATCTAACTGGCCGGTTGGAAGTTGTACTAATCTTTTTGGTAATAGAATCTATTCTCCCTTTCAGGAAATTGGCAGAAGAGATGCATTCATTATTTCTAGATATTTACCTGCTTTCTGGATTCATACTTACTTTGCTTTGGACTTCATGGTGTCATTATTGAGGCTGACCGTCACTAAGTGACTTAAGCCATGATCCCAGGTTTTTCTGTCCACCCTTGCCCCTGGAAGGCAGGACAGGCTAATGGCATTTTGAAGTTCAACAATTTGACACTTTATCATGTGAGATGAGAGGGATGGAACAAAAGAGTGGTTGAAAGGACAACCCAAAGACCCAGAACATCCAAAGCTTTTTCTGGTCCTTCCATGGTTTGAGTTGGTATCAAGAAATCTCCAGTGTTGTCTCTAAACCAGGCCATGCTGTTGAGGGCAAAAGGTAAATGCAAAATTCTGAATTGCACCTACACACTCAAAAGACACTTTCTGAAGATGGGGGGAGATAAGCCTTCTGCAGTTCCAAGAAACTGATTCCTTTCTGTCATTTCTTCACCTTTGGCTTTTCTACAATCATTGCCTTACCACTCCCAATAGTAACACCACACTGCACAAACATAAAATGCAAATTTTATCTTTACAAACTCCTTAGGAGGAAACCGTTACTGAGATCCTCAAGAAATGTGAGATCATAACACAACTTATCGTACGGGTCTGTCAAGTCTGCTTCTTGGCAGGCAGGAAACCTGAGTTCAGAGAAGCTGAATGACTCTGCCAAAGTCACAGCTTCACTTTCCTGGCAAGGCATAATTCACCATTAGTCCTCCGGCTCCACTTCAGCGCCCTTTACACTCTGACACATGCTCCTGTGGACTTCCTCGTATTTCTTTCATATATTCTAGAAGCAAAAAACTATCTCCTGCCTCAGAAAACAACAATGAGAAGGTTCCTTCCTTTCCACTGTCCCTCAGCCCACCCATTCTCACCATCTGGAAACCAGCTTTTTTGGTTTTGCTTTCCGATTACAAAAGGCTGGCTCATTCCATCAACAACCATCCCAACAGAATCAGACAGTAAAGACAGTTATAAAGAAGGAAGTAAAGTTACCTGTCATCCCACTTCCTGGAGATAAGTGCTGTTAACATTCTGGTATTATTCTGACTCTTTTAATTTATATCTACACACACAGAGGTATATTATTTTATCTTAAAAACATCACCCCTTATATATAATTGTATAACCTTTGATCACTTTAGAATGTATCATCTCTAACACTTGGGACATACTTCAAAATAACCCAATGGGGGTAAAAGAGCAAGGATGAAACAATATTGGCTTTGGGGGTAGCTAAAGCTGTTGATGGGGACATGGAAATTCAACATGATCTTCTCTAGTGTATTTACATTTGAAATTTTTCATAACAACGATGTCTTTTAAAATAGGGGGAAACCTCCTCTTGGCTTTCACATTTTAAATCTTAAATGTTACTATTGCAGGCCGCAGGCATGACAGGCAATGAGCAGGTGAAGAACCAATGGAAAAGTGTTCAGAAACTCCTGCGTTAGCTAACAGGCTTCTGAATGTATCACTGTAGTCCACAGAGAAGGCTGGAGGAGGTAGCAAGGAGATGCTGTAACAGCTGCTACAGCCTTAAAACAAAGTTGGTGTCTCTCTGGACTTTAAAATTGTTCCTATGCAGCTTATTTTTGTTTAACCAAATAAACATGAGGGTTTTTCCGTGAAAATTAAATAAAATAGGGGGAAAATATATTTTTATGATTGAAATGTATCCTTCACCAAATTCATATGCTGAAGTCCTAATTCCCAGTATCTTAGAATAGAACCCTATTTGGAGATTGGTTCTCTATAAAGGGAATCAAGATAAATAAGATCTTGAGGGTGGTCCCTAATCCGGTATGACTGGTGTTCTTATAAAAAGGGGAAATTTGGGCCAGGAATAGTGGCTCATACCTGTAAATTCCAGCACTTTGGGAGGCTGAGGCAGAAAGATCACTTGAGGCCAGGAGTTTAAGACCAGCAGTGAAGACATGGGGAGAAGATGATCATCTACAAGCCGACACATCCTTTTCTCATGGTGCTCAGAAGGCACCAACTCTACCAATGACTTGATTTTGGACTTCCAGCCTCCACAACTGTGAGACAATGAATTTCTGTTGTTTAACACACTTTGTCTGTGGTACTTTGTTAATGCAGTACTAGTAAACTAAGAAACACATCACAGACATCTTTCCACACCAATAAACATAGATCTCCTTTTAATGATTGCATGTATAAGAGCTTTTCCTCCAAACAAAGTAGGTCTTGGCTTTAGAACAAAAGTTCCTTCAAAGCAATCTCTATCAGTTTTTCTCATGTAATTTTTGCTAAAGGAAATAGTGAAGTGGAAGAAAGATTTTCAGAATTGTGTAACAGAATATGCTGTAGAAGACCAAAAATATACCACCCCAAAATATAATTATAGAAGACCAGAATATGCCTCCCTAAAATATGCCTCTTTGGCATAAGGATTATTTTGAGAAACTACAGACACCAGAACAGCTCTGAAAACAAAGAAGTTATCCTTTTGTAAGGGAAATTTACATTTATAAAGCAAGTCTCCATTCTCTGAACCAGGAAGATAATAAGGATGACTAAACTATAGAGCCTCATCAATGGAGAAGGCACAAACTTAAAAATCTGCATATCAAAACTTACTAATGTTTACAGTACTTTTCCTGGATACCTCCCCAAAATCTGCCTTCCCCTCACCCTTCTTAATCTCAGAGGAAGATGACATTTATGCCTGAAGCCTGTCACCTCTTTGAGAGTTACTCATTTCTCTGAGTACCTCTCATGTATACATGATATGTACATGTGCATGTATTAAATTTCAGTTTTTCTGTTGTTAATCTGTCTTTTGTTACAGAGGTCCATCCCAACTAAGAACTGAGAAATAAAAATAAAATTCTAGAACCCCCAACCAAGTAAACAGATACCACTGTTAGCCAAGGGGACCTCAGAGAAACCCTGAAAACAGAGTTCACAGCCATGACAGGATGGGAGGTCCAACTCCGTCTCTAACTGCTCTTAGGCTTTCTTCCCTAAGGGCTAAACAGAAACCAGCCCTTTCAAACAACTCCACCCCCATTTCAATCAAGCCCACTGACACTCCCCCATCCTTTTGTAGTTTCAACAAAGCAACTGACAGGTATTCCTGATAAGAGACCACTGACCACGAGAGTGGTTCTGGCCAGTCTATGGAGGATGTGCAGTGAGGGTCTTCGTGTCCTCTACTTCATCTTTTGATGTCAGAGGGCTGAAAACTCCACCCCTGGATCATGTTAATGCTGCATTTTTTTGAACATGGATCTCATGGAGCAGCATGAAGCTCAATTGCATGTGTACATATTTCTTTCATAAATATTCATGATTCCTCCTATAGCTTCTTGAATATGTATATTTGGCCACCTTGTTCAGTATAAATCCTGTCTTATTCTTCCCACCCTTGAAGTGCCTGTTTCTGGCTTCTGGCCAGAGACTATGCTTCCCAGCCTGTCAAAATGGTCACCCTACAGGCTGCGGCCGTTTGTGAGAAATAAAGCTCTCCTTTCCAAATTATGAACCTCATCATTGTTTAGTTGACAGAACTATGAAGAGTGAAGAAAAAAATATTTTTCCTCCCCTATGATTTCTACACAAAGGTTAAAAATTGTTAATTTAGAAATTCCATTTGTCAGAATTGAATAACATGTAAACATGTTGGTAACAAGGGGTGCAATATACAAAAGGAATAATCTTTTAAATTGTTTTCAAAGAAAATGCCACTGTCCAACAGAAGGATTCCGAGTAGAAGGCAAAGGATCAGTGAGTAAGTGCCTCATATGCTATAATTTATCTATACTCTCTGCCTCCCACACACACAGACACAGACCTGAACGGGATCCTGAATGCAGATCGAGTAGCACTTACCTCTCTGGACACAAGGTTGGCCTCCCTTGCACAACATCTGAAACTGGGGCTTCTAAGGGAGCTCCATTCTGCAGCAGGCTACTCTATGTTTTGTTTTAATTAAAAATCTCTTTTTAATACAAAAGAATACTCATCATAGAAAAAGAAATCAAATAGAAAGAAAAATACTCATAATATATCCAATACCAGAGAGAAGTTTTAAAATCCTGGCAAATGTACTTACAGAATTTTTATGTATATATATGGCCAACCCTTAAACAACTTGAGGGCAGAAGATCCCCATATAACTTTTGACTCCCTAAAAACTTATCTAATACACCACTGTTGACTGGAAGGCTTACCGATAACATTAGCAGTCGATTAGCACATATTAGCACTGTATTCTTACAACAAAGCAAGAGAAAAGAGATGTTATTTTGTTTTTTATTTACTTTTTTTTTTCCCCAAGAGTCTCACTCTGTCACCCAGGCTGGAGTGCAGTGGCACGATCTCGGCTTACTGCAACCTCTGCCTCCTGGGTTCAAGTAATTCTCGTGCCTCAGCCTCCTGAGTAGCTGGAATTACAGGCATACACCACAACACCTGGCTAATTTTTTTGTATTTTTAGTAGAGACAGGGTTTTGCCATGTTGGCCAGGCTGGTCTCGAACTCCTGACCTCAAGTGCGCTGCCCACCTTGACCTCGCAAAGTGCTGGGATTACAGGCGTGAGCCACCATGCCCGGCCAAGAGATGTTATTTTAAAAATCGCAAGGAAGAGAAAATATATTTACTATTCATTAAGTGGAAGTGAATCACCATGAAGGTCTTCGTCCTTTTCTTCACATTGAGTAGGCTGAGGAGGAGGAGAATAGGAGGGGTTGGTCTTGCTGTCTCAGGGTGGCAGAGACAGAAGAGTTGGAGGAGGTGAAAGGAGAGGCAGTCACACTCAGTTTAATTTGTATTGAGAAAATCCACATATCAGTGGGCCTGCACAGTTCAAACCTGCGCTGTTCAAGGGTCAATCGTACAGTCATCCCTCAGTACCCATGGGGGATTGGTTCCAGGACTCCGCCTGGATATCAAAATCCATGTATGCTCAAGCTCCCTACATAAAAAGATAATAATGTCTGCATATCCTCCCATATGCTTTAGATCATCTCTAAATTGCTTATGACACCTAATACAACGTAAATTCCATGTAAATAGTTATTATACTTTATTCTTCATGGGAAAGTGACAAGAAAAAGTTTGTACATGTTCAATATAGATGCAATCATCCATATTTTTTCCTGAATATTTTCAATCCTTAGTTGGTTGAATCTAGGGATGCAGAACCCACAGATACGGAGGGCTGACTGTATGCCCTTTTTCAACTTTTTATGAAAATGGCTACAGGCCATAATCATGTTTACAACCTTTTTAATTCAACATACCATGTCAATAAATTTCTACAATACTATTTAAAATACTGCAGAACATTTCATCACATAAATATGCCACAACTTATTGCCCAATTCCCTATGGCCGAACATTACGATGATGTTTAACTTTTTTCTCTATGACGGATTACGGTTCAACAAACTCTCTGTATCTAAATCTTAGCATAACTTTAAAAAGATTTTGTGAAAATAAACTTCTAGAAGAGGAACTGCTAAGTTTTTTTTTTTTATAAATACTGCCAGCTCACAACTAAAAAAAATTGTAACAATTTGTATTCTCAGTCGTGTGTGAGCTGTCCTCTGCCCTATCACTCTCCAACATCTTTCTTTCTTAAACAATTTCAGAGGCAAAAAAAATCCAAACCAGTATTTTATTGTTTTAATTCATTGTTCATGTCCCTGCATAATGCAGGGTAAAGAAAAGTTAAGAAGTTTCCGCCAGGCGCGGTGGCTCACACCTGTAATCCCAGCACTTTGGGAGGCCAAGGTAGGCAGATCATGAGGTCAGGAGTTCAAGGCCAGCCAGGCCAACATAGTGAAACCCAATCTCTACTGAAAATACAAAAATTAGCTGGATGTGGTGGCACACACCCGTAATCCCAGCTACTTGGGAAGCTGAGGCAGGAGAATTGCTTGAACCTGGGAGGTGGAGGTTGCAGTGAGCCAAGACCACACCATTGCACTCCAACCTGGGCAACAGAGTGAGACTCCATTTCAAAAAAAAAAAAAAAAAAGTTTCCATATCCAGTAAAGAAAATTTAAGGAAATAAGACTAAAGAGGCCTGGTATGGTGGCTCACGCCTGTAATCCCAGCACTTTGGGAGGCCGAAGTGGGCGGATCACTTGAGGTCAGGAGTTTGAGACCAGCCTGACCAACATAGTGAAATCCCATCTCTACTAAAAATACAAAAATTAGCTGGGCATGGTGGCACACAATTGACACCAGCTAATCCAGAGACTGAGGCAGGAGAATCACTTGAACCCAGGAGGTGGAGGTTGCAGTGAGCCAAGATTGTGCCACCGCACTCCAGCCTGGGCAACAGAGCAAGACTGTCTCTAAAAAAAAAAAAAAAAAACCCTAAAGGGAGTCAGAGAGTATTTTCCTTCATAAGGATGGAGAAGCCTTGTAAATGTCTGGCCATGGGCACCAGCACATGGGGGTGTGATGGTACTCAGCAATGAAAGGGAAAGCAAAGTCCTAAGCAAAGGGAGGGCAGTGCTATTGGAAGAACGAGGTGGACCCAGAAAGCAATAGGAGAAGTCAAAGTTCTCTCCTAAAAGATCCCAGGGACACGGAGAACAAGGGGAAACACTTCCCTCATAGTGCCAGAGAAAACAGGTCTACCTCAACCTTGAGGTCCAACTGCCTAGTTATGATGTCCCCAGAACCCACTAGAAGCCTCTTCCCACCTTCAACAAGCTTATCTAAAGCTCAAGGTCTGGTTTTAACCCAGCATTTAGCTCAAGGAAAAAAGCACAGAGTAGTCCTTTGCTGCTTCCCCCACATTTATCTTTCTCTTCTCACTCTTTTCAAAATACTTCCGTTATCAAAGCCATGTCAGTAACAGCCACTACACAAATGATAGAAACAGGGCCATTTCACAAGATGTGTGGCAGGGGCTGAGAAGCGCTGGGCTGCAGTTTATAACAGTGCTTTCACAGTCACAGTCTCTAATCCTCCCAGCTCTGTCTTGGCCACAAGCAAGGCTGGTTACTGTTTTTTTTGTTTTGTTTCGAGACAGGGTCTTGCTCTGTCACCCAGGCTGGAGTACAGTGGCATGATCACGGCTCACTGCAGCCTCACTCTCCCAGGCTGCCACCTCAGCCTCCTGAGTAGTTGGGACTACAGGCCTATGCACAACACCATGCCCAGCATTTTTTTTTTTTTTTTTTTGTAGAGATGGGGTTTCACCAAGTTGCCCAGGCTGGTGTCAAGCTCCTGAGCTCGAGGGATCTTCCTGCCTCAGCCTCCCAAAGTACTGGTATTACAGACATGAGCCACTGCACCCAGCTCCTGATTACCATTATTCTCATTTTACACAATCCTGGGGCTGAAAGAGTAAACCATTTGCCCAAATCATAATTTGCGGATGCGAGGTGTCAGGACTGAAGGATCCACATTTCTGTGCTCCTCACCTCATGACCAGGAAGCATGCAGAACCATTCTGTTCCTACAGATCACAGCACAAAGGCTCACATACACACTCTGATGCTCACCTAGCATGGCCTTCCCCCTAGAAGAAAGAAGACGCTTGGGAGCAAGCTGGCCTATCCACCCGCCAATTCATCCGGAACGGAATGAGAACACACACAGCAAACTCCTCTAGGGTAAAATTCACAGAAAAGAAAACACAATTTATAAGCAAAGACGTAATAAGAAAGGGTAAGGAATTGTTCTGCAAATGGTTTGAAAGTTTCATTCAAGTGTTTACATTTCTGTCAGTTCTCTAATCAGAAATCATTTAACACACATCATATAAAACAAAAAGAAACAAAACCTAAAATGCTGCTTTACTGACTCACTTCAGAAGTCTTCTGATTAATCTACTGTCATTTCTCAGCAAATACTGGATAGTAGATCAGTTTTTTTCTCTGGCAGAACGTAACCTTACAAACTAAGGGTCAACAAGCATGAAATTAAACCATTTTCTTCAGACTGCTTCACCTTTGTTCACTCATACTCCACACACATATCTCAAAGAACCTCTAAGTGTCCAGATATTTAATCTGGATTTTATGGAAATTCTTTTATTTTGCAAGGAGAATAGGATGTCTCTAAGAATTCCTGAAGAATATTCTAATATTCTAACTTGAGCTTGATAGCATATACAAACTGGGCCTTAGCTCTACCCAGTAAACACCTGCCATTCCCTTTTAAAACTTAATTGCTGTTTTTAGATCAAATAGCCACCCAAAGTAGCAGGCAAGAACATGACTACATACTTCTCTTTTCCACCTAGAATTAATTTCACTAGTGCCAATTATTTTCAGGAAAGAAATGCATCTCCAAATGGCACTTGAAAAAAGAAAAAAAACTGGGCAAAAATTTCACACCTCCAGGCAAATCCTTTACATCATTTGAGCTTTAGCAAATGAAACTCTGGAGAGACAAGTGCATTTATCAGGAATCTGCTTCATTAATCTGAAAGGGAAAATTATGTTAAGGAATAAGCCACCATTAATTAACGTTTATTGTATCCCCACTGGGTAAATGACACTGCAGTCACCATTTTACAGAAGAGAGAACACAATTCCTGCACACGAACTGCTTACAATGTAATCCTCAAGGCACACAAATATGACACAGAATAATGATATATAATACACAGTGCTTTGCAAAAGAGCTAACCGCCCTTTGCAGACACCTGCATTTAGAACTGCTTTCTACTCCTTCTCCACACTTCCTCACTGCTCTGAGCATGCACTTTTAAAAAGAGTACATGTAAGAGTATATAGTCCATGATCACTGTTCATATAAACACACAGAATGAACTCACTATAACGAATATAGTTCCACATATATCTCTCTCCACGGCCCAGCCTGCTGGTGGAATCAGTCAATTAATTCACTGCCAAACTCTTTCTGGGCAGGGCCCATAATGTCTTATTCAAAGGAGATGCCTGATGTATGTTTGTTGGGTGGATAAATGGAGGAGAGGGGACGGGAGAGAAGAAATGGGAAGACAGGGCAAGTGAAAGGAAGGGCGATTAAAGGGAGGCAAAACAGGGGAAGAAGAGAAGGGAAGAATAAAGAAAGAGGAACGAAGGAAGAAGGATCGAGTTCCAAAGCTTCTAGAAGTTTTAAGATGCCAGCACGGTTCTCTAGCAAATTTGAGAACTCCTTTTCATTGCCCCTAGTTTGTTGTTACTACTTTCACTCAAGGAATAAAAGATCTTGTCTCTTTTTAGCCTGGGACCTTGAAGCTTCAGGCTTAACCATCATTTCTCTCCAGTACCAATCTCCCAGCAAGGGTGGAGCATTTTAACTGCACATTATATATCTCTGGACACACAATCCCAAATTTCTTAGAGCCTCTAACTTAATCTATATGATCGTGGGATAAAGAAGGCATTATCTGAATGAGTTCCAGGCTCAACTTCCAGTGAAGTCCATGACATGTTTTTCTCCTAGTCAATTTTTATTCCTTCTTCGACCCCGGCTTACAGGTTGTTTTCACCAGATAGCCTTCCATCATCCTCCCAAAAGGCCATGATCCCCATCATCCATAAAACACATCATGGTTGTAATTAACTAACTACTTTTTTTCTTTTTTTTTCTGGAGACAGGGTCTTGCTCTGTCACCCAGGCTGGAGTGCAGCGGCGAGATCATGGCTCACTGCAACCTCTGCCTCCTGGCCTCAGATAGTCCTCCCACCTCAGTCTACCAAGTAGCTGGGATTACAGGCATGTGCCACCATGCCCAACTAATTTTTGTGTTTTGTTTTGTTTTTGTTTTTTTTTTGTAGAGACATGATTTCACCACGTTATCCAGGCTGGTCTAGAACCCCTGAGCAAGTGATCTGCCCACCTCAGCCTCCCAAAGTGCTAGGATTACAGCCATGAGTCACTGTGCCCAGCCTCTACTGATGTGTTATGTTACTAATTTGTTAATTTCTCTTGCCCTTACCAGGCTCTCGGTGCCACTTTGTCTCTTCTGTTCACTGTTGTTTCCCCAAACCTAGGACAAGATGTGGCAAACTGTGGGCAAAAAAATATCAGCTGAAAGCATGAGTGAGTGAGTGAATGAATGAATGAATGAATGAATATACAAAGGAGAGCACCCAGGCATCTCTTTGAGAGCTGGGAAGGGGCTGTTCTCCTCCCTTCGGACAGGTAAGAAGATTGGTCTCAATGCCACTATGAGATGGATCCATTTGAACAAAAACAATGTATACACCCAATCTAAGTGACAGCCAGTGGGACTTTAAAATTAGCAAGTGAAAAAGGAGGTACAATACCATTTCTGGGGATAAGTAGGACCAGGTTTGGGTTTTTTTTCTTGCTCTATCAAGACTGAGAAGTTCAGTAGTCAGGGGACAAGGTTTCATATTTTCCTTGTATACCTCCCAGGGTTTAGTTGATCATGGTCACAGAGAAAGTTTAGTAACAAAGAAGTGAAACCACCCACACTCATGCAAGGAGAAGGGGATTTGTTGCATGGATACAGGAAAGAGTGCCCAGAAACTACTTGAAAGAGCTACTCTTTCTTTCCTTCAGAGATATGGCCGTCTCTTATTTCTCTCTATCCCCTGGTCTCTATGGTCGCTGGTTTTCACACCTTTCTCTCCTCTTCTTGCTCAACTCAACTTCCTCCACTTGCAACAAAGCCCAGCAGAGCCGCTGGAGCCAAATCTACCCAATCCTCTAGTTTCTTCTCCTAATTCAGATGAGAGAAAGTGAGTTTACGTTATTGGCTCTGGGTCACATGCCTGCCTGAGCCCACTCAGCTGACACTGGAGATGTGGAAAACAGTGGCCATGTGACACACCATGTGGACACAGATCCCCCACTTCAACATAGGGTCTTCCCTCTGCCCACTGCTCTGTGATGTTTGGCCCAATGTAGTTTTTTTGTTTTTTTGTTTTTTTTTGTTTTTTTTTTGAGACACGGTCTCACTTCATCACCACCCAAGCTAGAGTGCAGTGGCACAATCATTGCTCATTGCAGACTCAACCTCCAGGACTCAGATGATCCTCTGAGCTCAGCTTCCCAAGTAGCTGGGAGTATAGGCTCACACCATGACACCCAGATAATTTTTATTTTGGTAGAGATGGGGTCTCATTATGTTGCCCAGGCTGGTCTTGAACTCCTAGCCTCAAGCAATCTTCCTCCTCAGCCCCTCAAATTGCTGGGATTACAGGTATGAGCCACTGTGCTGGCCCCAGTGTAGAATTCTGACATTCATGAGCTATAAGGATACATACTATTTACAAATACTTTTAAAACTCACTTCACAAGATTTGTAGGTCAACTGGAACATCAGTTAAGGCTTTTATCCAAGACAATTAATCAAATAATGGAGCATTTCTCTAAACTTAATGCTGGCATGACATGAATGCCAGGTTACAAAGCTTCCTGTCAGAGGGCCTGAAAGTGTACTAACTTCTTATAAATGCCTGTGATAAACACCCAGCTGTAACCAAGCCCAGAACACCCCACCTCCTCTTTCTTTCATTTGCAGTACAATCTCATAATGAAAAGCCAATAGAATCTGCCAGGTTATAGAGGAGATTAAAAAGAGATGAGGGCTCAATCCACAGTCCTCTCTAAGCTTAGCCTTTCCCTGGTGATTCCTAAGTCTAGAAAACAACCCAATTAGCTACGTTATACTACTTTTTCATATCAGGTCTGGAGGGCTATACTTTCATTAACTTTGTGGAAATTAAAATTACCACTGAGGAGCTCTGGATTTTGCTACAATATTAGCCAATTCTCTCTTTCAAGAGCCCTCTTGTGTTTTGCTCATGCAGTTGTGATTAAAACAGTTCCCTCTGTTCATGGGAATAAGTTCTTCTCCCACGACCATCACTAAGCCAGTGAGAAAAAAACTCAACTGTGGTCCCTGCAATAACCACTTGGAAAGTACAGGATCTAAAAAATATAATTGTGTGTAATTCTCACAAACGGTGGCTTTGTATCTTGTCCCTGCCTCCTCATAAATACACTACCTACTTGGGCAACATGACACCTCTTGAATTCCTGTCAGGTTACATCTGCCTAGAAAGCTTTTCCTCCCCATCTCTCATGGTCAAAGTCCTACCAGGCTTCCAATGCCCTTCCTCAGTTCTTCATGAAGCCTTCCTTATCTCCCACTTAGAAGTCCCCGTGCCCCAAGTCTCTCAGAGCCCTCCCGTGAGCACTTGCCCTTCTCTTCTGTAAGGCCTTGAGGTCTGGGGAGCAGGCCCATGTCCCCACTCCCATAGCACCTGGCTAGTGCAAGGTGACCCTAATTAAGTGTTAAATGAACCACTGAATGCACCCTTCAGGCTCTGGGTCTAGCCTCAGACTTCAGATTTGTTTCTTCCAGGTGAAAATGCTCTGCTTCAGTTATCACAATTGTGTCAGTAGTCGGGGCTGTCACAAGGCGAACCTCAAAATTTGGGTTCAGCCTGGGAGGTCACATGGGTCGTTGGCTTCATGTAGAAAGGAATTCAAAAGCCAGCCTACAGAGTAAAGTAAAAGCAAGTTTATTAAGAAAGTAAAGGAGTAAAGGATACTCGATAGAGCAGCCCTGAGGACTACTGGTTGGCTATTTTTATGGTTATTTCTTGATCGTGCGCTAAAAAAGAGACAGATTGTTCATGAGTTTTCCGGGAAAGGGGTGGGGAATTCCCAGAACTGAGGGTTCCTCCTCCTTTTAGGCCATATAGGGTAGTTTCCAGACATTGCCATGGTATTTGTAAACTGTCATGGCGCTGGTGGGAGTGTCTCTTAGCATGTTAATGCATTATAATTAGCATATGACCAGTAGTGAGGACCACGAGAGGTCACGTTCATGGCCCCCTTGGTTTTGGTAGGCATCTCTTTTTATCAGGGGAGGTTTTTGCGACCCATACCTTGCAAAACCAGTCCTACCAAACTCCTATCTCAGGGCTGCCCAATTTTTGGCTAATCTGACCATTTATAGAAGGAAAATGCATTTTCTCCTTCAGTTCAGAAAATAATTAGAAATTGTCTCCCTTTAGACTTATCTGTGTACTATTAATTCACCACCTTTAAACGAAGCTTTTAGAAAATGTGTAATATTAGTACTCTTGCAGATATTTTTTCAGATTTCCCAGATGTAAAATAAACACATGTAATTCTTTCCACACTACAACATAAATACATATTTCACTCCAGGGATAAATTGGCCTATGTTCATGTAAATTTAGTAGCAATAAAAGGTAACCGGCAGCCTGAGGAAATGCTCACTGGCTCCCTTCCTAGGCTTCTGACTGTATACTTCACCCTCTGTGCCACCCCAACGCATCAGGAACCCAAACCTACATACACCTCTAAACAAGGCAATTCCTCTAGTTAAAACAATAATATTGCTTCGAATTGAAATATATGCTAGATTTTAATCAAGCTCCATTTATTTCACAAACAATTTCCTCAGCATTCACATTGGGTAGGTATTACCCCTTAAAGGGTCTTAGAGCTCTGAAAAGTTAATCTGAAGAACAATGACCATTTTTGCCCATTCCATTGCTGCCCCCTGCTGACAAAAGAATGGACACCTTTGGCAGACACTGCACTTTCCTGAGAAGACGGCAGCCGCGGAAAAATAAGCCAACTGAACTACTGAGTGCCAAGCCCCATGGAAAATAAGAAAGGGGCCCTTAAGAAGTGGTACCCAAATGGTCTTAAGAATGAACAGAGGAGACAAAACATGCAAGCATGAAATAATCAAAGAACAGACGGCTGGGCACGGTGGCTCAAGCCTGTAATCCCAGCACTTTGGGAGGCCGAGGCGGGCAGATCACCTGAGGTCGAGAGTTTGAGACCAGCCTGACCAACATGGAGAAACCCCGTCTCTACTAAAAAACACAAAAAATTAGCCAGGTGTGGTGGTGCACACCTGTAATCCCAGCTACTCTGGATGCTGAATCAGCAGAATTGTTTGAACCCGGGAGACAGAGGTTGCAGTGAGCCGAGATCACGCCACTGCACTCCAGCCTGGGCAACAAGAGCAAAACTCCATCTCAAAAAAAAAAAAACAAAAAAAAAACAAAAAAAAACAGAATAAAAATATATTTTATTAAAAATATATTTTTATATTATAACTCATTATAAAAATATATTTTATTAAAAATATATTTTTATATTATAACTCATTATAAAAATATATTTTATTAAAAATATATTTTTATATTATAACTCATTATAAAAATATATGAGTTAGACTGTAGCTGTGCAGACTACAGGATTTGGGAAAAGGAGAGGCAGATGAAGATGGAGACGCCATATAGGCTGTCAGTTCCCAACCTTTTCACCACTAAGGAACCCCACCTCACCCACTTCTTGCTTTCAGTTAT
This sequence comes from Homo sapiens, assembly GCF_000001405.40. Lineage (NCBI taxonomy): Eukaryota > Metazoa > Chordata > Mammalia > Primates > Hominidae > Homo > Homo sapiens. The sequence goes on from NC_000003.12 coordinate 31,769,777, forward strand.
TTGTCTACATAAGAAAACCAGATTTCCCAGCAAATGCTCACTTAACTCCAGCCAAGAGCAAAGAAACAGATAACTGCTTGATTGTAGGTATTTTTAAATGGTGAAAATAGTTCATGGATCCCCTAAGAAGGTTCTGAAATCTATGGACCCTGCAATGCCATCTCAATGGGTTTTTCAAGGGGTTTGGGAATATCCACAAAATATATTTGATGACAAGGTTCTGCCTGTACCTAGAAGCATTTTCCTCCTAAGGAAAGAGTCCTTGACTTTCATTAGATTCTCAAAGAAACTTGTGGTCAAAGATAAAGCAATCAATAAAAAAACCAAAACTTGTAGTCTCAGGGATGTCAGGCAAGGGACTACTGATACAGATAAAGAGAAAAGGTGCAGGGAGCATTTTCCCATTTCTGTCCTGAGAGGCTAATGTTCAGGTTTAAACTGAATTTTAAAATGCCTATTTTTCCTTTCCTCTGGAAAAAAGTTGGGGGACGGGGGTTATACCAACTCTACAATGCTGTTAATGCCATATCATTCCCCATCAACAATTTCAAAGATTAAAAAATAATCGACCCAAATAGCCCATTTCTTAAGCATTTATCCTGTGTGGTCTGTTCTCCTTGATGAACAGGTCATCTCTGTTTGTAAAGCTGGTTTGAGAAACAGGAGTCCATTGTCTGACACTTGCTATGTTTACTATCAGCTAAAATGCCTGTAGGAACTAATTTTGAGGCCTGGCACGGTGGCTCACGCCTATAATCTCAACACTTTGGGAGGCCGAGGTGGGTGGATCATCTGAGCTCAGGAGTTCGAGACCAGCCTGACCAACATGGAGAAACCCCATCTCTACTAAAAATACAAAATTAGCCGGGCATGGAGGTGCATGCCTGTAATCCCAGCTACTTGGGAGGCTGAGGCAGGAGAATCGCTTGAACCCAGGAGGCGGAGGTTGCGGTGAACCAAGATCGCGTCATTGCACTCCAGCCTGGGCAACAAGGGCAAAACTCTGTCTCAAAAAAAAAGAAGGGAACTAGTTTTGAGCTCAGCTTCACGGAAAACTAACAATACATAATAAAATACGAGAAAATACAAGCTCCTACTCAGTTAATTTGTTTACTGGTCGAGGGAGCACCCCATTCTCCCCATTCTAGGAAGTGGCACAGTTTAGTGTCTAGGAGTGTAGGCTGAGGACACCACTTATTAACTGTAATCTTGGGCATGTTTAATCTTCCTTGGCCTCAGTTTCCTTACCTGTAAAATGGGGCTCACAATAGTTCTCATCACATAGGCTTATCATGAGGAATGAATCAGTCCATATACGTGAATCACTCAGAAATGCTGCTAATACACAGCAAGTGTTACGTAAGTGTTTGTGTCTGTTGCTGTCCCTGCTACTACCAGTTATTACCCTGAAGGTTAAATGAGATTACACTCAGAGTGCTTAAAACAGTGACAGGCATGTAGGAAACACTGAATAAATGTTATCACAGATACAGAATTTCTATGCTATTGTGGCAGGCCAGGTCTAACTAACAGCTGAACAGGCAGGCCTCCATGACAACTGTTTCAGCACTAACTGAGTGGGTAAGTTCAATATTAAAAGCTGATAGAGCCAGTGTCCTTATGCAAAGGCTGGAATGTCACAAACACCCACCAAGAGTTTTGCCCAGGCCTTTCCTTGGCTTTGAAGCATGACAAGATAAAGAAGGAATTATTAACAGGACCCATTTAGGATTAAATGAGTTTTATTGGGGGTCTGAAGGAACTCCCCAGACCTCCACAAACAAGTTTTATTGGGGTATAAAGGAACTCCCCAAACCTCCATGATTTAGCAGGAGACAAGACAAAGGTAATCACCCCTGTCACCTGGACCCATCTAGATTAAGTAAATTTACTAAGGCTCCAGAGGAAGGTCTTCAGGACTCGGACCTTAATCACTCATGTCTTTAGATGAATGCACACTTACATGTCGACATATAGCTTAGAAGGTATATACGCTCTGGAAAACTTCGTAATTTTGAGTTGGTCTGACGATATTTTCCCGGCCTTCTCCCTATAACCCGTTACAGAAATCAACTCTCTTCTTTCTCAGTTCCTCTGCATCTTGTTATTGGGCCGCAAGAATAAGCAGCCCAACCCTCAGTTTGGTCCGGGAACACTATGTCATTTTAGCCAGACATCATGAAACATGTTCATTTAAGAAACAATAGATTCAGTGTAAAACATATTACACTTCTCTTGCAGAATCATTTGCCTAGCAGATTTTTTTTAAGTCACCAAATCAGTTACAGCTGATTCTCATTATGCACAGTAGTTATGTTCTATTAAAGTCTCCACAAACACTGAATTAGACAATACTAAACGTTTGCTCCTAGGGAAATACAGGGTTAGGTTACCCCGAACCTCTGGTCACAACATTTTTATCAACCAAAATGCCATTAGCTTTATACAGGTTCAACTGCCAAGGTCCTTATAAAATAAGCCAGTTTTATTAGTATTGAAAACCAGCCGTTCCACATAACCCCTTTCCTTTTTAACATTTAGCAGGTACAGTCAATCCTCATTATTCACAGTTCTGCTTCAAAAAGTCACCACAAATGGTGAATGAGCAAATACTCAACCATTGGGGAAATGTATGTGTGGGTGTTTCTCACAAAGACTATAATCTTAAATGCAAAAACAACTCATCTTGGTGGATTTTATTTTCCATTTTACCAAAGAGAAAATGAGGCCCAAAAGTGGTAAGCCGTTTGCCTGAGGCCACATCAGTAACAGGTGCCAGCACTGGGATTTGAACCCCCTCCAAGGGGCCCCAGAGCTGAGCTTCTTCCACTGCACTGCACTGCCCCTGCCGTCTCTATCCTCTGGTCATCTCCGCATGAAGCTGAAACAAGAAGGCAAAGCCCTGCCTTGTTTGCCCTCTCTGGGAACATGTGCATCCAGAAACACAGTTTTCACCATTCTGTGTGTCTGGAAATGACCACAAAAGCACTGCAAGTATCAATGAAGTTATAAATACATGTTAGGAAGTAGGAGAATTTGCAAATACAGAATCTGTAATGAGGATAGACTGTATTTTTAAAATTCTTTCTCAGATTCTTGATTCTCGGAACCTTCCTCTTCTGTAAATGTAACACTTTTCATGTCATATCGCCTTTCAAAACGTGCAAGCCAGCACTAGCCAAGAAGGGTTTCACATTTCCTGATCCTGGGTAACGTGACCAAACTTTTTTTTTTTTTTTTGGCTTTCAGTCCCATAATGCTGTCCACTATGCTTTAAACAAACAAACTGACAAATAAATAAATAAAAAGTCATCTCTTGAATCCACAAATGTAGCTGTTTTCTATTTTTCCCAAAGTTTCATATGCACTATAGATGTTACTTTAGCACTTTCCAGAGTGGCCTCACATACAGATTGGCAAATTTCCTCTTCCTTTTTTGGATGTACTACATTTTGATTCATTAACATAGAACTCACAGCCAGCTGCACTATAACTCACACGAGCATATCTGACATAAATATTTTCTCTGTAAGGCACATCACAACCTTCCTGCACTCGTCAGCACTACGCCTGGGGGACATTTAAAACAGCAAAATCACCAAGAAAATGCCCAAACATGCAAAAACTGTAAAATGGGGCTCACAATAGTTCTCATCACATAGGCTTATGAGGAATGAATTTGTTAATAAATGTGAATCACTTAGAAATGTTGCTAACACACAGCAAGTGTTACATGTTTGTGCCTATCGTTGTCCCTGCCACACTGACATTTGAAGAAATGAGGGTTGTGGTTGTACAAAAGGTCCCATATTATGGATCTGATTGTCCTTTATGGTGGTGGTTTACTTGCTTCTCCATCCCCTGTATTTTCTGCAAACCAGAAGGTAGGTCTAAAGGTCTGATTCGATTTGGAATAGGAATACTCATGAGTGTGGCTGAGAATGTCATGCTTCATCATGCAGTAGGCACATCAAGTTGTCCCACAGTAGTGACACTCAGTCAGAGACTCGAGTGCAGTGCACACTGCCTGGCATCTCTCTTGAAAGCTTTGTTTTCTCTCATGTAATTAGCAGGTAATCTTTCATACATTACAAATATACATAAAGGCCAGGCGTGGTGGCTCACGCCTGTAATCCCAACACTTTGGGAGGCCGAGGTGGGTGGATCACGAGGTCAGGAGTTCGAGACCAGCCTGACCAACATGGTGAAACCCCGTCTCTACTAAAAATACAAAGATTAGCCGGGCGTGGTGGCACGCGCCTGTAATCCCAGCTACTCAGGAGGTTGAGGCAGGAGAATCGCTTGAACCTGGGAGGCGGAGGTTGCAGTGAGCCGAGATTGCACCACTTCACTCCAGCCTGGGCAACAAGAGCAAAACTCCATCTCAAAAAAAAAAAAAAAAAGAAAGACAGACTGAAAACAGATGATGCTTTTCAGGAGATTCCTTTTAAAAGGGAGCAGAGAAATGACCTATTGTTAGAGGGAGAGTGTGAGGTCAGGTGAGGGGTTTTTCAGATGGAAGAAGTTATAGCTTTGTATGCTAATAGAAAGGATCCAATAAATTGACTTTAGAGGAGTAAGATGGGAGAATTGCCACAACAACGCCCTGGAGCAGGCGAGCGGAGTGTCGAGGCTGGCTGACACAGGTGAAGGTACAGTGTCTAGCAACAGAGGCAGATGGGCAAGTGGAGGGAAGAGATTGTTGGAAGTCCTCTTTTGTTTTCTGTTTTTGTTTTTGTTTTTGTTTTTTGTTTTTGAGACAGTCTTGCTCTGTAGCCCAGGCTGGAGTGCAATGGTGAGATCTTGGCTCACTGCTACCTCTGCCTCCCAGGTTCAAGCGATTCTCCTGCCTCAGCTTCTCGAGTAGCTGGGATTACAGGCACCCACCACCACACCTGGCTAATTTTTGTATTTTTAGTAGAGACAGTGTTTCACCATGTTGTCCAGGCTGGTCTCGCACTCCTGACCTCATGATGGGACCGCCTCAGCCTCCCAAAGTGCTGGGATTACAGGCATGAGCCACTGCTCCTGGCCAGAAGTCCTCTTTTGATTGCTTTTGTTCTCAGTGACACAAGAAGCCAGGTCATTACTTAAGAATGGAGATTGAGAGCTGAGTGTGGTGGCTCATGCCTGTAATCCCAGCACTTTGGGAGGCTGAGGTGGGTGGATCACCTGAGGTCAGGAGTTCGAGACCAGCCTGGCCAACATGGTGAAACCCTGTTTCTACAAAAAGTACAAAAATTAGCCGGGAATGGTGGCATGTGCCTGTAATCCCAGCTACTCAGTGGGGGTGGCTGAGGCAGGAGAATCGTTTGAACTCAAGAGGCAGAGGTTGCAGTGAGCCAAGATCATGCCACTGCACTCCAGCCTGGGTGACAGAGTGAGACTCTCTCTCTCCAAAAAAAGAATGGAGCTGTGGAAGGAAGTGCTAGAGGTTCAGGGATTTAAAAAAGAGTTTGCCCCGTGAGTACAGCCAAGTGAGAATGGGCAACAGATCTGAGGGAACATGCAAAGGACTGCTTCCACTGAGAACCATGGAACCCAAGCTGATTCAGGAGGAAAACAGAAACATGCAGAGAAGGGTTTCCAGGGGAAAGAGGATAGGACTCTAGAGGGGTAAAAAGCTGTTGGAGTCCAGGATCAAGGTGCCACCTGGAGAAACCTAGGAAAAGAAGGGATGGTTAAGGAAGTGGATGCCTTGAAACAGATCATGAAGGAGTTGAAATTTTTAGTAATGTTAAAGTCACAGGTCTGAGCGTGGGAGGGAGTGAGTGAGACGGCAGAGGTCAGGGAATTGAAAGCATCATCTATGTGGATGCTGAAATCACCAAAATTATGATAGGGCACTGCTGGAGGGAGTGATGGTGACTCACAAACTCAAACTGTCAAGGGATGAAGGAGGGACGGTGGGGAACACAGTGTGACGATGACAGGAGACTCAAAGGTAGATGCCTGTAGGGAAGGAGAGGTAAGAGTAATCTGGAATGACAGAGAAGAAAAAGAGGCCACTTACTCCATTTCCAGGCCTTGGAGGAGCGGGAGAGAGAATGCTGCCACCATGTAAGAGGGCTATGGGAGAGAACCAGGTTCCAGTTAGAGAACAAGGTGAAGAAATCATTTAGAGAACAGGTTGAGGATGTAGGGGATTATATCGCTGATGCAATATGAATTCCAAGGAGCACAATGAAAGGGTCTCAGGAGTTGAAGGATGGGGCAAAAACAACAATACAGAGGCACGTGGGGTTGCAAGTCAGGAGGGTGCAATGATCTGGGAATTCTGGGTTTCCTGTGATGGCTGCCACCTTCTGATTAAAGAGCATAATGAGATTAGACTCAATGGTATCAAGCAGAGAGTAGTGGCAAAACTGTGTGTCAGGTCTTAAAATTGAGATTAATTACATATAAAAGTCAAGCAATTATGCAACAAGCACACGAAAAAAATGCCCAACATCATTACTCATGAGGGATGTGCAAATCAAAACCAGGTACCGTTTCACAACCACTAGGATGGCTGTCATTAAAAAAGGAGAAAATTTTTAAAAGCTGGCAAGAATGTGGAGGAATTGGAACCTTCTTATACCGTTGGTGAGAATGTAAAATGGCACAGCTTGCTACGAAAAACAGTTGGGCAGTTCCTCAAAAAGTTAAACATAAAATTACCATATGACCCAGAAATTTCTAACCCCAAATAAATGAACACTGGTACCTAAACAAATATAAGCTCACAAATGTTCACAGCAGCACTATTCACAATAGCCAAAGGTGGAAGCAGCCCAAATGTCCACCAACAGATGAATGGATAAATGTGGTATATCCACACAATGGAATCTTATCCACATACAAAAAGGAATGAAATACTAGTACATGCTACAAAATGGATAAACTTCAAAAACATTGTAAGTGAAAGGAGACATAAAAAGTCATAAATTCTATGATTCCATTTACATGAAATATTCAGAAGAGGCAAATCCACAGAACCATGATTGGTTGTTGCCCAGGGCTGGGGGGAGGAGGGAAGGGAGGGCTGACTGCTACACAGGTATGGAGTATTTTCTTGGGGTGATGAAAATGCTTTGGAACTAGATAGAAGTGGCAGTTTCACAACACTGTGAATACACTAACAGCCATGGAATTGTTCACTTTAAAATGGTTAATATTTTAGGGAATTTCACCTCAATAAAACAATTTTTAAAAAATGTTTACAAAGAGAAAAAAAAATCAAGAAATTCTTTACCCATCTCAAGATCAGACAACCTTTAATCCTACACTAAAAGATTTAAATGTTGTTTACTATAAAAGTCATGCAATTATCAATGGAGTTTGCAACTAGGTTTTCTAAACACATAAAGCCTTCTGAAAACTTTCATTTAAAACTCACATTGTGAAGGGACTCCTGCAGCACTGAACAGCACATCAGATGACATGCCCCTGGCTCATCTTTGCCCAGCTCTGGATCACAGGAAATAATGAACAGCAGTGACTAAGCTTAACCTTATTTTCTAATTTGTTGTTAAAACATAATACACTTTTCAAGGCCCAGTAATTTTTTTTTTCATCTTTAGATAAGAGAGCCACTCTTTTTGAGGTGTGTGAGTGACTCGCTATTGTCCCCCTAGCCTGCTGGTTACTAAAGAGTATTTGACTCAGTAGACAATACAGGAAGTGCTAATGTCCCTTTCTCTGCAAGAGTGTACAGCACAGGACTGGGTTCAAGATGGCAGACAGGAGATAGGACTGACATGCAGCTCCCACTTAGATGATGGAACAGTGTGTGGAGACTCACAGTGTGGACTTTTGTTCCAGGAACCATTGTGAAAGTGTACTAGGAAAATCAAAAGAATTCACAGATCCTTTGAAAAACGTGGCCACTCTCCTTGCAGGCCACTGCAAATTCCACAAGACAAGCTAAAAACTGAGTTCCCAAAGTGTGAGGGGAGAAACCTGCCTCCAAACACATGTCTCCACTGGGGAATCCAAAAATCCAGATTACAGGAAAAGGATTTAACCTTACCTAGAGCTGAAATGGATTTAGCATGAAATATAAAATTACAAGCAGCAGTGAGAAGAGCCTTTTAGGCACTCCCATTCTCCAGCTCAAGCCCAGGGAAGCCATGCCTGACAATGTCTCACAGGGGCACTTGGGGAAGGCAGCAGGTGGAATCTGGGAAAGGTTGCAGGGTGAAAGAAGCTTCCAGCTGAACTTTGTAATGATTTTGACTGGACATAAACTCTCTTGAGCAGAATCTGGGGGCAAACAGGAAATGCTGGAGGAAGGACAGCAGAGTCACAGTGGACAGTATGGGCAGATGGGGAAGGGTGGGGCCTGAAAGCCATGGTTGCTTTCTCAGTGGGGAAATTTATAGCCTGGGGCTAGGTCTGAGTCCTGCTGCCTGGAGATAAACTCAGTGCTATTAGCAAGACTGGCCTTGCCAACTGTGTGGGAACTGGGTGAAGCCTATTGCTACCAGCTTTCCCCCACATCCCTAGTGACAGAGGCAGCCATAATCCCCTCTGGAACATAACCCTATTGGCCTGATAACTACCCCCATCCTCCACAGTGGCCGTGGCAAGCCCTGCCCAAGGAGAGTCTGAGCTCAGACCCGCCTAACCCTGCCTGCCTCCACCTGATGGTGTTTCTCTGAAATAGATAGTTTCAAAAATAGAATTGAAGAAGTAGAGGAACTTCAGAGCTCTAAGACAAGGCCTTTGAATTAACCTAATCAGGCAAAGACAAAAAAGAATTTTAAAAAATGAACAAAGACTCCAAGAAATTTGGGATTATGTTAAATAGCCACACCTAAGAATAACTGGTGTTCCTGAGAAAGAACAAAAATCTAAACATTTGGAAAACTTATTTGAGGCAATAATCGAGAAAAACTTGCCTAGCCTTGCAAGAGATCTAGACATCCAAATACAAGAAGCCCAAAGAACACCTGGGAAATTCATTGCAAAAAAATAATAATAATAATCACTGAGGCCCACAGTCATCAGGTTATCTAGAGTCAAGACAAAGGAAAGAATCTTAACAGCTGTGAGGCAAAAGCATCAGGTAACCTATAAAGGAAAACCTATCAGATTAACAGCAGATTTCTCAGCAGAAACCCTTATTAGCCAGAAGGGACTGGGATCCTATCTTTAGCCTCCTCAAACAAAATAATTCCGAGCCAAGAATTTTGTATCCAGCAAAACTAAGCTTCATAAATGAAGGAGAGATAAAGTCTTTCTCAGACAAACAAATGCTGAGAGAATTCACCACCACCAAGCCAGCACTACAAAAAATGCTAAAAGGAGTTCTACCTCTTAAAACAAAACCTCAAAATACACCAAAATAGAACCTCCTTAAAGCATAAATCTCACAGGGCCTATAAAAACAAAACACAATTTTAAAAAAAGGTATTCAGACAACAACTAGCACGATGAATAAAACAATATCTCACATCTCAATTCGAATGCTGAATGTAAATGCCCTAATGCTCCACTTAAAAAATACAGAATGGCAGAATGGATAAAAATCCACCAACCAAGTATCTGCTGTCTTAAAGAGACTCACCTAATGCATAAGGGCTGACATAAACTCAAGGTAAAGGAGTAGAAAAAGATATTCCATGCAAATGGACACCAAAAGTGAGCAGGAATTGTTATTCTATCAGACAAAGGACTTTAAAGCAACAACAGTTAAAAAAGATAAAGAGGGACATTACATAATGATAAAATGATCAGTCCAACAGGAAAAAATCGCAACCCTAAATATATATGCACCTGGAGCTCCCAAATTTATAAAACAATTATTACTAGGCGTAAGAAATTAGATAGCAATACAATCATAGTGGGGGACTTCATTACTCCACTGACAGCACTAGACAGGTCATCAAGACAGGAAGTCAAAAACAAACAATGGACTTAAACTACACCCTAGAACAAATGGACTTAGCAAATATTTACAGAACATTCTACCCAACAACTGCAGAATACACATTCTTTTCATCAGCACTTGGAATACTCAAGATAGACCATATGATATACCACAAAACAAGTCTCAAGAAATTTAAGAAAATCTAAATTATATCAAGTACTCTCTCAGACCACAGTGGAATAAAATTGGAAATTAATTCTAAAAGGAACCCTCAAGAATATACAAATACATAGAAATTAATTAATTTGCTCCTGAATAATCTTTGAGTCAACAATAAAATCAAGATAGAAATTAAAAAATTCTTTGAACTGAACAATAATAGGCCAGGTGTGGTGGCTCACGCCTGTAATCCCAGCACTTTGGGAGGCCAAGGCAGGTGGATCATGAGGTCAGGCAATCGAGACCATCCTGGCTAACACGGTGAAACCCCTTCTCTACTAAAAATACAAAAAGATTAGCCGGGTGTGGTGGCAGGCGCCTGTAGTCCCAGCTACTCAGGAGGCTGAGGCAGGAGAATGGCATGAACCCGGGAGGCAGAGCTTGCAGTGAGCCGAGATCACGCCACTGCACTCTAGCCTGGGTGACAGAGCAAGACTCCGTCAAAAAAAAAGAACAATAATAGTAACACAATTTATCAAAACTTCTGGGACATAGCATTAAATGCCTACATTGGAAAATTTGAAAGAGCACAAATAGATAATCTAAGGTCACAAACCTCAAGGAACTAGAGAAACAAAAACAAATGAAACCCAAACCCAGCAGAAGAAATAAAAAAGATCAGAATAGAACTAAATGAAATTGAAAAAAAAAATACAAAAAATAAACAAAAAGCTAGTTCTTTGAAAAGATAAACAAAATTGATAGACCAGTAGCAAGATTAACCAAGAAAATAAGAGAGAAGAGCTAAATAAGCTCAATTAGAAAGAAAATGAGAGATATTATAATCAATACCACAGAAATGCAAAAGATCATTCAAGGCAACTATGAACACCTTTATGTGCACAAACTAGAAAATCTAGAGGAGATAGATAAATTCCTGGAAATATACAGCTCTCCTGGATTAAATTAGGAAGAAATAGAAACTCTGAACAGACCAATAACAAGTAGTGAGATTGAAACAGTAACTTAAAAATTGCCCCCCACCCCCCCAAAAAACAGTCTAGGACTAGGTGGATTCACAACTGAATTCTATCTGGCATTCAAAGAACAACTGGTACCAATCTTACTGAAAGTATTGCAGAAGATAAAGAGGGAATCCTCCATAAATCATTTATAAAGCCAGAATCATCCTAATACTAAAATCAGGAAAGGATATAACACAAAAAGAAAACTACAGACCAATATCCTTGATGAACATAGATGCTATAATCCTCAACAAAATATTAGCTAACTGAATATAACAGCATATTAAAAAGATAATACATAATGATCAACTGGGTTTCATACCAGGGATTCAGAGATGGTTTAACATATTTAAGTCAAAAAATGTGATACATCACATAAACCGAATTAAAAACAAAAATCACAAAATCATCTCAATAGCTGTGGAAAAAGCATTTGACAAAATCCAGCATTACTTTATGATTAAAACCCTAAACAAAACTGGCATAGAAGGGACATCTCAAGGTAATAAAAGCCATCTACAACAAACCCACAGTCAACATTACACTAAAATGGGGGAAAGTTGAAAGCATTCCCCCTGAGAACTGGAACAAGACAAGGATGCCCACTTTCACCACTTCTATTCAACACAGTACTGGAAGTCCTAGCCAGAGCAATCAGACAAGGGAAAGAAATCAAGGGTATCCAAATTGGTAAAGAGGAAGTCAAATTATCACTGTTTGCTGATGTATACCTAGGAAACACTAAAGACTCATCCAAAAAGCTCCTAGATCTGATAAATGAATTCAGTGAAGTTTCAGGATACAAAATCAATGTACACAAATTAGTAGCACTGCCATACACCAACAGCAACCAAGTTTAGAATCAAATCAAGAACTCAACCCCTTTTACAACAACTATAAAAGTAAGATAAAATACTTTGGAATATACCTAACTAAGGAGGTGAAAGATATCTACAAGGAAAACTAGAGAACACTGCTGAAAGAAATCATAGATGACACAAACAAATGGAAATATATCCCATGTTCATAGATGGATGGCATCGATATTGTGAAAATGACCATACTGCCAAAAGCAATCTACAAATTCAATGTGATTCCCATCAAAATACCATCATAATTCTTCACACAACTAGAAAAAAATCCTAAAATTCATATGGAACCAAAAAAGACCCTGCATAGCCAAAGCAAGACTAGGCAACAAGAACAAAGCCAGAGGCATCACATTACCTGACTTGAAACTACTACAAGGCGACAGGTACCAAAACAGCATGGTACTGGTATAAAAATATGCACATAGACCAATGGAACAAAATAGAGAATCCAGAAATAAAGTCAAATACAGCCAACTCATCTTTGACAAAACAAAATCAAAATGGGATATCCTATTCAACAAATGGTGATGGGATAATTGGCAAACCACATGTACAAGAATGAAGCTGGATCCTCATCTTTCACCTTACACAAAAATCAACTCAAGATGAATCAAAGACTTAAATATAAGACCTAAAACCATACAAATTCTAGACGATAACATGGGAAAAACTCTTCTAGACATTAGCTTAGGCAAAGAGTTCATTACCAAGAATCCACAAAAGCAAGTGCAACAACAACAAAAAGATAAATAGATGGAACCTAATTAAACCCAGAAGTTTCTGCACAGCAAAAGAAATAATCAGCAGAGTAAACAGACAACCCACAAAGTAGGAGAAAATATTTGAAAACTGTGCCTCTGACAAAGGACTAATATGCAGAATGCATAAGGAACTCAAATGAATCAGCAAGAAAAAACAAATAATCCCATCAAAAAGTGGGCTAAGGACATGAATAGACAGTTCTCAAAAGAAGATACACAAATGGCCAAACACAGGAAAAAATGCTCAGCATCACTAATTATCAGGAAAATGCTAATCAAAATAACAATGAGATACCACCTTATTCTGCAAGAATGGCCATAATTTAAAAATCAAAAAATAACAGATGTTGGCATGGATGTGGTGAAAAGGAAACACTTTTACACTGCTGGTGAGAACGTCAACTAGCGTAACCATTATGGAAAACAGTATGGACATTCCTTGAAGTACTAAAAGTAGATCTACCATTTGATCCAGCAATGCCACCACTAGGTATCTACTCAAAGGAAAAGAAGTCATTACATGAAAAAGACACTTGCACATGTATGTTTATAGCAGCACAATTTGCAATTGCAAAAATATGGAACTAGCCTAAATGCCCATCAATTAAGGAGTGGATGAAGAAAATGTGATATCTATATGGATATATCTATATCAATATATCTATTATATATATATATATATATATATATATATATATATACACACACACCATAGAATACTACTCAGCCATAAAAAGGAATGAAATAATGGCATTCACAGCAACCTGGATGGAGTTGGAGACCATTATTCTAAGTGAAGCAACTCAGGAATGGAAAACCAAACATCATATGTTCTGATTTATCAATGAGAGCTAAGCTATGAGGATGCAAAGGCATAAGAATGATACAATGGACTTTGGGAACTCATAGGGAAGGGTTGGGACAGTGAGGAAATAAAAGACTACACATTGGGTACAGTGTGCACTGCTCAGGTGATGCGTGTACCAGAATCTCAGAAATCACCACTAAAGAACTTTTCCATGCAACCCAACACCACCTGTTCCCCAAAAACTATTAAAATAAGGCCAGGCATGGTGGCTCACACCTGTAATCCCAGCACTTTGGAAGGCTGAGGCGGGCAGATCACTTGAGGTCAGGAGATCAAGACCAGCCTGGCCAACATGGTGAAATCCCGTCTCTACTAAAAATACAAAAATTAGCCAGGCATGGTGACAGGCACCTGTAATCCCAGCTACTCAGGAGGCAGAGGGAGGAGAATCATTTGAACCTGAGAGGCGGAGGTTGCAGTGAGCTGAGATCACACCACTGCACCCCAGACTGGGTGACAGAGCAAGACTCCGATTAAAAAAAAAAAAAAAAAAAAAAAAAAAAAAAAAAATATATATATATATATATATATATATATATATATATGAATGAATAAATAAAAATTAAAAAAATTTGAGTTTCTAAAAACATTATAAACAAGATAGAAATTTACTGCAGAAAAAGTACATTGTAAAATCCATTTTTAAAAACATTCTTCTCTATAAACCAAATGATAACAAGTTTGTGATTCACCACAGAAACTTGTGATTTGTTGCTTAGGGTATTAAAACACAATAAAAACTGGCTGGGTGCAGTGGCTCACGCATGTAATCCCAGCACTTTGGGAGGCAGAGACAGGCAGATCACTTGAGGTCAGGAGTTCAAGACCAGCCTGGCCAACATGGTCAAACCCTGTCTCTACTAAAAATACAAAAACAAAACAAAACAAAACAAAAAAACTAGCCAGGTGTGGTGGTATGCGCCTTTAGTCCCAGCTACTCAGGAGGCTGAGGCATGAGAATTGTTTGAACTCAGGAGGCGGAGGTTGCAGAGAGCCAAGATCATGGCCACTGCACTCCAGCCTGGGTGACAGAGATGGGAAAGGAAAGGAAAAGGAAAAGGAAAGGGAAAAGGAAAAGGAAAGGAAAAAGGAAAAGGAAAAGGAAGGAAAGAAAGAAAAAAACTCAGCTCACTGGAACCTTTGACCCCAACTTCTACTTGTATTTATTATAAAGAAATAATCACAATCATAAATATGCATGTACAAGTTATGACACAACAGTGTTATTTACAATTGCAAAACCACTTAAATGACAATAGCAAAAATGGGTTTGTTTTTTGTTTTTTGAGACAAGGTCTCGCTTTGTCACCCAGGCTGGAGTACAGTGGTGCGTTCTTAGCTCACTGCAACCTCCACCTCCCGGGTTCAAATGATTCTCTCACCTCAGCCTCCCCAGTAACCGGGATTACAGGCATGCACCACCATGCACAGCTGATTTTTATATTTTTAGCAGAGATGGGGTTCCACCACGTTGGCCAGGCTGGTCCTGAACTCCTAGCCCCAAGTGATTCGCCCATCTTGGCCTCCCAAAGTGTTAATCTGTATGACTTAATATAACTTTTTTGGGGGGGCGGGGGGGTGGGGATACAGGATCTCGCTCTGTCACCCAGGCTGGAGTGAAGTGCAGTAGTACAATAGCAGCTCACTGGAACCTCTGTCTCCCAGGTTCAAGCAATTCTCCTGCCTCAGCCTCCTGAGTAGCTGGAATTATAGGTACCTGCCAACACACTTGGTTAATTTTTGTATTTTTAGTAGAGATGGGGTTTCCCTCTATTAGCCAGGCTGGTCTTGAACTTCCGGCCTCAAGTGATCCGCCTGCCTCGGCCTCCCAAAGTGCCGGGATTACAGGCGTGAACCACCGCAGTCTTGAACCATATTTTCATTTGATGATATCAGAAAATAGCTAAAATGTAATAAATGGAAAAACAGAATATAAAACTGTATATATGACCTCAATTTTATCCAAAATAAAAATGAAAAGTGTATACATATACATAAACTAACTGTAACTGAATAAAACACGCTAACTTGAAAGAAAAGAGTATACAGCACATGGTAGGCGTGTTTGATTGGTATTTGTGGGAGGGAGACAGGGAAACAGGAAAAACCAAGATAAAATCCAGATCTGGCCAGGCAATTTTTAAATCACGAGGAAGAATTCCCAGACTGGAATCCATCTGTCTTAAAGCTGTTTCAGTAAGCCCCAAGGCCTACTTACAAGCACAACGCAATGGAAGGGGTTTTGGACTGGCAGTCAGGAGATCCAACTCCACCATTAACATCGTGGGTGACTCTGAACAAACCACCGACCTCTCTGAGCCGTTTTTTTTTCTTTTCATTCTATAAAATGAAGAGACTGAACTAGATTGCCTCGGCATGTTTCTCAGTCCTGAACATTTTCTGTTCTGGGATTCTTGTAAGGCTTATCCTCAGGTACTGCAAGTTACTAGATAATTCCTGGTCATTGACAGACAATAATCCCAAACTAAAGTCCTAGCCTTCCCTTAATAATTTTCTGAAATTCAGAGAACCTTACTCTGAGCATGGCTTTAGGATTCTGGGAGACTCAAGCTTCTGGGCATAAAATGGCCACAGTTATGATTCACTGTGATCCAGAAAGACTCCACCTCAATTGCTCATCACTGTAGGTAAAGGCAACTTGCGTAGAAGTTGGAGAGCCCAAACTAGACTTTGGAATCACTCCCATGATTCTCACATGTGCCAAAGCCTGGGCAGAACCAGACAAGGATAGAGGCAAAGACCCAGGGATGCCATTATTCCCTCCTTTTCAGTGAGCCACCTTCTAATATTCTTTTTCCTTTTTTCCACTGGGTTCTTGGGTTTTCCTTTACCAATTTTAGGAGACCCTTATAGAACGGGGAAATTGGTCTCTCATCTATGTGATGAGTTGTAACTTTGCCCCCAGGTTGACTTTGCTTATGGCATATTTTTGGCCATGAAGCTTTCATTTTTATGAAGTCAAATTTATACTTCTCTTTTTTGTTGTTTTTGGCTTAAGATTTTTTGAGTCACGTTTTAAAAAGCCTTCTCCATCCTGAGACATCTCAGTCCACTTGGGCTGCTATAAACCTACGACTGGGTAATTTATAGACAGTAGAAATTTACTTTCTCAGTCTGGAGGCTGGGAAGTCCAAGATCAAGGTGCCTGTAGGTTCTGTGTCTGGTGAGGGCCCATTTCTCATATGGCACCTTCTTGCTGTGTCCTCACATGACAGACAGAAGGGGAAGAGTTCCCTGCAGCCCTTTTACAAGGCATTGCTGATGGTAGAGACCTCATGGCCTAATCACCTCCAAAGAGCCCTACCTCTTAACGCTGTTGCCCTGGAGATTAAAGTTTCACCATGAATTGTGGTGGGGACACAAACACTCAAACCATAGCACAGGTGAAAATATATATATATTGTATGATTTAAGCACTTTAAAAGTTTTGGTTTTGGTTTTCTTAAGTCTTTGTTCCATTTAGAATACATCATGGCACACTTCTCAGGTAACTCTCAGTTACTACGAGCTAGACTTTTGTAGATATGAGCAGCATGGGCCAGACCAGCAGCAGCAGCTTTTTAATCTGGCAGACACAGATCTGAACCAGCGCACCTCCTTATTAGATGCAATTTCAGGCAAATGATTTAAGAACTCCTTAGTCTTCAATTTCCAAAAGTAGAGAGAACATTATCTGTTTGCCAGGTTGTTCTGGAATTAAATAAGACAACTATGAAAAAGTATTCTGCACAATGCCTGGCATAGAATAAGCGGTCACGATATGGTTGTTGCCTCCTTACTTCTTCATGTCCCTTAGTTTGTTTGCATTTTGAATGATTTACTACTTCTCGAAGGATACACAAATATCACAAGGAATTCGGTTTGCCAATATTCATTCTTTTAAAGTCCTAAAAATTAGGCTTCAGGGGTATTTGTGGATTGATTTAACTACAAAAGGTCTGGTCCTTTTAGTCATATATAATGGATTCGAAAGACATGATAGGCTGGGCATGGTGGCTCATGCCTGTAATCGCAGCAGGGAGGCCAAGGCGGGCAGATCACCTGAGGTCAGGAGTTCCAGACCAGCCTGGCCAATATGGTGAAACCTTATCTCTACTAAAACTACTAAAATTAGCCAGGCATGGAGGCGGGTCCCTGTAGTCCCAGCTACTTGGGAGGCTGAGGCAGGAGAATCGCTTGAACCCGGGAGCTGGAGGTTGCAGTGAGCCGAGATTGCGCCACTGCACTCCAGCCTGGACGACAGAGCAAGACTCCGCCTCAAAAAAAAAAAAAAAAGACATGATAATAACCTAATCAATATGTCCTTTGGGAAGGATTAGCCAGCCGGTTCAGCCACACCAACCCTGTTGATCAGCAAGACAGCAGATCAAAGACAGACCACTCAGTCCTAGATTGGTTCACAGTCTACATGCTTCACATCATGTTTTGCTAAGAAATTTGAAATCTACATGCCTTCTAGGTGCAGTTCAGAATAATTTCCAAAATAAGGATTTTAAATGGCAAATGGCATAAATACCCGACAACAGAATGAGTATTTAAATAAATTATAAGGAATTTGGTATTTTTAAGTAAATATATAAATGGAATATAGTTACTTTAAAATGCACAAACAGAATATAAATGGAAACATATATTAAGTAAAAAAGAAAGTATTCTGCCCATCACAAATGTAATAAATGAATAATATTTACACAAATTGACAAAGATGAGAAAATGTTGCTAATACTTCCCAAAGGACATATTGATTAGGTTATTGTTTTTTTTCTCCCAGAAAAGGTGACTCTGGAATAAATTTTAAAGCTGTCTAGAGATAAGCCTGTATCTAGATTTCAGAGATGTCAGCAATCTGACCCTGGCAGGGTTACAAGAAATTAGTTTTCTAGAACTATCAACATGAACAGGAATACTGAAAGGAGTTACTGTGCCAAATTTTATCCTATAAAATCCTATGACATTTTGCCATAATGTCATTTAATAGAAGATAACTATTATCAGTGTGGAATAAATGTCAAAACAAGTATCAAAGAAATGATAGAAGCCTCATTTTCCTAAATTCTTAATTCCACTTAGTCCTTTTCCTGATTCCATCTGCTGGTGACAGGTAAGCATATAATTCTTGATCTTGTTTTACAAATTTGGTGGTGGGTGGGATAGGAAAGTTGGAAGAAAGAAGCCTGGAAGACTAAAAATCACAGGTAATCCAAAATGCATACTATATTTAATCAGTAACTTTGCCCCTTTTCTCTAACATTCAAGGAAGCCAAAAGAAAAAACTCCCATTTAAAAATGGCTGTATGGTAGGTGTGGTGGTGTACACCTGTAGTTCCAGCTACTTAGGAGGCCGATGCAGGAGGATCACTTGAGCCCAGGAGTTCAAGGTTGCATTGAGCTATGATGCCACCTGTGCACTCCAGCCTGGGCAACAAAGTGAGACCTTGCCTCTAAAAAAAAATAATAATAAAAATAAATTGGCTTTATGGAATTATTAAAACATTATATAGACATTGTAGGAAATTTGGAAAATACAGAAGGCATGAGGAAGAAAAAATAAAACTCACCTACAATTTCATTAATCCAGAGAAAATCATGAACATTTTAGTATACTTCCTTCCTGGATGTTTCTTTCTTTTTTTTTTTGGTTTTGTTTTGTTTTTTGTTTTTGAGACGGAGTCTCACTCTGTCACCCAGGCTGGAGTGCGGTGGCGCGATCTTGGCTCACTGCAACCTCTGCCTCCCAGGTTCAAGAGATTCTCCTGCCTCAACCTCCTAAGTCACAGCGATTACAGGCGCATGCCACCACGCCCAGCTAATTATTGTATGTTTAGTAGAGAGGGGTTTCACCATGTTGGTCATGCTGGGATTACAGGTGTGAGCCACCATGTCCGGCTAGGATGTTTATTTCATACATATATTTAATGAAATATTTTCTTCCATATCCTGTAGATTCTGTGGTCTGAAAACTCTTCACGCACAGATTCAATGAAAGGCACTCTAGGGTGGCAGGGGTAGGTGACACTACCAAGGGGTCTTTCTTCAGGTCCTTGAGTCCATCATGAAAGAGTAGTCTAGTCAGCCTTTGTTGGAAAAGAAAACAGATGCTGAAGTTCTCCAGAACAAAGCTTAGAAGTCTAAATTGTAAACTCTTCCTATAGGGTACAGGGCAGAGCAAACAAGTCCCTGAAGGTCCAGGAAAGGACTCAGAACTCGGCATGTGCCTGTGAAAGAAGTGGTGGGGGACCAAGTGCAGAGCCGGGAGCACTGCCAGGCAGGGGCACTGCCTCAAGAAAGATACCGTGAGGGCAAGAGCCCAGGCAGGGGGAGCAGATCAGGATGGAGCTGCAAGTCAGCAGGTACACAGCACCATAGGCAACGGAGGCCAGGCCACATCGTAGGAGGACCATCAGGCTAGAAGAGACTAAGACTCTCCCTCTGCAAGGTTCTTTCCTCTCTCCTTGGGGTTAGGGATCATGAGGATGACTGGACTATGCACCAAAAATAAAGAGGATACTTCTTCCTTGTAACCTGAGTTGTATGGTGTATACATTTGCAACTCTTTTACTAAACCTGCCACATTTATATACTACTTTGATGTCCACTACAATCATGACACACATTTTTATTCTTTTTTTTTTGCTTAATATATTACAAATACTTTACCATAACATTAATTTTTAAGAACATGATTTTAAAGATGATCTGGTATCCCACCATATGAATATTCCTTACTTTAGCTAACTGGAAGTCAGTGAGATAAAACTGTAAGCAAAACAATTACCAAAATAAAAATTAGACATGACCGATAAACACATGACATGCTTCAATCTCACAAGTAATTACAGAAATGTACATTGTAAGAATAATTAGATGCTTTCTTGTCTGCTTAGCAAGTTGGCAAAAATGTTTAAATATGGTAATACTCTGTTGGCAGGAGTTCAGGAAAACAAGCAGTCAAATACACTGCCAGCCAAGGGTGTAAATTAGGATGACTTTTCTCCAGGCCATTTGGCAATATGTTCCCCAAACCTTTAAAAGACCATTTGTGTGTGGCAGAACCCATGAACCCCTGAGTATGCGCTCAAGAAGAAATGTGTCCTCAATCATCCTCTGAATAATTAAGACCTGATTTACATTTCACATATATAAAATTCTTCTGTCTCTGAATCACAGCTGTTCGCATACACCATCTGCTAATTAAAAAATACTGACGGGGGAAAAAGATGAAGGGCAAAAGATTAAGAGGCCATCTGATAGATCTTGGGGGCATTCTTGCCAACTGCAGGTGGGGCTGCCACTGAGATGCTTATGGCGCCTTGAAGTTTCTCGGAACTGGAGCCAATCCTTGAGGTCTGACCGCAAAGCCTGAATTATAAAATTTGAGAGCTTCAACCACCCACTGACACCTGGTGACCCTGATAATAAACACCACACTCTGATCCACTGGCAGCAATCTACACAACACTCTTGCCTGGATAAGAGGTTAACATCATTGGAATCAGATCACCTGGGCTGCACATAAAGATCTACTGCATATGTGTCGGAAAGCCAGATGGTACAGAAGACACAGCTATGCTTGTTGGAACTCATTTTAATGTTCTCCCCCAAATGTAAGCCATATGCTAGAGGATTCCCTGGCTGGCTGGCATGAAGAACTGGGCACTTGAGACTCATCAACAACTTAACAAATGCAAAAGAAGGGAAGGATGGAGAAGGTTTGATTCTGGTCCACTTGAATCATGAACATAAATGTCATGGAAAAAAAAAATACCTGTGTGACCTTTTTACAAAACAAAACATTTTTTGTTTTAAAATAGAAGTGTCATTTTAAACACTGGAACAGCCTGTTTTTCTCAAGATTTGGCTCTTATGCTAGGTGAAAAATCTTGTCGTTTAAAAACCATAATGCATCTTTCAAACCTCAGAAAATGGGAGTATATGCACAGTGGCTTTTAGAGGAAGAATTAATGTGAAGGGCACATTCCCAGGCTAAAAACTCCCATTTTGTAAAAGCAAATTGGCCACAGTATTTAGAACGTAACTGAAAGGAGTTGAAGTCTGTGGACAGAGTTATAAAGAAAGACTAGCATGAAATGGAAATCAGCGTGCATTTCCCCTGAGGTTCTGACATTTTCTGATAGCCTTGCATCATTTTTATAAGCATTCACAGCAGGATCAATTCAGTCTTATGCCCCAGAGGTAGTTCACTATAACTATATTCTAATATGTGTTTATCTTAAAACCATAGCCCCAGTGAAAACTTGAGTTCTTACTGGCTCATGTAAGACAGCACACTAGTGACTTAAAGAGGTTTTTGTTTTTTTTTTCCACAAAGCTTTACTAAGCTGTGTACGGCCAAAGTAAGTTAAAATCCATGAAAATCATATCTTTATGCCCTAAAAAGCTAGTAACCACCAAGTGAGAAAAATAGACCACTAGGTAAGTAACTAATTATGATCTTAAAAACATACAGTGCTTAAAATGAAAAATTGGGTTTCAAAGACTACATTTACAAAGAGCAAAAAAAAAAAAAATAAGAAACAGATTACTCCAATTCAATCAATTTTCTGAGCCAAACAATCTGCAAAACAGTGGATATAGGTGCTGTGAGGGATTTTGAAACGAGCAAGACAAAGCTGGATGCGGTGGTTCACACCTGTAGTCCCAACACTTTGGGAGGCCGAGGTGGGAGGATCACTTGAGCCCAGGAGTTTGAGGCTAGCCTGGGCAACATAGCAAGACAAAAAAAATTAGCCAGGTGTGGTGGCGCACATCTGCGGTCCCAGCTACTCGTGACACTGAGCTTAGTAAATCACTCGAGCTCACGCAATTGAGGCTGCGGTGAGCTGTAATCACACCACTGCACTCCAGCCTGGGCAACAGAGACCCTGTCTCCAAAAAAAAAAAAATGATAAAAATGAGCAAGTCGTAATAATCTGGCAAGTCAAAGAACATTCCTTGAGCTTTCAAGCAATCAGACATTACGTGTAACTTTCAAAAACATTCAGGAAGAGAAAAATAATTATCGAGTTGTAAAAAAGCTTTTCCAAGTTTTCAAAGTTGAGGGCAGCTCTCAAACACCCCATTTTAAACAGGTTGCAAAATGGTTCCCCCTCTCCCACTCTCAACATTGGCGACAATTAAAAGGCTCCTAGTTACCTAAAAATGACAAACCATAGCAGCGTTTCTGTTTTGTTGCAGCGGGGCGGAGGGGGGTGGTGGTTAAAATTCTCAGTTATCCAGACACACTGGGTGGGTGATTGGTGTATGAGGGTGTGTGCTGGGGTGTGTATGTTTTACGCTGTCAGCTATCCAGACACACTGTGTGTGTGTGGTGTGTGTGTGACAGTTGGTGTTGTGGGGGTGTGCAGGGGTGTGTGTGTTTTACACTCTCAGCTATCCAGACACAGAGTGTGTGTGTGTGTGTGTGTGTGTGTGTGTGTGTGTAAAAATTCTCAGTTATCCAGACACACTGGGTGGGTGAGTTGGTGTGTGGGGGTGCGTTTTGCACTCTCAGCTATCTAGGCACTCTGTGTGTGTGTGTGTGTGTGTGTGTGTGTGTGTGTGTGTGTGTGTGTGTTGTAGATGCTCAGCTATCCAGACATACTGGATGTTTCTGGAAGTACCAGGGTCTGACTTGGCCCTGAGGATGCACATCATTTGGATATCCTGGAAGCTAAGCATGAAACAAGTTTTCATCTCCCTTTATTGTAGTCTCAAAGGTAACAGAAAAAATATCTATTAATTTAGCCCATTTCCCCAGTTCCACTATTTCCCACAGCCTTTTATATTCACGAACCAACCAAAGAGGGCAGAAATATTTTTCTAATTCTTTCTGTCTCTTTCATATCCTGCCTCCTTCTCCTGATGGCACTGACACCTCCTGTGAACTCCCAGCCAGACTGGGAAAGCGCGCCTGTCATTTTCTTTCTGCCTAAAATAGCTGCAAGAGCAAAAGCAGTCAGCCACTGCAGCTTCCCTCAACTCTGTTGAAGTTTTCAGGACCACAATCAAGCACCCGTTTGTATGACCTCCTAGCATAAATAATTTATGCTGAAAATTAAAACATATGGAGGGCTTTTAAAAATCTAAATTTAGATAAAATTTAATTA
The DNA here is from genome assembly GCF_000001405.40 of Homo sapiens. Taxonomy (NCBI): domain Eukaryota; kingdom Metazoa; phylum Chordata; class Mammalia; order Primates; family Hominidae; genus Homo; species Homo sapiens. Next base: position 31,793,442 of record NC_000003.12, read on the forward strand.
GCAGTAAGTGTCTGATAATGTAACCACTCACTGCTTATTTACCAGGCTGATGGCCTTCAATGCTGTGTAGGTTTAAGGAGGATGGAAATTATGCTAAGAAATCCAAAACTAAGCACAAAATACACATTCACCTTCTTGAAACAAGATGAGCTCAACAAATGTGACTGTTCTCTCTCAAGGTCTTAAAAAGCACCTCTGGTTTACAAAATAACATGGAATTAGGAAGACTCTCTAAGTTTTCCAAGTGAAAAAGCAACTGTAATTAAATTTGGACTCATGAGAAACAATAGTGTGAATTTTTTAAAAACTAGAATTTAAAAAGTGGTTTTTTGACTATAGAGAGTTTAGATATACAGTTGGCCCTTCTTATCTGTGAACTCCACATCTATAGGTTCAAACAACCTCAGATGAAAAATATTTGAAGAAAAACAGTAAAAAACAACAAATGACAATTAAAATACAGAATAACAACTCTTCACATGTCATTGACATTGTATTAGGCTTTAGAAGTAATCTAGAGATGAGAGTAGCAGCCATGTTGGTTGGTGTCGAGTGTCTTTGTGGTTTGAGAGGCCCCAGGGCGCTGGGTTGGCACAGTGGTGGCTGAACTCAGAAGGTGGAGGGGACTTGCCCCTGCTGCACAGAAGCAGGTCTTCAGCCTCGTGATGGCACCTGCAGCTCCCGACCCCACTTTCCCCACATAGTTTTTCTGTTTGTTTTGAGACAGAGTCTTGCTCTTGTTGTCCAGGTTGGAGTGCAATGGCACAATCTCACCTCACTGTAACCTCTACCTCCTGGGTTCAAGCAATTCTCCTGCCTCAGCTTCCCGAGCAGCTGGGATTACAGGCGCACGCCACCACACCCAGGTAATTTTTGTATTTTTAGTAGAGATGGGGTTTCACCCTGCTGGCCGGGCTCAGGCAATCCACCTCACCTCTGACACCGCAGGCGATCCACCTGCCTCTGCCTCCTGAAGTGCTGGGATTACAGCCGTGAGCCACCGCTCCCGGCCTTCCTCACATAGTTGAATGGCCATGGTTGTGCTGAGGCTCCTAGCTCAGCAGGGCACTGTGACCCTTGCAGACATGGCTGTGAACTTTTCCCAGAAGAAATGGAGTCTCCTTAGTGAGGTTCAGAGATGCCTGTACTGTGACGTGATGCTGAAGAACCTGGCACTTTTATCTTCCCTGGGTTGTTGGTGTGGAGTGAAAGATGAAGAGGCACCATATAAGCAGAGCATTTCTATACAAAGAGAGTCTCAGGTCAGGACTCTGAGGGCAGGGGGGTCTCCCAAGAAGGCTCACCCCTGTGAAATGTGTAGCCCCATCTTGGGAGACATTTTTCACTTGGCACAGCAGCAGGAAACTCATCACAAGCAGAAACTGAACAGGAGTGGGGCATGTGGGAAAAAACTGGATGACACTGAAAACCTTCATCAGCACCAGAAGCAGCACATTGGAGAGAAACTCGAGAGAAGGGGTGCCAGAGAAGTGTCATTTGTAAACAGCTGTAAAGTCCATGTGTCACAGGAGCCATTTATCTCTTATGAGGTTGGGAAGAACTTCTTGCCCAGCTTGGGATTACACCAGCAAGAGGCTACTCACAATGTAGAGAAGACAAACACTGAAACTAAGCATGGCCCACCCTTTCATGAGGGAAAGACTCATTACAGCTGCGAAGAATTCATAAAACCTTTTTTTTTTTTTTTTTTTTTTTTTTTGGAGACAGAGTCTCACTCTGTTGCCCAGGCTGGAGTGCAGTGGCACCATTTCAGCTCACTGCAAACTCCGCCTCCCGGGTTGAAGCGATTCTCCTGCCTCAGCCTCCTGAGTGGCTGGGATCACAGGCGCCTGCCACCAGGCCTGGCTAATTTTTGCATTTTTAGTAGAGATGGGGTTTCACCACGTTGGCCAGGCTGCTCTTGAAATCCTGACCTCAGGTGATCCGCCCACCTCAGCCTCCCAAAGTTGCTGGGATTACAGGCATGAGCCACCGTGTCTGGCCCACAAAACCTTTCGGCACTACTCACTCACTTGTTCCACCAGAAGCTTTTCACTAGAGAAGGATGTTACGTGTGCAGTGAATGTGGGAAATCCTTTAGCAAATGTAATACCTTCAGTAATCATCAGTGAATTCACACTGGAAAAAGATCTTATGAGTGTGGACAATGTGGGAAATGTTTTAGACAAAAGGGCAACCTCATTCAACACCAACGAGGTCACACTGGAGAAAGGCCTTATGAGCGCAGGAAATGAGGGAAATCTTTTAGGAACAGGTCTCACCTCCTCACTGATCACCAGAAACTTCATACTGGAGAAAGACCTTATAGTTGTGGGGAATGTGGGAAATTATTTTACAAGAAGTCTCACTTCCTTCTACCTGAGAGAGTTCACACTGGAGAAAGGCCATATGAGTGTGAGGTATGTGGGAAATTACTTAGCCAGAAGGAGCATGTTACTGTGCATCAGAGGGTTCACACTGGAGAAGGGCCATATGAATGCAATGAACATGGGAAATCATTTTCTTACAGCTCTGCACTTCGTGTTCATACAAGAATTCACACTGGGTAAAAGCCTTATGAGCGCACTGAATGTGGGAAATCCTTTGCTGAAAGCTCCAGTCTCAAGAAACACATGAGTTCATCCTGGAGATCAGTGCAAGGAATGTGGTAAAAATTAGCTGAAGCCATTCTCTCCTTCAGCATCGAAGAACTCACAGTAGAAAGGCCTTATGAGTGCAAGGAATGTGGGAAGTCCTTTGCTGTAACTCCAGTCTCATTTGACACAGGAGAGTTCACACTGGAGAAAGGCTTTAAGAGTACAGCAAATGTGGAAAGATATTTACCTGAAATACTGCTGTTAGAAAATCAGATGGTTCTCCTATAGAAAATCCCTATTAGTGAAATAAATTTTAGAAATTCCTTGCCCCGCCCCCCCAAAAAAGGTAATCTAGAGATGATTTAGAGCATACGGGAGGATGTACATAGGTTATGTGCCAGTACTATGCCATTTTATGTAAGGGACTTGAGCATCCATGGATTTTGGTATCTGAAGTGGGTCCTAGAACCAATCCCCTGTGGATACCAAGGGACAATTGAATATATATTTTGCCCCTTTCCTCTATAAGTCAGGATTCTCAACATCAACTCTACTGACATTTTAGGTCAGATAACTTGGTGGTTGTGGGGGTGGAGGGTCCTGTGTGTTTCAGGCTATTTTAGCAGCATCCACGGCCTCTACCACTAGAAGTCAATTAGCAGATGTCTTCAGACATTATCAAATGCCCTGGGTTTGACAACCACTGCTCTAAGTGATTTCTTACAGTAGATTACTCTCCTGGTATAGGTACACACCCAATGAGGGCTTTTACCTTAGGCTTCCCCACACAGGAAGTGTCAACTTCATTCAGGATCTTTCAAGCAGTAATAGACACCTTTCCTCCCCTCTCCTCACTTCTCTCTACCCCAAACATTTTCTCCCATTCTCATACAGGTTCCTTCAAGAGAGACTGATGAACCTTACAAATGATTTTTATTTTATTAATTTTTATTAATTTTTTTTTTTTTTTTTTTTGAGACAGAGGCTTGCTCTGTTGCCAGGCTGGAGTGCAATGGCGCCATCTTGGCTCACTGCAAACTCTTTCTCCCGGGTTCAAGTGATTCTCCTGCCTCAGCCTCTCGAGTAGCTGGGATTACAGGCATGCGCCACGACGCCCAGCTAATTTTTGTATCTTTAGTAGAGACGGGTTTTACCATGTTGGGTCAGGATGGTCTCGATCTCCTGACCTCGTGATCCGGCCTCTTCGGCCTCCCGAAGTGCTAGGATTACAGGCGTGAGCCACTGCGCCTGGCCACAAATGATTTAAGGGCCAGGAGGAAACTCAAGTTGAGTATTCAAAAAGAAAGGTAAGAAAAAAGAAAAGAAAAGAAAGGTAAGATACTAAACTAATTCTTGGCTCTTAGATGGAATCTCCCACCTTTGCTCTGTGATGTTTTACAGTCACTGATTCCAATGATCATCATCCTAGTATCATGGTGAAGCAATGGCGGCAAGGCAGGAGACCCAATGCAATCGCCTCATGCAAACCGTTTAACCTCCCTGAGCCTAAGGGCCCAGGAGAGAAAAATGAAGCTGAATCAGGTGATCTCAGAGGATATTTCCATCCCTCCAAACTACAATTTCTGTGAACCCTGCAAAAGGTCACAGCTATTTTTCCACATAAAAGAGGGTACATTAAAATACACACACAGTTTTTTTATATGTACCATGATATAAGTCACAGTCACTTTTTGCCATGTCCACAATACAATGTACCAGAAAGATCAACTGGGTTTGAGTCTTGACGATGCCAATGACTCTCTGTGTGACCTCACACATGTTGTTGAGCATACAAGCCTTCACCTATAAAAATGGGGATGGGGGGGTGAATGTTAGATAAAATAGCTATGGTTCTTTCTAGCACTCTCAACCTGGAACCCACTACATTTACAGTCCCTGTTGTTAACTGAAACAATAATAATTATTTTTATATATATCGTTCCAAACTCTGGGTCCGGGCATAAGGAGCTATCTGCAAGGCTGTCTTAATATATTTTTCTACTAATAGACTATCCAATATGATAGCCTCCAGCCATACATAGCTACTGGGCACATTTAACATAGCTAGTCCCACTGGAAATGCATGCAGTATGCATCAAATGCACATGGAGGCCAGGCGCAGTGGCTCACACCTGTAATCCCAGCACTTTGGGAGGCCGAGGCAGGTGGATCACCTGAGGTCAGGAGTTTGAGACCAGCTGGCCAACATGATGAAACCCCGTCTCTAGTAAAAACATAAAAATTAGCTGGGCGTGGTGGCAGGTGCCTGTAATCCCAGCTACTCAGGAAGCCGAGGCAGGAGAATCATTTGAACCTGGGAGGCAGAGGTTGCAGTGAGCCGAGATCACACCATTGCACTTCAGCCTGGGTGACAAGAGCAAAACTCCATCTCAAAAAAAAAAGAAAACCAAAATGCATGTGGAGTTTCAAAGACTTAATATGAAAAAATACATAAAATATTACATTTTTTTAATATTAATCATATGATGAAACTATAATATTTTGGATATGAGTTAAATAAAATATATTATTAAAATTAATTTTACCTGTTTCTTACTTTTAACATGACTAGTAGGAAATTTTTAATTACATATGTGGCTTACATTATATTTCTGTTGGACCATGCCAACATAATCTACCTTCCCCTGCCTTTTGCCTAATGCCATACTTAGTGCCAACTAAGTAAACTGTTAAAGAAACCCCACCTAGGTCCTGTTTTATTTCATGGTGGAAAACAGGCTTCTTCAAGTCCTGTATACAAAGAGCTTGTATCTGAATTGCAGAAAACTGTCACCCTAAAGCAGCAATCCCCAATCTTTTTGGCACCAGTGACCAGTTTTGTGGAAGACAATTAAGGAGCATGCAACCTAGATCCCTCCCAGGCGCAGTTCATAATAGGGTTTGAACTCCTATGAGAATCTAATGCTGCTGATCTGACAGGCGGTGGAGCTCAGGCAGTACTGCTGATTCACCGCTCACCTCCTGCTATGCCGCCCAGTTCCTAACAGTCCATGGGTTAGTACAGGTCCACCACCTGGGGATTGGGAATCCCTACCTCAAGGTATACATATGTCAGCAGGTCTTTTACACATAAGACCCTTCCAGAACTATAACTCAGGTGATTCTTCTTGTGGGGTATGTCTGCCAAGCATTTTCCCTCTCTGGGTCTTATTTTCAGATATGCCAAGACCAAACAGAGTAATCAAGCATAGTCACAGTTAAGAGTAGCGTGATGGTACAGGCTTGTCACCCCAGCTACTTGAGAAGCCAGGGCGAGAGGATCACATGAGGCCAGGAGTTCAAGACCAGACTGAGCAACATAGCAAGACCCCTATCTCTTTAAAAAAAAAAAAAAAAAAAAAAAAAAATGGAAGAAAGAAAGAACAAGAATATCAGCTTAGAAGTCAATCAGCTGGTTTGAATATCAGCTCCACATTATCTACCTGACTTTGGGCAAGTTATTTAACCTCTCTTAGCCTCTAGTGCCTCGTTTGTAAAATAATTATTGTAATAGGGCATAGCTCATGGAGGTGTTGGTGAAGATGAATTAGTCACAGTCCCTGGTACATTATAAGCACTCAAGAAATGATAGCTGAAAACATTTATTAACCTCCTTTAACAAATAAGAAAATAAAGCCTCAAGGAACTTAACCTATTTGCTTCAAATCACAAAAATCGTAAGCAGCAGTACCAGAAACTTACAAGCAAACAGTGCTTTTTAAGTAATTATGGTAAGTAATTACTAACATGAGATCAACCCTCTTAACAAATTTTCCAATTCTTCTGCCTCAGCCTCCTGAGCTGGGACTACAGGCGCCCACCACCATACCCGGCTAATTTTTGTATTTTCAGTAGAGATGGTATTTCACCAATATTGGCCAGGCTGGTCTCGAACTCCTGACCTCATGATCCGCCCACCTTGGCCTCCCAGAGTGCTGGGATTACAGGCATGAGCCACCACGCCCGGCCCCAAAGTGCATTTTTAAATAACCTCTGCCTGGGTTGTATTTGGGTCAAAGGTTCTGTTTAGTGAAAGGTAAAAAGGCAGGAAGTTTTGGGCAGAAAATGGTCTTAGCAATGGTCCAACTTCTCACATTAACTTGAATCACATTGATGAAGTGGCCTAGTTGTTGTGCCTTCTCTTGTATAAGCCACAGATGTTTCTAAAATGGAATGTCTTCCCACCTCCTCCGCTGTCCTTTCCATATTGAGATCTCAATATTATTTCAAGTCAGTAAATGAGCATGATGGTGGTTCATGACAAGGAAGCCGCATTTCACTTCATTATCTGTGATCACACCCAAACAGAACTGAAAACCATCTCTGGGAGAACAGAGAAAAAGTACTAATGATAATTCTCGGCAAGCAGTTGGGCCCAGCACAAACACCAGCCTGGCCCTGGCATGATGGGCCATCAAACATGGCAGGCGTTCCCACCCCTCCTGGGCATGCTAATAAGAACGTAAACCTTTGGGTCGCCAACTAAGGCTAAACACTCAACCTAAGGAGCATTTCCTTTCCCATTATCAAAACCACACTCTCTCACTGAAAGCAAATGAGTAGGCAAAATGCTTATACGAATAAACAATCACCATGAAACTACCCAAGGCTACAGCAAGGAAAGACTTTTAATGAACCACATGGGTGGGTCAAGTTAAAATAGCCAAACCATGAAATTCAATATGCTATAAAAACTTATGGTACATACTTAAATTTTATTTTGAAAAGAAAACCATGCTGACAACAGCTAAGGAGACACAGAAATTATATAAGTCTATCAGAAGAAAAATGTCATCAGAATAATGCAGTTTTTCATGCCTTTTGGCTTGCTCTAGGAGGTTTTTCTGAAGTAAGCCTAAAATAGGGACTGTGTTTCAGGTTTTATTAATCTTCCTAGATTTTAATTCAGCTACAAAATAATCCTTTACGATCCCCTTGACCAAAAAAAGTTAACCTTTTAAGTGGTCTTTTTTTTTTAATACATAAAGATAAGGCTACTGACATCACCATAGGTTCTCCAACAGAGGGACGGGGAGACTTAGGATCCAGCCACCTGGACTAGGATTCAGCCACCTGGACTTGCTCACAAGTCCCTGGATACTGACTGTCAGGTACAAGAACCAACAACTTTTCAGGAGCATGGGATAAAGACTCTTTCTTTAGGCAGAAATAAACTGGGCCACACAGAACTGCATGGACATCTCCATGATATGGTGACATACTATTGTGGTCCCCAAGTCTTTGGAGTTGGGGAAGTTCCCTACAGAGACAGATAGCTACTGCCAACACCACACATGCAGAGGAAGGAATGACTAGACGGGAAAAGTCTCCCTTGGCTCAATCTGACAGAGTGGGTTATAACCTCCTGTAACCCTTGCCCCAACAGCCCTAAGACTCTGGCTTCTCACCTGCCTGTTTACCAGGCACAAAACTAACTGCAGTGGCTTCTGAGCATTTACTGTGAGTGTGGGTGAAACAGAGGCCAATTTCTGAGCAGAGGCCTCCCACAGCAGGCCCAGGCCCCTGAGGTCTATCCCTGCAGGAACCAAATCTCTAGCTGTGACCGTGTTCACACTGCAGACAAAAGATGTAGGTCCGTGTCCTGAAAGGTTACACTCCAGGAGCAAGCAGGACCTGTGTCCATTGCAAGGAAAGAAAGAAGCCACGAATGCCTTCAACAGTATGCTGTGCTAGGAGGTCTATATCAACTTCTTATGCCATGAGGTTATGGTCAGACTATCACCTCTCTGCTTATAAGAACTAAGACCTGATTTCTTTCTTTTTTTGTTGTTTTTTTTTTTAAGATGGAGTTTTGCTCTTGTTGCCCAGGCTGAAGTGCAATGGCACGATCTCAGCTCACCACAACCTCTGCCTCCAGGATTCAAGCAAATTCTCCTGCCTCAGCCTCCTGAGTAGCTGGGATTATAGGCATGTGCCACCATGCCCGGCTAATTTTGTATTTTTAGTAGAGATGGGGTTTCTCCATATTGGTCAGGCTGGTCTCGAACTCCCGACCTCAGGTGATCCGTCCGCCTCGGCCTCCCAAAGTGCTGGGATTACAGGCACGAGCCACTGCACCCAGTCCGCCCGCCTCGGCCTCCCAAAATGCTGGAATTACAGTCATGAGCCACTGCACCCGGCCGTAAGAACTAAGCCCTTATTTCTTAACAGGTAACAAGGGGCAGGGTTGAAGGTATGGAAAACATTTCTCAAGCTGCTCTGTAAAGAATTCTCTGGGGCTGGGCATGGTGACTCACACCTGTAATCCCAGCACTTTGGGAGGCCAAGGCGGACAGATCATCTGAGGTCAGGAGTTCAAGACCAGCCTGGGCAACATGGTGAAACCCCATCTCTACTAAAAAAAAAAAATTACAAAAATTAGCCAGGCATGGTGGCGGGCACCTGTAATCCCAGGAACTTAGGAGGCTGAGGCAGGAGAATCACTTGAACCCAGGAGGTGGAGGTTGCAGTGAGCCAAGATCATGCGCCACTGCACTCTAGCCTGGGTATCAAAAAAAAAAAAAAAAAAAAAAGAGAATTCTCTGGATTGTACCAAGACAGTGGAAGACTCCTCTCTCTCTCCTGGTATTAATTCCCCTTCTTTTCAACAATTCCGGCCTGCCTCCAGCTCTTAGTAGGGCATTTTGTTGCCTAGCCTCACTTGCACTTAGAGGCGTGACCAAGCGGCCAAGTTCCTGCAAACGGATCCTGAATAAAAGTGAAATCCATTAAAAACAAGAGTACATTCCTCTTTCTTCCTCTTTTCCCACTACTTGGAAAAAGGTGACAACTGGATAGCCAGGGTTGACCCAGGATGGAAGCTTGTGCCAGTGATCAAAGAGCCACCCAGTCAGCTCTAGTTGGTCACCTCTGGTCCATCTACAAGGGAATAACAAACTTGTACCTTATTTAGACAATGGTATTGGGTCCTTTTTTTTTTTTTTTTTTTTTTTACAGCATCTAAGTCTGAGCTGAACTAATATACTGTTCTAGTCTACAAAGTGGCTTTTCTAAAATCACACATGATTCAGTGAGAATCCCCTGAATAATTTTTTGTGAATCAATGAGAACAGTGTGTAACATCGGCTCCACCCAGACGTGACCTTTTCAAAAGAAGAAGGCAACAAGAAAGTGGCTTCTGATGGTTCCACTTCCACATGCCAAGCAAAGCTCTACCAGGCCAATGACTAGTTACAGCCCCCCTTCTCCCCAGAGAGGCGCTGGCCTGAGGTCAGCTGAAGAGGCTAAGGTCTTCTAGGGAGGAACAGTGATATCCAGCCTTCAGGGGATAAGACTGCCAAGTCTATAGCACCGTGACAGAACAAAAGAGCACCTTCTCACATGCTTCAAAGCCCCTCTAAGTCCCTGGCAGAACCAGGGACGTTTATAACCATCTTCCTTCAAACCAAAAGTACCTCACATGTATGATGGGTATTTCAAAACATTTTACTTTAAAATAATTTTGGACTTACAGAGATGTTGCAAAAATCATATGGCATTTTTGTATACCCTTTGCGCAACTTCCCCTAAGGTTAACATCTTACATAAAAGTAGTTATTCAAATGAAGAAATTTATATGGACAAAATACAACTACCTCAATCTACAGACCTTGTTTTCAGTTTTCCCACTAATAGCTTTTTTTTCTGGTCCAAGATCCAAACCGGGATCCCATGTTGCATTTGACTATTATATCTCCTTTAATCTATCATACTTTTTAAAAGTCCAAGCCAGTTATTTTCAAAATGTCCCTAGTATTTCCTAGATTGGGGTCATGTGCACTTTTGGTAAGAATAACACAGAGGTGATGTTGTACCTTCTCAATGCATCATATTTGGTGGTACATGTTTTTATGTCTTTATTACTGGTGGTATTAACCATGATCACTTGGTTGCGGTGGTGTCCACTAGTTTTCTCCTCTGTAAAATAACTGTTTTCTCTTTGTAAAAAAATAAGTATTCTACAGGGAGATACTTTGAGACTATTCACATATCCTGTTTTTCATCATAGTTTCACCTAACATTAGTGTACATCAATGGTTCTGACCTGCAACAATCATTACTATGATGTTTGCTCAATGGTGATCTTTCATTTCCCTCATTATTCTACATTTATTAGTTAGAAGTCTATTTTAAGGAAGAGCTTTTACTCACCCCACCCCATGTATTTGTTCATCCTATTATTTATATCAACACGAATCATGTATATTTATGTTATTCTAAGGGTTGAAATCCAATACTATCAACATCACAGATTTTTAATCCTGATAATAATTCTGATATTATCTCCGTTTTACAGATTAGAAAAACGAGGCAAGGAGAGGTTAAAAAACCCTGCTTGAGGGCACTCAGCTAGTCAGTAGCAAAGATGCAAAAGCCAGTTCCACTGACTTACAAGTAAGCAAATGACCCAGCCTCTAGGGTAAACAAACTGATGTCATCATCAATCAGCAAAAAAGCAGAATGTGATCTAACAATGAAGGAGACCCGTATTAGGACAGAAGGGGAGAGAAAAATATCTGAAGCCCTTCATTTTAACAACCAAAGTTACTTAGTCCAAAATTACTGGCCATCTTCCCAGACAAGCACCATTAAAGGTAGAGCTCCCCATCCCACAGTGGCCATAACGTAACAGCGCCTACCAAACGCGCTTCATGAGGACAAGATGTAATTTTACCAAAACACGAAGTGCTGACTGCCAACAGCAATAAACAGCAGCATTCGTGATCTAAATGAAGCTTTTAAAATTAAGCTTTTTCAGAAGTTACTCAACTTTAATAAGACTTCATTCACTTTCCCAACTACTAAATCTGCTTTGGTTTGCAATTTTTTTTTAGCTGTTTAAATGGTCAAGGTCCTTACTTTGTGTGTCTGTTTGGTGGGAATGATTTTAATTCAAACAAACAACACTGTCTCCAAGGGAGCATGTTTTATATTCTCACTATTACACCTGGCTTTCCCTATGGTTTTCAAAATCATTGACAAAATTCGTAATTATTATTTTAATGTAAAAGGTGCTCAGGGTCTGATGTATCTGAGCATGCTGAGCTTCAAGACTTTGTCTTGATTACACTTTAAATGAACTGGTATGAGTTTGCAGTTTCTTTAAAAATGAACCATGCAAGCTTTTTCACGGAAGGTATTTCTGACTCCTCCTTTGAGATGAACCTTTAAAACAAAATTCACAACCTGTCAACACATTACATATGTTAACCCTTTCTGAGAATTTGCAATGCTCTCTCCTCACACCAGGTCCTTGCACCTATTACCAGAAATGCTGGTCTCAAAGAATGACTAAATATAGTCGTATCTCTCTCTACTGCATTCCCATGCTCTCATCCACAGTGCCCTTCCAGAAGCTCATGGGGCTTCAAACAGAAGATGGCTTTTATTATGAGCTGAAAGAAAACTAGTCAATGCAACTATGAATTGCCTGGTATTCCACATTCTCCCTTCACGCAAATGTTTGGCTATACGTGGTTTTAGCAAAATAATTTGAAATGACTAGTAAATGGGTTTTCTCTTCTAAGCACGCACTACTAACAAATTGAGCATTCTTGCTCTCATAGGTAAGACATAAAGTGAAATGATCCACACAAAATACAAAGCACCTTAAAATAGCAAATAAAGAGCAATCTTCCACAATCTGATGGTAGGCGCTGAATGCTCAGCCATCACAACCTGCCTCATTTAGTAGACAAAAAAGTATCTTCCTTTCACAAAAGTATCTTTGAGGTCCATAGGCTCAGGCAGGCCTCACAAGATAACCCAACAAGAAGGGAAGAACAGCTCTTCCCCAAGAAGACTTGCAAGCTTACAATAACGATGACGATGGTAGCAGGGTTTAATAGTTGCTGACAACTTATTAAGTACCTGGCACTGTTCTAAGCTCTACACTTGTCTTTCTCTACTAATTTTCAAAATGAACTTAAGAAGCAACACTGTCACTATCTGCATGTACATTTGCAGAGTCTAAAGCACTCTTCATAGGTATCTTGTGAGGTAACTTGCCCAGTGTCACTCAGCTGATCAAGGGCAGGCCAGGAATTGAACTCTGGCAGTCTGGTTACAGGCCCTGGATGCTTAGCCTCCACCTATCATGCCGTCACACCACTTACCTCCCCTCCAAGAATGATGGATGCAGGGAAGGAGGACCCGAGAGCCTACGCCCTTGTTCCCTCAGCCCTCCCAGCAGCCTCTGGCAGAAGTCCCAGCCCCATACCTCCTGGCTTTGCCAGAAGTTGAAGTCAGGGACTTGTGTCCAAATCACCATTTTCCTACTTGACCAACAAATGTTCACAGACAAGACTTCCTCGCCACTGCACTCCCCAAAAAGAATCTCTTCCTGGAAGACTGAAAAGAACTCAAATGCATCAACGATAAAAGTCTAGATGGCCATTCTTCATGGTCTTGCACTTACTTACCTTCTTTTAGCTGAGAGCCAAACAGTAAGTGCAAGGGTCATTCCTTCTTTTGATACATATCTATTGAGCTTCCGCTTTGTACCCGCAGTTAGAAAAGCAGAGCAAGTACCTGCTCCCTGTGAAGCTTTACGTCCTAGTGTGGGACACAGGCAATGAGCAAATAAAGACATAATACAATGTCAGGCAGTCAGGCAGTAACAAGCGCTGTTGAAAAAATAAAGCAAGGCAAGGGCATAGAGAGTGATGGGGCAGGGGGTGCTGCTTTACAAAGAGTAGTTTGGAAAGACCTGTGTGAGGAGGAGGCATTTGGACAGAGGTCTAGAGGAAGTTGGGGGGTGGGGGGAGCCATGTGGGTGGATATGCAGGGAACGGTGAGTGCAATGGCCTTCAAGTGGGAGTGTCTTGGCATGTTCTAGGAACAGCAGACCTCCTATCCAGCCTGGGGAACTAGAACCCAGGAAACAGGGGTCTGGGAGGGAGGATTCTGAGAAATAAGGTTAGAAACATAGCCAGGGACCTGGTCATGGACAGCCCAGGCCACAGACAGGATTTAGGATTTTACTATAGGTACAATGGGAATCCACTGGAGCTTTTTAACAGCTACATGATCTGACATGTCCATTAAAAGATTCACTCCTGGCCAGCCACGGTGGCTCACGCCTATAATCCCAGCACTTTGGGAGGCCAAGGCGGGTGGCTCACTTGAGGTCAGGAGTTTTAGACCAGCCTGGTCAACATGGTGAAACCCTGTCTCTACTGAAAATACAAAAATTAGCCAGGCGTCGTGTTGCACACCTGTAATCCCAGCTAGTCGGGAGGCTGGGAATTGCTTGAACCCAGGAGGTGTAGGCTGCAGTGAGCAGAGATCGTGCCACTACACTCCAGCCTGGGCGACAGAGCAAGACTGTCTCAGAAAAATAAATAAATAAATAAATAAATAAATAAGATTCACTCTGCATGCTGTGTTGGAGGATATATGGTGGGTGTCAAGGGCACAAGTAGAGACTGCTAAAATGCAAGATGAGGGCATGGCATGGTGGCTCATGCCTGTAATCCTAGCACTTTGGGAGGCCAAGGCTGGTTTATCATTTGAGTTCAAGACCACATCTCTACAAAAAAAAAAAAAAAATTAGCGGGGCACGGTGGCACGTGCCTGTGGTCCCAACTACTTAGGAGGCTGAGGTGGGAGGATCACTTGAGTCCAGAAGTTCGAGGCTGCAGTGAGCTATGATTGGGCCACGGCACTCCAGTCTGGATGACTGAGCAAGACCCCATCTCTAAAAAGAATTTTTCTTTTAAACAAAGGTAAGATCATGGTGTTATGGAGCAGAACAATGAAGGTAGAGGTAACAAGACATGATGTGGCCAAATTTAGAACCAAACTCCTCTAGGAAAGGAAGAGGCACTGAAGACTACACATAAGAAATAAGAAATTACTTACAAATAGGAAAGTGTTTTAAGAATTGGACAGATGTTGGGCCATGATATAATGACTTATTAATAACTTCAACTTATGTATAAAGAATAACAGAGAATTCAGGGGAAAAGAGTGATATAACATGAAGAACGTGCCACAGACACTACTTCTATCCCGATTTTGTAACTGAGCAGCTAGCTACAATGACCCTGAGTTTCACCCAGAATCAGTTACCTGGAATCAGGTACCTTGGAGAGCAAAGAGCCACAATTCTGTACTCACCCAGCATATCATCAAGACTAAGATCATCCCCATTTTACTCCTGTCATCCCAGCAGGTTTGACAGGAGGTTGGAGGGAAAGGGGGAGAAAGGACGAGGCAAGCGCAGGCATTTCACAGTGACCATCCAGGCCTGGGGCAAGGCAAGGAGAGGTGATGGCCAGGAAAGGCTCACACTGACACTGAGGTCTTGTCAGGTGTCATGTTGGGAGACTGAGGTCCCCAAATGTAGCCAGTTGCCTTGGCAACAGTATCTCTATCCAAGGTGATAAATTACCCTGCTGTCTAACAAATTCAGTTCATTTCTTAAACAATCAGTGTCCTGGAAATAATATGAGAACAAGCAAATACCAACCAGTGGACTGAGAGGGCAAATCAATCACTAGGCTTGCTCTGAAGTCCCCAGGCTGGGGGAAATGCAGGAGCCTGGGGCTGGGAGAGAGGGTTCTGAAAAAAGCTACTGTATTCCAAATTTCAAATTAAATAGAAAGAAAATAGAATAATTAAAAGGCACTTGAAAACAATTCTACATTCCTTTCCGATATTCCTAACTAAATTCATCACATTATTCTGTATCCCTCTCTTCGCTTTACTTCATAAAACCTGACATTTATTAATCATTTGATTTCTGTTCCTGTCTGTTCCACTAGAATTTAAACTTTTCAACAGCAAAGGCTTTGTCTCTGTTTCATTTCCCACTGTACTCCCAGAACTGGAATCTTGCCCAGAATATCATACACATGCAATAATATTTATCAAAGGAATCAATTAATACCTCTTCTGGACTTCGTAAAACTCTTAATCAAGTAATATACCTGTAATATATAAACACATACATCCATATGTACTCCATGCTTAAGGTAAACAAAGCATTTTCAGCAAAAGTAAGACTAAGCCAAGAATAATCACAACCGCCACTACTATTTAGAATTATTTTAGACATACTAGCCAACAAAATTATTAAGAGAAATTTGATAAACTAAAAAGAGGAGGCAAAATGATCAATATTCGCAACGGATGAGTTTATTCCTGGAAAGCCCAAGAAAATCATCAGCAAAACTACAACAAACAATAAAAGAATATATTTAGATTTGGGGGAATACATGCAATCCACAGGAAGTAATAGCCTCCCTATTTACAAGTCGCCCAATCAAGTAGAACATGTAATGGAAAAAGTCTCATTTGCAACAGCAACAAAAGGGGATAAAATACTTGGCAATTAAAAGGAACATGTAGGATCCACAAACTTTAAAATGCTCCTGAGGAACACAAACAAACACTTCAGCTGGATAACTATGCCCCTATTCTTAGAAAGTATATCATTCAGATGTCAGTCCTTAAATAATGTATAAATTTAATGCACTCCGAATAAAAGTGCCAGTAGGGTGGTGGTGGACACGGAGGTTTTAAAAGCTAGACATGCTGAGTCTGAAGTTCTTGTGGAATAGTTGAAACGAAGTGTGACTAAGGACAATAAGGCTGTGCTGGCCTTACCAGACACTAAAGTATATTCTAATGTGACAACATGTAAAGTATTGTAGTTCTGGAATATGAATGTGCCAACAAACCAGAGAAAACCATAGACCCAAGTACTTAATTTAGTATGCAACTTAGGTAGCACTGCCGTATCAGTGGAGAAAAGATGGACTATTCAAAAAATGGGATTGGAAAACTAGACCAGCCCAAGAAAATGTCAATGGGTGCCCCCTGACTCTTTTTTTTTTTTTTTTTTTGAGATGGAGTTTTGCTTTTGTTGCCCAGGCTGGAATGCAATGGAGTGATCTCGGTTCACCACAACCTCTGCCTCCTGGATTCAAGCGATTCTCCTGCCTCAGTCTCCCGAGTAGCTGGGATTACAGGCATGTGCCACCACGCCCGGCTAATTTCGTATCTTTGATAGAGACAGGGTCTCTCCATGTTGGTCAGGCTGGTCTCGAACTCCTGACCTTAGGTGATCCACCCACCTCAGCCTCCCAAAGTGCTGGGATCACAGGCATGAGCCACCGCACCTCGCCCCCTCTGACTCTTTATACCAAATTTCTTATTTAAAAAAAGTCAAAACAGTAAAGCCATAATGATTGAAGTAGTCTAGAACTGGTTTGTGGTAATATTGCACAACTATGTAAACTGACTAAAAGTCATTGAGCTGTAAACTTAAAAATGAGTGATTTTTATTATATGTAATATGTCTCAATAAAGCTGCTTTTAAAAGGAGACCATACCATTACTTGAAAACATAATTTTAAAACAATAATCTTAGAGTGAAAAAAATGTTTATAATAATGACACAGAACTCCAAATCTCTAAAGATTGACACTTTGACTATGAAAAAACAAAAAAATTTTAACACAGCTAAAAACATCCCAAATAAATCAAAAAACAACTGACAAATTATGAAGGTGAATTATCTTAATATATACATATATATAAAACTCCTGGAAACCAATAAGGAACACATACTAAATAAAAATGGGCAAAAAACATGAACAGTTTTCAGGAAAGGAGATGCCAATAGCTTCTATAAATACGAAGTGATGCTCAATCTCACTTAAGAGAAATTTAAATTAAAATTATGAGATACAAGTTTTCCCCTAGCCAATTGGCAAATGCAAAAGGTTTGACGGCACAGTGAGTCCACAGGGTGTAAGGAAACTGGCACTCCCTAACATCAATGGCTCCATCAAGCAATTACACATCCATGAACTGATCCTAAGGATCCCCCGCTTACTTTCATTAAATGACACATGGCTGCAGGTACTCCCTAAAGCATTGTTTGTAAGAGCAGAAAATTAGAAACACCCTAAATTGTTCAGCGAGAGTGTCGAGTGCTAAGTTTCCAGGTGTCGAGGAGGTCAATGAGGACAAAAACCCAAACCGAAACTAACCACTGAGCCCTCATGTACTCACTGTGAGCCTATAAGCAAGAGTCAAAACAGGAAAAAGGCGCCTTCTCCTGCAGTATTCCGCTACTCCCCAGAAAGGGGCTCAGATGTAGCCTGTGGATGGCAGTGCAGGATCACTGCAGAGGGGTTGGGGTGTGGGGGATGCTGGGGGTGGGCAAGGACTGAGGACTGGGTCAGAGTAAAATGTTTTCAAGCCCCCTCCCCTCACAAGAAGACCTCAGCAGAGGTGCCTGGGAAGGGCGGGGCCCTTTGATGAGGAAGCCTCCACCCGGAGAGGCCTGGGCTCAGAACTCGCAGGACTCCTTGACTCTAACACCCTCCGACTGTGCCCCATGTGCGGCGCAGGGAGGACGGCTTTCCCCATGAGGCCTGCAGGTAAAGCCTTTGTAATTGCCTGGGGTGGGACCTAAAGATCACAGGGAGGGTTCTGGCCTGGAGCCTGTGCCTCAAAGAAAGGAGTGTTGAAGTATGTGATGGTGCATCCATAGAAAATAACACTTTACAGACAGGAAAAAGAAACAGTTCCTAAATGTCTTGCTACAGAGCTATTTCCATGTGAAAGCAACACAGTTCATAACAGGATATATCAAGTCCATAACAATGTAATATACCACAGTTGGTGTTTTTAAAAACAAGACCATTAAAAAAAAGAATATGCATATATAGGCAAGTACACATTAACAAATATGTGCCCATTCACGTATAGGACACACAAGACAGTGGTAACAGTAGTTGCCCATCAGAGTAGGATGCTGGGAGAGAGTAGTCAGAGAGGTCTTTGTGGACAAATGGCCCATAGGTATCTCTACAGATTTACGTGTGTCTTCTAAATCTGGCCTAGATTATACTTATTAATAATTCAAAGTCTAATTTGTTTAAAGAAATAGAGTTATCACAGAAGTTACATCTGAACCAATAAATAACTCCAAATCTCACCTGGCCAAGTTATTATTTTTATTTTTTAAATTTATTTATTTATTTATTTTGAGACAGAGTCTTGCTCTTGTTGCCCAGGCTGGAGTGCAGTGTCGCGATCTCGGCTCACTGCAACCTCCGCCTGCCTCCCAGGTTCAAGCAATTCTCCTGCCTCAGCCTCCTGAATAGCTGGGATTACAGGCGCCTGCCACCATGCCCAGCTAATTTTTGTACTTTTAGTAGTGACGGGATTTTGCATTGTTGACCAGGCTGGTCTCAAACTCCTGACCTCAGGTGATCCCCCTGCCTCAGCCTCCTGAAGTGCTGGGATTACAGGCGTAAGCCACCGCGCCTGGCCCTGGCCAGGTTATTATAACAGATAATTTAATACCTGGTTAACGTCCCCTAGGCAGGGTTAAAGGGCACCTTTCCCCACATCCAAATTTTGGTTCTGAAATTATCTCCATCAATATATTCAAACAAAGAATTTAAGACAACTGTGATATCTCACAAGTTGATCTATGAATTCTTTTTAGAATCTCAAATGAAAGGCACTATGTAATTATGAAGTATTGTCGCTGTGATTTATGAACCCAAATGTTAGGAAATTCTAAATAACATGCTTTACTGTGATGATTTTTCTGTCAGTGAGAAATCTTCACCACACCTTCTCATCTCCTGAATGTTAAGTTGATAGATGTTTATTCCAGAGGTATGCTGGAATCTCTACACAGTAGGCAAAAAAAAAGAAAGAAAGAAAGAAAGAAAGAAAGAAAGAAAGAAAGAAAGAAAGAAAGAAAGAAAGAAAGAAAGAAAGAAAGAAAGAAAGAAAGAAAGAAAGAAAGAGAAAGAAAGAAAGAAAGAAAGAAAGAACGAACTTCTCCAATAACATGTGAGAAGGACAATTATTTTTGTGTTAAAGATAAAATGTGTACTAAAATGATGTAGGTTCTATTTTTTGCTCAAAATATAGAACAGAAGTTTTTGTTTACTCCTATAATTCTTATTTTATCCCTTCTAGACAACCAGCATAAGTCACATATTATGTGTTTTACATCGAAATCTCTCCAATATAAGAAATATAAGGAATCTCTCTGAAAATAAAAATACAGGAATGGTTCTTTGCAGACCTATTTTAAGACTGTTATCCTTGGACTGCAGAGAATAATCATCAAAGAATGAAAGTAGCTGGAGGAAAGAAAAACCTTCAGAAAGAAATCTTACAGTGTCTTTTCCATGGTGACATCAAGTTCTGATTTAGGGATGACCAAAGCATCTTTGAGTTGACAACCCAGCCTACTGTCTTCATTTTGCAGGTGGCAGCAAAGGTCAAATGGCTTGCCCAAGGGTCCCACAGGGAACAGCTCATGGCCTGAGACACAGCCCTAATCCCTCAGATGGCTCTCCACCCAGAATTGAAGCCTACACCAGTTACTCACTTATTAGCTCATGCAGAGGCAGTTTTGGTTTTTTTGTTTGTTTGTTTTGTCTATAAAATGACACATAGGAGAAAGTGTTCATGTAAGTTAAGGCTACAAAAATTAAAACTTCCTATTGTTGCCTTTAACACCAACTATCATCCAGAAATTACATGTAAAGTAAAATATCTGTGGCTAATGCTGTGAGCACTACTCCTGCCCTGTCACTATCTAGAAATGGAGGCAAAATGGGGTAGGGGAGGGGACGAGGTGCATGTACCCATGCTTTGTGTGTGCCTTGTTAAGAGAGGGCTCCAGGGTGAGACTTCCCTGGCTCAAATTCCAGCCTGGCTGCTCCCACCTGCCATGAGCCTGAGCATGTGCCTTGGCCCTCTCTAAGCCCGGGTGTCCTCATCTGTACAGTGGGGATGAAATTTACTTCACGGGGCAGATTCAGGGCAACATGTTGGCATTCCATAAGTATGAGCTTTCTTAGGCACGCATGTACATGCTGAGCTCTGCTGTCCACGTGAAGAACCACACAAAGCAGGAATACACCGAGTGGACACACTGGGCCTCATCCCTGTCCACGGCTTAAACAAAGCTGAGCCAGAATCTCTGGGAAAGAGCCTGGCCCTGTCCACCAACCTATCCTTACAGCCTCTCTCCTCCTAGGGCAAACGTTAGTGGGGACAAGAGAGAACCCAGGGGCAGGGTGGAGTCTACTCCTGTGCCTGACAAGCTCCAACAAGACTACCGCTACTTTCTTCAGCCACAGAGGGCCAGGCATCCCAACAGTGACAGCTGACCAGTTGCCTTCCATGCTGAAAGACAAACCCAAGAGCTTGGAGCACATACGACAGCTCATTGTACTAAATCATAAACACAAAGTCGAAAATGGAAGACTAATCTCATGCTGTGACCTAAACGAATGTCAAAGAAGTCTGTACTGAGTTCACTCTGCAGTCCCTCAAAATTCAAGTCCACCGGAACCTGAGGACGTGACCTTCCTTGGAAATAGGACCTGTGGAGATGTAATTAGTTAAGATTTGGTCAGAGAGAACTGAGGTGGGCTCTAAATCCAGTAACTGGTGGCCTTTTAAGAGAAAAAAAGACAGAGACACCGATACGCAGGGAGAACGCCACAGGACACAGGTGCCCGAAGCTGGAGTGATGCGTCTATGAACCACAGAACAGCAAGGACTGCTGGTAATCACCAGAGGCTAGGACAGGCATGGAACACATTCTCCTTCAAGGTTTCTGGAAGGAACCAACTTTGCCAACACCTTGATTTCAGATTCTAGCCTCAATAACTGTGAGGAAATACATTTCTGTGGTTTAAGCCACCCAGCTGTAGTACTTGGTTGTACAGCGTATTAATAGAGGATCCAAACCATGAAAGCAAAGGATTCAGAAAGGGATATGGGGCTATTTAGGCTACATTCATATACCTAAGGCACAAAAGTGGCTTATTCCATAGATTAAAGTTGGCCAAGAATTCTTTGCTCTCTTGCCCCTGAGGATATGATATGCCCTTCTCGTGGATCTGGAAAGTTCTCTGTTCCGTAAGCCATAAAATATGGCAGAAGTGAGAGTGTGACAGTTTCCAGGCCCAGGTTTTAAGAAACTAGCAACTTCTGCTCTCTATCCCCGGAGCGCTTCTTAGAGTCCTGCATGACTCTGTAAGAATCTGAAGTGGCCACACTGGAATGTCTATGCAGAGAGGCCCTGAGACCACATGAACACAGAGAGATGCCCTGCCAGCCCCTGGCTTGCTCTTCCCGCCCTGAGACAACATGAACACCGAGAGATGCCCTGCCAGCCCCTGGCTTGCTCTTCCCGCCCCCCAATAATTCCACAGGAAACCCCAGACACCCAGGAGCAGAGACAAGTGGTCCTGCCACACCCAGACCAAACTGCTGATTCGTAAGCAAAATAAATGACTCTTGTAGTTTTCAGCTGTTGAGTTTGGAGATGTTTTGTTTTACAGCAATAGATAATCAGGGCAGCTTATGACTCTCAGCCTTTAATATAAAAGTAGAAGCAAAATATGTTACACCTTTAAAAGGAAACATTAGAGAAAATTCAGATCAAAGCAATAAGAAATGTTAATGGTCCTGGCAGGGGGGCAGAGAGGTGGCCAGTTATGGAAACTGTGGTATTTAACCTGAAACTTTAGAATGCCCAAGCATCTAATGGGGGTGGAAAGATGGGAATGACCAAAGTGCCCTGCCTCTGCTGGAAGCTGAACAAGATGACTGGGTTCTAAATGAGGAAGAATCTCTGTTGTAGCTTGAAATACTAGAATGAGCCCCTGGCGGTGGCAGGAACCTAACACCCTCTGGAGACAAAACCAAGAATAAGATCACAAAACACAGGTGCCAAGGGGGGTTTGAGTGTCACAGACATGAACTCAGCCAACGTCTCTCTGCAGCCACTCACTCAATATCCAAAATACAATATGTTATTGTCTCGAGCCTTAGGGCACTTGTCGGAAGGCTCCTTGTATTAAATTGCCACGTGAGATAAAAACAGGCAGAACAGCCTTTCATGTCACTGAACTGTGATAAAAAATAACTTGCCACTTAGCTTCCTTCTGCCTGCAAAGCATCAAAGGCACCTAAGACATGAATTTTCTGTGAGCCAGAGAGGGGCAAGATAGACAGATGTTCAGCAATACTCTAATCGTCAGGAGGAAAGGTTTGAAAGGTATAAAGTCAGTCTGCCCCAGTTGCTGAATCCAGGAGTGACTCTTCCAGGGGTCCCAGTGACTTGTGGAGCCCAGAGCGGGTAGGTCTACGTGGAGGGATGATCAGCCCACTGTGGCCTTGCCCTCTGGTGAATTCCTATGACAACTGTAACACCATGTAACTTTCATGTCAGTTTAACCAACCGCCTAGATCATCAAGGCCCTGGACAAGAGCTAGGCTGCAAACATCACTCCATCCACTACGTCAGAGACAAGCTCTGGCCCCACAGTGTGTGTGCAAGAACCAAGCCTGCTTGACAGGTGATAGTCAGGCTCCCTTCGCTTTCCAGAAACAAGCTCAGGGACCTCAGGGGACAGATACAGATACGTGCATTAAAATTACACAGGGGAACAAGACAGTCCAGGATGCTTGTGATGGGTAATTTCATGTGTCAACTTAGCTGGGCACAGTGTCCAGATATTTGGTCAAACATTAATCTGGGCCAGGCACAGTAGCTCATGCTGTTAGTGGCTCCCTAAGGTGTCCCTTTTCTTCCTGGAAACATCTGTGGCTGCAGCACCTTGGCCTGAGTTCTCACCTGCATCCAGGAAGAATGAGGTACGCAGACAAGTGAAGGGTGAACAAGACGAAGATGAGCTTTATTGAGTGTTACAACAGCTCAGAGGAGACCCGTAGCGGGTGACTCCTTTCTGTAGGCAGGCCGTCTGTCAAGAGTTCAGTTCTCTGCAGAGAGAAGGCCCTGGAGAGGGTGGCTCCTCTCTGCCAGTAGGATGTCTCCGCAACTCTCAGCAGAGAGAATAGCTCCTCTCTGCAACTAGTTGTTCCATCATCTCCAGCTATCAGCAGAGAGGGTACTCCACTCTGCAGCTCATCATCCCATCTCTCTGCCCTCTTCGTCCCCTGGCCATCTCGTCTCTGCCCACTTCGTCCTCTGGCCATCCTCTCCCTGCTCTGGCTGAGCCCAGGGCTTTTATGGACCTCAGAGGGGAGAAAGTACATGCCAACTGGTCCATGGGTGGCCATGGGCAGCCATGGGCGGGCCTGGAAGAGGCGCCATGAGTCCCCACTCTGGTCAGTGGGACTGGCAGCCCGGCCCTCAGCCTTCAGGCCCTCCCTGGCCTAAAGATGGGGCCTTACTGGGGCCTGCCCCCCTTCTAGCAGGACTCTCTCTCCTGCTGCCATTCAGGGCCCCAAGGCTTGGCCCCAAACCCTGCTCCAGGATTGGAGAGGGCACTGGGAGAGGAGAGAGGCCAGACAGCAGGAACAGACATCCTCAAGCCAGTAAGGGTACAAGGGAGGCCCTTCCTGGGCCCCCAAGGATGCAGGCTGCACCAGGGAGTTCCCACCCCATCAACTCAGAAGGGGCAGGGTTCCTGCTTGTCCCCGGCTCCTGCCTGCTCCGTGGAGCAGGAGGCCCAGGGTCTGCAGCTGTGGGTCAGGCGGCTGCAGCTGCACCCACACCCACACCCAGCAGGGCAAATCCTGCCTGCTCCCAGCCCCGTCTAAGACCACAGGGAGGCTTGGATCCACAGCCGCAGTTTGGGCAGCTGTGGCCCCGCCAAGGAGGGCAGGCTCCTGCCTGCTTGATAGAGCAGGAGGCCTGGGTCTGGACTGCGGTTTGGGTGACTGCAGCAGCACCCGGGGAGCTCCTACTCCACCTCAGAAGGGGCGGGGCTCCCACCAGCTCCATGGAGTGTGCAGCCCCAGTCAAGCCTCCCTGCTGCAGCCACTGCCATCAATGCCTGTAATCCCAACACTTTAGGAGGCCAAGGCAGGCAGACTGCTTGAGCTTAGGAGATTGAGACCAGCCCGGTCAACCTTGCAAAACCATGTCTCTACAAAAAATACAAAAATTAGCTGGGCATGGTGATCACATGCCTGTGGTCCCAGATACTTGAGAGGCTGAGGTAGGAGGATGGCTTGAGCCTGGGAGGTGGAAGTAGCAGTGAGCCAGGATCGTGCCACTGCACTCCAGCCTGAGTGACACAGGGAGACCTTGCCTCAAAAAACAAACAAACAAAAAAACACCCTCACATGTTTCTGTGAGGGTGCTTTTTAGGTGAGCTTAGTATTTACATTGGTGGCCTCTGAATAAAGCAGATTGCCCTCTGTAATGTGGGTGGGCCGCTCCAGTCCATTGAAGGCCTCAATGGAACAAAAGACTGACCTCCTCTTGAGCAAGAAGCAATTATGATGGCAGTCATCTTCACACTTGAACTGCAATATTGGCTCTTCCCTCATCTCCGGCCTGATGGCCCACCCTGCAGATTTTGAAGTTGCCAGCCTCCCAAATTCCGCGAACCAATTCCTTAAAACAAACTTCTCTCTCTGTGTGCACGGGTGCATATGTATGTGTATACAGGCACACGCACATACACATCCTACTGGTTCCATCTCTCCGAAGAACCCTGACTAGCACAGCACCATAGCAGTTCTCATGGCCTCCTCTCACACAGGAGCCCAACGGTCTGTGACTTAGCTGCTTACCCTCTAACTGCTAGCAGCAATCAACTTCTCCACTAACCGCTTCTCCAGCTCTTGGCCTCTGCTCGCTGTTTTGTTCAGTCTCTACATGCTCCCCACTCCTACTCCAAAAGGGGCCAATGACCTCATTCTAACCCAGTGGCCCTCCTGAGTGGAATTCCCACTGGAGACCACCTCAAAGTCCAAAGGGCTTCAAGGACAAGGCAGTGACAGCTGGTCTCATCACCTTTGGTCAGGTTAGAGGAATCACAAGGTACAAAACTCACTGAACTGGTCATTACTGGCCTCCCCCCACTCCACCACCACCCCTACCGCTTTCTTTAAAAATCACTAGTGAGTAGGGTAGGAGGTGTTCAGAGACTTCTGAGACACTGCCGTGTTACTGGCAGGCACTTTCAGGCAAAATACAGACTCCCACATTCTACCAAGAGCACGGTTGCTAAGATTGCCACTTTCAGGGAAGGACAGATAGGACACATCTACTTAGGGTGTGGGACAAGGAGAATGTCTCCTCACCTTCACACAAACCTTTGTTAGAGCTAGGGATGCAGCTCCCACATTAAGGGGTAGGATGGACAGGAGAACTTTTTCAGAGGCTCCCCCGCTGATACCCACCTCTCCCATTCTGGCCTACCCAGGCTGACAAACTAGAAGGGTGACGATGGCAGCTTTGAGGTTCTCCCCTCTCTGAGACCTCAGTTTGACACATCTGGGAATCTCTGATCATTTGCCTGAGCACCTACTTTGTGCTACACTCTGCCGGGCACTTTTACTTCTATCATTCATCAAGGTAAGAAGTTGTGATATTTCCACTTTACATACGAGAGATGTAATGTGACTTGCCCAAGGACTGGAACTGAGGTCGCTGCTCTTTCTACTGAATAGTGCTGTGTTCTGGTGACTCATCCAAGTGAATAAATTCATCGAGTCCTCATTGGGGTACTGCACAGGCCAGGGGCCACGTAGGAGTGAGGCATACAGAGATCAAGAGTCTCAGCCATACTTCTAGGAGGGCGAGACAGCCATGGCCTTGGCAGCCACTGCCGCCCCAGCTCCCTGCACAAGAATTGGCACCTGGTATGATAGTTGGCGGTCAAATTCCCTGGGCCAGAATCAACCACTTCACACGCGTGTGACTTCTCATGATGGTCTTTTTTGCTGTATCAACTTGGAGAAGCTACAGTTCCCAGTTTCTGAGAGGTATTTTGTAGATGTGGATAAAGTTCATTATTAGTTGTCTTTAAGTAAGAGAGATTACAGAGATCATCTGGATGGGATAGATTCAACAGAAAGGTCTAAAGAGTAGAGCCAAGGCTTCCTTAAGGAAGAAATTCCATCTGTAGATGGCCACTTCTGTGTCTGCTCCATGGATCCTGGACCTGCCTGAATAGCCCCCACAATCATATAAGCCAACTCCCCCTAATAAATCTCTTAATGTAGATCTCCTATGGTTCTGTTTCTCTGGTTGAACCCTAGCTAGTACACCTCTCTTTGCCTTAACCTCTTTATGCCTCAGTTTCTTGTCTTAATATAGGGAAAATAATAGTATCTACCTCACAGAGTTGACTTGAGGATAGCACAAGGAAAGTATTGAGCCCAGGTACTTGGTAAGATCCTAACAAGTATGAAATATTATTATTCATGTAGTAATAGCTATTATTATTAATAAAGTCATGCCCTTAAGAAAGAAGGTTATGGACTAATGGGGATATTAGAAAAAATAATTACAGCTGGGCACGGTGGCTCACGCCTATAATCCCAGTGCTTTGGGAGGCTGAGGCGGGTGGCTCATGAGGTCAGGAGTCCAAGATCAGCCTGGCCAATATGGTGAAACCCCGTTTCTACTAAAAATAGAAAAATTAGCCGGGTGCCGTGACGCATGCCTGTAGTCCCAGCTACTCAAGAGGCTGAAGCAGAAGAATCGCTTAAATCCGGGAGGCGGAGGTTGCAGTGAGCCGAGATCACGCCACTGCACTCCAGCCTGGGAGGCAGAGCGAGACTCCATCTCGGGAGAAAAAAAAAAAATTTCAACATAAAGAAATATTTGCTAAAAATATAGATAGGTATAAAGTACACCAGGCACTAGGAAAAGAAGTACCTAAGTGTGCCCAGGACACAGTGAGAAGCCGCTGTAAGTGTACAATGCAGTTGGCCCAAGTTCCCCCTTGCTTCTGCTTTGGGACTTTAACTCCTAAGGAGATGGTGCAAGGTGAGAAACTCCTTCCTCTCAAAGGCTTTTTAAACCTAATCTATAGAGAAGTATCTCCCAGTGGTTATAATCCTTTCAGTGGGAAATCACTCATTTACTCAAATTTTTGCTGAGCATCTTTCAAGTGCTAGGTGCTGTGCTAAGGGCTTGGGAATAAACAGGTTAAACCAAAAACACCTTTAGATGGAGGAAGACAAGGGGTCAGACAATAAACACATAAACAAATACCTAATTTCCAGGTGTAACATGTAAATGAACAAAAAGAGCCTGGTGAGAGAATAAACTGAGAGTTTATTCTCCTACCTCCCCCACCCCACCCAGCCATGCCGTGCTCCCAGCAGGTTGAGACCACAACAGAGCATTCTCCTGCCAGGGCAGCAGTTGGACAATGAGTTGAGGATTGGTGGGGGACATATCTCGGTGTTGGGCTTTTGTTGTTGTTCACCTGAGATGCCCTTAGTGGACAACCAAATCCAATGACTCTCAAACTGTGTTCTCAAAGGATCCCATGGTGTTCCACAGACCACACAAATGTTTGTTTCAAAGTTCACAGATGCAGAGGCTGATAAGGGATTGTAGGGGTGCTCATAAGTTCTCATTCTCACTATTCCAGCCAACCTGCTTCACTATCAACAAATGCCCCTTTTACCTTCTAAAGTAAATCTGCTCTCATAAAACACCAACTTCACCTGTTCTTACACAGTAAGTATCTAATATTTTTACTCACAAACAACCCACTCTATTGCTTTAAAAACATTTGGAAATGACTGCTATTAACTAATTCCACATTAACATTTTTTGAAAACCGATGTTTGAAACTGACTTATTTTCAGAGATGGCAAATTGCTACTAAAAATACATTTTATGGTTACTTGTCATCATCTATCCAAAAAGTACACAGGAAAATTAATTAAGGACCTTTTAAAAACTAATCACTCTGTTCACACAAAGGGTAAATTCACTTTATACCCTAAATGTGGTTTCCCTGGTGATGGGATTGTCTGTATTCAATTCTGCCAGTACAGATCACTACCTTAAAATTGATCAGCTAATAAAATTTGTTAGGGTGACAGTTTACAGTTACTGCTTCCATAACAAAGGCTGTACATGAATTTCTAACCAGGTATTTACTCCATCCACATGAAACAAGATCACACCAAATCATCCTGAAAGGAGAGAATACTGAGTTAATATCCATTTATAAAGATGGGAACTTCATTAAAGGGTCTTCCGTATGTGTGTGTAGTAAGTAAATATAACATTGCAATTACATGAAGAAACATATAAATTCACATAGGTGAGATGACATAAACACACATCTCCCTCCACATATCAGACTCTGTAAAAGGTTTATTTAAAATCATATTAAATTACACAGCCTCAACCCAGTTAATCTATCCAGTAAACCAGTGCAGCAAACAGCTTTCCTCTGTCAGGAGAGTGTGTACCTGGAAGCAAAAGTCAACAATGAAAAAATGTTTCAAAGAAGGATAATTCCTATTTGTTTATAAATTTTCACTGGATGCTTAACTAAATCTCTATTTGTGCTTCACACACACCCAATATTCAACAGCACCACCTTTTCCCTCATCATGCTACGAATCCAAAGCCTCCCTACTGAATTAAGTGTTGTTTTTTAAGTCTCAAATGTCACAACTGAAAAAAAGTATTCAGTATAAACATGTATTAGGGTTGCATTTCTTCAGAAAACATCTAGCAAGGAAGAATTTTATTAAAATCACATTGTACTTGTACCAATTGAACTTGTGTCTATTGAAGTAAGTGTGAGCCGCGTTAAAAACTATTGTAATAACTAGACATAGAAAAGTTAAAGGCCAGGTGCAGTGGCTCACCCCGTAATCCCAGCACTTCGGGAGGCCAAAGCAGGAGAATCACTTGAGGCCAGGAGTTCGACACCAGCCTGCACAACATAGCAAGACCCCATATTTACAAAAAACTTTAAAAAAAATTAGCCAGGTATAGTGGCATATGCCTATACTCCTAGCTACTCAGGAGGCTAAGGCAGGAGGATTGCTTAAGCCCAGGAGTTGGAGGTTGCAATGAGTCATGATTGATCTGCTATACTCCAGCCTCCAACAGAGTGAGACCCCCAACTCTAAAAAAAAAAAAAAAGTTAAAATAGAAAAAAAAATACAATACAATAAATACCATACATTTCAATCATCATATGCTTAAATAACTGAGAGGATCAAATTAATTTTTTAAAATATACTAGATTTCATTTATAAAACAATTCAAGTGGCACATTAATAGGCTTACACTATCATCACTTTTCCCCATGGTCACATAGTCATCTAGATGTACACTCACCAAATGCTATCAGTCAGAGAACATTAAATGAGTACCTGACAACCCTCAACCAATTGCCAGGTCTCCTCTCTGACATACAATCCACATAGTTACCTAAGCAACCCTTGAATACCTCCATATGCCATTTTAAAAGAGCCCTAACAGCTAGAGAACGAGTCCTTAATTCAATTTGTTCATCAGTATGCCTAGTGATTGTGCAAGGGCTGAAAGATGCAAAGATGAATAAGATGTGACCTTTCACATAGGTATCTGTG
The DNA here is from genome assembly GCF_000001405.40 of Homo sapiens. Taxonomy (NCBI): domain Eukaryota; kingdom Metazoa; phylum Chordata; class Mammalia; order Primates; family Hominidae; genus Homo; species Homo sapiens. The sequence goes on from NC_000003.12 coordinate 31,823,381, forward strand.
GTCTGGCACATAGAAGGTGCTCAATTACTACCTGCAGAATGAAGGTAGGAGTGGGTGAGTAAGCAAGCTCACAGTCTAGGGCAGTGCTATCCAAGAGAAAGATAAGCCAAGCCACAAATGGGAGACACATACATAACTTTACGTTTTCTAGTAGGCGAATTTAAAAGGTAGAAAGACCTCCTCCCAACCTGTCCACAGCCCAGGCAAGGAGCAATAAATAATAAATAGGTAAAAAGAAATAGGTAGAATAAATTCTAAAATACTTTATTTAACTGAATGGATATAAAATATTATGATTTCCTTAGTATATGAGTATTAAAAATTATGACACATTTTACCTTGTTTTGTACGAAGTCTTTGGAATCTAGAGTGCGTGTTATATTACAGCACATCTCCATTCATACTGTGCACATTTCGAAGCTCATTTTGACTAGGCCCTTTTTAATTTAATTTGTATGTGTGTATGTGTGTGTGTGTGTGTGTGTGTGTGAAATGGAGTTTGGCTCTATCACCTAGGCTGCAGTGCAGTGGCATGATCTTGGCTCAGTGCAGCCTCCACTGCCCAGGCTCAAAGGATTCTCCCACCTCAGCCTCCCAAGTAGCTGGAACCACAGGTTCATGCCACCACACCCAGCTACTTTTTTGCATTTTTGGTAGAGATGGGGTTTCATTAAGACAATGATTGCCCAGGCTTGTCTTAAACTCCTGAGCTCAGGCGATCCTCTCATCTCAGCCTCCCAAAGTGATGGAATTATAGGCATGAGCCACCACGCCCTGCCCCTTTTTTAATTCTATAAAGACACCATGGTCAATGAAAGCAGTTGGGCCTGAAGAAACAGGAAGTGTTGACAGCTTGAACATATGGAAGGGATAAATGGATGCAGGAAGAGCTCATGGGATCACCTTGACAGTTGCTGTAGTTGCAGGTTGGCCAATGTGAGATCTAGTACTGCCATCAATTGTCTTTGCAATTTAACCTAAATTGTGCTTAAGCGCCTTGACGTGAGTCTCTATTGTTACAGTGTTCTGTTGAGTCGTGGTTAGGGCATCATAAAGTCTCTGATCCAAAAAATGGTCCAAATCGTTCTTCAACGCACTGAAGGATCACTTTCTGCTGACCGATGGTTGCTACAAGAGCACTGGAAACGATCGCAAGGTTTGATATGTACAGTTTGATATCGTCAAGGGCAAGATCAGATCTCAAGTTGATGCCTTGGACTAGGTTCTCCATCGAAAGACCCGCCATCTTTGTTGGTTTGGACGCAGAGTGAGTGATCATACATCTGTGCTCTGGCCATTGTCCACCAAAGCCTTCACATCATTCATCAATCAGTGCTTTCTCTTGCTTTGGAAGTGCCATCTGTCTGCGCTTCTCCTCCTTGGCTGTTTCTGGGTTCTTCCTTGTTTGCCAGCGGATATCTTGCAGTTGCGGGTATATCATCCCATCTCACTCGATAAAACCTCCTGCATCACCATCATAGATCTTAAGCCTTCTTGTACGCTCAACTGTTTCCTAGTGGAGCCAAGATATGAATGTTTCCATATCAAGTAAAGTATGGAACATTTCTGTTTTGGCAGAAAGTTCTGCTGAGCAATGGGCCTCCCAACAGAGGAGGTCCTAAGTCCCCAGTGAGGACAAGAAGGGGCACTGAGGGTTGGGGGATGGAGGAGTGCACACTGCAGGAAGCTGGGCTTGTGGGCCACCCAGGAGAGTTTGACCTTTATCCTATGGACAGTGGGGAATCAAAAAGGTTTGGGGATTTTTTTGTTTGCTTTAAGAGCAGAAAGGTGACATGATAAAATGTTCCTATTTAGGAAGGTGGTTTTCTGGAGATAGAGCAAGGCATGAACTCAAAGAGTGATTGACAATGGCAATGGAGGAGACAGACTGGAAACACAGATGCACAGGCCAGAATCAATCCACAAGGAAGTATCTTCCAGTCCAAGAATTTTTTTTTTAAGAAAAAGTCTTGCACAGTCGCCTAGGGTGGAGTGCAGTGGGGCAATCGTTGCTCATTGCAACTTCAAACACCTGGGCTCAAGCAATCCTCCCACTTCAGCCTCCTGAGTGGTTGGGACTACAGGCATGAGCCACCACACTTAGCAAATCTGTAAATTTTTTGTTGAAATGGAGTCTGTGTTGCCAGGGCTGGTCTTGAACTCCTGGACTCAAGCAATCCTCCCATCTCGCCTCCCAAAGTGCTGGGATTACAGGCGTGATTCACTGCACCCAGCCCCATAAGACTTCTTACTCAATGCAATAAATGACTCTTTATTCTGAGATTATATTCCTTTTGGGGGCATTAAGATGTTTTTATGAGATAGTGGAAACCAGAGATTATGACTACTTTCAAAATGTCCTTTCTGGGTAAATTTTAAAATAGCAATACTATGTTACTCCCAAAATTCTATTTCTAAAACTTCGTTTGCAAGTAAAATCCAAAATTCTGGGAACCACTGTCTTAAACAACTTCTGGAGCTTATTAAGATGACTATAGGGTCCAATGTACATATATTATTCTGTATAGTTATTTTCCTACTCATTTTATGCATACATGTCCATGTAGTAATAATACCGACATGACTCTTATCTTAAATTACTATATAGTGATTTAGAATCTAAAATGTATTATTGTTTAGTCATTCCCTTAATGTCTTGTATTGAATCTATGCCTTTATTAGTATGAATAGCTTTATCCAAATTAATTTTCTTCCTCCTAGCCCCAGTTCCATAAATTGTTTCCTCAGGTATGATTCCCAGCAGGAAATTTATGGGTCACTGGCAATGCAGTTTGGTTTATGTTTCATTCTTACTATACATCACCAGATTGTAGCAAAAAGACAATCTGCAGCACAGTCAACATTTCTTAATACCCCACCAATAATGGGCTAGAATTAATTCTGATAATTTCACAAACAGTTGCCTTAATTTTCATTTCTTGAATTGCTAGAGAGAATATGTCTGTTCCTCCTGATGATATTGTCTCTGAAATTCCCTATACTCATCTCTCCTAACCACTTCCTGAGAGGATGCTGGGTTCCGACCTTTGGTATCTCAATTCCTCATATTTTGGATAACCATTTAATCTTTCAAACTGTCCCATTATTTTCACCAATGCTGTAGCTTTCCATTTACTGTTTATTCTATTGCCTTTGGCTGGGCTATTTCTCTTTTATTCTCCTGATATTCAGGCACATCTGTCTTGTGTATGATGATTTTCTCCATTGCTTCTGTGGTCATAAGTTTATCTTCCCTGAACAGCTGGGTTAAAAATCCTATTCCATTTTCTTCTCGTTATTTTATAGATAAATACAGTGGAACCTTAAAGCAGTGGCCTTTATGCTCTGAAATTAATAACTGCGGAACTTTCTACTATGAGTGCAATTTGCTCGGATAGCTCCCAAGGTGGACCTGGCCACATCACAAAATGACAAATTCCAAAGAACAGCTACTCATCTCCCATCAGGAGTGAAGGTGGACATGGTGTCTGAAGACTGAAACTTTAAACTCTTCCTAAAGGGGCTCGGCACCCTAAAATTCTCTCCATTACCAGTGTTGGCACTTATATGTCAACAATCTTACTTAAATTTTGAGTAATAAAGGTTATCAATATACAAAAAGCAAGAAGCTGAAGAAATATACTGTCACCCAAGAGTACAAAAGCCAAACCAAATGGCTATAGAGGCATTTCATCTACTTTTTCTTTTTTCTTTTTGAGATGGGGTCTTGCTATGTTGCCCAGGCTGGTTTTGAACTCCTGGCCTCAAGCAATCCTCTCACCTCAGCTTCCCAAGTAGCTGGAATTACAGGTGCATGCCACCGGACCTGGCTTCACCTAATTATTTTTCATATCATGAAACTCTATGGAAAATTTCAATAGCTTTCCCCAACAGATAGACAACAGAGAAAAAACAATACGATAAAGGAAAAAAAAAAGCATACGTGTATTCATTTACAAAATTTAGATCGCTCTGGCCAGCCGCAGTGGCTCATGCCTGTAATCCCAGCACTTTGGGAGGCTGAGGTGGGCGGATCACGAGGTCAGGAGATCAAGACCAGCCTGGCTAACACGGTGAAACCCCGTCTCTACCAAAAATACAAAAAATTAGCCAGGCGTGGTGGTGGATGCCTGTAGTCTCAGCTACTCAGGAGGCTGAGGCAGAAGAATGGCATGAATCCGGGAGGCAGAGCTTGCACTGAGCTGAGATCAAGCCACTGCACTCCAGCCTGGGCAACAGAGTGAGACTCTGTCTCAAAAAAAAAAAAAATTTTTTTTAGATTGCTCTGTATAGATTTTTACGTATCTACATCTGTAATACACAGGGAAAAAAACCCAAAAGCAAATTCACTGAAAGGTTAACAGTGGTTATCTGTAGGGAGGTACAATTGTAGGTAATTTTAATTTTCTTTATACATTTTTTGCAATATAAACTTGCATTATAGAATTTATATAAATAAAACTTCTTTGTACACCCATACACAAAAGCCATACTTATTTTAAAAATTTGAATTCTTTTTAAATGAAGGTAGAAAACATTCTGTTGAATCAAACGCTACTAATTAATCATGCTAAAGTACCTCAACTTTTATTTAGGTCACTGCTCACTACACACAAGTCCTACATTTTTTTTTCATACATACAGGCTTCCTATCATTTATAACAGTAAGTCCACAGAGATTCATTATAATACAATAAAGAATATTATCAAAATACCATAAACTTTCAACTGCCTTTGTTCAAGGTTATGGTCTCAAATTACTTATAAACTAATCTGCGATGAGGTCTACATAAAAGTGAAATGATGGTATCATAGTTAAGTGTTGTGTCATTTTATCACTGCCAGTTAATGTAATGGTATTTATCTAACAGGAACTTTTTATAAAACTTAACTATTCTTTAAAATACTCTAGCAGGAAAAATAAAGTGGTGGGGGAAATAAAAACAGATAAAACAAGAACAATGGAAAGTTGGAATTGTTAAAGTAAGGTGATGGATATAGGGTTGCATTACTATTCTATTTTGCATATATTTGAAAATTTTCCATTATACAATGTTTTGAAAAGGTGCTAAGAAAATGAAAAGAAATATAAACCTGTGCACAATCATTCATCATATCAACTAACGTAACACAATTAAGCTAATAGCTACTTTTTCTTTTTCTTTTTTCTGAGACACAGTCTCACTCTGCTGCCCAGGCTGGAGTGCACTGGGGCTATCTTGGCTCAATGCAGCCTCCCGCTCCTAGGATCAAGCGATTATCCTGCCTTAGCCTCCTAAGTAGCTGGGACTACAGTCACGCGCCACCATGCCCAGCTAATTTTTGTGTTATTAGTAGAGATGGAGTTTCACCATGTTGGCCAGGCTGCTCTCGAACTCCTGACCTCAAGTGATCCACCCACCTTGGCCTCCCAAAGTGCTGGGATTACAGGCATGGGCCACCAGGCCCGGCCCAGTTTTTCCTTTTTAACACATCAGGGTGACTATTTCAAAGTAAGCATTCTACCTGAAAATTCCAATAGAATTCTGACTCTCTACTTTTTCTTTATTAGGCAAGACACAGTATATACATGTAAAATCTTTCAAGAAAAAAAAATTGTCTTTCATATGCATCTACAGATTTGATTCGGATTTCAGACTGTCCTTCCTGGGCCAGATTCAGAACCAAGATAGTCAGCTAACAGAGCACTACCTGGCTTGTGACATTTAAAAACTAAAGCCAGACGCATGCTAACTCAAGCAGCGGCAAGACCCTAGTCGAGGAGTCTCATTCTGTGTGACACGGAGGAAGAGCCCTGCCACTTTCTCTAAGAGGAAAGCAAACTGGTCTGTACCCAAGTAAGCTGCAGAGCAAAAAACCTCAGCACTCAAAGGAAGTAGGCAACCAAAACCACCATCATTTATTTGAGAGTCTGTTCTCTATAACAGCTGCAGAGGATGACAGGGATACTAAGGATCTGGGATCCCCAAACTGATGACTTCTCAGTGCATCAAAAGCGAAATTTAAACATAACCTCGCCTCACTTTTATAAGGCACAATTAAAGAGTTTTCATTGTCACAAATGATCCTATTTCCCCAGAGAAGGCTGGCAAAGCCTGTTTTATTTCCATTTTACAGGTGTAGAAACTGAGGTTCGGGGCTGTCAGAAGACTTGCTCTTAAACAAGTCTTCTGACTTCAAGGACAGTATTCTTTTCACTACCCAACCCTCCCCTTGGAGTGTGTCTATGAGGGGAAGCAGGAGAGGAGAGAAAGAAAGTGAAGCAGGGCAGAAAACAGGGGGTATCTGCGTTATGTCTAGCACTTCCTGAGTTTCAAAACACCCAAAGTTATTTTCTTATTATCCATGAGGTTTGGCCTAGTCTTTGCTATGAGCGTGGATTTAACTGTACTTCATTTACATCCATATTTTTGTAGGCTTGCTTTCTCTGCTTTCCGAGTTCTCAGAGTAGTCTCCTAACAATTCACTTAACCTAAGAAATAGGAACAATTAACTTTTTTTAAACCAGGAAGGACCGTCACAGCCGTGTGGCTGGGAGGTTTGCTGCTGGTCCTCTCTCCATAAATCAAGACGGCGCAAAGGAAGAGGAGTCGGCAGAGCGACTGTCACAGCCCCCAACTCCCCGGGGCTGCTTAACCTAGTAGGAGAGCAAAGCCTACCTCTCTGACTTCGTGAAGCTGGCCGGAATACTGACTCTTGGCTCTTCGGGCGGCTGCAGGCGACTTGTGATGCGTGATTGTGACAACACCGGGGGCCCCCACACTGAGGTGTCTCTGGCTACAGGGAGACGCAGAATTGGGTGTTCCATGTGGGAGCAAAGTGAGACTTCGGCTTCGGGAGCTTGGAGCACTCTAGAATAAGCAACAGGTGTCAAAACTCAACAACTGACCTGCAGAACACAACTAAGTGTTGGCTTCTATTCATTTTGGACCTCTTCATCTTTCCCCTTCCTCTCTTTAGGGAGCTGAAGGTATGAAGGAGGTATAACAACACTGCATGCCCAAATCCCACAGATACTCACTGAACTGCCCTTCCTTAGCTGCCCTTCTGGTTTCATCTCCAATTGTGCTTCCTGTCCTACGCTATGGCCATGAACAGCTATTCAAAATCCTGCCCCCCACCGTCCCCGACCCACACACCATGGACGCTCATGGAGCTCTGCCTCTCTACCTATTATTTCCTGTTCCTAGAATGCCCTTCCTCTGTGGCTGGTCAGCCTCTGCTGAACCTTCAAACTCAGCATGGTGTTCTCTGCTCTGTGAAGCATCTCCCTGGCTTTCTCGGCCTCTCTGCTGCTCTTATTCCACTGCATCAAGATTATATTGATTATCCAGTTACTTTCTTAAGAGATGCTTTCATGCTCATCTTTATATCCCCAAGGCCTGGCACATCACAATTGTTTAATTTATTAAGTGCTTAATAATGTCATCTATATGCACGAACTAAGCTGTCCACCAAGTATTCCTCATTTGTTAGTCCAGTGTTTACATTTCATCCTGTGGTAATATATAATCCAAATTACAATCTAGTTTATGATAAAGATGGCATCTCAACTTAGTGGAGATGAATTTTTCAGTAAATGTTGGGATAACTGGGAAGCCATCTGAATAACAAAGCTGGATTCATCTCTCAGATCACAGATCTCGAATGGATCAAAGATTTAAGAAAAACAAACAGTACTAGAAGAAAACACATAACCATGGGCCTAACACTTTGAAATCCAAAAGCTATACCACAAAAGCTTAGCCGGGTGCGGTGGCTCACACCTGTAATCCCAGCACTTTGGGAGGCCAAGGCGGGCAGATCACCTGAGGTCAGGAGTTCAAGACCAGCCTGACCAACATGGAGAAACCCCATCTCTACTAAAAGTACAAAATTAGCCAGGCATGGTGGCACATGCCTGTAATCGCAGCTACTCAGGAGGCTGAGGCAGGAGAATCACTTGAACCCAGGAGGCGGAGGTTGCAGTGAGCCGAGATCGTGCCATTGCACTCCAGCCTGGGCAACAAGAGCGAAACTCCGTCTCAAAAAAAAAAAAAGAAAAGAAAAAAGAAAAGCTTGATAAATTTGATCACCTAAAAACTGGAAATTTCTGCAAAGGAAACAAACAGACCAACAAAATACCCCACTACGACCACCAGCAAAGCCCAACTATAAACTAGGAAAAATGTAGAGCTGGAAATAATTATTAAAATGGGCCAAGGTATGAAGACAGCTTACAAAAAAAGAAATATAAATGGCTTTTAACACATAGGAAAATATGTTCAACTGTACTCAGAAGATAAATGTAAATTCAAACTACTTTAGATAACCATCTTTCACTCATCAGATTGGCAAAAATTCAAAAGTCTGAGTACACAATCTGTCAACAGGGCCACAGAGAAACGAGTTTGTGGAGGTAAAAAAGGTGGCAAAACCCTGAGAACAGCAATCAGCAGACCCATCACAGATACAAACACATCTCCCCCTGGCTCCAGCAATCCCGTGTCTGGGAATGTATCCTCCAGACATACCTGCAGCTGGGTGAAATGCTATATGTCCCTGTTAGTCACCGCAGCACTATGCCTGATGGCAAAGGACAGAAAACAACCCAAATGTCCGTCAGCATGGGACAGGTTAAATAAATTATGGTACATCTATGTAATGGAATACTACCAAGCTGTAAGAGAATAATGAGAGAGGTCTCTATGAATTGATCTGGAAATATCTCTCAGCTATACAGTTAAGTGAAGGAAGGCACATAATTGATCTATAGTATGCAAAATATAGCTTTTCCAACATGAGGTAAATAAGTATTTTTGTTATTTAGCTTGTTGAAAATTATTTGTTTAAAACAAACATACTGTGGAAGGATACATATAAAACTATAAAGTGGCTGCTTATTTGTGGAGAAGCAGGGAATGAGAGGATAGAAACAGTGAAGAGGGGAGATTTTTTCACTGTCTACTTTTTATATTCTTTCACTTTGAACTATACGTATGTATTCCCTATTGAAAACATTTTAATTTTGCATAAAATTTACATTCTAATTGTTCCTATACTTCATCTCAGCTTGAGAAAAGGCAAGTTAGATAATGTGGAAATCATCTAGTTCCTACAGTTCAAACATTTACTGAATACCTACTATGTGCCTAGGAAAATATCTACTGTGTAGTGTCAGGAAGAAAACAAAATGTATGAGACAGTTTTTCACCATAGATACCTATAATATTGCTGGGGATGTAAGATGCACATATACAGAGACAGACGGAGGGAAACATACACAGATGCACACTTACAAGATGGTGCATAACAGGGGCTAATTTGGCAATACAGCCAGAAAATGTCAAAGAAGTGAGCTCATCTCATCACGGCAGGATGTTCCAAGGGTGATGGGCCTGAAGCCTGAGTAGGCTTTGGGAAGCTAGACAGGCAAGGCAGCACACTACATAGCAACCCAACAGTCTGGATACCCTAGGTAGTCTTAGCCTCAGGCCTCGGCTAACAGGCACAGCTCTAAAAACTGTTAAATGTTAATGATCCATCGTTTTACAGATCACCAGGGGATGAAGGAGTGGGGCGAGAGCCAGGGTAGAAATCAGAGTTTGGGTTTACCTTGAAATACCGCAGATTGTAAAGATTCTCTGGATTTGACTTGGACATAATGAATTGGAATGCAGATAAAGATAGGAAATAACCATATAATAATCACCTACTTTCAGCTTCAATCTTTTCACTTGGAGAGTAGAGGGAGAAAGAGGATATTTCTTTAATAACAGTAAATTTGCCTAAGTATTAAGAGTCCACTGAAATATATTTTGACTGTCAGCGAGGCTTATTCCAGTCCAGGAAAAGGCAGATTTTTCCCTGGGCTTTGAAGCCAGACAGATAAGTTTCATTCTTCATACACACACCTCTATCCCCCCACTCCTCCCCTACCAAACCCCTGCTCTTGCCATGTGATCTGGGGTGAGTTATTTAAGTTTTCTCATTAAACATCAATTTCCTAATCTTTAAAAAGAGAAATAATAATATTGACCCTTAAAAGTCACCATGAAGTTTAAATTAGATTATGCATATACAATACTTAGCACAGTGCCTGACATGCAGAAGCTGCATGGACAAAGTTTGTTTCTTAATATCACTGAAAACTTGAACAATGAAAACCTTATGGATTTTTAAAATGTTAAGAAGTTGCTTAGCACAAAATCATAAGCAGTCGCTGAGTCACTGACCTTCTTATTTTCTACAAGGTCAGACTGGTCAGAAGCCCAAAACATAATTAAATACTTACAGGGTCAGCCATTAAATATCAAGATTGTAGGGAAAACACGCACACGCACACGCACACACACACACACACACACACACACACACACTCTCTCTCTCTTCTAATTCTGAGTAGAAATGAGGACTCTTCAGAAATCAGTGAGGAAGACAGCTCTGGCAATAGACACCTTTGCCTGTAGCAGTATCACCATGAATGGCAATAAATCAGATTCACCCAAGAGCAAAATTATTCCACGGTGGATGTCTAAAACCATGATCGTAATTACTTAATGGCTGTCATTTGAATTTACAAGCAGTAACTTTGAGTCAAAAAACCTTTAATTTTCCATTAACTGGGGATTTTCACAGTGTAATTCACATCCATGCCTTCTTTCAGGATAAACATGAGCAAAAAAGTCTTACCCTTCATAAATCCCACAGGTAATCAGTCATTACAAGAACAAGTGAGAAAAGGCAGCAAATTGCAAGCACTATAAATGAGCAGGCTGTGTTTCCAAAAGGCAACCTGTCTACAATCTCCAGGTTTTGTTTCAAAATTATGCCTCCATGTCATAAAAGCCTATCTTCGCTATTAATTTAAAATATTAACAGAGTCTGAGAAACAACATGGCAGGTTTTTGTTCCAAATATTTACTTCAATGGGGGCAACTAGAAACACCAAGTGTGCCATCTGTGGAAAATTCGGAGTCGAGAGCAAGTTTCTTCATCCTTTGCTTAGGAGAATCGTCCCTCACACAGCCATCAGTGTTCATCTGGCTACTCCTTATGTCCCCTTGCTTCGTAAGCACCTGGCTGATGATGCGGGACAGCAAAAAAGAGTGTGGGAGCAGGTGAGACCAAGTGCTGATGCTCAGAGCCTGTCCAGGCATCTGCACATAATCACACAGGCCTCTTGGTCTTTCCCTACATTCTCATTGAATGATTCCTAAATTTCCCAAGGTTGCAAAGAGAAGACAAAACACACATATGCTTTGAATCTACTGGCCAAAACTGCCATTTGGGAAAGGGGTGCTTGGAAAAGGAGAGGAATCACTAGAAAGAATCTGTCCAATCAAGGTAATCGGGTAACAAGCCTGGGAGATAGAAGCCTAGTGTGAGAAAGCTTAGGGCAACAAGCACTGGACCATCCACAGGCCCTGTACCCACCCAGTACTATGGACAGTGTGGGGAGTGATTAAGAGCACACCTTCTCAAGTCAACTGCCTGAGTTCAAATCTGGGCTCCAACACTTGCAAGCTGTGTAACCTAGAAAATGTAGGTGTCTTCCATTCTAAAGTTTAATATTACCTACTTCATTGGGTTGTTGGAGAATGATATGAGAAAAGACACATAAAGCATGTGTCATAAAGTATGCAATGAATACTATCATTAATAAATTAATAAAATGAGGTCTTCAAGCCTCATTATAGGGGAATGGTTGTTAAGTGGTTCCTGAATGAACTATATGGCCATTTTGGTCCTTGGTATCTTAAGTAGTCACAGTCTTAAGGCTTCCTTAACTTTAAAAGACAGTCATCCTAATTACTAAAAAACCACTTGCTTCGGAGAAAAAAAATGCTCTTAAAATATGATTTCACATTTTCAGAAACCCACCTGTTAGAGAAAGCAAAGTTCCCTATAAATTAATCCAATCTACATGGGTTACCCAAAAAAATAATTAGTATTTAAACTAATGGAAAGTTTCCCTTAATACTTGCGATAAACAAAGTTCCAAATAGAAAAGATCAGCTGGTCCTCAAAACCTCTTAAGACATGTATCAAAAGTTTGTAATTGTTGAGCTAGAATTAAAAGGAGGCAAGGGAGGGAAGGGGGTTTAAGATTTCAAATAGACATTTGACACAACCACTTCTACTGTAGAAAATTTTTCTGATGTGAAAAATTTCTGAGCGTCCACTAATTGTAACAACATTCAAATGACATTTACTTTGGAACATATTTTCCTCACTTCCTTGAATTCCTTCACAGCAAGGAGGAAAAAAAGATACTATATTTCAGAAAAAAATAGCCCAAGGCAAACAGAAAAAAATCAAACAAGTCTGGTAATGTATTTTGAAAAACAAATTTAACCAACTAAAATCATTTGATTATATTTCTTCTCTTCCTCTAAAAAAATTGTGCCATATCTAAATATGTGAAAGCTAAGGATAAAAATCCTTTTCCTCTAAAAGTAAATATACTTCAAAATCAACAAAAAGAAAAAGCGTAACAATTTTTAAAACAGTATATTGAGGGCCTTAAAATTAGCTGGAATTTCACTTTCCTGATAGTCAACCTCCGAATAAAATGTGAACTGCTTTTTAAATGAATCTATTCCAGTATTTTGCTTAATTGCTTCATATTGACCTCCTCATTTGCATTGCTTTTTGTTTTTTAGTTGTCTATTCTTTCAAGCTTAAACAGACCTAAAGTAGAAGTAAGATTCTTAAAACTGGGAAATTTTCCAAGTTCATTTCCATGATTAGCTTTTCAAATTTGTTCCAGCTCTCTCTACTTTTCCAAATTCCTGTTTTCATCCAGAAATACGAGTTTCAACATTAAGTAACCAGGCATAGAAAATTTCTTCCATTGCCATCTTCAAATCTTTAATATATCTTAAACATTTTTCACTAACTTTATACCAATACCCTCTCAAATGGCAATATAAATGCATGCAAATGTGTGTGCAAATGAAAAATCGTGGTTCTTCCAGAGACGAAGTCTCTAGCCTGCTTCTAAACACACTGTCCTGAATCTATGAGTATGCACGCAAATGCCAGATTTCTGAAAAATTGTCACAAGCAAATGCATATATTTCATTTCCTGCAAATAGTGGGAAACAAAACTTGACATTTTCTGCGCTTTTTTCCCCCATCATTTTCAACTCCTCCCATCCACCAATCATCTAACCCCCCTCCTCTACCCCCCTGCCAATAAATCCTGCTGACTCTTCCTTAACAGTTAATTCAACTGCTCTGGAATCCCTAGCCAGTCTCCAGGGCAAACCTGAAGGTCCCAAGTCAACTGAAAGCACTGTCCTTGGGCATCTGACCCCCTTATCGCACACCACCCTTTTTTCTCCACTTTCCACAGATCCACCCAGAAGTGTCAAGTGTGACTTCAAAACCTTCCACCTTCTCCACTTTGCATCCTCCATCCACACCATTTGCTTGGGGCCTTGCAATTCCAAGTACCAAGACTCCTTTTGGATGCTTTATTTTGAAAACATGAAAAATTGTCTTTCTGCTGACAAAGCTCAATTCACTGCATTTCTCATGCTTTGGAACTATGCAATTTTAGAGCTAGATGGAATCTCAAGACATAAGTCTAGGCTAGTCCTTTCCTTTTATAGATCTAAAGTCTACAGCTCCCAAAAGGTAAATGAATCATTCAAAACTCAGGCCCAAATTATAAATCTCATTCAAGACTCAACTCAGAAAACACCTGATTAGAGATTCAGCCCCTTCAGCTGGGCCTTCACAATTAAATAAAGACCTCATCATCCAAAATAGTATTAACACAGGGCACACTTTAAAATAGTTGATAGAAAGGAGGAAAGCTGATAACTGTTACACATTTTTATCTTTCTTCTTACCCAAAACTTCAATTTAACCACCTATCATCATAAACACACAACACACCTCTGAAAGTAGGGCAACTGTGTGCTATATTCCTAGAATTACAGATCCCCAAATTATATATATATATATATATATATATATATATATATATATATATATATATATATAGTAAGTAACATAACACAGAGACCTTTAAATGCTGAATTGCCATTTTAATAGAGAAAAAATCTGAAAACAAGGAATAAAAAGAAATTTTCTTAATTAGGTTACAAAGCAAAAAATTACAGTAACCATCATATTTAAGTCATATTTAAGTTTTAACAAATTAGCTTCATTCCTTTTAATATTAGAAACAAGAATTCCACTACCACTGTTTCCTGGAAGCACTAGCCAACAAAATAGGACTAGAAAACAATCACTGTAGATGTGACTGTTTTATTTCAAAAAAAAAAAAAAATCAATGGGTCTCACAATGTTGCCAGATATATGATGAATTTAGAAAAACCAATAGCATTCCTTCATATCAACGATAACCAATCAGAAAATAGAAAATAAGATATCATTCACAATAGTAATAAAAACTATGATGTACAAGTATTAACCCAATAGGGAGTATATGAGACCTTTATAGAGGAAAAAAAAAAATTTAATCCATGAAAAGAAATCAATGCAGAATTGAGAAAATGGAAATACACATATCAGGTAAATGGATGAGACAACTTAATGTTGTAAAGATGTCAGTTCTCTCTAATTAGCTTTATAATTATTGTAATAAAAATTCCGGCAGGATTTTTTGAGCAACTCAACAAATTTATTCTAATACGTAAATAGAAGAATAAAGCTTCATGAAAGATCAAGTTAATTTTGAAAATGTGAGCAAAAGGGAAGAACTCATCCAACCAGATACAAATATTAACAAAACCACAATGGAAATACGCACACATACAAACACATACATATATGTGCATATTACGGTCTAAATATTTGTGTCCCCTCCCCGCTAAAAAAGCTCATATATTGTGGCCGGGCACTGTGGCTCAAGCCTGTAATCCCAGCACTTTGGGAGGCTGAGGTGGGCGGATCATGAGGTCAGGAGATCGAGACCATCCTGGCTAACACGGTGAAACCCCGTCTTTACTAAGAATACAAAAAAATTAGCCGGGCGTGGTGGCGGCAGCCTGTAGTCCCAGCTACTTGGGAGACTGAAACAGGAGAATGGCGTGAACCCGGGAGGCGGAGCCTGCAGTGAGCCGAGATCACGAGACGGCACTCCAGCCTGGGCGACAGAGCAAGACTCTGTCAAAAAAAAAAAAAAAAAAAAAAAAAAAAACCTCATATATTGAAATCCTAACCCCAAAGTGATGCTATTAGGTGGTAGGGCCTTGGAAGGTGATGAGGACATGAGGATTCACAGCCTCACTTGAGGTAAGTCACTCAGCTCTCTTCAACTGAGGTCCAAAAAAGTCACCACAACTCTCTATGGAACACCATAACTGGGAGCTGAGTTAGCATCTTCGAAAAAAATTACTTTTTAATATCAAAGGCCAATATAGCATACTAATTCTCAGATACTTAAACAATAAGCTCATTAGAGCTAAACCACATGGAGCTAATACTTTAAATTGTTTATATGGTTTTTAATTAACTATTCCTAATAACAGGAGTAATGTTTGATGGGCAGTATGTATACAGATGTCAAAAACAAAATGTAGACTACACCCCGCATAGCATTTAATGTGCATTACTCAGGAATCATCTGTCTCCACAGCTTACTGCTTCCCCTCAAGGATGGCCTTTCTCAGGCCAGAGATGGTATCTAACCAGCCATGGTGTATTCTGTTGAATTTGATACATGGCCTCACCTTGCAAAAGCTATGAATGCAGTAAATAAAGAGCAATAAATCCCCCCAACCTCAATTTTTATCACCGGTTAAACCACTGCCTCTTCCCTGAAAACCTAATTTTAAAAATATCAACACTGATTCATTATTATCTCTTCTCCTTTTCCAAACAGGCAGAAGAGTCTGGAAAAGACATACATACCACCACACTTATCATACACAAACATGAAATGTCCAAAAAGCAACCTGGCACAACATCAACTGACTCACATTATTCAGAGATTCAGCAAGTATTTAATAAACATTTACTATGTGCCAGGCACTGCTCTCAGGAACAAAGTACAACAATAAGCAAAACAAATATTCCTGTCCTCACAGAAATGGCATCCTGGTGAGAGAAAGAGTTCCTCCCCACCCACCACCCCCTAAAAAGACAAATAGGTGAAATATGAAGCAGGGATAGAAAAAAAGAAAAAAAACTTGAGGAGGCTTTCCAATTTTAGGTAGGTGGCCAGAGAACGCTTCATGAGAAGGTAACATTTGATTAAAGATGTCAACGAAGTAAAGGAGTGAGCCAGGCTATCTGGGTAAGAGCATTCTACATAGAATCTCAACAGAGCACAAAGGCCCTGGGGTGAGAGTTCACTTGGTGTGTTTGAGCAAGATGGACAGTGTGGCAGAGGTGGAAGTGAGCAAAGCATAGAGCAATATGGAGTTGAGGTCAACAGGTTAGGGATGGGAGAGACTAGTTCCTGAATTAGAAATTACAGACAACAGCCAGGCAAGCCAGATGCCTGGTACCACCTAAGGCTCATGCAGACACAGAGAATGACAAGCAAATTAGAAGAATGGGTTTCAATAAGCTTTCTCCTCAGGGTCATAGTCAGGTATTAAATTGTTATTTGCATACAATTTACTTAGGTCTACATGGAATGGATCATTTCAACTGGATAATTTTCATCATAAAATTATATTACTACTGCCCTGAAGATGGGCTTTTCATGATTTATTCTATGCTCTATTTCTTCTCACGTCTCATTGTAATCGACCCAGAAGATACTTTATGCCAGTAATGAATCATAGAACAAAAGGCGAGTGCGTGCTGAGGAATTCTATAAATGATCACTCTGGAACATGGGGACAAGGGCTCCTATTTTATATTTAAACATCTGTCTCCTACCAGTGGGTCAAACCAGCCATGGGATGGGAAGTCCAATGTCATTCTGAGAACATTTCAAGAAGCAAATTTGATTTTTCTTAAAATCAATAACTAATCTCTGACAGAGCACTCCTGTCTACTAAGAGATCATTATCTCCTTCCCAAATGCTCAGGCACAAAAATGCCAAGCTCAAAAGGGCACGCCTACTTGTGTTTCCAAATGTTTCATGCTAAAAAAATTAAATCACGACATCATCAACATGCCCAAGCGGCGTGCAGACTCCTACAGGAGCTGTGGAATAAATCCCACTAATTACTATTCCAAGCTTGGTATTGCTGATGAAGTTAAGATAAAAATGCAAGATTTGCTAATAACACAGGAAGTCTGGCTAGATAGCACCTTACTAACCCACCTACAGTGATAGCCACAGGAGGCTACAGAAACCTTATAAGTCGTGCGTCCATGAGGCAATTTTCCTAAAAACACTGTATTTGGCCAGGACCTTAGAAGCTCTTGATATTTGGCTTCTTCTTTTCTCCTGTGCTTTTTATAAGTATGGAACACATACACAGGTGTCTTATATACCTAGATTTAACCCCTCCCTAATTCCCAGTAAGGCACTTTTGCCAAAGCAGAAATAAACTGTAGGCTCACAGGCTTATGCTAACACTAAGTTAGGCTTCTTGTTGTTGTTGTTGTTGTTGTTTTGTTGTTTTTGAGACGGAGTTTCGCTCTTGTAGCCCAGGCTGGAGTGCAATGGCGTGATCTCGGCTCACCACAACCTCCGCCTCCTAGGTTCAAGCGATTTTCTTGCCTCAGCCTCCCCTGTAGCTGGGATTACAGGCATGTGCCACCACGCCCAGCTAATTTTGTATTTTTAGTAGAGACGGGGTTTCTCCATGTTGGTCAGGCTGGTCTCAAACTCCCGACCTCGGGTGATCCACCGCCTCGGCCTCCCAAAGTGTTGGGATTATAGGCATGAGCCACCGCACCTGGCCTAGGCTTATTTTTAAAACACAAATATGTTTAGATCCTGTCTTGGACTTTTAAGAATCCTGAATCCAGACACAGGACTTGAGTAAACAGAGCCAACAAGATTCATTTACTTATTTTTATTTACTTATTTTTCTACTAATTTCTGAAGCACAAAGGAAAGCGCCTGACTCACTCTCAGATCTCTCCATTTTTACCAATGAATTCAAGACAGGGGATCTTTAGCAGTATTTGTGGTTTAGGCACTAGGCTGCTGTCATTCCAGTCACTGAAATCTGCAGAAAGTGTGTGGATGGAGCCATTAGAAACAACCCAGGCGAGGCTTAGGCTATTTTAAATGAGAAGATATTTGTGTTGCCCCATCTCAGGATTTCAGGTAGCAGAGTTAGAAAAGCTGTAGTAGATGCTTTCAATATCCTCAATTTAACCAACTAATTGGATGTCCCACCACATTTCTTCCAAAACCTACTGACTGATGCATTCTAGTGCTGACTCAAAGCCTTTCTCTAGTTATGCCTGCACACTCTGCCCCCACCAGCTGAGCTGGGTATTTACTAACAGCCAACGGTATTTAGTCCCTACTGTATTTGTGCTGCTGTACTTATTATTTTAATTACACAATTTAAATAACAAAGAAACCAATAAAAGTATGAAAATAATTGTCTTTATGAAACTAAGCTGTATAATTTGAAAAATATCAATAAAAGTGAGCTGCTAAAAACAGCCATTGAATTAGGTACAGGCATGACAACTAAAAAAGAGTAAAAACTATCTCTAAAAACCTAGAAGCGTTCTGTAATCAGGCTGCCCTCTTCTTTAAACAAATCAAAACAGGAAATTACAGGTAATACATAATAGATATGCTTTACATCAGGGAGATGATGCAGAAACTCGAGCAGCAAGCCTACGCTTGATGAATGGGCCTTGGAACTTTAGAGCTAAAGACTGGTGGGTAAAGATTCAAAGTTAAAATGACACACACACTTAAGGTCTGTATACATAATGGTGGATGATTTCGCTGTTTTGATTAAGGAATGATGTCTCCATATCACCTTAGCTAAGACTTAGGACTTCTCTTGAAGTATCTCAGCCCTATGATCATAGAACCCTGGAGTATCCCTAATGTGTGAGCTCTAAGAATGCAGTTTCCATCAATTCACCAGTGCAAATACTGGCTCAGCAAAGAGCTTCTGGGCTTATTACAGAAGTGGCATTGGCTAACAGGTGTCAATACCTGAGCAAGTTGGCTCTGTGTTAATACAGGGAGGAAGACAGGGTGATCCTTACAGGAAATGCAAAAGAAAAGTTGTTGGGCTTTACATAAAACACAAAAGCTCCTACTATGGCTTCTGACCCAGCATGTCACTGTCATAACAGACGTTAGAGCACATGAAGAAGAAAATTAAACTCTTATCACTCCTTGCATGGTAGTACATGAGAGTTTTTTTCTCATTTCTTCCTGTCCCCAGAGACTCTACTACCTGCTGAAGAGTCCAAATTATTCATTTTTTAAGAGTTTCATCTTGTGTTAAAATCTAATTGGATTCCTACAGCTTTAACAGACTTAGTGACTTTAAGTCTAACGGATCAACTGGCCTAATTCCATCAAAACTGATACGGGAAGAGCAAAAGAGAAGTTATGGAGTTGGGGACAAAAACATGACCTTCACCCAGAGCCAGGCTGAGAATACGTTCCATAATAGAACGCTATCATTTGGGGATATTCCTAAAACTTTGATTTAGGTTTAGATACAGGAGGTGGCTATAAGCAGCGACAAACAGAGAGATGAAAAAATGTGGAAATTACACGTGCTGGACACATTGTGTGTCCTGCCTTACACCTCTCAATCCACATTTTAACTCCTGGCTGCTGAGCCAACTATTGGTACACAGACAGCATGAGGCCTTGGCTGTGCTATTTACCTCCTACCTTCTGACCTGGGACTCTTCTACAGAAGCCTGTTTGGAAAGTCCACAGCAACTGTTCAGCCACATACAAGTGCAAATCTAGGCATGCAAGAGAGAGTTAACCCCACCTACCTCCCACCTTGGGGCAGCCCTTGATCAATGGGAGATGGGTGCCAGGAGATGATAATCCCATTACCTGTGTCTGGGGTAGAGAATTCTGAAGCACATTCTGTGTGGTTCCTACAAGGGTAGCCAGT
The DNA here is from genome assembly GCF_000001405.40 of Homo sapiens. NCBI lineage: Eukaryota > Metazoa > Chordata > Mammalia > Primates > Hominidae > Homo > Homo sapiens. The sequence goes on from NC_000003.12 coordinate 31,843,367, forward strand.
GGGATTTGGCTTAAATTGCCCACAGCTGTAATCAGCACAAAAGCACACCTCCTGGGGTTCCTCCTCTCTTTCCATATTTTGTTCCTCTTGCTCTCCTTATTCTACTCTTCCGGGATGACATTCCTGCACCCAAGCCTTCATCCCTGAGGCTCTGCCTTCTGGGAGAACCCATCTAAAACAATAAATACCCATTGTTTCAGAGTGCTAGACAGTGGCAAAATGGTATGCTTGCTTTAATCTGACATCTCTGATCATTGTTGGCCCTCCTTCCTTTGCTGCCCCAATTTATTCTCTCTATAGGTTAAAGTTCCAGTTGGCATAACAGCAAAGTTCCTTTCCTCCTCAAGTCTATCAAGAGCTACATTGAGGAATACAGAGACGCATTTCCAGACAAAGGACCAATCTAGACACTGCAAATAGAGCATATCTAATAATAAGTTCACGATTGGGTATCTCCAAGACATATACCCCGTGCTCAGGGAGTCACATGTTAACAGCTCCACAGTCACTGGTGGCCCTGGACCATTAGTTCTAAATCAAACACAGGCAGCAGCCATGAGTCCAGATGCTCTGAGCAGAGAGAGGGCAGATGAGGCAAGGGACAGGGATGCTAGGGTCTGGGGATACATAACTAAGATCTGCTGATGAGCAGAGTAGTACAAAGATTGTTTTTCCCCATGAGCAATTATGATAAGATGGCTGAGATTCTAACATTTTACACCGTAGGTACAAGATGCTGAACTAGGATTCCTGTAACAAAGCACCAGTCAGGCAAAAGGGGACCCATGTATTATCTTTGGGATTGTGACTTAAATCATTATAATGCAGAGAATTGCTTAGCAGCAAGCAAAATGTGTTGGTTCCAACCGTGAACTGCCATGATTCAAGTAAGCTGGCTCAGCCTGTATATTTTATGACCCAAAGACTGAGGAATAAGATTAATGCCTTATACAAAAGAATTAAAAACAGACTCAAATACATATACACAAATGTTTATAGCAGCCCTATATGCACAATAGTCAAAAGGCAGAAATAACTCAAATTTTCATCAACTGATAAATTGATAAATGTGACAAATCCATACAATGGAATATTCATCCATAAAAAGGAATGAAGTATTGATACATGCAACATTGTTGTTGAAACTCAAAAACATTATGATAAAGAATAAGATGTCAGACACAAAAAGTCACATATGATTTCATTCATAGGAAATAATCAGAATAGTAAATCCATAGAAACAGAAAGCAGACTGGTTGTTGTCAAGGGCTCAGGGAAGAGAAATGGGGAGTAACTGCAAATGGGCACAGGGTTTTATTTTGTGGTAGCAAAAATTGTTTTGGAACTACATAGAAGTGGTGGCTATACAACATAACGAATGTACTAAACATCATTTAATTGTCCTCTTTAAAAATGGCTAATTTGGACCAGGCACAGTGGCTCACGCCTATAATCCCAGCACTTTGGGAGGCCAAGGCAGGAGGATCACTAGTGGCTATGAGTTCAAGACCAGCCTGGGCAACATAGCAAGACCCCATCTCTACAAAACAATGTTTTTTAAAAAAACTAGCTAGTCAAGGTTGTGCACACCTGCAACCCCAGTTATTTGGGAGGCTGAGGCAGGAGGATCACTTGAGCCCAGGAGGTCAAAGCTGCAGTAAGCCGTGTTTGTGCCACTGCACTCCAGCCTGGGTGACAGAGCAAGACCCTGTCTCAATAAAATTAACCATTGTATGTATTTTATGTCAATGACTTTCATATCAATTTTTTTTTAATGAAAATAAAAATGAACACCCTAAGGATCCAGCAACCCTCCACCGGCAATTCTAACACTTTCTGCCTGCCTGCCTCCATCTTCTCCTGCTCATCCTGAAAGGGTTTCTCTTTATGCCACAAGGTATGTGGAACATACAGAATATTTTATAATAAGGCTGCTCTTATTTCTTCTTCGTGTAGGCAGAACTGTATACCCAGGGTAACTGGACAAAAACTGAGAGATACTGGAAGCAATGACTCAAAATTACTTATTAAAGTAGGAAGTGAGTCCACCAACAGAAGAGATTCCAAATTGTTAAAGTGCTTGTTGTAGAGAGATGAGACCAGGATCTTCTTTCCTCTATTTTCCACATTTTATTATGTGCAATTATAGTGCTTTTATAGTAAGAAAAAAGTTAAACTAATGAATTCTATTATTCCTCAACTTCCTGATAACATTGACTGTTTATTACACACAGAGCAGAATCCAGTAAGAAGCGGTTCTGTGTCAGACTTCACCAAGAGGAAATGCTAAGCATGAGCCCCAGACAGCACACATTATAAAGAGAAAAAAGGCAAAAAGCAGTCACTCCACCAAGTCCAGATTTGAAATTCTCTACTGCTCTGCATGACCCAGAGACAGGGCAACATGGGCAAACCGATGCTTTTCAGAGACTCCCAAAACCTGTCATTTACAGCAGGGCAGGCTCTTTTCCATGAATGGATTGCTACCATTTCAGGTTTCTTTGGCTTACCTGTGCATTACTTATTTGACTTCAAGAGGAATCCCGCACAACTGTGGTCAAGACATGGAGAAGATGAGACATGTGCTTTGCAAAAGGCAAATTTGAAATAACTGAACCATGACAAAATTTTAAAATAGCTATTTTTAAAGTTTATGTTTCTTTTGAGACAGGGTCTCACTCTGTCACCCAGGATGAAGTGCAGCGGCACCATCTCTGCTCACTGCAACCTCTGCCTCCCAGGCTCAAGCAATCCTCCTGCCTCAGCCTCCCGCGTGGCGGGGACAACAGGCATGTCCCACCACACTACGCTAATTTTTTAATTTTTTGTAGAGACAAGATCTCACTATATTGCCCAGGTTGGTCTCAAGCTCCTGGGCTCCAGCGATCCTCCGCCTTGGCCTCCCCAAAGTGCTGAGATTATAGGCATCAGCCATTGCATCTGACCAGAAATGGCAATTTAAAAAATCCTACTGGGGCCGGGCGAGGTGACTCATGCCTGTAATCCCAGCACTTTGGGAGGCCAAGGTGAGTATATCACCTGAGGTCAGGAGTTCGAGATCAGTCTGGCCAACATGGTAAAACCCCGTCTCTACTAAAAATACAAAAAAATTAGCCGGGCCTGGTGGTGGGCGCCTATAATCCCAGCTACTTGGGAGGCTGAGGCTGAGGCTGAGGAATCGCTTGAACCTGGGAGGCGGAGGTTGCAGTGAGCCAAGATCACGCCATTGCACTCCAGCCTGGGCAACAAGAGCAAAACTCCATCTCAATAAATAAATAAATAAATAAATAAATAAATAAATCCTATTGGGAACAATTAATCTAGTGCTAGTGGCCACATATAAACATATACCACTCTCTTGACTACCCTTTGGGCAAATCCAAAGGTCTTATCCCAAATGCCCCTCTCTTTCTCTGCAGCTTCTGGTGCTCCTGAGCATGCCCACCTTTCAAAGCTGGGATGAAAAACCATGCGAATTTTCCTCCTGTATCTGAGTGTACATCCTTTAGCTCATCAATGTCCTCTATATTCCTCTATCCCCCAACTATGAGTGAACCCCAAGATCCAGCCTTCTGTTGTTTGTACGGACTTTTCTCTACAAAGAACTTTTTGTGTGTCTTCAATTGTCACCTCTTCTCAGAAGAATCACAAATGTCCACTCTCAGTCCTCAAAATAACTCAGATTTCCAATTATCCATAAAGGGCTGTCACTTCAAGGATCCCCCAACCCAATGTCTCATTCTCCCCTTTCTCATTACATCATTTATCCACCAGGTGGTTCCCCATCTCAGCCTCCACTCACAAGTCATCTGCAATTCTCCCCATTCCTTTTTTTTTTTTTTTTTAAAAAGACAGAATTTCATTTGGTAGCCCAGGCTAGAGTACAGTGGCACAATCTCGGCTCACTGCAGCCTCGGTCTCCCAGGTTCAAGCAATTCTCGTGCCTCGGCCTCCTAAGAAGCTGGGAGTACAGGCGTGCCCACCACACCTGGCTGATTTTTGTACTTTGACGGGGTTTCACCATGTTGGTCAGGCTGGTCTCAAACTCCTGACCTCAGGTGATCCACCCACCTTGGCCTCCCAAAGTGCTGGGATTACAGGTGTGAGCCACCACGCCCAGCCTATTACTTCTCTCACTGTGGTAGCAAACCTTCTCTTGCCCTCCTCAGAGCTGTCCTTTCCTTAAACTATTCACCGGCATTACCCCAATCCATATCTGTGTTGACTCCCAATAAGTCTTCCAAATGAGTGGTTAAGACATAGACCCCTTCACACTCAACACTGAGAGAGAGAATACATTTTGAGTCAACAAGATTTTGTCCAGTCAGGAAGTCAGAAGTGTCTCAGTGAGGGAATTTAATATGGAAAATTGGTTGCACAGAGGATGGAACAGCAGAAAGAACAGCCAAGGAGAGGGAGGCAAACTAAAGATCAGCAACATGGGAAACTATTACACCTTCCAAGGCTGGAGGATCATGGGAAGAGGGGCTGGAAGCAGGGCCCAGAAGCTGCAGCCAACCTGCAAGACCAGACACACAGCGGGGCTGCCTGTGGGACGAGGAGCCAGGGGGATGCAGCCCACAGCTCTCCCAAGACAAGCTGAAGGAGTGAAGCACGCCAGCCCCTCCTGCCTCCGAGGCTCCTGCCAGCACCTCCCTCAGGCTGAGCCTACCTGGAGCGGAGAGCAGGGACCCTGGGAAAGGCAAAGTCACAGGTGTCGCCAGTTTGTGCTATACAAGATGATGCAGAATCAGGCTTGACTTCAGGGGACACCTGCCCTGAAGCTTTGTTGTTCCTTTGGTTCTGGGCATGGTGTGATAGGATTCTATATACTCCGGCACAACCCCTTGTGGTCTTAAGTTTACCTCTTGGTGAACTGCCTTCCTTGACTCAGGCACACGTTTTACCTTCTCTTCTGCTGTTACTCTCTGCTTGTCCTAGAAGAATTTCACATCTCTCTTTCCCACTACAAGCCCCCCCCAGTTAGTTCAAATACAGACATACGGCAAGTTCAAGGTCACGGTGGAAAATGTTTTGTGAGTCTCATCTCAAACATGAAGAACATGAATTCCATTATCTGGTTCCAGTTCCACCCAGTGACTTTTTTCGTCAGTTCTTTTTAAAACTCATGCTCTACTACTCTCAAATGCCCTATTGCATTTAAAACGAAAAGTAACCAGGTTAAAGAATAATATGTTCCTAGGCCTGAGCTGCTGCTTCAACCTTTTAATTGCATTTCTGCCCCAGAATAAATGGGAGCAATGACTGCCTCCCACATGCCTGTTCCCTGCTCTGACCTCCTGCTCAGGTTTAAGGATTAACACAGAACAGCTGAAAAAGCATTTCTGGCCAAAAGCTGAGAGTCCAAGGCCATCTAAAAGCATGGCCAATGGTCTAAAATATTGTCTGATACATTAAAATGAAACAGAAGGAAAGGTACACCTTGTTTCTCTTCTTTATTTAATCACATCCTTAATAGTGACATATGTCAGTTAGGAACCCGCTCTGTTGCAAGTAACAGAAAACTGACTGACAGTGGCCTAAACTTCAGGATCCCTTTCATTACTTAGCAAAAAGTTCAGAGTTGGGTGGTCTCAGGTCCACTTTGGTGGCTCTTTCCACCTGAATCTGGCTGGCTGTGTCATTTGCTCTGACCAAGAGACTGTGATCAAAGTGACACTGTGTCAGTTCCAAGCCTAGGCTTCAAGATGCCTTTCATCTTCTGCTCCTGCTACTTTTGAAATTCTGCCAAGTCACATGTGAACAGAACCAGCCATCACCAGACATGTGAATGAGGCCATCCAGGAATAAAAGGCCCCCTGACCCACTTGTCCACTGATCAAATGAGCCTGCCCAGATAAGAAGAAATGTCCAGCATAGCTAGGAGCTAAATAAAGGATTATAGTTTTAAGGCATTAAGTTTTGGGAAGTTTGTTACAAAGCAATATAGACAGTATGGGCAATTTGAGGATACATTTATAACATTTAAAGTAGAATAGGATCTGAGTATATCTTCTAGTCCAATCCTCCTTTTTAGCGAGAAAACTGAAGCCCAGAAAAACAGAGCAATTATCTCTAACGCACACAAAGACAGGACTAGAAGATTCCTCCTGGTCCTGCCTGTGTGTTTTAGAGATAATTCTAGGTCTAGAATCCTAGGTCTCACTAGCCTTACCACTTCATACCATAACAAGGCCTTTCCTAGGCTCAAGGGTCTACTATATAACCAAAAAAATACCCACCAAGAGATTGCTATAACGTTGTTATACAAGAGATTGGATAAGACTTATGACATATGCATTCCACTAAATATCATGCAGCCATTTTAAATGACAGATCCATATACATACATATACACAAACACTGGCATGAAAAAATTTCCAAGACTGGGCTGGGTATGGTGGCTCACACCTATAATCCCAGCACTTTGGGAGGCCAAGGCAGAAGGATTGCCTGAAGCCAGGAGTTCGAGACCAGCCTGGGCAACATAGTGAGTCTCCTTCTCTACAAAAATTTAGCCAGGCATGCCGGCTCACACCTGTAATCCCAGCACTTTGGGAGACCGAAGTAAGCGGATCACCTGAGGTTGGGAGTTGGACACCAGCCTGGCCAACACAGTGAAACCCCATCTCTACTAAAAATTAACAAATTAGCTGGGTGTGGTGGTGCATTCCTGTAATCCCAGCTACTCGGGAGGCTGAGGCAGGAGAGTAATTTGAACCCAGGAGGTGGAGGTTGCAGTGAGCCGAGGTCACGCCACTGCACTCCAGCCTGGGTGACACAGTGAAACTCTGTCTCAAAAAGAAAAAAATTAAAAACTAGCTGGATATGGTCACACACACCTGTAGTCCTAGCTACTCAGGAGACTGAGGCAGAAGGATCTCTTAAGCCCAGGAGTTTGAGGCTGCAGTGAGCTACGATCATACCACTGCACTCCAGCCCAGGTTACAGAGCAAGACTCCATCTCAAAAAGAAAAAGAAAGAAAAAAATTCCAAGAGCTAGTAAGTGAAAAATACAAACAAAAAACAAAAACAATAAACCAGGAAAGAAAATATAAAATATGACCCCACTTCCCCCTTTGTTGAAAACAATATTCACATTTACATGCCCAGAATGGTTACTTTGGAGAATAGAGTGGAGGGGCAAAGAGCAAAGGGGCAGCAAAAAGCTTCCAACGTGTAAAAAAGGAAACCAAAATTCTACTTCATTAAAACAAATGTGAGAAAAATTTCACTCTCCATAGAAATGAGCAGAGGTCAGTGGCAGAGCACTCCCAGGTAACTCTCACAACCCCCACTCTGCACATAAAGCTGGCAATTATACTATTCGTCATCATGCCATCATTATAATCACGATATTAATAGCTACTGAACCTGTCTTTGATTAAGCCTCTCCAAAAGTATTGATTTACTTGCCTTGCAATGTCGCTATAAAACACAAGAAGGAAATGCTCCATCTACTTTACGGAATAAGAAACAAGTACAAAAAAGAAGGAAACAGCTCAAGGTCAAGGCCAATGATAGAACTATTGAGAAGAATACTCGAGTTTCTTCCATTCCTGAACTGCCTCCATTAATGTGGTGTGTCTGCATATAATTTGGTTATTAAGAAGTAATGAGGAAAGCATGAACAACATGACACTGGCTTCAAAACCAGAAAATCAAAGCAGTTATCCAAGGTCAGTATTTAAGTTGCAAAAAAAATTTCACAAGAGAAAAGATAGATGTCTTTTTCTCATTTCAAATGCCAAGGAACGCTCTAGTAACATTCTTTTGTATTTCAAAAATCAGATTCTAAAAAAACACTTCCTCAAGTTTAACCAGTCTGTACTATGCATCCCACTGGGGGAAGAAAATATTTATAGTTTCATACTGTACAGAAATCCCCGATGCCCTGGAAGTCTGTGTCGAGAAGTCCTAAGAGAGATGTACTTCTTTTCTCAGCCAGAGACGTGAAGGAGAGCTGAAGAGTAAATGCTCCCCTCCAATCCCACTCCCCAGTTCAGCCCTGGCCCCTCCATCATCTACCTTTGATGAGCAATGGAGAGGAAACCGGCAAGAGCCTCTCCCCGCATCTGCCCACAGCGGGATGAGGGAGGAGGCGCCGCTGTCGGTCCACACCATGGCAGAGTGGCTGCAGCCCATGAGGAGGGCCAGAAGGCACCAGGGCCAAGGCTCTGCCAGTCCTACCCAGACCAGCACGACTCACACGAGCTGTCAAACTTCAGGCTCAAGAGAACATTCTCCTCAATCTCTTCTCCACTCTGTCAGTGCAACACAGAGCACAGGGGAATAAAATTTCCGAAAGATGTGATTTGCTTCTTCAGCAACATGTGCCAGAAGTGTCATGCAGCTCTCCTCTGATTTGTGCAGTATCCTGGCAAAGGGGGTCTCAGACTGCAAAGTTCAGAACCCCCTCCATCCCGTGACTGAGTCCGGTGATCCCTGGAACCAGGCAGAGCAGGACTCAGAAGGCATTCTAGCTTTGCTGCTAAAACATCTCTCACTCTGCATCCCTTTCTGGGGGAGATGCCCAGGAGTCTCAAAGACATGATGGATAGGCTGTCTTGCATCTGGCAAAGAGAACAAGGCCCTTCCCAAGAGTAAAAGCTCAACTGCAGAACCACCCCGCTGGCCTTGCTTCTCTCTTATACACTGAAACACCATTCCCAGCAGCTGCAGGGTGAAAAAGGACCTCAAGTGAAGAACTGAACATATGGGGATGACCTCAAGCCTCACTTCTGCCATGCCCTAGCCATGTGGCCATTTAATCTCCCTGGGCCTCAGTTTCCTCATCTGCAGAAATGGAGATAAGACCTACCCGCAAGATTGTTGTGAGCATTATCTGAGGCAGGGATTTCTCAATGAGGGTGACTGTGCTCCTTCCCCTCCCCCAAAGCATTCAGCAAAGTCTGTCAACCGGCAGTCGGGGGCAGGGGGTCGGGGGGAAGGAGGTACACTATCAGGAGGTAAAGAGTACAGGGATGTGCTGAACATCCTACAATGCTCATGACAACCGCTTCACAACAACTATTATCCAGCCAAAAATGTCAATAGTACCAAGGTGGGAAAACCCTGGGATGAGGTGATGCACGTGAAAGAAACCTATGAACGACAGTGCACTATTTACTACAATTATTACAGGAGAAAAACACATTTTTGTGACATTTGAGCAAGCTACTCCTGTGGCACGGAAGTTTTTTCCTTTTTTTGTTTGTTTGTTTGTTTTGAGACAGGGTTTCGCTCCCGTCACCCAGGCTGGAGTGCAGTGGCATGCTCTCGACTCACTACAACCTCCAACTCCCAGGCTCAAGCAATCCTCCTGCCTCAGCCTCCCAAGTAAGTGAGACTACAGGCACACGCCACCATGCCTGGCTAATTTTTCTAATTTTAGTAGCGACGGGGTTTCACCATATTGGCCAGGCTGGTCTTGAACTCCTGACCTCAAGTGATCCGCCTGCCTCAGCCTCCCTAAGGGCTGGGATTACAGGTGTGAGCCACCACGCCTGGCTATTCCTGTTTTGTTTGTTTTAACACATGAATACATGATGAGAATCTAGGAATTTAAAGGTTCTATGCTATAAGTTGTAAAGAAAGAGTACCAAGGGCAATGTGCCCCACATAGTAGGCAGTTTATAAATGCCTACTGCCCAATGCAATGCACTGGAGTTCATAAGGTTTTTTTCACATGAAAAAGAGTTTTTTAGTCCAAAGAGGTATGCAGATCTGCCAAGCAACAAGGCTTAGGAGGGACGGAAGATGCCATTAAGATAAGCTGCCAAGTAGATGAATGAAAAATAAATATCCTAATACAGGTAGTCAGGCATCAGCAACCTTTTCTAGTTCCTGACCTGGCCTAAAGAGGATTCAGAGGGAAGAAAGATTGTGAAGGCAGGTGCCAACTAATTAACAAAACATGGAGTTCCACTTCAAATGACCCTGTATCCTAACCCTCAGTGTAGTTCCTGATAACCTGTCTAGGTTACTGAGGGTCAGCATCAAGGGGTCTGTGAAGGGCTGGAAAAGCAGCTAAGAATACAAGATGATGGAGGTAAAGTCTATGGTAGAGAAACAGGATCATCTAATTTGTACCACAGGCAAGAGTGGTAGGGAAGGTCAATGCTGGGCAGAAAGAAAAATGCAAATCAAGGTTAGCCACCTTGGAATACAGATTGGATGAATGGAAGGAAGAAAGGATCGATGCTATAGTTTGCCCAGCCCAGAACTGACTCTACTTAAATATTAACCCCAAAATGCTCAATTAACTCCCCAGGCATCTTCATTTTCCTACTTATTATTATTCACACAGTTTTTCTTCTCTTCTTGGGCTGAGACACGTCAGCTCACTTCTGCCACATTTCAGGAAGCACCTGCACGTTCTGTTCTAACTTGAGACAGAGCCTCTGCTCTCACCTGGCTGCACCACCCACACATCAGGGATCACACACATGAGGCAGCAGCCCAGTCCAGTGGTGCTGGAGCAGCAAGGCCTGGCTCCAAAATGCAGCCCCTTATCAGATATGCAACCTAAGGCAGTTATTTATAACGTTTCAGGGTTTTATCCTCATTGCCTATTTAAAAAGCAAGACATATCTTATAAGGATATTGTAAGGATTAAACTAAATAATATCTATTAAAGTACTTAACACTGCGCCTGGCATTTTGATCAAGTTTGATAGATGCTGGCATAACAATGTTCATCTATCTGTATAAAATATTGGTCAAGGTCACTCACAACCTTCTTTCATGATATATACATTATATCTCAGTAAAGTTTTTTTTTTTTTTTAAGGATAACTTTATCCCAAAGATAGCATACAGAATGGTCTAGAGAGATTGCCTAACTGTAAAGGCCAAACTGACCCCAGTGGTGGTTTTATCAAAGGCCTGCTCTGATCTTCCTTTTAAACGTCATCTTCCACAATACACTGTGCGCCTCACTCTCCAAGCCCAAGTGTTCTAACCAGTTCTCTGCATCAGCCTGGCTGCCATTGGCCCATAATGCCTCCTTTCCCACATTTTCTTAGCCACTCAGTTCCTTTGTGGTTAGTCTCAGCTAAGACAATAGCAAATGAATAAATTACTTTTCTTAAAATTCATATTATTAACATGGAAATGATTAATAGGTAACTTCTCCCAAAGAATATATACTTTTTAAAAAAGAATGTTTTTAAAAGTGTTAGACTATATATAATTTTACAGTTTTATATAACACACATACAATATATAATTTTTAAAAGTTGACAAAGAAATAATTTCAAACTTATAGAAAGTTGAAAAGAAAACCCACCACGTATCCTTTACTCGGTTTTACCAATTACTAACATTTTACCCCATTTGTTTTATCATTTGTTCCCTCTGTTCTCTCCTTCCCCACTTTAAAATAAACACATAAACACACATAATTATTATACGAATAAATGAATGAAACTTTTTCCTAATTTAAGGGTAAGGCCTTTTCCCCTTAAATACCTCTAACTGCTTCAGTGTGTCTTTCTAAAAACAAGGATATTCTCTGTATAACCACAGGACAGTTATCAAATGCCTTTATCCTATCTACTGTCTGTATTCCAATTAATTCCATGTCAGTGTAAAATCAGATCTAGTTTAGGGTAGGTATCGCATTTGGTTGTCATGGTTTTGTTTTGTTTTGTTTTGTTTTTGTTTTTGTTTTGCCAGAGACAGGGATCTTGCTGTGTCCCCAGCCTGGGGTGCATGCTGCATGATTAGCTCACTATAACCTCCAACTCTCGGACTCAAGGTATCCTTCCACCTCGGCCTCCTAAGTAGCTGGGACTAAAGCATGTGCCACCCTGGCTAATTTTTAAGTTTTTTTGTGCACACAAGGTCTTGCTATGTTGCCTGAGCTGGTCTCAAACTCCTGGGCTAAAGCAATTCATACACCAGGTCTCCCAAAATGCTGGGATTACAGTTTGAGCCGCCATGCTCGGTGAGTTGTCATGTATCTTTAGCCTCATTTAATCTGGAACACTTCCATACCCTTCTTGGTCTTTTATACTGACATTTTTGAAGAATACAGTCCATGTAGGATATATTTTTAAGTAGGAATACCTTAAAATATTTACTGTTGTTCTCTAGCCTCCAGCCTTGTTTTACTTTTCTTCATAGAACCTGTCACCACCTGGCACAGTACATATTTGTCTGTTGGATGTCTCCCTCACACAAGTACAAGCTACACGTAGTCACTTTCCAGGGTCCAGTACTATATCCTAGTGCCTAGAACATTATGGTACACAGACATGCAGTGTTTGTTGAATGCTACTCCCAAGCATTCATCTACTTGCAGTGTTTGTTGAATGCTACTCCAAGCATTCATTCGTTCTTCTAAGCCTTTCCTCCAATGTTAGCAAAACAGGGACCAGACACCCCCACTCTGAACAACTGACCCCAACTTTATCACTCACAGTGGATGCAGTTCAGTGCAGGAAATGTCCTCAGACTAAGAGCTGTCTACCCTCAAGTCAGAACTTCTCACAGAGGGCTAGCGATGGAAAATCACCCCACAAGGTTCTAGGCAAAAAAACAGCAACTCAAGTATTGTAGAAAAAAGCCCTATTTAAGTACAGATGTATGGTGCAATAAACTAGTTCAACTGAATCAAAACTGTACCATTTTGTTTTTTCCTAAAAATATATATATTTATATATGTATAATATATGTTATATACATTTATGTTTATATTACACACACACACACACACACACACACACACACACACACACACACACACGTTTTAATCTAAAGGCCTTCTTGACCTAAAATGATCTTCCTGGGTAATGTTAGGACTTTCCTTTCAGGCAAGGCGGGCAGCCAAATGTTAAGATTATGCTGGAGAAGGTATGCAAAATTGTTGCACTTTATTAAGACAATTAAAAAAATCCCCAAACTTTATTGTTTTAATAAAAGCTGTTCTTAAATTGTGTTTTATTTACTTAATTTGATGGTATGTTTAGGAGGGTGATGTTTTACACTTAGTTTTAAGTACCCAAAAAGTAATTATCTGTGAAAAATTCTAGAAGAAAAATGGCACTGAGCTTAATAAAACATGAAAGCAAAATTACCCAATAGCAGAAATAAGAAGACAGAGCCAAGGGAAGAGTCAATCCTTAGATGAGCTTGTCCAACTTTACTAAGGGAGTTTATCCAGCCTAAACTCATCGGAATCTATTCCCCCAAAGACTTGCTACTTCGGAAAACATATTATCCTCATACTCTGCTTTTCAACCTGGAGCACTTTATACCTTCAGTCTCAACAGGAGATGCAGCATATCTTACTTTTCACCCAATGATTTGGGAAAGAAAATAAAACAGCTTTAAAATATTTTATCAGGCTAGTGTATTGTTCAGTAAGATGTACGAGTTGAATGTAAGATACACCTAGGGCTTCTTGAAAATGTTTTCATGTAGGCCAGACACAGTGGCTCATGCCTGTAATCCCAGTGCTTTGGGAGGCCAAGGTGGGAGGATCACTTGAGGCCAGGAGATCAAGACCAGCCTGGCCAGCATGGTGAAACCCCGTCTCTACTAAAAATACAAAAATTAGCTGGGCATGGTGGCGGGCACCTGTATTCCCAGCTACGTGGGTGAATCGCCTGAACCTGGGCGGTGGAGGGTTCAAGGATCACACCACTGCACTCCAGCCTGGGCAACAGAGTGAGACCCTGCCTTGAAAAAGAAGTTTTCATGTGGGCAGTACTAACCCTCTTCAACCTCCAGTGGCATTCATACCCCCTGCCCTCTGCAGATGGAGAAGCTCTGCTTACAGAACCCAAGACAGGAGCTAGCTCTGCTAATCAGCCAACCACCCCAGCACCGGAGGGTTTTGTCAAGGAAGAGGCCACTCAACAGAGACTATTAATCACTATTTAATTCAAATAAAGGGGAGAGATGTAGCAGCTCCCCTCAAAGAGCATTAAACTTTAAACACTTCAAATTATTTCAAGTGAAAGCAATTCAGAGTAGCAAGAAGAGGAGCCTAATCTGAACTGGCAGGAATTTGGAATTACTGAACATCTTCAAGGACATTAGATGTTAAGACTTTCAAGTGAAGAATATAATGAGAAGCAGGTTCATCAGTGACTGCCTGATGGAGAGCATCTCCCTGAAGATAAAACGACCAACTCAATAGTGACCCACGAGAACACAGCACTCAGCAAAAGAGCCTCGGCTCCAGGTTTTAAAATACATTTTTAATAATTCAAATTTTAACCACTTGAGTAACTACATTTTTAATATACAACTGACCAATGCAAAAGATGAAAATTTTGAATAATATCAAAAGGTACACCTAAATCCCTATATACTTTCAACCATAAATCTCTTGTTCCCCTAACAGCACCCCTGGCAACCACTACTACTAGCCTCTCGTGTGTCCTTCCAAAGATTGGCAGGGGGGTGGGGGGGAGAGACAGAAAGGGAGAGAGAGAGAAAGGGAGAGGGAGAGGGAGAGGGAAAGAGGGAGGGAAAGAAGGAGGGAGAGGGAGAGGGAAAGGGGGGGAGAGAGAGAGAAAGAGAGAGAGAGATACAGAAAAAGTAAGTATGTGTGTGTCTCTCCCGTTTTTGTTTGACTGGTTGGTTGTTCCTATCATGGTATATCTTCCCCACAGCCTGTGTTTTTTTTTTTTTTGAGACAAGGTCTCGTTCTATTGCCCAGACTGGAGTGCAGGGGCGTAATCATGGCTCACTGCAGCCTTGACCTCCCTGGGCTTAAGCAATCCTGCCATCTCAGCCTCCCGAGTATCTAGCTGGAACTACAGGAGCACGCCACCACACCAGGCTAATTTTTTTATATTTCTGTAAGACAGGGTTTCCCTATGTTGCCCAGGCTGATCTCAAACTCCTGGGCTCAAGCAATCCTCCCATGTCAGCCTTCCAAAGTGCTGGGATTACAGGTGTGAGCCACTGTGCCCAGCCCCCTATGTTTTTTAACCTTTTCATCAACTTTAATAAATTAAATTTCTCTTTTATTGCAGAAGCTCAGTTTTTTATCAGAAATACCCCATTTCATTTCACAAGCTGTGCCTTTCCAGTCTTGGGCAGTCAGGTACTGCTTGTTTCGCAGGGCCCAACTTAGCTGGGTCCTGAAAGCACAGTACCCCTCACGGAAACTCATTCAGTGTCTGGCTCTGTACTAAGAGCACAACAGACATGATCTCATTAATCCTCACCACAGCATACAATTCAATCCTCACATCAAAAATTACTGTCCTCATTTCAAGGAATAACTTGCCCCAGGTGGCACTATAGGGCTAGTTCTGAACCGGGTACTGCCCCCAGAGAGCCTAGAGCACTTGCCTTTAATCCTGCAGCATCACAGAAAGTGAGATGGGAGCCACTCAAAACCAGATGCACAATGTGAACAAGGCCAGCCTGGCTGAGTCTGGATTATACTGGAGCTTTCTGATGCATGGGGAATATAAACATTTGGGCAGTCTATCAAAACTTTTAGGGGGAAAGTCATAACAATCAGGTTTTAGAGATGCTTCTTAGCCACTCCTTCATGATCATCTTCAGGTAGAACTTGGCTTAACAACCAAGTTATCCATCAACAGAAATGTTGTAGCAGAATTGGGTGAATCTGTGTTATAAAAAGAATATTGTGACATGCTTAATATTACTTAATCCTAACAACTGCCCTGTAGGGTTGATGCCATTATTTTGCCCAATTTACAGAAGTGAAAACTGAGGCTAAGAGACATTACTCGTTTACTGAGTTACTTGAGATTACAAAGCTAGGTAGTAGCCTGTGAGTGGCCCAGGCACAGCCAGAAACCAGGTTTTTTTTTTTGTTGTTGTTTTTACCTAATTCCCTACATTGTCTATCACACCAGATCCTCCATTTGTTCTAAAAAATTTTGTCTATGTCAAAAAAAATGGGAAAAGTAAAGAGACAAACCATGAAATGGGAGCTGGAGCTTCCGGATAGCTGAATACAGGAGGCTCTAGGAGGGTGACCGCCCAGGGAGGGCGTAGAAGTTCCACGCCCCTTCCCTTATACCTCACCCTACATATCTCTTCATCTGTATCCTTTGCAACATCCTTTATAATAAACTGGTAAACATAAGTTTCAAAGGGCAGATTTACAATGTGTACATGGCCTCCAGCCATGCAGGTTGTTCTCATCAGTGCCACGCTGCCTCACGAAATCCTGGAGATGATCAGTAAGTTCATGATGGACCCAATCTCCATCTTGGTGAAATGGTTTTCTTTTGCCCTTTCACTTTCTGCCATGGGATGCCACAGCAAGAAGGTCCTCACCAGATGCTGGTCCCTCAATCTTGGACTTCCATCAAGGGAACATCACTAACGTCATCATCATCCCAAAATGAACCTCTCCCAGGCTCCTTAAGTTTATTTTTCTGTGCAGCAACTGCTTGTGCTGAGACATTGGAAAGGGCTTTGGTTCCAGAATCCTTGAGGAATACACAATTCATTACAGCACCCTTACCTTGTAGTATAATCACATTTCTGCTTAGGAAGGCCAAGAGCCCAGCAAAGTAGGTGGCATTCCCACATGTAATCAGACTGGCCCTTGAGGCCTAAGAGTGAGTGAAATTTTCCAATGGACTTGGAGATTGCCATGTAGGACTTACTCCAATAACAGTTCCATTTGGGCATGGAGAGTATCTTAAGAATGGTGTGGTGGACATTGCTCACATATACCTGGTAATCCTCTCCCTCCTGCGCACATTGGAACCAGCCCTTCCTGCTCCCTTACATGAAGTCTGAGTCAATGAAAAGCCTTTTCTTTCCCTGTGCCCTAAAAGGCCTTGTATTTGAAAATGAAAGCGTTTAAGATTTTGAAGAAGCCTGCACCTCGGCAACCTCTGCATCATTCACTGCACGAAGCACAGTCACCAGTCACCAGACCTATGATGGGCCAACTCTCTACATGAAGAAGCACATCCAGAGTTGTATTTTACTTGCCCCCAGGTCTATGGAGATGTAAAAAAGGAAAGAATTAAGCATCTTGTTATTGGATGGTCCAAAGGAACATGTCACTGAGTGAGTGACCTTAACCAAGTCATGAAACTGCATTAGAAGGATTTACTATGGGAGAAGAATGAGGGGCTCCAGGCAGAAAGCCCCAAGGCAATAAAGAGACAAGGAAGTGATAAGAGGGGACTGAACGACCAAGGAGGCTAGGGTTATGAGCCACATTCTCCACCGTTGCCACCACATCTTATCTGATGACCTGACCCACCACATTAAAAAAGTTCATGTATGTTCTTTTTAGTTTCTTCTACTCAAAACACTGTTAAAAATACCTTAGTTCTCTTTCTGTTTTTTGTTGTTGTTGTTGTTTTTAGATGGAGTTTCACTCTGTCACCCAGGCAGGAGTGCAGTGGCACAATATCGGCTCACTGCAGCCTCCGTCTCCTGGGTTCAAGCAATTCTCCTGCCTCAGCCTCCTGAGTAGCTACAGGTGCCCACCACCATGCCTGGCTAATTTTTGTGGGGTTTTTTGGGGTTTTTTTTTTTGGGTTTTTTTTTTTGTATTTTTAGTAGACACGGGGTTTCATCATGTTGGCCAGGCTGGTCTTAAAATCCTGACCTCAAGTGATCCGCCCACCTCAGCCTCCCAAAGTGCTGGGATTACAGTTGTGAACCACACATGGGCAAAAATACCTTAGTTCTTAAGTCTACAGGTTATTAAATATACATTGCTCTAACCTACACTATGGATAAAAATTGAAAATTAAGCCAATAACATAAATTATTAGTTTAGAAATCACAGATTTAGAATAAGTCATGTTTTTAATCAATGTGTTTATTTTTGATTTTCATTGGGTCAGTTTGGGGGTCATTAGGAAATTGTGAAGGCATATACAGTCATCCCCTTGGTGTCCATGGGGGATTAGTTCCATGACCCTTCTAAGACAGCAAAATTCACAGATGCCCAAGTCCCTGATATCAAATGGCATTTTATTTGCATATAACCTATGCATATATATTCCCCTGTAAATCACCTCTAAATTACTTATAATGTCTAATGCAATGTAAATGCTATGTAAACAGTTATTTGTATTGTTTACAAAATAATGACAAGATTAAAAGTCGATCCATGTTCAAAACAGATGCAATTTTTTTTAGAATATTTGTGATCCAGAGTTGGTTGAATCCACATAGGCAGAACCCACAGATACAGATGACTGATTGTCTATAGAACTAGAAACTCAGAATTTAAATTTTAGCTTGTATCATTGTTCAAAAATTGATTAATACCATTAATATTATTGGCCTCTTTGGTGACACTAACCATTCCCTTGGCAAGTTTGCACTGGTTATCTATTACTGCCTAACTACCCCAAAACAAGAGGTTAAAAGTGACTACTATTTTATTTTATCTCAACATGTGTCAGGAACTCAGGCCGGTCTTCCTGGGGTGATTCTTTCTATTCTGGGTGGCATCACCTCGGGTGACTCAGTGGTACTTGGCCAGTAGCTAGACTTGTCTGGAGGGGTCACGAAAGCCTCGTGCACATCCTGGTGCCTTGAGAGGGGCAGCTGGAAGCCTGGATTTTGCTGTGTCCCTTCATGTATTCTTACAGCCTCGCAATGGGGTCTCTCCAGTAGGGTAGTAAATATTTACAGAGTGGC
Organism: Homo sapiens; assembly: GCF_000001405.40. Classification (NCBI taxonomy): domain Eukaryota; kingdom Metazoa; phylum Chordata; class Mammalia; order Primates; family Hominidae; genus Homo; species Homo sapiens. The sequence goes on from NC_000003.12 coordinate 31,861,988, forward strand.
TCAGGGCTCTGAGCCAAGTGGAAGGGGCCAGTTTTCTTACAGCCCATGCCTGGAACTGTCAGCGGTACTTTGACTTTTGGTCAAAGCTGCCACATGCCAGGCTCAGAAATAGCCCCTTCATGCATTGCATGCCTCTATCAAAATATCTCACGTACCTCATAAATACATACACTATGTACCCACAAAAAAATTTTTTTTTAATTTTTTTAAAGAAAAAAATAGCACCTGCCTTTTGATGGGAATGCTGACAGGAAAGCTTCAAAGAATCTGTGGCTATCTTTAATGTGCCCCAGCCTGAGACCAAAGGACCACACATAGACATGCAAAGTATAAGCTCAAATCAAACTTGGAAAGACCGAAGCCTGGTTTAATTCTAACAATAATAAATTACCAAAATAAACATATCCTGCATTAAGACAGTGTTGAAATAAAAGATGTCTGCGTTCCACCCTAGAACTTTAACTATCATGAACAAATGCAACAGTAAAATGTAATGCTTTTTTTTTATTTTCTAAAAACAAAAAGAATGGGAGCTAATACTTGCAAATTATGTATCTGATAAAGGTCTAACTATCAAGACTATATAAATAACTCATATGACTCAATAAAATATAAATGAATAAAAAAAGACAAAGGATTTTTATATGTATTTCTCCGAAGAGTATATATGAATGGCCAATAAGCATATAAAAAGAGACTTAACATCATTCATTAGGGAAATGCAAATCAAAATTACAAGGAGGTATCACTTCACACCCACTAGTATGGCTGCTATACTAACAAATGTTGGCAAGGATATGGAAAAATTGGAACCCTATACATTGCTGATAGGGATGTAAAATGGTGCAGCTGCTTTGGAAACCAGTCTGGTTGTTCCTTAAAAAGCTAAACATAGAATTACCATATGGCCCAGTCATTCCACTTTTAAATATACACCCAAAAGAATTTAAAACAAACTCACACAAAAACTGGCATACAAATGTTCACAGCAGCATTATTCACAATAGCCAAAAAGCAAAAGCAACCCAAATATGCATCAAGCGATGAAGGGATTAAAAATTATGCCATGTCCATACAACGGGATATTAGTCATAAAAAAGGAATGAAGTACTGATTTATGCTACAACATGGATGAACCTTGAAAACACTATGCTAAGTGAAAAAAAGCCAGACACAAAGAGACACAATATTGCATACAATCCATTTAAATGAAATATCCAAAAGAGGCAAATCCATAGAGACAGTGGTTAGTGGTTGCCAGGGGCTGGGAAGACAGGGTGGATAGAAATGGGGGGTGACTGACAGTTCATGGAAACAGGGAAACAGGGGATTTTTTTAGGAACGATAAAATATCCTGGAATGAGATAGTGGTAGTGGTTGTACAATTTTGAAAACATACTAAAAACCACTGAATTACATACTTTAAAAAAGTAAACTTTATGGTATGTGAATTATATCTTAAATTTTAAGAAACGATAAGAGCCACTTGTTAGCTATGCCACCTTGGGCTTATCACAAATCTACTCTGTGCCTCAGTGTCCTCACCTAGAAAATGTGGTCATAGCAGTGCCTGCCTTACAGGGTTGTTGTGAGAAATACACAAGATAATCCAAGAAAAGTACTTAGCATAGTATCTGCCACAAAGCAATGTGTTCCAAGATGCCATTTACTATTATTTCCTTTTCCCAAAAATGTGTTCCTTATGACTATTAGTTTCCTCTCTCTTTAAAAAACTAAAAATTCAGAAACATTTTGCTTGTTACTCATGACTGATTTTCAGCTACTGGTTAATAGTTCTCTCTCTATAAAAAAAAATTGTTATACTTGATCAAATACAAAACAATAATATTTAGAAAAATAAAATGTGGTATCTTGGATCTAGTTTCCTGAGGAACCCAAATCCAACACCACTACTACTAATACTACTACTGTTACTAATACTGATACTAATACTACTACTAACAGGTAAAGGAGAAGAAGAAGGAAGAAGCAGCGTTGATATTTGCTGAGTATTGAACATGCACTAACTGGTTTATGTCCACCCCCATGTGTCATGACAGTGCCAGATGCAGAGGATGCAGTATGATTTCCCCACAGTCCCAGGCCTCCGAGGACACACGGTGGGCCATGAGGGCACAATAAGATGTGCTATAATGTCAGTGAGTACTGGTATATATGGGAGCACAGAGAGAAGACCATGCTGCCTGGGGGGTCAGGAAGGCATCACAGAAGTATAAGGGGCTTTCTCTTTCTGTTTCTTGTTTTTTGAGATGGAGTCTCACTCTGTTGCCCAGGCTGGAGTTGGAATGCAGTGGTGCAATCTGGCTCACTGCAACCTCCGCCTCCTGGGTTCAAGCAATTCTCCTGCCTCAGCCTCCTGAGTAGCTGGTATGACAGACACACGCCACCACACCCAGCACATTTTTGTATTTTTGGTAGACAGGGTTTCGCCATGTTGCCCAGGCTGGTCTCGAATTCCTGACCTCACATGATCCACCTGCCTCAGCCTCCCAAAGTGCTAGGATTACAGGAGTGAGCCACCGCACCCGACCATATACTTAACCATATAAAGTATATGAGCTTTAAAAACCACAAGAGGGAGGGGGAGGGAAAGGCATTCCCAGCAAAGGAAACAGCAGTGACAAAGGCAAGGAAGCATGGAGGTGTGCAGGGTGCTTGGGGAGCTGTTTGTCTAGAACACTGACTGAATGATGGGTAGAGATAGAGGGGAAGGAACTGGACCCGAAATGAGTGGGCATTTAATGCCAAGATAAAGTTTTGGACTTGCCTTAGGAAGTTTGGTGCCACTAACGATTGTTCGAGCTAGGGACAGGCATAACTAGCAGTCTCCTTTGCTCTTTTGTCCTTCACTAAAGCCGCGTGTGAGATGTCTGCTCCATAAATGGCTCCAGTGGCGTGAACAAGTAGCTGACCCGGACCACAGAGAACATTAGCTCCTGCCTTCAGATCAGTAAGGCCTATGTTCCTGTTGCACAGGTGAGGCAAGTGGACAAGTGAAAGTGATCAAGCATTTAATGCCGAGGTCCTAAAGAAGACCAGGACTCCCAACAGAAAGGGAGAAGAAAAGAAGGGAGGGAGGGACAGAAGGGGTGAGGGAGCCCCATTAAACCTCTGTAGATTAAAAGAACTGTTCATTGTGCAAGAGACAAAACTAGATATTGGTAAATTCCCTTCTTAGAAACCATTAAGTAATAGTGGAAGCTTTACCAGCTCTATCCAACAGAACTTTCTGTGATAATGGAAATGCTCTATATCTGTGCTGTCCAATACGCAGCCATCAGCCAGATGTGGCTACTGAGCACTTGAAATGTGTGCCACTGAAGAACTGATTTTTAAATCTTATTTCAATGAAATTTAAGTAGTCTCATGTGGCTAGAGGTCTCCATATTGCACAGCATAGTTTTAAAACCTGTATTTTCTTATCCCTTTTCATCTACTGTTTCTTAGACAAATGCAACAAAGGGAGTTTGGAATCCCTTTCAATCTGCTATGGTCTGAAGGCTTGTGTCTTCCCTAAAATTCATTTGTTGAGATCCTAACCCCCAAGTTGATAGCATTAGGAGGTGGGCCTTTGGGAGGTGATTAGGTCATGAAAGAGCTCATGTTGTTTAAAAGTATCCAGTCTATGGTAGCTTGTTACAGAAGCCCAAACAGACTAAGACACAACATTTTAATCATTCTGTTACTTCTGAATTATTTCAAATTGTTCTGAGAGACCCTAAAATTGCTTAATCATATAAAAGAGGTATTCAGTGTCATTTGTCAGATTGCCACCAAAATTCTGAGAATTCAGCCAATGAGTTACCAGCAGTACCCTCTCTAAAAGAATAAAATTGGGTGTTGTTTTGAGTAGAATCAATCTTTATTTAGTATAAGCGTAAACACTTTGGTGTGCATTTTTCTTTCCAAGTAGTTGGATAGACCAGGATGTTGGGCTGGATGACTTCTGAAATCCCTGGTAACCACATGGTTTCAGAGTCTACAGATGTCACTGGGTTAATCTTGCTTCCCGTTGTGTTGCATCCTAACCAAAATATCAAAGCACCTCTCCAAAGCCCTCTGGCTCACACCCCAGGGCGGGAAAAAGTCAAGAAAGTTGTAGTCTTTCACCATCAGAAACCTAGATTGGCGGGAGGAACAATTAAACAGCTTCAAATCACCTCACCCTTCACATTTTGCTATGGATAGAATTCCCCACTCCTGTCTCCTCCTTCCCACCCCAACAAACAAACCCTTTAATTCCCCGGAAGCAGTCCACACATCCCCTAGGCCTCCCCAAGTAAAGTTTCTCAATGTCCCCAAACAGGGGTGGTGTCTGCACCTGGCAAGCAGGGGCGAGGTCTATCAGTTGGTCTCTCAACCTATCCACACACTCCTGTGCACTCAACCACACAAGTGGGAACAGTGGCTTCAGGACACACAGCCTTCAGGAAGAGAAGACACCCACAGAGCATGCTCTCCTTAGTCAGAGTGGATGTGGAACCAACCAGTGTCAGCCAGGGTGCCAAGCCAGCCCATTTCTCTACGGCCTCCTTTCTCACTGTCCAATGCTCTAACATGCCCTGACTAAAGCCCCTACATGCTTGGGGAGTATAGACGCCATGACAAAGGCGGGGGAGGAGAGTTAGGGTATATCACTGGTGTCAGCTATCATTGGAAGTTTTGTAAACACAGGCAGGTCCCTCACAGCTAGAAGGGGTGAGGAAGAGCTGCCTCACCTACTCTTGGGGCTGTCCAGACCCCAGTGGACGGGGGTAAGACAGGGCTCTTACTACCACAAGGCCACAAGTGAATTAATGTGCAATTATCATTCTAAGGGGATGGGGAAAAAGAAAAAATCCAAAAGACCTGTAATTTGGGCAGCTTCCAGCATGAACATTAATATATACACTCCTCAAAACTCAGTAACTTTTGCTGTTCATTCAAGACCCCCTATGACTTATAATGAATTTAAAGTCCTGTATTAGCCAATCATATTCCTCCATGACCAAATTTGCATAAGACTTTATCCTAAAATTTGTATTTTAATTTAGAATTACCTAGCAAGGAAAATAAGCCCTAACCATATGCCAATCTAACCACAGTGTCTTCACACTCTTTACACAGATGAAGATTCACAGGGACCTACTGCCATCCTCAGTGTAGCCACCACTGTTTGCTCTCAGTGAGCACAGGGTCAAGTGGAGGAGATGGGAAACCAGGTCATTAGTAAGCGCCAGGAGAGAGTCAGGCCTGGGGTCCTAGAAGCCCAGAGAAAAGATTTCTAATGCGATGAGTATCATAAACTACTTCAAATACATCTACATATATCTACATTTTCTTGCTTTTTTATCCATAGATGGAAAAAAAAAGTTGCTGTGCTTTCCATACTGTTAGATGTATAAAATACCAGGAAACACTTCCCTTTATTTTCTCAATTTCCCACTTGGAGCTAATCAAGAACAGGACACAGGCGGGACACGGTGGCTCTCACCTGTAATCCCAGCACTTTGGGAGCCCAAGGAGGGTGGATCACTTGAGGTCGGAAGTTTGAGACTAGCCTGGCCAACATGGTGAAACCCTGTCTCTACTAAAAATACAAAACATTAGCCAGGCATAGTGGTGTGCACCTGTAATCCCAGCTACTCAGGAGGCTGAGGCAAGAGAATTGCTTGAACCTGGGAGGCGGAGGTTGCAGTGAGCCAAGATCAGGGCACTGCACTCCAGCCTGGGCGCAGAGTAAGACAAGAAGAAAGAGAAAGGAAGGGAGGAAGGAAGGGAGGGAGGGAGGGAGGGAGGGAAACAGACAGACAGAACAAGGGGTCAGAAATGACCCAGACAGAAGGGCAAGTAGCTGACTGGAAGGAAGATAAAACACAAGAGAGATCCCAGAAATGTTCTAAGAAACAGGTCCCCAACTGAACACTCTCACAGTCACTTTAAAAATAAAACAGCCCAAACATAGAATAGGTCTATGGCCAAAGCCTGGTCTTCCTAGTCCCTCCTCACAGAGATGTAAACTGCCCATGAAAACAAAACGTGTACAAGTTCCGTGCATATGAACGTACAAGAAAAAAAAAAAAGACGGGCAGGACGGACCTCCAAATGGAGTCATGTGTCTCTCTGCATTTTTCCACATTAAAAAGTGCCTGGAGGGATGCACACCCAAATGGTAGCATCAGATTATGTCTGGGGGTGGGGTCTGGGGTGACCTTTTGAAATACTTTTCTATCTTCTGAATGTTTTATATGGCATATAGGTAATATTCATAATCTTGAAAAATAATGCTACTTCCATTATAGAAAAAAAGGCCTTTGCAAGCTGTTAGAGATGAATTGGCACTAAGAATACATTTGCAGTGAGGATGGGGAATGCCAGTCAGAAAACAGCCACCTGAACCAAAAAGGCAATCCCCGAGCTCCATCGGGTTTTGAAGCACCACATTCCACCTCCCCCGCCATTGTCTAGGTGGCTGCCAAGCGCTACTTGAGGAAGTGATAAGCATCACTGTCTGTCACACATTTATCCTTTAGGGATGAAACATCAAGGGAGAAGATACTAAAGCCCAACTAGCATCACAGCAGACTCATAAGCTATTATTACACTTCGTGTACAAGTCATCTCCACAAATGAATCCACTTTCCATGTCCAGAAAAAAAAAATCCAAAAACTATTGAAAATATTGTAAGTTTCCATCAAGTTTGACCCTTAAAATTTTTCTCAGTCAGAATTAAAGCCAATGAAACTAAAATTTTCTTGTATGAATGTCTTTTAAATGTTCCCTAATCACTTGACTTTTGTTCTTTTTACCCTACTTTTCACAAAGGTCAAAAGTAACTTGAAAACAGCACTATTCATAAATTTCTCCAACTCCCGAATCCACTCCCAAATATTGACTTTTGTTGATTTTGAATGATCCTACATTCTTTGATGTGGTCACTTGAAAATAATAAGGCCTATCTAAAAACAGACTGCTAAACAGACACATAGCCACGAATGGATTAAAAAGCAAAGTTGTTTTCCTTGAGGGATTTGTCAAAGCACCAAAGGTGGTCAGGAGTCTGAACTTCCAAGCAGCAGCCTTACTGAAAATCAGCACCTGCTACTAAGCCTCCAACTCCGAGGAGTGCTTCACTTCAGCAAATGGCTTTCACTTCACTCTCTTGCTTGAGCTATATGACCTTATGAGACAGATATCATCATTTCAAAGATGAGGAGACAGAGGTTCAGAAAGTACAAAAAAATGGTCTAAGCAGGTATGCTCAATACATCATTGGCAGAGCAGGGATTTAAACAGGTCTTCTCACTCTGAACCCCACAATATCATTTCTAAACCAGAATGTCATGAATTGAAAGATGGATATATCCAATTAATCAGAAGACACTTTTCATTCAAAGTTTACGGGAACCCCCCACCCCGCCAAAATGCTCACCTTGTATAATAAGCTTACATCCCCCAAAAATGAGTGCAAAAGGCTGATGTAATTTTAAGCAATATCACTTTAAAAACTGTAGAATCAGAATCAATTTAGAAGATTGAGGAAGGATTCCTTTGATTACATAAAGATTGCAGACATCCTATTCCAGAGCTGTTTCCTCTGCAATATATGAAAATATGGGGCTCAAGGGGATGGGGGTGAACCTTTCTATTCAAATTATGCCAATAAACTAGGATGGGAGATGGAAAGAAGAGGGAGCATGCTAAGCAATTTGGGCTTTTGTCCCAGCTTAGTCACTTAACAGTTGTGTAACTTTCAGCCTGTCATTTAGGTTCAGTTGGCCTCCATTTTCTAATTTATAAAAATGGAAGTAATACCACCTACCTCACAGGACCTCTGTGAAGAGTAACACAATCATGGATGAAGCTCACACTAGTATAAAGTATTAATTATCATTACTTCTGCCAACAGGCCAGTTCCTGATTCATCCTCAGTGCTTACTGAATTCCTATTGAGAGGTGACAGCATGCTGGCAGTCCTCAGAGCCCTCGCCTGCTCTCGGCACCTCCTCTGCCTGGGCTCCCACTTTGGTGGCACTTGAGGAGCCCTTCAGCCCACCGCTGCACTGTGGGAGCCCCTTTCTGGGCTGGCCAAGGCCAGAGCCGGCTCCCTCAGCTTGCAGGGAGGTGTGGAGGGACAGGCGCAAGGGGGAACCGGGGCTGCGCACTGCGCTTGCGGGCCAGCTGGAGTTCCAGGTGGGCGTGGGCTTGGAGGGCCCCGCACTCCGAGCAGCCGGCGGGCCTCCCGGCCCGGGCAGTGAGGGGCTTAGCACCTGGGCCAGTGGCTGCGGAGGGTGTACTGGGTCCCCCAGCAGTCCCGGCCCACTGGCGCTGCCCTCGATTTCTCACTGGGCCTTAGCTTTCCCGCGGGGCAGGGCTCCGGACCTGCAGCCCGCCATGCCTGAGCCTCCCACCCCTCCATGGGCTCCTGTGCGGCCCGAGCCTCCCCGACGAGCGCCGCCCCCTACTCCATAGCACCCAGTCCTATCAACCACCCAAGGGCTGAGGAGTGCGAATGCATGGCGCAGGACTGGCAGGCAGCTCCACCTGCAGCCCCGGTGCGGGATCCACTGGGTGAAGCCAGCTGGGCTTCTGAGTCTGGTGGGGCCTTGGAGAACCTTTATGTCTAGCGCAGGGATTGTAAATACACCAATTGGCACTCTGTATCTCGTTCAAGGTTTGTAAACACACCAATCAGCACCCTGTGTCTACCTCAGGGTTTGTGAGTGCACCAATCCACACTCTGTATTCTAGCTGCTCTGGTGGGGCCTTGGAGAACCTTTATGTCTAGCTCAGGGATTGTAAATACACCAATCAGCACTCTGTATCTAGCTCAAGGTTTGTAAACACACCAATCAGCACCCTGTGTCTAGCTCAGGGTTTGTGAGTACACCAATCGACACTCTGTATCTAGCTGCTCTGGTGAGGCCTTGGAGAACCTGTGTGTCTATACTCTGTATCTAACTAATCTGATGGGGAGGTGGAGAACCTTTGTGTCTAGCTCAGGGATTGTAAACGCACCAATCAGCGCCCTGTCAAAACAGACCACTCAGCTCTACCAATCAGCAGGACGTGGGTGGGGCCAGATAAGAGAATAAAAGCAGGCTGCCCAAACCAGCAGTGGCAACCCGTTCCCGTCCCCTTCTGCACTGTAGAAGGTTTGTTCTTTCGCTCTTTGCAATAAATCTTGCTACTGCTCACTCTTTGGGTCCACACTGCTTTTATGAGCTGTAACACTCACCCCTAAGATCTGCAGCTTCACTCCTGAAGCCAGCGAGACCATGAGCCCACCGGGAGGAAGGAACAACTCCAGATGCGCCGCCTTAAGAGCTGTAACACTCACTACGAAGGACTGCAGCTTCCCTCCTGAGCCAGCGAGACTATGAACCCACCAGAAGGAAGAAACTCCGAACACATCCAAACATCAGAAGGAAAAAACTCCAGACAGGCCACCTTAAAAGCTGTAACACTCACCGCAAGGGTCCACGGCTTCATTCTTGAAGTCAGTGAGACCAAGAACCCACCAATTCCGGACACACTGTAACACCACTTTTCCTATCCTAGAAGTTTCCTAAGACCACCCACTTGATAAAAACTACAAGAAGCCAGGCTCAGTGGCTCATGCCTATAATCCCAGCACTTTGGGAGGGCAAGGCAGGAGGATCGCTTGAGCCCATGAGTTGGAGAACAGCCTGGGCTATGTGGAGAAACCCTGTTTCTACAAAAAATTAGCCGGGGATGATGGTGTGTGCCTGTGGCCCCAGCTGCTCAGGAGGCTAAGGTGGGAGGATGGATTGAGAGCCTGGGAGGTCAAGGCTGTAGCACTGATTGCACCACTGCATGCCAGCTTGAGCAACAGAATGAGACCCTGTCTCAAAACACACACACACACATGCACACGCACACACATGCAAGAAATTCACTCTTGCATTTCTTGCATTTAAGACCTTCAAAGTCATACACAAGTAGATTCTCATAAGAATGGCTTTATGACTCTCTCTCAACACTTTCTCCATCAATGCTGCTTTAATTTTTATAATGCACTAAAGGCCGAATGTTTTCTTTTGTTGTTTGTGTTTTCAGGGGAAGTCTGTGTTCTATTCTTCCTGGCAGACCAATCCCATACCCCGGTGACTCCACCTCAAGTAACACCGGAAACCACAGGATGAACCTATGTGACATGGAGAAAAGGGAGATTTTGTCTGTTTGTCAGTTTCTGTCCATGCAGAATCAGAAACTTTCCTAGAAGGGACCCCACCACCCACAGAGGGAAGCACATGGTGGCCCTAGCTGACATCTGTGAGGCTAGATGTCAGAGCAAGGACAAGAAAGCAGGAGACCCAGGTTCCAGTCTTAGCACCACAGCCTCCTGGTTGGGGCTTCTTTGTGTACAAACCAATGGAGGCTGGGCGAGATAGCCAGACCTCTGGATTTCAAAAGCCAATACGTGTTTTGTTTTTGTTGTTGTTTTTTTTTTTTTTTTAAGTCTGGGAATTGATTTAGGGTTATTCACACTTTCAATTTTTCCAAGTAAGAATATTAAGAACAAAAAGTACCATAATTCCACTAAAATAGCTAAAATGTAAAGACAGAATCAACTACTGATACACACAACAGCATGGATGAAATTCAAAAGCTTTTTTTTTTTTTTTTTGAGACATGATCTCACTCTGTCACCCAGGCTGGAGTACAGTGGTGCAATCTCAGTTTGATGTAACCTCTGTCTCCTGGGCTCAAGCAATCCTCCCACCTCAGTCTCCTGAGAAGCTGAGACTACAGGTGTGCACCACCATGCCCAGCTAATTTTTTTCATATTTTTTTGGAGACAGGGTTTCGCCATGTTGCCCAGGCTGGTCTCGAACTCCCAGACTCGAGCAATCTGCCTGCCTCAGCCTCCCAAAGTGCTGGGATTACAGGCGTGAGCCACCACATCCAGCCTCAAAAACTTTTTTGTAAGTAACAGAAGTCTGTTGTGAAAGGCCATATAATTCTACCTATAGAACATTCTAGAAAAAGCAGAACTATAAATAGGAAACCAATCAGCAGTTGCCAGTTGCAGAGGGGTCAGCGAGGAGATTGATCATAAAGGGGGTAACGAGGGAACCTGCTGGCAGGGCGGAATTGTGAGTACAGTGGTGGTTACTCGACTCTATATATTTGTCAAAACTCAGTGAACTTTACACTTAAAAGGAGTTAAATTTTATTGTATGCAAATTATACTCTAATAAACCTCAATTTAAAAAAAATGCAATCAATATTCTACCATATTCTACGATAAAAAGGAAGAATATTTTAACCATCCAAAAGCAAAGCAACATAATTTTTGAAAAAAAGAGTAGTCGTTTATTTTAAATAAAGTTGTCTTTGGGAATAATTCCCTCCTTGTTTTTCTCATTTCACTCTGGACTGGGGAAAAACTTCATCAGGTAGTGACTAAGGCAGGTCTGGGTTTTGAAACCACAGGCTGGGTCATCCTTAAAGCCTTTTTCAGCTCTACAGTTCTATGCATCTGGCTATCCTGTAGTTCTTACTAAAATGAGTTTGAATTATAGCACCATTTTACCTAATATTTGTTCCAGGGAACACAATGTTATTTTTTTCCCACCCTGAACACGATTTTACGTAAGAGTTTTTAAAAGGCAAAATTCCAAGCAGCTGTAGGGAAAGTATTCTCTATAGTCTACTGTAAAGGGATCTGATCTGCTGAGAATAAAGAAGAAACACGGTGAAGAGGAGGCTTGGCATATATTCCTAATAACCATGATGCAAATTAAGCAGCAGTACTATAGTTAACTAGATATCAAGTTTATATTCACTTTGAGCCCATCCTTGTTTTCACTATTTAACTTCTGCTTAAGCAGCCTTGAATTTGGTAATGCTGTCACTGAATAATAAGGTCTGTTCACAGTGTTAAAATTATTATTCCCTAGTTGATCATGCTAGCTAGGATATAAATGAGTGGTAATAGCACTTTCATCTCCATTTCTCAAATAAGAAATCCTCCAGGCCTAAACTTCTAAATTATTATTTATTTTGATTCTAATATTAATAGATTAGTCAGTATTCCTGAAGCTAACCAGAGAATATATCAGGAAATCAAACTCTGCTTCCAAGAATCTTCAAATTCTTTTTTTTTTTTTAACTACCATTAGGAAGGCTTTAATTTTTCTTCTCTACAATGATTCATCAAAATATTAATGTACTTAAAGTTGGTTCCCCTACCTCAATTCCCACTCCCAAAATAAATTCCAGATGAATCAGTGATTTAAATATAATAATTAACCTATAAACTCCTTGAAAACAGTGAAGAATATTTTCATAATTTTGGACCAGAGATGCCCTTTCTAAATATGATACAAAACCAAAAGCCAAAAATAAAAATACTCATAAACTTGACTGCAAAAACTTAAATATTCTACAAAGCAAAAATTTTATTCAAACTCAAAATACAAATTGTCTACTAGGAGAAAATATCAACAGTACAAATGACAGGCCAAAAAAAATCCTTTGTACACAAAGAGCTACTGCAAATCAAGAGGAAAAAATGAGCTTAATAGAAAAACAAGTGAAGGATATAAATTGGCAGTTTGCATTATTTTTAAGAATGGCCAATAAACATTTGAAGACATACTTGGCCCCAGTCATGATTTTAGACATGAAAATAAAAATAATGAGGTATCCAATTTTGATCTGTGAGAATGAAGAAACCTGAATGTTAGTAACGCCCGTTAATGAGAGGGGGAAACAAACTCTTACAGAACTGGTGGGAGTACAAATAACGGCAACCGTTGTAGAAGACAATTTAGCAACGTCTATGAAAATTTCAAAGACATATTCTAAGATCTAGCAATTCCACTGGTATAAATTCATCCTACAGATAGACACCTAGAGGTATAAGAATATATATGCACAAAGACGTCACACATTACAGCATTATATGTGACAACAACAATAAGGAAACAACTCTAAATTTCCATTAGTAGAAGACTTAAATAAAGCACTGACATCCATTCCCAAAAACACCATCTGGCCAACCAAAAAGGAGTGCAAGTAAATCCATGTGCCTAATACAAAAAGATCTCCAAAATATATTAAGTAAAAAAAAAAAAAAAAAAAGGAGAAAACAGTATGCATGTGATCCCCATTTGTATAAAAACATGTATTTACGTAGATACAGTTATATATACATACACATACCAAGATATACTAAATTTACTAGAAAGATATTCAAGAACTGTTAAGAACAACTATCTCTAATGAGCACATAGGGCAATAGGTGGGGATAAGTCCTTCTACTCTTATCCTCTTCTGTTCTGGTTTATAAAAAGTAAAGACACATATAAAAAGACAAAAACAAACTGCACTTCCTAGATGTATATAAAGTACCAATTAAGTGTTGAGAACTCCTACTATAATTCTTGGAAAATAAAGAAGGCCAATTGGGGGAAAATGCTTTAGAATGAGGGCTGTACCTACAGTTCCTGAAGATTCGGCTTAGGGCAAGTTAAGCGAGGCATTACAGGTAAGTGCCACTATCCTAAGCAAGTTAAGGAAAAGGGGATGTTTCTTTAAAAAAAAAAAAAAAAAGCATTATGAAGAAATTATTTTAGTTTGTATTTGGAGGCAGAACAGCCAGGTGTATCTAAGTAAGACATTTCACATGGCCCTGACCCAGAAAGCAGGCAGGTTTTAGCAGATGGAATCATCAGAAGTTTGAAGAATGGATCTTTCTACAGGATGCATGGAATACAGAAAAAGATAGCAGTTGGATACACTAACTATATTTGAACTAATGATAGAAAGGAGTAGCCCTTGGAACATTAATTTTAACAAATATTTATTGCCCTAGATAAATGCATTTTGAAATTGTTTCCTGTATTTTAATGAATGTAAATCCTCCACAATAATCCATGAAAATGCCCACCTCCTACCTCCTGCACACCTAACACAAGATCTCACAAGGTCCCCAGGAGAGAATAAATCATACTTGGATGCCAAATTACCCGAGAACATTTTGATACACTAGGAATGCAGAAGCTCCTTGCAAAGTACATAAGCAATTCAGGGTCTAGGTTTTATTTAAGGATCGGTGATGGCTACTAGATTTACGAACTGTAAATCTGACAACTCCATCTCCACAATGAAATCATCCACTAGAGCTTCTCAATAGACCAATTAACAGCTGCCTAAATTGACAACAGAATGCAAAAGTGTCTTTCCAGATTCGGTTCCCATAGTGTCTGCGTGCCTGCGTATTCTACCTACAAGAAAATCTTACTACATTTCTCCTGGCTTTAAATTTATGTGCAGCAGGACAAGTAGGAATTCCACTGCAGTGGGCAACTTAAAAAATAACATGAAAAACACCTTCCCCGAAGAAACAAATAATGGGGCTGAAAGCCAGGCTGGTTATTCGAATGCCTCCTTCCTTTCTCACGGTGACTTACCTTAGAATTCATTTCCATGTGGTATTTGGCACAAGCTCGAAGCTGAGTCACCCAGAATTGTTTCTCTTTTGCATCAGCAGCTAAAATAGAGAAAACAGAGAAAGAAATGATTGCAGAGATTGTTCCAAAACACATCCAACTTATTTCTACACCCACCTAAGGGGGTGGGGAGCCTGGGGAGTGAGAGGTAGCAAGAAGGTGGGGAAGCAAGCACAGATCACAACGTTCTCAAGCGGCCTGTACTTACACCAAAACAGAGACTGCACTGAATCCCACGGAAAATCCTCTCTTGAGCCATATGAAAAATGGATTCTGAAATACCCGTTATAAGAATAATTTTGCCATTTTTTAGCCTCCTCTGAAAAAAGTCATTTCTATAATACTTATTTAAAAAGAAAGCAGGCAAGGAACCACATGCTTATTTTCAAATGCCTCTAACCTTGTGTAGCTAATATGAGTATCAAATGGCACTTTTTTTTTTTTTTTTTTGAGACGGAGTCTCGCTCTGTCGCCCAGGCTGATGTGCAGTGGCGCCAACTCAGCTCACTGCACACTCTGCCTCCTGGGTTCATACCATTCTTCTGCCTCAGCCTCCTCCGTAGCTGGGACTACAGGCACCCGCTACCATGCCCGGCTATTTTTTTTGTATTTTTTAGTAGAGATGGGGTTTCACTGTGTTAGCCAGGATGGTCTCAATCTCCTGACCTCATGATCCACCCGCCTTGGTCTACCAAAGTGATGGTATTACAGGCTGAGCCACTGCACCCGGCCTCAAAGGGCAGTTTTTCAGGGCCTTTTGCTATCTACCAGGGCTGTATTGTGGTGTTATTAACATTTACAAAATAAGCATTCAGTTGAATTACCATTTTAGTATGCTCTCAAAGATTCATACGATTGCAAAGAGCAAGATACCAAATGCTGCCTTAGAGAGCCTCAAATTTCCCCCAAAGAGATATTAAAGTGCAAGTAGTCATGTTGTATAGTTATGTCCTTCCATCTATAACCTATCTCTCAAATAATATATATGAAGTTATTCTCAAATATCATGGGCACACAACAGGTTCTAATGAAATCTAAATCATCAATTTAATCACATAAATAACTGCATAAATATAATAATACTAGCTGCATAAATGTTGACTATGAAAAAAAAAAACAACGATTCCCTGGAAATTATATCTGTTTACAAAACTGGGCCTAAGTGTCATTTGTCCATAAAACCTGACTTCAGCTTGAACTTTCAGGAGAAGAAATCTAGAGTTACCAAATGGGAAATTCGTTGCTTAGTCCTATTTAAGGCATGAAGATGGCCCCTACAAATCCCAAATGATTTGTCTGTCAAAAGGCCTGTTACACAAGTCTGATTTACAGTGTGTACCAGGTGTAATGAACTTCCAAAGACAAAGGACTTTGCAGAAATTAGGGCCTTTTTCCTTAGTAAACTTGAAGAATTGCCAGTTTGTGGCAATACTATCCAAAGGCTTTGCATCAAAAATACTCCCAAAAGCTGTGCGTCTCATGATACCATGATCCAACTCCTACTATGTGCAGGTAAGATGTGAAATGAGACACCAACAGCCAGTTGCTTGTGGGACGGGCTAAGGACAAGCCATAAACATGCAGAAATTTATCCTGACTTTTTTTTATAGTTACGCTTTAGCTAAATTTAGCAATTGTGATTATTCCATGCAGATCATAAAACCTCTATATTTGCTATTAAAATTGCCCTCTAAAAAAAACCTAGGGCTTAATAATCCAAAGGATATTAATGATTCAATGGCAAAACAAGATGGCTCAATTGTCAAATTAGTTGGATATTTCTTTTGTATGGGTTTGTATCATTTTATAAACCACAGGCAGGGTGGAAAGTGCCATTACGTTTTTCGTCTGCTATTGTTTCTGCACTGACAATTTATTAAGCAATAAATGGCAAAGCGAAGCCAAGGACCATATAAATCTAGCCAGCTGGAATGCACACTGCATGAATCTCAAGAGAACATGAATCTTATCACATTCCTGAAAGTTTTTTATCAACTATAGACATTTTTACTTCCGAGGTTTTTGGATTGTTTTATAGATTCTGAAATATGACTTGTATATAGATAATAAACATTAGCTTATTCCATCTCTTGGGTAGTGAAGCTTGGCAGAAGAATGGTGAAAACTGGGCTGAGAGGTGAGGAATGTAGTCCCTCAGTCTGACTTTGCAGAGGCAACTGATCATGGTCACGAACAGATAGCAAGCAGCCGTTTCTTCATACTTAGCTCTTAGTCAAAAGAAAATGTTACATTAAAAAAGGCAGAATTTTCAACCACCTCTCAATACTTAATACATACTACTTTTCCTCAGGACTTGATAAATAATATAGACTCTGCGTGTCCATGTGTGTGTGTGTGTGTGTGTGTGTGTGTGTGTGCATGCACTTGTGGGCATTTAGATTTGTTGTTTCATTTCATTATTTTATTAGAAGAAAAGTGGCAGAAGAATCACAGCAATGCAACCATGACAGATCCTGGTAGAATGATCTAGCAATCAAATTACACTGCAATTTTATTACAAGTCTGACATTTCTGTGCGATGGATGTGTCTTGAGGGTGAATACTGGACTCCCTGGAAAGTCATCCTCATTTCCGGGATGCTGGGCAGGTATCCATTTTCTTTTTTTTCTTTATTAAAGCAAAGATATCCATTTTCAAGAAGCAAAGAGAAGGGAAGAAAGCATACAAAGGGACATTAACTCCATTCCAGTTGGCTTCTCACCAGGCTCTACGACAGTGGATTGAACAAAACTCAAAGGGGCACTTTACTAAGAAACGGTTCTAGAGAAACTTTGGGGGGAAAACACTAGGACCCTTAAAGGTCTTTTTTTGCCCTTATAGCACAGCCCTCACAGGGCACTGTAGTGAAGATTCATACTATTACGTCAAAGAGAATATACTGAGCTAACACTTAAGATCTTCGAAGTCCTAAGGCGCGCTGCTTTGGGAATCACTCACCTTTCCTTTGTCCTTAATTCCTCAGTTAATTAGGACAAGTAATTCCTAATGTCAGCTCCATCTCCCCACCCCAGGGATAAGAGAGGCAATGTGTGTCACCACAGAGTCCTCCAAACACAGCAAACTGTCAAAGGCAATTTAAAAAAACAAAAAATCAAAAAACAAGAGAGCCATCACCATAGCAACTAGAGGCCTGTCTGAAAAGTTACTGGGAGAAGAACGCACCTCTCAGTTTAAACATCTCTCCATTAGCAGAGTACACCACCAGCATGTGGGGAGCTTCATCGCTCAGGGACACTATGGCTCCAGATAAAGACAGGACTCCTCGAGGCTTCTGGTGTTTGCTTTGCTCATTCACAAAATACTGCAGGATGCCAGCCTCGAAATCCAGTACGAAGTACCTGCACAGAGAAACCACAGTACATCATTTTTCTCTCCTACCCTATTCTGCACAGCAAAGCAGAAAAAAGCAAAGTGATCCAGAAGTCAACATCAAGACTCCACATCCATGAAGCTGGAAACCAAAAGTCCCTCCCAGATGCCCATAGAAGTTAGCCTGAGTAGGGAGAGAGCACTGGATTCTTAAATCAGAGTGGCGCTCATAATGGGGCACTTGTGGGCAAGGGCCAGGACCACTCAGGATTTGGTGCCATGCCCACACTTCACCCAGTACCCATGGATACCACATTAAACCTCAGAATGACAGAGACTGGCAGAAGCATTGCAACACAGCCTCTTGCAACATGCTCCACATGAATTCACAGGAACAGTTGAAATTCACAAGGCCTCCAGGAGAGGTAGTTTCACACCCAGAGAGCAGCAGCAAGCTTGGTCTCCAACTTCCTGCCAGTGGCATGGGTACCATAAGGAGCCTGAGCACCTGGCAGCATCTGTCAGGGAACTGGAGGTGCTTCTGCAACCATCTGGACACGCTCTAGCAGGCCCATTCACACGAAGGCAAGGAATCCCCCTGCTCTGGGACGTTGAAATGCCACTGAACTCTACATCCATGGTAAAAGAAGAAGAACTCCAATTTGCTTAAATCACACAATGAATCTTTGTAGCCAAATATCTGGCCTGTTAATTTTCTCAAGCTATTACCTAGGAAGTAGTCAAGACAATTTCCCCTTCTCCACCAGGAGGGAAATGTCTTCACCTGAGCCTCAGATTCTTACTGTGGCCTTGAGGCCCGCCCCTGCTGACTTTTCTACCTTCTCACTTCATCTTCCACTGACACTAGTCTTTTCTCTCTTCCTTCATAGTCACCAAGTTGCCTCCTGCCACAGGACCTTTGCACATGCTGTTCTTGCTGTCTGGAGCAGTTACTCAAAGTGTGGTCTGCAAATTTTGACGGTCTACAAACTGTTACCAGTCCACCACACCCTTTTGAAACATTTCCTGCATTTGGCTTTGTTTCAATATCCAAATGCATAGATCAGTTGGACAAGTCTCAACAGTTCAGAAGTTGTCAAACACACGTGGTCCACACAAGCTACATACTAGTCATGAACCAATGACAGTGCAATTGGCAGATGGAGTGAAGCAGGTCCTTCACCATAGATAGTTTGAAAAACACTTGCCCAGAATGCTACTCCCCCTGCCTGGAATATGGTTCCTACCCCTTCTTGCCGTGTCAAGTTCTCCTGACCGGGTCAAATATTCTTTCTTGCAGCACTTTGAAATGCTCCCTCATGGTACTGGCCCCATTTGAAGTCTACATTTGTGTGATTATCTGATTCAATGACTGGTTTCCCCACTAGACTACACTCTGCGGAAGTGGAAAGTGTTTTCCTCCCCACAGCGCCCAGCAGTGTGCCTGATAGTTCATTGCTACTCAGTTAGCACTTGTGCAAGGAATGAATAAAGAAAAAAACCTACTAAATCCCACGTTTCTCCATCCATGCATCAAAGCACCCGGGTCATACAGTGAACTGATAGAGGCAATGCAACATATTTTACATTTTTTGAGGGATACATGGCGAGACTCAACATACCGTCTGTACTACCAACTCAGGGACTTTTCACAGTTTTAACATTATATTGCACTACACTCCTTTTGATGCCATCATATTTTTGCAAAGAGTTTCAGCAGGTGCTACGATTTAAAAAAAAACATCAACGTAGAACAGGAAAAGAGAACAGCAATGTCCAGTATGATTCCAAGGTTTGAGAAGCTGTGCAGTACCCACAGGTACACACATCCCATTAATAAGTAATTGTGGTTATTTAAGAAACTAAAATATTTTTCTTTCAATTGATATTATTTTTTCAAATAGCTACTGAGTTGTTTAGACATAAATATGTATGAGGTTGTTTGGAACTAACCACTTAAAAAATGAATCTGTTAGATACTTATTTTAACCTAGAAGCACCAACAACCAGCAAAGTTCACAAACCTCTAAATTATTCTCACAATAACCCAACAGAATAGATGTTATCCCCACATTATACGTATCCTGAGACTTGAAGGAATTTAAAATCCAAGTTCAACTCTTCTGTGTCCAAAGTTCAGGCTCGGGTCCACTCCAGCAAACTGAAACTCCTTGATTCTCACTCAAGTCCTTCCTTGTAACTTCTCCATATCACTTCTCCAGGACCTATTTACATACTTCATTCTCCAAATCTCCCTGTTCCAACAGAGATAATGAAGCTGAAAGCTCCTTTGCCTGGCAGTAGAGGTCCCTACTTATGGCCCCGGCAAGGGAGCAAGTCGCAGCCATCTCATTAGCACATGACTGCCCGGGTGGCAGTCCTCCAAAGCTCCAATTCCTCTAAGAAATCGTCCACTTTGAATTATTTTTAATATTTCAGATGGTCTGGCCAAGACTACTATCTATTTTACTCTTCTTCCCTCTCATCTCTCAAGTCATTCTAATAACGGTATTTCTGGTTCTCATGAACAGCGTGGATAAACGAAGACGCAAAAATGTGTCAGAACCAGGGCTATTCAAAGTGTGATCCCCAAGCCGGCAGTAACAACATTGCCTGGGATCTTGTTAGAAATGGAAAATCTTGGGCCCCACCCAAGCCCTGCTGAATCAGAAACTGTTTTAACAAGCTTCCAGGTAATCTGCTGCAGGTGAAGTGTGAAAATCACTGGCGTAAACTACCATCAACAAATCCCTTTCCTCCTCTTCCAGAGAAGCCACATCCAGAACACATTTCTCAGCCTTCCCAGCACTTAGGGTGTGGCTTTTTGAGCTTTAGCCAATAGAATGTGAGCAGAAGTGTGCACACACGCACACACACACACACACGCACTGGAATGGAGACAACCTACAGCACAACTTGGGAGAGCCTGGGTCCCTGAAACACCACCTGGAAGAGCATCACCTGCTGAGCAACACCCACATCAGACCACTATATTAATAAGAAAGAAACTTTAACTAGGCCACGGGGATCAGTATCTGTTATAGCAGCTGCTAGCCTTACATTAACAAAGACATAAAAAACCCTTTTTATTTGTATTTTCAGATCCTTCTACTTGAAATTTGCCCCTATTCTTTAATGTGGGGCAAAAACCAAACTCCCTCAATGAGAGAAGAACCAGGGTAACTTCTGAGCAGCAAATGGTCAAATTATTTAAGTGCTGACTGCCTTGAGGAGTGTCTTCCACTTGACCTATATTTAATGTCATTCTGACTGCGGCTGTGCAGACAATGCTCATGGCAAGTTAGAACATGAACAATCATCCTTTCAAGCTGAGGAAGGAGACTAGGTAGGCTCACACTACAGCACGTTGTGCCATGTGTGCCCCCCTACACACACCTGCAGACACAGCACTGCAGCATCCCCTTTGACAAGCATGCCACTCTTTTTTTTTTTTTTGAGATGGAGTCTCGCTTCTTTGCCCAGGCTAGAGTGCAATGGCACGATCTCAGCTCACTGCAACCTCCACTTCCCAGGTTCAAGTGATTTTCCTGCCTCAGCCTCCCCAAGTAGCTGGGATTACAGACACCACCACGCCCAGCTAATTTTTTTTGTATTTTTAGTAGAGATGGGGTTTCCCCATGTTGGCCAGTCTAGTCTCAAACTCCTGACCTCAGGTGATCTGCCCACCTCAGCCTCCCATAGTGCTGGGATTACAGGCATGAGCCTGTTTTTTTTTTGTTGTTTTTTTTTTTTGAGATGAGTCTTGCTCTGTTAGGCAGGACTGCAATGGTGTGATCTTGGCTTACTGCAACCTCCACCTCCCGGGTTCAAGTGATTCTCCTGCCTCAGCCTCCCGAGTAGCTGAGATTACAGGCGCTTGCCACTATGCCCAGCTAATTTTTGCATTTTCAGTAGAGACAGGGTTTCGCCATGTTGGCCAGGCAGGTCCTGACTTCAGGTGATCCACCCGCCTCGGCCTCCCCACGTGCTGGAATTACAGGCATGAGCCACCGTGCCTGGCCACATGCCACTCTTACACAAAGGTAAGTAGAAAAGGAAGGGGATAAACTTTCAATGAAAAGGCAAAGTAACATGTCCTCAGTTTCCCCATCTACTCTATGCCATTGACTGGAATGAAGCAAAGGCTTAACTTTTCTCTCCTTACCGCTCCTACCAACTTATCCACAGAGAACCTGCCAGCTTGCCAGCTTTTCTCTCTCCTAGAGGCAGCTTCCCAAATGCATCCTGTTCAAACAAATAACTATATAATTGAAGAGGACATTATTTAGGAGCTGGTATAAAGAAATGAATTGAACGCTGTTTTATTTTTTCAGTAAGTATGACAGAATAACCAACTGATGTCACATTATATAGAATATAGGGACACATTAATGATTTTTCACATTAACTATTTCAAACTGACATCTTTAACTTTCTGCCTCAGATGAAAAAAAAGAACATGTTTCCACTGCTTTCTAAAATAGTTTCAATGCAAATGCACAGGTTTGAATCATGTGTACTAAGGAGAGTTATCAATAATTTACTCCTCTTCTAAAGACAGTTAAAATTTTTATATTTGGAAGGGACTGATGGGACACTATCTGATTAAAAATTCCAACAGACTAGAAAAAAATTGCAACAGACTCAACAAGTGTTCTTTCAGCATGGCCTCTGACAGTTAAGTCAGCTTGTGTCATATATGGATAAGCACTGTCCATATAGCATTAAGAATTCCTGTGGGTCACATTCCCTGGTAGGAAAGAAATTAAATTTGGTTTCCCACAGGGTCATGGCTTTGTCAGGTACTGCTGTTAGGAGCACGCAGCTATATCTCAAAGTCACAGCTTTCATTCTAAATGGAAAAGTAAACCGTATTTCTGGATCGGGCTTCATTAAACCAAGTGAAATTGTCAGATAAAATCCTGAAACATTCTTAAAGATCTTCCCTTCTAGAGAACAGAATAAGGCAAATCTAATTCCTACGTTCTGGGGTTTATTAATTAACTTCTTGAAGCTACAGTGTGCAACTTGACTGCTGTGTTGGTGAACTTAATTGTACCCAGAGAGAACATACTTTCTTTGCTATGTTAAAAATAACATCAATAAAAGAGGAAAAAAAAATCAAAGCATGTGCTGCAGGGAGAAAGGGAAAATGAGGGAAGAAAGCGAACAAACCCATGAGGAAAGCCATCTTAATTCTCACCAGGCTAGCTTCTTGGTGAAACCCTTGCTCAATCCCAAAGCTGGGAGATAGGGCAAGTGTAGGCCCCTTCCTGGGAAGGGCTGAGGACAAGCCATTGCCTACTAACATCCTTCAGATATATCCATTGTTTCCAAAAGAAGCACAAATGCACACATATATACCCTCATATACACTTATATATGTGACACACTCACACTGATGCCCACAAACATACATGCATCTCACACACACTATACATATAAACACACTCACACAGGTACTTGCATTCATGCTTACACATGTTCACACTCACATACTCACAAACTCATGCACACTTGCACAACTGGAGGCACCAAGAGTGTGACACACTCACACATTCATAACCACCCATGCACTCACCCTTGAAGGTGCATTTGCATATTCACACTCACCTGCACATGTTCTCACTCGTTCACACCCACACACTGCACTGCCCTTACCCACTCACTGTGCCTTGCCAGTCTTGCATCTCTGAGACATCATCTGTCTGCACAGGTACCCATTTCATTGCTGCCTCTACACCCCCATCTACCCGACATAGTTTCATTAAGGTTCAACTTTAGGATCTAAAAGCTGACAAAAGCATACATGTTTCCTTTGTCGGGGAAGGAACTGGGCCTAGGATTTCACCAACAACCCTTAGCCAAACCCCAGGCAAGAAGAGAAATAGAAAGGAGAGGCCAGGTGCAGTGGCTCATGCCTATAATCCCAGCACTTTGGGAGTCTGAGATGGGTGCATCACCTGAGGTCAGGAGTTCAAGATCAGCCTGGCCAACATGGTGAAACCCCATCTCTACTAAAAATACAAAAAAAAAAAAAAAAATTAGCCTGGCATGGTGGCAGGTGCCTGTAATCCTAGCTACTTGAGAGGCTGAGGCAGGAGAATCGCTTGAACCCAGGATGCGGAGGTTGCAGTAAGCCAAGGTCACACCATTGCACTCCAGCCTGGGAAACAAGAGCGAAACTCCATCTCAAAAAAAAAAAAAAAAAAAGAAAGAAAGAAAGAAAGGAGAAGGAGATGGGGGGTGGGGGGCTGCAGTGGGAAACAGCTCACTCATGCTGACAGCCAGAAGTTAGAGCCAAACTACAAGAGAATTACAAACATGCATGAAAAAAATCTTTCTTTGAAGCACTCTGCTAGACAGGCTGGTTCTAACAAAAAGCAAAATCATTTCATCTAAATTTAAAAGTGAAAATTAAAACAACAAGCATAAAGGGCCCAAGAAGGGGAGGTTATGGCCCTCTCTTTAATGACTGAGCAGCATACCTTACATAGCCACATTACTGCTATTACCAAGAGGGGCTCAGGCTCCTCTTAGTCCTGGTGAGGATCAGTCCCTCACTGCCACACAAGATGGTCAAGTCCAGGGCCATGAAGGCCCCTTACCTACCCAGGCCCACCTTCTGCCACGTGAAAGAGGAATGAGCACCAAGCTCCTAGCTGACCGCAGCTTCATGGAGAGGGTGGACCTCCCTGCTGAGATCTGCCTCGCCTTCCTCAGGCCTCTATCTTCTGAGACGCATCTGCTCCAAACTGCTGGACTGCATGAACGGGGCCTGTGAACAGACTTCTGCACCCTGTCTCGTCCTGACCAATGGCAACTATGCCATGTTCTTCAGCTTAAGACCCTTCTCCTGGCCGGATGCGGTGGATCACGCCTGTAATCCCAGCACTTTGGGAGGCTGAGGCGGGCGGATCACGAGGTCAGGAGTTCGAGACCAGCCTGGCCAATATGGTGAAACCTCGTCTCTACTAAAAATACAAAAATTAGCTGGGCATGGTGGCATGCACCTGTACTCCCAGCTACTCGGGAGGCTGAGGCAGAAGAATCGCTGGAACCCAGGAGGCAGGGCTGCAGTGAGCCGAGGTCATGCCACTGCACTCCAGCCTGGGTGACAGAGTGAGACTCCATCTCAAAAAAAAAAAAGAAAACCCTTCTCCATGTGGGATAGTTACTACCTGACTCTTCCAGAGTTGCAGTCAACAGACACCCCCACGAACACACTAATGGCAGAGACTGAGACCCTCCCTACCCTCAGCATCTCCCCACCCCCACATGGTTCCCACTAAAAGATTTGCCTGGTACAAGGTCCAAGCTGGAAGGAGCAGTTCTTTCCAGCAATGTACACACTGATTCTTGAGGTTTCAGTAGCCTTCCAGGTCCCTCCTGTGCACAAACATCTAAAGCTTCACCATCTCTGAGATCAACAAGTACCTTGTTTATAAAACTTCCAATCTACTACTTACAGAAAAACTCAGGAAAAGTCAGCAAAATAAAGCACACTCAGTATGTGAAGTGGGGGGCCAAACTATGGATGCATTTTCCCGAGTGTCCCATATGTTTTTAAAATTAATATCATCTGGTAATCATTTGTTGAACCCTTCTCATCTCCAGAGATCAACAGACTAAAGTCAGCAAAAAGTTTCCTCCTTGGAGCTACCAGTGTCACATAGGAGGTATCTACACATCTCCAGGTGGGGCTGTAATGCCTTAATCATTGCGGTGAAGGAAAGAAAGCATAATATATAACCCCAAAATATGCTCAACCTAGAGGGTAGAAAGAAAAGAAACTTTCTTCCTTCCCTATAGTAGTCTTGTCATCTTAGAAGAGTTTATACTCAAAAACCTTAAGAGGTTTAGAAGAAAATAGTAAGTTTTCTAGAATTTCTCTCATGATAACCAAACTTCCTGGAAGTAAGACACTGGATCCTACAGCCAAAACCTTACAACAGGTTCCAAGGCACAGCACCTGCAGGCAAACTCAATCCCAACCAAACTTTAAAATCTGGAATCTTCTTAACTCTTGGAATTTGTGGCAATGACTAGAGAAATGCAGTGGTCTTCTTACATCTCTCAGCTACTTGTCTGTGACCAGAGTCCCACCACTGCCACCATCACCATCCTCCCAAACCACCAAGATGTAGAGATTCCAACACACCCCAGGTGGTACTAAATTGTCAGAGGGTCCTCAGGCTCATCACCAAGCCAGGAACAAATATAGTCTATTACATAAGAATTATATTAGAACACACTACCAGACTTCAAAAGATACTACAAAGCTGTAGTATCCAAAACAGCATGGTACTGGCACAAAAAAGAGACACATAAACCAATGGAACAGAATAGAGAACTCAGAAATTAATTCCTGTATCTACAGCCAACTGATTTTTGACAAAGGCACCAAAAACATACATCGAGGAAAGCTCAGTCTCTTCAGTAAATGGTGCGGGGACAACTGGATATCCATATGCAGAAGAAAGAGACATCTCTTATCCTATACAAAAATCAACTCAAAATGAATGAAAGACCTAAATGTAAGACCTGAAAACTACAAAACTACTAGAAGAAAACAAAAGGGAAATGCTGCAGGACCTTGGTCTGGGAAAAGATTTTATAAATTAGTGAGACCTCAAAAGCACAGGAAGCCAAAGCAAAAATAAACAAATGTGATCACATCAAGCTATAAAAGCTTCTGTGCAACAAAGGAAACAACAGAGTGAAAAGACAATCTACAGAATGGGGGAAAATATTTGCAAACTATTCATCTAACAAGAGATTAATATCCAGTATATACAAGAAACTCAAACAACAGCGAAAAAAAACCACAAATAATGGGCTGGGCACAGTGGCTCACGCCCGTAATCCCAGCACTTTGGGAGGCTGAGGTGGGCAGATCACCTGAGGTCAGGAGTTCAAGACCAGCCTGGCCAACATGGTGAAACCCCATCTCTACTAAAAATATAAAAAAAATTAGCCAGGCCTGGTGGTGCATGCCTATAATCCCAGCTACTTGGGAAGCTGAGGCAGGAGAATCACTCGAACCTGAGAGGTGGAGGTTGCAGTGAGCCGAGATCACGTCACTGCACTCCAGCCTGGGTGACAGAGTGAGACTCCATCTCAGGAAAAAATAATAATAATAATAATAATCTGCTTTAAAAATAATCTGATTTTAAATTCATCATTTAAAAATGATCTGAAGATATTTCTCAAAGGATATACAAATGTCCAACAAATATATGAAAAAATGCTCAACATCACTAATCATTAGGAAAATGCAAATCAAAATCACAATGAGGAATCATCTAACCCCAGCTCGCATGGCTATTATCAAAAAGACAAAAAATAACAAATGCTGGTGAAGATACAAAGAAAAGGGAACTCTTATACACTATTGGTGGGAACGTAAACCAGTATAGCAATTATGGAAAACAGTATGAATACTCTTCAAAGAACTACAGGTACAGCTACCATATGATCCAGCAATCCACTACTGGGATTTATGCAAAGGAAAGGAAATCAGTGTATTGAAGAGACATCTGCACCCCCACGTTTAGTGCAGCACTATTCACAATAGCCAAGATGTGGAATCAAGCTGGGTGTCCAACAACAGATGAACGGATAAAGAAAATGTGGTCTATATACACAATGAAACATTATTCAGCCTTAAAAAAGAATGAAACCCTGTCATTCTCAGCAACACAGATGGAACTGAAGGACACTATGTTAAGTGAAATAAGCAAGGAACAGAAATTTAACCACCACATATTCTCTCACTCATGTATGGAAACTTAAAAAAAAAAAATTGACCTCCTAGAAATAAAAAGTAGAATAGAGGATACTAGGGGCTGGGAAGGGTTGGGGGAAGGGAGGGATAGAAGGAGATTTGTTAAAGGATACAAACTTATAGCTAGACGGGAGGATTTCTAGCATTCTATAGCACAATACAATGATGCTAATGAATAATATATAGCTTCAAATAGCTCGGAGGAGGATATTGCATGTTCCCAGCACAAAGAAATGATAAATGTTTGAGATGATGGATATGCTAATTACCCTGATATGATCATGGTATGTTGTATGTCTCAAAACATCACTATGTAGCCCATAAATATGTACAATTATGTGTCAATTTAAAACTTAATAAAAATAATGTTTCTTAAAGTTTGGTCCAGTTGCTCTCTGCTTCTCAATCAGTTGAAAAGCTTGTTGAAAATGTGGATTCTGACTCTCAACCTACACCTAGAGGATCTTTGTGAAGGTCAGGAAGTCGGAAATGTGAATTTCAAGAAGTTTTCCAAGTGATTCAGAAGCACCCTCAAGTACAAAAAACAGTGCAAAATCAGAGTCAAAATAAAACCTTCCGTTATTCATCACCCTGTTTTCCATCTGGTATGCCAAGCATTTCTCTCAATCATTCATTCAAACACCTGAGCACCCACACACCCATATAACCAAGATGAATGTTATTTAAGCATTAGCCAACCTCATTTTGTCTTAGTCAAAAACAGCCAAACCCCAGCTTTCCTAAATCACAGCAGCCCAGACAGTGGATTTCTTGGTTTTGTCACTCTGGAAGTGTTTTTGAGAAAGGTTTAAAGACATTGTTTGAAATCACCTGGCATCGAGTTCCTGCATAATGGGATCATCACCTGGCATTATGAAGGTGCTCACTTGAGCAGAGGGGCTCCAGGGGCCAGGCTGAGTGAAGCACCTCAAGATTAAGAGCCACCAGCCTGAGAGGCTGCTGCTTTGGAGACCTCATAAAGCACCAGAATAAGTCAAAGTGAACTTTTAACTCAAGATTTGATGCACTGAGCTTGGATTTGATCTATGATGAGACTCGATCTGCTTTTAAAGACTAGTTGATTTAAGCCCGAAAGAACTGAGACCTGTCTTATGAGAATTAATATAGGCTTTCACAATATTGCCTCATTTCCCTCTGAACTATTAACTCTTGAGTTTCTGGTGTCTTTAGGTGAAAATTTCGATACCAATCTGCGTCTTAATGCTCACAAATTATATCTTATTCTTGATACTGACGATGTTGGAACTTACCTGGAAATGAGCTAAGTCCTGATTCACGTCTCTGCTTTGTACTATAACACACCCATCCTGAAAGTCACGCTGAAAAAATTCTGATACTAGCTAAAGCCCTGGGGTAAAAGTGGGTGAGCAACCCCAGTTTAGTACCCACCAAGAGCAAGAGAGATGGGAGCTGTCCTGTGGAGGCCAGGAGAAGCAAACCCAATCATCAACAAGCCCCATGGCTCAGCTTTTTCCCTAAACATCAACTAAGTCTCTAAATTCCACCGTCCCTGAATTCAAAGTGTCCTTTACTTTTTCTCTAGGGGCAACAAAGCATAGAGGAAGGTAGTGTGATTCGGCAGTCAGAGACCTAATTATGCCCTAGGCCAGGGGTTTTCAGACTTTGCCCACATCAGAATCACCTGGAAGTTGGTTAAAACACAGCTTCCTGGGCCCCTCCCCCAGAGCTTATGATTCAGGAGGTCTGGGTGGAGCAGGAGAATTTGATTTCTAACAAGTTCCCAGGTGATGCTGATGCTGCTGGTAGGACCACACTTTGGGAACCACTTGTTTTCATTTTTGTGACCTCGGGCAAGTTCTTTATCCACTCTAAGACTTGATTTCCACATTTGCAAAAACAAAAAGCTGGCTAATTCGCTCTTGCAGTCCATCCCACCGTCTCTGTGCCCAAAGGTCTGCCTGCTTATAAAACAAGAATTTCCAAATGTTCATATCACATTCCTAAATGCAGACAGTAAATCAGATCTGATGCTGATGCTCATATTGCATTGTATCAGCAGTTTACTACAATGCCAACAAGACAGAACTTGAGAGCTTGTGTTTGCCATTTTTGGGGGGTGCCAGTGCCACGGAAATATTATTTGGCAGGGGCTCACACTCAGCTGTCAGTGTGGTCAACTGTACATAGGTTCTGTGATATGAATAAAGCACTCTGGATAAGTTTATTCAGGTAATGGTTAAAGAGAAGAGAATCCATATAAAAGCTCAACAATGTTTTGAAGAGGGTAGCTCCAAGTCCCCAAACTAAGTTTTATTTGTAAGAATTCACTCATTTGTTTTCGGAAAAATTTTTACTATCTGCTATGAGCCAGGTATTGTGCTAAGGATACATGTGGTATGGGTGACAAAGCCCCTATTCTAACGGGGGAGGGAAGCAGAGAATAAAATATTCACTAAAATGAGTGCCAAACTCTGGCTGTGATTGTGTGTTGTAATAGAAGTGAGTCAATTAGTAGAATTTGACTTACTAGGGCCTGTCTGGAGACGGAGGAACTGAGATCTGAGGTGTGAAGAAATGGACTCGGGGAAGAGGAGAGGAGAGAGTTCCAAGCAGAGGAAGGAGCACGTGTATGGCCCTGAGGACGGAGTGGGGAGAGGGAATGGAGAAAAACCAGTGTGTTTGGAGCAAAGAGAAGGAAAGAATGTGTGTTATCAGATGGGGCTAAAGACGTAGGCAATGCAAACCATGCTGCGCCTACAAGGCGTGGCGGGACTTTATCCTAACATCAACCAGCGGCA
This sequence comes from Homo sapiens, assembly GCF_000001405.40. Taxonomy (NCBI): domain Eukaryota; kingdom Metazoa; phylum Chordata; class Mammalia; order Primates; family Hominidae; genus Homo; species Homo sapiens. Next base: position 31,892,369 of record NC_000003.12, read on the forward strand.
GGGACAGAACCAGAACTACTTTGTAGAAAGAGAATTCTAGCTCCAAAGTAGGGAAAGGCCAGGAAAGAAGCCAGGTGGGAGCAGAGGGAGCAGAAAGGCGGCTGCAGAGACTCGCTTTCTCTCAACGTGACGACTGGGGAGACTAACACATTCTCTCCCCAAAAAAGTCAACTATAAAACTGGACAAAACTGTCAAAAGCAACCATTTCAGAACAGTAGAAACTGACCAAACTTTGATAAGAACAAGCAGAGCTTGGGGATCATGCCTGGGCTGTCCCCAGCCTCCTCCTAGCAATGCTGACCGGTAGTTCGACTGGGGCAGCAGGGTTCTGCTGCCTGAGGGAGAGGGAGAGGGCGAGGGTGAGGGCAATTGCTCACATGATTCGGATCATCATCAGGTAAAGTGGCAATTGCAGGCAGATGCAGTGGGAAGACCAGGGGCTCCACTGGCCTGAGGTTGCTGCCCAGTTTGGAGCAAGCCACGGACCAGCAGACTAGCCAGGGATTTAATTGGGAATTTCAGGAGGTGAGAAAACCATGGGGCTAAACTTTTCATGTATCTGTTAACCGGTGGTTGAGCACAACTGCAGCAGAGACCAGAGCAGGCCCACGGCACCCATACATCCTTGGTCAACAGAGCCTATGCTCAGGCACAGGGAAGAGCGATAAAAAGTAAGAGCCAGGAAGGACACGGAAACAGCCTGAAATGTTAATGTGCTCCCTCCTAACAAGCAGATAGAGGGGCAGAGTCAAAGCCTTTCTGGCTAAAGCACAATCTCTGGCCAATCTTTGACTAAATACCAAGTATATACATGCAAAATATACAAAGAACCCTTACACCTCAAAACTAAGAGAAGCAACCCATTCAAGAAATGCAAAATATTTCATTTCACCAAAGAAGACATTTCACCAAAGAAGATACATGAATGGTTAATAAATACATGAAAAGATGCACATGATTAGTCTTTAGAAAAATGCAAATTAAAACCACAATGAGATTCCAGTTCACACCCACTAGAACAGCTATAATTAAAAAGACAATGACAAATGGTAAGGATATGGAGAAACTGGAACCTTTCCACACTCTTGGTAGGAATGTGAAATAGAACATCTGCTTGTGAAAATAAACTTAACCTACAACACATCAGTTTCACTCCTAAGAATCTACTAAACAGAAATTAAAACAAATGTCTACACCAAAGACTTACATGCGAATGTTAAAGCAGTATTATTCATAGTAGCCAGAAACTGGAAATAATTTAAATGTTAACTGGTGAATGGATAAAGAAAATGTGGCATATCCATCCCATGGCATACTATTCAGCAATAAAAGTACAACATGGATGAACCTCAAAAACATTATGCTAAAGGAGCCAGATGAAAAACACTACAAATTGTATCATTCTATTTATATAAAACGTCCAGCAAAGGGAAACAGAGAGACAAAAAGATAAGTGGTTGTCTGGGGCTAAGGGTGGGAGCAGGATTAGCTGCAAACTGCTTACAGGGATTATTTTATTTTTTTAAAAAAATGTTGGTGTTAGAAATATTCTCAAACTGAATTGTGGTGATAGTTACAAAACTATATAAATTTACTAAAAGTAACTCAATTGTATACTTACAATGAGTGAATTTTATAATGTTTAAATTATACCTTAATACAAGTGATATCTACAGTGATCCTGGCAATAGCCTAGACCAAGGTGGTGATGGCAGAGTTTCAGTTGACAAGATTTGATGAGGCAGGAATTCAGTTTTGGGAATGCTGCATTTGAAATACCTTACTCCAAGAAATGTCACTTAGCCGTTGGATGGATGAATCTGGAGCCCAGGAGCGGTCGGAGTTGGAGATGTGAATTTGCAAATCATCTGCAAATAAGTAGAAATTGAGGCCACAGGCATAGATGAGATTGCCCAGAAAGAGGAACAAGGAGGACAAGGGGAGGCAGGAAGGAACGGGCCTGGGACCAAGACTTGAGGAATTCTAACATTAAACAGGGAAAAGAACAGAGAAAACAAGGCAGAGAGGAAAACCAGAAGCACAGAAAGGACAGAGTGACCATGTCAAATGCTGACAAAGTGTCAGTAAGAACTGAAACATCCTATTTGTGACCATACACTCATCTGTTTATTTCTAGATTCATGGATTCCCATGGCCCTAATTTATTGTCAAGCAAATCCGTTTTTGTTTTGTTGTTGTTGATGCAGCAAGCCCAAGAGAAAGGAAAAGAACTTCTCTTCCAAACACGTATTGCCTAAATCCACCAGCTATTTTCCAACATCCTCATTCCATTTTTACTGGGAGGAGTGGAAACATTATTGGGTTGAAGCCAGGATCTGAATTTCAGCTCTGCCACTGATTGATTAGCGGTCTGAAACCAGGTGTGGCAGAGACAGACTACTACCCACTAAATACCTATTTCCCTTCTCTCTCAAGAGAACGCTAGTTTTTAGTCGGACACAACATGCTATGCCGGAATATCTTTCCCAGCCTTCCTTTCACTTAGATGTGATCAATTGACTAAGTTCTAACTAATGAGGAAAAATGCTGTCGTATTACCTTCCCTCCCTCCTCCACTTGCTTTTTAGAAGATGAATGCAATGGCTGAAATTCCATGCCACACTCTAGGGATGGTGAAGCAGAAAGCTGGAAGGAGCATGGGTCTCTGATTTCTGTGGAATCCCCAAACCAACCCGGAAAAGCTACCTCCAAACTGCTTTTATGTGACAGAACATAAATGCTGCATATTAGAATTCTCTGCGGCCTTTTTTTTTTTTTTTTTTAGACGGAGTCTCACTCTGTCGCCCAGGCTGGAGTGCAGTGGTGTGATCTCGGTTCACTGCTAGCTGTCTCCCGGGTTGACGCCATTCTCCTACCTCAGCCTCCCGAGTAGCTGGGATTACAGGCACCCGTCACCACGCCCGGCTAATTTTTTTTTTTGTATTTTTAGTAGAGATGGGGGTTTCACCATGTTAGCCAGGATGGTCTTGATCTCCTGACCTCATGATCTGCCCGCCTCAGCCTCCCAAAGTGCTGGGATTACAGACATGAGCCACCGCACCCAGCCCAGACTTTTTTTAAACAATCCCAATCCCCCACATACACTTGGACCAATTAACTCAGAATCTCTGGGGATGAAACTCAGGCAGTGGTAGTTTTTTAAAGCTCCTCAGGTGGTTACAATTGCAGTCAACGTGGAGAATCTGTGATGGACTCCAACTTTATGTAACTCCATTACTCACAGCTGAACACAATTCCTAACTGATAATCCAAGCTGTTTGACTCTTCCTGTGCCAATGTGAACATCTTTAAAACAGGGGATTATAATGCTTACTGCTCCCACAAATATTTAGTAACTGAGGATACACTGGTAAGTGACTCAGTGTTCCTGCCTTCAAGAAACGTACAGATATGTTGTCTAAAAATTTACATGAATGGGCAAGAGCAACAAACTATATAAATTCTACAGTTATTTGTGGGAAGCATAATCAAAACCCAGGAGAAATAGCAAGGATGGGAAATACATCACCATATTAAAGGAAGGTGAAATCTAATTCCCTGTTTCAGCAATGCACTCAGTAATTGCTGAGAATAGTTCAACACTGCTGCTATATCCTCAATGCACACACCTATACACACACACAGTACTAGAAATTATGCCTAGTATATTCTACATGTCTTAATTTATGATAATTAAAAACAATGCCACATTAATTCCAAGAAACTCAACTCCAAGAATTGTATGACAGTTGTATGAATGAAACATTCACCATTGATAATAAAGCTTTCAAAATACAGAATCCTTCAGAAATTCACGTGTTGCCATCACACTAAAACCATCACACTTTGTAGAGGAAAGAGTTATTGCATCACTTTTCAGACTTCACAGAAAAACAATAATTACTCCTCAAAAGACTGTGTAAGATTATATCCCTTAGGGGGATCAAATGTTCCAGGTGCTTAGATCCATATTCCACAGAATCTAATCAAATAAAAAATGACATTTATTTTCTGCAAAGGATGGTACAGTTTCTTGACAAATCTATGAATTTTGGATCACTGCTTCCAACTCTGGACAATGTGGAGAACGTGCCCATCTCCAGCTCCCTCCTTGGAATCCAGTTGTGGAGACGCCACACAAAATAAAGGGAGCTGAAGAGCAGAGAGCCGTGCAGAGCAGAAGTGGTTCCCGATTGCAGGGACAGTCCAGGACAATCGGACATTAAGGGCCACAGAGCAGAGGCAGATTCAAGGAGGCTCCTCTAGCTGGGCCATCCACATCATTGTCATGGGCAGATAAGCAGAAGCACCAGCTGGAAGGGCTGCTGTGAAATCAGGGCAGTGCCTGCCTTAGAGGGGGTCACCTCTGGGAAGAAGAATGGTGGGCCAGCCAGCTCCTGCCTATGCCTCTTCCCTACTCAGCACCTTTCCACAGGCCACAGGAGGCAGAGTTAGCAAAGCCTAGGGCCAGTCCTTGGAGGGAGGGGAGGAAAGGCAGGGAGTTAAGGGTCCCTGGTTACACTTCAGTCCAAAGGGCACCTTCTCTCGCCACGTCATCTCATCTAGGGAGGACAGGTAGTGCCTGAGCTACTGTCATTCACCCCCTGGTAGAAAACTTAGGCAAGACAGCTAAGCATCACAAAGCACTAAAAGGTCCATGCCAGAGGCAGAAAGAACCAGAAATCAGAGAAACATCTACACTATAAAAGGAAGAAAAAAGAATGGAATGACTTAGACAGAAGAAGCAGACCTAATAGAAAACAAAGAACTAAAACTTAAAACAAAACAAATACCATAGTTAGCCTCAGCAAACCAGCGGAGGCTACTGGAAATGCAAGTAGAAACGAGCAGTTAGAAACCACTGATTGAAAATATGGGGTTTGAAAAAGAAGAGCTTTGCTAAGGGCACTCACAGGACTGGTAGAAGAGCAGAGTGTGGTGGAAAAACGAACTGGTGAGCTGGAAGATTAATCAAGGCACTCTCTCAGAAGGCATCAGGACTGGATTTTTAAAATGAAAAGAAAATGTGATAAAACAGAAGTGTTAACATCCTTCCACAGCGGTTCCACAGAACGAACAAGGAATGAAAAGAAGCGAAAATATCTAAAGAAACAAGGACCAAGTATTCACCACAATTAAAGAAAGATACGACATTTCAGATTGAAAGATCTCACTTAGTGCCAAACAGGTTAGATGAGAAAAAGCCACATGTAGATTCATTATAGTAAAATTTAAAATCAAAGAAAGAAAAATCTAAAAGCTACCAGAGAAAAAAGGCAGAAAACCTTTAGAGAAACAAACATCAGGTTGACATTAGAGTTTTTAATATCAGCACTGGATGTATAAGAAGAGAAACGAGGCCAGGCACAGTGGCTCACGCCTGTAATCCCAGCACTTTGGGAGGCTGAGGTGGGCAGATCACAAGGTCAGGAGTTCGAGACCAGCCTGGCCAATATGGTGAAACCCCATCTCTACTAAAAATACAAAAATTAGCTGGGCGTGGTGGCAGGCGCCTGTAGTCCCAGCTACTAGGGAGGCTGAGGCAGGAGAATTGCTTGAACCTGGTAGGAGGAGGTTGCAGTGAGCCGAGATCATGCCACTGCACCCCAGCTTGGGTGACACAGCGAGAACTCTGTCAAAAAAAAAAAAAAAAAAAAAAAAAAAAAAACAGAAGAAGAAGAGAAAGGAATGATATTTTCAAAATGTAAAGGAAAAAATATTGGAATCTTTAGTCTGGGAAGATCTTGTTGACATTTTAAGTGTGTAGGAAATATAGATACATTGGTCAACAGATACAAAGTTTTAGTTAGACAGGAGGAATAAGTTTTTGAGATCTATCGCATAGCAGGGTGACTATAGTTAGTAATAATCCATTATATATTTTAAAATAGCTAGGAGTAAATTTCAAATGCCTCACCACAAAAAAAGATAAGTGAGGTGAGAGATATGTTAATTAGCTTGATTTAACCACTCCACATTGTATACATGTATCAAAACATCACATTACACCCTATAAATGTATACAACTGTGATTTGTCCATTGAAAATATTTTTTAAAAACACTCTCAGGATGGGTAAGCATTAGAAACTGCTGGCCACACATGGTGGCTCATGCCTGTAATCCCAGCACTTTGGGAGGCCAAGGCAGGAGGATCATTTGAGCCCAGGAGTTCGAGACCAGCCTGGGCAACATAGCAAGACCCTGTCTCTTAAAAAAAAAAAAAATCTAAAAAAAAAGAATAAGAATGAAATAAATATCTTTACAAATATACAAAACAGATATACAGATATACGGAAACATAATTTACCACTAAGGGACCTGCATTTAAGGAGCTTTTAAGGTTCTTTGGGATAATAAAAATAATCCCACAAAGAAGTCTTGTTTGCAAAAAGAAATGATGAATAAATAAAATGGTAAACAAAGGCAAATCTAAACAATATAAGTCTACATAAAATAATAAAGATGTTTAACTTATGGATTCTTTTTAAGGACAGAACTAAAGTTTGACATAGGAGGGTATCATTAAAATTAAAATATTCAACTGGGTTTGGGAGAAAGTTTAAGACAGTTAACTTTAAACCTTTTTTTTTTTTTTTTTTTTTTTTTTTTGAGACAGAGTCTCGGTCTGTCACCCAGGCTGCAGTGCAGTGGCATGATCTTGGCTCACTGCAACCTCTGCCTCCCTGCCTCAGCCTATCAAGTAGCTGGGACTATAGGCGCACCCACCATGCCCAGCTAATTTTTGTATTTTAGTAGAGACGGGGTTTCACCGTGTTGCCCAGGCTGCTCTCGAACTCCTGAGCTCAGGCAATCCGCCCATCTCGGCCTCCCAAAGTGCTAGGATTACAGGCGTAAGCCACCACATCAGCCAACTTCAAACCTTTTAAAGCTTAATATGGATGGTAAAGTTTCAAGGGAAACCAATAGAAAATATAGTGCATAAATTCCAAAAGAGTAAGAAGAAAAAAATAGAATATAAACAAAAGAATAAAAATGCAATATATCCTCCAAAAATACAAGATGGGGTGGGGTGGAAAGAAGAAACATAGAAAAAGCTGGACAGATAAAAATCAGTGGTTACAATGGCACAAACATGTCCAAACGTATTAATCACAAATGATATAAATGAATTAAACTTGCCAGTTAAACAACAGATACTGCAAATTAAACAGATGTTTTAAAAAATCTGAACACCATGCATGTAATCTCAGCACTTTGAGAGGCCGAGGTGAGAGAACCACTGGAACCCAGGAGCTTGAGACCAGCCTGGGCAAATAGGAGAGCCTATCTCTTTAAAAAATAAAGAGAAAAGAAAGAAAGAAAAATTCAGCCAGGTGCAGTGGTTCATGCCAATAATCCCAGCACTTTGAAAGGCTGAGGCAGGAGAATTGCTTAAAGTCAGGAGTTTAAGACCAGCTTGGGCAACAGAGTGAGACCCCACCTCTACAAAAAAAATTTTTTTAATTAGCTGAGTATGATGGCACACACCTGTGGTCCCAGCATAGAAAATATTCTACAGAAAATAACTACAATTAAAAGCACCTTAGTAATATACTGGATTAAGCTGTTTTTACTTTTATGAAACCAACTTTGCAGAAGATTAAGCTGTTTTTAAAACTGCATATTTATTTACAAACATGGTTAGAAAATAAAACTTTTTTTTTTTTTTTTTTAAGACAGGGTCTGGCTCTGTCACCCAGGCTGGGGTGCAGTGGTGAGATCAAGGCTCACTGCAGCCTTGACTTCCCAGGCTCAAGTGATCCTCACCTCAACTTCCCCAGTAGCTGGGACTACAGGCACACGCCACCATGCCAGGCTAATTTTTGTGGGTTTTGTTTTTTTGTTTTTCATTTGTAGAGATGGGGTTTCAACATGTTGCCCAGGCTGGTCTCGAACTCCTCAGCTCAAGAGATCCACTCACCTTGGCCTCCCAAAGTGCTGCCACCGCACCCAGCCGAGAATGAAACTTTTAAAAAACAAACCATTTACCATATCATTGCCCCTTCTTGTTCTGCAGCCCTGTTCCTGATAAAAGCTCCAACCCTTGGTCCCTTGGCTGTGCCCACTATGACTAATTTCTCACTATTTGTCTCCTATTAAACCCCTGGCCTCTCCTCAGACAAGACCCATTGTTCCCCAAGACCTCTCTTCACATTTCTCCCCTTCTCAGGCTTGTCCTACAAGAGGAAAATTACATGATTTAGGGGCCAAAGGCACTGCAGTCAGTTGTTGTAACAGCAATTACTTTGTCTTTATTCTAGAAGGGAGTTTTAGATATTTATTTTGTACTTTTGCCATTCCACTGATTGCATCAATGTTAGATTTTCAATTCAATTAACTCTTTGGATGTTATAGGTATTGAGGAGGATCACTTTTTCTGTTTCTGATTTCCTTTTCCTGCCTTACTGCAAAGCACAGAATGTTCTGAAATGAGTGAGCAGGAAACTTTGTATTACTCTTGTCTTACATGGAAACATTTCTAAGTATTTTTACCATTAAGTATGATGTTAGCTGTTGGTTTCAGATAGTCTTCATTATAATAAGGAAAAATCCATTTCTAATTTATTAAAGTGTTAATGAAAAATAAATTTGATTAAGGGAAGCTGGGAAAATGCTGTGAGAACACTCTATCTCTGCAACTCTACTGTAAATCTAAAAATATTTCAAAACAAGACATTAAACGAAAATAGATGTTGACTTTTATGTAATGTCTTTTCAGCATCTATTGAAGAGACCATATGAATTTTGGATACACATTTTAAATCCTGTAGTCAAAGCATAAACTTTTCTTGCTGATCTCCCCACATCCATTCTCACTCACTTCTAATCATCTCCCTCTACTCGACATAAAGGTTTTTCAAACAAATGTAAATGAGATCCCCTTGCACTCCTAATTAAAATCCTTCAATGGCTTCCATTGCATTCAAGACAAAATCCAAAATCCTTAAGTGTGCCTACAGGTCTTACATGATGTAGCTCAGCTCACCTCTGCAGTCTGCTCATTCCGCCTGCTCTGGCCACAGTGGCCATCTTCCCAATGCCCCCACTTTCCTGCCTCAGAACACTCACCTATCCTGATCCCACTGTCTGGAAGTCTCTTCCCTACTCTTGGTCTGGCTACTTCTTACTTGTGCTTTCAGATCCCAGCTGAAAAAGGCCTGCCCTTGAGCAAAGTCTTCCCTTTCTCATACCAGATTCCCTGTCACTCTGCCCCATAGCACACTGCCTCCCTCGCATTTCTCACAAGTCATCACTGTGTCCTTATTTGTGGGATTATTTGTTAACATCCACACATTCACTAGACTGCATGTCCTTCAGGGCGGAACCACATCAGGATTCTTCACTGCTGGCTGCTCGGTATCTAGCACAAATGCCTGGTACAAAAAGGGCATTTAGGCCAATCGCACCTGTAATCCCAGCACTTTGGGAAGCCAAGGCGGGCGGACTGCCTGAGCTCAGGAGTTCAAGATCAGCCTGGGCAATACGGCAAAACCCCATCTCTAGTAAAAATCAGCTAGGTATGGTGCCGCGCACCTGTGGTCCCAGCTACTTGGAAGGCTGAGACAGGAGAACTACTTTAACCTAGGAGGCAGAGGTTGTAGTGAGCCAAGATTGCACCACTGCACTCCAGCCTGGGCAACAGTGAGGCTCTGTCTCCAAAAAACAAAAGCACCAAACAAAAAAGGGCATTTAATAAGTATTTATAATACTGCATGATTTTGCACAGGTCACTTAACCTCTCAGTGCCTGTTTCCGGTCTGTAAAATGGGGCTAAGAAGATCTCACTTCACAGAGCTGTGCTAAGGTTTAAACAAGCTAATGCACATATAGCACCTTAAAGATGGACCTGGCACATATACAGTACTAAGAGGCTGCTTCTTGTCAGTATTTTTTTTTTTTTTTTTTTTTGGAGACGGAGTCCCACTCTGTCGCCCAGGCTGAAGCGCAGTGGCACCATCTCGGCTTACTGCAACCTCTGCCTCCCTGGTTCAAGCGATTCTCCTGCCTCAGCCTTCCGAATAGCTGGGATTACAGGTGGCTGCCACCACACCCAGCTAATTTTTATATTTTTAGTAGAGACGGGGTTTCACCATGTTGTCCAGGCTGGTCTTGAACTCCTGACCTCAGGCAATCCACCTGCCTCAGCCTCTCAAAGTGCTGGGATTACAGGCATGAGCCACTGCGCCCAGCCTTCCTGCCAGTGTTTTTTGAGACAGAGTCTTGCTCTGTCGCCCAGGCTGGAGTGCAGTGGCGCAATCTCGGCTCACTGCAAGCTCCACCTCCCAGGTTCACGCCATTCTCCTGCCTCAGCCTCCTGAGTAGCTGGGACTACAGGCACCCGCCACCACGCCTGGCTAATTTTTTTTGTATTTTCAGTAGAGACCAAGTTTCACCGTGTTAGTCAGGATGGTCTCGATCTCCTGACCTCGTGATCCACCCGCCTTGGCCTCCCAAACCTGCTAGTCTTAATGTAGCCCCTAAGTCAGTGGCCAGCAGGCACCTGTTTCACCCTGCTCACCCTTCTATGGAGTCTGATTCCAAAGAGAGCAGTGAGGAAGAACAGCCAGCTCAACAATGCAGAAAGCTGAAAGCATGGAGAAAGACAGAGGATTTATTCATTCTTGCACTTTTCTGACATTGCCAGTCCCATGCCCTTCCTTCCTCCTTCATCCCTGCTATAGTCCAAAAGACACAGGATAAACAAGAGGCCACAGCAAATAGCATTTGCACAGTCTTTCTTACATTTATTCATTCAAAAGATATACTAAGCACTAAGTACCAAGCACTATTCTAGGTGCCAGGAATACAACAGTGGGAAAACATAACAAAAATTCATGCCTTCACCTCAAGGACCCTTTATAGAGAATAGAGAAGGCAGAGAAACTAATAATTGCTAATATTTCCCTAACCTTATGATGGAGGCATTATTATAATCCCTTGTTTTGTTTTGCTTTTTAGGTTTTTTTTTTTTTTTTAGACAAGGTCTCACTATGTTGCCCGGATTGGAGTACAGTGGCACAACACCAAGGCTTGTGCAGCCTTGACCCCCTAGGCCCAAGCAAACCTTCCACCTCAGACTTCTGAGTAGCTGGGACCACAGGCCATACCACACCACCCAGCTAATCTTTAAAAACTCTTTTGTAGAGACAGGGTTCCACTATGTTACCCAGGCTGGTCTCAAACTCCTGGACTCAAACAATCCTCCCACCTCAGCCTCCCAAAGTGCTGGGATTATAGGCATGAGCCAGCATGCTCAGCTATTAGCCCTTTTTAAAGATGAGGAAACCGAGACACAGAGATCTCTCATCAGAGTCAAACAGCCAATCAGCAGCAGAGGCAATAGGAGCCCAGGCAATCTGTCCCCAGAGCTGTGTTCCTAACTACTGCATTATTCTGCCCTTTTCTGAAAAATAAGAGTATATAAAATCTTCTACCTCAGAGCAAAGGGTCTCAACTTTGAAGCTTTTTGTTAAAGCAGGGTGACGGGGTTGCGGGGATGGGAGGGAAACACTTGTCAGGACATGTCAAATATTCAACAGGAAGTCAAGGTGGATTTCTACTAAATCCAGTGAACACAGGTTTCCAGGAATCACCTCCTCAAAGGATTCTGTGGGCAGCTAAAACCTAGGAGAGGGGAAGGAGAGAAGATGAATGGGGAAAATCCAAACTATAATACTACCGCCCTAAAAGTTCTCACAAGGGCTGACAGGTCCCAGCCAGGATGGAGCCCACATTCTGCCTCTTCCGGCCACTCTGGACAGCTGGCTCCCTCCCTCTCCCCTGCTTCTTCCTTGCCCACTTTAATCCACCTCTCACACCCAGGCTTAGTTTTATTGCTTGATTACCTTTCCCACGCATGAGATCCCACGCCTCCCAGACTGGCAGGAAACCAGAGCCCTCAGCAGAGGCATCAAAGCCACCCAGTTGGCGGATATCAGGGCTGAGGAGAAGAGACTGCAGCAGGCAGGCCAATTCATCCCAGGCACTAAGGCACCAAGAAGCCAAAATGATATCTGGGCAACCAGACCAGGCTGCCACAAAGGGCTCCTGGAAAACAGGCACATTTTCAAAACAAAATCCACTTGTGGGCTAGCTCTACCTGGCATTTAATTAACCTGAAAGGGTTGGATGTACCAAAAAAGCCACCAAAAATAAAATTAAAATCTCAACTGTTCCTCCAACACATGCTCCCAAGCCTCCACACAACATGATCCAGCGTGACCACAACATCCACAGAGTAAAAACACAAAACCCAGGGTCACTCAGATCCTCCTAGGGTGACTCTGGGGCCACACAGTTTACTCTCTGGGAACACATAATCCCAAACAGAGGATAGAGCGGGCTGAAATTGCCATAAACTCTGACTCTCCACAGACTCAAAGGCAACCTGAATCAAAATCATTTCCAATCTGGGTCTGAACCTGTCAAAATCTGTGTCTACAGAGATAGCTGGTGTTTGGCCAGCGAGTTCAAATCAAGGTGGAACTTTCCCAACTTTCTGGGAGAGGAGAGCATCAGTTATGAGGCAGAGCTGAGGTTTTCTCCAAGGAATTTTTCTTAAACTGGAGGCAGCTACAAGCATCTGCCTATAGGCTGCCACCGGAATATAAAACAAAAGTATAAGCAACAAAGGAATCGAGTAATAGAAGTATCTACCTCACAGGACTTCAATGAGGGTGAAGTAAGTTATTTGTAAAATGCTTAAAATAGTATCTGGCACACAGGAAGTATAATATGTCTGTCAAATATTAATAACATAAATGAAGGAAATACCAATTACTCTGAACAAAATCACTGTCTTGCCTACATAGAAAGCTTAATTTTTCAGGGGCATGAGTTTGTGATCACATTCTGCATAAATACATATGAGCTGTGATTTCCTAGTCCTCAAGTCACACGATGATATCAAACTTGTCAATATGTCAAAGAGCACATGGCATTCCACAAAGAGCTCTATGTCAAGGAACCTGGTGATTTTTTTTTTTTTTTTTTTTTTTAGACGGACTCCCGTTCTGTCACCCAGGCTGGAGTGTAGTGGCACAATCTTGGCTCACTGCAACCTCCGTCTCCCGGGTTCAAGTGATTCGTATGCCTCAGCCTCCTGAGTAGCTGAGATTACAGACATGCGCTACCACACCCAGCTAATTTTTGTATTTTTAGTAGAGACATGGTTTCGCCATGTTGGCCAGGCTGCTCTCGAACTCCTGACCTCAAGTGATCCACCTGCCTCAGCCTCCCAAAGTGCTGGGATTACAGGAGTGAGCCACTGTGCCCAGCCAGAACCTAGTGAATTCTCATCACAATAGACAAGATTAAGGCCTAGTGAGAGAGGAGGACAAAGATTAATAAACATCACTGAATTCTAAGCATTGACTATGATATTATTCAAATCTGTCTTGAAATATCCATCATACCACTCTAGAAAAAAAAATATAAGACTTCTTAGCAAGACAATAAAACATTCCCTGACAAAAAAAAACCTATCACTTGATTAATTATTCTATTCCCATCACCTCAAAGAAGGAAAAAAAAAAAAAGTGTGTTCTCCTCAGATGAACAAATATATATTCAGATCCAGCCTGAATTTTGAGCAACAGTCACCACATTCAACCTTATTAATCTACTCTCCTGTAGAAGGAATATGAGTTTGGGGAGTGTCTCCTGCTAAGTTTCTTCGATTCCACAAACAACACCATAGTCAGTGTCCATCACTTCAGTTGGCTCTGCTGCCATTTCAATTTGCCAAGCAAGAACAAACAAAGCAATCTATTTCACGATCAGGGAACCAAAAAACTAACCCCTTTTCACTTTGTTCTTCACCAACCCCACAACTACCTCTTAAATTATTTTTCACAAAGTATATATAACCCACTTCAACTCTCCCACAAGCAGACTAGAGCCAAAAAAAACTGGGAAATCCTTTGGCCTCCTACTGTTATTATCAATAATATTATGAGTATCTCTGCCAATTAAACTAGAAATTCCTTTGACATTATATCACTCGATTAAACATAGCTCTGGGCTTGGCATAGTGTTGTGCATATGGAGGAAGTTTGCCCTAACAGATCCAGGGCAAAAGATCATTAAATAGAAATGTATCCTTTCATTATCATCCTCCCTATCTATTATCACTACCAGCACATAAAGCTCTTTAAAGCCAAAACTACTCTCCATAACCAGGGACATTTTGGGTACTTTATGAATATATACAGCTAGCAAAATGACCAATTCCCAATCAATCAGGATTTGATGAATTAGGTCCATGTTGATGAATTAATCTTCAGGCCATCCTGACCCTCTAATCCTCCTCCCACACTGGCTACTCCTCTCCTCTGAGCAGGAAGAAAAGGTGAGAACCAAATCTGCCAAGCATGGTGGACCACTAGTGGATTGGATTCAAATTTCAAGATAAAAGAGGTTGTACCTGGTGATAACAACTATGTTTTTAGATCATCCATGGCTAACAGAAAACTGACTGAAGTAAAACTTGATTTTGAAAAACTGTCACTGAAGTCACTGAAGACAGCCTGCCTGTGAAACCCATTTCTGTAGAAGGTTTTATGTTAAGAGAACTTTTATGGCTCTAGAAAGCAGATCATTTCTCCAGCCTTCGGGAGCAGTGAAATTACACAGTCTGCCTCTGAATTATTGATGTCATAATTTATTGAAAGGTCTCCCTTAGGTCATAGGTCACACCCCAGATGCAATGATGCACAGATACACAGATGCACAGACCCATCACAAGGTCTGTGACCAGGGAGTAAAAGCAATAGCAAGCCAATGGCTTTTGAGGATCTGCTATATGCAAAGGCCCCATGGTATCAGACCAAAAAAGAACTCTAGGTCGGACCAACACACAGAGCTTCCAGCATACTCATCTGATTATCTTATTTTGTCGTCTTAAAAATAGGGCAGGTATTCTTTATTGCATTTTACTTGTAAGAAAAGTAAGACTGGTAAATTTAAGTGACCTCTAGCTGGGCACGGTGACTCACGCCTGTAATCCCAACACTGGAAGGCCGAGGTGGGCAGATCACTTGAGGTCAGCAGTTCAAGATCAGCCTGGCCAACATGGTGAAATCCCGTCTCCACTAAAAATACAAAAAGTAGCCAGGCATGGTGGCGGGCATCTATCATCCCAGCTACTTGGGAAGCTAAGGCAGGAGAATCACTTGAACCCAAGAGGCAGAGGTTGCAGTGAGCCAAGATCACACCACTGCACTCCAGCCTGGGTGAGACCTCCATCTCAAAAAAAAAAAAAAAAAAAAAAAAAAAAAAAATTTAAGTGATCTCTCCATTGTCTCATAACTAGTTCATATAAGGACCAGGACCAGATACTTGAATTTTTGGTCTATAGTTTATTTTATTAAATTATGAGGTTCCCTATTCAATACTTGTTGATATTCACTGCCAAAGACTCCTCTAGATGTTGGGAATAGAACAATCCGTGAAACAGATAAGCATTCCTGCCCTTGTGGAACTGATATTCTAGGGGTGGGAAATAAATTATAAACATATACACAAACATAGTAAGTGTCCATAAGTGGCTTAGAGAAAAATAAAACAGGCTACAGTGTTGGAGGCTGGGAAAAGGCTGCGGTGGAGGAGCAGTTCTAACTTCACTGGGTCAGGGAAGGCCTGTCTGTAAGGTGACTCTGAGCAAAGACTGGAAGGAAGAGGGTAAAGCATGGTGGCGGTAAAAATAACTGTGTTTCAGGCAATAAATACAGACTCTGAGGTGGGAGCAGGCTTGGTGTGCTGGAGAAACAGCCAGTGCAACACGGGTGGAGTGAACAAGGGGGAAGTGATGGGAGATGAAGGGAACCAGAGCCAGATCACACAGAACCTTGCAGGCATGATAGGGACTGGGGGGTTGATTCCAGATATAAAGGGAGACCCCAGGAGGGCTCTGAGCAAAGACATGACACTAGCAGCTCACTCTAGAATGATGCTTGGGTGGGTGGAGAAAGGGGGATCCACTAAGAGCTTAGTATAATTGTCTAGGCAGAGATTTATGTGAGCACAGAACCTGTGCAGATTGGTCACATGGAAAAGTTTACCTTTTAATTTTTTCCAACACAACTGGAAGAGCCACCCCCTTCTCTTGCACCTGCAGCCTGATAACTTGTTGCTCTACCAGCTGATCTAGAGGCAAGATGGCCAGCCCAGGACAATGGTGCCAGGTGTTTTTTGCCACGTAAATGCCCTAATTGTGTCGGATGTAGTTCACTAGTGAGGATGAGGTTAAGGAAACTACTGGACAGGAAAAAACATCATTGACTTTGGTTTCCTATTACTTCAGGATGTTTGCTTGCCTTTAAACATTCTGTGATTCCCTGGGTTGTGTCGGCCAATTCCCTGATATAACAGTCCATTTCCATAGGCCAGGATATTTTTTAAGTACCTGGAGATATTGATCTCCTACAGATGATGGCAGCACTTTCAGGCAATGAGATGGAAAGAGGAGATGAGCGGCTCCCCCTGGGGAACTGCAAGTAGCATTGTTTTATTTGGCTTTCACTTAACTAGTGATTAGTAACCAATTGGAAACCTTGAAATCATTTCTACAGGAAGCAGAGCCAGGTCAAGGGCCTTCTGAAACCATTAACTTTAGGTCACTGGAGAGAAGTATCATTTAGCTAAGAAGTGTCTTAGAATAAAATGCTAAAACATAGCTAGCATTCGTCAGAATTCTTAATGACTGTGTTAAGTCTTTTTACTTTATCCATAGCCTGAGCTAAGGGAAAACTACCTAGAGGTTAATGAGCAAAGTAAAGAACTTGAGAGCTGACATTACCTTTCAGATGGCTGGCCTTGGCCCTCCAGTGGTCTCTCAAAGCTATATTTCTGTAACACTCTCCTTTCTACTGGAACTGTTAAGGCCATCGGTAATTTTATCACCAAGACCTATAGTTTCTAAATAATGACCTCCACCAAAATATATTAGCATTCAACCAGAATACCAATATGATTTGGTTTCTGGTCTTCTGCCTTTCATTCTCTGAGGCTGTCTCTTAAGGCACCTGAAGATTAGTTTTGGGAAAGGGAGCTGGCATAACGGAAAATGAAAGATTCCATTAACTCCATGACTCTTGTGGCTAATGAAAGCTATTGCTGGTAGGGCTCAACGTTTAAAAAAAAAAAGAAAGAAAGGGGGAGAGAAGGAACTTCTCACTAAATTGCCATCTCTCAGCAAATGATTTCATTAGCAAAAAAGTGCAAATGAACATTTCCACAGTAACTCACCAAGTCAGTACGGCCACTTGGACACCCCAACGATTTCACTTCCCTCCATTTCAGATCAAGCGAGTGCACTGTGACTGACATAACCCTCAGCGACCACATCAGCTTTTCTTTCCAGGGCCGTTCTTCACATCCCATGGGAAACACATGCGACTTTGCCTTTAGGAACCCACATGAATCTACTAGAATGGCCCCCACTCTGAGTAGCAGCTTTGAAACAAACCCCCTAACACCATTTTTTTAAAAATGTTAAACACATACACATTTAAGAAATTAAAGACATTAAGATGCCTAAATCCTGGAGCACCAAGAGGCTGGCTACACTGGCGCTGTGTAAGACAATCATTTTGCATCCTTGTCTCCTGGCCTTTTTTTTTTTTTTTTTTTAGATGGAACCTTGCTCTGTCACCAGGCTGGAGTGCAGTGGCACAATCTCGGCTCACTGCAATCTCCACCTCCTGGGTTCAAGCGATTCTTCTGCCTCAGCCTCCTGAGTATCTGGGACTGCAGGAACACGCCACCATGCCCAACTAATTTTGTATTTTTAGTAGAGACAGGGTTTCACCATGTTGGCCAGGATGGTCTCGATCTCTTTACCTTGTGATCTGCCCGCCTCAGCCTCCCAAAGTGCTGGGATTACAGGTGTGAGCCAGTGCACCTAGCCATCTCCTGGCCTTTAAACAGGAGGGACATGGGGTTCAGTAAAGGACAACCTATTGGCAGAATTCAGAGTCAGGGGGCCGGGCGCGGTGGCTCACGCCTGTAATCCCAGAACTTCGGGAAGCTGAGGCAGGCAGATTACCTGAGATCAGGAGTTCAAGACCAGCCTGGCCAACATGGTGAAACCCTGTCTCTACGAAAATACAAAGTTATTAGCCAGGCTTGGTGGCACGCGCCTGTAATCCCAGCTACTTGGGAGCCTGAGGTGGAAGAATCGCTTGAACCTGGGAGGTGGAGGTTGCAGTGAGCCAAGATCATGCCACTGCACTCCAGTCTGGGGGACAGAGTGAGACTCTAGCTCAAAAAAAAAATAAAAATAAAAATAAAAGAATTCAGAGTCTGGGAAGCCAGAGAGTCTCCTCAGTTGGACTTCTTGGCAAATGGAATGTATGACAAATCAAAGGCTGTACTGACATACCCTCAAGCTTCCAGAGTAAAATTTAACAAATGGCGCCGCTTCCTTTAACCAAATCCATGAGTCTCCCAAACTTACAAATATTTATAGCATACTTAAATTAATTTCCTAATAAACTACTTCATGAATTAAAGGACCCCCTACTTCCTTTACTCAAATCATTATGTAACCCAGCAGGCTGTCTTCTCAAGCATGGTCCAGAATAAAAGAACATTGTCTTCTGCCACACCTGGGCTGTTGCTTTGATTCTTTTCATCTCCACAGCCCAGCCTTTCAGGACACCAGGGCAGGGTTCCATATTAAATGCGACACCCACAGAGTACTCAGATAAGTCCATCCTGCTTCAGACCCTGTTTGAGGGGGAACTTAAAGAAGACACAGGGCCAGGGGTGCTCAGGGCCTACAGAGTTGCCAAACTTTTTCTGGAAAAGGGGAAAAAGTCAATATTTTAGCTTCAGTAGGCCATTGCAGTCTCTGTTCCAACTACTCAACTTCAACTCTGCTGATACCACACAAAAGTAGCCACAGACCAGAGTAAACAAATGGGCATGACTGTGTCCCAACGAAACTTTATGTATAAAGAAAACAGTGGGATGGTTAATCTTAAAGCTACTCTCATGGGGGTGGAGGAGTGGAATGGGAAGTGGCCGCTGGTGGTTCTGAGCATTTTGTCCCTTTCTCAGAAATCTCCAGATACCCTCAGGGGAATGGCGAAACACCACTAAGCTTGGGGTAATACCTTCAACATTCCCTCTACAACAGGGGTGTCCAATCTTTTTACTTCCCTGGACCACATTGGAAGAAGAAGAATTGTCTTGGGCCACACATAAAATATACTAACACTAACAATAGCTGATGGACTTTAAAAAAAAATCTCAAAAAAAAAAAAACTCATGTTTTAAGAAAAGTTTACAAATTTGTTTTGGGCTGCATTCAAAGCTGTCCTGGGCCACAGGCAGAGCACAAGCTGAAGGCTGGACAAGCTCACACTACAACTTTCTTTCACCTCCTTTCGGAAGGAAAGTGGCCTCAAGCAGGGAACATGCAAAAGTTAGTCATTCTCCTTCCATAAGTCTAGCTATATTATGAAAGAGGTCAACTTGGGTTGGCAAGTCTTGCTTATGAATAACAGTCTCAACTAACTAGTACAGGCAGGTGCTGGAAGGTCAGGCCCCAACAGGAAATTTCCCCTAATCCTCCATGCAGACAAGCATTGATTAAAAATGGTAATTTTGATGGTTGCAAAACAATGTGAATGTACTTAATGCCACGGTACAGTATGCCGAAAAAAACAGTTAAAATGATAAATTTTGTTATGTATATTTTACCATAATAAAACAATGTTTAAATCAAAAAAAAAAATTGGCTGGGCGCAGTGGCTCACGCCTGTAATCCCAGAACTTTGGGGGGCCGAGGCAGGCAGATCATGAGGTCAGGAGTTTGAGACCAGCCTGGCTAACACGGTGAAACTCCGTCTCTATTAAAAATACAAAAATTAGCTGGGCGTGGTGGTGGATGCCTGTAATCCCAGCTACTCGGGAGGCTGAGGCAGGAGAATCATTTGAACACAGGAGGCAGAGGTTGCAGTGAGCCGAGATTTGCGCCACTGCACTCCAGCCTGGGCGACAGGGCGAGACTCTGTCTCGGAAAAAAAAAAAAATTAAGGCAAAATAGTGATAGTCACGGGGTCGGGGGGCGGACATTAGTAAAGTTGAGGAAGTACTGGTTATTGAGAAGTTCCAAATGGCAGAAACAAGCAGTGTTTTCTAAACTCTTAGAATGAAATGGTAAGTTAAGGCACCCAAGAAGCTCTCGCCCTCTTATAAGGCCAAAAATCAACTTCATCATCAACATTTCCTCTTGAAGCCTTGAAGTATTTTGAGCATGTCTCTCCTTTGATGCTAGAGTTTCAGCTAGACTACAATGCGCCTTCACTACAATGGAAACCCTCAATAAAGCTGTCGTAGAGTGATAGAATTTCGGCACTGAAAGGGACCTTGGAAGATACACTACCCAGCAGCTCTGAGCCTTTTCCTGCCACAGCAGGCATGATGGATGGAGCTCACAAGCATGATGGATGCAGCAGGATCCACTCCCATGGCCTGCTCAATCCATTTCCTTCTCTGCTGCTCAAGAAAGTACTGCAGAAGGTGAGCAAGGGTGGCATTATTATATGAATAACCTTGAGTCCAGCCTAGTTGTATTGTTAAGTAAGGCATTAGCAAGCTTAGAGATCTTATTTGTGTTTGTACATACACACACACATATACCCACACACCCGCATATATAACAGCATAAGAACTGATTTATAATACAATCTAACTGGAATTTCTAAAATGCCATTTGGGGTTGATATATAATAGACTCTGTGCTTTTAATTTATACCAAGTAAATGAGGGGACTATAATACCACCCCTGGAGACCCTGTAGGCTTTTGTAAAGGGAGTCAGAAAGTGTAAATGGACACAGAAGTACTAGGTTTTTTTTTTTATTTTGTTTTTTGTTTTTTTTTTCTTTAAGATGGAGTCTCTCTCTGTCGCCCAGGCTGGAGTACAGTGGCACGATCTCAGCTCACTACAACCTCCACCTCCCAGGTTCAAGCGATTCTCCTGCCTCAGCCTCCCGAGTAGCTGGGACTACAGGCGCACAACACCACACCTGGCTAATTTTTTGTATTTTTAGTAGAGATGGGGTTCCACCGTGTTAGCCAGGATGGTCTCGATCTCCTGAACTCGTGATCCACCTGCCTCAGCCTCCCAAAGTGCTGGGATTACAGGCGTGAGCCACCACGCCCGGCCCAAGTACTAGTTTTATAAACCTAAATAGGAGAAAAGCAAAATCAAACTATTCAACCTCTTTGTGCATGTATTAATTCAGGCTACCTTAGACTACTGTAGACCACAGGCTAACTCAGAAACAATTAGAAAACTGACTAACCAAGGTGAACACAACAAAATATATGTATATAAAACTCTGAAATAAAGATATTGTTACTGACAAGAAGCGTTTTTTCAGTGCCCAAATGTGCAATATGCAATTCTATGCCCCGATTCTGTCATATCTCTAACCCACCAAAATCTAGGAGAATGGGAGAACTCTCATATTCTCGGAGAACCAAGAACTAACCAGAGGCTATAACCACCATTTCTTCCTTCTTTATTTTTTGATTGTTTGTTTGCATGTTTGTTTTTGAGACGGAGTCTTGCTCTGTTGCCCAAGCTGGAGTGCAGTGGCACAATCTCAGCTCACTGAAACCTCTGCCTCCTGGGTTCAAGTGATTCTCCTGTGTCAGCTCCCAAGTGTTGGGATTATAGGCACCCGCCACCACACCAGGCTAATTTTTGTATTTTTAGTAGAGACAGGGTTTCTCCATGTTAGCCAGGCTGGTCTCGAACTCCTGACCTCAAGTGATCCACCCACCTCGGCCTCCCAAAGTGCTGGGATTACAGGCATGAGCCACTGCACCCAGCCTCTTCCTTTCATTTTTAAGACGGTCCTAACCAAGATCAGTTATCTCCCTAGAATAGCATTTCCCGAAAAGTGTTCAGAGGTATTGGTGAATAAAAGAGTGCTATCGCCAACTAAGTTTGGGAAACTGAGCCAAAATACATCTCTACCAAGTATCAATTTCTTTACTGTGTGACTTATCAGAGTCTGTAAATATGCTTGTATTCATTATGCAGCTCCAGAAGGATATGGCAGCAGGCAGTGTTTCCCAACCTTACTAACCACAGCACTCTTTTTGTCAGTATATCTCATGTGACTAGCATTCCATGGAACCCACTTTGGGAAATGTCACAGCAAAAATATATCCAAGATGGGACTCTGATTTCCCAGTATATGGAATTATTTGAGCCCGAGACTCTGGATTTTAGTATCAAATTTTCCTAGTTACCGCAAATGAGGTGTTCTAAATATGAAGACTAGAACTAGAACTCACTTGACCCACTACAAATGCCCAACTAGTCATTAGCCATGTGCAACTATTTAACTTAAAATGATTATAAAATTAAATAAAATAAAAAATTCAATCCCTCAGTCATGCTGATCACATTTCAAGCACTCAATAGCCACATGTGGCTACTGGCTACCATATTGGACAACATACCTATATATCATTGCCATCACTGCTGAAGGTTCCATTGAACAGCATTACACTAGAGTATAAGCTCCCTGTGTTTACGGGGATGTGTCTATTGTGTTTTGTTTTGTTTGGTTTTGTTTTTTCCCTTTGAGACAGAGTCTCACTCTGTCGCCCAAGCTCCGTGCTGGAGTGCAGTGGCACAATCAGAGCTCACTGTAACCTTGAACTCCTGGCCTCAAAGCACAGGTATTACAGGTGTGAACCACTACCATGCCTGTTGTCTTCTATCGTATCCTCATCTGCATCCAGTGCACTGCTTTGAACACATTTTTTTTTTTAATAAATAGCCATTGAATGGTAACAGGGGGGAAAAAAAACCATTACCATGAATAAAATTTCCTCTTATTGGTGGTTTCCTGGAGTTGTTCCCTTCCACTTCGCCTCCCAACTCCTGTCCTCAAATTCTCTGGTGACCTTCAGGTGTTCATCACAGCACTATTCACAATAGCAAAGACATGGAATCAACTTAAGTGCCTGTCAATGGTGGACTGGATATATAAAATGTGGTACACATATATCATGGAATACTACCCAGCCATAAAAAAATAATCATTTCCTTTGTAGCAACATGGATACAGCTGGAGGCCATTATCCCAAGCGAATTAATGCAGGAACAGAAAACCAAATGCCGCATATTCTCACTTATATGTGTAAGCTAAACATTGGGTACTAATGGACATAATGGTGGCAACAATAAAAACTTGGGGCGACTAAAGTAGGGAAGGAGAGGGAGCAAGGGTTGAAAAACTATCGCATACCATGCTCAGTGCCTAGGTGACAGGATCATTCATACCTCAAACGTGAGCATCACTCAGTACACCCAGGTAACAAACCTGCCCGTGTACCTCCAAATCTAAAATAAAAGTTGAAAAAAAATTATCTGTAACCAACCACGCAACACCCTTTAAGAGAAATCCAGGCCGGGAGTGGTAGCTCACGCCTGTAATCCCAGCACTTTGGGAGGACGAGGTGGGCAGATCACCTGAGGTCAGGAGTTCAAGACCAGCCTGACCAATACGGCGAAACCCCGTCTCTACTAAAAAATATAAAAAATTAGCCAGGTGTGGTGGTGGGAGCCTGTAATCCCAGCTACTCGGGAGGCTGAGGCAAGAGAATCGCTTGAACCCGGGAGGTGGAGGTTGCAGTGAGCCAAGATCGCACCATTGCACTCCAGCCTGGGTGACAAGAGTGAAACTCCGTCTCAAAAAAAAAAAAAAAAAAAGAATCCAGCACTGTCTCCAGGAGGGAAATAATTAATGTACAATAAGTATGCATGTATTTATTTTGATACTGATCAAATTCTATCCAAAAGGCTATAGCACACAAACATGGATGCACTGATACTGGCTTCTACATTCTAGAACCCAAAATAAGTTAACATGCAGAAATCAATGTGCATATTTTGTACAGCTTCCTACTCACCTATTTCCCCAATTCTAAAGTCACGTAAAATGTTCCTTCTTGGTTTGTCTTCCTAATTGGGTGATTTGGCAAGTGTAGAGTGAGTGGCCACCCCACTGCCTCTAAAAACAGAGGAGTCAAGTGTAACAACAGGTTGGTTATAAGCATTATGATGCCTTTGTTCTCATGAGCAGTCAGAAGTAAAATATCTGACACCTTTTTTCATGCACCAAACCTCACTCTAAATTGACTCTTAGTCTTTTATCACCCACCCCCACAAATGATCATTTTCCACAGTCCATGGCTCACCAATGAGTAAGCTAATCAATACAGTAAAAATGTAAATGTTTGTTCCACTCAGTACTCTTAAATATTGGAGTGGACACTTTCAAAATCACCTTTCCCTGATAACATAAAAGCTCTCTAAATCCCTGATTAATTACTTCTCAGGCACCTGTTAATCTCCCTCGCTGTTTCCAATTAACAAAATCAAAACCAACAGGTTTTAACATTCTTGCCAAAAAGACCAATTGTGTTGATTCATCCACCTGGCCCTCTCCTGAAAATGGTTGCTTATCTCTGCTTTCCATCTTTAACTGTTTAATAAATGTTTTTATTGTAAGCCGGGACTCCTATTAAGATATGCAGACTAAATATATCTCTTTTGTTCTAATATTTAGATTTCAAAAAATCGATTTCAAGCCTCTCCAAAAGCATTTCTTCTAAATAATGTGAGGCTGTGCCTCCTTGCATTACTTTACTTCCCTTGTGCACATCAATAATGAGATTCCAGGAGGAGGTCAATAGGACACTGGAGAATAAGACAAGACAAAGTCGGTGTCACAGCCGGGGTTCAGCATCCCACCGGTGCCCACACTAGGCCCCACACAAGAAATTACACGACAGTTACAGCGTTCATGTGAGGTGGGGCCAAGGGCCTTGGCAAAGGAATTTCAGTGTCCAACTCCACTAGGAGTCCCAACCAAATGAGAAAGTAATTCAATCTTTACAGTCTTTATAGTGAAAAGCTATTAACGAGGTGTCTTTTGCTATGTTGTGAAAAATGAAAAGAATAAATCCTTACTGCTTGACTAGAGAAAAAAAGTACATTCAAGAGCCTCTGTTAATTTACATGATGGGTAGTTTAGCACACCTGGCTGCAGACAAGTGCAACCTATGCAAATAGGTAACCCCCAGCTGAAAGACTACAGACACCCAAACCTCCTACTCACAAGTATGCTTTGTTTTTATCAAGCAACCAGCTTTTGAGAGTCTCTCTGAACCTATTCTGGTTCTGGAGGCTGCCTGATTTAAAACACAAAAAGAGAAAAGAAACTAGCTGTTGAGATAGGAAGGAGCACCTTGGAAGGTACAAACTGATCTAGTATGCTGACAATCAATCAATCAATACCTCAAAACATGTAACCTTGACTGGACTAACGCACTCTTTTTTCCTCTTGGCTTCCAGTAGGATTACTGCACTAATTCCCAAGAGCTGCTGAAGTATGAGGCTGACTTTGCTCCTCGGTTTTGTTATCAGCCTTAGTTAAGGTGTTTGAGAGAAACAGATACTTAAAATGTGTGATTACAGTTTAAAACATCAAGGGACTCTGATTAAATCTTTAAGTGGTGCTAACAGCCTTAATAACTTTAATTTGTTAAATTTAGAAACTAAGTGAGGTTAATCAATGAATAAGTGAAACCATTTTTGACATGAAAATTACTACTTTATAAATAAAAATTTATCTACAAGTTGAGCTTAAAGTTCAAGAAATACTAGGTTTTAAAATTTACTATTTTAATAAACTAATAATTGAAAAAGAACAACTTACTATAAATATCATTCCAAACAAAAGCCCTCCTCAGTTATTAAAAACACAATGACAATTCACTTAACCTTTATGCCAGTATTTTAAACTTTCTCTTTTGCTTTAAAAAATAGTAATAATGACAAAGTTAAAAGACAGCAAGACAAGTCCCTGAAAGTGAAACAAAAACATCTAGAAGACACACACTGGAGTTGTTTTTTCTTTTCTTTTTTTTTTTTTTAAAGAGACAGGGTCTCATTCTGTTGCCCAGGCCAGAGTACAGTGGTATGATCATAGCTCACTGTAGCCTCGAACTCCTGGGCTCAAACGATCCTCCTGCCTCAGCCTCCTGAGGAGTGAGCTACCATGCCTGGCTCCAGAGCAGTTTTGTGTCTAAAGAGTTTGGAATGGAAAATCACCTCAGAAAGGAAAAGGGTTAATGAGATAGTAAGGCGGTCATCACTGGGACCACTGCTGACCAAACAGGAAACAAATGAAAGTAAGCAAGTCACTGGCCCCACTACCTCCAGCCCAAGCCTATAAGGATAGGAAAGCAAAGTCAGTGTATGGGGTAGACCAGGTGAGACCATGGCAACAGGGGCCCACATACCCCATTTCCTGTGCCATGTGGAATGCAGGCCCACTACTGCTAGACCATCTATTAATAAATCTTCCAAAAAATTTCAGACAGTGGTAATTTGTACATATTCAGATGTTTAAGGGAAAGCATTTGATTTTTAAATCATGGCAACTAGTGATGGAAAACATTTGCACAAGCAAAACAAAACACATATGCAGGCCACAAATAGCCCATCCAAAGCCCATTTGTGGTTTCGATCTACAAGATAAAGTCAAACTTCACAGCATGAGGCACTCACAGCCTGGATCTCACCTGCCTACCAACTGCCCCCAGTCACACCCTATGTCAAACATCCTGCAACTCCTGAAGATGATTCCAAATGCTGGGCTTTTGCTCATACTGTACCTTCTACCCAGAATGCCCTGCCCAGACCACCTGGAAAGATCGCCTCTTTCATGGACTGTGTCCTCCTGCCCTCAGGTAGACTCAACCACTCCTTTCTTTGCCTCTTACACAGATTTCTATCATGACCTTTATAATGCTTTAGTATTAATGTAAATAAGTCTGACATATCAAATCCACTTAGAACAGCACTCCGCAGAGGAAAAGACCAAATTTAAAACATAGATAAATTCCCTATGACTTATTTATTGCAAGTAACAGAAACTAATTTGGTTGCTTGAGGATACATCGGGGTGACTTACTGAATGAGGCTCAAGGCATCTCACAGGAGCCAAGGAAGGTGGCCAGGTCTTAGGAAGGGCTGGAGCAAAGACTGGAAATCCAACCAACAGAGAGGAAGTGTTTTCTCCCTCTGGTTCCAATCTCTGTTTTTCCAGAAATGAACATAGTGGTTTCAGTTCCCAAGATGACACCTTCTAGAATTCCAGGAATGTGCTCATCCCAACCGGCTATCTCATCAATTCAAATTTCTAAGTGAGGATCTGATTTGTCTCTTTCACCCAATCATATCACCAGAGTTAATAAACATCATTACCAAAGGTCCAGGGAGGCAGTTCACAGAGCAGGAGGAATGGCTTCCAGAATGTGCCTCCAAAACTGTTTGCTGAGTAAATAGCAATCACTATCCTGGGCTGAGGAAAACAGGAAGTACAACACAGGCACTGCAAATCTATCCACCAAATCAGGCTTTACAGGAAGACTAGAATGAAAGCACTTTTTTATTAGAGGATAATGGCACTAATAGTGCAGACTGTGAAACATGGACGTGTTGTTAAGATAATGCATTTTAGCTTTCATAACTATCTTCTACTTTATTCCAAAGAGAAGTCCAACTTTCTGTGCCCTCCAGAGGAGCAGAATAATAGAATAATGACTATGAGTTCTGACTGGCCAGCCATTGTCAGTGGGTGCTCAAGAGATTCAAGTGTAAAGAATTTAAAATGCAGAAGATGGAAAAGGTAAAACTATAAAGACATTATAAAGATCAGGGGTTGCTAGTGGTTTAGGGGAGGAAGGGAGGAATAAGCAGGTGAAGCATTGGGAATTTTTAGGATGGTGAAAATATTCTGTATGATACTGTATTGGTGGATATGTGACATGCATTTGTCAAAATTCATAGAACTGTCCAACACAAAGAGTGAACCTGGATATATGCAAATTTGAAAAGAAGAATCATTTAGGAAGTCAGGGGATCCTAGGAAAGAACCCAGCCTGTGACAAAAGAATCTAATTGTATTACAAATGTAGGAAACAACCTTACTGAAGGAGGTAGGAGAAAGAGTAACCTAAGTGACTTTGCAAGTGAGTGGCATCTGTAAGAGTAAAGGCAAAAGGAACAGCACATAAGAATTGTACTCTAGCTGATAAAGTTGCTTCCCATGGGGATGCAGGTTACCAATGCTGCTACTGCTACACATGTGTACTGGAACTAAACAATTAAGTAGATGGATGGTAGATGGTAGAGGCCAAGTGATATGGTTTGGATATCAGTCCCTTCCAAATCTCATGTTGGAATGTGATCCAAAATGTTGGAAGTGGGGCCTGGTGGGAGGTGCCTGGGTCGTGGGAGGGAGGCAGATCCCTCATGAATGGCTTGGGACCATTTTCTTGGTGATGAGTGAGTTTTCACTCTATTTATTAGTTCACACCAAGAGTTGGTTGCTTAAAGAAGCCTGGCTTCTCTCTTGTTCCCTCTCTCACCATGTGATCCACTAGCTCCCCCTTCACCTTCCACCATGATTGGAAGCTTCCTGAAGCCAACACCAGAAGCAGATACCGGCACTATGTTTTATGTGTAGCCTGCAGAACCATGAGCCAAATAAAACTCTATTATTTAAAATAAATTACCCAGTCTCAGGTATTCCATTATAGCAACACAAATGGACTAATACTCCAAGTTTCTCACTATTGAAGTGGGGGTGAACGATAAACTAGAGGAGGAATCTAGATTAATCCATGTGCTAATAGGCTAGGGTTCAGATATCAACATGTTAAACATAAGTCAAACTCATGATAAACTTAATATAGATACACATGGTTACACATAGAAATATTTTAAAATATGTGTATATATACACCTTAGTACACACATGTACTTTTTTTATGTCAGCTAAGAGGACCTAAAAAAATGATAACCCCATGGCAACAAGTATACCTAGTGCCCACATCTTGGTTTGTAATACCATTCTCCAATAAAAGGAGTCAGGTTCCTTGGAAAAATGGCTGATTCTAAGACTGGGGCAGGAAATAACACAAGATGGGTCTAGAGCATCTTGTAGTACCAGGAAGTAAGGAAGTGCTCAAACCCACAATGATGGGGGTATGTCAAAGTGATGCAGGAGCCAAGTGAAAGAGCCTCCGATGGCCAACAAAAATGGAAACATTTGAGCAACAAAATAAAGTAACATGGGTCTATAATCCAGAGTAAAAAATAAATATGCATGATTCCATACTGATATGAATAATGATTAAGTTACTCAATAAATGGAGAAGAGACAAATCTCCCAGGCATCAGAACTGCAAATAAATGATGTAAAACCATTCCCTCAAGAAGGAGGAGTTTAACTCCCTACTCTTTAAACACTAGGTTGAGCATAGGGACTTTCTTTTGCGGAGCACAGTATGAAAAGGACAGGAGAGGAGAGAAACTTCACAGGGGAAAAACCTGAAATATACTACTTCTAGCCAGGTGATTAAGGTCAACAGCAACAATTACAAATCATGTTGATAGTATGTACCCTTGATATGATGTGATAAAAATGCCACTTTCCCTCTGTGATCTTCCTCTGAAAACACATAACCCTCATCTCATCAAGAGAAAAACATCAGACAAATTCCAATAAGGACTATCCTACAATACACCTGACTAGTAGTCCTCAAAACTGTCAAGGTCATCAAAAACAACGGAATTGTGAGAAACTGTCATCGCAGTCAAGAGGAGCCTAAGGGGCAGAAATGACAACTAAATGTAATACGGTATCCTGGAAGGGATCCTAGAACAGAAAAGGAACATTGGATAAAAAGTAAAGAAATCTAGGTAAACTATACACTTCAGTTAATAATGAGGTGTAATATCGGTTATTAATGGTAATGTAACCACATAAACGTAAAATGTTAATAATAGAGAAACTGTGGGAGTTGGGGGGAGTATGTGAGAACTCTCTATTATCCAATCAGTTCTTCTATAAACCTGGCCGGGAGCAGTGGCTCACGCCTGTAATCCCAGCACTTTGGGAGGCCATGGCGGGCAGATCACCTGAGGTCAGGAGTTCGAGACCAGCCTAACCAACATGGTGAAATCCCATCTCTACTAAAAATACAAAGTTAGCTGGGTGTGGTGGAGCGTGCTTGTAATCCCAGTTACTCGAGAGACTGAGGCAAGAGAATCGCTTGAACCCGGGAGGCGGAGGTTGCAGTTAGCCTGGATCGCACCATTGCACTCCAGCCTGGGCAACAAGAGCAAAACTCCATCTAAAAAAAAAACTTCTATAAATCTGAAATTGTTCTAAAAACAATAATAAAGTCTATTAATTTTTTTTAAAAAACTGGAAGGAAAGAGAAGAAAGGCAGGACAAGGATTTAGCGCTGTCACTTTTCAGAGATGGCTACAGTGATCTGTTCCCCCGGCTGGCTTCTTATGTGGCTCCGTCTTGCAGGGGTGGGATTCTTCATCTCCACACTGCACACCAATCTGGCCAAACCTGCCTTAATTCTAAAATGTAGCTGCTGGCACTCAGCAACAATAACCTTCTAGAGCACAAAACGGAAGCTATTTTTAAGTGATACCAGGAATTTCTAGAAACATTTTAAGCAATTGATTGTGAGGGCTTCACAGTGTTTAAAAAAATCACTTGGAGCTTTAAAGGAGCAACTAAAAGATGAAAGAAAACGCTCATCTGAACACTTCACAAAGAAAGAACAAGGGGCAAGGTCCAGGACCATAAATGACCAAACAGCATTCTTCATTTATGTGAACTGGTTTCCCAGGGTAACCACTCTCCTCTTATTGAAGAGTCTCTGAAGGCAAGTAGCCAAATCCTACAAAAAGCTGAGCTATCCAGACTGGTGGAGGAAAGGGGTGGGGAGCTAAACCACCAATTTGGTTAATTAACATTGTCCCTGGTTAACATATGGCTGTTGTCCCTGGTTCTCTCTCCAAAGGTCCAGTCCCCACCCAAATACCAGGTACAGCTTGATGCTAATCAGAGTGAAAGTTGTCAGTTTGAAAGGGAGTAAACAAACATGGTCATTAAATGAGAAGGCACCAGAGGATCGTAACGAGGAAATAAATGCATCAGACCAACCAAAAAACTGCCTCTTTTTCTTCCTGTACTTTTTGTTTGTTTTCTTAAAGACCAGTATGAGCCAGGAGCAGTGGCTCATCCCTGTAATCCCAGCACTTTGGGAAGCCAAGGTGGGAGGATCACTTGAGCCCAAAAGTTCGAGACCAGACTTGGAAATATAACAAGACCCCATCTCTACAAATAATTTTTAAAAATAGCTGATTTGGTGCACACCTGTAGTCCTACCTACTCAGGAGGCTGAGGCAGAAGGATCACTTGAGCCCAGGAGGTTGAGACTACAGTGAGTTATGATTGTGCCATTGCACTCCAGCCTCAATGACAGAGCGAGATCCTGTCTCTAAAAGACAGTGAGGAGTAAGTAAAAGAAAAAGACCAGTATGATCTACTTGTATTTTTAAAAGCCAAAAATATTCTTAAGTACACAAATTCATGTTATTTATAATAGCTTACTTTTCTGAAAATGCTTGAAATTGGAATATATTTGTCAAGGCCATGTGTGGTGGTTCAAGCCTGTAATCCCAGCACTTTAGGAGGCTGAGGTGGGTGGATCAGAAGGTCGGGAGTTCAAGACCAGCCTGGCCAACATAGTGAAACCCTGTCTTTACTAAAAATACAAGAAAATTAGTGGGCATAGTGGCAGGCGCCTGGAATCCCAGCTACTTGGGAGGCTGAGGCAAGGAGAATTGCTTGAACCTGGGAGGTGGAGGTTGCAGTGAGCTGAGATCATGCCACTGCACTCCAGCCCAGGTGACAGTGCAAGACTTCATCTAAAAAAAAAAAAGAAAGAAAGAAAAGAAAAAAAGAAATATATTTGTCTCTTACGGCATTGACTCTGGAGTGGAAAAGGAAAGGGACTCTGGAGTGGAAAAGAGTACGTGGTCCATGGCCATCTAGAGGGGAGAGAGCCCCACCACAGAGCCCGGGTCCAGCCACCCAGCCTCTCCGGGCAGCACCTTCCTTGTGAGGTATCAAATCCAGAGAGTAGATTCAAGACTTCCTGGAAGACAGAAAAGCCAAGTTCTAGAGCTTTATCCCTCTCAGGTAAAATCCTGGATAACAAAATCTCTCCCGTAAAATTGAAAACACAAGCCCAATTTGGAACAAATAGATGCACTAAAATCAGCATAATTTGGTCCATTCCTGAAACTATCTTAATCGGAGTAAAGATATGAAAAATACTTGAGTGACTTGACTTGAATATTGAATTCAGTTGGATGAGGGATTGGCAAACTTTTTCTACAAAGGCCCAGACAGTCATTTTAGGCATCACAAGCCATATGGTATTTGTCAGAACTATCCAGCTCTGCTGTTGTACCACTAAGGCAGCTATACACAATACATAGATGAATAACTGTGGCTGTGTTCCAATAAAACTTTATTTACAAAAACAAGCAGCAGACTAGAGGCTAGATTTCGCCCACAGAATATCCTTTGCCAAGTCCTGAGATAATTTCATCTTTTCTTTTCAACTAAAATAGTAGCCATTCATTCAAATTTCAGTAACAGAGCAAAATCTCACTCATTCACAAGTCAAGAACAAAGTGAAAATGAATAGAAGTCTCCTTTATGCATTTCACAAAGAAACTCAGTTGAAAGTAACACAGTTGTGAACAGCACCTGGCTGTCACCAAAAAAACTCAGCCAAGGAGAAACTCCTGGGGACCTATTTCCTCTAAGTAGTAGTACTTGGGAGCAGCATTCAACATATAGAACAGACTGGAACTTCTCAAGGGCCAGAAAAGCCCATTTTCTCTGTCTCTCTCTTCCTAACACACTCCCTTGCCCGGGAGGTTTTAGTTGGCTCCTAGGCTGTCCAGGACAAGTTCCACTTTCATCATATGGCATACAAGACCCTCCACGACCCTCCACAATAGGTCCTAACCTTATCTCCAGCCATCCTCCACATCCCTTCCCACTCCCTAAAGTACTCTGACAATATAAGACAACTCACTGCACCTTAAACACATCACTTGCCCACAAACTTTTGACTCCCCAGGACTACCAGAGTGACTGTTAAATTCATCATGCAAAGCATTTTTTTTTTTTTTTGAGTGAAAGGAGTGCTATTAATAATTATGCTGGGGCCGGGCGCAGTGGCTCACGCCTGTAATCCCAGTACTTTGGGAGGCCAACGTGGGGAGATCACTTGAGGTCAGGAGTTCAAGACCAGCCTGGCCAATGTGGTGAACCCCCGTCTCTACTAAAGGTACAAAAATTAGCCAGGCGTGGTTGTGGGCTCCTGTAATCCCAGCTACTTGGGAGGCTGAAGCAGGAGAAGTGCATGAACCTGGGAGACGGAGGTTGCAGTGAGCCGAGATTGTGCCACTGCACTCCAGCCTGGGCAATAGAGCAAGACTCTGTTTCAAAAAAAAAGATAAAAATAAAAATAATTATGCCGGGACAAGAAGAATATCCCAAAGCAAACCATAATGTAGAGTCCTTTAGCCTTAATTCACAATGACTTTTCTGTTATGAAGGCCACTGCAGTTCACTCTGGTGAATTCCTACTGATCCATCGAGACCCAGGTCAAGTATTCCTTCCTTTCCTGTTCTTTGGCTGATATCTTTATAGTAAAAGTAACCACTCTCTTATCTTTATATCTATTATAGGCTTTGTCACATAGTATAAAGTATTGTATTTCTAGTTCTAGTACACATGTACGTTTCCTTTGAGGACAGGGATGTTTCCTCTGTATACTTGGTTTTGCACTGGAGTTGGCTTATCAATTGTGCTCAACAAATGTTTATTCATTTTCTTATAATAACATAAACAGTCAATTCGCCCTCAAAATCACTCTTTATAAAGCATAAACCGGTGGTTCTCAACCATGGGTGATTTTGCCCCCCCAGAGGATAGCTGCAATGTCTGGAAAGATTTTTTATTGTTATAACCAGAGAAGATGCCATTACCATCTACTGGGGAGAGGTCAGGGATGCTGCTGAGCAGTCTACAATATACAGGCTAGTTCTCCCACAACAAAGAATTATCTAGCCCCAAATGCCAATAGTGCTGGGGTTGAGAAGCCGTGGAATAAACCAAAAACTTCACCTCGCTTCCTCATGAGATTACTATAAATTCTGGAATATGGAGACAGGAA
The DNA here is from genome assembly GCF_000001405.40 of Homo sapiens. Taxonomy (NCBI): domain Eukaryota; kingdom Metazoa; phylum Chordata; class Mammalia; order Primates; family Hominidae; genus Homo; species Homo sapiens. The sequence continues at coordinate 31,926,547 of NC_000003.12, forward strand.
ATCACAAAAATTTGCAGCACATATGCCATAAGCATATTCAGAAAGCCACCACACTTCAGGAGTTGGTGTAACATAAGACAAGTAAAAATGGCACAGGCTTGCTGTGGACGCCTGAACTGGTCTGAAAAGCTGTGTAGGTACACAGGGCTACACAGGGTGCTTTGAATGTTATTCTCATGCAGAGGTTATTACTTTGACATATGAATGACACAGCACCTATGCAGCAGAAGTAGTAACACAGTTGCACTTCCTCAGCCACCTACAAAATCAAAGGGAAAGTAGGCCGGGCATGGTGGCTCATGCCTGTAATCCCAACCCTTTGAGAGGCTGAGGCAGGTGGATCACTTGAAGTCAGGAGTTCGAGACCAGCCTGACCAACATGGCGAAACCCTGTCTCTACTAAAAATATAAAAAATTAGCTGGGTATGGTGGCACATGCCTGTAATCCCAGCTACTCGGGAGACTGAGGCAGGAGAATAGCTTGAACCCAAGAGGTAGAGGTTGCAGTGAGCCAAGATCGTGTCACTGCACTCCAGCCTGGGTGACAGAGTGAGACTCCATCTCAACAACAACAACAACAACAAAAAGTCAAAGGTAAAGTAAAAGCTACACACTCTGGACCCTTCCCAAGTCACTGACATTTCAAATCTGAAATAAATTAAAACTATTCATTACAAAAGTTGAATCTGAAACATTTTCAATTACCATGAAAAACAAGCGTCACTATTATATGTAAAAGAAACTCTGGAATATTTGGAGGTTATTTTCAACCACATCATATCATAAAAGTAATTGCTAAAGAAAAACTGAGTCATCAACTATTTAACTGTTTCCATTAGAACACATCTTTTAAGCTAGCTTCCCTAGTACAAGAAATCTCCACTCTTCAACCCTTGCTTGGTAAATTTTCCAGATAACTGACTCAAAAACGGATCACACACTTCTCTGTCTTCGTAAACTGAACAACCTATGTCAGATTTATCTTTTCTGGATGCCCAGAGTCATCTTAACTATTTTTTAAATTGTACTATACTGATATAAAAGGAACAGAGGCTTGTCCCTTCACTAAATGGCCCTAAGTGGCCTTGGTTTTAAAGGTCCTGATATAATTTTCAGGGTCACCCAATAAACAGCAGCTATTATTCCTTGTTGCAATCAGTATATCTACCGCTGGCCTTCATGCCAGCTCCTTCTCATTTGGCTTTTCCAGAAATCTAGTATAATAACCAGGAACACCTTATCTAAAACATGCGTAAAGAGGCTGAGTGAATAATTGTGGGGTTCTACCAGGCACAGAGTCTGTAGCCCGTGAATCTTCACATCTTTGTATGTTAACACTATGGAGCTCTTCTTCTCCACCCCCACCTACTAGCCCTTGTAGTCGGGAACAGGGAGGCTGCCATACAGGTAAGGAGTAAGAAATAAAAAAGGCCCGAAAAGGATAGGTTGCATGGAGAGAATGAGGAACAAGAAGTGAGAGAAAATTCAGTGTGAACCACGACCAGTAAAAATAAGGTCATTAAACTCCCGAGGGTGAAGTTCAGGTTAGTTACATTTACAACAATTACTTTCTACTCCTAAAGGACAAATACCTTTAAGAAAAATAATGGAGATTTGCGGATGGTATTTAAAACTCTACAGAAAATGAGCACTTAGGTCCCTATACAACTTTAATTCGGAGGTATTGATCTTTTTAAAAAATGGCAACACATAACCAAAACATCCTGTCCATTTGGCATCTACCTTAACCTGCCTGGAAAAAAACAATCCACTAATTGACAGTTTCAAGAATGACTCATACATCAAGGTGACTTTTAAAAGTTTATCTGCATGCTCCAAAACAGTAATTATTGTGTGTGCTACCCCCAAGTATCCTACTCTTGATTCGGAGGACACAGACCCTACCATCTACCTCAGACTTGCACAATTAACAATGCCAAGAATGGCCGGGCGCAGAGCGGCTCCTGCCTGTAATCCCAGCACTTTGGGAGGCCGAGGCAGGCGGGTTACTTGAGGTCAGGTGTTCAAGACCAGTCTGGCCAACATGCTGAAAACCCTGTCTCTACTAAAAATATAAAAATCAGCCGGGCATGGTGGTGCATGCCTGTCTGTAGTCCTAGCTACTCAGGAGGCTGAGACAGGAGAATCATTTGAACCTGGGAGACAGAGGTTGCCGCCACTGCACTCCAGTCTGGGCGACAGTGAGACTTGTCTCCAAAAAAAAAAAAAAAAAAAGAATGCCCAGAATGTATATTTATACCCTTTAAACCCCAACTGGACTAGAAGTTTAACTTGAAGCTACCAAAAGGTGTTGACAGGGAAAGACAGAAATATAAAAATCACAATCCAAAGTCAATCTATTATTAGGTCTAGGTTTATTAAATATTGATAGCATTTGATAAAAGAGCTGACTTGCACAATAGCATCGCAGAGACATCCAACTCTCAACTACCTCATTCCCAAGCCTGCATCTCCTTCACACCAGCTAGAATTAAAAAGGAAACATCCAGCTAGGATTAAAAATAAATCTTTTAGATGGTAGGTCATACATCATTGCCATAGGCACTCTAAAGGCACCTGGTAATACTCAACATCCATTCACATCTGATAATATTCAACATCCATTCTTAGAAGAAAAAAAAGATAGAGATGGATGCTTTTCCAACATCATAAAATATATCTCAGGATAAAAGTCAGCATGATGTTTAACAAGAAATTCTACTCAGGAACAAAATAAGAACCAGCATTTTTTAACATGGATCTGGAGATTCCCGTCAACATAATTAGACAAGAAAAAAATTTACTAATACAAAATTAACATGTAAAATATGTGGCTTTAATACAGACAAAAAATAACCAGTTATAAAGTATAATCAAAGAAAATACTTCATTCATGATGGTTACAAAAAGTAAAATATCGGCCGGGCGCGGTGGCTCACGCCTGTAATACCAGCACTTTGGGAGGCCGAGGCAGGTGGATCACAAGGTCAGGAGATCGAGACCATCCTGGCTAACACAGTGAAACCCCATCTCTACTAAAAATACAAAAAAATTAGCTGGGCGTGGTGGCAGCCGCCTGTAGTCCCAGCTACTTGGGAGGCTGAGGCAGGAGAATGGCGTGAACCCGGGAGGCGGAGCTTGCAGTGAGCCGAGATAGCGCCACTGGACTCCAGCCTGGGCGACAGGGCAAGACTCTGTCTCAAAAAAAAAAAAAAAGGAAATAAAAATAAAGCTCTTACTAAGTAAGAAAAGAAAGCCCAATAACCGAACAGATACATGGTCAACAGATACAGCCATAGTTCACAGGCTGGGCATGGCGACTCATGCCTGTAATCCCAGCTACACAGGACAGTGAAGCAAGAAGATGGCTTAAACCCAGGAGTTCAAGGCTGCTGTCAGCAATGACTGCACCACTGCCCTCCAGCCTGGGTGATCAAGTGAGACCCTGTCACCAACCAAAAAAAAAAAAAAAAAAAAAAACAGGTGTGGTGGCCTACGCCTGTAATACCAGAACTTTGAGAAGCCAAGGCAGGGGATCACTTGAGCACTTGAGACCAGGCGTCTGAGATTGAGACCAGCTGGGTCAACACAGCAAGACCTCAGATCTCAAAAAAAAAAAATTTTTTTTTAATTAAAAAACAGTTCACAGATAAGGATATATATACATATACATATATGGCCCCTTGATGTATGAAAACATGTTCAACTTCATTCACAAAAGGGTAAATGCAAATTAAAACTGACCTGAGAAATCATTTTTACCTCTCAGATTTTCAACAGTTCAAAACCACATCCTATTGATAGGCACTTTCTATTTTGCTAATGGAAGTGTACAACCTTTATAAGGGGCAATTAGGCAACATATATCAAAATTTAAAAATGTACATACCTTTACACTTAGCTATTTCTATTCTCAACATTTACCCCACAGAAATAGGTGCACATGCGAGAAAGTATGTATGTACAGGTATTGCAATGTAGATTGCTTGTAACAGCAAAAACTGGAACCTACCTACATGAGCATCCATAGCAGAATGATGAATGAATCACAGTAAATCCATACAAGGTACACTATGTAGTCATAAGAAAAGAGTTAGGAAGCCTTTTATCTCCTTCTATGGAATGATCTTTAAAAAACAGTGTAAGTGAAAAATAAATTGCTACTGGGTAGAATAAAAAGATAGTAGGCTGGGTGCGGTGGCTCACACCTATAATCCCAGCACTTTGGGAGGCCGAGGCGGGTAGATCACGAGGTCAGGAGATCGAGACCATCCTGGCTAACATGGTGAAACCCCGCCTCTACTAAAAATACAAAAAATTAGCTGGGCGTGGTGGCAGGCACCTGTAGTCCCAGCTACTCGGGAGGCTGAGGCAGGAGAATGGCGTGAACCCAGGAGGCGGAGCTTGCAGTGAGCCGAGATCCCCCCCACTGCACTCCAGCCTGGGCGACAGAGCAAGACTCGGTCTCAAAAAAAAAAAAAAAAAAAAAAAAAAAGATAGTAAAAAAGAGTGCTCACACCTATCTGCTTACATAGGCATTCAATATCTCTGGGAGCATATAGAAGAAACCAATAACACTGGTGATTATCTTTGGAGAGGGAGACCGAGAGACAGAAGGAAGGGGGAAACAATTCATGGCATTCTCTTTTGGATTGAAAACCATGTGAACGTAATACCTACTAAAAAATGAATTCAAATTAAATTTTTAAAAAATCTTAGTAGCATTTGAAACACTCCCCACTCTCCACCCCCAGCCCCCAACCACTTATTAAATTCTGATGATTCTCTCTAAAACATCTCTTGCTTAACCTATTTCCTTTCCAATTCTGTGGACACACTCCAAGTCCTTAGACAATTATCAAGGGTCCCCTAGCTGGTCTCCATACTCCCCTCTACCCATTAAGAATGCACCTATACTCCACCACCAGATTCAACTCCCTTTAAGGAGATGACCTTGGCCTAGACCTGATGAAGTCCTTCCTCTATACATCAGTGGAAGCTGACTGCTTACAGAATGCCACGCTCCTTGTCTTGGCATTCAAATCCAAGCCACCTTTACAGTTCTGTTGTCTGTGCTTATGTTTTTAATTCCAATTACACTAGAAGCTTCTTACAGAACACTCATTATCAAATCCATCTTTTTATTCTCAAAACTCTTAGAATGGTGTCTTGCACATAGTAAGTACTCAAGAAATGTTATTTGAATAAATGAATAAATAATAAATAGTGATGTAATTTACAGAATTTAGGCTGGGCATGGTGGCTCATGCCCATAATCCTATCACTTTGGGAGCCTGAGGTGGGTGGATCTCTTGAGTCCCAGAGTTCGAGACCAGCCTAGGCAACACAGCCAGACAAGGTGGTGTGTGCCTATGGTCCCAGCTAATCCGGAGGCTGAAGTGAGAGGATCACTTGAACCCAGGAGGCAGAGGTTGCAGTGAGCCAAGATCATGCCACTGCACTCCAGCCTGGGCAATACAGCGAGACTCTGTCTCAAAAATAAACAAATAAATAATCTTTTTAAATGAAGAAAAAAAAATTTACAGAATTTATATATCTGATTATATTATACCGAAAAATAAAAATGAAAATGAAAAACATGGTCTCTCATTCAAGAAACTTGAAGAAAAAAAAGTTTAAGAAAACCAAACACTGTTATTTGCCAATGATAAGTTTATGCTAAAATAATCCATTTCACTAGAGTTTCCAACTCCGAACACGGTCTCCTCACCTCCACCCGCATCTCCCAGTTTCTTTGCTTAGCTTAAAACTTTCCTTACCTCCAAGACAACACTGCCTCAAATTCAATGCCCTAAGTGATTTCGCTTCCTGCCTTTCAAATGGGATACAAATGGCTTAAGTACCTTGATGCTGCTTGTTCTAACAATATAATAAATAAATAAATAACAATGTAAGAAGATATACAATTTATTTCATTGGTAATGGTTTCCCTATGATTTAAATTTAACGAACACCTTGTCTCCACAAACCCACAGGAAAATCTGTAAAGTTTTACATTGCGTATAATAAAAATAAGTCTACTATATCCTTACCTATCATTTTTTCTACCTGAATAATATTAAAGTCCATTACACACTCCCCATGTCACAAAGAGGCTATTTAACATCATTTTAATGATGTCTGCTCCTTCTCCTCCCCCTCCTTCTTCTTGGTGTCAGCAAGAGAATCAAAAATTTAACAGCTTTCATGAAAACAATGAAGTATGTCAATATTTTAATAGTTGTAACATTTTATCCATATTCTTATTACAGAAAATGAAAGTATTCTCTCATTAATCAAAGCAAAACAAATTCTAACCTTTTAAGATGGTAGAATATTCTTATTTATGGTGGCAGTTTCATAAGACATACATTTGTCAAAACTCATTGAACTGTACACTTGAAAAGGTTCAATTTTATATACTGCAATAAACTCAAATTTATTTAAAAATAAAGTTTTCTAAAATCAAATATTTCTCCTTTCCAACAAATACAGTATACTAGAATAAGGATTCAATTCCAAGCAACTCAGAAGAGTTTAAAGATTTTACTGCAGGTTGAGCAAATGAGAAGTTACTCCAGTTTTACGCATGGAGAAACTGATCACTGAAATGAGTTGTGTAACTTCCCACACTGTTATTGTCAGGCCATCACCAGAGTGAGCAGACTCATGAATAGAGCACCAGTCCTGCCATCCTTTTGGCTCAGTAATGAGGCCTTCGGTAAGTTCTCGATCCCTTCAGCTGCAGAATGAGGAGGTTAGACTCATTTGCTAAGGGCCACTTCAACTTTAACATTCTGATTTTATATTCTAGAGATTTGAAGTATACTTTAAATGTCCTTTAAGGGGGAAACAATAAATTTTTTTTTTTTTTAGGAGACAGGGTCTCTTGCTGTTGCCCAGGCTGGAATGCAGTGGTGCTATCATAGCTCACTGCAGCCTCGATCTCCTGGGCTCAAGCAATCCTTCTACCTCACCCTCCCGAGCAGTAGTGACTACAGGTACACACCACCACATTCCCCTGAGTTTTTACATTTTTTGGCAGAGACGGTGGGCTCTCACTATGTTGTCTAGGTTGGTCTTCAACTCCTGAGCTCAAGCAATCTTCCCACCTCAGCCTCCCAAAGTGCCGGGATTACAGGATTGAGCCAGGGCACCCAGCCTCTAAAATTCTTTTATCAGCTAATTGAGAAATACTATTAGAACACCCTAGGACAATCCAATGCACTGAAGGACAGCAATCAAGGGGTATTCAAATTACAAAAGATTTCCAACTTTACAACAAGCTTTTACATTAAGAGACTCTCTAGGCCACTTAAACATTAGTTTACAGACATTAATTTTGAGAGGAAAGAAGACAGAAAAAAGTGTTAAGTGCTACAGTTAAGAATAAAATCATTCAAAGGAAATTAAACATCTCTGATAGTATGACGAAAATAAATGTACATCTGAGTCAATTCCCCTACAAATTTTCAGAACAATTGTACTGTAAAGAAGGCATGAATAGGCTAATGAAAACCACCTCTGTTTAAAAAAAAAAAAACAAAAAAAAAAACCTGGCATATATAAAGTGCTTTGGTAAGAGGCATAAACTAATTACAAAGGCTTTTTTGGTCTGTTTGTTGTTTTTACAAAAAAGGAAGCCAGGCATGGTGATGCCTGTCTGTGGTAACAGCTACTCAGGAGGCTGAGCGGGGGAGGATGGCTTGAGCCTAGGAATTCAAGATCAGCCTGGCCCATTTAAAAAACAACAACAACAAAAAAAAAGGAAGCAAAAACTTCATCTGTGTGGGGAAAAGGCAAAGGAAAAGCCCAAAATTTTAAACCCAAATTTCATAGTCAAAGACCATCAGAAAATTCATTCTTTTTTTTTTTTTTTGGAGACAAAGTCTCGCTCTGGCGCCCAGGCTGGAGTGCAATGGCACAATCTCGGCTCACTGCAACCTCCGCCTCCCAGGTTCAAGGGATTCTCCTGCCTCAGCCTCCTGAAGCTGGGATTACAGGTGCCTGCCACCACACCCAGCTAATTTTTTGTATTTTAGTAAAGATGGGGTTTCACCATGTTTCCCAAGCTGGTCTCAAACTCCTGACCTCAGGTGATCCACCCGCCTCGGCCTCCCAAGAGAAAATTCATTTTTATAGAAAAAAAAAGGCTGACTATATTACTACATTTCTATTCATAAACGTAGCATTTCCCAAAGACTCTTCTAAATAGTTTAAAGGAAAAAAAATTGGATATCCACGGTTAACATAAGCACAATTACTGCTTACTATATATCACCCTGGTATGAGTTACAATTGCATTCAGCTGCATGTCATAGAAACTTACCCATAGTAGTTTAAACAATCGGGGCTCTATTTTTCTACTAAAGCAACCAGTCCAAAGATAGAAACTCCAAGGCTGGTAGAGTAGTTGCAAGAAGCCATCAAGAACCCCTTCAATCTTTCTGATTTGCAACTCTTAGCGCTTGGCCTTCCTGGGACAAGATTGCTACATCCCCTTCATACAGGAAGGTGGGAAGGGAAATGGGAAAGTTGTGTGCCAGCCTCACAGATCCTGTTTATCAAGAAACCGAAGCTCTCCTGGAAGCCTCTGCCCTGCAACCACTTCTACTTATATTTCACTGGCTGCTACTGTGTCACCTTTGGCAACAGGGGAGTCTGGGGAGATGAGAATTTTTAACTATAATTTTTGCCACCCAGAGCAAAACCAGAATTCCATTAGATAAGAGAGACCATTTATCTTAGAAATTCAAAATACATATTTGATGTTAAGGGATCTGAGAACTGTGCAGTAAATAAACATGTTAAACTTTTTTTTTATACAGTATTTCTCAAAGTTATTTGAACATAAAATTCTTTATTTCCTTTGAACAGCCTGTTGAAACAGCATTTGGTGCAATTCATCCTGGGAAATGCTGCTTTGGGAACTAAAAGAAGAAAAAAAAATCTACTCCTATGAAATAGATTTTTTTTTTTTTTCTTTTTTTTCTTGAGACAGAGTCTCACTCTTTTCGCCCAGGCTGGAGTGCAGTGGTATGATCTTGGCTCACTGCAACCTCTGTCTCCTGGGTTCAAGCGATTCTCCTGCCTCAGCCTCCCAAGTAGCTGGGATTACAGGTGACCCCCACCACGCCCGGCTAATTTTTGTATTTTTAGTAGAGACGGGGTTTCACCATGTTGGTCAGGCTGGTCTGGAACTCCTGACCTTGTGATCCACCCACCTCAGCCTCGCAAAGTCCTGGGATTACAGGCATGAGCCACCGCACCCGGCCAAAATAATTGGTTTTCATATGTAGAAAGGGAAAGGAAATAGGTTGCGTTTAAGCAAGGGGTTCTGGAAATAAAATTGCTGAAGTGATAACAAAATTCTACAAGCAGGATCTGATATGTTTTTACTTTTTATGTAAAGTCACCATTCTAGTGAGAAAAATCCTTTATCTTTCCACTTTATGCTTTTACAGGTTGGGCCATACCCCCTTCTCCTCTTCACCATCCCTTCTCAACTCCTGAACTGTCATTTCCTTATGTAACTCCCCTCTGTTCTAACATTCCCCACTGGTCTTTAAATGTCCATTCCTGAGCTTCTCTAAGGTTTCACTCATTCTTTGCTTCAGCCTCTCATGCTTTAATAATTTTTCTTTCTCCTATTTTCATTTTTGTTTTCTTTTTATTCTCTCTTACATTCTTTAAGGTACACCAGCAACTCTTATTTTCTTAAAATACTACCAAAACAACCTAGGGCTTAGCATTTATTTACTGAGGCAGTCCCTTCTGCATATTTTGTATTCAATCTGTACAAAATGACTGTCCTTTGAAACCTCATGTTAGCTAAATGCTGTAACAAACAGACTCTAGTATTACTTCCAAGAATAAATGTGCATATTTATAGGGAAAAATCAAAACATAATTTTTCATTCTGATTCTAAAGCTTTCACAAGAAAGACATTTATCATATCCAGTTCCATTAAAATATTCACTTCTTTTAATCCACTTCAATGGTGAAAAGAAAAAGTAAATTACATTTTTCACATTTCCAAACACCATCCATTTCCATGACACACACAGGTATCTCCTTGCCAAGAAAAGTCAGTGGTTGTCTGTTTTGGAAGGGAAGTAAGAAAGTGGCATTTTTTATTTCCTGAAGAAAAAAAAATTAAATAGGTCAAATACATAAAACTTCCATGAAAAGAGCCACACTTCATTTCAGCCATTAAAGAAAAATGTGTTTAAATTCCCCAAAGGAACCCTATGCTCTACACTGGGAAAGGCTTATTCACTGCTGACTTTCAAGAACCAGACATGACTTATCACACCGTGTAACCAAGGCACTGAATGGAACTGAAACCCCAAGGAGTCTTCTTATCTTTCTGCTTTCTAGATACCAGGAAAAAAAAAGAAGCAGTTGAGATTATTCACTCTTCCAGTAAACAGGCCTCTAGAAAGTCAGAGGAATGGCTGGGTGCAGTGGCTTATGCCTGTAATCCCAACACTTTGGGAGGTTGAGGCAGGCAGATCACAAGGTCAAGAGATCAAGACCATCCTGGGCAACATGGTGAAACCCTGTCTCTACTAAAAAGTACAAAAATTAGCTGGGCATGGTGGCATGTGCCTGTAGTCCCAGCTACTCAGGAGGCTGAGGCAGAAGAATCACTTGAACCTGGGAGGCAGAGGTTGCAGTGATCCGAGATTGCGCCACTGCACCCAGCCTGGGCAAGAGACACTCAGGCTCAAAAAAAAAAAAAAAGAAAGAAAGTCAGAGGAACATGAAACACTCAAATGTCATAAAGAGCCTTTTCTTGCCAACTCTTGGTTATATGGATTTGCTATACTCTTTAGGGGCTGAAATTACTCATCCGAGAAGGCATAGCCAACTTGCCTCAAGGCAGAAATTTGGACAGCATCAATTTAGGTCCAGCAGAGCACTTCTCAAATTGCTTCCAAAGAGAAGACTGGCTCCTCCTAGCCAGCAGGGGAGCTAGAAGAACAATACAGCCACTCACCCCCATCATGCCTTTCAGTCCTGTCCAAAGTTCAAGCCCCTTCCTGCCCCCAGACCCCCGACCCTTTCCCACAATATCACACCCACAGTCCAAAACTTCCCTTGGATCCCCACCCTCCTACACCTTTGTACTGAACCTCTTGGGACCACCCTTCCCCCAACCTCTCTTCTTATCTTGGTTGAAACCTGGAACTCTTGATGGAAGCACATTGTAGCTTCTCCTTATTGCCCAAAGCTGTTTCCAATATAAGACTCCTCCACTCTTGGGTAAAATTTACCTCCATGTCTCTCAATCATTCTATCTCATTCGCTGAAGACCTTTTCCCCTGGTTCAGTCCTCCCTGAGTCACCAAGTCCAGCAGTCATTCCAAATGACCTTAGAATCCACCAAGCACACTGCCCAATTAGTTCCTTGACCTCATTCTGTAACCTCCTTCTTGGTGTTACTGTCTTCCTCCCAAAGACCTAGCGTGGCTTTCCCATCACTACTCAGAATGGCTCCAACTCTGACAGTACCTGCCAAACATCTCACTGCATTTCCTTTTGACCCTACGAACTCCTTCCCTGAGATCTCTCATGCCACCTCTCCCACCACACCAACTCTTCCATCTCTTCTGATGCTCCAATTTGCTAGCACCTCTATTTTCTTCTTCTCTGACAGGCCTCTTCTGTCTACATCTCCTTTCTCCTCCATCCTACATCAACTGCCCACTAACCAATGATCTCAACTCCCTCACACTCTCTTAAACACTCACTCAACCAAATCCCAACCCCAGATCCTTCTACCTATCACCTTCTCTGTTCCTCTCCTCAGGATACTCAACACCAAGGAGAAAACCACACAACCATTAACAGCAGATGGCATAACAGATTCAGGGGCTCCATTCTGGACACCCTCAGAGCTGTCCAGCAAACCTGTTGAGCTCTCTTTCCATTCCCCTCAGAAGTTTTTGTGGGGTTTTTTGTTTGTTTGTTTGTTTAGATAGAGCCCACTTTGTCGCCCAGGCTGGAGTGCAGTGGTGCGATCATGGCTCACTGCAGCCTTGACCTCCTGGACTCAAGTGATCCTCCCACCTCAGCCTACCACGTAGCTGGGACTACAGGCACACGCCAACTCACCCAGGTAAGTAGAAATGGGGTTTCACTATGCTGCCCAGGCTGGTCTCGAACTCCTAGGCTCAAGTGATCCTCTGTCTCAGCCTCCTAAAGTGCTGAGACTACAGGTGTGAGCCAACATGCCTGGCCAGAGGCTTTTTCAAACCTCCTCGACTTTGCCCAAGCCTCAGGGTCCACCATCAACCCTTCCTCTAACTCCACTCTCAGACGATAACCTCACCTCCTACTTTACAGAGAGTAAAGCAAGAACGCCTTCAACTTCCTGCCCACCCTCAAACTCACCTTCATCTGTATCCATCAATGTCTTCCTTCCCATTCAGTGGATAAATGTCCTTCCTCCTGCTTCAGATCAACATGCATCCCAGCTCAGAACTCTATCCACACTAGACTTCCCAGGCATTTGCTCTACTACATTAATGCTCTCTTATGCTCTCACACTTCCCTCTCTTTTCAGTTTAATGTGCCAAGACTCTCTCATCCTTTTTTTTTTTTTTTTTTGAGACAGAGTTTCACTCTGTCGCCCAGGCTGGAGTGCAGTGGCACAATCTTGGCTCACTGCAACCTCCACCTCCCAGGTTCAAACGATTCTCCTGCCTCAGCCTCCCGAGTAGCTGGGACTACGGGCGCATGCCACCACACCCAGCTAATTTTTGTATTTCAAGTAGAGACAGGGTTTCACTATATTGGCCAGGTTGGTCTCAAACTCCTGACCTTGTGACCTACCCGCCCTAGCTTCCCAAAGTGCTGGGATTACAGGCATGAGTCACCACACCTGGCCAACTCTTTCATCTTAAAAAAAAAAAACAAAAAAATTCCCCTCAGACCTAACGCCTGCTCCAACTATGACCTCTTCTTCACAGTCAAGCTTCTAGATTTATCTCTCCCAACTTCTCTCCCAGTGAATCTGGCTTCCTTCCCCACCCCTCCAGTGAAACTCCCCTAGCTACAGTCAGCAGCACACCAGCATGGCCATAGTGACCAAACTCCACAAACACATTCAGACCACACTTGACCTGGCTTCTCTGGAACATCTTCCCTGAGCCCTCAATTCATGCACACACTCCTGGGTTTCTTTCTATCTTGCTAGCCAATCTTTTCCCTCTGTCTGCCTTTTACTTCACTGTTTTTCAAACTGCCAGTCTTGAACCTAAGTCTCAAAATCCTGGGCTTAAGCGATCCTCCTGCCTCAGCCTCCTGTAGCTGGGACTACAGGTGCATGCTACCACACCTGGCTAATAGAGGGACGAGGTCTCACCATGTTGTTCAGGCTGGTATCAAACTCCTGGCCTCAAGCAATCCTCCTACCTCGGCCTCCCAAAGCACTGGGACTATAGGCATAAGCCACTATACCCAGCCCACTCCATATATTCTTTAATAGACAGCCAGACCTAGCAATCCCATGATTAAGTATTTAACCAAGAGAAATAGAAATATATGTCCACAAAAAAGACTTACACAAGAAATGTTCACAACAACTTTATTCATCAAAGCCAAAAACTAGAAACAACCCAAATGTCCATCAACAGAATGTATAAGCAAACTGGGTGAACCCATACAATGGAACACTACTCAGCAATGAAAAGGAGCTACGACTGATGCACTCAACAATGTGGCTGAGCTCCAAAGTATTATGTTGACTTAAGAGAGCCAGACATGGCAGAACACCTACTACGTAACATCATTTTCATGAAATCTGAGAAAGACATAACTGGTGATAAAAGTCAGAAAGCAGCTGTAGAGAGGTGGGGTGGGTGACTGACTGGAAATGGGCACTGGGGAATTTTCTGGGCTGGTGGAGATGTCCTATATCTGGTTTGATGTGTTGATAATATGAATGTATAAAATTGCCACCTCATTTCCCTTTTTTAAGTATTTTCTGAGAGTGCCACAATCTCATGGCAAAGGCCTTTGGGATTTCATACCTGTATGATTCTCTGTACTCCTTCTTCGTCACCTTCCTTCACAGGCTACCCTGCTCTCATACTGAAGTTCTTATCTTTTCCCAAATAGATGATGTTCTCCTTCACCCCTGGCCTCTCTGCTTGAACAACCCCACAGCTTTGGCATGGCCACCTCCTACTGTCTTTTGAGACTCAGCGTAGATGTTACTACTGCCAGGAAGTCTTCCCAATCCCCAAACTAGATTTGTATTTTTAGTAGAGACGGGGTTTCACCATATTGGCCAGGTTGGTCTCAAACTCCTGACCTCGTGATCCACCCACCTTGGCTTCCCAAAGTGCTGGGATTACAGGCATGAGCCACCACACCTGGCCAACTCTCTCATCTTAAAAAAGGCTTGTGCTTAACCATTTCCCTCCCCAGAATGTGAATTCCCTGAGCACAGGGTCTCCAAGTTATTTGCTGAGGGTGTGCCAGGTGTTGAGAATGGTAAATGTACTCAACGTTTGTCCGACAGGTGAATGAAACATTCAAAAATTGCTTTCTCCTCAAGCTAAACACAGAAGGATGAACAGTTGCAATATCAATATTTAAGGAAATAACTTTGAAAGAATAAAAGGTCAGTATTTTATATTTAATACTTCAGTAACCATATATACACAGGAGACTGTATTATATCAAGATCCGGTGCAAACAAAAAAGAAAAGCAAGACAAACAGACTCTGCTAACTCTTACTCTAAAAGCCAAGATAAAAGGAAAATGAAAGTCTTATTGGGTAAATAAATGAATCTCAGGGAGGGCATCCTGAGCAAAGGGAAGACTCTTTGATGGATACGAAAGTGGTCACTTTTTCAGTTGATTTAAGCAGAGGCAAGAGTTAGCCCAACAAATCTCTCTGAGCTGTGTAAATTCCAACAGAAGCAGCTAGGAGCCAAACAATGATTTGGAAACGTACCAAGAGCTCAAAAGCATCAAGTCTAGACACCTCAAACTCCCCTGAGAGGGATCTGGCTGCCTGCCTACTGCCAAGATCCCTGCTGACCCCAATTTCTTGTATTCCATAATCATTTTTAGATGGATTGCTAAGAGGTAGCTTTAAGAGAAGCAGCCTCAGCCACCTGCCATCTTTCACATCTCAGAGGGGCCCATCTTTCCTTTGAAAGGGAAAGAAAATGGACTAGTGTTAAATTGCAAGTGAAATAAATTCCTTAAATATCAGGAAGCAGAGAATATAAGTAAAGATCTTCCTCTAGCACTTCTAGCTGCCAAATCAATCTTCAAAGCAAAAAAGTGCTAGCTGTATTTCTTCAAGTGCTATCTGATTTGCCAGAATACTTTTCACCATTCCAGAACTATTATCGGCTGGCTGCTGGTTACCAGCAGGGCTTCTCTTTCTTCCTTCTTCTCCCAGTCGAGAATGCAATGTATGGCAGGGCACGGTGGCTCACGCCTGTAATCCCAGCACTTTGGGAAGCCGAGGCGGGTGGATCACGAGGTCAGGAGATTGAGACCATCCTGGCTAACACGGTGAAACCCCGTCTCTACTAAAAATACAAAAAAATTAGCTGGGCGTGACGGCAGGCACCTGTAGTCCCAACTACTCGGGAGGCTGAGGTAGAACAATGGCGTGAACCTGGGAGGCGGAGCTTGCAGTGAGCCGAGATGGCGCCACAAGAATGCAATGTATGGCTCAATATAAAAAGCGGGCTGAGCGCAGTGGCTCACGTCTGTAATCCCGGCACTTTGGGAGGCCAAGGCGGGCGGATCAGGAGTTTGAGACCAGCCTGGTCAACATGGTGAAACCCTGTCTCTACTAAAAATACAAAAATTAGCTGGGTGGCGGGCACCTGTAATCCCAGCTACAAGAGGCTGAGAGAGGAGAATCCTTTGAACCCAGGAGTTGGAAGTTGCAGTGAGCCAAGATCGCATCATTGCACTCCAGCCTGGGCGACAGGGTGAGACTCCATCTCAAAAAAAAAAAAAAAAAAAAAGTGACACATTTCCTCTTATACATTTTTTTTAAATCCTCCCAGATGCCTCATTACCTGCCTGGCTCCATTGTCAGCATCTGAGCCTGGCATCTGAAACCTTCAAAACAACAAACCCATTTAAAGCACAGGCATGTCTGTAGGGGTAAAAGTGAAAAGCAAAAATTGAGATAAATGAACCAAAAAGTGATAGCCACTGTCATTGAAAGTAAACACCATATGTAAAATAGCAAACACACAATTAGCTAACACAGTTTTGACAAAAAAAATTATGTCAAATTTTTTAAATCATAACATACACATAACAAAATTTGCCATTTAGTCATGTTTAGGTGTACAATTCAGTGACATTAGTTGTATTCACAATTGTTATGCAACCATCACTACTATCTATTTCCAAACCTTTTTCATCACCCCAGAGAGAAATTCTGTAACTATCAATCAATAACTCCCCATTCCAATCTTTCCTCAGCCCTTGGTATCTTCTAGTCTACTTTCTTCCTCTATGAATCTGGCTAGTATTGATATTTCATACAATGGGAAGCATACAATATTTGTCCTTTTGTAACTGGCTTATTTGACTTCTTAGCATAATGTTTTCAAGGTTCCTCCATGTTGCCACATGTATCAGAGCTACATTCCTTTTCATGACTAAATAATATTCCATTGTGCATATAAACCACATTTTGTTTGTCCATTCATCTACTGATGCACACTTGGGTTGTTTCCATTTTTGAATCTTGTGAATAATGCTACAATGAACCTTGCCATACAAGTATCTATTTGAGTCACTGCTTTCAATTATTTTGGGTATATACCTAGGAGTAGAATTGCTAGGTCATATAATACACAGTATTTTTTTTAATCAAGTACATTCAATAGTTTTAAAAAAAACTTGGACTTTTTTCCTGATTAAAAAGCAACACATGTTCATTGTAGGAAATCTGGAAAATAATTACACCACCCAGAGAAAGTCGCTGTTAATATTTCAGAATATTCCCTTAAAATCTTACTGTCTAGTTATACACATACACAGAGACAGACATACATGGATATTTTAACTAAAACTGGGTTATTTCCACTTATCATTGTATCAAGAGCATTAACTCCACTGTCATTAAATGTTCTTCAGAGGCCGGGCACAGTGGCTCATGCCTGTAATCCCAGCACTTTGGGAGGCCAAGACAGGTGGATCACGAGGTCAGGAGTTCGAGACCAGCCTGGCCAATAGGGTGAAACCCCGTCTCTACTAAAAATACAAAAAAACTAGCCAGGCATGGTGGCACGCACCTGTAGTCCCAGCTACTCAGGAGGCTGAAGCAGCAGAATCACTTGAACCCAGGAAGCGGAGGTTCGAGTGAGCTGAGACTGCACCACAGCACTCCATCCTGGGCAACAGAGGAAGACTCCGTCTCAAAAAAAAAAAAAAAAAAAAAAAAAAAAGTTCTTTAGAAACAACACTTAATATATGAATAATATTTCATCAGATAGATAAAGCATAACTTTATTAACTATTCCCCAATTTAGGCTGTTGCATATTTTCTGTGGTCATAAATAACACAGCAATGAACATTTTCATGAATTATTTCTTCTGCACTTCTTTGATTACTATTTTAGCATATCTTACAACAAGTAGAATCACTGCATCAAACAATATAACCATTGCTAAGGCTGTTGATAAAGATTACCTATTTGTCTTCCATAAAAGTCATACCAATCTATATTTCTACCAGCAAAAATAAGCAGCTTTTTTAAATGTAAAAATAAATTAATTATATAATCATAAAATATAAAAGAACAGCTTCCAAACTGGTAAACCATGTGTTAGCAATTATCTTTTCTATTAAATGATGTGGCCAGGCTAGATGAACTAAGGTTCAAGACATCTAGGAAAATGTCAAGTTTTCAAATGGCAATCCATATTTTAAACTAACAGGCCTGCTAAAGCATGGATATATTTACATATGGACATGTGGAGAGAAAGATTTATGTAAAACCACCACCTTCCTGATAGCTGTCCCCATCCCTAAATTTTCCCTTTGTCCTTTTTATACAAGCCTGAATAGACTAAGGACAACTCTAATGCCTATAATACATAATGCCTATAATACAGTGCTGTGGCACTGACTCATCTCCTTGGAGACACCTTCTTCCCAGCACATCCATCAGCCAATCTGGTTGCTTCACATGAAAAGAGTGGGTACAGGAGTTAAGGTTGCAGTGAGCTATGATTGCACCACTACATTCCAAACTGGGCAACAGAGCAAGACCCCCTCTCTTTAAAAAAAAAAAAAAAAAAAAAAAAAAAAAAAAAAAAAGGCCAGGCACAGTGGCTTATGCCTGTAATCCCAACATTTTGGGAGGCTGAGGCGGGCAGATCCTGAGGTCAAGAGATTGAGACCATCCTGGCCAACATAGTGAAACCCCGTCTCTACTAAAAATACAAAAATTAGCTGGGCGTGGTGGCACACATGTGTAGTCCCAGCTACTCGGGAGGCCACGGCAGGAGAATCACTTGAACCTGGGAGGCAGAGGTTGCAGTGAACCAAGATTGCACCACTACACTCGAGCCTGGCGACAGAGCAAGACTCCGTCTCAAAAAAAAAAAAAAAAAAAAACAGGAAGGAACAAGCCATGCTAACAAAAGGGGTGCCAGGGTCATTTTGGGAGGAGAAAATTACCTAAAATTCCCTCCCTCATCAGCAAACAAGGCGTCAAATTCCTGCCACTAGGACTCTGGTCCAAAGTTACAGTCCCCAAAGTCAACACCAGTGACATGGGGCTCCCAAAGTCACCACAAATATGCTCTAGGGACACTATCTGGACCGGAAGCCTCAAAACAAAAGTCAGTCAGTGACATACGATCCAGCCCTCAAGCCCACTTGCTTTGACCAGAATCAGGCTTTGGTTTGTTCATTGTTTTTATTTTTGGCTTTAAAAATTGTTTTGAATCAGTTGACAATCTTTAAAAATTAAGACAGCTTCTCACACAAATCTACATCTCTAGTTTCTCTTGCAATATCCAAGGATCTCAACATGGGGTCCATTCACTACACGGCAACCATAGGCCATAGCTGAGAAGCAGCTGCCCTGTCAGATGTGATGCACTCTCAGGTCTCCATGCTCCCACCTTCTCCAGACGCTCAGGATGCCAAAGCAGAGGTCAGCAGCCCTTGACCAGAGGGGTTTATACTGCTTTTCTGACACCCTTGTTTCTGTGACACAGCCTGAGACCTGGAGAATATTTGAGCCTGTGACCCCTGGTCTGGTACGAATAACGTATCATGCATACAAATAGGGTTACTGGCCAAACATCTGCAGATCCTATTATGACTAAAAAAATCCAAACTACTTAAGGCATTACTCAATTCAGAGAACCTCTTGCCATTAGGGATTGCCTGAATCAACAGACACTACTAAGTTTTGGTTTATGCTTTTTTTTTTCTGAGATGGGTTTCACTCTTGTTGCCCAGGCTGGAGTGCAATGGCATGATCTCGGCTTACTGCAACCTCCGCCTCCCAGGTTCAAGTGATTCTCCTGCCTCAGCCTCCTGAGTAGCTGGGATTACAGGCACGTGCCACCATGCCCGGCTAATTTTTGTATTTTTAGTAGAGACAGGGTTTCACCACGTTGGCCAGCTGGTCTCGAACCCCTGATCTCAGGTGATCCACCCCCCTCAGCCTCCCCAAGTGCTAAAATTATAGGCGTGAGCCACTGCACCCAGCCACTACTAAGTTTTTTAATGAAAAGGGGGAACTCAAGTTTTTTACTTTTTCAATAATAACAAAAAAATTAGAAATCAATTAAGAATTTAAGAAAAATTAAGAATTTTATTAAGTTGTTTTTTATCAAAAAAAAAAAAAACCCTTGTATTAAGAAAAATTAAGAATTTTTTAAGTCGTTTCCTTCCTGACTACTATGTACAAAATATTAGGCTTCTATTGAAGCAATGACATAATGATGAGTAAGACCCTGCCTGGGCCCTTGCAGGCAGATGGCGGACAGCGTGTGAACAGAGCAATTGCGGGAGGCACAGCGGTAAAGGTAATGGCATCCACCTGCGAAAAGCACAAGAGCCCTCAGGAGGTGACAGGAAGCCTTTATCAAAGGACAAGGCATCTGCCCGGCTAAGGAGAGGGAACAAGAAGCAAGGCTATGACACAAGTTCAAGGTGGAGCTGGGCTTTGGTCCCATTCTAGCAGAGCTGAGACTTCCTTTGGAGGTCACAGGAAGTCACCCAAGAGTTTTTAGTGTTGCATGCTTTAGAAAAGTTACCATGGAGATGGTGTTGAGGTGCCTAGAAGAAGAGGAGCTTGGGCTCAGGGAGGCCTTAAGAAGATGATCGTGGGAGTCCAGACCAGATGCAAGGAGCATCGAAACAAAGACAAGGGCAGGAGGAGCAGACCAGAGAGGCAGCTACGGCTCAGTGGCTGTTAGATACTGACAAATGAGACGAGCAGTTATCAGAAGAGACAAAGGCAGGAGGGAGCAGACCAGAAAGGCAGCTATGCCTCAGTGGCTGGTTAGATACTAGAGAACGAGACACAGCAGTAATCAGAATGATTCACTAAATTTCAGGCTCTGACAACTCAGTGGACATCAGAAACACTGGGCCAACACAAAAAATAAAGGATGGGGAGCAGTTACTGGAAGGTAAGGGTGAGTAGGGGAGACATAGAGACCAGGATCCCATCTGCAGAAGTGTAGCAGCTCTGGATCTAGGCACGAACAAGGTCAACCCTCGGCCCAGGCTGTCCCTAAGCACACAGCACATCACCAAAGCTGGAGGTGCCAATTCCTCCACCCAACTCAGCTGAACAGCAGTTCCCACAGCATCACTAAGGCTGAAAAATTGGAATGCTATCCTCCTCACAAAGGCGGAAGCATGCTTTGTCCTCTGCCTGCCTATAGCGAGTGTCCAAATTACCAATGGCAGATCTTACACCAACATCAGAAGTCCCCTACCAGCTCCTCTTGGCCTCTGCATATGCCACCTTCCCCTACTCCACAATTCCTGCGACAGCACTGAGAAGGTACTCAGGCAGGGCATGGGGTTGGGAGGTTTGGTGGAAGTCTAAAGATGACCAACACATGAAACAAGCCCTCAAAAGAACCTAACAGATCACGGAAGACTCCTGTGGAAACACTCCACACGCTGAGCACAGTATGACAGGCTGGAGGAGAAAAATAGATAAAGAATCTGTGTTAGGTCATATTCCCTGGAGGCAGAGCCTGATGTGGCGACTCCTATGCAAATGAGTGCTTGAGGAAGTGCTCTCAGGATCCGGAGAAACTGGAAGAAGGTGAGGGAAACTGCATAGGAGTTGAGATAAGCCCAGCCTCCGTCTGATCCCACAAAAAGCTCTGAAGTAAACTGTACAAAGTTTGTGCTGCCAGGAAGCAGGGGATTGGGTTTGATACTCCCAATCGTTGACTTCACTAAGTGATGTCAGTCACTGGGTACAAGGTCACACCAGAGTGGAGGATGCAGGTTACCTCCCAGTCACCTCCAGGCTAGAGGGTTCCTCCCCTGCAGGGCAGAATCTTCCAGTGAAAGGTACAGGCATGAAGTATTAGCAGCTAACTCCCTCAATTAGTCAAGGGCTGGGTGCCCTGACCCAGTAAAGGGGATCTGTGCAGGGCACCAGCAACATCCACAATGGACAGAGTCCATTCTAGAAGTCCAGCAGAACAATATACATGCAGGGAAAGAGGGAAGGGCCATTCATCATTATGAGTCTTTTCATCTTTCCATCTCTCTGGAAACCATCCAGGAAGTTAAAAAACTCATCTGTACAAGGTGGTTGAGCACCTCTGAAAAGCCTTGAGCATGGAGTATAATTTTACAACCCAGACTGAAGGCTTACCTCCCAAGTAACTGGGTTTATTGTTCCCTATTGCAAGCAGCAGCCTGCAGTTCCACCTACCTTCTGCCTAAGAGCACTTTAGCCTCAGAGTGAATCTCCACGACCACACTCGAGCAATAAACGGGCAGTCATCCTCCGTCATATAACTAACAACTTTCCTCCAATTTTTATGGTGCTTTTTATGCTGACTTTATAAAGTTTCACGTTTTACTTTCCAGATTTCATCGTGTGCATTCAATGCACCCCAGGAGTGTTGCTAAGCAGTTTTAATTTTCCAAGAAGTATTTCTTTGCCTTTCCTTTCCACTAAAGCATAGCTAAGAAATTGGAAAAGGCCCCCAAATCAAGTTTTCTGTACAGTGTGTACAATCTGGACCAAGACATTCAAGAAGGAATTGACTTAAGGAGAACTTCAGAATCATGGCTGGAGCCCCCACCATCCATGATGGAGTTAGAGAGTACCTCTATGGTAATGCAGGGCCAAATAAGTAAATTCCAGAGTAGCGAAATTAACTTTGTAATAAAAGACTATTTGATTATTCAGAGAAAAGGGAGCAGGTGTTTGGTAAGGTGCCAGAGAAATTCCTTAATTACCAGCCAAGTCCAAAGGAAATAAATGGTCAAATCAATTAACTCATTATTTATTATTTACTCTGTGATTAAACTTACAGATCAAGCTTCTAACAATACTAAGGGGAAGTTGGGGAAAGAGGAGTTTTAGGTTGGTTTCTTAGCCCAATGCAAATCTGCCTCAATTGTCATTCCTAAAACGCACACACATATTATTTCAGGAAGGATTGAACCAATCAACTGAAAAAACAGGAGACAAGTTAAAATAGCAACAGCTAACCTTTTCAGAGTACCTTCCATGTGCCTAAAACTGTGCAAGTAGTTGGATGCATACATCCTTCTCCATTCTCATGGAACAATTGTGCAGTACAAGAAATATAAAAGGATACTGGGTTCCGGCTGGGCACGGTGGCTCACGCCTGTAATCCCAGCACTTTGGGAGGCTGAGGCGGGCAGATCACGAGGTCAGGAGATCAAGACCATCCTGGCTAACACGGTGAAACTCGGTCTCTACTAAAAATACAAAAAATTAGCTGGGCTTGGTGGCAGGCACCTGTAGTCCCAGCTACTTGGGAGGCTGAGGCAGGAGAATCACGTGAACCCGGGAGGTGGAGCTTGCAGTGAGCTGAGATCACCTCACTGCACTCCAGCCTGGGCAACAGAGCAAGACTCTGTCTCAAAAAAAAAAAAAAAAAAAAAAAAAAAAAAAAAGGATACTGGGTTCCTACCTCACAGAACAGACACAAGTCCAGACAGATTAAAGCCTTAATTGAGAGAGGTAACTTCTGAAACTTTCAGCAGAAAATATAAGAGAATATCTCTTTAGTTAACTAGAAAAGAAAATACTCATATTCTACCACATTAAGAACCTCCTGACCTGAGGTCCCACCTATGGACTGACTTGGTTTGGATCAGAGCTAGAAGCTGCTCTCAATGAAAAATTTTAGTTGTCAGTTATGCAGTGGGTTGAAGTAGCAATCTGAGAGTTGGCAAAAATTTTTTAAAGTAGGTCTCGGTGGAAATCCTACTTATGTAGGCTTGTATTAGCTTCCAGGGTATCCGAAAAGGGCCTGTCAGGAGGGATGACTGTTTCTGCCAGTAAACTGAGCAGTGGGCAGCATAATTAAGAGAATATGGAAAAGAAGTAAGAACTTGTTTTTCAAAAGCATCACAAATAAAGTAAAAAGCCAAGCTATGAACTAAAAGGAGATATTTGCAACATAGATCCAACAAAGGATAAGTATGCAGAATATATAAAGCACTCCTACAAACCAATGCAAAAAAGACAACCTAATAAATAACTGAGCAAAAGACCCAAGCTGGAATTTCATAAAAGAGGAAGAAAGAATGACCCTTAAGCACATGAAGAGCTGCTGTCTTTCTGATAATCAGAGATACACAAATTAAGATACCAATGAGATATCATGTATACCTACTGGCTTGGCAAAATTAAGAATTCTTACTATATCAAAAACTAGAAAAGGTGCAGAACAATGCAAATGCTTATACCCTACTGGATGGCATTAAACTGGCACATCCACTTTAGAAAACAACTTAACATCATCTTATAAAATGGAACATCCAAATACCCTGAAGCCCAGTGGATATAGTTTGGATATCTGACCTCTCCAAATCTCAGGCTGAAATGTGATCCCCAATGTTGGAGGTGGAGCCTAAGGGGAGGCACTTGGGTCATGGGGGCAGATCCCTCACAAATGGCTTGGTGCCCTCCCTATGGTAATAAGTGAGTTCTCACTCTGTTAGTTCTGTTAGTTTACCAGTTAGCTCTGTTAGAGCTGGTTGTTTAAAGGAGCCTAGCATCTCCTCCTCTCTCTCTTGCTCCCTCTCGCCATGTGACATGCCTGCTCCCTCCACTTTCCATCTTGAGTAAAAGTTCCCTGAAGCCTCACCAGAAGCCAAGATGCTGGTGCCATGCCTGTACAGTCTTCACAACCATGAGCCAAATAAACCTCTTTTCTTTATAAATTACCCAGTCTCAGATATTCCTTTATAGCAATGCAAAACGGACTAACACACCAACAATTCAACTTCTACATCAACATCACAAGGAAATTCTTGCGTGTGTGTACTGGGAGATACATACTAACTTACACACAGCAGTAACACCGTTCACAGAGGAAGAAATGGTGAACAACCTAAATACCCATCACCAGGATAAAAAATTTGTGACATAGTCACACAAAGAATGTTATACAGCATTGAAAAGAAATGCACTGAAGTTAGACACAATAACGGGAATCAATTTTGGAAACAAAACGGGAAAAAAAAAAGACTTGCAGAAAACTATATACAACATCCTTTTAAAAATATAAAACTGAGAAACAAAACTAAATAATACAGAGAGATAACACACATTATTTTTGTAAAATATCTATTATAAAAATACTTTATATTATACAAAGGTGAAGGAATGATGAACTTGAAACTCAAGAGTTAGTGGTTACCTAAAAGAGGGGAGGAAAGGATTGAGTTGAAGAAGAATACTTGGGCAGATGAGCTACTAGTGGTTATATTATCCTTCCTAGAGTGAATGGTGAGCTCATGCCTGTTCATTTTCTTATGCTCTGTTACATATATGATTGCATATATTCTTTAATATAAATCAATTATATTTTTCAAATATTAGAAAAAAGCTATTTAGATCATTTATTCTATGATTGTATACAATTATAAAAATAGAAACTAATATATAAATGTTAATTTAAACTATATAATTATATATTTAAATTATATGGAGTATTTATTATTATTCCCATTTTACTGATGAAGAAACTGAGAGTTAAAAAGGTAGGATAACTTTACACATCCAGTTAAGTGAAAGTGACAAACTAAGCTTTTCATTAACTTTAAAACCCATGCTTTAACACCGTGCTATACTCTTAAGATTTCCACCAGCGAAGAAAAAAATTAGATATAATTCACAAGATTCAAGAATCCCTGCCTAAAACTCCATTAGTGTGCAACTCTTACAGAACTCCTACTATAATCTGTGCCTTCCATGAGTGGTGGGAAATGAGTATTGTTTATTAGGATTTGTTAGCTCTAAAGACAAACTTATTTACATGTTAACATATAGTCATATTAAACAAAAGACTCTTAAATTCAATGAAATTTGGAATTTATAGAAAACCTACGATAAAGCATTTTGTTTTATTTTGCAAATGCAAATAAAGAATCCTGGTGCAAAGTGGAAAGCCATGCCTTAGTACACATTAGGTGGATTAAGAAATATGTTTTCTTCAGTGAGGCAAAACTATTCAAGTGATAAATTCATCTGTTTGTCCAGGTTCTTTTCTTGTTTTCACCTTCTGAGCTTCTTTCACTTCCCTTCAAGAGTCATGTTTCCTCTCTCACCCTAGATCTTAACCAGGTGGCACTTCCTCCAAAAGAGTTCCCCACCCTACATCCAGGCGTATCCCTCGTCACGCTCCGTGAGAGCACTTTGCATGCTGCAGTTCAACCACTGCTGTGCATCTTCTTCCTAGCCCACCAGCAACTTGGGGCAGGAACCCATCTACAATAGTCCCCACTGTACCTTCAGGCACAGCATGGGGAGCAATGAGAAGGAATCAACAACTGAATGAAGGGATGATCATACTACTATGTAAAATCCATTCACACGAAAGGATCAGAGGGAACACAGAATAGTAGGAAGGATGTGGCACTTGGAATCAGACTGACCTGTGTTAGAATGTCCCCCCAACATCAGTTGGCTCTGATATTACTAAATATTAAATATTACTAAAACCTGCCCGCCTTGTGTGGTTATTAGAATTAGTGGTGATAATATGTGTGAAGATGATTCTCTCAGGTACTAATCAGTGACTTTAAACTGTGGCTGTCGGGGAAGGGTCCTATATTCTGGTTCAACTGGTCCAGGATGGGATCTGGTGATGAAATTTTTGTAAAATCTTCCTACTTTTTTTTTTTTTTTTTTTTTGAGACGGAGTCTCATTCTGTAGCCCAGGCTGGAGTGCAATGGTGCAATCTCGGCTCACTGCAACCTCCGCCTCCAGGGTTCAAGCAATGCTCCGCCTCAGCCTCCTGAGTAGCTGGGATTACAGGCGCCCACCACCATGCCTGGCTAATTTTTTTGTATTTTTAGTAGAGACGGGGGTCTCACCATCTTGGCCAGGCTGGTCTTGAACTCCTGACCTCGTGATCCATCCACCTCAACCTCCCAAAGTGCTGAGATTACAGGCGTGAGCCAGCGCGCCCGGTCCTCAGATACTTTTAATATGCAGAAAGGTTTCAGAACCTCTCCACGGGACAGAAGCAAGGCAGGAAATAACATCTGCAGAGCCTTGCTGTGTCCAACACTCAGTTGCCACACATTATATTATTTAATACCCCCACACACACAAAGAGTGGGCACTGCTTCCCCCTTACCAAGCAGAAGTGATTCTGTTGTTGTTGTTGTTGCTGTTGAGGACAGGGTCTAGACTGGAGTGCAGTGGCTTGATCACAGCTCACTGCAGCCTCAGCCTCCTGGGCTCAAGCAATCCTCCCACCTCAGCCTCCTAAGTAACTGGGACTACAGATGCATGCCACCACACCTGGCTAATTTTTGTATTTTTTGTAAAGACGGTTTTACCATGTTTCCCAGGCTGATCTCAAGCTCCTGGGCTCAAGCAATCTGCCAGCCTCAGTCTCCCAAAGTGCTGGAATGACAAGTGTGAGCCACCACACCTGGCCACAATGGCCATTCTTCATTAACCCTTTTCCTTCTCCCTCTCAATCATGTCAATTTTCTTCAAAAAAGAGACAGCTAAACTTTCAGACAAGTCACCATACGTGAAGATGTTCAAAAGCTCTATGTGTATGTGAGGAGTGTGTGTGACAGAGAGACAGAGACAGAGAAATGAAAGAGGAGGAGAGAAGGAACTGGGGCAAGAGGCAACAGAATGACGCCTTTTTCCATCAGAGAGTTCAGCAGCTTCAGTGCTGTGGTTGATTCCTTAACATCAAAGCTAAATAGGAACTTGTTTCCAGCTCCAGTTGTTGCAGCTGACTGGTCCTATAATTTCTAGCATGCACAAAGCATGTCAAAATCCTCAACAACAAAAATCATTAAGAGAAGTCTGGGTTCATCCTTTAACCCTAGAACAATTAAATGTGTGAGGTGCCCGTGCATTGGCCCATTTGCTCCTTCTGCACATGAATTCCCATTAACACCAGTCCCAAGAGGGAAGAAAAAGGGGTCAGAAAGATGGCTGCCTGGCCAAGATGCCACAGGCCTGGAGGAGGTACTGAATTAAATGGCCTCTAAGCCCCTCAACTCTAATCCTCTACAAAGAGCCTTTGTGCATTGCTAACACTAGGCTGGAAAGGAAAAAGAAGCAACAATCCCAAGTTCCATGAGGAGGGCTTCTGGTTCTTTCTACTTGCAGCAATCAGGCATAATTTTAAAGCTAGCCGTCTCAGCAATAAAAAGGAATCCACGACTGATAAGACACAACGACATAAATGAATCCCAAAATGTTATGCTGACTAGAGGAAGCCAGACACAGTAAGTATATATTGTGTGATTCCATTTATATGAAATGCTAGAGTAGGCAAAAACCAATCTATATTGGGGGCAGGGGGAAGGATGGTGGTTGCCTGGAGTGGGGAGGAGCAAGAGACACAACAGAAGCTTCTGGGGAGATGGTAATGTTCTATGCCTTGACAGAGGTTGGGTAAAAATGCATGCAGTTGTCAAAACTTAGCAATGTACACTTAGGATTTGTGCATTTCATTGTGAAATTTTACATCAAGAGAAATAATTGAAAACAAATATTGTTAATGATATGTGTTAATGACATGCATGCTAAAATATTTATGACTATACTAATGTCAGCAGTTTGCTCTGAAATGTATAAAGAAATAAAATGGATCTATGGATGAGACAGATGGACAGACATGTAAAAAACTAGGTATAATAAAATGTCAGTTGTAGAATCCAGGTGGTAGATACTTGTGTGTTTACTGTACAATTCTTTCAACATTTCTGTATATTTGAAATTTTTCATAATAAAATGAGGGAGGGGGCAGTTAGCCACATAGAAGGTAGATGGGTGGATAAGGTAAGCTAATTGCTAAGAAAAAATCATAGAAGCTACTGGCATCCAGGCATCCACTGGGGTTTAATGCAGCGTGAGCTGCTCAGACAAAAGAAAAAAGGAAAGATGACAAAATTGAAGATAACAGTAATACAGTAATAATTTGTTGAACCACTACTATACACCAGAGGTATATGCTAGACACTCATATGCCATCTGGTCTTACCATCACAACTTCCCTGCAAGGTAGGCATATCATCATTTTATAGATAAGCAAACTGAAACTCAGAATGGTGCAGGAACTTATCCGAGGCTAGAATTTGAAACCAGCTCTACCAACCTCAATAGAAAAAGAACCATATGAGCCCAACACTGCTTCCCTCTTGCAAAGGTCAGGACTGTGCCAAAGGCTCAGGCATGGCACTGCAGCCACAGCTACCCAGCAATGCCACCTATCATGCAGTAGGAAGCCACCCTCTTGGTAACAGCATTGGCACTTGCACTGACTCCCTGTCGCTTCATTCTCCCAAAAGCCCTGTGGGGTCTCCTACACTCAATCCTCTTCCCTCTTTTCTTTTTGCCACAAGGAGAATTTACCCACCAGGGATTTAGCCATCATCTCCATGCACATGCTCTTAATAACAAATAATGCAAAGCAGCTCATTCAGTGCCATCTAGCAGCTTTCCAGCCCAGCTTCTAGTCTACAGAAGCTAGAAAACTATAAGCTACATTTCACTGACTCCCTTGCAGCTAGATTCTTCTAAGCAGACACACTCATGCAAGATCTGAGAGTGAGAGGGGAACAACAGGAGGCAGTAGCCACAAACCAGAAGGTCAGAACTTCTGGTCAGATGGTGACAAGTGTATTTGATTCCTTGGAGCAGTTATAGCAGATGTTATGAAGTTTGGCCTCTAGTGTCACCAGCCCTAAGGCAGAAGTGGGTTATATCCATGCTATAGATGGGAATTGGTTAGAGACAGGCTGTGTTGTTCCTAAACATGTAGCATTGATCTTGGTTCTCCCAGAAACACTGCAAAACCCTCTAATAAATCCCTGGCTACTTAGACTGCTTAGAAGGAATCTACTGTTTGTAACTAATATCCTAAACAGCAACCCTTCTAAATGGCTCTGATCCTGCCTCCCACATTTTGAGCCTATATAAATGCCTGCTAGAGAGTAAAACTCTTTAGTACAGGAGAGTCCCACTTTCCACATTAGAGGGAGGGCAAAGGAGGACAAGGAGAGTTGAGGGGACATCCTACAGTCCATCAGGTTCTATTAATATCAGTATGTGCAGGGTCTCCCAGAAAAGCAAACTGAGCAAAGCTTTCCAAATGTTCCAGGTAAGAGGGACAACAGAGCACATAAAAATGATGGCCTTTTGGCCGGGCATGGTGGCTCACCCCTGTAATCCCAGCATTTTGGGAGGCCGAGGCAGCTGGATCACCTGAGGTCAGGAATTCAAGACCAGCCTGGCCAACATGGCGAAACCCTGTCTCTACTAAAAATACAAAACAAAAAAAAATTAGCTGGGCTTGGTGGCGGGCACCTGTATTCCCAGCCACTCAGGAGACTGAGGCAGGAGAATCACCTGAACCTGGGAGGTGGAGGTTGCACTGAGCCGAGATTGCGCCATT
This sequence comes from Homo sapiens, assembly GCF_000001405.40. Lineage (NCBI taxonomy): Eukaryota > Metazoa > Chordata > Mammalia > Primates > Hominidae > Homo > Homo sapiens. The sequence goes on from NC_000003.12 coordinate 31,956,691, forward strand.
GCACTCCAACCTGGGCGACAAGAGCGAAACTCCGTCTCAAAAAAAAAAAGGGGGCCTTTCATGGACCCTGGCCTTGCTCCCTAGAGTAGGATTTGGGATACAGCATGTCAATCTTGGATGCTGCTTGGTGAAGGAATGATCTCATTCAAAAGCCACATTGGGCCGGGTGTGGTGGCTCAAGCCTGTAATCTCAGTACTTTGGGAGCCTGAGGTGGGCAGATTGCTTGAGTCCAGAAGTTCAAGACCAGCCTGGGCAACATGGTGAAACCCCATCTCTATAAAAAATACAAAAAAGTTATCTGGATGTGGTGGTACACACCTGTGGTCCCAGCTATTCAGGAAACTGAAGTGGGAGGATCACCTGAGCCCGGGAGGCAGAGGGTGCAGTGGGCCAAGACTGTGCCACTGCACTCCAGCCTGGGCGACAGAGTGAGGCCCTGTCTCAAAAAATAAAAAATAAATAAAAATAAATAAAATCATGTTGGCATGGTGATCCAGGGATGTACAAAGGCAGAACTTTTTGTTTTTTTAACTATCACAACTGACACATAAATATTTTTGTTCTTTCCAAAGAAATAACCACAGAGACTCCTGACTTATTGTCATTACCCACAACCTTTGACTCAGTTACGATAAATCCATCTCCCCTGAGCACAGTTATGAGATCTGGAAACAGCTGAAAGCAACCCAGAGCCACAGTGGCAGCTGAGGCAAGGGAACTGCACTGGCGAACACCATTTTTAGTCAAAAATGAGAAAAGACTATGAAGCAGGCAGACCTCTACTCTACTGTGGCTTATAACTTATTCTGAAGGCAATTCCAGAAAAGGAGCCTTGAAATATTTTGAGCAATGGCAGCACTGTTGTGAAAAAGAACCTTGCCATTCGTGGAGATATGTACTTGGAGATTCCTGGGGTTTTTTGTTGTTATTGGTTTGTTTTTGTTTGTTTGTTTTGGTTTGTTTGTTTTTTGAGGAGTCTTGCTCTGTCGCCCTGGCTGGAGTGCAGTGGTGCAATCTCGGCTCACTGCAACCTCCGTCTCCGGGGTTCAAGCAATTCTCCTGCCTCAGCCTCCTAAATAGCTGGGATTACAGGCACATGCCACCACGCCTGACTAATTTTTGTATTTTTAGTAGAGGGGGGGTTTCACCATGTTGGCCAGGCTGATCTTAAACCCCTGACCTCGTGATCTGCCCACCTCAGCCTCCCAAAGTGCTAGGATTACAGGCGTGAGCCACCGCACCCGGCCAGATTCCTGTTTTTAAAAATGCATCTTTAAAGTCACATTGTATAGAGTGACACTGAAGTATGGTCATTTGTTTCTTGGTTTATTGTGTGTGCACCAGCTAAGAAGGAAGAAAAAAATTAAACGTGTGCTATGTCTTAGCCTTTGTAGCCATTTGCAAGGAGGGGTGCAGTAACTCTCGGGCCACCAGAATACCCTTGTGACCACAATGTTAACTTAGAGCTAAAGCGTGACTTTGCCACTAAACATCTTTCAGCCCCTGAATAGCCAATTACCTGATTTACTTTAGCTCTGGCCTGATTTCTACTAATATTTAGGGCTGAAGTAAATAATGAGTGAAGTATTACTCTTGCAATTGAAAAAAGTTAAAAATGCACAAAATGACAGTACACCTCACAAATTAGTCCTTAAAAATATCTTCTCTGACAAATCTAGTTTGTATGTTTTAGGCCTCACTAGATCCAATGTAGTAACAACTGTCAGATATATGGTGTGTTATGCTTTTTAATAATATCAACTGGTATTGCGCACATCAGGACTTCACAGAGGTACATATGCAGGAGGACAAGACTCAAAAGAAATGCACAAAAATCAGTAACAGTTGTATTAGGATGGGAGGACAAGGGCCCATTTTTTTCCCAAAAAAAGTCTTTATATTTGTTATGTCAACTTTTCAATAACACAAAGCATCTTTCTCACCATGGATGCTACATTTCAACTGAGATGTTTATGTTCTGAATACTGGATTCTTCTCTCTCTCACACAAGAGCCAAGGGTGTTTCGGCTTTGTGTTCCAAAAGCCTCTAAACTAGAGAACAGGCCTTTGAGCCAAATCCAGCCCACCACTTATTTTAGCAAATAAGGTTTTATTGGAACAGAGCCATGTCTATTTGTTTACATATTGCCTAGGGCTGCTTTTATGCTGCCATGGCAGAGTTGAATTATTTACTATCTGACTCTTTACAAAAAAACCTTTCTAACCCCTGTACTAAACCAAAGAGTAAGCACTCCAGCACATGGGAAACTCATTAATGCACCATGGAAGAGACTCCCAAAGGTCAAATGTCATCTCTAAAGGGTCAGGGCCCTAGAAGACACTTCCAGTAATTGTGATCCAAAGTAGCAGTTCAAGAGTGGAGACGCACGCAATGGAATCACACATGCTGCATTTGCCAACAAGCCAAGGTCCAGGCAAGAACAACTCTCAATTAAAGAGTGCTCTGTCCTAAAGAAATGCTACGAGATATCGGCTCACAGAGAAAAGTCTCAAATTTTTAATGCAGTCTAATCAAATTTAGCCAGGTCCCTTCCTGAATTTACAAGTCCACCTTCTCTTTTTGCAGCACTATAAACAGTGTACTATCTACTGATAGATCAGAAGCAGTCCTAAAGGCCAGTTCTGTATTCATAACCTGGAAAATAAAATAAAAGCAACTTTGTCTACTGAAAACTACTGTTAAACCCAGTCTTTTTGCTATATATCAGAGGAAATTAGCATGAGACTCAGAGATAAGATATCCCAAACACAATCTGTTAATACCCCAGGATCACTGGGTTCAAGGAAGAGCTCTCTGCACATTTTGAAGTTTTCGCCATCACTCAAAGCAGCTAATACATAAGCCAGAACATCAGATGAGTCTCAGGGCATCAGCTAGATAATGAGAAGCCAGCGGGTATTCTTTGCTATATAACAAAACACAAGGCAAAAAGACCATTTTTAGCATCACCTTTCTGGAGTTTTTCCAAAACTGACTGAGAAGCATATTCTGTTTCTTGTTCTAACTCAGCGACAAACTCCGTGTGTAACTTTGAATTAAATGTCATCTATTTGAGGCAGTTTCCTCACCTGTAAAACAGAACTTGGGCAAGTTCACCTGAGCACCTTCAAGCCTCAGAATAATGCTCCATGAAAGAAAATGTTAGCCTCCCTCTCCCCTTGACTAGGTTATTTTGGTTTATTGTGAAAAACACTTGCAGAAAAAGGATACAGGAAAAATGCCAAAATTATTCCTGGATTGTGACGTGGCCACTGTGCTACTTAAAATCAGGTTCTCTCAAATGCAGAAAATGAAAGTTGCCTATCAGTGAAGAAAAACAAAACTCTCCCTCTTAGGTCTGATGTACTCCATGGAAAAATGTCCTTCCAAACTCCCTGAGGCAGGGAAGACTATCTTAGCACTTTGCTGAGTGCTTAAGAAATTACGTACCGAAAAACTTCCCTGATCTTGAAGCAGCTCACAGTCTGGGAATCTGGCAGATAGGGAGTCTCAGAGATCGCTTCTGAACTTTTACCAGCCTCCCAAAACAGCACCTCATCCCTGGGCCCCTGGGTGCCAAAGGAATCCTTCAAAATAAGGCTGGATCCAGCCACACTCCGCTTGTCACTCAGACCCTCAGCTTCCCTCACCACGTTCAGTAATACAATGTGAAATGAAACAAACCAGAACCCTGCATTCAGGGTATTCACATTCACAATAACAAGGGCATTTGCATCAATTAGGATTATAAACAGACTGTGGAAATGAGATGCAATAGGGGAACCAGTTTAAATATTTTGTTGTCTGGCCAAATTCCTTATTCAGATCCAATTGACCTAAATGAGAAAGCAAGGCTAAAATGGACACCAGAAGGTTGCAAGCTAGTTTACATAACACAGGCCCTCCCCAGCTTAAACTATCCATTTCCAAGTAAAAATGGAAGTTAACCCTTTCTCCTCTACGTCTCTCTCTTCACAAGCTCAGAAACCAGAAGAGCATCTCTGAACCTTCCCCACTCTGGAAACTGTTGCAAGAGACTGTGCAACCCACTTCTCCCTCAAGGCCATCAGCCATGTGCCATCTGTGCCCCTACCCCACCCTACAAATGCTCACCACCAGGAGAGAATTACCAGCACTCTCTCTTACAGAAAAACCATCCTCTTTATCCTCTTTAATCCTTATTCCTCCTTTAAAAGGGAAAATAGATTACAAGGTCTAAAAACCTGACCTACAAAGGGTTAAAACCAAACTGCTTGAACCTCAAAGCTGCCCAAAAAATGGTGTAAACCACCTAGCAGCTCACAAATTCCCCAAGGGACCTCCTTCTGTCAATGTTTAACCAAGAAGCTACAGCCTTTTTTTTTTTTTTTTTTTTTTTAACTTGCCAGAGCCATTCTACATCAAATATTCTTCATGTGCAACCCACTCCATAAAGAATGAAGCTATTCTATAACAAATCAAGTTCTGAAGCTCTCCAAACCCACTCTTTGGCTCAACAATCAAATATGGAGCACCACCTAAGCAAACACGAGCCCTGTACTGTCCTTGTGGGTGAGGCTAGATCACGAGTCACCAAACAAGAATGTGGTGGTAGAACCTAAATTTGAGGGATCTGCAGTGCCCAGGAAGCCAGGGAAGGCTTCAGGAGAAAAGTGAGCTCCCAGGGCTCGGAAAGCTAGCGTCTCTGATTTTATTTTAGTAGACAGATACTATTTTTAAAATGTAAAGTATCATTAAAAAGGCTGTGCATGTGTTGGAGTAGGGGAGACATGGGAACTCTATATTTCCAATTTTGCTGGGAGCCTAAAACTGCTCTATTTAGAGAGTGTGTGTGTTAATAATGTTAATAATGCTAATAATGCTGGGAGGGGGCTGGGCTAATTATTGGTGTCTTTTGACATTTGTATTTTATTTATTTATTTTTTAGAGACAGGGTCTCACTCTATTTCCTAGGCTGGAGTGCAGTGGTGCAATCATAGCTCACTGCAGCCTTGAACTCCTGGGCTCAAGCCATCCTCCCATCTCAGCCTCCTGAGTATTAAATTTCATTTTAAATGGCATATATTCTAGTGTATAATTATAATCTTTACAGAAATTAATTAATGTACACCAGCAGATGTTCCTGTTATATTTCTAAAGGTTCCCTTTCAAGATAATTGCTATTAATTACATTTAAATAAGTTCTCTAATTTTGGCATCACCAGTTTTGTTTTGGTTTTTTTTTTTTTAAGAGTTTTTTTTGGCAGAGGGGAGGGTTGCTTTTTTTTATTTTTATTTTTTGAGACGGAGTCTCGCTCTGTCGCCCAGGCTGGAGTGCAGTGGTGTGATCTCAGCTCACTGCAACCTCTGCCTCCTAGGCTCAAGCAATTCACCTGCCTCAGCCTCCTGGGTAGCTGGGATTACAGATGCCCACCACCACGCCCAGCTAATTTTTTTGTATTTTTAGTAGAGATGGGGTTTCATCACGTTGGCCAGGCTGGTCTTGAACTCCTGACCTCAGGTGATCTGCCCACCTTGGCCTCCCAAAATGCTGGGATTACAGGTGGGAGCCACCGCGCCTGGCCGGCATCACCAATTTTGGATTCGAGGTCCTGTAGCCTACTATTAACACAGATAACAACTATAATTCTGTTGAATAAATGATTTTCTAAGCAAATAACAACAATAAAGTTATTTCATGGGTATAGTTTCAATTTGGGATGATAAAAAAGTACCGGACATGAAAAGTGGTATTGGTTTCACAACAGTATGAATATACTTATGCCACCAAACTGTACACTTACAAATGGTTAAAATGGTAAACTATATGTTCTACATATTATAAAAGTAATGAAACACTATTTTTTTTTTTGAGATTTCACCATCTTTAAATGGGAACCAGCACAGGAGAAGTGCCATAAATACTCTGCCTGATTCCAGGGGGCTTTTACCCGCAAGAAATGTACAGTTAGGGTTTCAATCGCTCCCATTACACTAAGTTGTAACGCAAGCTCCCTGAGACAAAACTTTTCCATTTGGCTGTTTTCACAAAGACCACAGGAGCACATAAAGTCTTGTCTAGGGGAGCAAATCCAAATCACTTGGGTGCAAGGTAAATGCACAAATGGGAAAAGCCAATGCCAAAATCACTGCTGCTTTGATAGCATTCACTAAACAAATATTGAGTACCTACTATGCGCCAGGCACTGTGCCAGAACTTAGGTCTAATGCCTGATCTCCTGGATCTTGCAATACAATGACTTGCTTTCAATCAAAAGACTTCACTTTTGTGGCAATTTCAAATAATATTACAGGAAGTGGTGTGACTCCTGTTTCTCAAAGGAGCCATGTGTTTCCTTGTTTTCTGTTTTTTTAAATGTGTACTTTGAAATGACTCAAACTTACCAAAGAGTTGCAAGAATATGACAAAGAACTCCTCTATCTCCCTTCACACAGATTCAAAAATTATTGATGTTTGCGTACATCTGCTTTATCATGCTCTCTAGCCATCTCTCCCCTCCCTTCTCTCCCTTCCCCGTCCTTCCTTCCTTTCCTCCCCTCCACCCACATCCATCCATCTCCCTCCCTTTCCCATCCCCTTCTCCTTATATAAAGTGTTTCCTCAACCATCTGAGAATGAGTTGTAGACATCTCCCTTTATTCTTAAATATTTCATATTTATGTATTTATGTATTTTCCAAGAACAAGGACATTTTCTTATAGAACCATATGATGATCAAGTTCTCACAGTTTAACACTGATTAAATACTATTACTTAATACTTAAATGCTGCCAGTTCTTCAAATGATGACAGCAGGAGTGATGCACAGATTCTAAAACAATGATTTGAAGGCTCACTCTTCAAACACCAAATGGACTAAAGAGACAACCTGTAGAGACACACCCACCCAAAGAGGCGCCTGGCTTGCTCCCTTGCTATCCATAGGACATTTCGTAGAGGACTCCAGGCAGAAGAAAATTCTCATTAAAATTCCTTCCCTTATTACTTAATGAAGCTCCCTAACTGGAACAAATCACATTTAACCTGATTTCTCCAAGATATGACTTAGTCCTATCTAATTTTGTTCCATAGTCATGAAATCTCTGGATAAAAATGCTTTCTTGTAACAAAATTCAGCAGCATCACCTTCCACACCCTCCCAATTAGATTTTTTTTTTTTAATCTCAAGGTCCTGGGCTCAAGCCATCCTCCCACCTCAGCCTCCCGAGTAGCTGGGACTAATGACATGCATGACCACACCTGGCCCCAATTAGAAATTGTTCTAATCTCAGTAGCCCTCCTGCTCAGCATCTTCCATTCAAAGCAATATTTCCAAAGCACATCCAAACCAAGAGGGAATGTCTTGGGAGACACAGGTAAATCTCCCTATTGAGATGGAGGTGGATGAACCTGGGTTGTCTAATGATTCCTTCAATATAGCTGTCAGATGTTTCTCCAATGATTCCATCTACCCAGCACTCTTTTTTTGTTGTTCATTGTTTGATACAGGGTCTCACACTGTCACCTAGGCTGGAGTACAGTGCCTTAATCTAGACTCACTGCAACCTCTGCCTCCCAAGTTCAAGCAATTCTCCTGCCTCAGGCTCCCGACTAACTGGGACTACAGGTGTGCACCACCACACCTGGCTAATTTTTGTACTTATGGTACAGACAGGGTTTAGCCAGGTTGCCCAGATTAGTCTCAAACTCCTGGCCTCAAGTGATCTGCCCGCCTCGGCCTCCCATAGTGATGGGATTACAGGCGTCAGCCATGGCACCTGCCCTACCCAGCACTCTTAATGGGTAAGCAGTGGTCTCAGAACCTCTTTCATCAGCATCCATCCACTCATTAGAACCAATATGTATTTCCTTAGATCAATCTTCACTTGACGAGGTAAATAACATCTTTACATTAAGTCTGAGTTGGAGTCAATTAAATTGTCTGAAAAAGCATCTCCAAGTAGTCCTGAAGCTGATTTTTAGGTATTTACCTAAAATAATGATAGGTGTGCCTCATAAAATGAAATAAACAACACCCTGGCCTGAAATACTTGTGTGCTTTCAAACAATGAACAAACATCAAGTTCTCATGGCTCATCATTTAACTGACTTCATGTAGCAATACTCAGGAAAATTAAATGTAAAAGTAAGTTAGTCTGTAAAAGAACACACAAATTCAGGGGAAAATCTGAATATGAATGGCTTATGAGCAGAGGGTGTACTTTCTTTCCAGACCACAGCTCCAAAATTATCAAATAAAAATTTTTAAAGTCAGTCATGATATAGAACTGAACATTATCAACTGAATCAAACTGACATTTATAGCACAATTCATCCAATGACAACCAAATACATATTCTTTCAAGTATACATGGAACAATCATCAAGATAGAACATATTCAATGTCATAAAACAACCCTTAAAAAATGTAGGCCAGGCGGCCGGGGCGCACTTTGGGAGGCCAAGGTGGGCGGATCACGAGGTCAGGAGATTGTGACCATCCTGGCTAACATGGTGAAATCCCGTCTCTACTAAAAATACAAAAAAATTAGCCGGGCGTGGTGGTGGGCACCTGTAGTCCCAGCTACTCGGGAAGCTAAGGCAGGAGAATGGCGTGAACCCAGGAGGCAGAGCTTGCAGGGAGCTGAGATCGCACTACTGCACTCCAGCCTGGGTGACAGAGCAAGACTCCATCTCAAAAAATATATATATTATGTATAATATATAATATAAAATATATATTATATATAATAGATAATATATAATATATATTATATAATATATAATTTATATAATATATATTATATATTATCTATTTTATATAATATATAAAATAGATAATATATAAACTATTATATTATATAAATTATATATTATATATTATATAAATTATATATTATATAATATATTATATAAATTATATATTATATAATATATTATATAAATTATATATTATATAATATATTATATAAATTATATATTATATATTATATATTTTATATAATATATATTATATAAAATATATAATATATTATATAAAATATATAATATAATATATATTATCTATTTATATAATATATATTATATTAAAAGATAATATATATTATATAAATAGATAAGATATATTATCTATTTATATAATATATATTATATAAATATATAATATATATTATATAAAAAGATAATATATAATACATATTATATAAAATAGATAACATATATTATATATTATATAAAATAGATAATATATAATATATATTATATAAAATAGATAATATATATTATATATTATATAAAATAGATAATATATATTATATAAAATATAATATATATATATATAGGCCAGGCTCAGTCGCTCATGCCTGTAATCCCAGCACTTTGGGAGGCCAAGGTGGGAGGATTGCTTGAGGTCAGGAGTTTGAGACCAGCCTGAACAACATAGCAAGACCCCATCTCTACTACAACAACAACAACAAAATTATGTGTGTGTGTGTGTGTGTGTGTGTGTGTGTGTGTGTGTGTATTCACACTTCTAAATAATTCATGGGACGAAAATAAAGTCTCAAGATAAATTACAAAATGGTTAAGCTGAACTAAAATAGAAATACAACATATCAAAATGTGTGAGTGCAACTAAAGCAATGGTTAGAGGGAAATTTATAGCACTAAATGTTTACATTAGAAAAGAAATGATAATTTAATAATTTAAGCATCTGCCTTAGGAAACTAAAAAACTATATATAAAGTGAAAAAATAAAAAATATTAGAATAGAAATCAATTAAATTGAAAACAGAGAAAGAATAAAGATCATAAATGAAACAAAAAGTTGATTCTTAGAAAAGATCAATAAATTGACTGACCTCTAGCAAAACTGATAAAAACAAAAAGAAACACGAACAAGTTACCAATATCAGGGAGAAGAAAAAGGGGCCTCATGAACATTAAAAAGATAATAAGGGAATACTAGAAGCAACTCTACATACCTAAATTCAACAACTTATAAAAAATGGATCACTTCTTTAAAAAGCATGAACCACTCTCAGAAGAAAACTCTCACAACCATAAGAAAACAAACAACCTGATTGAAATCCAATTTAAAAATGGGCAAAAGACTTAGCTAAAGCTAACCTTACTAAACACGATATCTGGATGGGAAATAAGCACATGAAAAGCTGTTCAGTGTCATTAGCTATCAGCCAATTACAAATGAAAACCATGACACACATTTACTAAAATGCCTAAAATTAAAAATATCATAATACCAAGCGCTGACAAGGATGTGGAACTGGAACTTTCATGTGAGTATGAGCAAGTTCATGGACAATCTCTGAGGGGATTTTTTTTTTTTAATAAATGGTTAAAACACATTTTACTACACAAATAACAAAGATTTAAGCTGTTACTTCTGAGCATAAATAACATGTTCCATGAGATAATGCAAGACAAACCAAATCAATCTTGCACATCAAAACCAAGGTCAGGAAAAAAAAAATCCCATTCCCTCACTGAGACATCTTTCCAGCTCTGGACAGGAATGCAGAGAGCTCATGCCACTCCAGGTTTTTTGTTTGATTGTTTTCTGTTTGTAATTTTTTGTAGAGTCTCACCGTTGCAGGGAGCTTGCCATTGCCAGGGCTGGTCTCAAACTCTTGGCCTCAAGCGATCCTCCTGCCCTGGCCTGTAGTAGCCCCAGCCACTTGGGAGGCTGAGGCAGGAGGATCGCTTGAACCCAGGAGGTTGAGGCTACAATGAGCTGTGATTGCACCACTGCACTCCAGCGTGGACAACAGAGCAACACCCTGTCTCAAAAAAATGAAAAAAAAAAGTTGCTTATAAATGGTAATTCATTATAATTTTCCTATGTTGGAGTAATGAGGAAACAAGCAATGTTTCCCACTTCATCTCATTTATAAATGAAAGAGACAGTTGACATTTATATTACGATGAAACAACTTAATAGGGAAAGGATAAAAACAGTGAAAGGATAAAAACAAATCTCCCAAACCTTTGGTTTAATGGTCCTTTCATAAGCTGCAAATATGCTGGCTTTACCTATTTGCTCACAGGCACTCACACACTCAGGCAATTTCATTGTAGTTAATCTCTGGAATTGCCTAACAATCATTTTTATCACACCTGGGCATCTTCTAAACCAGTCTGGATGAAGCTTCAAGAATGGATGCTTCAGTGGCCACATTAGAAGACTAGAATTAAGGCAAATTGGATAATGTTTATTAGATATATGCTCTATTCGGTGATTAAGTATATAGTGCACACCCCAAGGTTTTTGTTTTGAATAGGTCAAGTGAATTTTTGTTAATCTTTCAATATAATTTCAAATTTACAGAGAAGTTACACAAATAATACAAATAAGTATTTACTATTAAAGAACTATTAACATTTTACCACAGTTGCTTTATTATTTTTTCTTTCTGTGTGTATTTCTTTCTGTAAATAGCCAACATAATGCCCCTTTACCCTTAAATACTTCAGTGCGTAAATGTTAAAATAAATACTTGACATGGATACAGTACTATTATCAAATCTGTAGACTTTATACAAATGTTGTCAATCATGTCATTTATAGAAAAAAAAATCGGATCACAAGTTACATGCAGTTGTTACACAAAAGAATTCAAAGTCTTAAACTAAGAAAGGAAGCAAAAACAAAAAAGGAAACAAAACAAAAATATCAAAAATACCAATAACACTACAATGCTGGAAAGGAAAAGGAAGCAAGCCTTCAGATAAACAGAAATTCAGACCATTCCATGACATGAATCACTGCAATTTAGTTTCATCCAAGTTAGGTCATGCTTTGCTTCTATTTTGAAGGGGAAAAAAAAAAAAAAAACACTTTACCCAGACTTAAACTTGATTTCCCAGATACAAGTTTGGTCTACTTTCTTTGATACAAAGATTTTCTGAAGCATACCTTTACGTTCAACCCATAAAAATGGCCTATCCTATTAATCAACATGAGAAAGAAAACATGCCATTCTGGCTTTTAAGACCATCTTCCTGAATTTTAGCTGACTTCGAAGCAATCATGTAAACTGATCTTTGACATAAAAATTCCAGTTACAGGAAATTCCAAATTAACTAAACAACTATAATAGTGTTATGATGTACTTTGGGCCAAGGTATCAGCTGCAGACTTCTCATAAAAAGAAAAAGGCACTCATTAGCCAAGCTAATAAAAATTACCACAAAGAAATTTGCTGGAGCAAAGAGAGGAATCAATATGAAATGCTATATAATGAATGTACGACAAATGCTCTCTCAACGGCACGTACTAGCACAAATGGGTTTTTGTTCTGTTAAACTTTTTAGAGACGAGGCCACTAAATGAGTCTGCTGCAGTACACACACAAAAAAGTTCTGTGCTGTGTGGTTAGCCAAGGGGATCAAGAAGCCCATTGTTAAGGTATTAGTAATAGGGTGGAACTCAGACACACAAGAATCCCAAAAGCAAAGTACATTCCGCAAACGCATGATCCTATTTCAGCCAAAGTCCACACTCTGAGGTTAATGAATTGGGAGGCCTCTGCATAAATCAAGACATCTGTCAGCACTTACAAATAATCACAGGGCCAAGGAACCCCTCATCCATCCCCTAAACACTCAGGCAGAGAAAGGACAGGCCAGGCAAGGAAAGTCATTCCTAAGGACCAGCCCAGAGGTGGCAAGAGTTGGCAAGGTTGTCTAAAGAGAAAGCTCTACACTTACAGCTCTGGAACAGTTAGGGTTTTGGAAGAGGAAAAACCACCGAACACAACCCATGCACAGAAAGATATTCTGCCCAAAGGAGGGCTACAACATCACTCGTTAAAACACGGGGCTTCGCTGGGCACGGTGGCTCACGCCTGTAATCCTAGCACTACTTTGGGAGGCTGAGGTGGGTGGATTAGTTGAGGTCAGGTGTTCACGTAATGAGGTCGGATTACTTGAGGCCAGATTACTTGATTACTTGAGGCCAGGTCAACCTGGCCAACATGGTGGAAACCTCGTCTCTACTAAAAATACAAAAAATTAGTCAGGCATGGTGGCAGGCACCTGTAATCCCAGCTACTCCGGAGGCTAAGGCAGGAGAATAGCTTGAACCTGGGAGGCGGAGGTTGCATTGAGCCGAGATCGCACCACTGCACTCCAGCCTGGGCGACAAAGCGAGACTCCGTCTCAAAAAAACAAAAAAAGAAAAAAAAAAAACACGAGGCCTCTTCTTTGGAAAGGCCATGGAGAGAAAGAGTATGCGGGGGTGGGGGGCGCGGGGCAGGAAATGATTATCTTGCAGTGGAATTAGCTGGTCCTAGTTTACCCTAAGCCAAAGCCCTCAGTAATCTCATCTATAAAATGAAGGGGTAGGAGACCAAGTTCTTTCCAGAGAAAAAGAAAACACACTTTGAAGTCCGAAAATTCCGTGCTCCACAATTTATTAACTGTGCAGTCTATGTCACTCTAGGCCTCAACATCTTCACCTGTAAAACTGCGATTCTACCTGCATCAATTAGGGTTAGATCTGACTGAGACTCGGGGCTTGCAAAAGAAGCATATTCCTCCCCCTCCCCACAAGGAAAATTCCAGAGGTTGCAGCTAGGATTTATGAGGTGGCTTTGATCCACAAAGTCCTCTGAGGCCAGATTTCTTCTGTCTCCATGGCCTTCATCCCAGTCACCTCGAGGTTCAAGACGGCTGCTGAAATTCCAGCCATCATTTCCATATTCTAGTTTTGGCCAGCATGTCTATATTCCAACAGGAAAGGAAAAGGTAAGAAGAGTACAAAGAAGGTTCCAGGAAATTACTATGTGACAACTCTGCGCTTACATCCAGATTATAATCTCATCACCATCCTAGTTGCAAGGAGGGGGAGGGATGAAAATACAGTTTTATTTTTGACAGCCATGCATCCAGCTAAAAACTGGGGTCTATAGCTACAGGAAAAGGGGAGAATGGATAGCTTTGCAACACCCACCTCCATCTCATTTTAAAGATTAAATTGGATAATATACGTAAAGTGTCTGATGCTTCGTGGACCCACAAATACACAGGGCCAGCGTTCCCCTTGTGGTAACACAGACATTTTGTGATCTGTGGTCTCAGCGGCTTAAGAGCTTCTTCAGAAAGTAGCCTTTTTTTAGCCTAGTCTGTCTTTTACAGTCTCATCTCTGGCCACACTCCACATACAACCTGCATTCCAGCCATACTAAACCTATCTCCTTTCATGCCTCCAAACATTTGTACTCACAGAGCCTTCTACCAGGGACGCCCTGCTGAAGCCTTTGTCTGCATGATGAACTCTTCTCTTCAACATTCTAGAAGGTCTTCCTCCACCTGCGACTTCTGCCCTTTATTCCCAAGTGGAGCAGCTGCTCCCACTCCCAGGTGCTTCCTCTGCAGTAGCACTCACCACCTGTACTGCTGCATCTAATGAGTTGGTTTTTTTTTTCTGTTTTTTTTTCTTTTTTCTTTTTTTTTTTTTTTTTTTGAGCTGGAGTCTTGCTCTGTCGCCCAGGCTGGAGTGCAGTGGCACAATCTTGGCTCACTGCAACCTCTGCCTTCTGGGTTCAAGCGATTCTCCTGTCTCAGCCTCCCAAGTAGCTGGGATTACGGGCGCATGCCACCATGCCCGCTAATTGTTGCATTTTTAGTAGAGACAGGGTTTCGCCATGTTGGCCAGGCTGGTCTCGAACTCCTGACCTCAGGTGATCCACCCACCTCGGCCTCCCAGTGTGCTGGGATTACAGGCATGAGCCACTGCACCTGGCCCTAATGAGTGCTTTCTATGTGCCACCCATTGTCCTAAACCCTTTATACACAGCTTCTCAGTTGATCCCCAAAACTCTATGACACAGACACCATATTATCCCCATTTTACAGATAAAGAAACTGCGACATAAAGGTCAAATAGCTTGTCCAAGGCAAAGAGTAGAGCTGGGATTTAAAAACAGGCTACTGGACCTCAGAAACTACACTCTTAGCCCCAACACTGGGCTGCCTCAACTACTTGCATAAGAAATCTAAGTGTAATTATAGGGAAAGGATGATCAAACTACATCTCACAGGCTATATCAGCCCACCGCCAGCTTTTATAAATAAAGTTTTATAGAACACAGATACATCCACTTATTTACAAAGGAGCACTCGGTAGTTGCCATGAAGACTGTATAGCCCACAAAGTCTAACCTACTTACTATCTGGCCCTTTACAGAAAAGTCTGCTCCCCTCTGTTATGGACTGTCAGCTCCTTAAGGTAGGGCCTGTGCTTCTTCCTCCTGTCTCCTGCTTCTCACATGGCATTTGACATATACATAAAAAGCGCTCAAAAATATTTGGGGTATAAAAATTCCACCAGGCATAATTTCAAGCAAAGAGGAGTATGTTTGGGGGATGGTGCTGCCACCTCACTCAGGGCTTAGAAAGTTTCCCAACTCTGGGCCGGGCACAGTGGCTCACGCCTGTAATCCCAGCACTTCGGGAGGCCAAGGCGGGCGGATCACCTGAGGTCAGGAGATCAAGACCAGCCTGGCCAACATGATGAAACCCCGTCTCTACTAAAAATACAAAAATTAGCTGGGTGTGGTGGCGGACGCCTGTAATTCCAGCTACTCAGGAAGCTGTGGCAGAAGAATCGCTTGAACCCAGGAGGTGGAAGTTGCAGTGAGTGGAGATCACGCCACTGCACTCCAGCCTGGGTGACACAGCGAGACTCTGTCTCAAAAAGAAAAAAGAAAGTTTCCCGACTCTGCCCAGACTCTACTTAACAACCAAAAAGCCCAGATCAGCTGCAGCGGTGGTTTTCATTGCATTGTTAGCAGCCCACACAGCTCTGACGGAGTGAGCACTGCAGAGACGGCTGAGTGAGGATCATTTGCATCAGTCACCTAATCTACTCGATTGCCCTGAACACAAGGCCAGAACAGAGCCCCCAGTTCTACCCACACATAAGGAGAACCTGAACCCCACCACTTTCCAAAAAACGTCCAATCCCACCCAACCACTCATGGCAGCCTGCACAGGCCACAAGGCTGGCCGTGCAGATAAATACTTAAAACATCCTGGAAAAGAGTGACTAAAAACTGATATTGGTTGCCTTTCAACTCTTTGTATTTTCATCAATATATTTATAGAAAGGGACTAAACCACACAAAAACATAAATAGTCCCCTAAAAACTACAACACAAAAAGAAAAGATTATTCATGGTGCAAATGCCTTCTCTGACCTTCAAGGAACAGACTTGCAACAAAAGACCATATATAATGTTTCCTAATTTTATCATTATTATTGATATCATTGCATGAGGCACAAATAAAGCATTTTCTGGGCTGTGACCATATTCAGTCCAGTCTAGGTTATCAAAATTCAAATTCTGGATGGTTTTCTTTTTAATTCTGTCTTGGCCTGGCCCCAAATCGCATCAGTGGGAGCCAGGCAGAACTGCAAAAAGCCTCCCACGTTTCCGGCACAATCATTTCAACCCTTCTTTCAGGACACAAAGGCCCATCCATGTGGCTTCTTTCTTCCCAGAGTCCTCAGACAACTGTCCACAAGCAGCCTCTGAGGAAGCACACCAAACGCAGACAGCCACTGGGCAAATCAAATGGCTTAAGTCAACTGGGTCCTCATGTAATGAGAGGCAGGGCTAAGACACCTGCAGATTTGCCAAGGCTGGGGCTTAAGTGACCACCAATGCAACCCCTAGGTTCCAGAAAGCTAGTCACTAGTCTATCTAAAATACAAGACTCTCACTCACAAACTTCTGCTGAGGACCTACTGTGCACCAAGCACAGGACTGGTGCCTGTGGTGGCCTCACAACACTGCGAGGTTCATATCATTTTACAGATGGAGAGACCAAGGCCCAAAGAGTTAAATAACTTGCCCAAGGTCATTTGGCCAAAAGGAGACAAAGCTGGAAAGGTAAGAAGGACTACACAGCTTCTCCCTAGACTGCCCCTCTCAGAAGCAATGCCATGCACATGAGGAAGTGGCAGTCCTGTTTTCCAAAAGCTCTCCAGGTAGCAACATGAAGATGGCCAGGATGGGGAGCCATCTATTCACTTATGCACTGCTGGTGGCAGTGTGAAATGGTTCAGCCACTTTGGAAAACAGGTTAGCACTTTCTACATAGGATGGATACACGAGCAATTCTAATGCTAGGTATTTACCCAAAAGAAATAAAAGCATGTGACCACACAAAGACTTACACACAAATAGCAGCTTTATCTGTAATAGTCAA
Organism: Homo sapiens; assembly: GCF_000001405.40. Taxonomy (NCBI): domain Eukaryota; kingdom Metazoa; phylum Chordata; class Mammalia; order Primates; family Hominidae; genus Homo; species Homo sapiens. Next base: position 31,973,909 of record NC_000003.12, read on the forward strand.
AAACTGGAAACAGCCCAAATGTTGTCCTACAGGTAATGGATAAACAAACTGTGGTATATCCACAGGACATAATGCCTGCATAATACACCGTGTCTCTATATATGCAGTGCCCAGGCACCTGTATACAGGCATCCAGCAAAGGGCGCATACCCAGAATATATAAACATCTCGTAAAAGTCAAGAAGAAAAAGGCAGACACCCAACAGATAAATGGGCAGAGGACTTAAAGAGCAGCTTGCAAAACATGACATCCCAATGGCCGATTAATACGTGAAAACATGTTCAGCCTCAGTAGTCATCAGGGAAAGGCAAATTAAAATTGGATGACATGAAAACAAGAGACAATATCAAGTGTGGATGAGAATGTGGTACACACAGAACTCTCTCTACACACTTTTGGTGGAAGTATTAATGCATACAACCACTGTGGAAAACTCTCTGCTAGTATCTAATAAGCTGGACATGAGCAAACACTCCTAGGTGTATATCCACAGAAATGCATACCTATGTTCTCCAAACACAGGTACTAGAATGTTCACAGCATTGTGACCCTATGAATAGGGTCAAAAACTGAAAAGAACTCAAATACCAACCTACAATAGACAAATGTGTTCAGTATATTCATACCACGGAATACCAAATAGCAATGAAAATAAACAGACCACAACTATACACAGAAACATGCGTAAGCCTCCCAAACATAACGTTAAGAGAAAGAAGCCAGACACACAGATCACATATTACACAATACACAGTTCAAAAGGAGACCAAACAACTCAGTGGTGTTGAGGTCAGAATAGCAGTTACCGTATGCGGGGAGATACTATGAGGAAAGGGGCTGTGGGGGACAGGGAATGTTTTGGCAGCTGTTTCTTAATCTGGGTGTGTTCCATTTAAGAAAATTCATTGAACTGTGTATGTATATGATTTGTGTACTTTTCTGAATGTAGATTAGACTTGAAATTTACTCGCAAAACTCAGTTAGACAGATGACGTGAAAAGGCATGAGCAGCTTTTCTTTGCCTCAACAACTTTTTCAAACTGCAAAACAGACACACATTCACCTTGGGAAAACAGACAAGAGAAGATAATGGAAATCACCCATAATCCCACCAACCAAAGAAAACCATTTTGGTGTGAATCTCCTCAAATATACACACACTTTCAAAGGAGGGGGAGGGCAGATTCTGCAGGGAGTAGTTAATACGAAGCAGGTGCTCAATACGTATTTTGAACCATAAGTGAATAAACAATATTATACAGTGTTTTGTAACCTAGGCAACCATCCCTTTTATTATTACCATCAATGAAACTAGTTAGTGTCCCTAAAGGATTTTAGCACACGGCCTCAAAACACTCTGGCAGACTACACAGGAAGATATGCAGATATTTCCTATGTACACGCGGACAAGAATACAAAACCCAGAGCAGTGATTTTCAACCCTGGTATCACCAATTCCCTCTAAAATTATTGGGATACTCAAAAAAACACTTATTTTCCTTCAAGGTGGCTTTAAAAATTCATATATACCCCAGTGATGCTTTAATTTGGGATAAGTGGCACCAAAATGCTGGGGGCTAAACACTAAACACTCAACGTATGTTGTTAATCCAGATAGAGTCAAAAGCAAGCCCTGGATATTTGGTCACTAATGGCCCCCAATGGGTGAGTTGTGGTGGGCCCTAAATCAGGGTGGGCACGTCACAGGAAGAGTCATACTCCCTGATCCAGAACCAAAGACTGTTTGCAGAGAGCAGGACAGATGATAAACACAGCAACACAAGGACAAGGTTACAAGCAGGTACAGAACCAAGACTTCTGATACTAATAATAGCTAACACTGGCTCAAATAGAACTAAGCCCTGGTTTCCCTCTCTGACATTTATTCATTTTTTTATCCATTTGACAATACTTACTCTACCCTTACTGTATACCAGACCCTGTTCTCAACACTGGAGATAACAGCAGCAACAAAGACAAACAAAATTATCTGTCCTCAGGGAGCTTATACTCTAGTGTGGAGAGACCAAAAAAAGTAAAATATAAAGCATGTCAGATAATAGCAAGGTATATGGAGAGAAATAAAATAGGAAAGGAAGATAGGATTTAGAGGCTGGGAAGGGGAGCTGTAAATGTTTGGTGCCAAGTTTTAAAAGGATCCCTTCAAAATGAAGTAATCATCTTCTCCCCAAAGAACTCTATGATAATTATGTTAATGTGGTCCCAGGGTAACCACAGCACTCAGAATAAAAACCAAGAATTTTATGGACCAGAAAGTGCCTACTTAAAAACAGACAAATTGAAGATCTAATAATAGCTACCACTTCTTGGTATCTTGCTATGTACTATTCTCAGTCCCTTATACACCAATAATCTCATTTAATCTTCACATTGAACTAATGAAAAGAGTAACATCATTTCCCACATTTAGCAGAAGAGAAAAACAGAAGCCCAGTGCAATTAAAGAGCTAGCCCACGGTCACATGTGTGCTAAGTGTTGGTGTCAAGATTTGAATCCAAAGTTCACACTACTCTTCCTCCCCAAATAAATGTCTACTTTAGAGACAGAGTCTTGCTCTGTTGCTCAGGCTGGAGTCCAGTGGTGTGATCATAGCTCACTGCAGCCTTGACCTCTTGTGCTCAAGCAATCCTCCCAACTCAGACCCCTGAGCAGCAGTGACTACAGGCCTAAGCCACCACCACTGGCTAATTTTTATATTTTTATTTTGTGGAGACAGGGTTTCACCATGGTTCCCACGCTGGTCTGGAACTCCTGGGCTCAAGCAATCCTCCCACCTCGGCCTCCCAAAGTGCTGGGATTACAGATGTGAGCCAATGCACCCAGCCTTGTCTTCCTTAATCCTAGTCAAGATTTGTTGTCATTCAGCATTTTATTGAGTTCTTACAACCCTGCCAATCACCAAAAAAAGAATTGAAGGTTGGTTCCACGTTCGCAGTGTCTTCTTTTCTCCAAATAAGAAAAAGTGAATGGCAATGGCAACCCTTAGATATTTAAATAACAATTTCTAGATCCAATTAGAAATTATTTCCTCAAATACTTGATATTATGAGCAACTCCAAAATAGCTCCATTTTAGTTTGAGAGTAAAGTTTGACTTAGGGCAAATGAAAGTTCATACAGCCAGTTTCTTACTAGGGGTAAGCACCTCAAACTGAACACAGTCCAAACAGAACTCTTGGCCAAGCCTCACCCTCCCCACAAACACATTCCCCTCCTGTGATCCTCATCTCCACAAAGGACGTCTCAACCTCCCAGCCTCTCAGGCCCACAAATCAAGAGTTATTCTTGCCCCTCTCTCACCTCCACATCAAATTCATCAGCGATTTCCATCCTCTCCACACCAGATCTATCCCTTCTCTCCAGTTCTCTGCCAACCCCCAGCCCAGGCCGCCAGCATCTCTTTCCTGGACCACTCAGATGGGCTCCTAACTGGTCTCCCTGCTTCATGCTTTGGCCCCTTGAAAATCTCATCTCTACACAGCAGCCAAAGTGACCTAATAAGTGTCACTTCCCTTCCTAAAATCCTTCTGGGCCACCAGAACCCAGTCTGAAATTCTAATCCTGGCCAACTAGGTGCTAGGTCATCTGCCTCCTCAAGTTCTCGAGGTTTACTCTCCCCATGGTTCACTCTGTATGAGTGATAAGATGGGTAATAAGAGAGTACTCTAAGTGACAATGTGAATAGCAGTAAAAACACTAGACTCACACTTAAAATTATTCCTGCAAATACTTGCTTTATCTCATCACCTTTTTTTAACCTTCATAGCACTTGCCACTTTCTGGATTTTTTATTGTTGTTCATTTGTATCAATGTATTTACTCTTCAGTGCCATCCTGTAAATCTATACAATGTTATTATGCCTGAAATATTTTCTTTAAATATCTATAATAATGAATGACAGAAAGCCCTTAATGCATGTTTTCCCCATACTCTAAGTATTTCACATTCTCATCCAGTGAGTGTGAGCCAAATGTCCTGAACTTACTCTCCTGAGTTGAGCACGTTCCCATCATACAGTGTTCTTCTCTGTGACCTCTCTTTATGTCGTTTATTTTGTGTTCTGGCCCAAACTGCCTTCCTAAGGGCATGAGGATGAGGCTACAAATAAAGGCAGAATATGATGCCAAGTGTTAAAATATAAGTTTTACAGCAACTTGAGAACATGCAAGAGGACACCAGGGTACAAACTGTTAGTGGGTGATTGGTATTAAGTCCTGGGAGCTGGTGAAGAGCACTACAATTGCACAGCAGCCTGAGAGGATGAACCAAGAACTTGGTTGCTATAGATTTGTCATTAACTGTGGGCACTTTGAAAAGAACTGCCAAAGGAAGATGCTATGAGGCCCAGAAAGAAAGGCAGCAGGAATCAGTTGGCTAACTATTTGTACTAAGGCATTTCCCTGGACCAGGGAAGGGTGGTAGCTCCAGCTCCTAGAACAGTTCCTGCCACATAGTAGGTGCTCAATAAAACAGTCTGTGAATAGATAATTGAACAAATGAATACATTTTCAAAGTTTCTATTTTTATCCTCTTCTCTCTTCCTTTTCACTAATCCATCTGTCCCTTCATAAGACCCCTAGAGAAGGGAGAATTTTGCAAGCACAGAGTCATCGTAATCTTCTCCAAACCACTAATGGACCCTCAGCCATCGTTCAAAGAACAAAATGTGGGAAATAGAAACCCTGACACTGAGATGTTAACAATTACAGACGATGCTTATGGAGTCAGTGGTAGACTTGGAAAACGGTGAGTCTACTGTGGTAAGAACAAACATAGGCAGACAGCTATAAATTGCAGTAAACAAACTCAATAAAGATGAGACATCACTTAAGCATGCTCAGGAGTGTACTTAATACCACATTTCACCTAGGTAGCCTGCTATCACGTAGGTATTATTATTGGCATTAAATGTGCTTCTTCTCAACCTTGCCTCCAATCTAAACACCACAATGGGTTTAAAATAATGCAAAAGAATGTTACTCCAATGCCTCCTAAATCCACTCCAAATAACAAATCCTTTAATACAGACTGCAAGGTAAAATATTGTTCCCCAGCAAGTAAATAATAAAATAACTGTAATCCAGGGTAAAAGCTTTGCTGGCCTCATAATCTACTTGAAGAAAAAGCATTAAGTGATTGCTCAACACACCAACAAAATGCTGTTACTGACAAGGCACCTTGAGTTGCCATTAACGAGACATAATTACCAAGAACTGAAATCAGATTTAGTCATCTCATATCTCCCTCTACCTACGCATTCTACCTATTCTTTTTCAGCTTTCACGAATTGAAAGGGGAAGGGAGAGGCAACAGCAGACACTAGGACTATTTTGAGAAATAAAAGGATTCAAAAGTTAAGTGCAACTTCCACTAACATAGTAACACATCTCCCAGGAAGCCCAGGTGACTCAGAAAGTCCTATATGTAGAATATCAATATAGAAACAACTCAGTTTCCATACTTCAAAAGACCTCTTCCTCCAAGTTGAGTTTCGTGCAGATAACTGGCTGATATGTTTCAGATGGAAGCAAATCTGAACATTTCCAAACAATCTACAGGAAGAGATAACCAAGTAATATAGTCCATGCAGCAGAGATAAGCAACTTTCCAGGGTATAATTCAAATCTCACAAACATCCTTAAGAGCCCCAAGTCTATTAAGATCTGGAGACTGTTAAATAGGCAGGACAAAATATCCCACCAACCACCTCTCCAAAAAGCATTGTTCTCCTCGCACTGACACTTGTATTTCCCTCTGGCTTGTTTTTGGAAAACAAATTGAAAAAAAAAACAAAAACAAAAAGTAAACAGTAGTGCCACATCTGTTCTTGTCTTCCTCACGATGGCAGATCACACACACTACCACCATTCCAAGTGCCTCCTGAGCCCCTTTCCTCGACAGCCCCATCCTTCCACGTGTCCATAACTAGGCTTCTCAACTGCAAGGGGGAAGTGAGCAGGAAACTTCAAATGGGACCTGAAGAGGAAATAATGATAATAATGTAAATTGCTACTAATATTAAAAGGGGGAGGGTATTTTTTCTTTCTTTTTATTATTTTATTTTATTTTATTTTATTTATTTATTTTTTTTGAGTCGGAGTCTCGCACTGTCGCCCCGGCTAGATTGCAATGGCGCGATCTCGGCTCACTGCAACCTCTGCCTCCGGGGTTCAAGCGATTCTCCTGCCTCAGCCTCCGGAGTAGCTGGAATTACAGGCGCGCCGCCACGCCCGGCTAATTTTTTTTGTTTTTAGTAGAGACGGGTTTTCACCATGTTGGCGAGGCTGGTCTCGAACTCCTGACTTCGTGATCTGCCCGCCTCGGCCTCCCAAAGTACTGGGATTACAGAGGTGAGCCACCGCGCCCGGCCTCTTTCTGTTTTTAAACAAAACTTCCATTACAAACATCGGAGGCTGCAAGGCACAAACTGGGGCAGGAGTATGCACAGTCGCCCAGGATGACAAGTGGCAGGTTTTTTGTTGATGGTGGTGGTGTTCTGAAACACCAAACTTTAAAATGAACTGTTACTTAGAGAATTACTGTAATCGGAGCGGACGTGCTAACGCTTTTTCACCCCGGCACAAAGCACGCCCCTTCTGCCTCCCTTTCCCAGTCATTCTTCAGGCGTGCGGGAAACCGCGGACAAGCAGAGCACGGGGACCAGCACGATCCTCCTGCCACCACTCCAGTCTCTGCAGGTGCCAGCATAGAAGAAAACCAGGGCTCTCGCCTCCCTCCCCGCCACTGCGGTGCGGTCCCGGGGTGGAGCCACGGCGCGCCCCATCCTGAGAACCCCACCTGGAGGGGAGCAGGGACGCAGGAAGGGCACCGTTGGGAGGCATCACTGGGTTCGCTGAAGGCACAATCGCGCGCGCACACACATACACAGACACACATACACACACGCACGCACACACACACACACACACACAGCGGCGCGCGGTGGCGCGGGCGGCTGGCGCGTTACCTGTTCTGCCAGCCCTGGAGGAGGTTGGTGTATTTGCTGAGCACGCCCTCGAGCGCCGGCTCCCTCCTGCGGCCGCCTCCCCCGGACGGGCTAGCGGCCACAGAGCCCGGGCTGCTGCGGCTTCCCCCGCCGCCGAGCCCGGCCGCCGCCGACCGGCTGGAGACCCCCCGGCCCGCCAGAGAGCAGGAGGGCGAGGAGCCCGCCGAGGTAGCACGGCTGCTGCTGCGGCTGCTGCTGTTGCTACCCCCGCCGCCGTCTGTGCCCTGGACTGCCCTCTCCATGGTCCGTGGGCGCCCGGGACGCGGGTGCCCGCCGCGGTGGCGGCCCCGGCACGGCGGCTGCTGCTGCTGCTACAGCTCCGGACGCCCGGGCCGCGCGTGCCTGCTCCAAATCCCCGGGAAATGCCTGACTCATACAGGAGGAAGAGGAGGAGGAGGCGAAGGAGAGCTGGGAAGGAAGCCAACGGGGCTGGATGCAGCTGCGGCCGCCCCTCCTCCCGCCGCGGCCAGGGCCCGGCCCCTCCCTCCGCACTAGTTTCCCGGGCAAGTTCGGAGCGGGTGGCCGGCTAGGCGAGCCCTCTTCGGGTTCCTCCTTCTCTTCCTTCGTGTCCCTGCGGCCTCTCAGGCCCTCGGGACACTCTAGGAGGCCGATCTGCAGGGTGGGCACGCCCTAAATCCACGCCAAGTCACCCACGCATTCCTTCTGCCACCCTCTCTTGGATCCGAAGGGGCGAAAGGGAATCTCTGCACGTCACTCCCCACCCCTTATCCACCTCGGGACCTGGAGGGAGGGGCAGCCCCACCCACCCGGTCCACCCGGATATGGACCCGCCCGGCCTGACAGGCTCACACGCACACTCCCTCTCTCGGTCTTCCGCACACGATGCTGCGCCAGACGCTCCTACACAGTAACCTGGAAATTATCACCGGCGGAGCAAAGTCACAGCTCAGGGAGGCCCTCCGCGTTGTCTGGCGGAGGAGGGGAGTGGCAGGTGATCCTCACAGGTAAGCTCGCCGGGCATTTTCATGCAGCAGGATTATGATAAATGCTTAACAGACACACGGCTGGGCTGGGGTGAGGCGCGCGAACTCTCAGGTTTGTGCGAGTGCTTCCTTAAATTGAGTGTCCTAGGTCACTCACTGGCCTAACCCTAATCCCCTGCCCTGAATGGCACGCATAAACCTGGCAAGTCAAAACCTATCCATTGCTACCACACTGCACGTGCACCTAGGAGCAGAGGCTCTGAAACCGGGAAAACTGCTCCAGAGGCAAGGGAAATTAACAGATATTTACAAACATTGAAGGATTCTCTGTGTTGGCTGTAACTTCTGCGCCCCTCTTCCTACCTAAAGATACTCTTTCTATCCCACTAATATTTTTTGTGAATATAGATATCCATTGTAATCTGAAGTATCAAAAATTACCTAGAAAAAAGCTTTGAGGAACTCAGACTCTCTCTCTCACACACACACAGACAAAACAAAAGGTGATAGATGATAGGTGATCTCCGTCCAAAGGATCTACAAACCCATCAAGCAGATAAATACTTCAAGAGTTAAAAAAAATTACTAAATGGAAAAGTCAGCTCTCAAAGGGACAGTTCCCCGAGCCCAACCCCTTTCTAGCTTCACATCCTTCCAGGAAGATTTCATGGGTGGTTTAGCTCTAGAGATGCACGGAGAAGCTTCTGGAGTTGAAGAGAAGTGGTTGTGCCCCTGAGTAAATTACAATTCCAGGTGCCTACATAGTGTTAAAAAAAAAAAAATCTGAAAAGAGCTTGCCTGGACCAAATTTGAAGCCATTCAGAGCTGAATTCTAACCTATGACCTTGATCAAATTACCTCTTTTAGCCTTAGTTTTCTCACTGCAAAATGGGACAAATGATACCGGCTGTAATAAACTATGCAAGAATGTTCATTTGTTCAAAATATTTACTGCCGCTTCCTATGGAAAGAGTATCCTTCCTCCACATGGACCTTAGGCTTGGCCATGGAATTGCTTTGAGCAATGGAATGTGAACAGAAGTAATGAATGCCCCTTCCAAACATAAGCTTTAAGAGCAGTCATATGGTTCCACCATCTTTCTCTTTTCCTTATCCCAGGAGAGCAGCATGTCCCGGATAAGGACTCTCCTTAAGCTTGTGTCCTGGAGTGAGAAGGTGTGGAATACAGCAGATCCTAAGCCAGTTAGTGTTGGCCATGTAACATGCACAAAATGTTTGTTTGAAGCCATTGAGATTTTAGCATTATTTTTTACCACAGCATAGCTTTGCCTAAGCTAACTTACTGATCATATATGAGTGTTCATTGAGTCCTGCATTGACATACAGACTGAAGGTGGGAAGGTAGGTGCATACTGGACTATAAATGTCAGCATTATGTACCAAAACAACATGCCTTTTATTGGAGACTGCCACCTTAAGCTCCTGCTAAAAGAGGAGAAGTGTCATTTTATTTCATATTACCTAACCTATGCCACCATTACTCCACCTTATGCAGCCAACCTAAGACTGAATGAGCTAGCACAACAAATTCTCACCTTGGACTAAAAAATTAGACCCTTGAGATAGACCAGTTCAAGTGGGGAAGGAACTAAGCTAAAAGGAATAGTCAAGGCCAGGATGGGGCAGGAGCAAGCCAGCCGTATGGGATCAAAAATGTCCAAGAGGTGAGTGGAGCAGATGTGCTGAAAGTAGAGGCTATATCATGAAAGAGTGATGAAGCACATGCTGTTCCTCCTGCTGGTGACACTGTTCCCTGCTCTCTTCACCCGGTTTGTGTTTCTCACCCATGGAGTTATGGATTACAAGTCACTTCTTCCAGAAAGCTTTCCTTGACCTACCGTAGTATAGCAAATAGGGAAAAGGTACCTGCAGAATTATGTTTGGAGAGGAAAAAGTCTTTATGTTTGAAAAACAATTTGGAAAATACATAATAAGTTGGCAAAAAGTATTTGAAATACATACTGTAATGCCCAACAGTTTCATCTTGCTTGTTACCCGGAAAAGCCAATGCAGGTTTTTGCAATAGAGGAAGAGTTTAACAATTGTAGGGCCAGCCAAGCTGGAGCACAGGAGTGTATTATTACTCAAATCAATCTCCCTGAAAATTCAGAGCCTAAGGGGTTTTTTTTGTTTTTGTTTTTGTTTTTGTTTTGAGACTGGAGTCTCGCTCTGTCACCCAGGCTGGAGTGTAGTGGCACGACCTCAGCTCACTGCAAGCCCTGCCTCCCGGGTTCACGTCATTCTCCTGCCTCACAGCTTCCCCAGTAGCTGGGACTACAGGCACCTGCCACCATGCCCAGCTAATTTTTTTGTATTTTTAGTAGAGATGGGATTTCACTGTGTTCACCAGGATGGTCTCGATCTCGTGACCTCGTGATCCGCCCACCTCGGCCTCCCAAAGTGCTGGGATTACAGGCGTGAGCCACCGTACCGGGCCCACCTAAGGTTTTTTTTTTTTTAAGGATAGTTTGGTGGGCAGAGGGCTAAGGATGGGGAAGCTGATAGATTGGGTGAGGGATGAAATTATAGAGAGTCGAAGTTTGTCTTCTTGCACTGAGTCAGTTCCTGAGTAAGGGCCACAGGACCTGATGAGCCAGTTTACCAGACTGGGTGGTGGCAACTGGTCCGTCAGAATGCAGGGTATGAAAAACACCTCAAACACAAATCTTAAGTTTTACAATAGTGGTGTTATCTATAGGAGTGATGGGGAGGTTAGAAATCTTGTGACCTCTGGAAAAATGGCAGATTATCATTTAACTATGCCTTTATCTTAGCAAAGTTCAGACCTCTCTTAAGCCTGTGGCCTTTCATTAGTTTTACAAAGGTAGTTTGGTGTTCAAACAAGGAGGGAATAGTTTTGGAAAGGGATATTACAATCCTTGCTTTAGGGTTAGACTATGAACTAAATTCCTCCCAAAGTTAGCTGTGGCCTGTGCCCGGGAATGAACAAGGACAGCTTACAGGTTAGAAGCAAGATGGAATCAGCTATGTCGAATTTTTTTTACTGTCATAATTTTGCAAAGGCACTTTCGGTATGATTAAAAATATTGGCTAGGCCAGGCGCGGTGGCTCAAGCCTGTAATCCCAGCACTTTGGGAGGCCAAGGTGGGCGGGTCACGTGAGGTCAGGCGTTCAAGACCAGCCTGGCCAACATGGTACAACCCTGTCTCTACTAAAAATACAAAAATTAGCTGGGCGTGGTCATACACGCCTGTAGTCCCAGCTACTCAGGAGGCTGAGGCAGGAAAATCGCTTGAACCCAGAAGGCAGAGGTTGCAGTGAGCCAAGATCACACCATTGCACTCCAGCCTGGGCAACAGAGCAAGACTCCATCTCAAAAAATGTTTTAAAAATACAAAATATTGGCTAAACACAAATGCTCAATATAAGGACCATTTCCTTAATTTACCCAGATTGCATAAATCACTTAGAAAAAATTTTAAACGTAAATAGAATGACTGGAAATCTGACAGCCATCACAGACCATGTAAAGATTTTGGGAATGAAGCTATGCATGATTGGAGCAATAAGATAAACACATTATACCTCTTGAAATAATGGACAGAATCAGTAGTTCCTAGTAGGGAGCTGACTACCCCATCTTCTTCTCCACATGGACCTGGAGGGCTGGTCTGGAGTTTCTAGTAGTTGTTTCTGAGGCTCCCTCCTCTAGTTAGAAAGCCTTAGGAGGATGTTCATGGACCAGCAAGTAAGTGAGTGGACATTGACTTCATTGGCCAGATGACAGGAATGAAGCTTGGCCACGAATAGAGAGAAAATTATCACAACCAGATCACTCTCTGATATCAACTTGGTCATGTCTGTGTTAGAAACATGTGGTCTGATGTGTTGTACGTCCCAAATAATAATAACAATAATAGCTAATGTATATTGAGCACTATGTGCTAGACTCTGCTTTAAGTGTTTTACACATAATAACTCATTAAATCCTCACAACAACCACATGAGGAGATCTACAGTTCTTACTCCCATTTTACAGGCAGAGGAAACTGAATTGAAGAGAGGTTCAGCAACATCCCCCAAATTCTGGTGGAGCCAGGATTTCAACTTAGGCAATTTGGCTACTGAGCGTGAGTTCTTAGCCACCGTATTATACCACTTGCTTTGCAATGAATCCAGTTTCATTTCCTCTACTTAATGAAACTGCAGAAAGCACAGCTCAGTGCCTGGAATTCCATTTCCTGTTATATTTTTATGCATTTAGGAATTGATCCTCTCATTACCACTCTGAGAGAAGCAGTACAGGTGTTTGGGCCTCTAGCACCCAGCCACAGGGCCTGAACACAATCATACTCAATACATGTTTATTGCATGATAAATGAAGCCTAATTTTACTGAGGAAGAAACAGAAACTCAAAGAGGAGGAGTTGATTCTGAACCAAGGCCTTCTGACTCCAAGTCCAGTGTTCTTGCTGCCTGAACTTCAGCTGTGACGTGTACATGCAACCTTACCATCCAGTGGGAAGAAGAAAATACCAGAATTAAGGTATGGACAGTCCACTATCCAGTGAATAAACAGCTCCATTAAGATTACCCTGAGAGGGCCAGGCGCGGTGGCTCACGCCTAATCCCAGCACTTTGGGAGGCTGAGGCGGGCAGATCACGAGGTCAGGAGATCGAGACCATCCTGGCTAACACAGTGAAACCCTGTCTCTACTAAAAATACAAAAAAAAGTTTATATTTTTTTATACGAAAAAATACAAATATACAAATAAAATAGGCGCCTGGCCTATTTATTATTATTTTATTAAATAGATGCTCACTTTCAAAGATTTGCACACAAAATTATAAAGTAAAAACTGAAGACCAGGTGCAGTAGCTCATGCATATAATCCCAGCACTGTGGGAGGCTGAGATGGGAGGATTGCCCAGGAGTTCCAGACCAGCCTGGGCAACCTGGAGAGACTCCATCTCCAAAAAAATTTTTAAAATAAGCCAGCCACAGTGGCACATGTACCTGTAGTCCCAGCTACTCAGGAGGCTGAGCCAGGAGGATTGCTTGCGCCCAGAAATTTGAGGCTGCAGTGAGCTATGATTGTGCCACTGTACTCCAGCCTGAGTGACAGAGCAAGACCCTATCTCAAAAAAAACAGAAACTAAAAAATTATTTCTAAACCACTGCTAATAATTTATAAATATATATGTGTATATATACTTTTATATATGTATGTCCATATATATGTATGTGTATACACACACACACACACACATATATATACATCTCCTTCCCTTCGTCCAGACACTCTTCTATCTGCATAGTTGTATATCATTTTATTCAAAAACAGGTTCATACTATAAAACATATAATACTTTCTAATTTACCTTGTTCACTGAAGAATATAGTATAGACAATTTCCTTTAGAGCTATATTATCCTTTGTAACAGTTTCAGAGTATTCCACTGTCTATATGCACCCTAATTTAATCATTCCACTACTGATGAACACTCATATTTCAAGCTTTTGCTATTGTGAGAAATGTTCTTTAAATAACCTTTTACATTAGTTTAATTATTTCCTTAGAATAAGATCCAATGACTGGGTCAGGCTGCATACACTTATAAATGTGGCTCATGTACTACAGAATTAACCCCCGGAAAGTCTGAACCAATGTTTACTATGCTGGTTCTGGCTAGATCTAACATGTCAGACCATTGGCTGGATGGACTAGGCTGGCCATGTTTGAGCTGGGCTCTCTAATCCACAGGGTCTCTCATCCTCTAGCAGGCCAGCCCAGGCTTGTTTTCATGGCATGGGGAGGGTTCCAAAGAGAGGAAGCCGGAAGGACCTCCTGAAGCCTAGTCTGGGAACTGGTATAATGTCACTTTGCCACATTTCAACTAACAGTGCTAGAAGACTGGGACATTTATAAGCAAAAAATTGAAAGACCTATACTTCACACTTTATGCAAAAGTCACCTCCAAGTGGATCAGAAACCAAAATGTGAAATGTAAAACCATTAGATTTTCAGGGGAAAACATAGGAAAAAATACTTATGAACTTGGGTTAGGAAAATGGAGCAAACACATATTGCCTTTTGTGATAAGGGAAGGATGATTAAGAGGGCAAAACCAAGGGTTCAGACAGGGAAGCCAAGAACCCCAGAGAAGTATTCCCAGGCCTTGAGACCTAATCACGGAAATTGCAACATTTGCCCAACTGGCTTTCAAAATTGCCTTGGACCACTGATCGCTTTGCACCTCCTGTTTCCGCCTCTTTGAACAAGAATATCTGGAGCAATTATCCTGTGTCTGCTTCACCATTGTGTTTTGAGTGTGAAGGGGCAGATAACCAGTCTCTTTAGTTTCACAGATCAGAGGAACGGCACTTACGGAGCTAAACTTACTAACCTGAGGAGCCTCTCCTACCTAGACCTGACTTAGATGGTGAGATTGTGGACTTGAAGCTAGTGCAGTAATGGGATGAGACACTGGGGGCCACTGAGGAGTAGGATGAGTGTGTTGTACATGTGGGAGGAATATAAAAAAATTTGTGGCCAGAGGGTAGACTGTAGTGATTTCAAAGCTATGCCTATAGATTCCTCTCCTTTAGAGGTGAAACTTAATTCCTCCCCTCTTGAGTGTGGGATGAATTTAGTGACTCACTTCTAATGAATACAATATGGCAGAAGTCATGGTATATCATGTCCAAGATCAGCTTATAAACAGGGGAGTGTTCACTCTCGCTCTCTCTCTCTCTTTCTCTCTCCCCCTGTCTTTCTCTCTCTCTATCATCAGTCACTCTAGGAAAGCCAGCTGCCATGACATAAGGATACTCAGGCCACCAATGGATAGCCCAGGCAGGAGGCATGAAGGTGTGCCAGCCACTGTGTCAGTCACCTTATAAGCAGATTTTCTGAGACCTGCTAACAGCCATGTGAGTGACCTTGGAAGTAGGTTGTCACCAGTCAAGCCTTGAGATGACTGCAGCCATGACCCACAGCTTGACTACAACCCAGAGAGACACTGAGCCAGGAACACCCAGCTGAAGTGCCTCCAAACCCCGACCCACAGCGACTGTGAGATAATCAGTGTTTGTTGCCTTAAGCCACGAAGTTTGTGATAATTTGTTTCTCGGAAACAGATAACTAATACAGAGCAGGAAGCAGATCGCCTCAGTGAAGGTCACACTGCAGCACTATTGATTTCTAAAGACTCATGTTACGTGAGGAAGCAGCTCAGAAGAGGAAAGAAAAGGAGCCAGGCATGGCTCTTCCTCAGGGACACTTGACTTTTAGGGATGTGGCTATAGAATTCTCTTTGGAGGAGTGGAAATGCCTGGACCCTACGCAGAGGGCTTTATACAGGGCCATGATGTTGGAGAACTACAGGAACCTGCATTCTGTGGATATCTCTTCCAAATGCATGATGAAGAAGTTCTCATCAACAGCGCAAGGCAATACAGAAGTGGACACAGGGACATTAGAAAGACATGAAAGTCATCACATTGGAGATTTTTGCTTCCAGAAAATTGGGAAAGATATTCATGACTTTGAGTTTCAATGGCAAGAAGACAAAAGAAATAGCCATGAAGCAACTATGACACAAATCAAAAAGTTGACTGGTAGCACCGACAGATATGATCGAAGGCATCCTGGAAACAAGCCTATCAAAGATCAGCTTGGATTAAGCTTTCATTCGCATCTTCCTGAACTCCACATATTTCAGACCAAAGGGAAAGTTGGTAATCAAGTTGAGAAGTCTATCAACGATGCTTCCTCAGTTCTAACGTCCCAAAGAATTTCTTCTAGGCCCAAAATCCATATTTCTAATAACTATGAAAATAATTTCTTCCATTCATCATTACTCACACTAAAACAGGAAGTACACATAAGAGAAAAATCTTTCCAATGTAATGAGAGTGGCAAAGCCTTTAATTGTAGCTCACTCTTAAGGAAACATCAGATAATCTATTTAGGAGGGAAACAATATAAATGTGATGTATGTGGCAAGGTCTTTAATCAGAAGCGATACCTTGCATGCCATCATAGATGTCACACTGGTGAGAAACCTTACAAGTGTAATGAATGTGGCAAGGTTTTTAATCAACAATCAAACCTTGCAAGTCATCATAGACTTCATACTGGAGAGAAACCTTACAAATGTGAAGAATGTGACAAAGTTTTTAGTCGCAAATCAAATCTTGAAAGACATAGGAGAATTCATACTGGAGAGAAACCATACAAATGTAAGGTTTGTGAAAAGGCTTTCAGGCGTGATTCACACCTCACACAACACACTAGAATTCACACTGGAGAGAAACCTTACAAGTGTAATGAGTGTGGCAAAGCCTTTAGTGGGCAGTCAACACTTATTCACCATCAAGCAATCCATGGTATAGGGAAACTTTATAAATGTAATGATTGTCACAAAGTCTTCAGTAATGCTACAACCATTGCAAATCATTGGAGAATCCATAATGAAGAGAGATCTTACAAGTGTAATAAATGTGGCAAATTTTTTAGACGTCGTTCATATCTCGTAGTTCATTGGCGAACTCATACTGGAGAGAAACCTTACAAGTGTAATGAGTGTGGCAAGACCTTCCATCACAATTCAGCCCTTGTAATTCATAAGGCAATTCATACTGGAGAGAAACCTTACAAGTGTAATGAGTGTGGCAAGACCTTCCGTCACAATTCAGCCCTTGTAATTCATAAGGCAATTCATACTGGAGAGAAACCTTACAAGTGTAATGAATGTGGCAAGGTTTTTAATCAACAAGCAACCCTTGCACGTCATCATAGACTTCATACTGGAGAGAAACCTTACAAATGTGAAGAATGTGACACAGTTTTCAGTCGCAAATCACACCATGAAACACATAAGAGAATTCATACTGGAGAGAAACCTTACAAATGTGATGATTTTGACGAGGCCTTCAGTCAAGCTTCATCTTATGCAAAACAAAGGAGAATTCATATGGGAGAGAAACATCACAAGTGTGATGATTGTGGCAAAGCCTTTACTTCACATTCACATCGCATTAGACATCAGAGAATCCATACCGGACAGAAATCTTACAAATGTCATAAGCGTGGCAAGGTCTTCAGTTAGAGGTCACTCCTTGCAAAACATCAGAAAATTCATTCCTGAGATAATTGTTCCAAATGCAATGAGTATAGCAAACCATCAAGCATTAATTGACATTAGAGTCAATTCAGCATTGACTTGAGTTTCAGTTGACTTGACATTGAGTTCAAGCATTAATTGACATTAAAGTGTTTACGTTAAGAGGATTGGGCTGGGCAGGGTGGCTTATACCTGTAATCCCAGCACTGTGGGAGGTCAAGACGGATAGATCACTTGAGGTCAGGAGTTTGAGACCATCCTGGCCAAAAGACGTGAGCCACTTTTCCTAGCCTGTTTTTTGTTTCTGATAGGGATTTTTATGGGTATTGTGTTGAATCTAAATCACATTGGGTTATATAATCATTTAACAATATTAATCTTTCCAATCCATCAATATGGGTCATATCTCTATTTATATAAGTTTTTAATCATTTTGATCAATGTTTGTAGATTTCAAGGTACAAACTTCTCACCTTTTTACGTTTATTCCTAAATATTTCTTACTGTAAGTTCTCTAGCAAATGGAAGTGTTTTCTTAATTTTCTTTTAACATTGTTTATTGTTAATGTATGGAAATTTAACTAATTTTTGGTACTGATATTGTATTCTGCAAATACACTGTGTTTATTAGCTTCAGTAGTATTTTAGTTGACTCTGTGATTTTCTACACAGCAGATCATGTCATCTACAAACAAATACAATTTTACTTCTTTCTTTCTGAAAAAAAAAATGGATAACTAATACAGATGCCTACCCTGAAACATGCCATTTTTTGATCCTTATGTTTTGGGATCTTTCTCACTACCACTGACCAACTTTTCATATCCTGAAGATATGAAGCAGTGAAAATAAGAGAATTCAAGACAGGCTAAAAAAAAAAAAATGCCAGGTGCAGTGGCTCATGCCTGTAATCCCAGCACTTTGGGTGGATCACTTGAGGTTAGGAGTTTGAGACCAGCCTGGTCAACATGGCAAAACCCCACCTCTACAAAAAATACAAAAATTAGCCAGGCGTAGTGGCACGCACCAGTAGTCCCAGCTACTGGGGAGGCTGAGGCAGGAGAATCACTTGAACCTGGGAGGCAGAGGTCGCAGTGAGCCAGGATCGCCCCACTGCACTCCAACCTAGGCAACAGAGCGAGACTCCATCTCAAAAAAAAAAAAAAAAAGATATGTCAGTGTGGTGTAGGCAAAAAGTATGGACACATAGAAATATGGAACAGAATAAATAATCTAGAAATAGTTTCATATGAATATAGTCACTTGATTTTGACAGAAATGCAAAGGCAATTCAATGCAGCTTTTTGTATTGGTTTCCTATTGCTACTATAAAATATTACCATAAACATAGTGGTTATTATAAAACAATACAACTTGATTATTTTACCGTTCTGGCAGTCAGAAGCCCAAAAATGGGTCTTACATGGTAAAATCAAGGTATCAGTAGAGCCATGTTGATTCTGGAGGCTCTAGGGGAGAATCTATTACTTGCCTTTTCCAGCATCTAGAGGCTGCCCACATTCCTTGGTTCCTGGTTTTTGGCCCCTTTCAGCAAGGACATCACTCCAATCTCTGGTTCTGTCATTGCATCTCCTTCTCTGACTCTGACCCTCCTGCATTTTTCATAAGGACCCTTGTGATTACATTGAGCACACCTGGATGATCTTTTCAACAAGTGATGGAACTAGACATCTATATGCAAAAAACAAACAAACCTTGGCCAGGCATGGTGACTCATGCCTGTAATCCCAGCACTTTGGGAGGCCAAGGCAGGAACATCACTTGAGGCTGGGATTTCAAGACCAGCTTGGGCTACATAGCAAGGTAACATCTGTCCAGAAAGTTTTTTAAATAAAATATTAGCTGGGTGTGGATGGCACATGCCTGTAGTCCTAGTTACTCAAGAGGCTGAGGCAGGAGTATCACTTGAACACAGAAGTTCAAAGCTGCAGTGAGCTGTGATCATGCCACTGCACTCCAGCCCAGGCAATAGAGCAAGACCCTGTCTCTAAAAAATAAACAAATACTGAAAATATTTACTCTACAAAAGATATGGGTAAGGAAATGAAAGGTGAGCCAAAG
Organism: Homo sapiens; assembly: GCF_000001405.40. NCBI lineage: Eukaryota > Metazoa > Chordata > Mammalia > Primates > Hominidae > Homo > Homo sapiens. The sequence continues at coordinate 31,993,076 of NC_000003.12, forward strand.
ACGGGAAAATATTTGCAAATCATGTGTTTGACCAAGGACTTGTTTCCCGCATATTCAAAGAACCCTCAAAATGCAGAAGTAAGAAAACCTTATTTTATTTTATTTTATTTTATTTTATTTTATTTTATTTTATTTTATTTTATTTTATTTTTGAGACAGAGTTCACTCTTGTTGACCAGGCTGGAGTGCAATGGCACGATCTCAGCTCACCACAACTTCCACCTCCCAGGTTCAAGCACTTCTCCTGCCTCAGCCTCCCGGTAGCTGGGATTACAGGCATGCGCCACCATGCCCGGCTAATTTTGTATTTTTAGTAGAGACAGGGTTTCTCCATGTTGGTCAGGCTGGTTTCAAACTCCTGACCTCAGGTGATCCACCCGCCTCGGCCTCCCAAAGTGCTGGGATTACAGGCATGAGCCACCGCGCCCAGACAAGAAAACCCTTTTTTAATCACAAAAAATGTGAGCATTCACTTCACCAAATAAGATATACAGATGTCCGAAAAAGCACATCAAGAGATGTTCAACATTACTAGTCATTAGGGAAATACAAGTAAAACTACAATGAGATACTACTACATACCTATTAACATGACTACACACACATACACACACACACACACACACACACAAAACTGAGGATACCAAGTGCTGGTGAGGATGTGGAGTAATTGGAACTCTTACACATTGCTGGTGAGAGTGCAAAATAATACAGTCACTTTGGAAAACAGTTTGACAGTGTCTTTTAAAGTTAAACATACAATATGATCTAGTTATTCCACTTCTAGATATTTATACAAATATAATGAAAACCTATGTTTGTACAAAAAAAAACTTGTTTGTGAATGTTTATTGATGCCTTATTCATAATCATCAAAACCCGGAAACAACCCAAAGATCCCTCAACTGGGGAATGAATTAAAAATGTAAACCAACTATGGTACATGTATACAATAAATGAGTACTCAGCAATAAATGAGAGTAAACTATTGTTACATGCAATATTGCAAGTGAATCTCATATGCATTATGTTCAGTGAAAGAAGCCAGACTCAACCACACACTATATGATTTTCTTGATAATGACATTCTGGAAAAGGCAAAACTATAGGAACAGAGTTGAGAGTAGTGATTGCCAAGAGTTAAGAGTGGAGCAAGTGTTTGACTAGAAAGAGGTAGCTAGACAGAAATGTATTTGAACGTGGGTGGAGTGATGGAACTGTCCTATAACTTACTTGTGGCAGTGGTTACAAGAGCTCCAGGCCTCATAGAAACTCATAGACTGTCCACCAAAAATAGTGAAATTTATTAAATGTGAACTTCTCAAACAAATTTTTAAAAAAGAAAAAGGTATATGAGGTCAAATGTCCTGTATGCCTTCATGTTAGAGGATGAGTTCCCTATGTCAGGGAAAAAAAGGATGGATGGATGGATGGATGGATGGATGGATGGATGGATGGATGGTCTGCCAGCCTAACTGCATGCCTGCTGAAAATTTTCAGTGATATTTCTAAGATCTTTTGGGTAGGTGTGCAGATGTCTTTTCTATACACCTTCTTCAAGTGACAGTAATGTGAGCATTTGATTAAATGAGACACCAAATCAGAAAATTCTTTATAAATTGAAAGTGTACTGCAAACACCAGATATGTTACTGCCAAAGGAAGAAACAGTCTAGATATTCATGTGTCTTAAGATTGAGGCTCCTGAAAGGCCATAAAACAAATACCCCAGTATCAGGGGAACTTGCCCCCAATATTTCAACGTAGGTTCTTTCTATTTTCCCTAAGTGTCGGCTGGTCTGAGAAACAAAGAGAAAGAGTACAAAGAGAGGAATTTTACAGCTGGGCTGCCAGGGGTGACATCACATATTGGTAGGACCATGATGCCCACCTGAGCCGCAAAACCAGTAAGTTTTTATTCAGGATTTCAAAAGGGGAAGGGGTATATGAATAGGGAGTAGGTCACATGCTTTAAGGGGCAAAAAGCAGAGTAAAGATCATATGCATCTGAGGAAATGGGGCAAGGACAAAATCAGAACTCCTGGTAAGGGTCTATGTTCAGCAGTGCACGTATTGTCTTGATAAACATCTTAACAGAAAACAGAGTTTGAGAGCAGAGAACTGGTCTGACCTCAAATTTACCAGGCTGGGATTTCCCAATCCTAGTAAGCCTGAGAGTACTGCAGGAGACCAGGGCGTATCTCAGTCCTTATCTCAACCACATAGGACAGACATCCCCAGAGCGGCCGTTTATAGACCTGCCCCCAGGAATGCAATTCTTTCCCTAGGGTCTTAATATTCCTTGCTAGGAAAAGAATTTAGCGATATCTTCCCTATTTGCATGTCCATTTATAGGCTCTCTGCAAGAAGAAAAATATGGCTCTTTTTGCCCAACCCTGCAGGCAGTCAGACCTTATGGTTGTCTTCCCTTGTTCCCTAAAATCGCTGTTATTCTGTTCTTTTTCAAGGTGCACTGACTTCATATTGTTCAAACACACATGTTTTACAATCAATTTGTACAGTTAACGCAATCATCACAGTGGTCCTTAGGTGATGTACATCCTCAGCTTACGAAGATAACAGGATTAAGAGATTAAAATAAAGACAGGCATAAGAAATTATGAAAGTATTATTAGGGAAGTGATAAATGTCCATGAAATCTTCACAATTTATGTTCCTCTGCTGAGGCTCCAGCCGGTCCCTCCATTCAGGGTCCCTGACTTCCCGTGACACCCCAGGTTTTTAAAGAGCCACAGGAAGTCCCTATCCAGAGATGAAGTGACATGCAGTTAGTGTGATCAATGCAGTGCAAAGCCGCTGTTAATAACCATCCATGACATCTCCCCTTCCTGATTTGCCACCTGACAAAATGCCCTGTGGAGGGCTGGAAATGGAGGATGAATCCAATCTCAGCATTTTTCTGAGAAGGAAAATGAAACTCAAAAAAAGGAGACTCCCAGGGTCACACTGTGAGCTGGAGGTAGAATTGGGGCTGCCAGTTTCAAGGCAGAATGTTCTTGACTGGATGCCATTTAAACGGCAGTTTTAAGTGGTTTGCAAAATACTAGTCCTTCTGACTTCCCCACAGGTAAACGCAAACAACCAGAATGGAAGATTACCAAAGTGGACAAAATATTCTAGAGACATAAAAGGGGGAAAATACAATTCAATGTTCCTGTAAAGAGAAACTTCTGTCCAAAGAAATGTTTTAAATTTAACTGAGACTTGTAACATTCTTTTTGTTACAACCTGCTAGAGAGGACTTGATTTCTCTAAACTCTCCCCCCCGTGCAAGGGAACAATGATATGATTGTGGGTTGTTTCACTTTGAGTGTTTCTCAACCTCTAAATATGAGCCATTCTCTGCATCTAAATATGAGCCAACCTATGTGTGATCTGAAGTCTTTTTAAATATAAATTGCCAGGGGGAGAAGGGGGTTAGTGGACCTTAAGGCTTTTATCTTCAGATTTAAGAATTGACTTTCCCAAAGTTTAAAAAGAGAAAAGACCACTTACAGAAAATCTCTAATACATCTCTGTACTCCCAGTCCTGAAAAGAGAATTTCAGAAAGAAGCTGTTGCCGGGTGCTGACGTTTCTTTTTGGATCAAACCTAATATTCAAGTCAATTTTTATAGGTTGAAACTATAGAAGAAAGAAAGCAAAAGCCGAAAAACCAGCAAAAAGATCCCGCTATCAACTCCAGAGAGTGCAGAACTTAAAAAAATAAAATTTAAAACAAAAAAAACTTGACAAGTATCTTTGGACAGGTAGGAAGTTCAGTTTTGTGAGCACTCCATTCAATATGGTATGTGGTTGTGAATCTTGGAGAACTAAAGCCAAGCTTCTACCCTTCTTCCCAGAAGGCTCCCCACTCACAATGGGAGAGAAGCCAGAGGAAAGGAAATTATCATGGAGATTCATCTTGATGCAAAGGTGGGAGCCTTTATTTATAGTTACCACACGTTTCTTGCAGCTGAATGGCTTGCTTTCTGACAAGACACATTTGAGATCATCATATGCTTAAATTTACTAGCACACATTATGCAGTAAATTATTTCTGACTTAAAGCTTTTAAAAAGCATGCCCGATTTATGTGCACAGCAGAGCCCTGTAAATATGACTATTACAATGTCAATAGGCAGTGTTTAAGTCCTAATAGTCTCCCTATGAGCATTTATGAACATCATTCTTTTTTTTTTTCAAGATGGAGTCTCGCCCTCACTCTGTCGCCAGGCTGGAGTGCAGTGGTGCGATTTCGGCTCACTGCAACCTCCGCCTCCTGGGTTCAAGGGATCCTCGTGCCTCAGCCTCCCAAGTCACTGGGATTACAAGCACGAGCCACCACACCCAGCTAATTTTTCTATTTTTAGTAGAGATAGGGTTTCACCATGTTGGCCAGGATGGTCTCTATCTCCTGACCTCATGATCTGCCCGCTTCAGCCTCCCAAAATGCTGGGATTACAGCCACCGTGCCAGGGCAAACATCATTCATTGTTAAAGAGATAAAGGAGAGTTAGTGAATTAGCAAATGACAAGCAGAAGAAGGATTTTTTTTGTTTTGTTTTTACTTTCCTTTATCAAATAGTCTGCTTACCACAAATTTCATCAAGCGAACATCTGGAGATGGGAGATGGAACAGCTGTGAGTTAGTGCCTCTTCCTTGTCATGGAGCAACTTGCCTCGCTGAGCCTCAGTGTTTTTGTTTTGTTTTGTTTTTGTTTCTGAGACAGGGTCTTACTCTGTCGCCCAGGCAGGAGTGGGAGTGCATTGGCACAATCCCAACTCATGGCAGCCTCGACATCCTGGGCTCAAGCAATCCTCCCACCTTAGCCTCCCGAGTAGCTGGGACTATACAGGTATGCACCACCGTGCCCAGCTAATTTTGTTTTATTTTTTTGTAGAGACTGGGTCCCACTCTGTTGCCCAGACTGGTCTCAGACTCCTGAGCTCAAGCAGTCCTCCCGCCTCGGCCTCCTGAAGTGCCACAGGTGTGAGCAGCCGTGCCCAGCTATAGCCTCAGTGTCTTCATCTGAAAAATAAGATGACAGCACCCACTTTGTGGTGCTGTTGTCAGGCTCTAATAAGGCATCTTGAGTTGTATTACTTAGTAAATGGTAAAGTACTATGATGTGTGAGAGAGTATTTGGGGTTTTGTTTTCCTTGTGGCATTTTTTTTGCCCCCAGATGAAAGGGAAGAAATGAGGAATGGCTTCAGCATCAAAGTATACTCCCCATCAGCATATCTCACCACTGGCGACTCACCCTTTGAATGAAAACCCCTCAGAAAAAATTCCATGTGAGTGCTGAGTCTGTTGATTTCTTGCTAGTAAGGGAGAATTATTGGTCAGAATTTGAGCAGATGGTTGTCCCCCAGCATCAGGCTTATTTACAATTTAGAAAGGGAACTTCACAACTACTGTATATTAACTTGGGATTGCAATGATGGAGATATTTCATTCTGTCACTAGCAAAACCCATAATCAAATTCCAGTTTCCTTATCTGTCCCTTTCATTGGATCTTTTTCAAATAATTTGATGGTTACATACCAAATATGGTCCTCTAGTCATTTAAATTCCCCACTTTATAGCTGTTCTTGCCAATTGGCTATCCATCAATTCTGCTCATACTGAGAACTCCGCCCTTTCCCTTTCTAGCTGTAGTCTCCTATTCCTGCATTTTCCTTATAGATCCACGTCTATTGGTTTTTCTGTCCCTACTGAGTTTTTCTGCCATTGGCTATGGTAGATCTGCACCATTAATGGAGAGTTTCCAACTAAAACAGTTCTTTTTCAACTATCTTGGATAAATAAAATTTATCCATTCATTGGCTCAGAGCAATCATTCACACTTTAGTATAAGTGGATATTTAAAATCTATTTAGCTATTTTGCATTCATAAGAAAACACAAGGTCGAAGAAGATGTGTAAAAGAGAAAAAAGGAGGGACATAATTTACAAATTTGTATCAGCCAGACAGTAATAATCTCCTGAAGAGAGCCTAGCTTTTAGTTTTCACTTGGCCCATCTCTGCTGTTAGCTTGATCAGCTGTCTCCCCTCTGCTGTCTGGAGGGCATCACTGTAACTCCAGACTGCACAAGAGCTGCAGTGGCAATCAGGTGTGGCATGTAGCAAAGGTATCAGTCTTTCCTGTCTTGCCAGCTACTCCCCTAACCTGATTCCCCTATGTCAGTGATGATAACATGGCCCAGATTGTTTTCATTCTTTTCAATGAATGTGATTATTTATGCTTTGGGAGACTTTTCAGATAAAAATATCAAAATCTTTTTTTTTTTTTTTTTTTGAGACAAGGTCTCACTCTGTTGCCCAGGCTGGAGTACAATGGCACAATCTCGGCTCACCACAACCTCTGCCTCTTGGGTTCAAGCGATTCTTCTGCCTCAGCCTCCTGAGTAGCTGAGATTACAGGCATGCACAACCACGCCCACCTAATTTTGTATTTTTAGTAGAGACACGGTTTCTCCATGTTTTTTTAGGCTGGTCTCGAACTTCCTACCTCAGGTGATCTGCCTGCCTTGGCCTCCCAAAGTGCTGGGATTACAGGTGTGAGCCACCGTGCCCGGCCTCAAAATCATTTTTAAAAATTCTTTGCCATTCATAAGTTTTGCTTTGGGGTTCAGAAAATATGGCTGCCTCTGCTATGCCCAGATGTCAGGGATCACCTTTTCCAAGGCATGCCCACAGCCCGGTGAAATGAGACCTAGAGAGCATTCTGTTTTGTACTGAAACTCTCTAAACTTTCAGTCAGAGTAATTTTACTGCTGTCACAAAACCGGGCCTGAAAACCGAACCTTAAAAAGGTCATTCGATTCCCTTGCCCTTAGGTCAGGGCCAAAATGTTCATAAGAGCCTCTTCTAAAACTAATTCCCTTTGACTTTAAATATCTAGTGGTGCGGCCTCAGCTATAACAGGGAGATGATCTTTGCCACAAAGATAACCAAAAAGTCTGAGTCTCATGGTCCAATGGTTATCTTTGTTTGTTTCTAAGTCAGCCTTCATTTCCTCTGTCTTAGTCATACCAGCTTATTCTATTTGAGGCTGTCTTCCTCTACCTGGTAAATTAACGTTCATTTTCCTGGGTTTTATACAAGTATAAAGCCCTGCTCTCGCCACATAATTTCACTGTAGCATGGTCATGCTGACGTGACAGAATGACATGACAGAGTTAGCACTCTAGATAAAGGAGAAAAACTAAGATCAGAGTTATATTCGGCTTATAATACGGGCTCAAAGACCAAAGGTCCATTCCAAATAGTGTTTAGGATCAGACTGCCTCCAACTGGTTTTGCTACTTCATAGCTATATGACCTCTCTGGGCCTCAGTCTCCTTAACGGTCATATGAAGATCACCCCACCACACCAGTGGGCCTCTGTGAGGGCGAAATGAAATTGTAAGGAGGCCAGCATGCTGACTCCCATATAAAGGATAATCAATGCATCTATTTGAACCCATCATTTATCTAACACACTCTAAAAGCATTTCTATAACATCTGTGCGAAATTGCGGGGCTGTTCTCAGCACGGTTTGTCAGCCCTTCCTCGTGACGGTTGTTCCTCCCTTTACCATTGTTGACTCCTGCACTGCAAGGTGATCTGGCCAGCTCTAGGTAGGTTACACTTCAGTTTCCAAGCCAATTTTGAGAGGGAATAGAAAAATATTCTGCCTTCTCTGCTCAGCACTCTCCCCCTTCTTCCTGGAACTGCTCTTTGACTCCGGCCATGCGGTTCACATGGGAAATACCTTTCTCTTCCATGGCCACAACTGAATACTCTAAGACGTGCAGCTTTCCAAACCAGAAAGCTTAGAGACATTCCTGGAAATCTTTGGAACTGGAATGAAGAAAAGACTGTCCTTAACCTGTGGTAACAGCCTTGGGGAAGGGGACTTGGAGCTGTTAGCAGCCATGTTCCTGGCTGTGTGGACAAGGTCAATGTGCTAGGACAGAGAATCAAACTAATAAACAGGCAGAGTTGAGAGATGAGTGAAGGCATCTAGGGGCGCTGTTGTCTGTCCACTCTTCCTGAAGCCTGGCTGATCAACCTGTGCTTTATGGCATAAGCTCCCTCATTGTTTCAGGTGGGGTTCTGTGCTTGCAACCAAGCAGCGATGCCTAAGAGGAGAGGCAAACATTCATTCAGCCTGGATGTGTCCCAAGAGAACTTCCCGGTCTCCAACCCTTCCCTGGCCTACTCTATAAGGCTGGGCTCTATATTAACCCCTACAGTCTTGCTGATCTGTTGGTGTATTCTGTCTGGCATCTCAGTCTATCAATAAAATAATAATCATAGGTATTACTTGAGGGTCTCTGGTACAATAAGCATTTTACATCTATTATTGCTCTCATTGTGTTAAATTAAAATTTCAAAAGGTAAAATCCTGACTCTCGTGCAAATGTGAAATGAACCCATGCCAAGGGTTTTATTCAACTCATTAATTAATAGGGAAACCAGTAAGATGTAAAAACTGGTGCAAATAAGAATTTAAATTACAGAGATTTATATTCTGTACCAGAGAAAATTAATTGGCATTGCTATGAGCAGGAACTGTTACCATCAGTTTTCTATAACTTAATTTCTACTGTTAGTTGAATTTTTAAAAAGGCTAGTCATTGCTTCTCAGCCTTTTGGCTAATATCAAGTGTAAAAAAAAAAAGCCTAGCCAATGGCAAGTCAGTGAAATGTGCACACCCCTTTGGAATCAGATATCCCCAGAGGGTCCCCAGGACAATGGCCCCACTCAATTGAAATAACACCCAGTAATCTCTATTATCCAATCCCAACTCTTGGACAATTTTTTTCTGACAATTACAGCAATCCTGAAGAAGAGAGATTATTATGCTTAATAAAATATCATCTTCATTTTGAGATGAGGACACTGAGGCACACAGAAGTAAGACATTCATTTTGCTCACATGATTAATAAATGGCAGGTTAGGGTTCAAACCCAGCTCTGACTCCAGATTCCCAGTTTAAACTGCCCAGGTTGGCTAGGTCCTAGGTATACTTCCTGGCTCATACAAGTCCATCTAGGGGAAAACATTACTCACTCATTCATTTACTCATTCATTCATTTACTCGCCCATTCAACAGAAATTGCTTCTCTCTTTTATCCTGCATTTTAGGTGCTATGATGAATTGCTGTCCACTCAACCAACCCAAGACCAGCAGGAACAAAGCCTACTCTGAAAAAGCCTACAAAGTTGTGTTCATTGACACATTGCAAAGAGACCACACACCAGGAGAACCATAGGGTATCTCCCCAAACAAGGAAAAGAAAAGAATTACAGTATGGGGCAAGGGGAGGAATGGAATTTAAGTGAAATGTATTTTGACAGACTCAAAGCAAGATAGGTCTAAATGTAAAGGTATTATTTTAAGTCCTGGACTATGAAGCAGACCCAGGAACCTGTTTGCTGGGAAGCAATAAGATTATTATCCATAGCTGTGGAATACTGTGTCCAAAAACCCCTCCTCCAAAGCTCTGTACCTAGGGTTTGAATCAAGGCTTCTTCTCTCTTGGTGACTTAGATCCTCCAGGCAAGGGTGAGATGTTTCACTCTAACATCATTTCAAACAGCAATGTTTCTGATAGTCTAAGATTTTAGAGAAAAAAGGTTTCTCAGTGAGTCAGAAGGCACTACTCACTCCAAGAAGGGGGTTGTTGTGACCCTTTACCACTACAGTGTGCCCCTTGGGAGAAATACTATTTATTGTTAACTTTGAATCTGCTTTTATCTTTTATTCCAGCCTGATGAATGGCCAGGCAGATTTTAACAGTCCAAGCTAATTTTTACTTTCTCTTGTCTCAATGGGGGTGACAGACAATCAGGTCATTACAACACAGTGGGAGAAGCAACTATGATGAGGGTTTAATTTAGACTTCATTTAGGTCAGGGAAGACTGTCTGCAGGAGGCAGACCTCCCAGCTGGGAAAAGCAGAAGCTGGCCGAACGAAAGTGGGAAGGAGGAGTGTTACAGCACAGTGAGGACTTGGGCAGAGGCACCAGAGTGGGGCAGAGGGTGGTAAATTGGAGGAATCACAAGTGTCATTGAAGGCAAATCAACGGAATGTCTAGAATGCTTTGGAGGACTGCGTAACACTTACATCAGAACTTAGACCAAACTCTCCTCTGGCTAAGGTTAGAAAGCACAGGTCACTGGGAGTATGTGTTCTCTGTTCAGGGGAGAGTCATTAGCGTGGTCTTCCTATGCATATACACATGAAAGGCAAGTAGCCCCCAGAGGGGAAGTGCTAAGGGGGAGTTCCCCCGAGGTTTCCTAAGGCACCTGGTTTGCAAAGCTGATCCCTGTGTGGAAAGTGGAGCCATTTGTAGACTTGCCCTGAACCATCCCATCCTGTTTCCTGAGGACATTTAGGGAACCAGGCTAGCCTTTAACCAATGCTGAGTTTCAGGAAAGGACAAGGACAACCAAGAAATAAAACCACCATGAAGAAACAGGGTGTTTCTGAGAACTGAATATACCAGTGGGTGGTATCATTCAAGGTCCTGGGAGGGAACAGACTGCACAGTGAAACAGGATAATCCTCTTTCTCGTCTCTTCACTGGCCGAAACCAATCAGGAACAAAGGGCAAGGATTTAATTGGTCCAGGTGGACCTGGGCATCGGAGGTCATGTAGCTCTGCAGGGCACTGCAGTGTGTGGTCAGCACTGAGGGCACCTCTCTCTGAGAGCTGCCAAGGCTGTCCCTGGAGGTCATCCTCCAGGACAGAGAGCAAGGTGGAAAAGGGAGAACAGTGGATTTGGAGGGACAAAGTAGAAAGTTCTAGAACACGGGCTAATACTAAGGGCTCTTTTGGACTTGTTCACCCTGGCACAGAGGTTTTTCTCTGCAAAACAACAGCTGGATTTGGGAAAGTGAGATAAAAGGAGTTGTCACTTATAGCACAGCAGGGAACAGCAGACCCTAGCACTGTGGACCTGGTGTCTTCAACAAACTGCCACTTTGGAGACAAGCAGTAGAAAGAATTTTAAATTATTGAACTTACTAGTTTTAACTTATATTATTTTAAATGATTTCTTATTTAAAAAATTAACGAGTGTCCATGTTGGCACCCTTTGTTAGAGAAGCAGATCCTGTTAGAGTGGTGACAGCCAAGTCTGGAGCCCTAAGCAAGTCTGGAAGGACATGAGTGTCAGGTGGAGACTTTATCCTGAGGGCAGTGTGGACCTGGAGGGCCTCCAGCAGGGAGCAGCATGTGGTACTGGCTGCTTTTGCTGGATTATGCTGTGATAGGCAAGCCCCTGCCCATCCCTTACATTACCAGGAAGGATTGCATATTAATTCTGTTGTCACCTGACTCCCTTGCCCAGATGGGGAAGACAACTGTTAAGCACTAGAAGAGAAGACAAGAAAGGGGAGTCAGAACACAGGGACAAAAAACAGTACTTGCTTTTCAATTTTGAGCCTTCAAGATATCGGCTGGAGAACTAGAAAATCTTGTTTCCAGGCATCACATTCTTCGGTTCCTCTGCATTTTTCTAAGCTTTGGAGGAATGTATAAACTGGTTTCCAAAAATGTTCTGAGTTTTCTTTCAACAAAACTATTGAACACCTGCTATGTGTCAGGTACCAAGAGAACAACAGAGAAGAAAACATGGGCTGCCTGACAGCCTTGCAGAGCGACAGACACATGCGCAGTTATTTGCAGGTGTATGGCTTAGCCTCTAAAACAATGCAGGCCATGTTTTAGACCAAAGAAAAGGATAGCTAGAATTTTTACAGGTGCATAAAATTAAGTAAATTATAGTCCTTATTTCATGGTGCTTATTGTCATCAGCCTGTTTTATTTTTTGCAATTCAATTCCCACTTATGTTTCTCCCCATAGGCACCCACTTTGATGGACTTAATAAGTATCCTTGGATAGGATGGCATCTTTATAAAATCATACAGAAGTGGTATCACACCGTAGATCTTAATCTGCCGCTTCTTTCACTCAACACTTTTTTTTATTATTTTACTTTAAGTTCTGGTGTACATGTGCAGAACGTTCAGGTTTGTTACATAGGTATACGTGTGCCATGGTGGTTTGTTGCACCCATCAACGCGTCATCTAGGTTTTAAGTCCTGCATGCATTAGGTATTTGTCCTAATGCTCTCCCTCCCCTTGCCCCCTATCCCCAACACTAATTTTTAAGATCTACCCATGATGCACACGCACATCTAGTTCATAGGGCCTAACTGCTGGAAAGTATTCCACAGGTTGTATCTATTCCATAGTATTATCCATTCCCTGAGCAGTAAATGCTCAGATGCCTCCAATTGTCCTACTACCACATTAATCTGGAGATTAACGTAGCATCTGTAGACCTGTCCCTTTATGGACTGTGAGCAAGTTTCTCTGGAGCATTTACCCAGGAGTAGGCTAAATAAGTCATGGGGCATATGTGACGTCCATAAGTATTGGCATACTGCTCTCCAGACACTCAAACTTGGTATTGTCTGCCTCTTTAATGTTTTGGGTTTTTTTTGTTGTTGCTTTTTCTCTGAGATGGAGTTTCACTCTGTTGCCAGGCTGGAGTGCAGTGTCGCTGTCTCGGCTCACTGCAACCTCTGCCTCCCAGGTTCAAGCAATTCTCCTGCCTCAGCCTCCTGAGTAGCTGGGACTAAAGGCACCTGCCGCCATGCCCAGCTAATTTTTTGTATTTTTAGTAGAGATGGGGTTTCACCGTGTTAGCCGCATGGTCTCAGTCTCCTGACCTCGTGATCCGCCCACCTCAGGACTCCCAAAGTGCTGGGATTACAGGGTGAGCCACCGTGCCCAGCCCAATGTTTTTGGCTTTTAAGTGGTGTCTTGTTTTACTTTATTTATTTATTTTATTTTTTATTTTATTTTGTTTTTTTGAGACAGAGTCTTGCTCTGTCACCCAGACTGGAGTGCAGTGGTACCATCTTGGCTCACTGCAGCCTCCGCCTCCCAGGTTCTAGCAATTCTCCCACCTCAGCCTCCCAAGTAGCTGCGATTACAGATGAGCACCACCATGCCCAGCTAATTTTTGTATTTTTAATAGAGACGGGGGTTTCACCATGTTGGCCAGGCTGGTCTCAAACTCCTGACCTCAGGTGATCCCTCTGCCTCGGCCTCTCAAAGTGCTGGGATTACAGGCGTGAGCCACCGCACCCCTCCATCTTGTTTTATTTTGGTATCCAATGAAGTTGAGCAATCTTAGCCATTTTGATTTCCCCTTGAATACACTTTGTGTATTTTTCTGTTGGATTTACTTTAGATATTATTTCTGTCACTTTTTGATGATGTAAAAATCTCCCTTTCTGTAAGCCAGTTGTCATCTTTGTCTACTATATCACATTAAAAATGAATTCTTAATCGTGGTCTAATATAATCCATTGAACTTTTTTACCCAATTGTTGGTGATTTCTGGGTTTTGTAGAAATCCTTCAACCCTACCTCTCTTCTACCCCCAAAAAGATACTCTTCCTACATTTTCTTTTTTTAACTTTATAGTTTTATCTTTCCATTGGATCTTGGTTGATCTGAAATTTACCTTCACACAGAATGAAGTAAGGACCTAATTTTACTTTTCTCCAATAGTGAGGCACTGTTGCCTTTCTCCACTGACTTGTGGTGTCAACCTCATATATCAAGTTCTCATGTACACAGCTTTGCTTCTGAGCTCTCTGTTCTGCCCCATCGGGCTATTTACCCACACTTATGTACCATAATGCTTTTGTTGCTGTGGCTTTGCAGTATTTGTTAATATCTGGGAGTCTAGTCGTCCTTCTTGCCTTTCCTTTATGAAAATGAACCTATTCATGGATATTTCCTCTTCTATAGACATTTTATTTATTTTTATTTTTTCATTTCTATTTTTGTAGAGATGTGGTCTCACTATGTGGCCCAGGCTGATCTCAAACTCCTAGCTTCAAGTAATCCTCCCACCTCATCCTCCTAAAGTGCTGGGATTACAGATGTGAGCCACTGAGCCCAGCCAACAAACATAATTAAATTTGTAAATTCAAAGGTGTACATTTTGACATATAGTACTTGGAATCCATTTAGAATATATAAAATATTCTCTTTAGGCATGATGAAATTTTTGTTTTTATGTCCATATGCTTTGCCTCAGATATTCTAGTTCTTGGAATTTGTCCTACAAATATAATTGTCCAAGTGGGTAAAGTTATATTTATTTTAAACATTTATTGTAAACATCCTAAATGTTCATCAGTAAAAGAACTATATGTTTCCTGTGGCTGCTATAACAAACTACCCCAAACTTGTTTTAAGCAAACTTATTTTGCTGAAAACATAATAAATGTATTCTTTCACCATTCTGGAAGCCAGAAGTCTGAAATCAGTATCACTGGTCCAAAATCAAGGTGCCAGCAGGGCCACACTTCCTCTGGAGGCTCAAAAAGAGACTCCATCTCTTGTGTCTTCCAGCTCCTGGTGACTGCCCACATTTCTTAGCTTGTAACCTCCATGCTCCAATCTCAACCTCTGTCTTCTCACTTTTTCTGTATATGTCAAAGTTCCCTCTGCCTCTCTCTTATACGGACACTAATGATTGCATTTAGCACCTCCCCACACCCCCTCTCAATCATACAGGATGATCTCCCCTTCTCAAAATTCTTTCTTTTTTTTTTGAGACAGAGTTTTGCTCTTGTTGCCCAGGCTAGAGTGCAATGGCACCATCTCAGCTCACTGCAACCTCCATCTCCCGAGTTCAAGCGATTCTCCTGCCTCAGCCTCCCGAGTAGCTGGGATTACAGGTGCCCGCGACCACCCTGGCTAATTTTGTATTTTTAGTAGAGACAGGGTTTCTCCATGTTGGCCAGGCTGATCTCAAACTCCTGACCTCAGGTGATCCGCCCACCTCAGCCTCCCAAAGTGCTGGGATTACAGGCATGAGCCACTGCGCCCAGCCTCAAAATTCTTAAACACATCTGTAAAGATCATTTCTTTAAATAGGGTAACATGTACAGGTTCCAGGGATTATGATGTAGACAGTGTAGACATTTGGGGGCCATTACTCAGCCTATTACGGGAATGATTTAATTTAAAATTATTGTATATCCCTACAATGAAATGTTTTTATCATTTTTTTTTTTTTTGAGACAAGTCTCGCCGTGTTGCCCAGGCTGGAGTGCAGTGGCGCTCCACCTCCCAGGTTCAAGCAATTCTCCTGCTTCAGCCTCCTGAGTAGTTGGGATTACAGGTGCCCGCCACAATGCTCAGCTAATTTTTGTTTTTTTAGTAAAGACATGGTTTCACCATGTTGGCCAGGCTGGTCTCAAACTCCTGACATCAAGTGATGCACCCGCCTTGGCTTCCTACAGTGCTGGGATTACAGGTGTGAGCCACCGCGTCCAGCCTGAAATATTTTTCCATCATTAAAAAGAATGAACTTTGAGAGGCCAAGGTGGGCAGATTACTTGAGCCCAGGAGTTCAAGACCAGCCTGGGCAACATGGCCAAACCCCGTTTCTACAAAAAAAAAAAGACAAAAAAAAACCCACAAAAGCTAGCAGAGAGTGGTGTCGCATGCCTGCAGTCCTGGCTACTGGGGAGGCTGAAGTGAGAGGATCGCTTAAGCCCAGGCAGTCGAGGCTGCGGTAAGGCAAGATTGCACTACTACACTCCACCACACTCCAGCCTGGGAGACAGAGTGAGATCCTGACTGGAAAAAAAAAAAAAAAAAGAAGAACAAAAAAAGAAGGATGAAATGGAAGTACATATATTTACATGAAAACATGTCAAAGACATACTGTTAAGAGATTTTTTAAAAGTAAATTTCAGAGCAATAGTTATAGTATTACCCTAAAGTATAATTTACATACATTATGCAAGTGCTTACATATATTTTTTAAAATGTGTCTGAATAGACACAGAACAACAGTTATCTCTGGAGAATGCAACTGGGGATGAGCCAGGAAGACGAGATAATTTACTCTTTGTACTTTTCTATACTGTTTATGTTTTTTAAAATCATGAACAGGTTTGTGTTTTTACAGTCACTGTAAAGTGTTTTTGTTATAAAATATTCTCTAGCCCTCCTGCCTAAAGTGACCCTAGTCCTGCTAAGTAGGAACTCTTGGCTTTCCCCAGTGATCCTTTTTGCAGAACAATAAAGGAATCCTTTTCCAAGGCCCTGTGAAGGTCTGTAGTTGTCCTCTTTCACCACCTGTTGTTGAACTTGCAGTCGTAAGTCATAATGGGGATAGGGAAAGAAGCTAATGAATCAGCCTTCAAAGTGAGCAAACACATGAGCCATTCAATTAATCACGCATGAGTCTTCAAATCCATGTCCACATCAGGCTTTGTCTCTCACTAGTTGGGGAAACTTGAGCAAGTCACTTAAACTCTCAGGTGTCCTTATCTATAAAATGATACAGTCTTCCACACAGGGCTACAAGGAGGAATAAATGAAACAATGCATTTCCAAGTTAAGTGCTTGGACTGAGCTGAATCTAATCTTCTCAAGTGTGAATGAATTCATTGGTGAAATTTAAGATGGGGAAAAAGCAAGGATGATATTATATATAAAATCAGATTTGAATTAGCAGCAGCACTGCAGTTGAATAAGCCCTGCACCACATGAGAAGTTCTGGGTTCCAATATGGACGGATGCGAGGTAGTCCTCACACAAGCTGCTTCCCCATCTTGGGCCCAAGTTTCAATAACTGAAAAATAATGGCACTGAAATAGACCTCTAGGGTCTCTTCTGGCTCTCACATTCTATAATTCTGGGGGCTTAGACATGATTTATGATCGTGCTTGTCAGTCATGTCTCTGCGAGTATTTCTAGAAAATGCTTTATGGCCTTGAGGCTAAACTATTGAAGCATTCGTTATAGGCTGAATTGTTTCCCCCAGTGCCTCAGATTCATATGCTGAATCCCTAACTCCCAATGTGACTGTATTTGGAGACAGGATCTTTGCAAAGGCATTTAAGCTTAAATGAAGTTGTAACGGTAGGGCCCTAATCTAACAGGACTTGTATTCTCATAAGAAGAGTCAAAGAGGAAGTCTCTCTGAGCCTACTCAACCTCAGGAGGCTGCCCATTTTTTTTTTTTTAAGAGGAAGAGAGACAGAAATGCAGGTGCACAGAGGAAAGGGCATGAGAACGCATAGTGGGGCCAGAGCCATCTGTAAGCCAAGGAGAGAGGCTGCAGGAGAAACCAAGACTGCCAGTGCCTTGTTCTTGGATCTCCAGCCTCTAGAACTATGAGAAAATAAATTTCTGTTGTTTAAGCCTCTCAGTCTACAGTATTTTTTCATGGCAGCCCTAGCAGACTAATACAGGATTCAAAAGCCAGTTGTGGTAGGAGGTTCACTAGAGAATGTCCAAGAGATTTCAAGGAATAAAAGTTAAAAGGGGGGGCAGTTCCAAGATGGCCGAACAGGAACAGCTCCAGTCTACAGCTCCCAGCATGAGCAATGCAGAATATGAATGATTTCTGCATTTCCAACTGAGGTACTGGGTTCATCTCACTGGGGATTGTCGGACAGTGGGTGCAGAACAGTGGGTGCAGCGCACTGAGCATGAGCCGAAGCAGGGCGAGGCATCACTTCACCCAGGAAGTGCAAGGGGTCAGGGAATTCCCTTTCCTAGCCAAGGAACAGGGTGACAGATGGCACCTGGAAAATCAGGTCACTCCCACCCTAATACTGCGATTTTCCGACAGTCTTAGCAAATAGCACACCAGGAGATTACATCCCGTGCCTGGCTCAGAGGGTCCTGTGCCCATGGAGCCTCACTCATTGCTAGCACAGCAGTCTGAGACCAAACTGCAAGGTGGCAGCGAGGCTGGAGGAGGGGCGCCCCCCATTGGTGAGGCTTGAGTAGGTAAACAAAGCGGCCAGGAAGCTCAAACTGGTTGGAGCCCACCGCAGCTCAAGGAGGCCTGCCTGCCTCTGTAGACTCCACCTCTGGGGGCAAGGCATAGCCAAACAAAAGGCAGCAGAAACCTCTGCAGACTTAAATGTCCCTGTCTGACAGCTTTGAAGAGAGTAGTGGTTCTCCCAGCACGCAGCTTGAGATCTGAGAACAGGCAGACTGCCTCCTCAAGTGGGTCCCTGACCCCCGAGTAGCCTAACTGGGAGGCACCCCCCAGTAGGGGCAGACTGACACCTCACACAGCCGGGTACTCCTCTGAGACAAAACTTCCAGAGGAACAATCAGGCAGCAATATTTGCTGTTCAGCAATATTCACTGTTCTTCAGCCTCCGCTGCTGATACCCAGGCAAACAGGGTCTGGAGTGGACCTCCAGCAAACTCCAACAGACCTGCAGCTGAGGGTCCTGACTGTTAGAAGGAAAACTAACAAACAGAAAGGACATCCACACCAAAACCCCATCTGTACGTCACCATCATCAAAGACCAAAAGTAGATAAAACCACAAAGATGGGGAAAAAACAGAGCAGAGAAACTGAAAATTCTGAAAATCAGAGAGCCTCTCCTCCTCCAAAGGAATGCAGCTCCTCACCAGCAATGGAACAAAGCTGGACGGAGAATGACTTTGACAAGTTGAGAGAAGAAGGCTTCAGACGATCAAACTTCTCTGAGCTAAAGGAGAAAGTTCGAACCCATGGCAGAGAAGTTAAAAACCTTGAAAAAAGATTAGATGAATGGCTAACTAGAATAATAACCAATGCAGAGAAGTCCTTAAAGGACCTCATGGAGCTGAAAACCATGGCACGAGAACTACGTGATGAATGCACAAGCTTCAGTAGCCGATTTGATCAACTGGAAGAAAGGTTATCAGTGATGGAAGATCAAATGAATGAAATGAAGCGAGAAGAGAAGTCAGAAAAAAAAGAATAAAAAGAAATGAACAAAGCCTCCAAGAAATATGGGACTATGTGAAAAGACCGAATCTACATCTGATTGGTGTACCTGAAAGTGACGGGGAGAATGCAACAAAGTTGGAAAACACTCTGCAGGATATTATCCAGGAAAACTTCCCCAATCTAGCAAGGCAGGCCAACATTCAAATTCAGGAAATACAGAGAATGCCACAAAGATACTCCTTGGGAAGAGCAACTCCAAGACACATAATTGTCAGATTCACCAAAGTTGAAACAAAGGAAAAAATGTTAAAGGCAGCCAGAGAGAAAGGTCGGGTTACCACAAAGGGAAGCCCATCAGACTAACAGCTGATCTCTCGGCAGAAACTCTACAAGCCAGAAGAGAGTGGGGGCCAATATTCAACATTCTTAAAGAAAAGAATTTTCAACCCAGAATTTCATATCCAGCCAAACTAAGCTTCATAAGTGAAGGAGAAATAAAATACTTTACAGACAAGCAAATGTTGAGACATTTTGTCACCACCAGGCCTGCCCTACAAGAGCTCCTGAAGGAAGCACTAAACATGGAAAGGAACAACCAGTATCAGCCACTGCAAAAACATGCCAAATTGTAAAGTCCATCGATGCTAGGAAGAAACTGCATCAACTAACGAGCAAAATAACCAGCTAACATCATAATGACAGGATTAAATTCACACATAACAATGTTAACCTTAAATGTAAATGGGCTAAATGCTCCAATTAAAAGACACAGACTGGCAAATTGGATCAAGAGTCAAGACCCATCAGTGTGCTGTATTCAGGAAACCTATCTCACGTGCAGAGACACACTTAGGCTCAAAATAAAGGGATGGAGAAAGATCTACCAAGCAAATGGAAAACAAAAAAAGGCAGGGGTTGCAATCCTAGTCTCTGATAAAACAGACTTTAAACCAACAAAGATCAAAAGAGACCAAGAAGGCCATTACATAATGGTAAAGGGATCAATTCAACAAGAAGAGCTAACTATCCTAAATATATATGCACCCAATACAGGAGCACCCAGATTCATAAAGCAAGTCCTTAGAGACCTACAAAGAGACTTAAGACTCCCACACAATAATAATGGGAGACTTTAACACCCCACTGTCAACATTAAACAGATCAACGAGGCAGAAAGTTAACAAGGATATCCAGGAATTGAACTCAGCTCTGCACCAAGCGGACCTAATAGACATCTACAGAACTCTCCACCCCAAATCAACAGAATATACATTCTTCTCAGCACCACACTGCACTTATTCCAAAATTGACCACATAGTTGGAAGTAAAGCACTCCTCAGCAAATGTAAAAGAACAGAAATTATAACAAACTGTCCCTCAGACCACGGTGCAAACAAACTAGAACTCAGGATTAAGAAACTCACTCAAAACCATTCAACTACATGGAAACTGAACAACCTGCTCCTGAATGGCTACTGCATACATAACGAAATGAAGGCAGAAATAAAGATGTTCTTTGAAACCAACGAGAACAAAGACACAACATACCAGAATCTCTGGGACACATTTAAAGCAGTGTGTAGAGGGAAATTTACAGCACTAAATGCCCACAAGAGAAAGCAGGAAAGATCTAAAATTGACACCCTAACATCACAATTAAAAGAACTAGAGAAGCAAGAGTAATCACATTCAAAAGCTAGCAGAAGGCAAGAAATAACTAAGATCAGAGCAGAACTGAAGGAGATAGAGACACAAAAAACCCTTCAAAAATTCAATGAATCCAGGAGCTGGTTTTTTGAAAAGATCAACAAAATTGATAGACTGCTAGCAAGACTAATAAAGAAGAAAAGAGAGAAGAATGAAATAGATGCAATAAAAAATGATAAAGTGGATATCACCACTGATCCCACAGAAATACAAACTACCATCAGAGAATACTATAAACACCTCTATGCAAATAAACTTGAAAATCTAGAAGAAATGGATAAATTCCTCGACACATACACCCTCCCAAGACTAAACCAGGAAGAAGTAGAATCTCTGAATAGACCAATAACAGGCACTGAAATTGAGGCAATAATTAATAGCTTAGCAACCAAAAAAAGTACAGGACCAGATGGATTCACAGCCGAATTCTACCAGAGGTACAAGGAGGAGCTGGTACCATTCCTTCTGAAACTATTCCAATCAATAGAAAAAGAGAGAATCCTCACTAACTCATTTTATGAGGCCAGCATCATCCTGATACCAAAGCCTGGCAGACACACAACAAAAAAAGAGAATTTTAGACCAATATCCCTGATGAATAACAATGCAAAAATCCTCAATAAAATACTGGCAAACTGAATCCAGCAGCACATCAAAAAGCTTATCCACCATGATCAAGTGGGCTTCATCCCTGGGATGCAACGCTGGTTCAACATATGCAAATCAATAAACGTAATCCAGCATATAAACAGAACCAATGACAAAAAGTACATGATTATCTCAATAGATGCAGAAAAGGCCTTTGACAAAATTCAACAGTCCTTCATGCTAAAAACTCTCAATAAATTAGGTATCGATGGGATGTATCTTAAAATAATAAGAGCTATCTATGACAAACCCACAGCCAATATCATACTGAATGGGCAAAAACTGGAAGCATTCCCTTTGAAAACTGGCACAAGACAGGGATGCCCTCTCTCACCACTCCTATTCAACATAGTGTTGGAAGTTCTGGCCAGGGCAATCAGGCAGGAAAAGGAAATAAAGGGTATTCAATTAGGAAAAGAGGAAGTCAAATTGTCCCTGTTTGCAGATGACATGACTGTATATCTAGAAAACCCCTTGGTCTCAGCCCAAAATCTCCATAAGCTGATAAGCAACTTCAGCAAAGTCTCATGATACAAAATCCATGTGTAAAAATCACAAGCATTTTATACACCAATAACAGACAAACAGAGATCCAAATCATGAGTGAACTCCCATTCACAATTGCTTCAAAGAGAATAAAATACCTAGGAATCCAACTTACAAGGGATGTGAAGGACCTCTTCAAGGAGAACTACAAACCACTGCTCAAGGAAATAAAAGAGGATACAAACAAATGGAAGAACATTTCCTGCTCATGGATAGGAAGAATCAATATCGTGAAAATGGCCATACTGCCCAAGGTAATTTATAGATTCAATGCCATCCCCATCAAGCTACCAATGACTTTCTTCACACAATTGGAAAAAACCACTTTAAAGTTCATATGGAACCAAAAAAGAGCCTGCATTGCTAAGTCAATCCTAAGCCAAAAGAACAAAGCTGGAGGCATCACACTACCTGACTTCAAACTATACTACAAGGCTACAGTAACCAAAACAGCATGGTACTGGTACCAAAACAGAGATATAGACCAATGGAACAGAATAGAGCCCTCAGAAATAATGCCACATATCTACAACTATCTGATCTTTGACAAACCTGACAATAATAAGAAATGGGGAAATGATTCCCTATTTAGTAAATGGTGCAGGGAAAACTGGCTAGCCATACATAGAAAGCTGAAACTGGATCCCTTCCTTACACCTTATACAAAAATTAATTCAAGATGGATGGATTAAAGACTTAAATGTTAGACCTAAAACCATAAAAACTCTAGAAGAAAACCTGGGCAATACCATTCAGGACATAGGCATAGGCAAGGACTTCATGTCTAAAACACCAAAAGCAATGGCAACAAAAGCCAAAATTGACAAATGGAATCTAATTAAACTAAAGAGCTTCTGCACAGCAAAAGAAACTACCATCAGAGTGAACAGGCAACCTACAGAATGGGAGAAAATGTTTGCAATCTACTCATCTTACAAAGGGCTAATATCCAGAACCTACAATGAACTCCAACAAATTTACAAGAAAAAAACAACCCCATCAACAAGTGGGCGAAGGATATGAACAGACACTTCTCAAAAGAAGATATTTATGCAGCCAAAAGACACTTGAAAAAATACTCGTCATCACTGGCCATCAGAGAAATGCAAATCAAAACCACAATGAGATACCATCTCACACAGTTAGAATGGCGATCATTAAAAAGTCAGGGAACAACAGGTGCTGGAGAGGATGTGGAGAAATAGGAACACTTTTACACTGTTGGTGGGACTGTAAACTAGTTCAACCATTGTGGAAGTCAGTGTGGTGATTCCTCAGGGATCTAGAACTAGAAATACCATTTGACCCAGCCATTCCATTACTGGGTATATACCCAAAGGATTATAAATCATGCTGCTATAGAGACACATGCACACGTATGTTTATTGCAGCACTATTCACAACAGCAAAGATTTGGAACCAAGCCAAATGTCCAACAATGATAGACTGGATTAAGAAAATGTGGCACATATACACCATGGAATACTATGCAGCTATAAAAAATGATGAGTTCATGTCCTTTGCAGGGACATGGATGAAGCTGGAAACCATCATTCTCAGCAAACCCTCGCAAGGACAAAAAACCAAACACCGCATGTTCTCACTCATAGGTGGGAATTGAACAATGAGAACACATGGACACAGGAAGGGGAACATCACACACTGGGGCCTGTTGTGGGGTTGGGGGAATGGGGAGGGATAGCGTTAGGAGATATACCTAATGTAAACGACAAGTTAATGGGTGCAGCACACCAACATGGCACGTGTATACATATGTAACAAACCTGTACGTTGTGCACATGTACCCTAAAACTTAAAGTATAATTTAGAAAAAAATAAAAGGGTTTTTCCTGGCATCATAAAAGCTTTATATCGATGTTCTCTCTTGCTGCTTTTGGTAATTAGAATAGGTTGTCAAAAAGCTAGAGCAATTGTTGATAGTCTCAAGTTTTAATGCTCTCAATAAATAGTTCAGTTTGGGAGGCAGAATTAAAATGGGACAGTGGAATGCCAGAGAGTTTGGAGTGATCTGGACCAGGATTAAACATCGCATTAGCAGAGTGATCCTGGACCAGGTACTTAATCTGTCTGCATATGAGTATTCTGAAACCTAAATGAGAGACCGTATGTAAAGACCTGGCACCCACATGGCACATTCTTGGTAGCTATTATCTTCATGTGATAATGAAAAGTCTTTACTCCTTATTTCCTTGAAAATATCATTACTTTGGAAAGAAGCTAATGTTTTATAATAAAGTGTTTTCTAGACTAAATTTTTTAGTTCAAAGTTTTGCCCTTTAAGAGATCTGAACTTCCATTAGAACGTGGGAAGAGGGCTGATCACAGCATGCATTTATTGAACTCTGACTTGTATGCCAAACACATATTAATTTCTTATGAATGATTTCATTTGAGCTTCTGGAAACGCTACGAGGCAAATAGCATTGTTTTTCCCATTTTAAAGATGAGGAAATAACTTTCAAAGAAGTTAAAAAGCTTTCCAAAGTTCCAACAGCTAAAAACACCAGCTGTTTGATCCGAAGACCATCTTCTTAGCTATACTGGTCTCAGAATCTAGGTACCTTTTATCAAGCTACACATTTTTACTCTACCAAGTAGTTTTTATTTTGAATCTTCAAACAGAACTGTACTGGATTTTATCATTGGTTTACAGATAAGGAAGCTGATGCTTAAATAACTTACCTAATATGGTTTGGCAAGTGGCTGAGCTGAGATTCAAAAAAAAAAAAATTCATTTTCTCTTAATCTACTGTTTGGTCTGTTTGGGCCCAGGGTTCTGTGTCTTCACAGCTCTACCCTACCACTTCCAAACTGTGCTTAGTAGACTGCACAAAGCCCCGGAAAGTACACTAAACTGGAATCCAAGAGACCTGGGTTTTATTGTTCGCTGTGTTACCAATGAACTATGTGACATCAGTTAAGCCATTTCACTTCTCTGAGCCTCAGTTTTGTCATTTGCTGAAATAATTTGAATTAGGTCACTTTTAATTCTTTTGGCTTTAAGTTTCTATAATCCCAGGTGAATTGTGAACAATCACATTCATTGTGTCACTAAACTTAAAGAAATAAAATGTCAGCCAGGCGCAGTGGCTCATGCCTGTAATCCCAGCACTTTGAGAGGCCGAGGCAGGCAGATCACTTGAGGTCAGGAGTTCGAGACCAGCCTGGCCAACATGGTGAAACCCCGTCTCTACTAAAAATACAAAATTAGCTGGGCTTGGTGGCGGGCGCCTGTAATCCCAGCTACTCAGGGGGCTGAGGCAGGAGAATCACTTGAACCTGGGAGGCGGAAGTTGCAGTGAGCCCAGATGGTGCCATTGCACTCCAACCTGGGCAACAAGAGTAAAACTCCATCTCAATAAATAAATAAATAAATAAATAAATAAATAAATAAATAAATAAAATGTCAAAAATTATGAAATAATTACAGGGACAAATGTGATTGTTAAACTATGATGGTAAAGAAGTTTGATCCCAACCTTTCAGAAACCAGCTTTTTAGAAGGATTGGTGCAATGATAGACGAGATGTGGGAACAAAGCTCAGACTGAGTATCTGTGATCTCAGACAAGTGTTTATTCTTCCTCTGATTTAGTTTGCTTTATGGTTGAATGGAGATAATTCTAATGCCTGTATGTTTGCTTTAAGAAGACTTCTTGCCAGATATTAAAATAGATGAGAAACCAGAGCATAGAAGGGAAAACCAGAGCATAAAAGGGAAACCACACTGGAAAAAAGTTTACAATAAAAATGCTGTAAAAATGCAAGACACGGGTGAGGTCATGTGTGCCTGTAGTTCCAGCTACTCGGGAGGCTGAGGTGGGAAGATCATTTGAGCCCAGGAGCTCAAGGCCACAGTGAGCTATGATCACACCACTGCCCTCCAGCCTGGGCAGCAACACAGCAAGACTCTGTCCTAAGGAAAAAAATGCAAGACATTATATTTGAAGACATCAGTGGCTGAATTTGGAGTCTGGCCAACTGTGTCCATTAAACACACCAAAAGAAAAAAAGGTAGTGTTTTTGTGTGATCACACTGGAAATAATTGAATACAAACAGGCAAAAATCAAAAGGAAGCAAAAGAACTCAGCAATGAAAAGATAAGAACAAGAAGTGAAAGAAGAAAAAAATTAAAATGAGTAGATAAGGTGGAGGAAAGATTCACAAGGGAGAAATGAGAAAAATGAAGAGGACCAGGAGTGGGAAGAAATGAAAAAAGAGGAAAAAAGGAAAAAAAGGTAATTTCTGAAATTGCAATCTCCACCAACGGCCTAAGCTACTCTTGATTTTGAAGGCTGTGCAATCATCACATTCCAGTTTTAGAACATCAACATCACCCACCCCCCCAAATTCCCTTGAATTAATTTCCACAATTGGAGCTCTCCAAAATCCACAGTAGTTTGAGGAACAAGGGAGTGGGGGTGATGTCGTTTAACAAAGTCCGAAGTTGTTCTCCTATTCAGCCACCAGGGGGTAATACATTCCATTCAATTCAAAAAGCATATTTAGGGAAGTTTACCAAGTGCTCCATACTCTAGAGGCTACCCCATGAAAAAAAATAAGGCATCATTCCTTACATTCAAGTGCAATCAATAATATATTTATGCAAGTAATGATGATTCAAGAAGAAATGAACTATTAAATCACATTAGAGCTAAGTCTTATGGCTGAATGGGAATTTATAATAAGCAGAGACGTGTGGTAGGAGGAAGATTCTGAAGAGAGGAGTATAATGGGAAGAAAGATCGGTGCCAATGTTTAAGTAAACTTGTATTACAGTTGGAAGAGAAAGCATCTTCTTAAGTCTGTTTTCATATGTTCAACATCCACAGACTAGTTAATGGGTATTGGCCTCATTTGTAAATATCTAACTAAAAATGAATTTTTTTAAAAAAGATTCAACACAATTTTTAATGATGCAATTATAAAAAATTATTAACTCTGTTTCTTCGCAATAAGAAGGGTAAAATTGTTTGCAGTCTTTCATTGTGTTATCTTTATTTGGCTCCATGATCAATAGCTTCAACTATAGTCTATTTCCTCATCGAGTTAGTTTCTTTGTTCTTTATTTCTACTACACTGGAACATATAAAGTATAACTATCAATCTTTGACTATTGTGGTGAGGGTGCTGCTCTGATGGGTGGTTCTAGATATGTGGATCAAACACGAACCCTGAATTTGCGGAGGGATTTCTCTCCCAGTTCCACTCACAGTGCTCTGTAGAAGCCGAGTCAATGAGCCTACAATGCAAAACACCAGAAGTCTGGATGCTTAATCCACTCTTTGGGTACAATTTGTTCTGATAGTGAATTTTCATAGTTTGTTGCAGCATTTGATTTTTATGTTTTGTTCCTGTTATTTTCTATAGCTTTGTTAAAATTTATATGCCATAAATTCACCCATTGTAAGTATACAATTCATGACTTTTAGAATCTGTATAGTTGTACAATCGTCACCACATTCCAATTTTAGAACCCTGCCCAATTTCCTTTAGCCCATTTGCAGACATACTCCACTTCCATATCCAGCTCCAGGTTAGCCTGATCTGCTTTCTCTTTCTCTAAATTTGCCCTCTCTGGACATTTCATGTCATACTATATGTAGTCTTCTGCACTTAGCTTTTTTCATTTAGCATAATGTTTTCAAGGTTCATCTATGTTGTAGCATGTATCAGTACTATATCATTCCTTTTTATTTCTAAATAGAATTCCATTGTATGGGCATACTACATTTGTTTATCAATTCATTAATTAATTGACATTTGGATTCTTTCCAGTTTTCAAATAATGCTGCTATGAGTAATTGCGTACAAGTCTTTGTG
The DNA here is from genome assembly GCF_000001405.40 of Homo sapiens. Lineage (NCBI taxonomy): Eukaryota > Metazoa > Chordata > Mammalia > Primates > Hominidae > Homo > Homo sapiens. The sequence continues at coordinate 32,020,615 of NC_000003.12, forward strand.
ATGGACATAAAAGACAAAATGTGCTGAGCAATTAAGGAGATGATTTCATTCAAGCTTTTATAATAGGCAAAATGTTCATTAATGAAAAACATCTCCAGGAGAAAAAAAAAAAAGAAGACCTGGGATTTTATAGAAGCGGGTAAGCAAGAGAGCCACCAGTGAGTCTTATAGGAGTCCTAAGGAATGATGGCAGGAAATATGCAAGAGCAAGGTGGTTGTGTTAGTCCGCTAGGACTGCCATAATGAAATACCACAGACTGGGTGGCTTAAACAACAAAACTCGTATTTTCTCAGAGTTCTGGAGGCTGGATGTCTAAGATCAAGGTGTCAGTAGAGTTGGTTTCTGCCATGGACTCTCTTTTTGGCTTGCAGATGGCTGCCTCTTGCTGTGTCCTCACTTGGACTTTCCTGTGTGTACGTGCTTTCCTGATATTGCTTCCTCTTCTCATTAAAACACCAGTTCTGTTGGATTGGAGCCCCATCCTCATTACCTCATTTAACCTTAATTACCTCTTTAAAAGCCCTGTGTCCAAGTATAATCACATTCTGAGGTGTACTGTGGGTTAAGACCTCAATATATGAATTGGGGCGTGGGTGGGACATAATTAAGTCCATAACAGTGATTCTTTGTGGGTAGTCTTTCTTACAAATACAAAAGTGTGGGTATTTTCTCCGCGTTGCTGCTTTCCAGGAGCACAGGCTCAAATAAAGTTCAACGTCATGAGGACAGATGTTATCATTTCTCTTGTGTATATTCCTAGAACTGGAATTACTGGGTTACGTTTAACATTTTAAGAAGCCATTTGCCAACATATCTGCACCGTTTTAACTTCCCACCAATAATATTAAAGGATTCCAGTTTCTCCACTCCCTTACGCTCATGAATGCTTTCTTTTTTATTTCAGCCATTCTGGTAAAAGTAAATGGATATTTCATTGTGGTTTTAATTTATATTTCTCTAGTGATTAATGATGTTGAACACCTTTTTCATGTACTTGTTAACCATTTGTATATCTTCTTTAGTGAAATATCTCTTCAAATCCATTGCCCATTTAGGAGTTTTAAAAATATATTCTAGGCTGGGTATGATGGCTCACACCTGTAATTCTAGCATTTTGGGAGGCTGAGGTGGGCAGATAGCTTGAGCCCAGGAGTTTGAGACCAGCATGGGCAACATAAGCAAAACTCCATCTCTACAAAAAAATACCAAAAAAATTAGCTGGGCATGGTGGTGCATGACTGTAGTCTCAGCTACTAGGGAGGCTGAGGTGGGAGGATCACCTGAGCCTGAAGAGGTTGAAGCTGCAGTGAGTCATGGTCGTGCTACTGCACTCCAGCCTGGGCAACAGGAGATAATCTGTCTCGAAAAAAAAAAAAGTAAAACAAAATATGTATATTCTAGATATAAGTCGTTTGTCAGGTACATGATTTGCAAATCTTATTACCCAGTCTGTTTAACTTGTCTTTTCATTTTGTTAGTGGTGTTTTTTGAAGAGCTGAAGTTTTCAACTATAATGAAGTCCAGCTTATCTATTTTTTCTGAAGTGTTGCATATAGATATGCAGTTGTCCCAGCACCATTTTGTTATGGAACCGAACTGGGGTCTCTCACTTGGTGCAGCAAAGCCAAACACTGACATTGGGATTTGCAGCAAGAGAAAGTGAGGCATGTATTGCAGGGCACCAAACAGGGAGAATTGGGCAGCTCATACTTAAGACCCAAACTCCCAGATGGTTTACAGGTAAGGGTTTTTTAGGATGGCGAGGCAGTTACAGGCAAAGTCATAAATCAATACATGGAGGCTACACATTGGTTTGACCTAAAAAGGTGGGACATCTTGAAGTAGAGGCCCATAGGTCATAGGTGGATTCAAAGATTTTCTGATTTGAGGCCTGGCATGGTGGCTCACGCCTGTAATCCCAGCATTTTGGAAGGCTGAGGCGGATGGATTGCTTGAGCTCAGGAGTTTGAGACTAGCTTAGGCAATGTGGTGAAACCCCATCTCTACAAAAATACACAAATTAGTTAGGCATGGTGGCTGGCACCTTGACTATTTGGGAGGCTGAGGTGGGAGGATCACTTGAGCCCGGGAGGCAGAGGTTGCAGTGAGCCAAGATTGCACACACTGCACTCCAGCCTGGGTGACAGAGCAAGATGCTGCAAAAAAAAAAAATTCTGATTTGCGATTAAAGGACACAAAGCTTTGTCTAAAAATTTGGGATCAGCAGAAAAGAACGTTAATTCTGGCCTGGGAGTGTGACTTCTGCCAGACTGCCTAGGAAGACATCTAAAACAAATAGCGGTGGTCAGAGTTCAGTCCTCAAGTCCCTCATATTTGACATCTGTGTGCCAGTGGATCTGTTTGGTGGAGGTCTGGGTTTCTGAAAAACAACTCAGGTACATATGTTAAGATATCTTTAGTTTCTATAGGGAATCAAACATCTCCTGACTTTAGCTTCTGTGGCTCCTGTTTTAAGCTACTATTAACTTCTTGCTTATCAAGTTGTTCATTTACTTTTCAAGGCTAGTGATATGGTTTGGCTGTGATCCATCCAAAACTCATCTTGAATTGTAGCTCCCATAATTCCCACGTGTCCTGGGAGGGACCCAATGGGAGGTAATTGAATCATGGGGGCGAGTCTCTCCCTTGCTGTATTTGTGATAGTGAATAAGTCTCACAGGATCTCATGGTCTTATAAGGGGGAGTTTCCCAGAACATGCCCTCTTGCCTGCTGCCATGTAAGATGTCCGTGTGCTCTTCCTTTATCTTCCGCCACAATTGTGAGGCCTCCCCAGCCATGTGAAACTGTGAGTCCATTAAACCTCTTTCCTTTATAAATTACCCTGTCTCAGGTATGCCTTTATTAGCGGTGTGAAGACTGACTAATACAGCTAGATAGGTGCCCAGAATGTCCCTTGAAGGAACTCAAGACTTTTCTTTATTTCCATGCTTGGGCCACCCACAAGCCCCTAAAAGAACCCCCTGCTCCATCTCAATTTGTTGAAAAGACTATACTTCCCCTACAAAATTGTCTTAGAACCGCTGGTGAAAATTAATTTAATATAGTTTATTGCTGCATTCTCAGTCCTGCTTCATTGCCTTACAATAGTTTCTTCTCATCGGCAAGGGATATATTCCAAGACCCCTCAGTGGATACCTGAAACTGCAGATAGTACAGAACCCTATACATTCTATGTTTTTTTCTATACTGGCATTTCCTATATATGTAAACTTTATGGTAAAGTTTAATTTATAAATTAGGCACAGTAAGAGACTAACAACAATAATAATAAGTGGGCCAATTACAAGAGCATACTATAATAAGAATCTTAAACCGATAAACTGTTTATTTCTGGGATTTTCCACTTAATATTTTTGGGCTACAGTAGACCATGGGTAACTGCAGAAATTGAAACCACAGAAAAGAGAGGCCTACTGTACATGCCTATGCTTATCCAATACCCTAATATCACACTGTCTTGATTACTGTCGTTTTAATGGTAAATTTTGACATTGAGTTGTATAAGTTCTCCAGTGTCATTCTTCCTTCTCAAAACAGTTTGGGCTCTGCAAGGTCCTTGGTATTTCCATATAAATTTTATGATCAGCTTATCAATTGCTACAAAAAAATAGCCTGCTTGGGATTTTGAGAAGAATTCTGTTGAATGTAAATCAATTTAGGGAAAATCACCCTTTAACAAAGTTGAGTCTTCCAACCCATCACATGATGTTTATTTATATCTTCTTTAATTTCTCTCAGCAATATTTTCAATATTTTGTTGTTTTCAGTGTATATATCTAGCACTACTTTTGATCATTTTTTCCTAAGTATTTTGTTCCTTTTGATTTTATTTACGTATTGTGAATGGAATTTTTTTTTTTTTTTTTTTTTGAGACAAAGTCTCACTCTTGTCCCTCAGGCTGGAGTGCGATGGCATGATCTCGGCTCACTGCAACCTCCACCTCCCAGGTTCAAGTCCTGCCTCAGCCCCCCCAGTAGCTGGGATTACACGCGCCTGCCACCATGCTAGGCGAATTTTTGTATTTTTAGTAGAGACAGGGTTTTACCATGTTGGCCAGGCTGGTCTAGAACTCCTGACCACCTGCCTCGGCCTCCCAAAGTGCTGGGATTACAGGCATGAGCTACCGTGCCCGGCCGGAATTATTTTCTTAATTTCATCTTTGAATAGTTTGTTGCTAGAACATGGAAATATAATTAGCTTTGTATATTGCTTTTGTCTCTTGCAACATTGCTAATTTATTAGTTCTAGATTTGTGTTTTTGTGAATTTCTTCCAATTTTCTACATAAAGGATTATATCATCTGTGAATTTAAAAAGTCCTACTTCTCTTTTGCAACATGGATGTCTTTTTTATTTTTGGCCTCATTATACTGGCTAGAACCTCCAGTATATAGCTGAACAGAAGTGGTGGGAGTAGACAGTCTCACCTTGTTCATGATCTTAGGAGGAAAACATTCAGTCCTACACCATTAAATATGATATTAGCCCTAGGTTATTTGTAGATGCCTTTATCAGAATGAGGAAGGACCCCTCTATCTTGTTTGATGAGGGTTTTTATCATGAATTGGTGCTGAATTTCTTCCAATGTTTTTTCTGCATCTGTGAAGATGATCATATCAGTTTTGACTTTTATTAATATGGTATATCACATTAATTGATTTTTGAATGTTAATTCAACCTTGCATTTCTGGGATACAGGAATATTGCATTTCTTGGGATATTATTGGTCATGGTATATGATCCTTTTTTTATGTTGCTGACCTTGGTTTGATAGGATTTTATTAAGAATTTTGGGGCCTATGTTCATGAGGAATATTGGTCTGTAGTTTTCTCTTCTCATGTCATCTTTGGCTTTTGTATCAGGTTAATGCTGCCCTCATTGAATGAGCTGGGAAGTGTTCCTTCCTCCTCTATTTTCTGAAAGAACTTGTAAGCTACTAGTATTTGTTATTTAAATATTTGATAGCATTCACTAGGGAAGTTATTTGGGCATGAGCATTTCTTTGTGGGAAGCCAGTTCAATTTCTTTACTTGTAGGTCTATCAAGCTTTTCTATTTTTTCCAAGCCAGTAATTTACATCTTCCTAGGAATTTGTCTAATTCATCTGCTGTCTAACAGTTATTCATAATATTCCCTTACAATTCATTTTACTTCTATAAGGTCAGTAGTAATGTCCTCTCTTTCATTCCTGATTTTGTGTCTCTTCTTTTCTTGGTCTAGCAGAGCCATCAGGCTTTCTTGAGTATCCGCTGCACACACACACAGACTCCATCAGCCAGGGTTGTGTGGATGGCTCAGACCTGCTCTGGTCTTTGCTATACATGCCAAAGTCTCTGGCTAAACATGATATATGGAGCCTTTATATATACAGACATAGATAGATAGATAGATAGATAGATAGATAGATAGATAGATAGATGATAGATAGATAGATAGATAGATAGATAGATAGATGATAGATAGATAGAGATAGAGATAGAGACAGAGATAGAGATAGAGATATATAGATTTTTTTTTGAGACAGGATCCCACTCTGTGCCCCAAGCTGGGGTGCAATGTCACAATCATAGTTCACTGTAACCTTAAACTGCTAGGCTCAGTGGTCCTCCTGCCTCAACCTCCCAAGTAGCTAGGACTACAGACATGAGCCACCATGCCCAGCTAACTTTTTGAATTTTATATAGAGATAGGGTCTCACTGTGTTGCCCAGGCTAGTTTCAAACTCCTGGTGTCAAGCAATCCTTCTGCCTCCCAAAGCAGTGGAATTATAGGTTCATGTGACCATGCCCGGCTAAGCCATAATATTCTTTGAGGAATGTCTTTCTTCTTACTATAGCTGGAGGACTGTTAGCTTCAACTTACAATCCAGATTGATATGATTAAAGGAACCCTTAAAGGAACTATATGGTTCTAAAAAAACCCTAAATGTATATTGCAACAGGATGCCTCCTACCACACACAGCAATGGCCGGGAGAGAAAGACGCAGAAAACCCTACCGTTAATATCTGCATTACCTTTTGCCTAGTGAACCAAGAGAGATCTGGGGAAATGACCGCCATACTAACGCTCTCTTTGTTTCAAAATAGCCCACACAGCTGCATTTTGCAGGTGGTGAACAGCTTTTACTACTTTTAGTTGAGACAGCTCTAAGCTGAGGAAACGGGCATGAACTGCAGTTCCCCATAGAGCCCACTTCACTTCCTCAGAAACAGCCCTCCATCCTGGGCCAAAGATGCCTGCACTGGCATCCATACAGATTTGCACAGTCACCATCTCCTCACCCTCAGAAAGTCTGTTCTCACTCAGAGAGGACATAACTTTGAATGCTAGGACCCTAGCTTGCTAAATAACAGCCGTGGCCAGTGGAGGAGTCATTTATTACTTTTTTTTTCTTTTTTTTATTATTATACTTTAAGTTCTGGGATACACGTGCAGAACATGCAGGTTTGTTACATAGGTATACACATACCATGGTGGTTTGCTGCACCCATCAACCCATCATCTACATTAGGTATTTGCCCTAATGCTCTCCCTCCCTTTGCCCCCGACCCCCTGACAGGCCCCAGTGTGTGATGTTCCCCTCCCTGTGTCCATGTGTTCTCACTGTTCAACTCCCACTTATGAGTGAGAACATGCGATGTTTGGTTTATTAATCTTAAAAATGCGAATACTATATCTTGGCTATAATTATGTAGGAAAACAATGAAATATGGGTCAGAAGATGCAGATCAAATTCATAAATGCTAACTGAAGTGATGGCACAGAGAAGGGGAGAGGAATGGGATTGAGGTGATGATTCAAGGGGACATTAGCTTTATCCATAATGTTTTATATTCATCAAAGAAAAGACTAGGAGCAAATAAGACAAATGTTAACAATTAATAATTCTTGATGTTGGAAATAAGTGTTTGCTAAACTTTTCCAATTATTTTTCAGTAAGTTTAACTCAAAATCATTTTTAATTAATCAATAAAATTGAATGTGTTCAGATTTTATTTTTATTTTTTATTTTAACAGACAGGGTCTCACTATGTTGCCAGGCTATTTATGGCTATGAATAGCCACTACAGACTCAAATTCCTGGGCTCAAGTGATTCCCTTGCCCAAGTCCCCAGAGTAACTGGGACTACAGGTGCACATCACTGTGCCCAGGTTTGCATGTGTTAGGGGCAGGGGTGTTCAGACTTTAAGCAAGAAATGGAGGTCACCCTTCAGACTCCACAATTTAGCTTTTCTCAAAGCAAGAGAAGACCTTGAGCTTCTTCCTTCTTGATCTTTCCTGATAGAGGAATGGAGAGACTGGAACAACTGTCTCCAATACATTCACTGCCTTGGTCTTTTCAAAATAACTAGCCATTGGGTTCTGGAAGTGAGTGCCACCTGGAAATGAGGAAAACATTGAGAACTTCTTTCTTGTTCATGATGGCCCTAACACTTCATTGAGTCCTCTCTTAAGATGGCATCTTTCAACCCCCATCTCAGGCCAGAGCTCTTGTTGCTCCTGCTAAAGGAGGAGGACATACACATGTGCATACTCATAGATATAAATGTATGTGTTACAGACATAAATGTGTGCCTGTCAACTTGGTCTTCATGTCAAATGTACTGAGGATCAGTCAAAATGTCTGAGAACCACTATACTAAGGAACTCAAACATAAAAGGCCAAATCAGAAATCATTATTTCATTCACTTTCTTCTCTCTAAACTTTCAAAACATTTCCTCTTGCATTTTCTCTATCTCAGTAAACAGTACTACCACCCAACCCAATTGCTTAAACCAAAGACCAGAAGTCATCTTGGCTCTTTACTTCAACCTTTAAATCCCAGCCATCAATCACAGAATAGATAATAGTATGCATCACAAGTATTGATTTGTAAAATCTGTGTTTTGGATACATACATACACATATACACACACAATATACACATCAAATTGCAATATGAAACTGATTTCTCCTCTTTTCTTAAATAGGAAGAAATGTTACAAAGAGGTGGGTTTTACATTTTATGCTCTTTAAGGAGTTTGGAAACTTCTGGTATCCATAGACTCTCTTGCTCTCCTGTTTTATATTTTAACTTGTTTGGTATCCTCTTCATTTTTGTCATCTTTCCTTTTCTATGGCTAAGAAATCTGCCCCTTTTGTGAGAAATAATTGATGGAAGGTAGAAGAAAAGAGAGAACATGGAAGGTTTGAATATTTGTCCCCTCCAAAACTCATGACTCTAATCTCTAAGATTATTTCAAACATCTACTTACAGATATTGTTACAGTAGGTAGCTAGTCAGGACACACACACACACACACACACACACACACACACACACACACACACACACACACACACACACCAGGAATGTTGGGTGGCCATCAGGTGATGGTCAGGCTGTTGTTAACTGCCCTGCTACGGTAATAATTGGTCACAGCCGGCACCAGTGAAAGGCAGCCTCATAATAGGTAACACCTGAAACTGGTGATCAGCAGTTTCCTGATAAGCTCTCAGGAGTTAGGTAAGTGGGATGAAAGAAGAAATTCAAGACCCCAGAAGTATGCCAACATATAAAACCCCAGGTCAAAAGGTCAAACCACACACTTGCCTTTCAGGTTGCCTGCCAGGCCCTCTTCCAAGTGTACTTTCCTTCCTTTCATTCCTGTTCTAAGGCTTTTTAATTTTATTTTATTATTATTATACTCTAAGTTTTAGGGTACATGTGCACAACGTGCAGGTTTGTTACATATGTATACATGTGCCATGTTGGTGTTCTAAGGCTTTTTAATAAACTTTCACTCCTGCTCAGAAACTTGCCCCAGTCTCTCCTTCTGCATTATCCCCCTCAGTGAAATCCTTTCTTCTGAGGAGGCAAGAATTGAGGTTGCTGCAGACCTGTACAGATACGGATATGTTCTGCCGGTAACAATATGAGCAAGGCAAACCCTAATGCAAGTCTCGCAATCATGAATCAACATCATGTTCTTATAAAGGCCATTGATATACTTCACTGACCTAGTGTTTCCTCTTAGGGAGTTCAGCTTGACTACCAAGGAATCTAATACTCATGAAAAGAGAGCCAATAAAAATAAGATGAAAATGCATCATCTCACTGTAACCAATGTCCATTCCCTAGAGGGGAAAATATCTCAGGTAGAGCCAGAGAAACCACGTAAAGACACATAGTTTTTATTTGCCACATAATGGGGCACAGGACAGTGATTGCAGCTTCTTTATGTCTCTCATAGCTCCAAGCACAACCACCAGCAACCAACAAATAATTTTTAATAATAATTTTATATCTGAAAGCAATAAACACTCTAACAGTACCCATTAAAAGTAGCTTGTAAACCATTTCCTGAAATTGCTTTCCACCCAGTTTCAAACATGACTCTATTAAGCCATTAAATAAAACAGAAGAGACTGAGTCATAAAATGAGAATAGAGAATATGTCAAAGAAGGTTAGAGGCTAAATTTATGATATCTAAATTTTCTTAAGAAAGCAAGTGATAAAAATTTTACTGCTTCCTTTCGGCCAGAACCGCCATCTTCCAGTAATTTGCCAAAATGACGAACGCCAAGGGAAAGAGGAGAGACACGTGATACATGTTCTCCAGGCCTTTTAGAAAACATGGAGTTGTTCCTTTGGCCACGTGTATGCGAATCTATAAGAAAGGTGATACTGTGGAAATCAAGGGAATGGGCGCCGTTCAAAAAGGAATGCCCCACAAGAGGCACCATGGCTAAACTGGAAGAGTCTACAATGTGACCCAGCATGCTGCTGGCATTGTGGTAAAGAAACAAGTTAAGGGCAAGATTCTTGCCAAGAGAATTAATGTGCGTATTAAGCGTATTAAGCACTCTAAGGGCTGAGATCGCTTCCTAAAATGCGTGAAGGAAAATGATCAGAAAAAGAAAGAAGCCAAAGACAAACGTACCTGGGTTCAACTGAAGCGCCCGCCTGCTCCACCCAGAGAAGCACACTTTGTGAGAACCAATGGGAAGTAGCCTGAGCTGCTGGAACCTATTCCCTATGAATTCATGGCATAATAGGTGTTAAAAAAAATAAAAGACCTCTGGACTGTAAAAATAAATAAATAAATAAAAAATTACTAAGCAAAACCCTTAAGTTACATAAAATATTCTCTGTTTGGAAACACATTTTCTCCAACAGCAATTCCTTATCTCAAGGGAATGATAAGATTACATGAAATATTTTGACAAGGGAAATAGAAAGATTGAAAATAATTGAGGAGGCCGGGCGCGGTGGCTCACACCTGTAATCCCAGCACTTTGGGAGGCCGAGGCGGGTGGATCACCTGAGGTCAGGAGTTCGAGACCAGCCTGCCTAACATGGTAAAACCTCGTCTCTACTAAAAATACAAAAAGATTAGCCTGGCGTTGTGGCAGGTGCCTGTAATCCCAGTTACTGGAGAGGCTGAGGCAGAATTGCTTGAACCTGGGAGGCAGAGGTTGGAGTGAGCTGAGTCGTGACACTGCACTCTAGCCTGGGCGACCAAGAGAGACTCCATCTCAAAAAAAAAAGAAAAGAAAAAGAAAAAAGAAAACAATTGAGGAGAACTTAAGTGACAAACAAGAATGAAAAAGACTTCACTATTTTACAATTTCAGGGAGAGTAACTGTGTTTATCATATTTGAATCTAAAATGTATCTTAAGCCCATAGATGAAATCAAGGTCACTGGTATTTAAAACTTTTTTATTTTCATATGTTGGATTTTTTTTTAAAGATGTGATTTGAATCAGCAGCCTACTTCTTGCAACAATATTTTTAGATTCTCTTCAGTTATTTAACCTGAAAGGCTTCTTAAATAATTTTTTTTTTTTTTTTCGAGACAGAGTCTCACTCTGTCACCCCAGCTGGAGTGCAGTGGCGTGATCTTGGCTCACTGCAACCTCTGCCCCCCAGTTTCAAGTGATTCTCCTGCCTCAGCCTCCCAAGTAGCTGGGACTACAGGCATACGCCCGGCTAATTTTTGTATTTTTAGTAGAGATGGGAGTTCACTAAGTTGGCCAGGCTGGTCTCGAACTCCTGACCTCATGTGATCCACCCACCTCGGCCTCCCAAAGTGCTGGGATTACAGGCGTAAGCCACCGTGCCCAGCCAAAAGGCTTTTAATATACTAAAAGAATCCATAAAATTCTGATGTTAGTACTTTTTTCAACAAATATTCAGAAATAGACTCAAGGATAAAGCTAACATAGGAAATGCATTTCCTCTTAAAAGCAATGAGAAATAGGAAATATAAATGCAATAGAAAAATGAGTTTGAAATCTTAGAATATTTCGGAATTAAACCCAGATATTTAGGAAAGATGAGTCATTTTAAGAATTGCTCCTTTGAAATCTTAAGGCTGACCAGGCATGGTAGTTCATGCCTATAATTCCAGTACTTTGGGAGGCTGAGGCAGGAGGATTGCTGAAGCCCAGGAGTTTGAGACCAACCTGGGCAATATAATAAGACCCCATCTCTATTTTAAAAATAAATAGGCCAGGCATGAAAGCTCATGCCTGTAATCCCAACACTTTGGGAGACCAAGGCAGGTGGATCACTTGAGGTCAGGAGTTCAAGACCAGCCTGGCCAACATGGCAAAACCCCATCTCTACTAAAAATACAAAAATTAGGCATGATGGGGGGCACCTGTAATCCCAGCTACTCAGGAGGCTAAGGTGGGAGAATCTCTTGAACCCGGGAGGCAGAGGTTGCAGTGAGCCGAGATCATGCCACTCCAGCCTGGGCGACAGAGTGAGACTCTGTCTAAAAATAATTAATTAACTAATTAATTAAAAATTAAATAAGTAAAAAGAAAAATGACAAAAAACAATAAAATGAAATAAAATCTATGGCAATCTATATATTTTGTTTTTAGGACTAAGTTCCTTCTTGCATGACCCCTCCTCCACCAAAAGAAAGCAAAGCAGGAAAAGAAGAAGAATTAAGTTTTAGCTTAAGTTGAAATGCCACTTAAATAGGACACTGGATATTTTTTTGTGAATATGAAAAGAAACAAGAATATGAGAATTACTACATCTCCAATTTTTAATTCTATTGAACAGTTGACTTAAGTTGAGGTGATAACACTGTTAATCTCCAGCTCTTTAATGTTTCTAGGATAACGAATTGTGTTAGACTTCAATTCAATGGATGTATGTTTTGGATTCTTGTTTGAAAACCTTAGGAAAAATTACAGTTGGCTTACTCTCAAATGAACTCTCCATTAATATGGAATTTTATAAAATAAGATTTGTTGTTGTTGGAGGACCATTGAAAGAAAATTCACATCTTTACTCAAGACCCATTCGCTATCAGCAATAAAATGTAAAACAGTCATTCCAGTTATTAATGCCTGTTTTCAGTAGTCATATTTAGGGGCTTGTCAAATTATAATGTGATGAATTTCCTTTAAAATGTTTTTAGATTTTACAAGTTGTGTGTTACTGAACAGTTCTCCTATTATTTCTGATATCATAAAACAATTTGAAATGTATATTAAAGCTCAGTGGTTTTTTGCTGTTGTTGAATCATTTTGGTTCAACTTGTCAAAATTTGAAGGTCTTAAGAGCTGTTTCAATTCCAAGAAGCCTTTCAAATATCTATATTAATCTTGTAAAATTAATTGTTGTCTTAACAGGAAGTCTTATTTTTTAGTACCTAGAATTAATTAACTTGAACTTACATGATCCTGTGGAATTTAAAATCTGACAAACCACGGATGCCAGTCCTAAGATTAGGAATTTAATTATAAAGTAGCTGGCACCTAGAAGGCACTCAAAAAATACTTGTTGAAGGAGTACATGGAATGCAGAGAAATATCTCCTTTCTAGTAAAAGGGTGATATAACTCTGTATTGCAGCCAATAAATGCTGTATTAGAAAATTTATAAGAATATCCAGATACAAATTTATTGTCAGCCACAAGTGATATCAACTTCCCTAGACTGTGTAAAAAAGAGACAGAGTTTCATTAACGGTATTCATACACTCTATGATAGGTTTTATGAGACATTTGGCCCCAAAGTGAGAAGACTTATCTGCCTTTAAGACAGTAAGCCAATAGCAGCCATTGTTATTGGCTTTTCTTATTCTTTAGTGTAAAGAAAGAGGAAAGGTGAGAAATTAAGAATTTCTATCAGGCCAGGTGCAGTGGCTCATGCCTGTGATCCCAGCATTTTGGGAGGCTGAGGCAGGAGGATTGCTTGAGCCCAGGAGTTTGAGATCAGCCTGGGCAACATAGCAAGGATATTAGTCCATTCTCACACTGTTATGAAGAAATATCCAAGACTGGGTAATTTATAAAGGAAGAGGTTTAATTGACTCACAGTTCTACATTGCTAGGGACACCTTAGGAAACTTACAATCATGGCGGCTGGCAAAGAAGTAGGCAATTCTTCACAGGGCAGAAGGATGGAGTGAGTGCAAGCAGGGGAAATGCCAGATGCTTATAAAACCATCAGATCTCATGAGCCTCACTCACTATCAGGAGAACGGCATAGGGGAAACTGCCCCCATGAGCCAATTACCTCCACCTGATCCCACCTTTGACGTGTAGGGATTACGGGGATTACAATTAGAGGTGAGATTTGGGTGGGGACACAGAGCCAAACCATATTAGCAAGACTCCATCTCTACAAAAAATAAAAAGATTAGCCAGGTATGGTGGCCCCAGCCTGTAGTCCCAGCTGAGAGGGAGTCTGAGATGGGAGGATCACTTGAGTCTGGGAGGCTGAGGCTGCAGTGAGCAGAGATGGCACCACTGCACTCCAGCCTCGGTGACAGAGCGAGACCCTGTAGCGGAAAAAAAAAAAAAAAAGATTTTCTACCAAATGTAAATACTCTCCCCTCTAAAAGCTCTGAGACTTCCTAGAAAAGTTGTCAATAATTAGAGTCCAATCAATCACAGGCTCCAGAACAGAAGAAGAATCAACACTAAGATTTCCAGCTGAAGAAAGTGATGCTCATCACAGTGCTTTCCAAGAAAATAAATAATTTTACTGCCCTGTACCTGCAAGGGAGATACTAATTTGTCTCCAATTCATCACCTAATATGCTATAATCAGTGAGTCAATGTCAGTCAAGATATTGTATCAGCCAATATGTAACAATTTCATGGTCACTTTGCAAAGTCAGTATTGCTGAATTTAGACTTATCCACACTATATCAGACAGTGTCTATGAAAATCAGGCTTAATCAATACATGGTAAATCAATTTACAACTACATAAATGTGCAAAATATATCAAAATAAATATCAAGTATACAGCTATTATTCCAGAGCTGAGAAAAAGAAGTTATCATGTATATAAATTCACAGAGTGATAATTCTAGTAACAGGACTTTAATACATGAACATGGGGTTTTCCCATAACTGTTAACTGAAGTTGTTTCATGGAAGCAGCAGTGTCTACACTCAGACATTCACATCACACATACAGCTAGCCACACCAGAGAGAATGAGGAGATAGGAGAGTGGGGCCGTAGGATATACCATAAATGTACTTCATAGAGGAGTCTGAGCCTACTCTGGTTTGGGAGCCTGCCTGAAGAAAATTATTTTAAAAAGAAAAGAAAGAAAGAAAATGTACTTTATAGAAAAAATATAATAAAACAAAAACTTACAACTCTGAAGAATCAGGCTGGGCACAGTGGCTCATGCCTGTAATCCCAGCACTTTTGGAGGCAAAGGCAGGCAGATCACTGGAGCTCAAGAGTTCGAGACCAGCTTGGCCAACATGACAAAATCATGTCTCTACTAAAAATACAAAAATTAGCTGGACATGGTGGTGCACGCCTGTAATCCTAGCTACTCAGGAAGCTGAGGCAGGAGAATGGCTTGAACTTGGGAGGCAGAGGATGCAGGGAGCTGATACCATGCCACTGCACTCCAGCCTGGTCAACAAGAGTGAAACTCTGTCTCAAAAAAAAAAAAAAAAAAAAAATCAGACATGTTAATTCATAAAATAGGATCAGACACTAATTCTTTAAATAAAAATAGAGAAAAATAATAGGTTTGGAAGAGATCTTAAAGGAATATCTCTTCCCTCTATCCTCCAACTTTCTGGTAGGAAAAGAACCTATGCTATCTTCACAGATTTAAAAAGCAAAAAATTAGACGCAAATTTATAGAGACAGATAATAGAAGTTAAAATATTATGATATAAAATGTATCATTGTAACCATTTTTAAGTGTACAATTGGGTGGCATTAAGTCACATTCACATGGTGCAACCATCACTACCATCTATCTCCAGAACTGTTTTCATCTTCCCAAATTGAAACTCTGTATCCATCAAACAGTAACTCCCCATTCCACCCTCCCCCCAGTCTTTGGTGACCACTGTCATACTTTCTGTCTTCATGAATCCAACTACTCTGCATACTTCATTATGTATATTTTATCACAATTTAAAAAAATTTTTTTAGACAGGTTCTTGCTTTGTCACCTAGGCTGGGGTGCAGTGGCACATTCCTAGATCGCTGCAGCCTCCATCTCCTGGGCTCAAGCAATCCTCTTGCCTTCGCCTCCTGAGTAGCTGGGATGGCAGGCATGTGACACCACGCCCGGCTAATCTTTTTAATTTTTAGTAGAGATGGATCTCGCTATGTTGCCTGGGCTGGTCTCAAACCTCTGGCCTTAAGCCATCCTCCTGCGTTGGTTTCCAAAAGTGCTGGGATTACAGACATGAGCCATTGCACCCAGCCAAAAAAAATTTAAGAGAAAAAACAAGGAACTATTGATTCCTCTGCATTCCAATTGCCACTGCCCAGGTGGCACAATTCTGACCTATAATCCACCTAACTCACCACTTCTGCCTGGAAAGCTCACAGGTTTTCCAATTCCTCCAGAACCAAATAAAAAATCCTTAGATTGCCTCAAGGTTACCATGGGGTAAACCACCAGTGCCTTCCCAACTTAGTAAGATGCTGGTCCCTGAAAGGAGTGATAGATAAGGAAGACCACTTGCCAAAATCTGAGAGACGTTTCCACTAAATGCAATGTGTTGGGACACTAACAGTAGACACATTCATAGGCCAGGGATGGTAGCTCATGCCTGTAGTCCCACCACTTTGGGAGTCTGAGGCAGGAGGATTGCTTGAGCCCAGGAGTTTGAGGCTGCAGTGAGCCACGATGGCACCACTGCACTCCAGCCTGGGCAACAGAGTGAGACTCGTGTCTCAAAAAAAAAAAAGAAAAAGAAAAAAACCCACATTCCTGATGATACTCACTCGGCTCTTGAACCATGGACAGCCACAAGGAGCTTACTTATCCTCATTCTAACCAAGCAACTAGGCAGAAGTCCTACTAGTATAGACAGGCTGGCTTGATCTAAACTGATCTAAACCAAAGTTTTACCTTACTACCCCCAACCCCCACCTGCCTCTTTCTGTAACCATTCAGTGACAATTACTAGGACTTGATGTATCCACTGCCTAGCCCAGGGGCATCTTGGGAGATGAGTATCCTGTCAGGCAGTACCCCTAGAACAGTACATGCTGGAAGAAAAGCTCCCCTACGTACCCCGTGTGACAGAGAGAACAGGAACTGCGGGCTCACTGGGAGAGCTGGTTACACAAGCAGGAGGCAGTCAGCCTTCTGTGACTGCACTGCCCTCTGCAGAAGCTTTCATTTGTTTAGGCATGTTCTTGAACTGGTATTGCAGTCAGAAAATCCTAGAATGAAAACAGGAAAAAAGTTTTGCTTCTTTCAGAAAGCCCACTAAGGGCCAGGTGTGGTGGCTCATGCCTGTAATCCCAGCACTTTGGGAGGCCAGGGTGGGAGGACTGTTTGAGGCCAGGAGTACAAGACCAGACTGGGCAACATAGCAAGACCCCCATTTCTAAAAAAATTTTTTTTTTCAATTTTTTTAACGAGAAAAGATAGGTCATTTCAAAGAGGTCTTGTGAGGCTGTGAAACCAAGAGCTCTTAACACTGCGACCAAAGATGGAAGTTCTCTATAGGATGCCATGGCATTTGATGGTGCTATGTTTTCTTGAGGAGATATAAGAAAAAAGAAAAAGAAAAAAAATGATAAAAGAGAATCCACTAGGCACCAGAAATTGCTCTGGGGAGAGTGCAGATCAACCTCCACCCAGTTGTCTCTCAGCCTGAGGGGGGAAATCTGACACTTCCTCTGCAGCGGAGGGAGAGAAGAACAGCCCACATATCTGCCCAGTGACAATCCCAGGCCTTGAAAGAGCTCACTGCTTCATGGAGGAGTGAAAACAGACTTCATATATCCTAGGAAAGACTCTGCAACTTAAGGGAAAGGGAGCATTGTCCTGAGATCTTAGAGAGAAAACACTGCTGTGAAATGTTTTTATATCAGAACAGAGAAAGATTTTAGAAAATATCCACAATTTATGGAGCAATGTACCAGAGATAAGGAAGTTGTACCAAGAGAGAGTTCCAGAGATCTGCAGTGTTCCCTCGAGCCTTTGCAAAGTATGGCTTTCCACAGTCTTAGGAGGAAGCTACATGAGTCCAGGGAAAGAGCCCTTAGAAAGATGTGGATAAGCACAATCTAAAAAGTCAGAATGTATTACCTGCTGCATACAATACATGCTACAACACAGGCGAGCCCCAAAAACATTACGGCCAGGAGAAAAAGCCAGATGCAAAAGACCACATGATATAACAGGATTCCATTTATAATGAAATATCCAGAAAAACCAAGTATTTTTCCTTTTTTTTCTTTTGAGCCAGCGTCTCACTCTGTCAGCCAGGCTGCAATGGTGCAATATTGGCTCAGCACAATCTCCGGCTCCCGGGTTCAAGTGATTCTTGTTGCTTCAGCCTCCGGAGTAGCTGGGATTACAGGCGTGTGCCACCACACCCAACTAATTTTTGTATTTTTTATAGAAACAGGGTTTCACCTTGTTGGTCAGGCTGGTCTCAAACTCCTGGCCTCAAGTGATCCATCCACCTCGGTCTCCCAAAGTGCTGGGATTACAGGCGTCAGTCATCACACCCAGCCAGAAAAAGCAAATTTATAGATACCGAAATCAAACCAGTGCTTGTCTGAGGCTGAAGATAGGAATGAAGATCAACTGTACATGGGCATAAGGGATCTTTCAGAGTGCCAGAAATGTGCTAAAACTGGATTGTGGTGATGTTTGCACAACTCAGTATGTTTACTAAAAATCATTTAATTGTACACTCAGCATGGATGAATTTTAAGTAGGAAAATTATAACCTAATAAAGCAGTTCCGAAAAGCAAATCCTAGGCAAGAAAAGTAAAATAAACGGACAAAATACCTTATCTAGAAGTTAAGGTGGACTAAAAGACTGTTACAAGTCAAGTACAGAGACAAAATAAAAAAAATTAATTGAAAAACTAGACAACAATAAAAGGAATAATAAAAACTTAGGAGCTATTAAAAAGTTTATAAAGAGGGTCAGGGCATGGTGGCTCATGCCTGTAATCCTAGCACTTTTGGGAGGTTGAGGCAGGTGGATCAAGAGGTCAGGAGTTCAAGACCAGCCTGGCCAATATGGTGAAACCCTGTCTCTACCAAAAATACAGAAAAATTAGCTGGGCATGGTGGGACGTGCCTGTAATCTCAGCTACTTAGGAGGCTGAGGCACAAGAATCGCTTGAACCTGGGAGGTGGAGGTTGCAGTGAGCCGGGACCATGCCACTGCACTCCAGCCTGGGCAACAGAGCAAGACTCTGTTGCAAAAATAAATAAATAAATTAATTAATTAGTTAATTAAAAAAAAAAAGAGGGCTGGGTATGGTGGCTCATGCCTATAATCCCAGCACTTTGGGAGGCCGAGGCGGGCAGATAACAAGGAGGTCAGGAGTTCGAGACCAGCCTGGCCAGCATGGTGAAACCCTGTCTCTACTAAAGATACAAAAAATTAGCTGGGTGTGTTGGTGGGCACCTGTAATCCCAGCTTCCCGGGAGGCTAAGGCAGGAGAATCGCTTGAACCTGGGAGGCAGAGATTGCAGTGAGCTGAGATCACGTCATTGCACTCCAGCCTGGGTGACAGAGTGAGACTCTGTCTCAAAAAAAAAGAAAATATAAATTACTTAGATTATTTTAAGGAGAAGCAAACAAAATCATTAAAAGTGATATTGAAAGTTTATAATTCAAAATACTCATGTTTGTGTTATGTATTCTATAACTGGAGAAATAGATCATTTCCATAATCTATAATATTATAATATACAATATATGTAGAAGATGGAAACTTATGAAGCTGACTAATCATAATCCTTTTACCAAAGCCTGACAAAGACAGTCTCACTCACGGATAGGTGTGAAAATCCTAAATAAAACCCTGGCAGATCAAATTCAACAGTACGGTAAAAGAACAATGAATCTTGACCAAGGAAGGACATGGGCCAGCTTTGTGTTTTAAGGGCCTGAGACAAAGTTTGGCAGTTCGTCAATAAGTAAAACCAAATTATAATATGACTCAACAACTCCACTCCTAGTTTAAGGCAGTATACTCAGAGAATTGAAAACAGAGGCCAGGCACGGTGGCTCATGCCTGTAATCCCAGTACTTTGGGAGGCCCAGGAGGGCGGATCACCTGAGGTCAAGAGTTCGAGACCAGCCTGGCCAACATGGTGAACCCCTGTCTCTACTAAAAATACAAAAAATGGCTGGGTGTGGTGGCATGTGCCTGTAGTCCCTGCTACTTGGAAGGCTGAGACAGGAGAATGGCTTGAACCTGGGAGGCAGAGGTTGCAGTGAGCTAACATTGCACCACTGCACTCCAGCCTAGGCGACAGAGCAAGACCCCATCTCAAAAAATATATATATAGAAATTAGCCAGATGTGGTGGCATGCACCTGTAGTCACAGCCACTCAGGAGGCTGAGACAGGAGCATGACTTGAACCCAGGAGGTGGGTTCTTTGCAGCTGGCCTGGCATAGGAGTAAAGTCCAGTAGATAGGCCAGACACAGTGGCTCACACCTGTAAGCAAAGCACTTTGGGAGGCCTAGGTGGGAGGATCAGTTGAGGCCAGGAGTTTGAGACCAGCCTGGGAAGCATAGAGAGACCCTGTCTCTACCAAAAAATTTAAACATTAGCTGGCTGTGGTGGCATGCACCTGTAGTCCTAGCTAAACAGGAGGCTGAGGTGGGAAGATTGCTTGAGCCCAGGAGTTCAAGGCTGCAGTGAGCTATAATGGTGCCACTGCACTCCAGCCCTGGTGACAGAGTGAGACTCCATCTCTAATAAAAGTTAAAAATTGTTTTTAAGTGCAGTAGGGAACAGAGAAGAACTGAGATGACCTTACATTGTTCCTTGCAGCTCCAGAGAGGTACAGGAGATTATCTCTGTGTCCCTATGAAGGGGACAGTTTTAGCTAAAATAGAACTAGACCTCAAGAAGCTCTGCAGTCAGGAATAACACAGATGCAACTTGCTTGAATCAATGGCCTAGAACCAAACAGGTTCAGGTATATCTGGGCAGGTGCCCGCTTGGACAGAAATTAGCCCGGAGCCAGCTTCCTCCGTGCCACATACACCCCATGCCACTCTAGAGACAGTGTCAAGAGAAAAAATGAGGGAGGACTGAACTCAGGCAACCCAGGGTGGCAGAGATTACCCAGAACTGAGTGAGATTAAGTTCCCACGCCCTGATGGAATGTCTCAAAAGGAAAAGTAGATTAACTCATAGAAAAACAAAGTGTCATTTCTTCTGTGATTTGTGGCTTCAGATATGGTACTTGCCGCAAAGCAGTAAAGACTTTTTCACATGGTGGTTCCAGTCTACATTTCCAACCCCACTTTTGCCACTCTACTTCACACCTACAATGCCAGCAGCATCAGACTACAGGCCAGCTGGAAACACCCCGTGAGGTCTCTGCTTTCCTTCTGCTGCAGCACACTTAGGACAGGCTTTAAAATGGTCACACGCCTCCTATCAAGAGGCTGAAGTCCATAGTCCGTATCACTTCTTATTGAATCTGAGCTGGCCAACATTGATGCCTCTCTTGTGGAAGTGATACCACTGAGTTTCTTTCTTTCTTTCTCTTTCTTTCTTTTTCTTTCTTTCTTTCTTTTTTCTTTTTTTGACAGAGTCTTGCTGTCACTCAGGCTGGAGTGCAGTGGCATGATCTTGGCTCACTGCAGCCTCCACCTCCCAGGTTCCAGCAATTCTCCTGCCTCAATCTCCCAGGTAGCTGGGATTTCAGGCATGTGCCACCACACCCAGCTAATTTTTTGTATTTTTAGTAGAGACGGGTGTTTCACCATGTTGGCCAGGCTGGTCTCGAACTCCTGACCTCAGGTGATCTGCCTGCCTCAACCTCCCAAAGTGCTAAGATTACTGGTGTGAGCCACTGCACCTGGCTGAGTTTCTGAAACTAGTGTAGAAAATACCATGCAGCTTCCACCTGGTTCTCTTGGGACACTCACTCTGGGATCCCTGAGCTGCCAAATTAGAAATCTGGCCACCCAAAGGTTACCTGCTATGAGGAAGGCCCGTGGAGAGACCATAGGTAGGTTTTTCTACCCACAGCTCCACTAAGGCCTCATACAATAATAGCCAGTATTAGCCACCAGACATGTGAATGAAGATGCTCTCAGACAATTTCACCTCCCATCTGTGGGGTCACCCCCACCTTTAAGTCTTTCTAGTTAAGGACCCAGACATGGCAGATCAAAGACAAGCTTTCCCTGTTGCACCCTTTCTGAATTCCTGACCCACAGAATCTGTGTGCATAATAACATGGTTTGTTTTTTTGCCACTAAATTTGCTGTTTATTATGCAGCAGTGGTAGTGAAACAATGCCCTTCTCTATTTCGCTAGGTCAAAGTCTATTCATCCTTAAAGGCTCAGCAAAAGCATCATCCCCTTTTTGAAACCCACCTTCAGTTCCATGGTCAGAATGGATCCCTTAGTCTGACTTGTGTAAGATTTAGTTGTATGCTCTATCATATTGGGGGAACCTGCCCCCAATATTTCAATGTAGGTTCTTTCTATTTTCCATAAGTGTTGGCCGGCCGAGAAATAAAGAGAAAGTGTACAAAGAGAGGAATTTTACAGCTGGGTCACCGGGGGTGACATCACATATCGGTAGGACCGTGATGCCCACCTGAGCCTTAAAGCCAGCAAATTTTATTAAGGATTTCAAAAGGGGAGGGGGTGCAAGAACAGGGAGTAGGTCACAAGATCACATGCTTCAAAGGGCAAA
Organism: Homo sapiens; assembly: GCF_000001405.40. Classification (NCBI taxonomy): domain Eukaryota; kingdom Metazoa; phylum Chordata; class Mammalia; order Primates; family Hominidae; genus Homo; species Homo sapiens. The sequence goes on from NC_000003.12 coordinate 32,042,803, forward strand.
AAGGAGAACAAAGATCACATGCTTCTGAGGAAACAGGACAAGGACAAAATCAGAAACTCCTGATAAGGGTCCAAAGATCACAAGGCAAAGGGCAAAAGCAAAGATCACAAGGCAAAGGGCAAAAGCAGAATTACTGATAAGGGTCTATGTTCAGCAGTGCAAGTATTGTCTTGATAAACATCTTAAACAACAGAAAACAGGGTTCGAGAGCAGAGAACTGGTCTGACCTCAAATTTACTGGGGCGGGTTTTTTCCCCACCGTAGTAAGTCTGAGGGTACTGCAGGAGACCAGGGCACATTTCAGCCCTTATCTCAACTGCATAAGACAGACACTCCCAGAGCAGCTGTTTATAGACCTCCCCCAAGGAATGCATTCCTTCCCCAGGGTATTAATTATTAATATTCCTTGCTAGGAAAAGAATTTAGCGATATCTTCCCTACTTGCACGTCCGTTTATAGGCTCTCTGCAAGAAGAAAAATATGGCTGTATTTTGCCCGACCCTGCAGGCAGTCAGACCTTATGGTTGTCTTCCCTTGTTCCCTGAAAATCGCTGATTTTCTGTTCTTTTTCAAGGTGCACTGATTTCGTATTGTTCAAACACACATGTTTTATAATCAATTTGTACAGTTAACACAATTATCACAGTGGTCCTGAGATGACGTACATCCTCAGCTTACGAAGATAACAGGATTAAGAGATTAAAGTAAGACAGGCGTAAGAAATTATGAAAGTATTATTTGGGAACTGGTAAATGTCCATGAAATCTTCATAATTTATGTTCCTCTGCCATGGCTCCAGCCGGTCCCTCCGTTTGGGATCCCTGACTTCTCACAACACTATCACTCCTTTCTCCTAAGGCCAGCACTACGTGTAGCAGGGAGCCCTACACATAGTAGGAACTCAAAAATAATTTGCTAAAAGACACAGCCATAAAAAGAATGAAATCATGTTCTTTGCAGCAGCATGGATGCAGCTGGAGGCCATTATCCTAAGTGAATTAATGTAGGAACAGAAAACGAAATACCGCATGTTCTCTTATAAGTGAGAGCTAAACATTGGGTACTCACGGACATAAAGATGGCAACAATAGACACTGGGGACTATTAGAGGGGGAATGGAGGGAGGGGGCAAGGGCTGAAAAACTACCTATTGGGTACTATGCTCACTACCTATTGGGTACTGTGCTCACTACCTATTGGGTACTGTGCTCACTACCTATTGGGTACTTTGGTGACAGCATCATACAATATACCAATGTAACAAGCCTGAACATGTATCCCTTAAATCTAAAATAAAAGTTGAAATTACTTTTTAACAAAAGAAAATTCCACATATTTATATTGAAACCAAGCCAAGCTGTGGTCTTCTGCAATGTTATAATCACCCTGTAAAGTCAATATACAAAATATATTGTATTAATTTTAACATTTCTAGGCTATTCAGGTTAAATTTTGTGTTCCAAATCTATCTTTCGTAATATAAGATTCATATTATTCTGATCACTTCTGGCTAAACCTTAAAAAGAATTCCCCTATCAATACAAAGAATATTAGTTGGGAAATAATATATATATAATAAATAATAATAATAATATATAACATAATTTAAAAAAATTTTAATGGCAAACAGTTGTATCTAATAAAGATTCTGAATCCTGGTCGGGTGCTGTGGCTCACACCTGTAATCCCAGCACTTTGGGAGGCCAAGGCGGGCAGATCACTTGAGCTCGGGAGTTAGCGACCAAGCCTGACCAACAGGAGAAACCCAGTCTCTACTGAAAATACAAAATTAGTCAGGCGTGGTAGCACATGCCTATAATCCCAGCTACTCAGGAGGCTGAGGCAGGAGAATGGCTTGAACCCGGGAGGCAGAGGTTGCAGTGAGCCAAGATTGCATCATTGCACTCCAGCCTGGGCAACAAGAGCGAAACTCCATCTCAAAAAAAAAAAAAAAAAAAAAAAGATTCTGAATCCTAAATAACAGATGCCATATACTAAGTATAAATAGGAATAAACTTGTATAATGCTCAAAAAAATTATTTGCTGAAAGAATCTTATTTCTCAACCTTATTTGAAATAGTAATTCAATGCAGCCTCTACTTAAAATTTGCAGAGAAGGGAACTTGATTTTTGAGGGCAAACTAGGCCTAACTCAAAATGAATGCTCTACTTTGAAAGATTCCAGAAAAAATCAATTGTGTCTTCCTATTAAAATTAATTTGCAGTGTGAGATAACTTACAGCATTTAATTTTGCTTAACCCACATTTTTTGTTGTTGGAAGTTTTCAAAATAGAAGAGGCCTTGCCTTTTAAGATGGCATAGTGGGTGGGGCCATGAGCTAGTGTGAATGAGAAACAGTCTGGATGGAGCATAGATTGCTTTTCCAAAGGCAATTCAGGGTATGGCTCCCATCTGGTGCAGGCATTCTACCAGGAAGCATTCCAAGTCCCTTTGCTTGTAGCTTCTACTGGGTTTCTCACAAATGCAAGAAAACACTTTTGAGCCACTAGGAGCTAGATTACACTAATGTCTGTTGTGAAAGTAAATTTTAACAGCAGCTGTTACGGTGATTATGATAAGACTAAACTAATAATAGAGTATATGCTAACAGATCAGTTTACAAAAAGACAGCCAAGACTGTTGGGCAAGAGGCTGGGAGAGGGCATAAAAGGTGAAAGCTTTGTGTACACGGTGAAAAGTCACCAGGAAATGAGACAGGGTCGATAATAGAATGACCGTAAGCTTGGCTTTCCACCTAAAGGGGTTCCAAACTGACAGCTCTAGCCTGTAGTCAGAATTAACAGACATTTTTAAAGGAGGCATCCAACTTGGAAACTATGCCAGCCTCTCAAGGCTTCCCACATCTGCCTAGAAGTAAGCTGTGGGGGAGGGGGTGGCTCACAAAGTGAAGCTAAGCTTCCTCCCTTCTCTCTCATCCAACGGGGCTGACTCAGCAGCATTAAACAAAAAGCTAGGAAGGGATTTGTATGGGTGTGTACCAGGTGTGAGCAGATGAAGCCTAAGAATCAGTGTGTGTGATTACTCAATGTTTTTAAAGAACAGAATCTCTGCCTGTTTGAAGATAGTGAGTTATCTCAAATGATTGCTCAGTTACAGGTTGAACTCCTTGTTCCACTCTTTCCTGACTTCTTAATACTGCACTTGACCAGTCAACAAACAACAAACAAACACCAGAATCTCGGTTCCGTTGTTTGTCCTGAATCTACTTTCCTGTGGGTTCTTATTTCTTACTTATTATACAGAATATTTTGGCATTGCAAAAATGGGGCCCTCAGCCCAGCACAGTTGCTCTCACCTGTAATCCTAGCACTTTGGGAGGCCAAGGAGGGAGGATCAGGAGTTCAAGGTTGCACTGAGCTATGGTGATACCACTGGACTCCAGCCTGTGTGACACAGTGAGATCCTATCTCTAAAAGAAAAATGGGGTCCTTCTTATATAAAAATACTGCTTACTTTTAAAAATTGACGCCCTCATCAAAATGTGTTAAAATGTGTCCTGGTTGTCTCCCATCTATTCCTTTTGCTTTTTCCTCAACCCCAGTGGCTTTAGCTCTTCCACCTTTAGACTCCAAGTTCATTGTACCTTTCTTTGTCAAATCAAAAAGAAATCAGAGATCACTGTCTGCACTTTAAACAAAATCCACTTATATAAATATAATAACTCACCCAGGCATCTGCAATTTAAAGACTCTTCTTGCAGAATGAGTAGTTCTATTTCCTATTAAATAAATGTTTCTGCTGCAGCAGCCAGATAGGAAAGTGATGAGGATGGGGGATAGCTGTGGAAGGAAAGCAAGAGACTTTCTTACTATAAATCGTAAATGTTAAAGACTGGCCCCAAAGCTAAGCCAACCAACCACCAATTCATCCATTCAGCGAACATTTGCCATACATTAACCAAGAGGTAGGGCATTCACTATCATTTACATGATTTCATGTACTTCTCACAAGAATCTAATGGAATAGCTACTATTATTATCCCCATTTTACAGAAAAGGAAATTAAGGCACAGAGAGTTAAATTAAAACAGACAACTACTAAGTGGTGGAACAGGGACATGCAAGAAGTCAGACCCTGTTACCAGAAAAAGGGTCCCAATCGAGACTCCAAGAGAGGGTTCTTGGATCTCACTCAAGAAAGAATTCTGGGTAAGTCCATAGAGTCTAGTGAAAGCAAGTTTGTTTTGTTTTTCTTTGAGACAGGGTCTTATTGTCACCCAGGCTGGAGTGCAGTGGCACGATCTCGGCTCACTGCAACGTCTGCTAATCTCTGCCTCCCAGATAGCTGAGACTCTAGGTGTGTGCCACCAGCCCAGCTAATTTTCGTATTCTTTGTAGAGACAGGGTTTTGCCATGTTGCCCAGGCTGGTCTTGAATCCCTGAGCTCAAGCTATCCACTCTCCTCAGCCTCCCAAAATGCTAGGATTACAGGCTGAGCCACCATGCCTGGCCTTGAAAACAAGTTTATTAGAGAAGTAAAGAAACAAAATAATGGCTACTCCGTAGACAGAGTAGCACCGAGGGATGCTGGTTGGCTATTTTTATGGTTATTTCTTGATTATATGCTAAACAAGCGGTGGATTATTCACGAGTTTTCCCGGAAAGGGGCAGGGATTTCCTGGAACTGAGGGGTTCTCCCCTCTTTAGACCATATAGTGGAACTTCCTGATGTTGCCATGGCATTTATAAACTGTCATGGCGCTGGTAGGGGTGTCTTTTAACATGCTATTACATTATAATTAGCGTATAATGAGAAGTGAGGACAGCCAGTGGTCACTTTTGTCGCCATCTTGGTTTTGGTGGGTTTTGGCCTGCATCTTTACTACAACCTGTTTTTTGTTTTTTGTTTTTTTTTTTGAGACGGAGTCTTGCTCTGTCGCCCAGGCTGGAGTGCAGTGGTGCGATCTCGGCTCACTGCAAGCTCCGCCTCCCGGGTTCACACCATTCTCCTGCCTCAGCCTCCCGAGTAGCTGGGACTACAGGCACCTGCCACTACGCCTGGCTAATTTTTTGTATTGTTTTTAGTAGAGATGGGGTTTCACCATGTTAGCCAGGATGGTATCAATCTCCTGACCTTGTGATCCACCCGCCTCGGCCTCCCAAAGTGCTGGGATTACAGGCATAAGCCACCACGCCCGGCCTACAACCTGTTTTATCAACAAAGTCTTGTGACCTGTATCTTGTGATACCAGTCCTGCCGACTTCCAATATCATCCTGTGACTAAGAATGCAGCCCAGCAAACCTGAGGCTTATTTTACCCAGCCCCTATTAAAGATGGAGTTGCTATGCTTCAAATGCCTCTGACAACCCCACATCTCTTCCTCTAACCACCGCACTTGGCAGTTCCTATTAATTTTGCTTTCTTTCCTTTCCCTTCCCAACACTGATATCTCTCCCTCTCATCCCTCTGCTCAAAATATTCAAGACCCCTGTTCCTAAAATCCATTCTCATTATATACTGTCATCTCTCCTAGACACTACTACTATTTTTTTTTTTTTTTTTTGAGACAGTTTCACTCATTGCCCAGGCTGGAGTGCAATGGCACGATCTCCGCTCACTGCAACATCTGCCTTCCTGGTTCAAGTGATTCGCCTGCCTCAGCCTCCCAAATAGCTGCGATTACAGGCATACGCCACCATGCCCGGCTAATTTTGTATTTTCAGTAGAGGCGGGGTTTCACCATGTTGGTCAGGCTGGTCTCAAACTCCTGACCTCAGGTGATCCACCCGCCTTGGCCTCCTAAAGTGGTGGGATTACAGGCGTTAGCCACCATGCCCAGCCTCTCTTAGACACTATTACTATAGACTAGCTGTTTTTTTTCTCTATACCCCTTTAAATCCCCCCATCCAACTACCAGCTGGTCATGTCAGAGGTGTTTGAACCAGAGCAACTCCATTTTGAATAGGGGCTGGGTAAAATAAGGCTGAGACCTATAATCCCAGGAGCTTAGACATTCTTAGTCACAGGATGAGATAGGAGGTCAGCACAAGATACAGGTCATAAAGACTTTGCTGATAAAACAGGATGCAGTAAAGAAGCTGGCATCCCAAAACCCACCAAAAACAACATGGCAATGAAAGTGACCTCTGGTTGTTATCACTGCTCATTATACACTAATTAGAAAACATTAGCATGCTAAAAGACACTCCTACCAGTGCTATGACAGTTTACAAATGCCATTGCAACATCCGGAAGTTACCCTATATGGTCTAAAGAGGGAAGGACCCCTCAGTTCCAGGAAATCCCTGCCCATTTCCCAGAAAACTTATGAATAATCCACCCCTCACTTAACATATAGTCAAGAAATAACTATAAGTATACTCAGTTGAGCAGCCCATGCCACTGCTCTGCCTATGGAGCAGCCATTACTTTATTCCTTTACTTTCCTAATAAACTTGCTTTTACTGTATAGACTCACCCCAAATTCTTTCTTGTGCGAGGTCCAAAAACGCCCTCTTGGGGTCTGGATCAGGAGCCCTTTTTAGTAACATCTTGCTGGCAACCATGAAGGGACTATACTGGGGAGACTCCTGACCCCAAGGACATAGATTGCAGCACCAATTGGCCAACTTTGGGTAAGTGGTAGGATACATTTTACCCAGGTAAAGGATAGGATTGGGTTAGAGGCCCAACTTAGGAGAGTCTCTCTAAAGACAGAGAGGGTTAAAGGCTCCTCTTAATAAAAGGCAAGGATGCTTGATTAAACTTGGGTTTGAGGCAAGACCCAAATTAGGAAGATTAGAATCCTTCCTAAGATTTAGGGGGTTAGAGGCCCCTCTCAGTAAAGTCCCCCTTGCTTAAAAATGGATTTGGCACTATGAGTTCTTAACCACTATTCTCTTTGGATTAATCTGCCTTGTACTCTCTGCTGATGGCTATGAGTGACAGGATTAGGCATGTACAAGATTATGGGACATGGAGAACTTTTCTTTTCCCCAAATGGGAAAACTTGAGAGCTGATGGGACTACTGGAAAAGATCCCTTGGTGATCAGCAAGCAGCTGCCTGAAGTTTTGATTCAGTGTTAGTGCAATGGGTAGGTCTTTCTCTGGCCTCCCCGAGCTCCTTGCCTTCCCCACCTCGCTGCAGTCAACACTTTTCTCCCTTCCCTTTCCTCTCTTTCTATGAAAACTTGTTATAGGAATGGTAAAAATCACTGTGTTCTCTGCAAAGTTTTGATTAATGGGAAAAAGGATTTGTGAGGCTAGTCTTAAGCTGTAGTGAATCTGGTGTAACAGCAGCAAAAACTGGATGAAGTTTCCCTCTTGTCCCAAGGTCCTTAGGAGCTTGACCTTGTAACCATGGGCAGTACTTTCTCTTGATCTTCGCCATCTGGAGGACAGGAATTTTGGAGTTTATGTCATAGCTCTAAAACATATCTTGAGCAGTTAAAAGCCATTGCAAGCTCAAAATTGACTGCTCTAGGCTCCTTCTGAGAAGAGCAATAGAGACTGCCCAGTGCTGTAGCTTAGTAGCTAAGGCTTTCTTTTCACAACGGTGGCATGAATTCAGGGTTCAATTTCTGGCTTTGGGAATGAGTCCTTTCTGGTTTGATATCTGTGTGATCTTTGCCATTTGTTGATTCTCTTCTCCTCCATGAACAACTTCTAACTTCCCTTCTTGAATCTTCCTTTCTCTGAGCTACCTTTGGTGTTTCTAAATCTTGAAAAAACTTCTAACCACATCTTTGAAAATACCTCATACACTCATGGTTAAGTCATAACCTTAGTTAAGGCTTATTGGTTTCACCTGGGAGATTACTTTTGGTAAAGTTCAAAGGCCAGAAATATTGGCTGTTTGGCCTGGCTAAAGTCAGGTAATAAGAGATACAAAAGGATTTTTTTTTTTTTTTTTGAGATGAAGTTTCGCTCTTGTTGCCCAGGCTGGAGTACAATGGTGCAATCTCAGCTCACCGCAACCTCCGCCTCCCTAATTCAAGTGATTCTCCTGCCTCAGCCTCCCAAGTAGCTAGAATTACAGGCGCCTGCTACCATGCCCGGCTAATTTTGTATTTTTAGTAGAGATGGGGTTTCTCCATGTTGGTCAGCTGGGCTCGAACTCCCAACCTCAGGTGATCCGCCCACCTCGGCCTCCCAAAGTGCTGGGATGACAAGTGTGAGCCACCATGCCCAGCCACAAAAGGATTTTTTTTAAAAGCTCACTGGCTAAAAGTCAGCTTAATTAAAAGTGGATATCCAAGCTATACATATATTTAGAAGGCCTTTATGTTTTTTCTCTTCTTGGCTCTTGTTTTTCTGGAAAAGAGGCTTTATTTTCTTCTCAGTTGACTGAATGGTTTGTCTCTATTTTGCCTTCTTGCTACTCTTGATGCACACATGAGAGGACCTAAGATAATTTCTAACAGGCTGGGACTGCTGGGGAAAACAGAGGAGGCACCACAGACTCCATTTTGGGAAAAATCTGTTTTCCTCATGAAACCCCAGGAATTCAAAATGGATAGATCCCTCTCAAAATCTAAGGATCTGTTCTGTTTTGCATTGTGTTATCTGACTTTTTTCCTTTTGGAGCGTTATCAGAAATTCTCATTATGAGAAAGCTTTGGTGTGGAATAACTAGGTAGGAAATACACTTTTGGGGATAGCTAATGGCAGTTATCAGGGGATACTCAGCTCTTTGATGTTTGGATTAGAGAAGCATGCTCTTGGCCACCTGGAAGTTATGGTAAAATGTCCTCACCCCCCACTGAGAGATAAGACTCCTATGGGAAATGGGCTAGTTCCCTCTCTTTGGAGATCCAGGATCTGGTATAAAAATGAGACCCTTAATTTTTGTGGATCTATTTTCCTTTCCAGCCATGCCTGCTTACTAGGTCCTAGAAACTGCATGTTTTCCTAGACCTGTTTCTTGAATGGTTCCACCCTGAAGCCAGTAATCCAACTAAGAAACTAAAAAACTGGCAAATGAAAAATCCTACAACTACTAGATCTTCTTGTCTGTCTGCGTATTTATATGTGGTGTGTGTGTGATGTCTATGTATGAAAGAGATCTAATTAACTGGCTTAAAAATAATAAGCACTTAATTCAAATGTTTTGTCAGAAAAATAAAAACTGTAATGCTTTTTAGTTCACATGACTTTAGTAAGCTTTGGGAAATAAAGACAGTTTTCAAGATTATTGGTAGGCCGGGTGCAGTGGCTCATGCTTGTAATCTCAGCATTAGGAAGGCTGAGGTAGGTGATCACCTGAGCTCAGGAGTTCAAGACCAGCCTGGGAAACATGGCAAAACCCCACCTTTACCAAAAATACAAAAAATTAGCTGGGTGTGGTGGCATGCACCTGTGGTCCCAGCTACTTGGGAGGCTGAGGTGGGAGGATCACTTGAGCCTGGGAGGTAGAGGTTGGAATGAGCAGAGATCACACCACTCCACTCCAACCTGAGTGACAGAATAAGATCCTGTCACAAAAAAAAAAAAAGCAAAATAAAGATTAATAAAATTTAGATATTTGGTTTAAATTAGGTCAGAGATTAGATTTGCTAAATGCTTTAATGTCATAAACTGCTTCTTTGACTTTTGAAAATTGGTTGACTTTATTGTGGAAGACAGTGTGGTGATTCATCAAGGATCTAGAACCAGAAATACCAGTCGACCCAGCAATCCCATTACTGGGTATATACCCAAAAGATTATAAATCATTCTACTATAAAGACATATGCACACATATGCTTATTGCAGCACTATTTACAATAGCAAAGACTTGGAACCAACCCAAATGCCCATCAAGATAGACTAGATAAAAAAAATGTGCTACATATATACCACGGAATACCATGCAGCCATAAAAAAGGATGAGTTCATGCCCTTTGCAGGGACATGGATAAAGCTGGAAACCATCATTCTCAGCAAACTAACACAGGAACAGAAAACCAAACACTGCATGTTCTCACTTACAAGTGGGAGTTGAACAATGAGATCACATGGATGCAGGGAGGGGAACATCATACATTGGGGCCTGTCAGGAGTTGGGGGCAAGGGGAGGGAGAGAATTAGGACAAATATCTAAAGCATGCGGGGCTTAAAACCTAGATGATGGGTTGATAGGTGCAGCAAACCACCATGGCACATGTGTACCTACGTAACAAACCTGCACGTTCTGCACATATATCCCAGAACTTACAGAACAATCAAAAAAAAATTGATTGACTTACCTGCCTTGGAGCCAGTAGATTCTAGGTAAGGCCTGGGGACATGTGGAGTTACCTATGCCCCCTGGCTATGCTGGAAAGAGTCAGACCTTATCTGCACTTCTGTCTGGTGTCCTAGGCTCCACACCTAGTACATAATTCTAATTGCTTGTTTACCAGGTTTTTCACCAAAAGTAAAAGTTGCTAAGAGTTAACAGTATAAAGTGTAAAGAAACAGTTTTACATGCAAGGCACGTGAGGAAAGTGAAACGTCCTTTTGGTAAAAGGTTATAAGAAGGCATGGGAATGTGGATTTTTCAACTAAAGGGTTAAAGGATTGTTTTAAGTTATATTAGGATAAAGCTGAAGGTTTGAGCAAGTTGTGGAAGGTTTGTGAAAAATTAACCTTATAAAAGAAATTCTGTGTGTGAACATACTGGCTAAAGTTAAAGGGGTATTACTCAGTTTTTCTGTAAATTGGACATTGCAATAAAAGCACAATGTGGTTTTCTTAGAGCACTAATCTGCTCTTTTACAAAAATTGTAAAGGGTTATCAAAGGTTTATGAGGCTCTTACCTTATGGTCAGACATTAAAATTGGATAGATGTGTCTATGAATTTTCATTAAGACCTGGGTTTGATATCAGTAGTACACTAATGCAAGGGTGAAACTTGGCTTTCTCTCTTGAATAAGATTTTCATGTAATATTAAAAAAAATAATGAGGATGGTGCTGTGGCTCACACCTGTAATCCCAGCACTTTGTGAGGCTGAGGCAGGTGGATCACGGGAGGTCAGGAGTTTGAGACCAGCCTGGCCAACATGGTGAAACCCTATCTCTACTAAAAATACAAAAATTAGCTGGGTGTAGTGGCATGTGCCTGTAATCTCAAGGCTGAGGCAAGAGAATCACTTGAACACGGGAGGCAGACAGAGATTGCAGTGAGCCAAGATTGCACCACTGCACTCCAGCCTGGGCAACAGGGCAAGACTCCATCTCAAAAAAACAAAAGAAAGAAAGAAAGAAATTTTTGGGTTTTGTTTGACTTTTGAATAAGCTACAGGAAAAAGAAGGGAAAGACAAGAGACAGATTGTTTGGAAAGCTAAATCTTCCCTCTATCAATGAGCAAAGCTTTCTGCCTTTAACAAAATTTTTGAGTTATCATTTTGACCAAGTGAATGACTTATGGTAACCTGGGATTCTATTTTAAAATATCAAGTGCTTAAATCTTTGATATTTAATAAACTTTCCAAAATCATTTTCTAAATTATGTCTTTTTCTGATCTAATTAATCTTTTAGATATTAGGTCCCCTAAAGTCCAAAAGAGACATATTTGGCTTATTTGGTATAAAAATCACACAGGAAGCATTGTCAAATATGAAATGGTATTTGACTTTCTTTGGGTTGTATTTGTATATGTTATTGGTATGTGTTCCAAAATTATTTGAAACTCCTATAATTCTTATATGACTTAGTGTATGTTATTAATAGTTATATTATTACATAAAATTGTTGTATGCCACAGAAGTAACCAACATTTCCTGGTCAATGGTGGCTTTTTTTTTTTTTTTTTTTTTTTGAGACGGAGTCTCACTCTGTCACCCAGGCTGGAGTGCAATGGCATAATCTTGGCTCACTGCAACCTCTGCCTCCCAGGTTCAAACGATTCTCCTGCCTCAGCCTCCCAAGTAGCTGGGATTACGGGGGCGGGCCACTACGCCCAGCTAAGTTTTGTATTTTTTAGTAGAGATGGGGTTTCACCACATAGGTCAGGCTGGTCTCAAACTCCTGACCTCATGATCCACCTGCCTCAGCCTCCCAAAGTTCTGGGATTACAGGCATGAGCCACTGTGCCCAGCAATTGTGGCTTTAATAGTGGCTGTCCTAACTAAGACTTTTGGTCATTCACAGAAAATTGTTCTCTCGTTTTGATCCTCTACATAAGGTGGTTTATAGGACTTTGACGGGTATAGGACATTGACAGGTGCTCTTGAATGCAGGTTTCTGATAACTTTGGAGACTGCAACATTAGAATATAGGAAAAAACTTTCAGGACTCTCATGAAGAGCTGAAATGTTCATGAATATCAAGAACAGGAGTTAACTGCATGGACTAAGCTAATAGAAGACTGAAATAATCCTTTTATGACTTTTTGCTTAAAACTTTGCTGATCCTTTGTTTTGTTTTTCAGAACCAAGAAAACTTTTGAACTATTTATAGCTTTTTTTTTTTTTTTTTTTTTTTTTTTTTTGAGACGGAGTCTCGCTCTGTCGCCCAGGCTGGAGTGCAGTGGCGGGATCTCGGCTCACTGCATCCTCTGCCTCCTGGGTTCCAGTGATTCTCCTGCATCAGCCTCATGAGTATCTGGGATTACAGGTGCATGCCACCACACTGGGCTAATTTTTGTATTTTTAGTAGAGATGGGGTTTCACCATGTTGGCCAGGCTGGTCTCCTAACCTCGTGACCCACCCACATCAGCCCCCCAAAGTGCTGGGATTACAGGCATGAGCCATATTTATAGCTTTTAACATTTTAGTAAAGTATACTCCTATAAACAAAACTTGGATTATATTTCTCTCCACTTGATTTCTCTAAAATTTGGAAACTAGTTGTGAGTATTCTTATCAATATAGTTATTTGCATAAGTGCAATAAGAATCTGTTTTCTCTTGTAACAAGACACAATTGGAGACATTGATTATTTTACCTAGGCTTTGACTGGAATCGCCTGCTTTCCTTTAAGGAATCAAACCTGACTTATAGAACCAATAAAAGCCCTTTCGGAAAACTGGCCACATATCTCATCTACACAGTTCCTGTACAGGGTCCCTAATCTGTGGTAAGTAAAGAATGCCACTTCTGACAGGCCCAGGAGCCCCAAGTTATCTTGGGAGCTCAAGAGGAAAGGAATTTGACCAACTCATACAGGTATTTGATGGTTGTATGTGTAAACCCATGGCTGGCCTTGGCTTTAAAAAAGGTCTTATCTGAGATTCCTTATGAAACAAAGTTCCATCAAAACCAATTAAAAAGAGCCTATGTGACAAATAATTATTCTTGCTGCACTTTTTACAAATAATTAAGCCAGGTATAATAAGATCAAAGCTTATTTTGTAAACAAATCAGTCCTATCATGATTTGCTTTTAATAAAAATAAGAACTGGAGAGAGAAAAATTATGTCTCAAGAACCATGATACACCTGTTTATTAGATTCCGGTCTTATCAGTTGTTTTTGAGTTTTTTTCTGCAATTTAGACTCACCCTGCTTATTTCTGTGAACCAACTAGTGATTTCTGACTGCAGCTCAGAAGAAACAAGAGGGATAGGTAATGTAAAAATCTGAATCAATGTTATAATTCTGGGTACATGTTGGAATCAGCCAGAGACTTCATATCAGCCGGGTTCCAACAATTGCCCAGTTCATGGAAAGCCTTCTTATTTAGTTTACTTGGGATAGTTTGCTTATTTTGCTTTACTCTTGTGGAGTATATTGCTGTTGTACTCTTTGTGTAGGAATGCAGGATAAGCTTACTGTATGCTTGCTTAAATTGAACATTTTAATCTTCCAGATGTCACCTTTGGTCAGACTCAAGAGATACGAATGGCCCTTGCCATACCTACACTTTCTGACTGAGCTCCTGTCTACCCTGAATACAAGAGACCCTGATACTTAGGCAGAAATATCATTGCCCCTATTCAGCCCGAAGAAATTACAGAAGATGGACCTTCGTCCCTCTGCAACCCTTGTAAAAGGGAGGAGGGACATATGTCAGAGCCGTTTGAACCAGAGCAACTCCATCTTGAAAAGGGGCTGGGTAAAATAAGTCTGAGACCTACTGGGCTGCATTCCCAGAAGGTTAGGCATTCTTAGTCATGGAATGAGATAAGAGGTCATAAAGATACACAAGACACAGGTCATAAAGACCATGCTGATAAAACAGGATGCAGTAAAGAAGCTGGCTAAAACCCATCCAAACCAAGATAGTAATGAAAGTGACCTCTGGTCATCCTCAGTGCTCATTATATGCTAATTATAATGCATTAGCATGCTAAAAGACACTCTCACCAGTGCCATGGCAACATCAGGAAGTTACTCTATATGGTCTAAAGTGGAAAGGAACCCTCAGTTCCAAGAAATCTTTGCTCATTTCCTGCAAAATTCATGAATAATTCACCTCTGTGTAGCATATAATCAAGAAATAACTGTAAGTATACTCAGTAGAGCAGCCCATGCGGTTGCTGTGTCTATGGAGTAGCCATTCTTTTATTCATTTACCTTCCTAATAAACTTGATTTCACTTTATAGACTTGCCCCCAATTTTTTTTTGCGTGAGGTTTAAGAACCCTCTCCTGGGATCTAGATCAGAACCCCTTTCCATAACAGTCATGCCATTGACCCTGGGATTAGTAAAATCTACTTGTATTAGTCCATTTTCATACTGCTATAGAGAATTGCCTGAGACTGGGTAATTTATAAAGGAAAGAGGTTTAATTGACTCACAGTTCAGCGTGGTTGGAGAGGCATCAGAAAACTTATAATCATGGCAGAAGGCAAAGGGAAAGCAAGGCACCTTCTTAACAGGGCAGCAGGAAGAAGTGCCAAGCGAAGTGGGAAGAGCCCTTTATAAAACCATCAGATCTCATGAGAACTCAGTCACTATCATGAGAATAGCATGGGAGAAACTGCCCCCATGATCCAATTACCTCCACCTGGTCTCTCCTTTGACTTGTGGGGGTTATGAGGATTATAATTCAAATGAGATGTGGGTGAGGACACAAGCCTAACCATATCACTACTCTGGATTGTTTGCTGCCTCAGATTATCTAGACCTACAATGGGAGTCAAGAGTAACATAGAGGCCCTCAGGTGGGGGACCAACCCAGGAGGTGGAAGTACACAGCTGAGACACATAAACTTTTAGCTCTGGCACTTGAGGAAGGGCAACCTATGCAAAGGAACTGGCCTGTGGCAAGAATGACATTGATTTTTAACTGCATGGACTTGTATGGGTATGACAATAAGAATAATTCAAAGAATTAATAATTCATGGCACTATCAGGAAATGAAGACCATTGACATTGAAAACTTATCTAATAGTTTTCATAAGATCTGTGCATATCACTGCATTTAGTTTTACCTCATAAAAGAGAATTATAAAGAAACCTTGAACTTTAGTTAATGATATGAATGCAGACATGTTTAGGGATGAGATGCCCTAATGTCTGCAACTTCAAAATGCATTTGAAAAATAGATAGAGGGATAGATATGTGATAAACCAACTTTAGCAAAATGTTATCAATTATAGAATCTAGTTGGTAGGTATATGGGTTTCTCTGTACTATTCTTTGAACTATTCTGTTTTGTTTTGTTTTTTTGAGACAGAGTTTTGCTCTGTCACCCAGGCTGGAGTGAGACATGACCTCGGCTCACTGCAACCTCTGCCTCTTGGGTTCAAGCAATTCTCCTGCCTCAGTTTCCTGAGTAATTGGGATTACTGGTGCCCACCACCACACCTGGCTAATTTTGTATTTTCAGTAGAGATGGGGTTTCACCATGTTGTCCAGGCTTGTCTCGAACTCCTGACCTCAAGTGATCCGCCCACCTCGGCCTCCCAAAGTGCTGACATTACAGGCATGAGCCACCCCACCCAGCCTGAACTATTCAAAATGTTTTAAATGATGCATGCTTATGAATTGTTGTTGTTGTTTTTTAAAGACAGAGTCATGCTCTGTCGCCTAGGCTGGAATACAGTGGTGCCATCATAGCTTACTGCAGCCTTGACCTGGGCTCAAGTCATCTTCCTGCCTTAGCCTCCCAGTGGCTGCCTCTGTCTGTGGAGTAGCCATAGGGACTACATGTATGCACCACAATGCCAAACTAATTATTTATTTTTTTGGTAGAGATAGCTTCTCGCTATGTTGCCCATGCTGGTCTTGAAATCCTGGGCTCAAGGGATCCTCCTGCCTCAGCCTCCAGAGTAGCTGGGACTACAAGCATGTGCCACCATGCCTGGTTTACGTTGATTTTAAAAACAGGCTAGGCTGGCCGGGTGTGGTGGCTCATACCTGTAATACCAGCACTTTGGGAGGCTGAGGCAGGTGGATCACGAGGTCAGGAGTTTAAGACCAGCCTGGCCAACATGATGAAACCCTGTCTCTACAAAAATACAAAAATTAGTGGGGCATGGTGGCATATGCCTGTAATCCCAGCTACTTGGCAGGCTGAGGCAGAAGAATCGCTTGAACCTGGGAGGTGGAGGTTGCAGTGAGCCACGATCATGCCACTCTACTCCAGCCTGGCAACAGAGCAAGACTCTGTCTCAAAACAACAACAGGCCGGGCACAGTGGCTCACGCCTGTAATCCCACCACTTTGGGAGGCCGAGGTGGGTGGATCACTAGGTCAGGAGTTCAAGACAAGCCTGGCCAAGGTGGTGAAACCCCACCTCTACTAAAAATACAAAAAAAAATTAGCCAGGCGTGGTGGTGGGCACCTATAATCCCAGCTACTCCGGAGGCTGAGGCAGGAGAATCGCTTGAACCCGGGAGGTGGAGGTTGCAGTGAGCCGAGATCGCACCACTGCACTCCAGCCTGGGTGACAGAGCAAGACTCCATCTCAAAAAAACAAAACAAAACAAAACAAAAAACAACAACAACAGGCTAGGCCAGGCATGATGGGTCAGATCTGTAATCCTAGCACTCTGGGAGGCCAAGGTAGGAGGATTTCTTGAGCCCAGGAGTTCGAGACCAGCCTGGGCAACACAGTGAGATCCCATCTCTATAAAAAAAATTAGCCAGGCATGGTGGCACATGCCTGTAGTCCCAGCTACTTGGGAGGCTGAGATGGGTGGATTGATTGAGCCCAGGAGGTGGAGGTTAAAGTGAGCCAAGACTGCACCACTGCACTCCAGCCTGGGAGACAGAGCCAGACCCTGTCTCAAAAGAAAGAAAAAAAACAGGCTAAATTAATATAGGGTTCGAGAAGCCAGGAGAGTGGAGGTAATGACTAAAAAGTGCATGAGGGGGCTTTTGGGAGCACTGGTAATGTTCTGTGATCTGGTTGGTGGTTACACAGGTACGAAATTATCTTCGTGAAAAGTCAATGAGCTATATATATATATATATACTTACGGTATATATACATTTCTGTATGCACCTTTTCTGACAAAAAAACTACAAAAATAGAATGCAAGATCTGTATATGTATGGATAGAGAATGATACTGAAGTATGTATGTCTTCAAATAATTTTAAAACAAACTGAATGATGAATGAATGCTGGCTAAATTCCTCTGCAGGCAAGATCCGGCCTCCTTGGCACCAGTTTGCATCTTGTTGCCCTCAACTACTACACAAGTAGGTTAATTCAGTGTGCCTCCAATAAGCTCATCCATCTTTCTCTGTCTCGCTGTCCATCAAATGCCCAGGCCGAACGCCATCATTCTCAACTTCTTGTCCTTTCTTAACCCTGCTTAAATGCTCATATACCAAAAATGGTTGATTTTACTGTTTATCCAAACTTCACCCACTGCTTTCCACTTCTAACCTAGCCACAGGCACCTTTATTCTCCCAGAGCAATAATATCCCCACTCTTCATCTCCAATTGTCTCCAAGCATTCTCTTCCATTGCAGCCAGAATTAAGTTCAAACAGGCAAATTTGATTGTGTTGCTCCCCAGCTTTTAAAAAAACCCACTTCCATGGGCAGGCACAGTGGCTCATGCCTGTAATCCCAGTACTTTGGGAGGCCGAGCTGGGTGGATCACCTGAGGTCGGGAGTTCGCAACCACCCTGACCAACGTGGAGAAACCCCATCTCTACTAAACCCCATCTCTACTCAAAATACAAAATTAGCCAGCCGTGGTGGCAATCTCAGCTGTAATCTCAGCTACTCGGGAGGCTGAGGCGGGAGAACCGCTTGAACCTGGGAGGCGGAGGTTTCGGTGAGCCGAGATCACACCATTGCACTCCAGCCTGGGCAACAAGAGCAAAACTCCGCCTCAAAAAAAAAAAAAAAACCCTCAGAGGACCCCCTGCTCCTGCTCTGTCCCTCGACACAATCACCCCTCTTCAGTTCCTCAAACAAGCCCCATTCTTTCCCCTCCCAGACCTCACACATCACTCTCTTCCTCTTATCTCACCAACTCATGTGCTTCCTCAGGCACTTCTTCAAGAAGTCCTCTATTGAAGCTAAACTGAGTTAGGCCCTTCTGCTCTGTCCCCTGAGCACCCCACAGCTCCCCTCTCACCTTATTGTAACTCTTTGTTTAATATCTGTCTTTCAGATAAACTATAAGCACTGTGGGTACAAGGAAGGCATCTTCCCTTGCACTGCTATATGTCTAGTACCCAGCCCAGGCCACCTGGTAGGAGCTCAATATATATTTATTATATAAGTGAGAGATGAGATGAATGACTGCTTCTTTAATGAAAGTTATTTATCGATTATGATAAAATACTTCATGGGCACTATTTAAGGTGAAGCCCTTGAGGAAAACCTTAAGGTCCTCTACATTCTAAAACTCGTTCAATGAATGCATTCTCCATACCAAAGGAGGGTGCAAGTCTTGCACACGGGTTGCTGGGTCTAGCAACTTCTTTTTTATTTTATTTTTTATTTTTTTGAGAAAAAAGAAGAGAAGAGGAAGAGAAGCAAAGAGGATCAATCCTTTTTTGTTTTTTAAGACAGGGTCTCAGTCTGTGGCCCAGGCTGGAGTACAGTGGCACAATGATCACAGCTCACTGCAGCCTTGACCTCTCAGGCTGAAGCCATCCTCCCACCTCAGCCTCCTAAGTAGCTGGGACTACAGGCTTGTGCCACCATGCCTGACTTATTTTTTTATTTTTTATAGAGCCAGAGTCTTACTGTGTTGAGCAGGCTGGCCTCAAACTCTTGAGCTCGAGGAATCCTCCTGCCTCAGTCTCCCAAAATGCTGGGATCACAGACATGAGCCACTATGTCAAGCTATATTGTTATTTTTCACTTTTTAATTTTTTTTCAAATATTTTCCAACCATGGTTGGTTGAATATGCAGATGCAGTATCAACGGACATGGAGACCCAACTACAGGTCCTTTTTTATAAGGTTCTCTTTAATCTATGGTATGGTTTATTGGTTTTTTGTTGTTGTTGTTTTTTGTTTTGTTTTGTTTTTGAGACAGAGTCTCGCTCTATGGCCCAGGCTGGAATGCAGTGGCACAATCTCGGCTCACTGCAACCTCCACCTCCCAGGTTCAAGAGATTCTGCCTCAGCCTCCCAAGTAGCTGGGAATACAGGCATGCACCATTACACCCAGCTAATTTTTGTATTTTTAGTAGAGATGGGCTTTCACCATGTTGGCCAGGCTGGTGTTGAATTCCTGACCTCAGGTGACCCACCTGCCTTGGCCTCCCAAAGTGCTGGGATTATAGGCATGAGCCACCACTCCTGGTTTGTTTATATGGCTATGTTTGTATGGCCCAGTATGTTTGTATGGCTATGGTATGTTTTTATCTGATGGTAATTTCACTATAGGATTTCAGTTGTATTTTCAATCACAATCTCTGATGTTTGTTTAATATAAGCTATCTTTACGATTTAGAAAGTCCTTTCATGCTGGTCCAGACAAAACTCTGAGCGCAGATAGGGAAACTTGCCTAAGGATACAGAGCTCAAAAGGGGACAGCAAGGGCTGGGAGCATGGGCTTCTTGAATCAGACCTGGATTTGTGCTAATGTAGCCAACAGCCTGGCATTGCCAGGCTACCAGCAAAGGACTTGTGGATGTATTATGGATTTCCAGACAAACAGGACAGTAGCATTTGTCAATGTTCAAATCCTTAATCTCCTATTTTTATCCCCCAACAGGTTTTGCAAATCTTTGAAATTTAAAAATAAAAGCCATTCCTGCTATTTTTAAAGCTGTTTCAGAGGTACGCAAGATAATCAATCCTTTAAAATAGAAAGTCTTCCTTTTTCCACTACTTCTTACTTTTAATGTACTGCCCGAGTACAAATCCTGATATTGTCATGTATCTTGGATAACGTCAATCCACAGCAGTTTAGGTACTGAAAATATTTATGTATTCCCTGGTCTTGATGAGCATAAGAGCAATCTTTCCAAGACCTTGCAGTGGGATGTAATAAAACTTGAATTGCAGTCCTGAATCATTTCTGGGTTCAACTTTGTCTCTTGGTAGCTGAATCGACTTGGACATGTTTCAAGAGTAGAATAACACAATGTTACATTCCCCCTGGAGGAGGAATAATACTTATCCAGCTCTCAGGGGAGAGTGGTTGCTGACTATTTTCAGCCTCAGGAAGAATGAACCACTTCCCATTTAATCCTGCAGTGGGACAGGTCAGGGATGGGGAAGCAAGGGGTTTAGAGCCACATGTTGAAGACTAGGAAGGCTTCTAGGTAGAAGTTCAGAGTTCAGCTTCTTGGCTCCACAGCTCAGGAACTTTGAGCTTTCACATATCAAAGAGTGTTGATGCCCAGGGTGAACAGACCAACACTAGGGGTGGAGGGCAGAACCTTCCTCGTCAAATTTTTAAGGAAGATTCAGTGCAAATTTGGCCCTGGGCTATCAGGGAGATGTAGGCAAGTGACATGTAGGTGTTTGAGTCTGATATGGTTTGGTTCTGTGTCCCCACCCAAATCTCATCTTGAATTGTAATCCCTATATGTGAAGGGAGGGACCTGGTGGGAGGTGATTGGATCATGGGGGCAGTTTCCCCCATGCTGTTTTCATGATAGGGAGTGAGTTTTCACAAGATCTGATGGTTTAAAAGTGTTTGGCAGTTCCCCACTTTCTCGCTGTCTCTCCCCTGCTGCCACGTAAGACGTGCCTTGCTTCCTGTTCATCCTCTGCCACGATTGTAAGTTTCCTAAGGCCTCCCTAGCTATGTGGAACCGTGAGTCAATTAAACCTCTTTTCTTTGTAAATTACCCAGTCTCAGGTAGTTCTTTATAGCAGTGTGAAAATGGACTAATACAGTCTCATGTTTTTTGTTTTGTTTTGTTTTCTGGGACAGGGGTCTCACTGTGTTGCCCAGGCTGGAATGCAGTGGCATGCTCACAGCTTACTGCAGTGTCGACCTCCTAGGCTCAAGCAATCCTCCCACCTCAGCCTCCCTAGTAGCTGGACCACAGGCATGAGCCACCACACACAGCTAATTTTTGTATTTTTTTCAGAGACAGGGTTTCACCAATGTTGCCCAGACTGGAGTCGAACTCCTGGGCTCAAGCCATCCATCCACCTTGGCTTCCCAAAGTGCTAGGATTACAGGCATGAGCCACCACACCTGGCCAGTATTTCTTTTTTTATACCAGATATGTGCTATTTGAAAACTATTTCATTATCTTTATCATCATCATTCACCTATGTCACATCAGATTTCTGTCTCTGCAAACATGTTGATATACAAACTAATATGAAGCCCTGATATTTCACCATCTTTTCAGGAGTGTTAGATGTCAACCTGAAATAATCAAAAGGGTCAGAATGTAGCTTAAAGAGAATGTATTCAAGCACAAATGTTGAGGACTGCAGCTAGGGACATGCTTCCAAATTGCCTTGGTGAATGCTTGGAAAAACAAAAGAGAATCTCAAGTTTTTAAAGAAAAAAAAAGATGAATCAGGAGAGGAGACGATTATAAAAGTTGTTCATCAGGCATTCTCATTGGTTTACAGAAATAACATTGACTCGTGATTGGCTTGTGTTGAATTACAGGTTGCATGGCATTTTATGGCTACTTGATGTCAGTTAGTCTAGAGCCCAAATAGCAAGTGGCTTCAAGAAGTAATGATTTAGCTCAAGGGGAAGTGCTACATAACTGCTGTTACATTTTAAATGCCTTGCTGGGCCTCATAATTTAAAGGGCTCACATTTCCTAGATACATGTGTGTTTTTTTGTTTTTTTCCCCCTTTCTCTTAGGCATGCCTAAAATCTCCTTTTTCTTCTTCTTAGGTAAAACATGACTATTTGCAGATTTCTGAAAATCAGTGCTCGAAACATTTCTTTTTTCCTTTTTCTGTTAAATCAGTGAAAGAAAATTATAATCAATTTCTTTCTTGGCTAATCTCTTCCTGAGTAATTTTTCTTTCTTTTTAAATAGCTCCTTATCTGCAGCTTTTCTAAAAGTGTTCAATTCTGACTGTTTCATTTCACTGGATATGATGGCTTTTTACATGGAACACTCCACTCTCTGAAAAGTTCTTCATGTACTTTTTCAAGTGGTATAAAATGACACTTGAAGAGTCTTTTACCAAAAAGGCGGTTCATTGTTTTGGCAACTTAGCAATATCATTAGACTCAAACTCCACAAAAGCATAGTTTTGGCATTTTCAGGCTTTCCACTTCTGGAGAGCTTGAATCTTGTAATCATGTCATACTTGGAGAAATATGCTCAGATCTGGGTTTCATAAAGCGCTGGAGGTATGTGACCTACACAGATAACTCCAGAAGACAGTTTTTCTTGCTCCTGTCATTGGGCTGACAAAGACTCTATCCTTTGAGCAGAACTTTGGCCAGGCTCCTCTGAGGCCTCTGCTTGACTAGGCCTGCCCTTGGGCTTCTCT
The DNA here is from genome assembly GCF_000001405.40 of Homo sapiens. NCBI lineage: Eukaryota > Metazoa > Chordata > Mammalia > Primates > Hominidae > Homo > Homo sapiens. The sequence continues at coordinate 32,065,536 of NC_000003.12, forward strand.
CTCTGTCCTTGTAGAATCCAGTTTGAGCAAGAATCCTGTGTAGTCAGTTTAATAAAAATCCCCAGGTCAGGCACAGTGGCTCACTCCTATAATCCCCCCGCTTTGAGAGCCTGAGGCAGGTGGATCACTTGAGGCCCAGAGTTCAAGACCAGCCTTGCCAACATGGTGAAACTCCATCTCTACAAAAAATACAAAAATCAGCCAGGCATGGTGGCATCTGTCTGTGGTCCCAGCTACTTGGGAGGCTGAAGCCAAAGGATCGCTTGAGCCCAGGAGGCCTAGGTTGCAAGGTTGCAGTCAGCAGAGACTGCACCACTAGACTCCAGCCTGGGCAACGGAGCAAGAGAAGAGAGAAAGAGAGACAGAAAGAGAGAGAAAGAAGGAAGAAAGAAAGAAGGAAAGAAGAAAGAAGAAAGAAAGAAAGAAAGAAAGAAAGAAAGAAAGAAAGAAAGAAAGAAAGAAAGAAAGAAAGAGAAAGAAAGAAAGAAAGAGAGAGAGAGAGAAAGAGAAAGAGAAGGTTGCAAGGTTGCAGTGAGCAGAGATTGCGCCACTAGACTCCAGCCTGGGCGACAGAGCAAGACCCTGAAGAAAGAGAGAGAGAAAGGGAAGAAAGGAAGAAAGGAAGAAAGGAAGGAAGGAAGGAAGGAAGGAAGGAAGGAAGGAAGGAAGGAAGGAAGGAAGGACATCCCCCACCCTTGCAATCTGACCACCCTCACTATATTATCACCCTAGCCTGCCTTCAGCAATAATCCTTTCAAGTCAGTTTAGCCAGAAACCTCTTATCCTTGATATTTCCCCTTAGTAATTTTCCATCCACTGCCCCTACCCTGCTCTTTGGTTATAAATCTCCACTTGTCCTTGTTGGAGTCTGAGTTGAGCCAATCTCACATTGTAATGGTCCCTATACCGATCACCATGGTCCCGTTGAATAAAGGCAGCCTTACTATCCTTAACAAGTGTCATGAATAATTGTTTCTTTAGCACAGCAAACCTGTACCACCTCCATTAGAAACTTGCCCTCCTCCTGCAAACTCAGTGACAGGAGCAGCTTGGCCATGCCAGAAAAGTCTGCCATGCCGAGAGTACCCAAGCCAACCAAGATCCATCACCTCCTCAGTGAAAATCATCAACAGACAGTTTGCAACCTAAGATTCTTTAAATCTCTTGCTTCAAATTCCTTACCAATTCTGGACAGTTGTATTGTTATCTTTATCCAATCCTAATAACGTCACCCACAATGAAAGGCCCATCTTAAACAAAACTCCTGAAAAATGAAATTTATGGGAGGTCATTGATTTGGACTGAGCTCCTGTGATTGGCCCCAACAAACCACACCAAAATGGAGTCACTCATGCTAAAGTTCTGAAACTAAGTTGTTTATCTGATCTTCTAAAAGATCAGAAGAGATGATAGCCAAATTCCCAAATGGGCCAGTTTTAGACAGCATGATAACGAGGCTCCTTCTGCTTTAACTCTTATAAAGAAAGTAACTTGAAGTGACCTGATGTTAACCAAACTGTTTTTGGATTATGCTGTTACCTTTGTCCTGCTTAAGCAACCTTATAAAAACTGACTGTTCTTCTATAACCAATGGAACACCTTTAAAAAAAAAATCTTCAGATGAGATGTTGAATTGCCAATTCAATGACTAAAAGATCTAAAACCCATTTAGATCTTTAATTTAAATTTTTTTGTAATTTTGTCTTTTGACAGTCTCAATTCTAAGTCAATTTATATCTTGCCTTCCCAAGTGGGACCCTTGGGAAGGGACCCCTTCTGTGGAACCCAGAGCCACTGCCAAAGCTCTGTGGAGGGTCGTGTTCTCTCATCTTGAGGAGCAATAAATTCAGCTTTGTCTTTTCAGTTGGTTGAGTTAGTGATATTCAGGGATCTGCATTGACAAATAGAATCTAAGTATTACAAAAACAACCTGTCAGGCCTCTGAGCCCAAGCTAAGCCATCATATCCCCTGTGACCTGCACATATACATCCAGATGGCCTGAAGCAACTGAAGATCCACAAAAGAAGTAAAAATAGCCTTACTGATGACATTCCACCATTGTGATTTGTTTCTGCCCCACCCTAACTGATCAATGTACTTTGTAATCTCCCCCACCCTTAAGAAGGTTCTTGTAATCTCCCCAACCCTTAAGAAGTTTCTTTGTAATTCTCCCCACCCTTGAGAATGTACCTTGTGAGATCCACCCACTACCCACAAAACATTGCTCCTAACTCCACCACCTATCCTGAAACGTATGAGAACTAATGATAATCCCACCACCCTTTGCTGACTCTCTTTTCAGACTCAGCCTGCCTGCACCCACATGAAATAAACAGTCTTGTTGCTCACACAAAGCCTGTTTAGTGGTCTCTTCACACAGATGCGTATGACATTTGGTGCTGAAGACCAGGGTCAGAGGGACTGCTTCAAGAGACCAGTTCCCTGTCCTCACCCTCACTCTGTGAAGAGATCCACCTACAACCTCCGGTCCTCAGACCAACCAGCCCAAGGAACATCTCACCAATTTCAAATCAGGTAAGCGGTCTTTTCACTCTCTTCTCCAGCCTCTCTCACTCCCTTCAATCTCTCTTTCCTTCCAATTCCAGTTGTTTTCCTCTCTAGTAGAGACAGAGGAGACACATTTTATCTGTGGACCCAAAACTCCGGCGCCAGTCACGGACTCGGGAAGACAGTCTTCCCTTGGTGTTTAATCACTGCGGGGACCCCTGCCTGATTATTCACCCACATTCCATTGGTGTCTGATCACCGCAGGGATGCCTGCCTTGGTCATTCACCCACATTCCCTTGGTGGCAAGTCAATTGCAGGGATGCCTGCTTTGGCTGCTCACCCACATTGCAGCCCAGGGCTGCTCCCCACCCCCCTTCTCCGTGTCTCTACCCTTCTCTTTAATCTTGCCTCCTTCACTATGGGCAACCTTCCACCCTCCATTCCTCCTTCTTCTCCCTTAGCCTGTGTTCTCAAGAACCTAAAACCTCTTCAACTCTCGCCTGACCTAAAATCTAAGCATCTTATTTTCTTTTGCAACACTGCTTGGCCCCAATACAAACTTGACAATGGTTCTAAATGGCCAGAAAACGGCACTTTTGATTTCTCCATCCTACGAGACCTAGATCATTTTTGTCGAAAAATGGGCAAATGGTCTGAGGTGCCTTACATCCAGGCATTTTTCACACTTCATTCTCTCCCTAGTCTCTGTTCCCAATGCAACTCATCCCAAAGCCTCCTTCTTTCCCTCCTGCCTGTCCCTTCAGTCCCAACCCCAAGTGTCACTGAGTCTTGTGAATCTTCCTTTTTTACTAACCCATCTGACCTCTCACCTCCTCCCCAGACTGCTCCTCCTCAGGTCGCTCCCCGTCAGGCTGAATCAGGCTCCAACTCTTGTTCAGCCCCTGCTCCCCTACCCTATAACCCTTCTATTACCTCCCCTCCCCACACCCGGTCTGGTTTACAGTTTCATTCTGCAACTAGCTCTCCCCCACCTGCCCAACAATTTCCTCTTAGAGAGGTGGCTGGAGTTGAAGGCATAGTCAGGGTACATGTGCCTTTTTCTCTATCAGACCTTTCACAAATCAGCCAGTGTTTAGGCTCTTTCTCATCAGACCCCACTAAATATATACAGGAATTCCGATATCTAACTCTGTCCTACAATTTAACTTAGAGTGACTTAAATGTCATCCTGACTTCTACCCTCTCCCCAGATGAACGGGAAAGAGTTTTTTTCTGTAGCCCAATCTCATGCTGATAACCACCAGCTTCATGAGCCAGACCTCCAGGAAGGCATTAGAGCAGTTCCCCGAGAAGATCCCCAATGGAACTACCAGGCAGATTCCCCAGGTATAGCTAGGCGAGATTACATGGTTTCCTGCCTAGTTGAAGGGCTTTAAAAGGCAGCTTATAAGCTGTTAATTATGACAAACTTAAAGAAACTACCCAAGGTAAAGACGAAAACCCAGCCCAGTTCATGGCCCGCTTAACAGCAACCCTTAGACGCTTTACCGCCCTAGACCCAGAGGGTCCAGAAGGCCGCCTTATTCTTAACATGCATTTTATCACCCAGTCAGCTCCTGACATTAGAAAAAAGCTTTAAAAATTGGAATCCGGCCCTCAAACCCCACAACAGGAATTAATCAACCTCACCTTCAAGGTGTACAATAATAGAGAGGCGGTAGCCAGACAGCAATGCATTTCTGAGTTACAGCTACTTGCTTCCAATGTAAGATAACCCACAACCACGGCTCCAGCATATAAGAACTTCAGAACATCAAAGCCATAGCTCCCAGGGGCTCCTTCAAAACATCCTCGTGGACCTTGCTTCAAATGCCAAAAGCCTGGCCACTGGGCCTCAGAATGCCCGCAGCCCAGGATTCTTCCTAAGACATGCCCTGTCTGTGTGGGTCCCCACTGGAGGTTGGACTCTCCGACTCACATCGCCGCTGCTTCTAAAGCCTCTGGAGCCCAAACCCAGTGTTCCCTGGCTGACTCCTTCCCAGATCTCCTCAGCTTAGCAGCTGAAGACTGACTCTGCCTGATCACATTGGAAGCCCCCTGGACCATCACGGACGCCGAGCTTTAGGTAACTCTTATGGTGGAGGGTAAGTCCGTCCCCTATTTAATTGATATGGGGGCTACCCACTCCACATTACCTTCTTTTCAAGGGCCTGTTTTCCTTGCCCCCATAACTGTTGTGGGTATTGACAGCCAAGCTTCAAAACCCCTTAAAACTACCCCACTCTGGTGCCAGCTTGGACAACATTCTTTTATGCACTCTTTTTCAGTTATCCCCACCTGTCCAGTTCCCTTATTAGGTCAAGACATTTTAACCAAATTATCTGCTTCCCTGATTATTCCTGGACTACAGTCACATCTTATCTCCACCCTTCTTCCCAACCCAAAGCCTCCTTCGTGTCTTCCTCTCATATCCCCCAACCTTAATCCACAAATATGGGACACCTCCACTCCCTCCCTGGCAACTGATCACATGCCCATTACTATCCCATTAAAACCTAATCACCCTTACCCTACAACAGGCTTTAAGGGGATTAAATCCTGTTATCACTTGCTTGCTACAGCATGGGCTTCTAAAACCTATAAATTCTCCTTCCAATTCTCCCGTTTTACCTGTTCAAAAACTAGACAAGTCTTACAGGTTAGTTCAGGATCTGCACCTTATCAACCAAATTGTTTTGCCTATCCACCCTGTGGTGCCCAACCCATACACTCTTTTGTCCTCAATACCTTCCTCCACAACTCACTATTCCGTTCTTGATCTTAAAGATGTTTTTTTCACTCTTCCCCTACACCCCTCATCCCAGCCTCTCTTTGCTTTTACCTGGACTGACCCTGACACCCATCAGTCCCAGCAGCTTACCTGGGCTGTACTGCTGCAAGCCTCCAGGGACAGCCCTCATTACTTCAGCCAAGCTTTTTCTCATGATTTACTTTCTTTCCACTCCTCTGCTTCTCACCTTATTCAATATATTGATGACCTTCTACTTTGTAGCCCCTCCTTTGAATCTTCTCAACAAGATACCCTCCTGCTCCTTCAACATTTATTCTCCAAGGGATATCAGGTATCCCCCTCCAAAGCTCAAATTTCTTCTCTGTTACCTACCTAAGTATAGTTCTTCATAAAAACACATGTGCTCTCCCTGCCAATTGGGTCTGACTGATCTCTCAAACCCCAACTCCTTCTATAAAACAACAACTCCTTTCCTTCCTGGGCATGGTTGGATACTTTCGCCTTTGGATACCTGGTTTTGCATCCTAACAAAACCATTACATAAACTCACAAAAGGAAACCTAGCTGACCTCATAAATCCTAAATCCTTTCCCCACTCCTGTTTCCATTCCTTGAAAACAGCTTTACAGACTGCTCCCACACTAGCTCTCCCTGACTCATCCCAACCCTTTTCATTACACACAGCTGAAGTGCAGGGCTGTGCAGTCGGAATTCTTACAGAAGGACCAGGACCACGCCTTGTAGCCTTTTTGTCCAAACAACTTGACCTTACTGTTTTAGGCTGGCCATCATGTCTCCATGCGGCGGCTGCCACCACCCTAATACTTTTAGAGGCCCTCAAAATCACAAACTATGCTCAACTCACTCTCTACAGTTCTCATAACTTCCAAAATCTATTTTCTTCCTCACACCTGACACATATACTTTCTGCTCCCCGGCTCCTTCAGCTGTACTCACTCTTTGTTGTGTCTCCCACAGTTACCATTGTTCCTGGCCCAGACTTCAATCCAGCCTCCCACATTGTTCCTGATACCACACCTGACCCCCATAACTGTATCTCTCTGATACACCTGGCATTCACTGCATTTCCCCATATTTCCTTCTTTCCTGTTCCTCACCCTGATCACACCTGGTTTATTGATGGCAGTTCCACCAGGCCTAATTGCCACTCACCAGCAAAGGCAGACTATGCTATAGTATCTTCCACATCTATCATTGAGGCTACCACTCTGCCCCCCTCTACTACCTCTCAGCAAGCCGAACTCATTGCCTTCACTCAAGCCCTCACTCTTGCAAAGGAATTACGCGTCAATATTTATACTGACTCTAAATATGCCTTCCATATCCTGCACCACCATGCTGTTATATGGGCTGAAAGAGGTTTCCTTACTACACAAAGGTCCTCCATCGTCAAAGCCTCTTTAATAAAAATGCTTCTCAAGGCCGCTTTACTTCCCAAGGAAGCTGGAGTCATACACTGCAAGGGCCACCAAAAGGCATCAGATCCCATTGCTCAGGGCAATGCTTATGCTGATAAGGTAGCTAAAGAAGCAGCTAGCATTCCAACTTCTGTCCCTCACGGCCAGTTTTTCTCCTTCTCATCAGTCACTCCCACCTACTCTCCCACTGAAACTTCCATCTATCAATCTCTTCCCACACAAAGCAAATTGTTCTTGGACCAAGGAAAATATCTCCTTCCAGCCTCACAGGCCCATTCTATTCTATTGTCATTTCATAACCTCTTCCATGTAGGTTACAAGCTGCTAGCCCGCCTCTTAGAACCTCTCATTTCCTTTCCATCGTGAAAATCTATCCTTAAGGAAATCACTTCTCAGTGTTCCATCTGCTATTCTACTAATCCTCAGGGATTGTTCAGGCCCCCTCCCTTCCCTACACATCAAGCTCGGGGATTCACCCTCGCCCAGGAGTGGCAAATTGACTTTACTCACATGCCCTGAGTCAGGAAACTAAAATACCTCTTGGTCTGGGTAGACACTTTCACTGGATAGGTAGAGGCCTTTCCCACGGGGTCTGAGAAGGCCACCGCGGTCCTATCTTCCTTTTTGTCAGACATAATTCCTCAGTTTGGCCTTCCCACCTCTATACAGTCTGATAGTGGATCGGCCTTTACTAGTCAAATCACCCAAGCAGTTTCTCAGGCTCTTGGTATTCAGTGGAACCTTCATACCCCTCACCGTCCTCAATCTTCAGGAAAGGTAGAACAGACTAATGGTCTTTTAAAGACACACCTCACCAAGCTCAGCCTCCATCTTAAAAAGGACTGGACAGTACTTTGACCTTCTGCCCTTCTCAGAATTCGAGCCTGTCCTCGAGACGCTACAGGGTGCAGTCCATTTGAACTTTTATATGGATGCACTTTCTTACTCGGCCCAAACCTCATCCCAGACACCAGCCCTCTAGGCAACTATCTTCCAGTCCTCCAGCAGGCTAGACAGGACATTCACCAGGCTGCTAATCTTCTCTTGCCTACTCCAGATTCCCAGCCATATGAAGACACCCTAGCTGGACGATCAGTTCTTGTTAAGAATCTGACCCCTCAAACTCTACAACCTCGATGGACAGGACCCCACTTAGTCATCTATAGTACTCCAACTGCCATCCACCTGCAGGACCCTCCCCATTGGGTTCACTGTTCCAGAATAAAGTTGTATCCATCAGACAGACAGCCTGATATCTTCTCTTCCTCCTGGAAATTGCAAGTACTCTCCCCTACTTCCCTAAACTCACTCACATTTCTGAAGAACAGTAATGACCCTTATGAGCCTAATACATCCCTTCATTTATTAGGTCTATCCATCCTTATGCTACTCTTTGCAACGGGGCTTTATGCAGTCACCCCCACTACTTGGACTGCACCCCAAAAAACTTGTCATCCCTTCTATATTCTGTCTAGCCATACTCCTATTCACCATTCTCAACTACTCATAAATGACCTGCTCTTGTTTACACTGCCGGTTTACATTGTTTCTCCAAGCCATCACAGCTGATATCTCCTGGTGCTATCCCCAAACCGCCACTCTTGACTCCCTCTTGGAGTGGATAGATGATCTTTTCTGACAGGGCACCCTCCAATACTTCCGCCCTGATGAAGTTCTATCCTTTACTTTTATACTCACTCTTATTCTCATTCCCATTCTTATGCCACTCTCTACCTCTCCCTAGTTACCTCCAGCATACTAGCAATCTCATCCACTTTGTCCTCACTGCCGCCAATCCTTCTCTAGCAAAGAATTGTTGGCTATGCATTTCCCTTTCTTCCTGCTCTTACACAGCCATCCCCGCTCTACAGGCCGACTGGGCTACCTCTCCCACCTCCCTGCACCTCAGAACCTCCTTTAATAGCCCTCACTTTACCCGCCTGAGGAACTTCTTTACTTTCTAGACAGATTTGGTGAGAACTCCCCAGACATTTCACATCAATAAGCTGTCACACTTCTCCGCATCTACTTACGGCACCTTTCTCCTTATGTCAATTCCACGCCCCCATATTTGGACTGCTAACCACGCAAACAACTATCCCTGTTGCCACTCCTTTATGCATCTCTCGACAACAGCCTACTGGAATCCCTTTAGGCAACCTTCCACTGTCCAAATGTTCCTTTACTCTTTATCTCCAGAACCCAGCCACACACATTACCAAACAGATGGGAGCATTCCAACTTCACGTTACTGATAAGCCCTCTATCATTACTGACAAACTGAAAAACATTGGCAGTCACTATTGTTTAGGAAGACACCTACCCTGCATCTCACTGCATCCTTCGCTACCCTCCCCCTGCTCATCTGAATCTCCTCCTAGCCCCTCCTCTTGCTTGCTTATACCCAGCCCCATGAATAGCAGTGAAAGGTTACTTGTAGACACTATGCACTTTCTCATATACCATGAAAACCGAACCCCTCCCTCTATGCAGTTGCACCATCAATCCCCATTACAATCTGTAACAGCTGCTGCCCTTGCTGGATCTCTAGGATTTGGGGTGCAGGATTCCTCTTTCAGTACACCCTCTAACCTTTTCACTTTACATTTCCAGTTCTGCCTGACACAAGGTCTCTTCTTTTTATGCGGCTCTTCCACCTACATGTGCCTACCTGCCAACTGGACAAGCACATGTACTCTAGTCTTCCTTACCCCCAAAATCCAGTTTGCAGATGGGAATGAACAACTGCGGGTCCCCCTCATGACGCCAACACGACCAAAAAGAGTCATCCGACTAATCCCTTTACTTGTGGGTCTACGACTTTCTGCTTCCACTATTGTACTTGGAACTTGAATAGCAGGCATTTCAACCTCTGTCACAACATTCTGCAGCCTCTCTAATGACTTCTCCACTAGCATTACAGATGTATCACAAACTTTATCTGTTCCTCAAGCCCAGGTTGACCCTTTAGCTGCAGTTGTCCTCCAGAACCGCCAAAGCCTTGATTTACTCACTGCTGAAAAAGGAGGACTCTGTATATTTTTAAATGAAGAGTGTTGTTTTTACCTAAATCAATCTGGTCTGGTATATGACAACATAAAAAAACTCAAGGATAGAGCCCAAAAACTCACCAACCAAGCAAACAATAACATTGAACCCCCTTGGACACTCTTTAATTGGATGTCCTGGGTACTCCCAACTCTTAGTCCTTTAATACCTTTTTATCTCCTTCTTTTATTCAGACCTTGTGTCTTTCGTTTAGTTTCTCAATTCATACAAAACAGCATCCAGGCCATCACCAATAATTCTATATGACAAATCCTCCTTCTAAGAAACCCACAATATCACCCCTCACCCCAAAATCTTTCTTCAGTTGAATCTTTCCCACTGTAGGTTTCCACACAGCCCCTAATCCCGCTTGAAGCAGCCCTGAGAGACATTGCCCATTATCTCTCCATACCACCTCCAAAATTTTTTGCCGCTCCAACACCTCACCACTATTTTGTTTTGCTTTTCTTATTAATATAAGAAGACAGGAATGTCAGGCCTCTGAGCCCAAGCTAAGCCATCATATCCCCTGTGACCTGCACATATACATCCAGATGGCCTGAAGCAACTGAAGATCCACAAAAGAAATGAAAATAGCCTTAATTGATGACATTCCACCATTGAGATTTGTTTCTGCCCCAGCCTGACTGATCAATGTACTTCGTAATCTCCCCCACCCTTAAGAAGTTTCTTTGTAATTCTCCCCATCCTTGAGAATGTACTTTGTGAGATCCACCCCCTGCCTGCAAAACATTGCTCCTAACTCCACCACCTATCCCAAAACCTGTAAGAACTAATGATATGGCCAGGCGCGGTGGCTCACGCCTGTAATCCCAGCACTTTGGGAGACCGAGGTGGGTGGATCACGAGGTCAGGAGATCGAGACCATCCTGGCTAACATGGTGAAACCCCGTCTCTACTAAAAATTCAAAAATTAGCCAGGCAAGGTGGCGAGCACCTGTAGTCCCAGCTACTCAGGAGGCTGAGGCAAGAGAATGGCGTGAACCCAGGAGGCAGAGCTTGTAGTGAGCAGAGATTGCGCCACTGCACTCCAACCTGGGCAACAGAGTGAGACTCCATCTCAAAAAAAAAAAAAGAATCCCACCACCCTTTGCTGACTCTCTTTTCAGACTCAGCCTGCCTGCACCCAGGTGAAATAAACAGCCTCGTTGCTCACACAAAGCCTGTTTGGTGGTCTCTTCACACGGACACGCGTGACACAACCTTAAGGCATCTGGTCAGAGAAAGGGGATCCTTTCCCTGTTCGCCTGACAAACTTTTTTAACTGTCCAATGGGTTCATCTTGCCTACCACCTAGACAGCCGTTTTATCAAGACAGGGGAATTGCAATAAAGAAAGAGTATTTCACACAAAGCCGGCTGTGCGGGAGACCAGAGTTTTGTAACTCAAATTAGTCACCCTGAGCATTCAGGGATCAGAGTTTTTAAGGATAATTTGGTAGGTGGGGGGCCAGTGAGTCAGAAGTGCTGATTGGTAAGGTCAGAGACAAAATTACAGGGAGCCAAGCTGTCCTCTTGTGGCTGAGTCAATTCCTGGGTTGGGGCCACAAGGTCAGATGAGCCAGTTTATTGATCTGGGTGGTGCAAGCTGATCCATCAAGTGCAGGGTCTGCAAAATATCCACTGATATTTTGCAAAATAAAGCACTGATATTATCCCCAAGAACAATTTGGAGAGAGTCAGAATCTTGTAGCCCCCAGCTGTATGACTCCTAAACCATAATATCTGATCTTTTGGCCAATTTGTTAGCCCTACAAAGTCAGCCTAGTCCCCAGGCAAGAAAGGGGTTTGTTTTGGGAAAGGGCTATTATCGTCTTTGTTTTAAACTATAAACTAAGTTCTTCCCAAAGTTAGTTCAGCCTAAGCCCAGGAATGAACAAGGATAGCTTAGAAGTTAGAAGCAAGATGGAATTGGTTAGGTCAAATCTCTTTCACGGTCTCAGTTATAATTTTGCAATGGATGTTTCACTGTCATCTAAACTCTGCTCTGAGAGTGCCTGTGCTAATGTTACAGGTAGTTAACCAGGCATCAACAGGGCAGGAGAGCACTCTCCCCCACCCACTAGGAATGTTCGGTAATTATCACATTACCTCTCTAAAAGTGGTGAATTGGGAGCCAGGCGCCAGGGGAGAGGCCGTTTCCTGATGGTCCACACCTGTTGCAGTAAAGTGTGATTTGAATACTGACTCCAGGGAGAAGCAGCTTCCTGGGCATGCACATTAAAAGAGTCAAAATGGTGGTGCACAACGTTCCAGGGGCACGCCACTGGAAAAAGGAAGAAAGCCTCAGGTGGGCATGTGGACAACTTCCTAAACACACTGCACATGCTCACCTCCCAAGGGTAAGGAGGGCGCTGCATTTGCGGGCAGCCCACACTAACGGAAGAATCATGGGAAAGAGGCGAGCCTATAAAGTCCTAGGATGCAGTTAAACGTCACACTTGACCTTTGTGCCTGTTTGGGTCTCTTCCCAGCATACTTTCTTTTCCTTTCTTTCCTGTTCTGAAGCCTTTTAAATAAACTTCCACTCCTTCTCAGAAAGGAGTCGCCCTTCCTGCCTTAGTCTTTTTTTCTGCTTTATGCCCCTCAGTCGAATTCTTTCTTCTGAGGAGGCAAGAATTGAAGTTGCTGCAGACCTGTATGGATTTGCTGTCGGCAACTCGGATTCTTTCCACCAGTAACACTAAGACCCCTCCATTCTTCCTGCAGTATCTGTTCTGTGGTCAGCTAGCCTTATGGCTTCTCACCAGTCATGGTCCTGCCTCTGGAAATCCACAGAAAGACTGGCGTCTTTTGCAGAAATCAGCTGTGTCCTTAGCTCTCTCTGCAGGCAGCTGCCCCAAAGCATGATCTAAAATGTCAGAGGCACCTGCTCAGAGATCTCTGTATCTCCCCTCCTTCTTCAAATAGGGTCAGAAATTCCCACCATTACTACCACCTTTAGAAATTGTGAGTCTACATCTTCTGCCCTTTGGAAATAGACATTTTGTATCTTATGAAATATAAAAAGATTATAAATTTGTTTGCTCTTTTGGTAAGGTGATCTGTATCTTCTGTCCTTTGAGAATAGTGCTACTGTATCTTATGAAACAAGAAAAAAAAATTTTGTTCCTTTATGTTAAGGTCTGGGGACCTCGCTTCAAATGCAAATAAGTTTTGAATGGTGAATGCATAATTTCTGTTCCACTTTTCACAACTAATTCAAGTCCTGCTTGGTTCACCTTCAAAGTGTGCCTCAACTCTCCACTCAAGGTGAACCCAGCAGGATGTGAATCCCAGTTGGTTTGAAAATATTTCACTGTTGTTCTTTCGTTATAGAAACAATGCATATTTATTATAGAAAATTTAGAAGAGATAGATATCAAAAGACAGAATTACAACAAGTTTAAGCATCTCAGTTGGCTTTATTTGCAATTCTAGAATAGGCAAGACTTTTTTCCATAAAACAGAATAAGTGTTCCAATGAGCTGAGCAAGAGAGTTTGGCTTTATAGACAGAGGAGTGCTGAAGAAAGCAGAAGCAAAGAACGAAGAGTTTATCAGTTACTTTTAGACAGAACAATAGAAAAAGAACTGATTAATTAATATCAGGTTACTTCAGACTACTTCTTTGGTGTAAGGATTAAAGAAGAGGGAACTGCATTATTACACCCATTGAAGATTTAATCTGGTCCATTTGGGAAATTGGCTGTCTCTTTCTCCTGGCTTCTCAGAAGGTCAGATAGCAACTTAGTTTGTGTTTGGTGATGTGGAACTTTAGCTTGGGTGACTCCATGTTGATTTTTAGTCCAGTGTGTTGGGGCCTAGTGCAGAAACTCAGTCTAAAACAATGGCCTCCTAAAATTTTTATTTAACATACATAAGTTTTTAAAAAGTTTTCTGTACCTCCACATTTAAAATATTTTGATGTTTGATATTTCAGTTGTTTTATTAACATGCAAGTAGGTGTGTGTGTTTACACATTATTTTATGTGTGTGTATATATATACATATCATTTTGTGAACTTTTAAAATTTAATGTATCTTTATTATTTTAATATCACTAATTATTCTCTGCAACATCATTTAATAACTATATAATATACAACTATATAATTTACCTATCGTTGGACATTTAGGTTATTCTGAATTTTAAAATATTATATTATATATTTATATATCTATCATTTACACACATTGTGTAAATTAAATATATGTATAACAGACTATTATTCCTCTTGGTATACACTTACGATATTTCTTTTTTTTTGTTTTTTGAGATGGATTCTCGCTCTGTTGCCCAGGCTGGAGTCCAGTGGCGCCATCTGCAAGCTCCGCCTCCTGGGTTCACGCCATTCTCCTGCCTCAGCCTCCCCAGCAGCTGGGACTACAGGCGCCCGCCACCATGCCCGGCTAATTTTTGGTATTTTTAGTAGAGACGGGGTTTCACCCTGTTAGCCAGGATGGTCTCCATCTCCTGACCTCGTGATCCACCCGCCTCGGCCTCCCAAAGTGCTGGGATTACAGGCGTGAGCCACTGCGCCCAGCCTAGGTATTTCAATAGAAGTGGAATAAAGCCAATTTATTGTCTTTGAAAATCATGGCACTGTATGTTTCCATCCACAGAGTACAACAGAGCCCCTTTCCCCCTGTCTTCATGAACGTTGGATGGTAGCAGACCCCTCTACCTTTTATGTCAGCTACTAGAAAGAAATCAAACCTCGGTGTTGCTTCCTCCTGCAGTGTTTGAACTACCTCTGATCCGGAAAATTTTCATGTGCTCATTGGTCATTTCTGCTCATGCAAATTGTCTTTTCATGCCCTGTGCTTTTTTTCTACTAAGATACTCAGTTTTCTCTTGTCAACCTAATATAATCGAAAGGGTCAGAATCTAATTTAAAGAGCGTTTATTCAAGTGCATGAGGATGGACCGCCCAGAAACACCAACTCCAAAGGGATGGAGTCGGTGTTGCAATGTAGGGAAGTTAAGATTTCATGTATATGGGTGGAGACAGAGGAGTTTTTGGTGGGATTACATTATTCATACAAGGTTGGCACATAGTTACAGAAATTAGGTTTTAGGCAATGTTTCTTTTGAGAAGGGTATATTTTAACATCTTTTTGCAGAGGGTATGATAGTCACAGATTTTCTGTCATCTGGTTTAAGCAAAGCAGGACAACAAAAGGGAAGTTAATCTTTAGCACGTGCTATTCATTAAAAAGGCGGGAAGTTTTTGTCTCTGATTTTGTTTAATTCTCTCTAGTCATTGTACAGAACAAGAAAAATAAGAAAGCAAGTTAATCCATAGTCTGAGAACCATAAATTGTAACCATATGTGGCTCAGATCACAGTCATCTCTATCTAGGCTTAATTTTTTTGGGGGGGCGCTGGGAAGCAGGTCCCAACAGCTTTAAAACTGTATTTATTTTCACACTTTCTCTGCACAGCTTCTCACACTGTGAGAGGCTTCCTTCCCTTTTTTTTTTTTTTTTTTTAAGAGAGAGTGTCTCACTCTGTTACCCAGGCTGGAGTGCAGTGGCACAACCATGACTCACTGCAGCCTCAACCTCCTGGGCTGAAGCGATCCTCCTACCTCAGCCTCCAGAGTAGCTGGGACTACAGACATATGCCACCACACTCAGCTAATTTTTGTATTTTTTGTAGATACGAGGTTACACCATGTGGCCCAAACTCCTGAGCTCAAACAATCCTCCTGTCTTAGCTTCCGGAAGTTCTGGGATTACAGACATGAGCCACTGTACCTGGCTGACTCCTTCCCTTGATACTCAACCTAACTTAGGAGTGCCCCACCTGGAAGACCTCCAAGCTGCTGTAACATTACCTGGCCCACTCCACACTTCTGATATGGGAACCCTTGGTTCCTGTTTCCCTCTACACCACCCCCATCCCCATCACAGCAGTCATTACCTGGAAATACATTGTGATCCTGCCTGCTACAAGACAGAGCCAAAATGTGGATTTTCTCAATTTTGTCCTCCTAGTATCTCACACACAAACATACACACACACAGAGGGACTCAGCCTAAATATTTGTTAAGTAAATGTATTCGTCCATTCTCATGTTGGTAATAAAGACATACCTGAAACTGGGTAATTTGTAAAGAAAAAGAGCTTTAATAGACTCGCAATTCCACATGGCTGGGGAGGCCTCACAATCATGGTGGAAGGTGAAAGGCACATCTTATATGGTAGCAGGCAAGAGAGAGTGAGAGCCAAGTGAAAGGAGAAACCCAGTATAAAACCATCAGATCTTGTGAGACTTATTCACTACCACAAGAACAGTATAGGGGAACTGCTTCCATGATTCAAATTATCTCCCACCCTGTCCCTCCCACAACCCATGGGAATTATGGGAGCTACAATTCAAGATGAGATTTGGGTGGGGACACGGACAAACCATATTAGTATATAAACACACATACATATGCCATAACTGCTAGGGGAAAATATTCAAAACCATTGGCTTGCTAAAGTGAATCAATATCTTTATATGTGAAAGCTAGTTTGGAGTATACATGTGATATCTCCTTCTCCTGGTAAACTATAGAACTCTCCTCTTGAGGAATTACTCTGCTCTGGAGAAGAGTTTTCAGGATGCTGACATGTGGGTGTGCCCCCACTGAAAAAGACTTGCTTGTAGATCAGTAAGGTATCTATGGGTTACAGTAATCTATTGCACATTTCAAAATAGCTAGGAGAGAAGAATAGGAATGGTTTTAGCAGAAAGAAAATATAAATATTTATGGTGATGCATATCCCAATTACGCTGGTTTAATCTTTGCAAATTATATGAATGTATTAAATTATCACAAATGGCCTGAAACTATATACATTTGTTATGCATCAATTTTAAAAAAATTAAGGCTTACTTGCAACCCAGTCACCCTCTGTTGACAAGTCGTGCCAGTCCACTTAGAGCCATTTCACTCTTATACCAACAGCCACACATCACCAAACATTTGACAGTCTCCAACATAAAAAAGACAACACAAACAGGATCACATAAACATGAAAGAAAATCAAAACCTATAATAAACATCTTCACAGAAATAAAAAGAATAATGAGAAAGAGCTCTTGGAAATGGAAAATAATATGGCTTTAATTTTTTAGAGAAATGCACCAAAAGGGTTAAAAGATGAAATCCAGAAAGTGAAGATGAGTACAAGCAAACAATTGGAAATAAGAAAAGAAAAGACTTCAGGAAAGGTGACAATGCTAAATGATAAAATTTCAAATAGAAACTACAGAGAAAATGAAAAGGAGTTACTCCTTGAATAAATAACACAAAACATTCTATGAAACTGAAAAACACAATCATTCAGATTTAAAAGACACAGAGTACCCAGCACCCTGAATTTTAAAAGCTTGTGACAGGACTCTAAGCATGAAAGCAGGGGATAAAAAGAGGATCCTAAAACTTTCAGAGACAGAGGAAATGAAAAAAAAAATCCAAGGTATCTGTTCAAAGAAAAACCTTAGACAAAGCAACTTTGCAGAGTTTAACTGGGCAAAAGAATTATTTGTGAATTGGGCAGCCTCCAGAGCCAGAGTAGACTCAGAGGCTCCAGCACAGCCACGTGGTGGAAAAAGATTTATGGACAGAAAAAGGAAAGTGACGGACAGAAAACCAAAAAGAGATACACAAAAAGCTGGATTGGTTACAGCCCAGCCTTATTTGAACACTGTTTAACAGCTTGATTAGCCAAAACTCGGTGATTGGTGCAAGAGTAGGTTACAGTGTTTATCTCTCCATTTAGGTTATAGTTCACTATGTACAGAGAAACCTTTAGTTCAAACTTAAAATATGTAAGGAGGAAACTTTAGGTTAAACTTGGTTTAACAGGTCATATACAAAGAAACTATAATAATGAAGAATCTAAGCAGTGTTAATATAGAAATATGTATAAAAGTGGAGTGGCATAATCAAGGCAGAAATTTATTCTGAACTCATATCACAGTTCAGAGGTAAAGTCCAGAGCAAGAATGGCAGCTCTGGGAACCTCATCACACAGCTTCCAACCCAGAATTCAAGGTGGCAGCCAGGTCCCCCGATCATGTCTGCACCTGTCCATGGGGAAGAAGGGAATGGGAAAGGCCATTGGCTGCTGATTCCTTCCAGGCATAATCCGAAAGTGGAAAATATCATTTCAACTCAACACTCCACTGGCCGAACTTAGTTACATGTCCATAAAGTGCTGCAAGGAGGGCTAGGGAATGTCATCTCCAGCCAGGCTAAAAGTTAGGCATTATTTTACTAAGGAAAAAAATGGATACTGAAAGAGAAATAGAAGCCTCTGCCACAAATAGGAATCAAAACAGAATCATATTTCTTCACAGCATCACTGTGATACTAGTAGTCAATGAAATAATGTCTTCATTGTTTGGTGGGTAAAAGACACTTACCCTAGAATGCCATTTTAGTCTGTTATCAAAAGTGAGTTTCAGTAAGGCAATAAGACATAAACAGAGAGTTTTCTGAAAATTACTGAATGGTGTGCTCTAATTAAACACAGAGTAATCCAAGAAAGAGGAGTACAGCGGGTCTAAGAAGGAGGCCTGGAGGGCAAATAGTGCAGGCTGACAGATGGATGGCTCTGGGAAGGAAGTCTCCAGGAAAAAATGAAATCAATAAATTACCTAATAAATTTGTATTTGATCATTTGTGAACAACTACTAGCAGACATGTACTAGATCCAGTGAAAACAAGTAGGGAAAAATAACCTGTAAGGATAAAAAGATGAATAGTATATGGGTAAAAAATGCAAAGGCAATCATCAAGTCGGCGGGGGTGTGGGGAGAGCACACTAGAGAAAATTTAATTATAGAACATGATCTGGCACTATAGCTAAATATATTTTCTTTCTTTTTTTCCTTTTTTTTTTTTTTTTTTTTTTAGTTGGAGTCTTGCTCTGTCACCCAGGCTGGAGTGTAATGGTGCAATCTTGGCTCACTGCAACCTCTGCCTCCTGGGTTCAAGTGATTCTCCTGCCTCAGCCTCCCAAGTAGCTGGAACTACAGTCATGCGCCACCACTCCTGGCTAATTTTTGTATTTTTAGTAGAGACCGGGTTTCACCATGTTGGCCAGGATGGTCTCGATCTCTTGACTTCATGATCCACCTGCCTTGGCCTCCCAAAGTGCTGGGATTACAGGCATGAGCCACCGCGCCTGGCCACTAAATATATTTTCATGACACAATGATGTAGACTGATCGCTGAATTAACCCAGAGCTGTGGCATAACTGGAAATGGAGAAGAGAGGGAGAGGGAATGTGTGCATGGGAAGGGTGAGTGTTGGAGAAGTAAAGTGTCACTTACTATTCTAGGAAGCCTAAAAATCAAGAGGTAGCAGAACACTCCACTTTATTTATAATAAGCAAAATATAATTTACACTAAATAGAGAATATTTTTGCCTATTCTGTTGAAAACCCAAAAGTTCAAAGTACACTCCCTCAGCAAGGCCGTGGGAAAGCAGTCATGCCCACACATTGCTGGTAAGAATGCACACTGGCCTAGCCCCTGGGGAGGTCCATGCAGCCATACCTCTCAAAATGACAAACGTGTACACCCCATGACCCAACAGTTCCATTCTGGACATTTATCTTAGTGTATTAGTGTGTTCTCATGCTGCTGATAAAGACATACCCAAGACTGTGTAATTTATAAAGAAAAAGAGTTTTAACAGACTCACAGTTCCACGTGACTGGGGAGGTCTCACAATCAAGGTGGAAGGCAGGTGGCATGTCTTACATGGTGGCAGACAAGAGAGAAAACTTGTGCAGGGAAACTCCCCTTTGTAAAACCATCAGATCTCATGAGTCTCATTCACTATCCCGAGAACAGCACAGGAAAGATCTGCCCCCATGATTCCCACTGGGTCCCTCCCATGACATGTGGGAGCTACAATTCAAGGTGAGATTTGGGTGGGGACACAGCCAAACCATATCACTTAGCAACACACTTGAAACAGGAAAAGTTCCCTTGTCCCCCTCACAGGGCATGTGATGGGGGTGTGGCTCACTTCTTCAGTATCCTGCTGTTCAAACCTCTAGGGGAGCATACAGTCAGTGAGGCTGTGGGTCTCCAACCCCACAGCAGTGTCTAGGGGCATGTACAGCTGAAGCCCCAGTGGGCGTGTGTTAACAGGCTGCTCTTTTAGTTTAGCCGTCCATAGGCAGCTTGTGTTAGTCAGCTCAATTAGACCCCTGCCTTATGGCAAGGACAGAGGCTATCAGTATCCCAGGCCTCTTGCCTTGGTGTACCAGAAGAATCAGATCACACATGGGCTTGGAGAATGAGTGCAAGGTTTTATTGAGTGGAAGTAGCCCTCAGCAGATGGGGCAGCCAAAAGGGAGATGGTTTTCCCCTGGAATCAGGCTGCTTGGCATCTTGGGCTCTCCTCCAGCTACCCTGGACAAACTCTGCCTCGTTCCACCAGTCGATGGCATGCAAGTGTGCTGGCGTCTGTCGTGTGCTCTTCCGCTGGCATGCTCCTCTCAATGTCCTCTTGACGTCCAGCCACTTGTGTCTTCTTCCACCGATGTGTTCCTCACAACATCCAGTGGCTTGTGTGTGTGGCTGCTAGGGTCTCAGGGTTTTTATCGGCACAGGATGGGAGCATGGCAGGCCAGGGTGGTCTTGGGAAATGCAACATTTGCATGCAAAGGCAGGAATGCCTGTCCTCACCTAGCTCCTTGGGCACAGGCCTGGAGGTGGAGCCCTAGCCAGGGGCCATGCCCTCCTCTACCCAACACTTCCCTGCCCCCCTTCCATATCAGTGTCATACATGGGCAAAATAACATCTGTATGTGTTTATTCACTGCAGCATTTTTTATAAAGAAAATATTGGAAATTATGCAAATGTCCATCAGCTTTTAAAAAAGAATAAGGGTGTTTTTGAATATGTTTGCTATAACAAACAACCTTAGACTGGATGGCTTAAACAACAAACATTTATTTCTCATGGTTCAGTGACTGGAAGTCTGAGATCAGGGTGCTAGTATGAGCAGGTTCTTGGTGAGAGCCCAAGAGGTCATGTCCTCACGTGGCCTTTCTTTGGTGGTGCACACAGACAGGAAGGAAGCTCTCTCATGTCTCTTCATACAAGGGCACTAATCCCATCATGAGTGCTCCATCCTCATGATCTACTTACCTCCCAAAAGCCCCATCTCTAAATACCATCACACTGTGGATTGGGTTTTCAACATATAATTTGGGAAGACACAAACATTCAATCCACAGTAGATGCTCTCTGTATTTATTGAAATGGCATGATTATCTTCTTAGCTGAAAAAAGTAAGCTGCAGAACAGTGTGTATATGACATCATCATCTGCGCTGTTCACCAGCTTCCCTGGACTCCTGGGCACAAGATAAGTTCCCACTTCCCTGCCCCTTTGTGTGATGGTTACTATGGGACTGAATGAAGGGGGATGAATGCAGAAATGAAAACTTAAGACAAAAGAGTCTGTTTTAAAGAAGGTGTCAGGGGGCTCCTTGTTTCTAGTGAGCAAGGGCCTTGAGCTTCCACAGCCCTTCCACAGTATAGGTAATAATACTATTACTATAAATTTATTGGGTAGAAAGAGCAGGGAGGAGGAGGTAATGATTAGTCAGCTGCTTGATTGATCACAGGTTCACATTATTGATAACAGGCTTCAGATGTGCCTAATCACAAGAAACCCTGCGCCTGGGGCATGACTGTCCTCAGCGTTTCTTCTGGGCAGCAGATGCAGTTTGTCAGTTTGCCAACATCCTGCTTTCATGAGAAGAGTTTGCTGTTTACTCATATAGCCTCCAGTGGTAAACTGAGTTTATCACGACCCTCATTCTTTTGGCCTCCAACATCTCCCTCTTTTTGTTTTTGCATTAACTGAATAAGATCTGTCCCTATGTTATGGGGGTTGATGTCAGCGTGACTCCGGTCAGTCCTTGCTCTGTCTTCTCGCATTCAGATTCAACTGGCTCATGGCTCATACTGGGGGAACCAGGCCTGTGCTTGGGATCCATAGGTCCCTCCAGTCTACCGTTCCATGGTCGCACACACCTTGAGGGTACCCACAAGGTTTGTCCGTCTCCTATAAAAACTCAAGCATACCCTTGTCCCCATGTTAGTAAATCCACTGAAAACTTTCCACTGATAATGAGAGACAGGCTCTTTCTGATTAACAGAAGGCGCAGAGAAAGCAAATCGAGGCCTATCCTTCTTGTGCAATAGTATAACAACAACAAAAAAAAATCCTTAAAATCTATCACTATGAGAAGCCTGTCCCTCGGAATGGCCGCGGGGGATGGCAGACCCTGCTGCAATGCACCCACTGGTTTAATCTGTGCATTAATAGCTCTCAAATCATGTAGCAATCGCCACCTTCCTGACTTTTTTGGAATCACAAATACTGGTATCAGTTTATCCTGTGATAAAGGCCATTGCTCCACCCATACAGGTTTGTTAGTCAGCCACTCTAATGGCAAAGCAGTGGGTGGAGGAGGAATATCAATGACCCTCGTCAGAAATCCTGATGACTTAGCCCTTTTCTATCTGTCTGTTCAGTTATTGATAATGATTCAGGGTTTCCTTGGAGGGGCTTTCCTAAGACATTTCTGCTCTGAGATCCCATTTTCTTTAACATTGTAAATCCTAGATTATCAATAGTTTCATTTGTAAGTCTCATATCTCATGCTGTAAGTAAATCTTGACCCCATAGATTAACAGCTATATTTGCAACATAACGTTGAAAAGTACATGACTGTCCATCCACTCCAAGACAGGGCAAAATCGCAGCTCTCTGTTGAACACTTTGAGCTGTTCCTACTCCCACTAGGGATGTAGAAGTTAATTGCAGAGGCCAGGACGGGGGCCAATTGTTTTTAGATATTACTGACACATCAGCTCCCATATCCATAAGCCCATAAAACTTCTTTCCTTTAATTTGCACTGTACAGTGGGTCTATTAGATGCTATGGGTTGTGATAGATAAATTTCCCTCCTAGTTGTACTCCCAAATCCTTTATTCTCTCATTTCTCCTTAAGTGGAGAAGGGTGTAATTTACAGGGAATAAGCAACAGTCAAGCAATACATTCTCCCGGTTCAAAAACCCAAAGATCTTGTGACATCACCATCACCTGAATTTCTCCTTCATAATTCAAATCAACAACTCCTGGGACTACAGTAATGCCCTGTAGGTTAAGATGACTTTTGCCTAAAATTAATCCCATACATCCTGTTGGCAAGGGTCCCCAAATACCAGTGGGAATATTGGCGAGTTTGTCTCCTCCAACTAATGCAACCCATTCTCTGACTGGGAGATCTAATCCTGTACTTCCAGGTGTTCTTAAGCCTTTTGTACATCTCACAGATGCCAGTGCACATTTACAATCCATGTTTGCATCCCCAAAAGCCAAAGCCAATGCTAGCATTTCTGCAGCCACAGAAGAAGACAGTACAAGCCAATTATCATCCTCCCTCTCCTGTTCACCATTTTCAATAGGTGCTGTGGGTAGGGCAAAAGACTCTCTCAAATTTTCAGAACATAACTCCTGCTGTCCCGCTAAATAAGAAGGAAACAATGGCAAAGAACAGCATGGGCCAAACTCCAAACAAAAACAGAAAGAATAGATAAATTCTGCCCCATGTTACCTTGATTCAGAAACTTCCCATTCCCAGTACCTCTTTAGGACACTGACCTTATATCAGCTGCCGGCAGACTCGTCCCGGGGTTTCTCGTTCATCTGGTCAGTTTTACTTTCTCTGCTCCAGCAGACCTTCTTCATTCATGTCCCTGTATGTCCCTGTCGGTTCCTGTTAGTCCCTGCAAGTCTCTTCTAGTTCCTATTTTTCCCTATTGTCTCTATTTTTCTCTATTTATCTCTATTTGTCCCTGCAGGTCCCTGTTTAGGCACCACTTGTGATGGTTACTATGGGACTGAACAAAGGGGGATGAATGCAGAAATGAAAAACAAAAACAAAATAATCTGTTTTAAAGAAGGGGTCAGGGGGCTCCTTGCTTCTAGTGAGCAAGGGCCTTGAGCTTCCACAGCCCTTCGTATTTATTGGGTAGAAAGAGCAGGGAGGAGGAGGTAACAATTGGTCAGCTGCTTGACTAATCACAGGTTCACATGTGCCTAATCACAAGAAACACTGCTCCTTGGGCATGACCACCCTCAGCATTCCTTCTGGGTGGCAGATGCAGTTTGTCAGTTTGCCAACATCCTGCTTTCACGAGAACAGTTTGCTGTTTATTCATATAGCCTCTAGAGGTATACTGAGTTTATCATGACCCTTATTCTTTCGGTCTCCAACACCTTTAATCTGTCAGGTCCGTGTAACATGCTTTGGTCAATGAACCGGAGCAGAGGAGATATGCGTCAACTCCGGGAGAAAGGCTTTCAGGGCCAGTGAGGCTTTAATCTGTCAGGTCCATGTAACATGCTTTGGTCAATGAACTGGAGCAGAGGAGATATGGGTCAACTCTGGGAGAAAGGCTTTCAGGGCCAGTGAGTGATTAGTCATGTTCCCTGCCCACTCCCATCACAAACATGACCCTCCAGATGGTAGACACTCAGTTGGTTTGCAATCCTGGGTGAGGAAAATGTGAATCCCCAGCCAGCCCAGGATGGACACACAGCATGTGGGAGAAAGAAGCCATGAAGATGCATGAATTTTTTGTTATTGCAACATATTCTCCTTTATTGTGACTGGTACAGGCTAGTATAGCACCTTTTGTGTAAAAAAAGAAAAGGGCAGAAAAATTAACCCTTTTCTTGTTTAGAAAAACAAAGTGGGCCAGGCATGGTGGCTTATGCCTCTAATCCGAGCATTCTGGGAGGCAACAGCGGACAGATCACCGAGGTCAGGAGTTCAAGACCAGCCTGGGCCAACAAGTCGAAACCCCATCCCTACTGAAAATACAAAACTTAGTCAGGCGTGGTGATGCCCACCTGTAATCCCAGCTACTAGCGAGGCTGAGGCAGGAGAAATGCTTGGACCTGGGAGGTGGAGGTTGCAGTGAGCCAAGATTGCGCCACTGCACTCCAGCCTAGGTGATAAAGCAAGACTCCTTCTCAAAAAAAAAAAAAAAAAAAAAAGAAAAGAAAAGAGAAAGAAAGTGCAGCTCGCTGCCAGTGCTCATTTAATTTTACATAAACATGCTCTTAGAGACTGAAGCAAATCTGACTGATTTTCAATGCGAATATAAAATATGAAAACTGTTCTTGGAGTTATTTCTAAACAGAGCTAACATCAGAGTTGTCTGAATCACCAGAATCATCTATTTCAGAAAAATTGAATTCATCAAATGAATCTTCAGCCAACAACTCTTTGAGAACAATGTTAACATCACGTATAGGAATGCTACATTTTTTAGGATTTGCCACCTTCAGTGATTGAGAAATATTATATTTTGTAAATGGAAATACCACTACTAAAAACGTAATGCTATAAATATTAGAATTATGTCTTTTGTTTCCAAAGTTGATATACTAGAGCAATGCAAAAATAATAATACAAGCAAGATATTTTGTGGCATAGTTATCTTAGGGCAAATGCTGCAGTGGCAAGCACTACTAGCAAGTATTCTTGGGGCAAACGGGAAAAGGACTAAATGTATAATGGTATTTTCTCATATGCAGGCATACACAAAAAACAAATAATAGTGGTTACCTGAGAAATGGAGTTGGGTAGGAATTGGATAGAGGACAAGAGGAAGAGAACTGCTCTTTACTGTACATCTTTTTATATGTTCCATTTTAGAACAATGTGATTTCATTACTTATTCAGACACTTTAATTTAAAAAAATAAATAGAAGCATAAGGACATTATGTAGAAATATGGAAGTAAATACCAGAAGAAATATTGAAAGTGGTTGTTTCTAAGGAGTAGAATCTGGAGAGAGGGTTGCTGCTTTCCATTTAGTATTTACTATTTCCACTTAGATTTAGTAGTTGGTACTAGATCATTTTAAAAACCACGTGCATGTACTAGATTTTTGATTTTTAAAAATTAAGAGAAAAAACCCCAGAGAGTGACCAACCAAACGTCATGTGAAGCAATATTGCAAGGGCTAAATTTTATCCACGTCTCATATGTTGAGAAGTGACATAAGAATATAAATTTTTGAACTGCTCCAAAATGCCAATCTTTTACAAATTAAATCACATCTCTTATACTTGCAGGTCATTCATGGAAAACTGCAATCAGTCTTGAATGCTGTCTGGCATAAAATATAAAGCAAGGATTGGTATCTGATTTCATAGTTTAGAAAAGAGGAAAACCAGAAAAGCCACAGATACTTTTGCTTTTGCCAAGAAGGCAACTTCTGCCTCAAAACATCCTCTGTCCTATCCCCCTCCCACCACCACCTACCTAGCTGTCCAAGTAAAAAATCTGAAAGTCATCGTTAACTCTCCCCAACATTGCCAGATCTGGTGGGTTCTACCTATAGTCCTGGATCACTTAGGTTCAAATGCTAGATCCTATAGGTTCTTCCTTTAACTGGTCCACTTTTTTCCATCCCTTTTGTATGCAACAGCCTCTTACTTAACTGTTCTTGTTACTTCCAACTTTGCCCCTTCTAGGACATCTGCTTTGCTGCAACACGAGTAATCTTTTTTTGTTTTGTTTTGTTTTGAGACTGAGTCTCGCTCTGTCGCCCAGGCTAGAGTGCAATGGCGTGATCTCGGCTCACTGCAAGCTCCGCCTCCCGGGTTCACGCCATTCTCCTGCCTCAGCCTCCCGAGTAGCTGGGACTACAGGCGCCAGCCACACGCGTGGCTAATTTTTTGTATTTTTTTAGTAGAGACGGGGTTTCACCGTGTTAGCCAGGATGGTCTTGATCTCCTGACTTTGTGATCCTCTCGCCTCAGCCCCCCAAAGTGCTGGGATTACAGGGGTGAGCCACTGCTCCCGGGCAAGAGTAATCTTTTAAAAACAAATATGGCTACCTCACTCACCAACCTAAACACTTCAATATTCCCTCAGTGTCTCCAAAAGAAAATCAAAAGCTCTATGACAGAAGCCTGCATTATCTGGCCTCCACCAAACTGTCTGCCTTATCTGTCTTTATTCTGTTTTTCTTAATCCTTTTTTCTTTCCTTTCTTTCTTCTTTTTTTTTTTTTTTTTTTTTGAGATGAAGTTTCACTCTTGTTGCCCAGGCTGGAGTGCAATGGCACCATCTCAGCTCACTGCAAGCTCCGCTTCCTGGGTTCAAGCGATTCTCCAGCCTCAGCCTCCCGAGTAGCTGGGATTACAGGCATGTGCCACCACTTCCGGCTAATTTTGTATTTTTAGTAGAGACGGGGTTTCTCCATGGAGGTCAGGCTGGTCTTGAACTCCCAACCTCAGGTGATCCACCCACCTCAGCCTCCCAAAGTGCTGGGATTACAGGCGTGACCCACCATGCCCGGCCTCCTTTTTTCTTTTTTATTGACTTTGTTTCTGATTTTTAAAAACACCTTATCTATCTATCTATCTATCTATCTATCTATCTATCTATCTATCTTGAGGCAAGGTCTGTCACCCAGGCTGGAGTGCAGTGGTATGATCTCTGCTCACTGCAGCCTCAATCCCGGGGGCTCAAGCAATCCTGCCACCTCAGCCCCCTGAGTAGGTGGGACTACAGGTGCTTGCCACCATGCCTGGCTAATTCTTGTAATTTTTGTAGAGACAGTTTCACCATGTTTCTCAGGCTGGTCTCGAACTCCTGAGCTCAAGGGATCCTCCCACCTCAGCCCCTAAAGTGCTGGGATTACAGGTGTGCACCACGGCACATGGCCGTTCATCTGTCTTTATGGCTTGAATTATCCTCCAACTTATTGAATTTTCATTTTCTCAAAAGAACCGATGACTATTTTCATTTTGCCTCCTAACCTTCACCCATGCTGTTCTCTCTGCTTCAAACACTCTTCCCCGACTTAATTCCTACTCATCCTTCAATTCAGGAATCCAGAAGGTCTTACCTGACACCTTGGGTCCAGGTTGCTGCCCCTCCCATTTGTTCTGGCGTCCCTCATCTCTCATCAGGGGAACATAAGGGTGGATAGTTTTGTAGATACCTGCTTTGTTCTTTATCTAGTCTCCCTTCTGGACTGTAAGTTCCATGAGGGCAGGGACTTTGTTTTCTTCAACATTGTGTCCTTAGCTCCTGGCACATAGTGAGTTCAGTAACTATGTGTTGAATAAACAAATGAAAAAGACAAACTAAAAACCAAGTTCAGGCTGGACACAGTGGCTCACGCCTGTAATACGAGCACTTTGGAAGACCAAGGCGGGCAGATCACTTGAGGTCAGGAGTTTGAGACCAGCCTGGCCAACATGGTGAAACCCCATCTCTACTAAAAATACAAAAATTAGCCAGGCATGGTGGCGGGCACCTGTAATCCCAGGTACTCGGGAGGCTGAGGCAGGAGAATCGCCTGAACCCAGGAGTCAGAGGTTGCAGTGAGCTGAGATCGTGCCACTGCACTCCAGCCTGGGTGACAGAGGGAGACTCCCTCTCAAAAACAAAACACAGAAAACCAAGTTCAGGTGGATATTTGACTTTTAATCAAGCAAAAATTCTGAATAGATATGCCTTTCTCTGGTCAGTTACAGTGCTAAGTCTGGTAAATTCATCTTTAAAACTCCCAAGTTCTCCAAATGATCCAAGCTGGCTGACACCCCAGACATAATCTATAATAATACACAGTGCTGGGCTAAGAGCTGGCTTCTAAACCAAAAGTAGATTATGGTAGTGTGGTTTATAAAAGAAGCAACAAATTTTCACACTGTCCCAATTTAAGGAACTGGTGAAAACGTGCAGTTGCTGGATAAAACCTGGTACACAGACCTCTTGGATAATGTAATAAAGTTTGATGTGAACAGATTACAATTGACACCTGCTACTGCTAAGTGCCTGGGTCTCTATTTGGGTCTTTCAAGCAGCCAAATCTGCCTTTTATCCATTATGTCTCTATTCCCCAAGGAAGTGAGATAAAAGCCAATATAAGTTTCCAGAAGGAGGCATTGTTTTCTTCTGCCAAAAATCTGTAATTTATCACTGGACTGTCAATAACAATATTGAAGATGGGTAATTGCATTTGAAACCGCTATACCAAGAACAAATGTCACCACCAGAGATTGTATGGTGTGTAATGAGGAAGCAAAGTTGTGATATATGTGGGGTAAGGCAGAATAGATAAAATGTTTCTCTACGGTGGTCCAAGTGTATGTTTTACTTGGAATTAGAGAAATAAATGTAACCAATATCAGCCTGTGAAAAAGTTTTCAGTGTCACAGAGAAATAAGAAAAATAAAGACTTTGGGGGAGTGTTTTCCAAAAAGATAAGTTGTTTTCTTTTAAGTTTTCATTATATGCATCCTTTTCTTATGTTGACTGACATTTTTAATGCGAAATGACATCTAGTGAAAAAGCAAGTAACAGAACAATGTGCATAGCATACTAATTAAAAACAAGAGGAGCCAGGCGCAGTGGTTTACGCCTGTAATCCCAGCACTTTGAAAGGCTGAGGCCAGAGGATCTCTTGAGCCCAGGAGTTCAAGACCAGCCTGGGCAGCACAGTGAAACTTCATCTCTACCAAAAACTTTTTAAAATTGGCCAGGTATGGTGGCTCGCACCTGTAGTCTCAGCTAGTTGGAAGGATGAAGTGAGAGGATCAATTGCTTGAAGTTAGGAGGTCAAGGCTGCTGTGAGCCATGTTTGTGCCTCTGCACTCCAGCCAGGCAACAGAGCGAAACTCTGTCTCAAAAACAAAAAAAGAGAGAGGAAAAAAATGTATTTGTATATGCATGGAATATTCTTGGAAGGATACACAAAGAAATTGGGATTGAGAACAAGGGTTTCTTCAAAGGAGGGAATTGGGCATCTGCTGTAAAAGAAAGGGATTTCACTGTATACCTCTTTAAGACTTTTGGGTTTTGAGCCAAATGGATGCATTAATTATTCAAAATATAAGTTAATTAAAGTAAGATTAATAAGATGAATTAAAATAAAATAAGATGAAATAAAATGGTAATCGGATATGGTAATAGCTTATGTCCTTACTTGGAGAAAATGGACAAGTCTCTGTCAGACATCAAAAGAATTAAAAATATTTTAATCTGTAAAATCCTGAAGTCCTATTTTTAAAAATAAATATCTAACACACTGATATTAAGTAAATATCTTCTCATTTTAGTTAAAGAAGATGCATGTATCAGTTTGTCCCGTCACTGGCAATGACTTTGACCATGTGGTTAAGGTGGTGTCAGCCAGTTTACTCTACAGTAAAGTTACTGTTTTATCCTTTGTAAACAATTTGTGTGGACACTTTAATGCTAAATAAATATCCTGTCCCACATCAAACTTTCGTCACTATTGTTAGCATCCATTGATGATTGTCTAGAGCCATCATTCTTTCCATATTTATGGGTTGACATTTGACTTGTTTGTCTGCCTTGTTTGTTTACTTATTTCCCTTCTGCCTTGTTTGTTTACTTGTTTCTTTGAATCGGTATAGGCTCATGAACTTTTATTCAAAGAGTTTAAATTCATAACTATTATTATTAATTTTAATGCATGCATTGACTCAGATTTGCCTAGTGGGAAATCCTTTTTTTTTTTTTTTTTAATACTATGGACCACAAGACCCTGCTATTTAATCTGGGCTGACTGTGTCTCTGACTGAAATGCTCCTCTCTCTCATACTTACTTATTAATTATAGTTTTCTGTTCCTCAAACATGCAGGCTCTGCACTGCCTCGGGGCCTTTACACTAGCAGTCCCCCTCCCTGGAGTTGTCTTCTTCCCACCTTCCCATGGCAGGCTCCTTCCATGCGTTCAGATGTCTCCTTCTCAGAGAATTTTTCTGGGACCATCTTGTCTAATATAAGACTAATCCCTTGGCTGGGCGCATGGCTCACGCCTGTAATCCCAACACTTTGGGAGGCCGAGGTAGGCGGATCATAAGGTCAGGAGTTCGAGACCAGCCTGGCCAACATGGTGAAATGCCATCTCGACTAAAAATACAAAAATTAGCCTGGCATGGTGGCGGGTGCCTGTAATCCCAGCTACTCGGGAGGCTGAAGCAGGAGAATCACTTGAAACCAGAAGGCAGAGGTTGCAGTGAGCCAAGATCACGCCACTGCACTCCAGCCTGGACAACAAGAGCAAAACTCTGTCTCAATTAAAAAAAAAAAAAGACTAATTTATCTCTCACTCTTACTCCCAATCTCATTCTCAGTCTCTCTTTTGTATTTCATTTTATTTACCTTTTGAGACAGAGTCTTGCTCTGTCTGGAGTGCAGTGGCACAATCATAGCTCACTGCAACCTCAAACTGTTGGGTTCAAGGGATCCCCCTGCCTCAGCCTCCCGAGTAGCTGGAATCACAACTACTCAAGAGATCCTCCTACTGGGATTACAGGTATGAACCACTGCACCTGGCCTCTCCTGTATTTTAGATATCTCCCTCTCTGTTGGCTCCTCCCCAGGACTAGTTCAACATATTCTAGCCTCCTCCACATGATGTAAAACAAACAAGCACAAAAAAACTAAAATTATTTTGCTACTCTTTAGTTTTGCCTCTCCTTTTCCTCGTGTCCCTAGCTCTCATCTTCTCACAGCCAAACTTCTAGAAAACACTGTCTACTGCTGCAGTTTGAATGTCTGTGTCTTCTCCAAAATTCATGTTGAAACTTAATCCCCAATTTGATAGTATTAAGGGGTGGGGCCTTTAGGAGGTGATTAAGTCATGAGGGCTCTAATTGGGAATTATGACTTTATTTGTTTATTTGAGACAGGCTTGCTCTATTGCCCGGGCTGGAGTGCAGTGACACAATCACTGAAGCCTTAACCTCTTGGCCTCAAGGGAGCCTCCCACCTCAGCCTCCCAAGTAGCTGGGGATATAGGTGTGCACCGCCATGCCCAGCTATTTTAAAAATTTTTTTGTAGAGACAAGGTCTTGCCAAGTGGTCCAGGCTGGTTTCAAACTCCTGGGCTCAAGCAATCCTCCCATGATAGCCTCCCAAAGTGCTGGGATTATAGTCATGAACCACAGCACCTGGCCAGATTATGACTTCATAAAAGCGATACAGGGAATTAGGCCCTTTTTTTTTTCCCTCTGCTCTTCCATCATGTGAGGACAAGCAAGAAGGCCTTTACCAGACACTGAATGCCAGCACCTTGACCTGGGACTTTCCAGGTTCCAGAACTAAGACATAAATTTCTGGGCTGAGCTCGGTGGCTCATGCCTGTAATCCCAGCAGTTTGGGAGGCCAAGGCAGGCAGATCACTTAAGGCCAAGAGTTTGAGACCAGCCTGGCCAACATGGTGAAACCCTCTCTCTACTAAAAATACAAAAATAGCCAGGCATAATGGTACAAGCCTGCAATCCCAGCTACTCAGGAGGCTGAAACACGAGAACCACTTGAACCTGAGAGATGGAGGTTGCAGTGAGCCAAGATCCTGCCATTGCACTCCAGCCTGGGCGACAAAGGGAGACCCTGTCTCAAAAAAAAGCAAACAAACAAAAAAATTCTGTTCTTTATAAATTGCCTGGTTTCAGGTATTTTGTTACAGCAGCACAAACAGACTAAGATATCTGTACTTTCTCAAGCCTCACTTCCCTACCTTCCATTTATTTATACCTCCACCCACCACACAATGAGTTTATGCTCTGCCCCAAAACTGAAAGTGACTTACTCTGACCAGATACAGAAAAAAACAGGCCTGTGGCTAGCCCATATATTGCTTTCATATGGACTGGAAAAACATTTCCCTTTTTCAAGACGCTTGCTTCCATCTATCAGAAAATAGTCATCTTAGGTATACCAATCTGCAATGTCTGCAATGTGCATGGTGCCTGCTGGTGTTGTGCAGTGTGCTACCTGCACAACCATATGAGGACCCTACCAACATCCTCCAAGCCCGAAAGATACATTACACGGCCGGGCTCAGTGGCTCACGCTTGTAATCCCAGCACTTTGGGAGGCCGAGGCGGGCAGATCACGAGGTCAGGAGCCAGACCATAGTGAAACCCCGTCTACTGAAAATACAAAAAATTAGCTGGACGTGGTGGCGGGTGCCTGTAGTCCCAGCTACTTGGGAGGCTGAGGTAGGAGAATGGCGTGAACCCGGGAGGCGGAGCTTGCAGTGAGCAGAGATCGCGCCAATGCACTCCAGCCTGGGTGACAGAGCGAGACTCCGTCTCAAAAAAAAAAAAGAAAGAAAGAAAGATGCATTATACTTTAGTCCTATCCATTTTTTTTTTTTTATGACAGTCTTGCTGTGTTGCCCAGGCTGGTCTCAAACTCCTGGGATCAAGCGATCTGCCCATCTCAGCCTCCCCAAGTGCTGGGGTTACAAGCATAGAATAGCCACTGCACCCAGCCCTAGTTTTTATTTGACCACTTTCAACTCCCCTGTGACCATCCTTCCTTCTTGAAATGTTGCCTTCCTTTGGCAACTGTGATACCACACAATGTTCTCATTGTTTCTTTCTCATCCTCTCATGCTTCTCTTCTTTAATATTAAGTCCATTCCAGAGTCTATCCTGGTTTGTCTTCCCATCTCTCTGAGTGATCCCAATCACTTTCATTCAACATTTATTGAGTGCCCACTCTGTGCTAGGCATTGTTCTAGGCACTGACCACTTGCAACTTCTAAGTACATGCTGGTAAATGACAAATGTGTCTATCTCAGGCTCACATATCCAACTGCCTCCCTGAAATCTGAACTTCGATATCAAACGACCTTCCCCCAAACTTAACTTGTCTAGAACTGAGTTCATCATCCTTCTCTCTAGATCGGTTTCTCTTCCTGGGTTCCCCATTTTAGCAAATGATATTCATTCAGTTGCCCAAGACTGATAGCTGGAGTCATCCTAGACCCTTTTCTCTCTCCCACCTGAGAAAGTAGTAAGTCTCTTTTTTCTGCTTCCTAGATATGTCTGACTTTCAATCACCTGTCTCCATCACTGTTACCACCACACTGGTCTCCATCTCACTCTAAGCCATTATGATGGCTCTTATAGAATACAGCAGCAGGCTCCTTCCTGGCCTCAGCCTTCGGGACTTTTCCCTGTGAATTCATCCAGAGCATGCTTCCTATGACACAAGACTGATGATGTTAAGCTCCTGGTGAAACCCTATAATGGTTTTTTTGGCCTTCAGGATTTCAGTTCTAATTCTTCAATATGCTTTATAAGGCCAACCATAATCAGGTACCTCCTCTACCTCTCTGCTTTTATTTATTTCCATTCCCCCTTTCCCCTCATATTCTGTCACTCATTCATTCTTCCCTCCATCCATACTAAACTCCTCTTAGCTTCTGAATATCCCATTCTCTCTCTAGACTCTGAACTTTGGCCTGTGCTGTTCCCTCTGCATGGAGCAGCTCATTAGCTGCTCTCCCACCCCTTTACTTTGCCGATGCTACCTTCTCTTCAGGTTTCAGCAGAGATCTTACTTTATCTAGGAAGCCTTCCCTAAACTCCCAAATCTGGGACAAGGGTCTTTTTCTGAGCTGCCATAGTAAGCTGGTACCATTTATCACACTAGGGTGTTTCCCTGTTCATTGGTCTACATCTTCCTTTAAATATAAGCATCTAAGAGGTCAGGAACCTTGCCTCTCTTCTTTGTTTGTTTTTGAGACAGACTCTCACTCTGTTGTCCAGGCTGGAGTGCAATGGCACGATCTCAGCTGACTGCAACCTCCACCTCCTGGGGTCAAGTGATTCTCCTGCCTCAGCCTCCTGAATAGGTGGGACTACAGGCATGCACCACCACACCTGGCTAATTTTTTTTTTTTTTTTTTTTTAGAGATGGGGTCTTGCCCAGGCTGGTCTCGAACTCCTGAGCTCAAGTGATCCGCCCACCTCAGCCTCCCAAAGTACTGGGATTACAGGTGTGAGCCACCTCATCCAGCTTTTGTTTAATATTTAATTCTTGGGACCCAGCACAGTGACCAGCACATAGTAGGTGCTCAGTAAGTACATGTAGAATAAATGAACAGTTGATAAGTGCAGGATATGAATCCAAAAATTCTGGTCCTGACTCACCACTGGACCCTTGGAAAGTGTTTATTAGTGTTGCTGTACCTTAGTGTCCTCACTTGTAATACGAATATATAATATAGAGCATGGCAATGGCAATTTTAAAACATAATCCCCAAATTCTTTGACACTTCTTTTAACGAGAGGTAGAGCCTATGTCCCTTCCTTTAGAATTTGGGCTCTGTAATTTCTTGACCAAAAGATCACAACAAAAGTGATGTCATGGCCATTTCTGGACTCAAGTCTTAAGAAATCGGCAATTTCCATTTTGTTTTTCTTGGGATGCTTCCTTGCGGAACGCAGGCACTATGCCATGGAGAAGCAGCTCCAGAGAGGCCCACGTAGAGGACTCCAGCCTCCAGCCCTCAGCTTCTGCCAAGCTCCCAGGCAGCAACACCCACAATTTGGCAGCCATTTTGGCCTCCATCTTGCTCCATCCAAGCAAATCATCTTGGAAGTGGACCTTCCAGCCCCATTTGAACATCCACCCCCATGTAAGATTCCAGAGATAAAGAAATGTTGTTTAAGATCTACATTTTGGTATGGTTTGTTATGCAACAAGCAATAATCAGGACAGATTTTGATACCTGGAAGTGGAGTATTGATAATACCATAACACGCAGCACTGGCTTTGGGACTGGGCAGCAGATACAAGCCAGAAACGCCTCTGGGAGCATGTTAGTAATGGTGTAGGAGGCTGGGAGTGAGGACTTAAAAGTGAGGGAAATGTTATCTGGAGAGAGGAAAGGGGACTCCAGTTACATAGAAAAGTTTGGCAACACTGTTGCCGTGGCCTTCTGTAATGTGGAAAATAAAAAGTGTACTTCATGAACTCAGTGACCTTTCTAAGAAGATTTCTGGGCTGAGTTTCCAAAGTGCTGCCTGATTTTTACTTGGCTAGCTAGTGGCACCTCTTTCTACCACAATGCATGAACCAGTCATGTTGTTAAAGACATTGTCTCCATGCATGAAATTATAGACACCCTATGCCAAGCTTGTCCAACCCACAGCCTATGGACCGCATGCGGCCCAACACAAATTCGTAAACTTTCTTAAAGCATTATGAGATTCTTTTTGCAAGTTTTTGTTTGTTTGTTTTGTTTTTTAGTTTATCAGCTATCATTAGTGTTTTATGTGTGGCCCAAGACAGTTCTTCCAGTGTGGCCCAGGGAAGCCAAAAGATTGGACACCCCTGCCCTAAGCCTTCTCCAGGTCCCCGAAGAGTTGGCACTGTCACAATGACAATGGCTAACCTTTTGTCTTCCAGGCTACTCAACCCTTTTGGAGAAGGTGGCAACATCGTTGGCACTGTCATCTTAGACAAAAGAGAGTGGGACTGGCAGAAGATCAGCTATCTCAAAATTGGAAAGCAGGTCACTAGTTCCTATCCACTGTGATTCGTCTGGCATTCTTCAGTCCTCTGTACTGTGGCTTCTCCTTTCCCCCATGATTTTCATTAAACATCTACACAAAAATTATTTAATATGTGCAAAATGTATAAATAACTAATCCTGCCCTTCACCATATCCATGATCCTGCATTTTGTGTGTTTCCTTTCTTTGTTTTCCTCTATGGTTTCACTACATGTGAATCCCTAGTGATAGATTTATTTTTGCTTGTTTCTTAACTAACAGAAATGGGATCACACTGTATGTATTCTCCCGAAACTTGCTTTATTCTCTCAACATTAAGTTCATAAATTTCACCTATTTGTTTTTTGTCTTAATCTTTGTAACCAGTCTGTAAAACCAAATGACTATCCTCTCTGTTCTGGCACAATGTGCTGTGCATATCAGGTGACCAGTAAACACTGTAGGATGATGCTGGGCAGGATATGTCCACAGTGTTGGGAGAAAAGCTGAGTGTTGGGAGAGAACCTGAGGCAGGGCTTGGAACATGTCAGGGGTCCAGGGTCTAAAACCCCTCGTGGCCTTTGGAATGGGTCTAGACTTGCGGGCTCCTTGCTTTTAGCACTCCCATTATCTCAAGTAGCCATATGTTTCAAAGAAAATGCTAAACTCTCACAGCTATAGCTCATTCGCTTGATACGCCACTTCCTTCCAACCCCCACATCCTCACCACCTGTTTCTTTGTTTTATCACCAATAAATAGCGTGGGCTCCCAGAGCTCAGGGCCTTTGCAGCCTCCATACTAGCGTTGGCCCCCTGGTCCCACTTTCTCTCTTGTCTTTTCTCATTCCTTTGACTCTGCTGGACTTCGTAGCACCCACAGCTTAGTGTTGGGTCTGATCACCCCAACACACAGAATAGGTGGGTAGCTCACGTTCATGCAAATGTAGTTGTAATATTCAGGAATAAGAGTTTCCAGAGAAGGTACAAAACTTTTACGTGACCCCCAAAAAATTTAAAAAAAAGAAAAAAAAACAAAAAACTTTTAGGTGGCTAGGCGTGGTGGCTCTTGCCTATAATCCCAGCACTTTGAGAGGCCAAGGCAGGAAGATTGCCTGAGACCTGGAGTTCAAGATCAGCCTGAGCAACGTAGCAAGACCCTGTTTCTACCAAAAAAAAACCTTTTTTAAAATAAACTAAAAACTTTTAGGCAACTGCTAAAAATGAATCATTTGGTGTAAAGGGACCTTTACAAAATCATTTAAGAGCAGGGACCTCTCTTAAAGGCCTGTGGATCTCCCAAGCATGGAAATAACAGAAAATCTTGAGTTCCTTCAAGGGAAATTCCAGGCACCTTCCCAGCCTTTAGAAGTAAATGAGCAAATTAATAAGCAAGAAGGTAATAGTAGCTTAAAACAATAGCCAAGGCCGGGCACAGTGGCTCACGCCTGTAATCCCAGCACTCTGGGAGGCTGAGGCAGGCAGATCACTTGAGCTCAGGAGTTCGAGACCAGCCTGGGCAACATGGCAAAATCCCGTCTCTACAAAAAATACAAAAATTAGCATTGTGACATGTACCTGTAGTCCCAACTACTTGAGAGGCTGAGGGAGAGGATCACTTGAGCTGGGAGGCAGAGGTTGCAGTGAGCTGAGATTGTGCCACTGCACTCCAGCCTGGATGACAGAGCAAGACTCTACCTCAAAATAAAAAAAAAAAATCAAAAATAAAAAGCCAAGGAAGTTAGAGTCAGAAGATGGTCCCTATAGAAACTAATGATGCATCTTAACTATGTCCCTGAGTTGTTTTTTAAAAACCCAGACCCTCACGAAATGTATCCACTGGCATATAGACCTCAGATAAGGAGGAACTGAGGATTGAACTCTGACCACTGTTCTTCAACGTCTTTCAGAGGGGCCTGAAAGTCATGTCTGCAAATCAGAACTAACATTCTTTTTTTTTCTTTTATTTTTTCTTTTTGGAGACAGTGTATCACTCTGTTGCCCAGGCTGGAGTGCAGTGGCACAATCATGGCTCACTGCAACCTCCACCTTCCAGGCCCAAGCAATCCTCCCACCTCAGTCTCCCAAGTAGCTAGAACCACAGGTCTGTGCCAGCATGGTCAGCTAATTTTTAAATTATTTTTGTAGAGATGGGGTCTCCCTATACTGCCCAGGCTGAGAACTAACGTTCTTTTCTACTGACCCCAAATTTTTAGACAAAGCTTTGTCTAAAGTTCCTTAACCAATTGCAAAAAAGAAAATCTCTGATTCACCTATGACCTGTGGGTCCCCCTCCCCCACTTTGAGATGTCCTGCTTTTTTAGGTCAAACCAATGTGTAGCTCCATGTATTGATTTATGACTTTGCCTGTAACCTCTGCCCCACGCACCTTTATTTTACTTTTTATTTTTGAGACAGGGTCTTGCTCTTTCATTCAGGCTGGAGTGCAGTGGCACAATTACAGTTCACTGCAACCTCGACCTCCTAGGCTCAAGTAATCCCCTCATCTCAGCCTATTCCGACTAGCTGGGACACCCAGCTAATTTTAATTTTTTGTAGAGACACGGTATGTGTTATCCAGCCTGGTCTTGAACTCCTGAGCTCAAGCAATCTTCCCACCCCGGCCTCCCAAAGTGTTGAGATTACAGGTGTGAGCCACCGCGCCTGGCCCCCAGCTGCCTTTAAAAACCCTTACTTGCCAGCCATCAAGGAGGAGCTACCTGATTCTCCTTGCTTGGTACCCTACAGATAAACACCCTTCTTTCTCCCTCTGCAAACCTTGGTGTGGGTATTTGGCCTTACTGTGTCAGGTGAAGGGACCCTAGTTCAGTTAGATAACATAAATATTTGCAGTGTATGTGTACTACCCAAGGACATGACTTCATTATTCAATTTGACAAATGCGTTCTGTTACACAAATACAGAAAGGATTAATAAAGCT
Organism: Homo sapiens; assembly: GCF_000001405.40. Lineage (NCBI taxonomy): Eukaryota > Metazoa > Chordata > Mammalia > Primates > Hominidae > Homo > Homo sapiens. The sequence goes on from NC_000003.12 coordinate 32,104,621, forward strand.
TTACTAGTCCATCTTTCCCATTATCCCTGCATGTATCCTTGCATTAGTGCAAATAATTGAGAACAAACCATTGGTGAGGGGATGGAAAGACTGCTCTGACTCACCAGCTCCCTTTAAGTATTTCCTTAAGTAAATATCATAAGTAACACAAATAAATATTTCATACAATGTAGAGAAAAAAGCAAAAATAACAGTTCTCTGAGCATCAAACTAATAGGCTTAGTATTACTATCATTTTTTTGAAACGGAGTGTCGCTCTTGTCGCCCAGGCAAGATCTCGGCTCACTGCAACCTCCGCCTCCCAGGTTCAAGAGATTCTCCTGTCTCAGCCTCCTGAGTAGCTGGGATTACAGGCATCTGCCACCATGCCTGGCTAATTTTTTGTATTTTCAGTAGAGACGGGGTTTTGCCAAGTTGGGCAGACTAGTCTCCATCTCCTGACCTCAGGTGAACTGCCTGCCTCGACCTCCTGAAGTGCTGGGGTTATAGGCGTGAGCCACGGCACCCGGCCTAGGCTTAGTTTTTTGTAGGTACTAGAGTATTTGTTTCTTTAGCCAGAATCCACTGATATTTTAGTCTTCTGGTTCTCAATCTTGGCTTGCTTTTGCAACTACCTCTTGAACTTTAAAAAATTCTGCTCCAGCCTGGGCAACAGAAGGAGACTGTCTCAAAAAATATATGTCAATAAGTAAATATCCTGATGCCTGGATCCCACCATGGGACATTCTGATGTAACTGGCCTGCAATGGTGTCTGGGCATGGGGATTTTTAAAAGCCCCAGTGACTAATATGCAGCAGAGTTTGAGAACCACTGGTTTAAAGGACTTTGTCCTACTCTGACAGCGTCTAGCACAGTGCCTGGCAGAGACTGATGCTCAGAATGAACAAACTAAGATTCTATTTGTCAAGGAGGAGAGCATTGTGTTACTCACAAATGCAAACAAACCACAAGCAAGGGATAAGTCAGGCCCTGGGCAAAGACAATGGTAAAGCAATTCCTGCCAAGTAAGCGTGTGAGGGTGACACCCACTGAATGCAAGCTGTTGTTACCTTTTTCCCTTTATTTTTATGTATTTATTTTTTGTTGAGACAGGGTCTCACTGTCCTTCAGTCTGGAGTGCAGTGGCCCTATCCTGGCTCACTGAAGCCTCGACCTCCTGGGCACATGCAATTCTCCCGCCTCAGCCTCCTGAGTAGCTAGGACTATAGGTGCGTGCCACCATGCTTGGCTAATTTTTTAAATTTTTGTACAGAGGGGTGGGGGGTCCTAATTATGTTGCTCAGGCTGGTCTCGAACTCCTGGGCTCAAGTGATCTTCCTGACTCGGCCTCCAAAAGTGCTGGGATTACAGGTGTGAGCCACTGCACCAGGTCAAGTTTCTATCTTGACTCTAACTAGAAAAGGTGTCATCCTTGAAATGCAGGTACTGTTCAGCCAAATTCCAAAGTCCTCTGAAGATCCAAGTTCTCTAAGAAGTTCAGAGGTGCCAGGCTGTGTCTTGTTTGTGCAAATGAAACAGAGGATGACAAGGTCGGGTGGGCATTTCGAGCTCTGCCCCAAGTCTGGTCGGCTTGAGAGTCAACCTAGGAGCCTCTCTCGGCTCCAAATGGCAATGTGGCAGCCCTTCCCGAGTAGGGAAAAAGGAGCGTGTAGGGGGCACCACGGCAAGCTGGTTGGGTCTGCTCCACCCATGAGGATGGAGTGCAGCCTCCACCGGGAACCAGGGGCGCGAGTCGCTGCTCAGTGGCCTGGGCCTGCATGTGGCGCGGCGGGAGCTGCTGCCTAGGGCCGCGCAGCGACGGGGGGTGAGGACTACATGTCCCGACGTGCCTCGGGCAGGGCGGGGCGGTGCCGGAGCCGGGCCTGGAGGCCGGCCGGGGCCAGGCGTGCGCAGTGGTTCTTGGGAGTGGCGAAGCGGGTCCTGCCCCGCTGTCAGCTGCGGCCCCCGGCGCCGGGCGGGGGTGGCCGCGACCATTGGCGGAGAGGCGAAAGGGGCGGGGCCGCCGCCAGCCGCTGCGGGCAAGGCTGAACAGGCGGAGGTGGGCAGCCGGCCAGGGAAGCACGGTCCAGGCGGCTACATTCGGCCCGGCCATGGCAGCGGCGCCCCTGAAAGTGTGCATCGTGGGCTCGGGGAACTGGTGAGCGGCGGCGGGCTGGAGGCCGGGGCTCCGCTTCCAGGAAGCGCCTCTCCCGGGCGGTGAGGGCTGCGCGCCCCATGCTGCGGCGTGGGCACCGGGCACTGCGCGCAGGGAGGCGGGGTGGGCGACCTCGTTGCTGGGCTGGGCACCGTGCGCCCGAGGAGGCCGCACCGGGGCACTCGCTCGGGAGGCGCTGGGCTCGCGTGCGTGCGGGGGACAGCGCGGAGAGAGGGCACCCCGAGCACGCGGGCACCTGTCTGCGCCCCCGTTACTGAGCGCACAGAAGCCACCTGCTTGCCACGCCTGGGTGTTTTGCACAATATCCTAAGGGCGTATTCCGTTCTCCACGGCGGATCTCCTGGGTCAAGGACTTGGTGGAGGCTCGAGCATTCTTACTGCAGTTTCGGTGTTGAGGAAACCGAGGCGGAGAGGGCTAAAGGGCTCTTGCTGCCCAGGTCACGGGCGGGGCATGCTCTGCCCTTCAAGGTGCCCGTCTCGCCCCCGCTTCTGATAGGTCCACTATCTTAGGCGCGTCGTATCAGGAAGAAAATCCAAGTTTCAACAGGCCGCTCTCCCTGAGGCGTTGAGAATTCTCCCTTGCCGAGATGTTTGCGAAGCTTTGCGTCTCTTTGGGGCCTTATTTGACTTTAACATTTTATAGAGCACATTAGAAATGTCAGTTCTTCTAGTACCCTTAATCAAACGTACACTGTGGGATTCTCTGGTGTGTTTGGGTGAATGTAGAGGTGGGGGTGTGAAGGGGGAAGGAAGCAAAGTGTAGCATCTGGTGTTTCCAAGCCTTTTTTCATTGCTGTACACTCTGCCACATTGGAGGGACTGGTGTACAATAGTTAAGAGTGATGATGTCCTTTCAGTGCTTCTGTTTACCGGTTTTTCTGTGGCGTGACAGGCATCAGAAGTGCTGCAGCAGCTGGTCCTAGGTAGTTGGTCTTAGTTTTACTCTTTCAAGACTTGGCCCAGAAAGTACTTATTGAAGGAAACCTTACCTGGTTCTTCACTTTTCCATCCCAGCAAGGCCAGTGGCCTCTCTCTGTGTCCCTATTGCTGGCCTGCATCACTGCATTATAAGGAGTTATTTGATTATCTGTCTCCCAACTTTTGAGAATGGCATCTACCCTAGTGCCTGGCATATGCTAAGTCAATACTAAGACTCTGTTGCAGTGGTGCGATCTTGGCTCACTGCAACCTCCACCTCCTGGATTCAAGCGATTCTTGTGCCTCATCCACTTGAGTAGCTGGGATTACAGGTGTGAGCCACCGCTCCCTGCCTAAAAACTAATTTTTAAAACCATAATGATATTTGATTGAATAATACATTCACATTGTTTAACAACCAGGGCTGGGCGCAGTAGCTTATGCCTGTAATCCCAGCACTTTGGGAGGCTGAGGTGGGCCCAGGAGTTTGAGACTAGCCTGGGCAACACGGCAAAACCCCGCCTCTACAAAAAATAAAATATTAGTCGGGCATGGTGGCTCACGCTTGTAATCCCAGCACTTTGGGAGGCTGAGGCAGGGGGATCACGAGGTCAGGAGATTGAGACCACGGTGAAACCCCGTCTCTACTGAAAATACAAAAAATTAGCCAGGTGTGGTGGCAGGCGCCTGTAGTCCCGGCTACTTGGGATGCTAAGGCAGCAGAATCGCCTGAGCCTGGGAGGCAGAGGTTGCAGTGAGCCAAAATCAGATTGCACCATCGTACTCTAGTCTGTGTGAAGGGAGTGAAACCCTGTCTCAAAAGAACAAAACAAAACAAAAAATAAAAAACAAAAACCAAAGAGTACCAAAAACAGTGAAACATCACCCATCCACATTTATCCCCCCTGAGTACCTCCTGGAGGAAAACCAGTGTTATGAATTACTTCTGTCCTTTCTGGAGGAATTCCATGCAAGTGAATGCTTACATATAGTCCTTTCGCCCTCCACGCTGCAAATACTAGGGTATTGCATACTTTTCTGTGAGCTGCATTTTTCAACCAACAACAGAATGTTCTACACAATATTTAATAGAGTTGGTAGCTTGCTGCTGCAAAGCTTAATTTGGACTTTCAGCTTGGCTTTGCCAGTTGTTTTTTTTTATTACTATTTTTTTAGACGGAGTCTCCCTCTGTCGCCCAGGCTGGAGTGCAGTGGCGCGATCTCTGCTCACTGCAAGCTCCGCTTCCTGGGTTCATGCCATTCTCCTGCCTCAGCCTCCTGAGTAGCTGGGACTACAGGCATCCGCCACCATGCCTGGCTAATTTTTTGTATTCTTAGTAGAGACGGGGTTTCACCATGTTAGCCAGGATGGTCTCAATCTCCTGACCTCATGATCCGCCTGCCTCTTCCTCCCAAAGTGCTGGGATTACAGGCATGAACCACCGTACCCGGCCGGCTTTGCCAGTTTTAATGTCAAGCTCACTTGAGTGCAGTGTCAGCTCCCCTGTTGGCCATGCCACTTGAAAGGCACCCATTTAGCACATGTTTTTTTAACATTAGTTTTTTAGTCTGTACAATTCCACAGATGACAGCCCCTTTTCCTAATTTGCAAGATGCAGGACAAGTAGCACAGCTCTGCCATGCTGGAACTGGGCCTGGAGCAAGAGTAGTGAAGTGAGCCTCCTGCCCCCTCTGCTGGGATTTGGCTGCCTGCCCGTGGCTTCTTCATTCTGGTGTACTTGACTGTTTCCTTGGCCCACTCCAGCCCAGGGAAATGGAGTAGAACTTGGCCAGTGATACTGAAGCAGAGCAATTGAGAAATGTGCTGATGGTTTGGGCTGGCTGCCTGGCTTCATTAATTATGGGATTAGACGGGAACAATTCTTGGCTTCTGTGCCACTGCCTTGGGTACAGAGTTACTCCAGTCCTAGAGAGAGGATCACAACCTCCCCAGAGGGATTCAGGAACTCAGAAACTGAAAACAACATGGAGAAGCCCCAGAGGAGTGTTCAGCTCTAGTCAGTAGACATTTGAGTGTTGCCCGGTGAAGAGACTGTGGTCTGACCAGGGATGCAGACACAGCTGGACACAGTCCCGGTCCTTAAACAACTTACCTTCAGGTCTGAGATCAGTGAGGACATGGAAGATAAGACCGAAGGAATTGCCAAGTGGAATGGAGTAACTGCTCTGTTACACTTTAAATCGTGTTTCTTTTTTTGTTTGTTTGTTTTTGTTTTTCTTGAGACGGAGTCTCGCTCTGTCGCCCAGGCTAGAGTGCAGTGGCGCAATCTCAGCTCACCGCAAGCTTCGCCTCGCGGGTTCACGCCATTCTCCTGCCTCAGCCTCCCAGGTAGCTGGGACTACAGGCACCCGCCACCACGCCCAGCTAATTTTTTGTGTTTTTTAGTAGAGACGAGGTTTCACTGTGTTAGCTAGGATGGTCTCAATCTCCTGACGTCGTGATCTGCCTGCCTCGGCCTCCCAAAGTGCTGGGATTACAGGCGTAAGCCACTGCGCCCGGCCTAAATCGTGTTTCTTAAATTGTGGTCCCAAGACCACTTGTGTCAGAATTACCACTGAAACTAGACTTGCTTAATCATATCCCCTGAGAATGAGATTTTTTTTTCTGAAGGAACTTTAGCCTTTTGCCAATTTTAATACAGATCACCAAGAGATAGACCTACCCTTCCAGATCTGGTTCTTACCTCAGGAATGTCAAGTTGCTTAAGCAATGTTTATACTTGGAACTTTAGGGCAGCTTAGCCTGTTTGTGTAAATAAAGGTGTTTGTCACATTTGAGAACTCTCACATGGAGTGCCTCTCCCAAGTCAATTGTCATCAGTTGCAATACAGTTATCAGAATATTGAATCTAGCTGGCTTGCCAGGGAGCTTCAGCCAGGAAGGTCCTGGGCAGGAAAGTAGACGTGTTGTATAACATGCCCTTGTCCTGTCCTTTGGTGAAGCTCATTTTCTCTACATAGATCAGAGAGAGGAGGCTAGAGGAGGGGCCGTCATGCATCCAGCTGAGCCCTGCTGTGTTGCCCACTGCCGCAGGTGCAGGGAGGGACTTCCTAACCTGCATGACTTTTCCTGACCCTGTAAATTTGATTTGGAAAAACAACAAAAGCTTCTCAGGTTCTTTCAAAGATGAAACAGTTTCTTTTTTCTTTTTTTGTTTTTGTTGTTGTTGAGACAGAGTCAGCTCTGTTACCCAGGCTAGAGTGCAATGGCACCATCTTGGCTCACTGCAACCTCCATCTGCTGGGTTCTAGCGATTCTCATGCCTCCGCCTTCTGAGTAGCTGGGATTACAGGTGGGCACCACCATGCCCGGCTAAGTTTTATATTTTTAGTACAGACAGGGTTTTGCCGTGTTGGCCAGGTTGGTCTTGAACTCCTGGCCTCAAATAGTCTGCCCGCCTTGGCCTCCCAAAGTGCTGGGATTATAGGCATCAGCCACAGTGCCTGGCCCAAAGTTTCTTTCTTTTAACCAGCACCTTGGGAAGATCACCCAGACAAAGTGCAAAATAAAGTTCTAGAGTTAAAACCTCAGGGCTGTATTTACAGCCAAACCCTTGTGATAGGAAGCATATGTCCAGAAACACATCCTAAATCTCCTTTGGAGGCAGGGTAGTGCAGTGGTATAAGAAAGAGCTTGGGAATCTGACTGCCTACGTTTCTGCCTGGGTCTCCCACTTGGCAGCTCTGAGGCCTTGGGAAAAGCGCTTCTCTCTAAGAATCATGTATTGATACCTGCTGTCTGGGATTATGGTTAGGATTAAATGAAATGATCTGGGGAGAGTGCATGGTGACTAGCACTCAGTAAATGACAGTTGCTATTAGTATTATTAGTTTCATCATCCTTGATGGACCTGTCATTAAGTCACAAAATGGACTGGTTTGGGGTTTGGCCAAGGGGTAGAGAGGCAGAGGATAGGAGAGAAGACAGGAGATGAGGAGAGAGGCTGATAGACAGCTGGAGGAGTGTCCTTGGGAGTTGCCTATCTCTTGCCCTTGTTTTCACATCACCCCACAGCCTGACATTTTCTCTGATACCGAAGGTCAAGGAGAGCTTTGGCCCACTTTGCTCTGATGACTGAAGCTGGACCTGTGACTCTGTCTTTTTTTTTTTTTTGGTCTGCTGGAACTGGCTGGGTGCAGCATCCTGGCTGTTCATCCGCCCTGGGCACCCTTTTGTCTGTGCTACTCAGTTTCTGTTGTGATTCTCACCACACAGAGAGCTCAGAAACAATTTGAGTGACTATAAGTTAGCTCCTTTATGGTCAGAAATAATCCTTCCCTGAGGACAGGCGCACGGACACACTTCTGCCTTGGAAGTTGGAGTGAGAGTTGATAGGATGGACTGGAGATGAACTGGGAAGAGACTTAGAGTTCCCTTGTGGGCTAAGATGAGAAAGTTTGTACGGCTTTTTAAAAAGTAATATTTAATCACCTGTTTCCTTCATCTCCCCCACCTGTTTGGTATACAAATCATGAGTGGGGCTGGGTGCAGTGGCTCATGCCTATAACCTCAATACTTTGGGAGGCTGAGGTGGAGAATCATTTGAGCCCCACAATTTGAGTCCAGCCTGAGAAACATAGCAAGACCCTGTCTCTAAATCTAAAAAATAAATAAATAAAATATAAATAAAACTCATGGCCGGGCGCAGTGGCTCATGCCTGTAATCCCAACACTTTGGGAGGCTGAGGTAGGTGGACTGGTTGAGCCTAGGAGTTCAAGACCAGCCTAGACAACTTAGTGAGACCCTGTCTGTACAAAAAAAATACAAAAATTAGCTGGGCATGATGGCATGCGCCTGTAGTCCCACCCACTTGGGAGGCTAAGGCAGGAGAATCACTTGAGCCCAGGAGGCAAAGGTTGCAGTGAGCCAAGATGGCACCATTGCACTCCAGCCTGGGTGACAGGAGGGAAACCCTATCTCAAAAAAATATATATAATATAATAATGACTACTATTCTAGGAATGAGTCGAGAGCTCCCAGTGTCTTACCTTAACCTTTCATTTCTTAACCTTTACCTCTTGCTTCATTCTTCCATTCTATCTCCTTCTCTTCCTTAAGAGGCATAAATATAATAATTTATCATTTTCTGTGTGTCATGTACATGATGTTATTTCGTTTAAACATGTGACAGGCCTGTGGGGTACTATTATTATAACCCTATGTTAGATGACATAACTAAGATTTAGAGAAAACTTGCTTAAGTCAACAGTTAGTAGGTGGACTTGAAACCCAGATCCTTTTAACCCCAAAGACCATGTTTCCATAAATTCTTACCATTTTCAGTGTGAAGCATACTTTCACATGAGGATAAATATCATTTTCATAAAAATGTTGAGTATCCTCCCAACAAAATCCAATTTTATATTCTCCTTCTGAGAAATAAAATGGAAGCAAGGCCTTAAAAATCATCTCATTCAGTTTCCCACCAATGTAGTCATCCCTTCTCCTATAGATATGACAGATGATTATAGTTTACTATTTTCAAGGCAATTGATCTTAAAATTAATTAGAGGATTAATTGTTGAAAAAATCTTATCTTTTTTTTTCTTTGTATGTGAAGAAAAATCTTAGGAAAATCTAAGCTAAAAATCTATCACCTCTAACTTTTACCTGTTAATCCCAGAGCAACACTTAGGTGAGCCTACTCTTCTCTAAGTCATGTCCCTTTGGACAGAAAAGTCACATATCTCCTAAATCTTGTCTCTGGCAGGCCAAGTAGCATCCCCAAGTCTCTCAGTGGTTGCAGGTGGACAGTAGTTTCTGGGATCCTCACCATCTGTGTCACCATTCTCCTTTCCCTTTCCTCCTCCCCAACTGGGTGATGTCAGGAACTAAGCTCACTGTGCCAGAAGTGTCCTGGGCTCCCATAAGGTTATACTGGTGACACTTTGTAGTTATTCTGCTTTGAGGCTCAGTCTCTTCCACAATTGGAAGAGGAGAACTGAATCAGTCATCTCTCACTGCCTAACAGTCTACCCCCAAACTTAGTGGCTTCAGACAGCAATCATTTATTAGCTCATGATTCTGGGGTTTAACAATGTGGGCTGACTAACCTGGCAGATTTTCTGCTGATCTAGCCTAGGCTCACTCATATGGCTGTGGTTGGCTGGTGACTTGGTTGGACACTCTCACCCACCTTTTTTTTGTTGTTATTTTTTGGGAGTCTCACTCTGTCACCCAGGCTGGAGTACAGTGGCATGATCACAATGCATTGCAGCCTCAACCTCCAAGGCTCAAGCAATCCTCCCACCTTAACCTCCCGAGTAGCTGGGACTAGAGGCACACACCACCATGCCTGGCTAATCTTCAGATTTCATCATAGAGGTGGGGTCTCACTATGTTGCCCAAGCTGATTTCGAACACCTGGGCTCAAGTGATCCTCCTGCCTTGGCCTCCCAAAGTACTGGGATTACAGGCATGGGCCACCACACCCAGCCTGGCTGGGACTCTTGGTCCTAGATGACCTCCTTCATGTCTGGCAGTGGGCAGGCTTCAGCCAGCGTGACAGGGGTGACCAGCCCACATGTCTTTCATCCTTCAGCAGGCTAGCTTAGGCTTCTCCATATGGTGGTTGGGTTCTAACAAGAGTAAGAGAAGGCAAACCTTCATGAACTTAATAGGCACTTTTCAAGCTGTAGCACGAATTGGGCCAGATGCTTTTCTAGTCCATGTGTTCAGAAGAGTCATAGTTTCCTAAATCTGTGGCTTTAAATTTTTTGACTTGCAACTAGCTGACATACAATTTTATATTATGATGGAGGATACTTCATATCCAACCAGAAACAAATGTTTCACAGTAACAAATGTTACTATGGGTGATTAACTGTGATCTCTTCTCCTTATATTTATTTTGTGCCTGCATAACCTTCAGTTTGAGAAACACTGTCCTAGATAGTAAAACAGTTTCTCATTCTTATTGTTTCCGGACTTGGTTCCTTCCGGTGGGTTCTTGGTCTCGCTGACTTCGAGAATGAAGCCGCGGACCCTCACGGTGAGTGTTACAGTTCTTAAAGATGGTGTGTTCAGAGTTTGTTCCTTCAGATGTTCAGATGTGTTCGGAGTTTCTTCCTTCCAGTGGGTTCGTGGTCTCGCTGACTTCAGGAGTGAAGCCACAGACCTTCCCAGTGAGTGTTACAGCTCTTAAAGGTGGCGCGTTCAGAGTTGTTTGTTCCTCCAGGTGGGTTTGTGGTCTCGCTTACTTCAGGAGTGAAGCCGCAGACCTCTGTAGTGAGTGTTACAGCTCATAAAGGTAGTACAGACCCAAAGAGTGAGCAGCAGCAAGATTTATTGTGAAGAGCGAAAGAACAAAGCATCCACGGAGTAGAAGGAGACCTGAGCCGGTTGCCACCACTGGCTGGGGTGGCCAGCTTCTATTCCTTTATTTGGCCCTGCCCACAACCTGCTGATTGGTCCGTTTTACAGAGTGCTGATTGGTCCATTTTACAGAGTGCTGATTGATGCATTTTATAGAGTGCTGATTGGTGCATTTACAATCCTTTAGCTAGACACAGAGTGCTGATTGGTGCATTTACAATCCTTTAGCTAGACACAGAGTGCTGACTGGTGTGTTTTTCCAGAGTACTGATTGGTGCATTTATAATCCTTTAGCTAGACACAGAGTGCTGATTGGTGCATTTTTACAGAGTGCTGATTGGTGCGTTTACAATACTTTAGCTAGGCAGAAAAGTTCTCCAAGTCCCCACTGGACCCAAGAAGTCCAGCTGGCTTCACCTCTCATTATCATTACAGCCAGAGTCACATGTATGTCCTAAGAAAACTATATCCTCATCATTTGGATTTTCTCTACCCGGTTTTTCCAGTGCTGAAGAAAGGAAGTGGTTTGCATGGGTTATAGGCAAAAAAAGAACCAAAGAATTTGTGTTTCTCCAGTCCTGGAGGAGGAGGAGAACTCTAACCTAATAGCCCTAACACTGGCCATCTGGACAGAAATATCCCCAAGCTGAAATTAGTAATTCATGTAGCTACCTCAGCTTGATGGAAATGTCTTCAAGCATCTAAACCCTTTTCGTGTACGTTGAACTTTTTTTTTTTTTTTTTTTTTTTTTTTTTTTTTTTTTTTTTTTTTTTTGAGACGGAGTCTCGCTCTGTTGCACAGGTTGGAGTGCAGTGGCACGATCTTGGCTCACTGCAACCTCCACCTCCCGGGTTCAAGCAATTCTCCTGCCTCAGCCTCCGAGTAGCTGGGACTGCAGGCATGTGCCACCACGCCAGGCTAATTTTTTTGTATTTTTAGTAGAGACGGGGTTTCACCGTGTTAGCCAGGATGGTCTCGATCTCCTGACCTCGTGATGTGCCCGCCTCGGCCTCTCAAAGTGCTGGGTTTACAGATGTGAGCCACCGTGCCCGGCCAGGTTGAACTTTTTAAGTTGGGTTTCTTGAGTGGATCCACCCAGTGAGAGGAAGTGCCTTTTGTAGACTGTACTCCATGGTTCTCCATTGTGTGGGTCGTCTGTTGAAATTCTGCATGTGCAAACACTTTGACAACTGTAATATGTTATATAAATGTTAGAAATGATTATGGATAAATTTGCATTATCACATATAATTAAGTGACCATGCATTCACATTTGTCTTCAACTGTGGTTTATACTTGTCCCAGTCTAATTTCAGAGCATTCTCAAAAGGATCTTGTTTTAAACAACAAATCTTATGGTAACCTGCTTAAAAGGAACTCTTGTGAGTTTGAGTAACATGATTCTGATCCTCACAACCAGGACCAGCAATGATGGCAGATAAATTTCATCTCAGGCACTGACTCTAGTTGATTAATGGTGGCTGCAGAGAGTTTTGTGTTGAGAAGGATTCTGGGGAAGAGAGTAGCTTTGCCAGGAAAGGGTGCTGTGACCTACGATAGCAAGCTGGGGTGGGGATTGGGGTGGGGACTGACAGCATCTAGCTTGGACTGATTTACTACTACCAATTTTACTACTACTCATATTTAAATTTACTACTACTTGGACTAGTTACTTCTACCAAAGGAGAACCCATCTGTGAGGCCTTGACTGACACAGCCAGCTCATGCTCAGCTTTGGCCCACAGCTGCACAAATGTTAGATTCAGTAGTAAGGACTATCCCGGTTAACCCCTTAAGCACTTTATGTGTTATCTGAGTTAATCCTCACAGTATGAGGTACTGTATTGTCATCATCCTTATTTTATAATAAGTCTGAGCTTACAGAAGTTATGTAATGTGTTCTAAGTTACACAGATACTATGCAGTAGAGTGGTTGAAGTTCTCTGCCTTCCTGCCCACTTGAAATGTGGCTATTCGGACTACATTTAAATGTTAACTAATTAAAATGTAAATACTATGTGTAGCTACGTATGCAGTGGAGCTCTACATACTTATTTTCTCCTTGCTTTTTCATGTAACTGTGTCTTGAAGCCCTTTCCATATCTATACATAAAGAACATCTTCATTCTTTTTTATACTTGTATAATATTGCTGGGTATAGGTATGCTTTTGTTTAATCAGTTTCCTCTTGATGGATATTCTAAGAGTTCTGCAGTGAATAGCCTTATACTGAACCATCTGCATATATGTTGGTGGAAGCCAGAACAATACATGAGAAATAATTTAGTCATGATTTCTTATTTCATTTTTCACTTTGTAATAAGCAAGTATGAGGAAGGTGGACAGTAACATTCCAGCTGTAGAGGGCCTAGAAACATAAGCAGAAAAGAGATTTGTTTGTTCTGGATTACCTAGCATGTCTGGTGTAGAGCTCAGGTTTGAAAGCTGAGATTTTGCATTGTTGAGACTCTGGTGGATGTTTGGAAATGGTTTTCAGTAATTCTCATTATCCAGGAATGCGGGCAGGGGTGTATAGTCTTTCAGTTGTTATGTCAACAGAGACCAAGTGCCAGGTGGCTGTTAGAATTTGCACTGCATGGTTCTTTCCATTATCAATAGATGGGCTTGCAGAATGTATTTATCTAAAAAGTTTGTGCTAGGATGTAGAATATGCTTGTTTGAAGCACCATGGACAGTTTGGTTCTCTGCCATCCTTGCTTAAGACTGGTGGTCCTTAAAGGCAATTTGAGACTGTGACTTAGACATTCTCCAGGACCCTGTGTGTTGTTCTCCTGAGTGGGCAGGTAGATTCTCCTGCTACCTATGTCTTTGATTCCGATCTGAATTAATCACTGACCATTCCTCCATTCACTCAGATGAACATTGTTCCCATGGTGTGTGGGGTTGATAGCATGGCTGACCAGGTCATGGATAGCCATTTTTGTACAGGCTGACAGAGGTGTGGTCCATCCCAAACTGCTCCTACTTGGCTGCTCTGAAAACATATTGAAGTAAGTATCAACTAAAATGAGACTTAGGGGGCATCTGTGGATTTCAGTTAAACCTCCATAGCTTCTATTTTCTGGTTGGCTAACAGGCCTTGGGACTTGCTGAAACTTGTCTGCTTTGGATTCGGGGTCTGTTAAAATATCTAAATGGGAATGATTTAAAATCAGAATAAAAAAATAAACTAACACATGCCTGTTTGGGAAAATTTGGAAAAGATAGGCAAGTATGAAGAACACAATAACATTTGCTTGTAAACTTACCAACAAGAAAGGATGTATTCATGCAACAAATGTTTGTTGTGCATCTACTATGTCAACACTTCAATGTGCATGTGAATCTCTTGGGGATTGTGTTACAGAGCAGATTCTGATTCAGCAGGTCTGGGGTAGGGCCTGAGGTTCAGCATTTCTAACACGCTCTCAGGGATATATTCACTGCTGGTCCACGAACTGCACTTTTAATAGGATCTGACCATAGGCTGGGTCTTATGCTTGTTCTTGTGTGTTTTCTTGCCATCCTTTTTAAGTGTGTATGTTTTTTTAATTGTGACAAAATACACATAACATAAAATTTACCACCTTAACCATTTTTAAGCATACGGTTTAGTAGGGTTAAGAATGTTCACATTGTTCGTATTGAAAACAATGAAAATATTGAAAAGAATTAGATCTCCAGAATTCTTTTCATCTTGCAAATCTGAAACTCTATATTCATTAAACGACAGTTCCTCAATCCACTCTTTCCCCAGTCCCTGGAAACCACGCTTCTACTTTCTGTCTCTATGAATTTGACTACTCTAAGTACCTCATATAAGTAGAATTATACATTATTTATCCTTCTGTGTCTGGCTTATTTCAGTTAGCATAATGTCTTCAAGGTTCATCCATGTTGTAACGTATGTCAGAATTTCCTTTTTAAGGCTGGATAATATCCCATTGCATGTGTAGACCACCTTTTGCTTATCCATACATCAGTTGATGGACACTTGGGTTGCTTCCACCTTTTGGCAATTGTGAATAGTGTTGCTATGAACATGGGTGTACAAATACCTCTTTGAGACCCTGCTTTCAATTCTTTGGGGTATATACCCAGAAACAGAATTGCTTGATCATATGTTAGTTCTATTTTTAATTCTTTGAGGGACTGCCATTTGGTTTTCCACAGTGGCTGCAGTATTTTACAAATCTACAAACAGTATACAAGGGTCCTGATTTCTCTGCATCCTTACCAACACTTATTATTTTCTGTGTTTTTGATAGTAGCCATCTAAGTGGATCTGAGGTGGTATTATTTATTAATTGCACACTTGCAATCATATGGTATGTACAATTTTACATCCTTTTTGTTAAATGTAACATTCTATCATAAGCATTTTCCCCTACAGTTTGAATTTTGATAGAAAGCCTTTTCAGTCTCCTTCCTCTTTGAAGTGAAGTTGTTCATATTGATCTTTTTTCCTTTGTGGTTTCTTTCTTTGATTTTAAGCTTAGAAAGCTTCCCTATGTAGAGATCAAATAACATTCGCCAAGTTGAATCTATTTTTAAAATACTTCATTTTTAACATTTGCATCTAATACTCTGGCATTTGGTTGTTCTTTAAAAGCCCTTTGACTGCAAAGAATTACGCAAAATGTTAATAGTGGTTCTCCCTGGGTGGTGAGATTATTCATAATTTTTTTCATGTATTGCTCTTATGAGTGAAAAAGTACATGTTATTTAAACCACAAAGGACCACGCTTTTGCCCATGGAACCAGCCCGGGTCAGCTCTGGAAGAGATGGGGGCATGGAATGTGGAGAATCTAGCTGATGGTGTATTCTTCCTGGACCTCCGCTTCCTCCATAGTAAAAAGAAGGATGGACTGTAGGGTCCTTTCTGGCCTCAAAGAAATTCATCAGGTTTTTAGGCCCAACTTGATAGTGTCAACCTAAAATAATCAAAAAGGTCAGAATCTAGTTTAAAGAGAGTTTAATTAAGTGCGAAGGTTAAAAGTGAGCCTGCCGGCCGGACACAGTGGCTCACAACTGTAATCCCAGCACTTTGGGAGGCCGAGGCAGGCGGATCACAAAGAGATCAAGACCATGCCAGCCAACATGGTGAAACCCTGTCTCTACTAAAAATACAAAATTTAGTTGGGTGTGGTGGCGCGTGCCTGTAGTCCCAGCTACTGGGGAGCCTGAGGCAGGAGAATCGCTTGAACCCAGGAGACGGAGGTTGCAGTGAGTCAAGATCGCACCACTGTACTCCAGCCTGGCGACAGAGTGAGACTCTGTCTCAAAAAAAACAAAAAACAAACAAACAAACAAAAACAAGTGAGCCTGCCCAGAAAGAACAGATTCCAAGAAATTTGACAGTGTTCATATAGAAAAAGTTCAGGGAAATTTAATAGGATTTCAGCATGTTTCTATGTAAGGCTTAATGCATAGTTACAATGATCTGATTAGTCAAGGTGGTCTTTCTGAGTGGTGGGGGAGGTATATTTAACATTCCACACAGCAGATGTAACCATCATTGGGTCTTGGACTGACGCTATCTGGTGCGAGTTAGGTACAGGACAATGAAGGAGGCAGTTAATGTACAACAAAGATCAGCAATTAGAAGCGGGAAGATCTGGTCTCTCCTAGTCATTTACAATGAGGAAGTCAAGAACAGTGGGGAAGAGAGTGAAGCAGAATTGCAAGCATGCAAGTTATACATAACCCAGTCTCCAAGCCCTAACTTCCCCCTTGGCATAATAAATTTAGAGGGTTCTGAAATTTTTATTTTTATTTAAAAACAGGCGTCCATTCCTTGGCTGAAGTAGTACCTCCCCAGCCTAATTAAATACTACACCTTTTTAGAGAGAAAGGGGTGAGAAGGCTGTGGACAGAGTGAATGGCAAAGGGTTAGCTGGGGCTGGAGGCGGGGAGGGCATTGCCAAGCTGGGGGTTAGGACCTCCTGCAGGCGGGTGTCCATCCAGCTGGGACTCAGGGCCGTAGAGCAGAAGGGTTAAAAGGGATACTGTGGGTAAGGTATTTGAAACAGTGCCTGACACCTGGTACGCACCAAATTAGTGCTGTTTTTGCCCACCCCGTCCCTTCCTTGCCTCTTGCCCCTGCCACGCCATTTTCTCCACCTTCCCTCCCTCCTCTTTTTCTCCTCCCTTAGTCTCCCTGATCCTTTCCATTTCTCTTGCACTGTCTCCTCTTCTCTCCTTCCCTTAACCTGTCTCCTCTTCCTTCTTTTCTCTCCTCTCTGGATGTGTTGGTTCTAGATAAAATCTGTGCCTATTGTTGGCCATGCCACCTGCTATGAGTGAGCTTTGCCCCAGGGGCCTTACTGCTGCCGGGAAGGTACCCAGCCTCCTCCCCGGGTAAGGCCCACTAAGCCTCAGAGCTCCGCCCTGGCTAGGCTTTCTTTATATATATATTTCTCTCTATATATATTTCTCTCTATATATATTTCTCTCTATATATATTTCTCTCTATATATATTTCTCTCTATATATATTTCTATGTATATATTTCTATATATATATTTCTATGTATATATTTCTATATATATATTTCTATATATATATTTCTATATATATTTCTATATATATTATATATATTTCTATATATATAATATATATATTTCTATATATATTTCTATGTGTATATTTCTATATATATATTTATATATATATTTCTACATATATTTCTATATATATATTTCTATATATATATTTCTATATATATATATTTCTATATATATATATATTTTTTTTAGGCAGAGTTTTGCTCTTTTGCCGAGGCTGGAGTGCAGTGGTGTGATTTCAGCTCACCGCAACCTCTGCCTCCCAGTTTCAAGTGAGTCTCTGTCCTCAGCCTCCTGAGGAGCTGGGATTACAGGCACGCGCCACCACGCCCGGCTAATTTTTGTATTTTTAGCAGAGACGGTGTTTTACCATGTTGGTCAGGCTGGTCTTGAACTCCTGACCTCGTGATCTGCCCGCCTTGGCCTCCCAAAGTGCTGGGATTACAGGCGTGAGCCACCGTGCGCAGCAGCACAGTTACATTTTTTTCTGTGCTTGTTGAAACAGCGTCAGTCTCTGTTTACCAGTCTCCAAGCTCCATGAGGATGGGGACTTGTCTGCGTTCATTCCCTTGTGTCCCTTGCACCCAGCATGGTGTCTGAAATTAATGGGTGCTCAATAAATATTTTCAATAAAAGACTCTACACTACAATAGGGCAAATATGAATTAGCAGCAAGTGCAGGCTTTGGAGACACTCAGATCTGGGTTTGAATTGCTAACCGTAGATGGACAGCATGACTTAGGCAATTCATTTATGCTCTTTGGGCCTCAATTTCATCATCTGTAAAATGGGGATAATGTGCACCTCTCTTATGGGCTGTAATAAAGATTTTTTAAATGAAATCTTATATGAAGTACCCATCTACTCAAGTTCCTTTTAAATTTTATTTGCATAGCATTACAGGACTTGTGAAATAGTGTATACTTTAAGGCCTAAGACTTAAGACAATTCATTATTTCATGGGTAATAGAATTTTATACATCTATGTAAAGACCCAGGACTGGCCATCAGCAGACCTGAGTCCTCCAAGTTCTGCCTTAGCTAGTTTTTGACCTTTGCTCCGGGGGCCTTCCTTCTGCCTGGAAGGCTCCCCAACCTCCTCCCCAGGTAAGACCCACCTGGAGGCCATACCTGGTCGTAGGATGCAAGGTGAACATGACTGAGTCTCATGCATCTTAATCTGCAAGATGAAGAGTTTGGGTAGGGTTAAACACATCATGCAGGCAGCACCCTTATGGCTTTGGCTCTATCTGCTTCATAGCTATAGTATTATTTGATTGCTATTCTTTCTTTAAAAGTTTATTTTTATTCATTTATTTTTTGGAGACAGGGTTGTGTGCCATTACCCAGGCTGGATTGCGGTGGTATGATCATGGCTTACTGCAGCCTTGACCTCCTGGGCTCAACTGATCCTCTCGCTTCAGCCTCCTGAGTCGCTAGGACTACAGGTGCAGCCGCCATGCCCAGCTAATTTTTTATTTTTTGTAGAGACAGGATCTCAGTATGTTGCCCAAGCTGTCTCAAACTCCTGGGCTCAAGAAATGCTCCCTCCTTAGCCTCCCAGTGTGCTGAGATTCCAGGTGGAAGCCACTGTGTCCAGCCTAAATGTTTACTTTAAAAGACAACTTCATACCACTATAGTAAATATCACAAGTAGAAGGTAACAACAACAAAACCCAGTAGAATGAAAACAAGACAGTGTTATAAAATTCTTGCCAGATATTACTACCTGCCAAGGCTCAGAGTCTGAGGCCTCTTCAGACTTTGTGAAGAAGGGAAATTAGCACATGCTGGAGAGATGGTAACCACTTAATGGCACTGCAGCGAGACATTCTGCACTCGCTCAGGACCATGAGAGTTGAAAAGGGCATGAGTGATTCAGTGTCATTTGGTTTCGTGTGTATCCCTAGTACCCATTTCTCACTTTGGGAAGCACTGGATTCGATCATAGACCTGGAAGGAACCTTAAAGATTACCTGACCCCCCCATCATTTTGTAGATGGATGAGCTGAGCCTGATGTGGAGGTGGCTGCTCGTGCCCTTGACCCAGCCATGTGAAGACCTGTGCCCTCGATTCTCAAAATGCGGGAGTCGAAAGACAGACAGACAGATAGATAGATAGATAGATATGCAGGAGTTGAAAAATAGGCAGGCAGGTAGATAGACAGAGAGATAGATATGCAGGAATTGAAAGATAGATAGATAGATAGATAGATAGATAGATAGATAGATAGATAGATAGACAGACAGATAAGACCCATGCCTGACTATGCTTGTGTAGTGTTACAGAAAGCAGCTGAGACATGGAGAGTGCCAGCAGTGTGGCCGCAGGTCCCCAACTATGACCTGTTCACATGCAAACCACCTTTGTGGACTGTAGTCAGTACTTTTATTTTAAGCTCAGCTCTAATATATCTATGTACATTTTTGGACTGGCCTTCTGTTGGCCAGTCACATTTCTTTCTTTCTTTCTTTCTTTTTTCCCAGACAGAGTCTTCCTCTGTAGCCCAAGCTGGAATACAGTGGCATGATCTCGGCTCACTGCAACCTCCGCCTCCTGAGTTCAAGCGATTCTCCTGCCTCAGCCTCTTGAGTAGCTGGGACTACAGGCGCACGCCACCATGCTCAGCTAATTTTTTGTATTTTTAGTAGAGACAGGGTTTCACCATGTTGGCCAGGATGGTCTCAATCTCCTGACCTTGTGATCCACCCGCCTCGGCCTCCCAAAGTGCTGGGATTACAGGCGTGAGCCACCACCCCCGGCCCATTTCTTTAGAACAGGGTGTGCCACTTATAAGTAGACTCTGTTCCCTTCAAAACCCTCTGGCTCCTCCAAAACACTTTCCTTGCTCTATTTCATCCACAAGAAAAATGAAACTGCTCTTTCACATTGGTCAGAAGAGGTAACACTTGGGACAAATGCATCTAGTACCATTCCAGAGGCACAAAGGAATTTTGGGTGCGGGTTATACTTTTTGATTTTTTATAAACCACACAGATAAAAGTGGACAACAGAGAAAATATTGAGTTCAACATGGAGATTGGGCTGGGCGCAGTGGCTCATGCCTGTAATCCTAACACCTTGGGAGGCCAAGGTGGGAGGATCGTTTGAGCCCAGGAGTTCAAGACTAGCCTGGGCAACATAGAGAGATTTCATCTCTACAAAAACTTTTTAAAAAATTAGCTGGGCGTGGTGGCACACATGTAGTCCAGCTACTCGAGGGGCCAGGGATGATTCCCTTGAGCCTGGGAGGTCAAGGCTGCAGTGAGCCATGATTGCACCACTGCACTCCAGCCTGGAGGACAGAGCAAGACATTGTCTCAAACAAACAAACAGAGAGAGTATGCCAAAGGGGGTTAAAACAAAATAAAATATAGTGTTTTAAGTCCTGGTCCTCCTCCTCCATGCCCTGCCTCCCCGCCACCCTTGCCAAAAAAATTACTGTATAAATTATATATAGAGAACAAAACTAGGCCTTAAGGTACTAGGATCATTTTGTTCCTCTCCATATGTGAATTTAATTCCACAGTCCTTCCTTCAGCACTGAACACTACCGCAGCCCCCAATCCCTCCCACCACATTGCCAATCCCTGGGTGGCAAATCCAACAGCTTGGCCAACAATTCACTTGGAGTGGCCTCTAGTTGTGTCAAAGATGCTGTATTTATGCATCTATCAGCTTTTGCTGCAACACAGCCCACTCTCCCCTAACTCAGCTGCTTAAAATAACAAGCATTTATGATTGCTTATGAGTTATGGATCAGCTGGTCAGGCTCACTCATGTGTCTGCAGTTAGCTGAGTATTTGGGTGGAAAGCACTGCTGTGTCTGCTCTTCCCAGCCCTGATTTGCGAAGCTTTTTTTGCTTCTCAGCGGGGTTTGGTCTTCCTGAGCACCATCCTTATGTCTTCTCCCTGCACCCTGGGTTGGGCTGTCCATTATGGTTCTCTTAATAGAAGGTTGAGCCTGGGAGACTTGTCATGGATCAACATGTATTGCAGTTGGTTCCTTTGTATTGAAGTCCACTGCAGTTTACCCTTCTAACCACATCTGCTTCCACTTTCTTCCACCTCTTACCACACACAGCATCATGAATGCCTTTTAGCTATTTATCTCTCTGAGCGGGTGGTAAGCTTTTGAGAGCAAATAACACATTGCCTTTCCCCTGCTGTATTACCACCATCTGGCCCAATGCATTACGCATAGTAGGTGCTCAGTAAATATTTGATGACTGAGATAAATGAGTGAATGACTGAAATTATTGATGAAACCAGGAATGAGGTAGAATGAGGTCTTGATGACCCCCCAAGAGTAAAATAACTGGAATTCCCCTTATTAATTTTTTATCCTGTCACTTTAAGCCCCATTGAATCCCAAAGGATGTACAGACATGGTCTGGAGGGCTTAGTTCTTAATGGTACCAATGTTTGTTTAAATTTTCCTAACTCTAGGCAGGTGTGGTGGCATGTGCCTGTAGTCCCAGCCACTCAGGAGGCTGAGTTGGAAGGATCACCTGAGCCCAGGAGGTCGAGGCTGCAGTGAATTGTGACTGTGCCACTGCACTCCAGCCTGGGTGACAGAGTGAGATCCTGTATCAATAAATTAAATAAATAAATAAATACATAAATAAATAAATATTCCCAACTCATTGCAGCAGATACTACAGGTTTGCTTCTGGTTGCAAATGTTTGGCTTCCCCAAGAGGCAGCTGTAAAGGGGAAAGCAAGTGTATTCCAGTAAGATCATGGGGAGGGATTCCTGGTTCTGATTTATTTTTCCACTTGGTTTACTAGACTTAGATTCCTGGTGTCTCATAGTCCCTCGTCAGTTGATGCTCAGTCCCCCAGAACCATACTTGTTCTCTATGACCTTGTGAAAGTTACTTGATGCCAGGGAACACTGTGAACCACAGCCTTTATCTTCCTGTGAGTACGTGAGCAGCTGTTTCCAAGATTAGAATAAAGGTGGTAGTGATGGTGGGAGATTCCTGGCCTCCCTTCTACAAAGTGTCAGTAGGAGAATTAGATTAATGGGTATTTTTCTAATAACCTGTCCTGCTGGCATAGAATAAGAATTTCACAGGTACAGCTGCATAGCCTTGATATCTACAGCTATTCTTTTGTGAGGGAGGAGGGCATCAGAATTCTAATCATTGTGCAGAGCAGTGGCTCTCAGCCCTGGCTGCACATCAAGTCATCAGGGAGCTTTAAAAAGTACAGATGCCTGATCCCACCACAGAAGTGCCAGTTCCGTTGGCCTGGGGTGTGGTCTGGGACTCAGGATTTTTAAATCTCCCGGGTAACTCTGTGTGCAGCCAAAGTTGAGAACCACTGGTTCAGTTTATCCCTTCTATGTCAGGAAAGGGACAATATTTATAATCTGTTAGAATTACTTGAAATTTTATGGTTGTTAAAGCATACAGGTTTATATGCTGGGATGTATTATATTTGGGTTAGAATAACAGATTCATCCAGGGATGAAAATAAATGTCTCCAACATGTTCTGCATCCACTTGGCCGCCCCCGCCTTTTGTTGTCACCCCCTACTCCATCTCATCAATTTGTCTTGAGAATAATTGTGAGAAAAAGTAGCAACTGCCCTAACACATGAATTTGCAAGATGCTCTTTACTGCGTTCTCTCATTTGCTCCTCACGCCAGGAAGGTCATCTAAGAAACAAACTGTTTCTCAGTTGAAAGTCCAGAGGGGAAAGCTGACAGGCTCAGCTAGGATCAAGTGCCCACCATGGCCCCATCAGCAGCTTCTGTGAGATGGACACAGGTGCCTGGTCCAACCTCCTCTGCTGCGGCAACCACGTGCAGACCTGCACTGCTGTCGGGAGGACAGATGTTAACAAATCAGGGTCATTCTTGTCCCCTGTA
The DNA here is from genome assembly GCF_000001405.40 of Homo sapiens. NCBI lineage: Eukaryota > Metazoa > Chordata > Mammalia > Primates > Hominidae > Homo > Homo sapiens. The sequence goes on from NC_000003.12 coordinate 32,127,480, forward strand.
GGAAAGCCTGTGGGAGACTGAGCCGTCACTAGAACATGTTTGCTAAATAGAGATGCAGAGAAAAGGGAGCTTGGGGGCCAGAGGCCGGCTTGGTTGCAGGGCGGAGGGAGTGCAAAGTACTCAACAACTGGGCCCTGCGCTCTCCCTTTGCTCCTCTTCTGGAATCCAGTCAGGTTCTTGTCTTTCCTTTGTGATTCTGCTTTGCACCTGTTGCAGTTCATCAAGACACAGTTTATCTTACCACAGGTACATCTCAATATCCTTTCAAGACCTTCTAGGGTCATTTTCATGCTTTGGGGTGGATTTCTCTTCTGCCTGTGACGTTGTCTTCCAAGATAGGTTGATTCTTACTAGTTTCAAGGGGTGGTGCATTTTGACCTTAAGCCAAATTCTGGTGCTTTCCCAGTCACAGGCGGTGGTATTCCATGTGAAAACAACTAAGTTTCAAATGGCTTGGGGCTGATACACGTCACATCTTGAGTAGGCTCAGTGTTTGAATCAGAATCAAAACACAAGTCTTCTGAATTTTAATCAAACGCTTTTTCTCTCCCGCCCAAGTGAGTTTATGTTTTTCTTTTCCACGATTTCTTTTGTAGGGGTTCAGCTGTTGCAAAAATAATTGGTAATAATGTCAAGAAACTTCAGAAATTTGCCTCCACAGTCAAGATGTGGGTCTTTGAAGAAACAGTGAATGGCAGAAAACTGACAGACATCATAAATAATGACCATGAAAATGTAAAATATCTTCCTGGACACAAGCTGCCAGAAAATGTGGTAAGACTTTGGGGTGAAATGTACATTGGTTCATTCTGCAAGTTGTGCTTGGCTGAGCAGCACTTGGGTTTTGGAACTGGGAAAGCTGCTTCCCTTTTCCCCAGTTCCTTTCCACTACCAATTGGTTGGTTGGTTTTGGTCTTCCTGACTCTGAAAATGGGTTTCCTATTATGTTGCTAAGGATGCCTTAACAAAGTGCCAGACTGGGTACCTTAAACAACAGAAATTTATCTTTTATAATTCTAGAGGTTTTGAGCATGAGATCAGGGTGTTGATAGGGTTAATTTCTTCTGAGGCCTCTCTCCTTGGCTTATAGATAGCATCTTCTGTATTTTCACATGGTCTTCCCTCTAATCCTGTCTCTGTCATAATCTCCTCTTATAAAGATAGCAGTCATATTGGATAAAGACCCACCCCAATGACTTAAGTTAATTACCTCTTTTAAGACACTGTTTCCAGATACAGTCACATTCTGAGGTACAGCCCATAACAGGTTTCCTCCTTGGCATTCAAAGTGCCAGCCACCTCTGGAACTAACAAACTTGCCTTAGGCTGCTCCTGCTCCCCAAGTAGCTCCTGCTGTACCCTAAGTGCATGAGATCAGCTTGCTAGGACAGCTAATACAATGGTCTGTAATTAAAGTCAGGGTCAAGGCCTAAATTACAGAAGGAGATAGAAGAAAATGGGAAAATGTAAGACTGACAGTTTAAATTCAAGCTTATTAAGTCTGGGAGAGAAAAATACAGGTTATTGCCTGACCTCCTTCTATTGACTTGCAGGGGAAGAAAGAAATGAGCTTGGGGAGTGAAAAGGGTGTACCCTGCTGCTTGTCTGAGTGGAATTTATGAACTTCTTCTGTTGTCAGATTCACCCCTTTGTGGCTTTCTATCATAATCTCTTTGAAAAACAGACAGTTGTGGCTGTCTGATTCCTATGGTTAACCCAAGAAGCTCATCTCCTTTGTTAACGAAATACCCTTTACTGCATATATTCACTCACCAAACCTTATGAGCATGCACTGTGCATGCAAAGCACCGTGTTGGGTGCTGGGGACAGAAAGAGGAATAAGACAGTGTTGCTTTCCTCAAGGAACTGAGCGGGGGAGACCGATCTCTAAATCAATAAATGTGGGGAAGTTTTAGTTACAGTGTTCGTTAGTGTCAAGCACTGTGCTAAGCAATACATTTAGTCTCATTTAATCCTCTCAATAACCCTCTTAGGCTGATACTACTGGTTTTCCTATTAGGGTGATTATTTTGATTATATAGTGGAGGAAACCAAGACTCAAAGAGGCTAATGAACTTGTCCAGGGTCACACAGCTGAGGGCTACGGTTCAGATTGATTCCTGGTGGACGCATCCCTGAGCATGCCGAATCTGTTGCCTTCTAGACAGTGATGACTTTCTGCTCTGGACTTGGGTGAGCCAGCATTTCCCTACAGTTATTCTTGGTGTAGTTGGTGGGGGAAGAAGAACCTTTAGAGTTGTGAGCTTAGAAGTTAAGTTGTCCAAATATCTGCTGGAGAGAATAAAAGAGGTAGCTCTTCCCCCTGCAATGGAAGGCCTGTGGGGTCATCTCTAATCCATTCTTGGGGCAGATCATTCTTTTGAGCTTCACTTTTCTCATTTTTATCAGAATTGGTTGCCCCTTCCCTTTGGTAAACTACATGCTTCATTGTTACATTCCTCCCACCCTGCCTGGCGCCAGTCCCTTGTGTACCTGTCTGTCTACCTCCACGTGCCCTCAGTGTGTGACCTTGCTTTCTGGTTCTTCATTCACCCACAGTCCCTAGCACAGTGCTTTTCCTACAGTGGATATTTGAGGAATGTTGGGGGAAGTGAATCTGCTGAGTGGTTCTGTGAAGCTGGAGCCTGTGCTGCGAACAGGGAGAGTGGGAGGGAAGGAATCGACATAGAGGAGTTGAGAGAGCCTGCCCCCCACTTGACTGACTCCACCACCCACCCCTGGTCACTGGGTGTGGACAGAGGCAGGAGAATTCACTCCCAGAACCCTGTTGTTGTCTGATAGATCTCTCAAACCTATTCTTCCTGTTTAAGTGAAATTTTTGACCAATATGTCCCCAGTCCCTCACCCTCCAGCCTCAGGTAGCCACCTAAAAGTACAGTTTTTAATCATTGTTTTTCTTTCCAATTCAAGCAGGAGAGGTTTGTTGCATTTCCGTCAACACAAGCTCACTGTTTATGCTGTCATTTGATGTGCTGACTTCAGACTGAGCCTTTTCTGTGTGAGACCCTCAAACTGCTGCCAACGTGACCCTTCCCCAGGTCCACACTCATCATGTGGCCCCTCCCACATAGGAGCCTTCTGTTACAGTGACTTCACCATGTCATTGCCTGCTCACTAAAAGCTGAGCCCGTCTGGATTTGCGATTTCCCTTTAGATCCGAATGAAAAGAATGCTCATTATTTTCTGAAGGCCGGTTGCGGTGGCTCACACCTGTAATCCCAGCACTTTGGGACCGAGCGCAGTGGCTCATGCCTGTAATCCCAGCACTTTGGGAGGCTGAGGGGGGCGGATCACTTGAGGTCAGGAGCTCGAGACCACCCTGGCCAACATGGCAAAACCTCATCTCTACTAAAAAAAGAAAAATTAGCCGGGTGTAGTGGTGCACACCTGTAATCCCGGCTATACTCGGGAGGCTGAGGCAGGAGAATTGCCTGAACCCAGGAGGCGGAAGTTGCAGTGAGACGAGATTGCCCCGCTGCACTCCAGCCTGGGCAACAGAGCAAGACTCCATCTAAAAAAAAAATAGAATGCTCCGTTTAAAAAAAAAAAGAATGCTCATTATTTTCTGTAATTGCAAAATGGTTGATCCTGTTTTCTAGCTCTATTTCCAGAGCCTGTGTTTGGAGCTCATCAAGGTAGAGGATTCTTTTGCTTCCCTGTTCCAGCTTCAGCCAGTGACACCAGGATTTAGATTCCAGCACCCCCATGAAATATAGTTGCCGTTGCCTCTCATCTCCTGCCTCCTTTTTAAAAAACTGCTTCACTGAGATATAATCCACAGACCATACAATTCAGTGGCTTTTTTCGTATATTTACATAGCTGTGCAGCCATCACTGCCATCAATTTTAACACATTTTCATCACCTTGAAAAGAAACTTGTACCCTTTCATAGTCACCTCCTGTTTTCCCCAGTTGTCCCACAGCCCTAGGTGACTACTAATCTACTTTCTATCTCTATAGATTTACCTGTTCTCCATATTTCATGTAAATTGCGTCTTACAATATGCGGTCTTCTGTGACTGGCTTCTTTCACTTTGCATAATGCTGTGAAGCTCCATCCATGTTGTAGCATGTATCAATACTTCGTTCCTTTTTATGGCTGAATACGATCCTGTTGTATGGATGTCCCACATTTTGTTTACCCATTCATTGGTTGATGGTCATTTGAGCTGTTTCCACTCTTTGGGTATTATGAATAATACCTTTATGTACAATGTGAACCTTTATATACAATGTTTTGTATGAACATATGTTTTCATTTCTTTTGTGTGTATACCTAGGAGTAGAGTTAACTTTTTGAGGAACTGCCAGACTGTTTTACAAAGTGGCTGTACCATTTTACATTCCTATCAACAGTGTGTGAATGTTCCAGTTTCTTCACATTCTCACCAGTGCTTGCTGTTATCTGACTTTTTAATCCTAGCGAGTATCTCATTCATGGTTTTGATTTTCATTTGCCTGATGGCTAACCATGTTGAGCATCTTGTGCTTATTGTCACTTGTATATCTTTGGAGAAATGTGTATTCAAATCCTTTGTCCATTTAAAAAATGGATTGTCTTTTTATTATTGAGTTATACAAATTCTTTATATATTCTAGATACAGGTCCCCTTTCTCCACAAGTATTTTCTCCTGTTCTGTGGGTTTTCTTTTTACTTGCTTGATGGTATCCTTTGAAGCACAAAAGTTTTTAATTATGAAGTCCAATGTTTACCTTTTTACTCTGCTGTGAACTCTTTGAGTATAGTTTCTTGCATAGGTCTTTATTCACTAATGTCTCCTCAGCACCTGGAATAGTGCCTGGCATTATTTGTGGTTTGAATAAATGCCAAGGATAGTGGAAGTGGTGAGGAAGAACAAACCAGGATGAAGAGTTTTGTTTCAGTGCTTTTTAGGTGGTATCACATGGGAAATAAGTTTAGGGCAAGACTTAAAAAAAAATTAATCATTTACATTTGGATACTAGGGTTGGGGTAATACCTATTAATTTTTGCTGAAAGCCTTCTGAAAATTAAAATATCAGTTCAGTGCGAAGCCTCAGTGTTACTCCTTTCCTCCCTGGGTTTAACTCTTTGATTTCATTAGAGGAGTAGTTTTCCCTGGTGATCTTCAAATTTTAGTGTTCATCAGATCACTGGGAGAGCTTCCCAGGGATATGTGGGCCCACTCCTATAGTTTCTGATTCAGTAGGTTTCAGGTGCGGTCCCTGAATGTGCATTTCTCACAAGTTCCCAGGTAATGGGGATGCTGTTGGTTCAGGAGCCATGCTTTGGGAACCATGGGGGTACATAATAAATTGATATTATTGGTGTTGTACTGGGGAATCCAGGCGATGGATAGCTATTTTTCCAGAAGTAGCCTTACTTACCAGCAGTGGCATGTTTACATAAGAATCATCAGATAAGGTCCTCTGTCTGAGGGTCATGTTTCTGCATGTAGAGCCAAGTATGTGAATTTCACCTGAGATCTTGGCTGCAAGTGAGATGAAGAGACAGAGGAAAATTACGCTATTTTTGAGCCTCTACTATGTCCCAAGTATGACACTGCTATGTGTTTTACTCCTGGTATTGTCTTGAATCTGAGTACACACATCCCCCAGATAATGTAGGTGAGTTGCCATGGTGTCCGGTTAGCTGACTGGCATTAGAGCCCGGCCACGATGCTCCGTGCAGCCACGGCAGCTGGACCGTTGTTAAACCACACCATTCTCATTAGGAACCAGAATTGTTTCAGCATGTAGATTCATACAGACTTGAAGTAGACATAACTAGTGGCCCTAAGAGATTAGATAAAAATGAGAACAGCCTTGGTATCTTTTATTTGGCTTATCCTTGTTTTATCTGTCATTACTATGATGTTGCTACAAAAAGGTTTGTAGTAAGATTCATGGATTTTAGGGGGAAAAGTCTTCATTTGAATAACAGGAAAATTCTTATAATACTATATTAAAAAGATATAAAATATTACTTTAATTCTATAAATACAATTTTAGACATTGCTGTAGGCTCGAAAAGACCTTGGAAGGAGTGTACCAAAATATTGATAGTGATTATTTCTGGGAACAGCAGGGAGAAGCTGTTCTTATTTTCCTACTTAGAGATTTTTTCTTCAGATTTGATCCAGCGAGCCTATTTATAGTCATGAATGAATGGAGAAAGCATTTTAGTCCTAATTGGTTTTAAAGACCATAAAATAGCATCTTTGGAGGGTGAGGAGATCAGTCTGTGATGATGAAAGTGAGGTCTTTTTCTTGCCCACTCTGATGGCTGCAGATAAGATGTTGCTAACAGGTAAAAGCTCATTGAGCACACACTGTGGACAGTGATGGTGGATCCAGGAAGTACGAAAGAACCTTCAGACTTGTCCACACAGACTTCACCAGCTTTGTTTCCAATGGTTTTTATTTATTATTAGGTTTTTATTAACTTAGACTAAGAGCACTGGGCTCCTGAAAGTCTGGGCATTAAGCAAACCAGCCCTGATGCCTTCGTTCTGGGTTGTTTGTCCTACTTGCCATTGAAAGGCAAGACCTGTTGTTCTGAGTTTTGCTTCCCAGCATATTTCAGAATCTGGAACGATGGACACCTTCAGAGTTTTGGCAGGAGGCTCACAAAATCAGTCACCATTTCCAAAGCAGCTCCTGATTATTTTCAGAGCAGAAAATCGGGTAGGGGCTTAGCAAAAGGTTTTATTCTGAAAGATGAGATTCACATGATCTCATTAGCTGATAAGAACTTGTTCTGATACGGTGTAAGAGGAATAATGTTCTGTGAATGGACCATGCACACCATAAAAATACAGCTCACATTGTACACGTTGCTTCTGTGGGTTAAACCCTAAGTATTCCACCAAGGAGAATAAGCCCCAACCACATTGTCCTAGAGACCATCACATTCCCTACCACCTGCAGGTTCCTCTTTGATTTATTAAGAAGGAAATGTAAGAGACAGAAGAAATCCTGGCCAGCTAGCAGATTCCTTGAGAATGGTTTGTTTGTTTGCTTGTGACAGGGCCTCACTCTGTCCCCAAGGCTGGAGTACAGTGGTGCAATCACAACTTTTTGCAGCCTCGACCTCCTGGGCTCAAGTGATCCTCCCACCTCAACTTCCCAAGTAGCTGGGACCACAGGCACTCGCCACCACACCTGGTTAATTTTTTTTATTTTTTGTAAAGATGAAGTCGCACTGTGTTGCTTAGGCTGGTCTTGAGCTCCTGGGCTCAAGCAGTCCTCCCACCTCAGCCTCCCAAAAGTGTTGGGATTATGGCATGAGCCACTGAGCCTGGCTGGGGATGTATTTTAGCAAGAGACATGGGAATAGGCCGATTTCTTAAAAGTTAAGGATTTGCAAGACACGGGTAGATTTTTCTGATGAATACGCTTTCATTTGTTAAGGTCTTTGTAGTTTCAAAACATTGCCACTCATATTACTTAATTGGAAAGGGTTCTGTGAGGTAGCCAGATCGGAAAGGTAATTTTTATCTCTATTTTACATATGGAGTGACTGAGGTCGATGAAGCTGAGTAGCTTGCCAGAGGTCACACAGCTGGTCAGTTGCAGATGTGCAACCCAGACCTTCAAACCTATATTTTTTCTCTTTGGTTCTGGTGTTTTTTCCACTTCACCATGTTGAAAATGCCCCAAAGGGGGAAAGGGAGGAATGTGTATGTGTTAGAGGTGGATGGGGAAGAGGAGAAACAGTAGGTCCAGAGGAATAGGTTTTAATTAAAAGTCAGGCGGCCAGGCTCCATATGAACCAGGGAGTAGGGTGCATAAATGCCCATCTGAGCAAGGCCAGTGTTGAAGGGGAAGGAGTGATCGGAGTTCTTGTGAAGGCCGTGGGAAGATGGGTGGGACACAGGCAAACACATGAGAACAAAACAATGAGCTTTGCCAATAAACGACACACAGGCCAATTGTGGGTTGGCATCGAGAGGGTTGTTTTTTTGTTTGTTTTGTTTTGTTTTTTTTGAGACAGAGTCTTGCTCTGTCGCCCAGGCTGGAGTGCAGTGGCACGATCTTGGCTCACTGCAACCTCCCCATCCCAGGTTCAAGTGATTCTCATGCCTCAGCCTCCTAAGTAGCTGGGATTACAGGTGTGCACCACCACACCTGGCTAATTTTTATATTTTTAGTAGAGATGGGGTTTTGCCATGTTGGCCAGGCTGGTTTCAAACTCTTGGCCTCAAGCGATCCACCCACCTCAGCCTCCCCAAGTGCTGGGATTATTACAGGCATGAGCATGGCGCCCAGCCTTCATCGGGAGATTAATGCAATAGAATCAGAAAATGCTTTGTTGGAGGGGGTGGAGTCTCCAGGTGGGAGAGGAATAATGTAGCAGGTGGATTTTTTTAATAAATCTTCACCACTTGTGGACTACCTAGCCTAGATTACCAATCTGGAGAAGCCCTTTCAAGAGGAAAATAGGCAAATAGGCCTTCCCTGCCTTTGGATCTGCCACTAACGGTGGAGAAGTGCTGAGCTTTGGGTTTTGATCTGCTCTATGGGGAGTGACTCTAGGTTGTCATTCAAATCAGCTTAAAGCTAAATGTTTTGGCTCTTGTAACTAAAGATCCAGGCAGTGCTGGCTTCAGGTGTAGCCTGAACCAGCAGGTTACATGATATTAACAGGGCCCTGTTTTTCCCTCTGTTCCCCTGCTTTGCCATCCGCAAAGTTGGCTTCATCCACATGGTAGCCCCGTGGCGTAGGTTCTCCCCTCACATTTGTAAACATGGTTGCAGTAGTTCCAGACTTCACAGCAGCATCCCACACTGTTCAAGGAAAGACATTGTTCAGGCTACTCCTGAAGAATAAGGAAGCATCTGTTTCCCAGAAGACATCTACTGGTTTCTTGTTGGCTCTGATTGTTTAATGTGCCCATTAGCTTGAACAAGTTAAGAACCACCCCTGAAATGGGGTAGGGGCCAATTCCACCCAAATGGCATGGATAAAATGGGGAAGTTGTAGCTTTTGAAAGGAAGTTTAAGGAAACTTCTAGAAAGAAGGGGAATGGAGGCTAGGCAATAAATTATGGAAGTCCTCCACACCTCCTGAAGGGATAAGGGAATTAAACTTCAGATACATTTTCTTTGGGGAATCCTTTGTGTGAGGGAGTAACTCTTAGCACAGGCATTAGTCAAGGTAATAGGCTAAGATACTGCAAAAGACATAATAATGTGACAAAGAACAAGAGACTTGTCTTCCTCTCACATAGAAATACTCCAGTGGTTTGCTTTACACTATTATTCTTGGTCCCATGTTTTTTGTTTTTTTTTCCCCTGTACCATCTCCTAAGCCTTGTAACCCTCAGTGTGATCAAGGCTAAGTTACCAAGGTTTTCAGCTCACAGAAAGGGGGAAGAGAAAGTGTAGAGGAGGCAACCCACTGTCTTGAGGGCTCTGGGCTGTCAGTGGAAACCACTTCTCCCTCTCACATCCAACAATGAGAACTTGGTCCATGGCCATGTGTAGCTGCAAGGACTGCTGGGAAACACAGTCCCTGGCTAGATGACTAGCGACCAGCTTACAGGTCTGTGATTATAGAGAAAGGGGAGAAGGAATTTTGGCTGGGAGTTGGCAATCTCCATCACAACCCCCAAACTAGGTTTCCTCAGAGGCTGGCCCATTCCGAATGATGTTCCTGTGACAGACACGATTTCCTCAGAGAAGAATCTTCATCCAAGGCCTTTCATTTTGGGAACCAGGAATGCTTAATGGGGACTAAGTCAGTTATAGTTAGGTTTAAATACATATGACAGAAAACCTAAAATAACAGTGGTCTAAGCAAGGTAAATGTTTGTGCATTTTTCTCTAATGTAAAGACATTTGTGGTTGGTGTAGCATCATGGTGGCAGAGACTTGTTTGATTCCACTGTTCTGCCATCTCGGCATGTGCTGTCCTCCTTCTGCTCTAAGATGACTGTCTGAATTTCCGCCATGCCTTCACATTCCCACTGGCAAAAGGAAGGAGAAGGACCTTCCAGGACATTTTCTAGAAGTCACAGGCAGCACTTCCATTGATGCTCCCTTGATCAGAACTCAGTCACATGGTACACGTAGCTGCAAGGAGCACAGGGAAACATAGCCTTCTTTGCTGGCATTCAGGAGCCCAGCTTGAAACTAGGGGTTCTAATGCTGAGGAATAAGGAAGAACAGATACTAGGTGCAGCAAGAAGCCTTTGCCAGAGACCATGTGCCCTGGAGTCCGCACGGCATGCCTTCACTTCTGCCGTGTTAAACTAATCTTCACCCTTAAGGAAAGAAATCGTCATAATAGCTGACATGTGTTGAGTGTATATCAAGTCCCAGGCAGTTTTCTATATCATTTAGTCCTCACAGTGGCACTCTCAAAGGAGAGTTTAGTGTGGGATCATTTACAGAGGGGCCATGGGGTCGAGGGAATCAACAGGGGTTGGTGAAGTGCTCGGAGATTAGCAACAGCAGGAAGCCATTACCACCCCTAAAAGGGTCAGGGAAAGAACATGTCACCAGCCTGAAGAGGGCTTAGAGACATGGCCTTAGAAAGGGGCTGCCTGGCAGCAGGGACAGCTGTGGAATGAAGCCAAGCCAGAAACACTGTGAGCCTAGGCAGAAGTGGCCCGAGGAGGCTGATAAATACCCTTGACCTGTCTCTCCTCCCATCCTTTGATCTCCTGACAATGCCTCCCATTGGCTGAAGCCCACTGGAAGCCAGAGAACAAGGGAGCCTGGGGAAATAGTTTAGAGAAAGCAGCCTCCTGAGAACAGAATGGGGCAGAGAAGAGCGGAAAATGGATGAGGGGGCTGGTGAGGTGGGAGAGCAACAGAGAGCAACCCACATAGTGTTATTAGAGGTGCCTTTTGCAGATAAGGCAGTTGAGGGGTGGAGAGGATAACTCACCTGCCCAGCTGGTGACAGAGGCAAACCCTCTGCTTCAGACCCCCATAAGGAATAAGGAAGGCAAAGCAAACACACTTGCCTTCCTTGTCTATCTGTGCAATGCTCTGCACATAGTAGGCATCTGATAAATGGTCAGTGAGTGAAACCTTGTGGACAGGCAAGGTTTGATATAAGAGGAGAAACGGTCTTCTCTGCCTTTTGGTTGCAGGTTGCCATGTCAAATCTTAGCGAGGCTGTGCAGGATGCAGACCTGCTGGTGTTTGTCATTCCCCACCAGTTCATTCACAGAATCTGTGATGAGATCACTGGGAGAGTGCCCAAGAAAGCGCTGGGAATCACCCTCATCAAGGTAACTCGAGTGCATGCTGCCCAGGGCTAGACATTGGTTATCAGGAAATTTCATTTCCTCACACTTTCATCTGCTTGAGATTTGGAGCTGAAGGGGAAGTTGTGGCGGTTTTTCGTTTGTGTTCTTAAAGATGCTCAAAAGTCATAAAAAAAATAAGACTAGTTTAGCTCAGATTGAGAGTGGGCTGCTTTCCATTGCAGCAGACTAGCAGCAGCAGTGATGTGAAGAGCTGTGCCGCCCCTTCCAGTCCACTCTCGGGGCTCAGCCTGCCATCTGGAAAGCACCAGCAGTTTGAATTAGCTGGGAAATTAATAACCATTAGTGCCCATTCTTGGATATATACCCTAAAGCATGTGTTTTTAACCAGAACTCCATGAACCACCTCTGAAGGTCCACAGGTTGAATACAGGAAGTTCATGCATTTAAATGTGGTGGAAAAAAATCCTTGCATTCTAACTCATTTTAACCTCTAAGTGAAATGAGCATTCTCTTCATTTATGAATGCAGCTCACAGCCAAAGTTTCAGTAATAGCAGTATTAGCAGGATCTGAGACCTTGTCAATAGGAGTCGCAGGGCTTTCATTTCAGTTTACACCTTTTTCTGATATCTCAAGGTATCATTTATACTCATCACTACTTGGAAATTGTGGTAATTGTTAGACCTGCCATGATATCTTTTTCTAATTGCATTAATAAAACAGTGCATATATTACTTTATCATAAATTTGTTTTTTAAACAAATTTCAACATAATTGGATTCCTGGGTTATTTTAGGTGTTTTGTTTTATGCATATGAAATTCTGAGAATGAGTCCATAAACTTCACCAGACTACCAGGGGTAAGGCCCATGTCGTTGGAAAGATTAAGAACTCCCAAGAGAGGCTGTGCCAGAGCATTTACAGATGAATGTTCATGAAGGCAAACCAGAGCAACCCAAATGTCATCAGCAAGAGAGTAGACAAATGAAATGTGAACTATTCATTTTGGAATACTGTGCAGTAAGTGAACAGAAACGAACCAGAAGTTTGATGCAGCCACATGAGTGAATCTCTAAAACGGTATTGTAGTTCAAGACAGCACATCACAGGTGAATGGCACAACTCTCTTTATAGACTTGAAACCCCAGGGATAATGACGTATAACATTGTCTAGGGACCATCCGATGTGGTAAAATAGTCAAGAAAAGCAAGGGAGCAATGCATACAGCATTCAGGACAGTGGTTCACCCTGGGGAGCAGGGGTAGAAGGAGGATGAACTTGAGAGGAGACACACAGGGGACTTCAGTGGTGTCAGTCACGTTCTATTTCTTAACACGAGTGATGAGTACATGTTTATTTTCTTCATTTGATTCTTCTTTAAGCTGTACATAGGCAGTATAGATGCTTTTACTCTTGTAAGTAGGAGACATTTTTCAAGTTGTGTAGCCATGGGACATCTACTATCCCATGCCTCTTTGATTTGGCGGTTTGTTCTCTCCTAACTTCTTGGCATCCTTGTAGGGCATAGACGAGGGCCCCGAGGGGCTGAAGCTCATTTCTGACATCATCCGTGAGAAGATGGGTATTGACATCAGTGTGCTGATGGGAGCCAACATTGCCAATGAGGTGGCTGCAGAGAAGTTCTGTGAGACCACCATCGGTAAGCACTGCCTGGGAGGGACCCCAGGAGTCTGGACATTTGATGTTTGAACATGTACATATTCCATTTCTGATATTTTCTGTAATAGACTCTTCCCTGTCCCTCTTAACATTCCTTAGTTGGGCATTCAGTGGGGCGAGGGTTTTACTTAAGGAGGCTATTTTGTGGAACTGAAGTGTTTCAACAACCTCCAGAATGAATATAAATGAATATAGCCAAGAAGAGCATTCTGACTTGCTGTGATCCAATAATGAATTACTGAGGTTAAACACAAAAGTGCAAGGTTGCTTGTACCAAGAAACAGGTGGCTACATCCATGGTAGGGGTCCCCTGGCCTCAGAAGCCCAAATTTTCTTTTCTTACAAATGTTAGTATCTGGATCCTCATTGATTCCAGTGAGATCTAAAAATTGGTTGAATGACCCCCATTTTCAGGTGAATGATAAGACTCAGAGAATAAATTACCTGCCCCAAGATCACACACTAATGTAGAAGCCAGGAACAAATTTGAGTCTTCTGTTTCCTGAACTAGTAAGCCTTTTCTACTCTTACACATTATACATTAGATACATTATTCTCACATTGACGTTATGAAAATTTTCATTTCTTTTGAAAGGGGCTTTGAGAATTCTCAAGTGTCCGTGTACTATATTAAACGATGCTTTGTTGGAAGAGTAATATTATTGTATTTTCAGATGCTTTGCAAAAGTTTATCTACCACTGCAGAACTTACTTTCACCCTTATCAAACCTGCAAGCAATATGAATCATTTCCCCTTGGCAGCTTTGTAAAAGGAAGCTCTGAGAGATGTCAGGCTCTCTTGCATGAGATGAATGCGCAGGAAAATGTAGCTCCAGATTCTTATACCTGCCTATACGTAGGACTTTTTAGGATTTTTTTGGAATTTTCTACCTTAATTTTTATTTTTAATTATGGAGGTATTTTACATGATTATTATGGAAGATAGAGATAATCAAAAGAAAGCCATTTTAAATTTTTGATAATTTTGTTATATATCCTTTTTTACTATTTGTATGAACTATTATGTTTGTAGTGAATCATATGCTGTTTAATAATTGCTTTATTCGCTGAATATGTAACAAAAACCTTTCAGAGTCTGTTAACATACTGTACATCCTCATAACTGCATAGCATTCCATCAGCAATTCCATATATTTGGATACAAAACTTTTTTTTGAAAAATAATATTTGTTGGAGAGGAGAAGTATCACAAATAATACAAAGAAGAAAAGAATAGCCTATGATACCACCTGCCCAGGTTGTCATTTACGAAAGTGATACAGACACAGGTTTAAAAAAAAATTCAAGCACCATGAGAAGGTGGAAAAGTAGAACTAAGATTGTAATTTCCCACCCATTTCCCTCTTCCCAGAGGGAATCACTGTTAGCAGTTTCTTTTTTGTTTTTTATAATTGCAACTTTTATTTTAGATTCGGGGGTACATGTGCAGGTTTGTTACATGGGTGTATTGCATGATGCTGAGGTCTGGGTTATGACTAATCCTGTCACCCAGGTAGTGAGCATAGTACCCCACAGGTAGTTTTTCAATCCTTCCCTCCTTTCTCTCCTCTCTAGTAGTCCCCAGTATCTGTTGTTGCTATCTTTATGTTCATGGGTACCCAATGTTTAGCCCTCACTTGTAAGTGAGAACATGCAGTATTTGGTTTTCTGTTCCTATGTTAACTCACTTAGGATAATGGCTTCCAGCTGCATCCATGCTGCAAAGGACATGATTTTCTTTTTTTTTTTTTGAGATGGAGTCTCACCCTGTCGCCAGGCTTGAGCGCAGTGGTGCTATCTTGGCTCACTGCAACCTCCAATTCCCTGGTTCAAGCGATTCTCCTGCCTCAGCCTCCCAAGTAGCTGGAATTACAGGCATGCGCCACCACGCCCAGCTAATTTTTGTATTTTTGGTAGAGACAGGGTTTCACCATGTTGGCCAGGATGGTCTTGATCTCCTGACCTCATGATCCACCTGCCTCAACCTCCCAAAGTGCTGGGATTACAGATGTGAGCCACCGCGCCCGGCTGATTTCATTCTTTTTTAATGGCTTTTACTATTAGCAGTTTCTAAATATTCTTCTGGAAAAAATTTATTTATATTTGTATGCTAGTATGTACATATATGAATATGTCTTATTCTTTTACAGTAAATTCTTTTATTTATCTGCAGTTTTAATATAGCCTGTGAAATTGTTATGTAATTACTTATATTTTCCCAAAAAGATTAACTAGTTTGTTCCAACTCAATCCTATTTGCCAATAATCCTTTCCCAGTTCATTCTGGAAGACTAAATCTTAATCTGCAATCCCAATCCCTGATCCAATCCTGGCTAGGACTCTAGCCCTGTTTGTTGTAGGAAAGTTTCTAGTTGGGTACATTAGGCTTTTTTGGTTTTAAAAAACAGATAAAAGCACATAAGTTGCATTTCTTTCCCTCTGGCATTTCTTTACCCGGTGCTTCTATGCCTTCTCTGTGGGGTGGAGTGTGATAAGCACTGATGACCTGAATTAAATTAAGTAAAGCATTTCTGGGTGGAGTAGCTCTCGTGAGGCTAAAGCCGAGGATCTTCTGAGGCCAAGAGTTTGAAATCACCCTGGGAAATGTAGCTGGGAGTTTCCAAAAAAGAAAAAAAAAAATTTTTTAATTAGCCTGGTATGGTAGTACATACCTGTAGTCCCAGCTACTCAGGAGACTGCTGTGGGAGGATCACCTTGAGGCTAGGAGATTGAGCGAGGCTGTAGTCACTGCAGTGGCTATGATCACGTCATTGCACTCCTGCCTGGGTGACAGCAATACCCTGTCTCTTTAAAAAAAAAAAATTTAAGTAAAACATTGAAAGTAAGATAGAATATGAAAGTGATGTTTAAAAATTGTTTTATATAACCTGAATTAATTAATTTTTAAAAGTAGAGTCTTGTTCGAATTCCTGGCCTCATGGGATCCTCCTGCCTCAGCCTGCTGATGTACCGGGATTACAGGTGCGAGCCACTGTGCCCAGCCTATAACCTGAATTTAATCATGAGAAAATATCAGACAAGCCCAAAGTAAGAGATATGTTATAAAACAACAGGCCAATGGTATCTTTGACTCTTCAAAAAAGTCAGTGTCATGAAAGACAATGAAAGGCTAAAGGAGTGTCCCAGAATAAAAAGGACTAAAGATATATTACCGAGCCAGGCGTGGTGACTCACACTTATTATCTTAGCACTTTGGGAGGCCAAGGTGGGAGATCACTTGGGCCTAGGAGTTTGAGACCAGCCTGGGCAACATAATGAGATCCCATCTCTACAAAAAATACAAAAATTAGCCAGGTGTGGTGGCGCACACCTGTAATCCCAGCACTTTGGGAGGCTGAGGCGGGCGGATCACCTGAAGTTAGGAGTTTGAGACCAGCCTTGTCAACATGACAAGCGAAACCTCATCTTTACTAAAAATACAAAAATTAGCCAGGTGTGGTGGTGCACGCCTATGGTCCCAGGTACTCGAGAGCCTGAGATGAGAGGATTGCTTCAGCGTGGGAGGTGGAGGCTGCAATGAGCAGTGATCGCACCATGGCACTCCAGCCTGGGTGACAGAGCAAGACCTTGTCTCTAAAAATCAAAAAGGAGACATGAGCACTATGTGCAGTGTGGGGTCCTGGATTAGGCAGGGAGGGTTGCTGTGGAAGACAATGCAGAGGTGATTGGTGAGGTTTGAATGTGGATTATATGTTAGATAATAATATTATGTAAACATTACATTTTCTGTATTTGATCATTGCAGTGTGGTTATCCAGACATCCTTTGTTGATGCATAGGGACTATTTTAAATTGCGGTAGGTTCAGGAATCGTGGCCCACTTGAATCTTCTGTGGAGGGAAAAGATAGGGCAGCTTCAGGCCTCAAAATCCTGTCATGGTGAACTACAGTGCCCTCTTGTGGTAAGGTCTCCTTTCGTTCTTGGGGCATACCACAGACTCTGAGGCTTTTAATCCAGTCATTCCACAAATATTTTTCAAACCCTCTTATGTATCAGGCATGGTGCCAAATGTCTAGAATACATAAGCTCCTTATGGAACTTGTAAGCACACAAACACATATGGAATCACAAACTAAAATAAGGGTTTTGAAGGAGTTTTATTACATAGGTTAATTGCCTCTAAAACTTGGTGTGACAGAGAAAGGGGATTTTCCTGTCTTTGGTTTACATTGAGTTTTGGGCAACCTTCCCACATGGCTGTCCGGCATTAGCTGTTCTGTACAGATGCCCTGAGTCCCTGCTTGCCATGTCACTGTTTATTACTGGGGTTTGTTGTTGTTGTTGTTGTTGTTTTTGAGATGGAGTCTCACGCTGTTGCCCAGGCTGGAGTGCAGTGGCGTGATCTCGGCTCACAGCAACCTCCGCCCCCTGGGCTCAAATGATTCTAATGCCTCAGCCTCCTGAGTAGCTGGGAACACACACACACACACACACACACACACACACCACCACGCCAGGCTAATTTTTGAATTTTTTGTAGAGATGGGATTTCGCCATGCTGACCAGGCTGGTCTCGAACTCCTGACCTCAAGTAATCCACTTACCTGAGCCTCCCAAAGTGCTGGGATTACAGGCATGAGCCACCGCGCTGGCTTATGACTGGTATTATATTAATAATAAAATTCGCGGGCCGGGTGCGGTGGCTCATGCCTTTAATCCCAGCACTTGGGAAGGCCAAGGCAGGTGGATTGCTGGAGGTCAGGAGTTCGAGACCAGCCTGGCCAACATGGCGAAACCCCATCTTTACTAAAAATACAAAACTTAGCCGAGTATGGTGGCGCATGCCTATAGTTGCAGCTACTCAGGAGGCTGAGGCGGGAGAATCGCTTGAGCTTGGGAGGTGGAGGTTGCAGTGAGCTGAGATAGTGCCACTGCACTCTAGCCTGGGCAACACAGCAACTCTGTCTCATAAATAAATAAATAAAGTTACTACCTATTATCCATGATTTAAGGTAATAAATTTTAAAAGGTACCTTTGAGAAAATATGAGATTGCTATAAATCAAGCCCACCTCTTGGATGGGCATTGCGTTATTTGCAGCCACAAAGGAACCCATAGACCCTACCTTGTATCTATGGCAAGCCAAGAGTGTGCCTTCCCCTGCCCATTCCTCAGTTTGTTCACCAGCAACCCAAGTTTCCAGCTGCAGATGGCTGGATTAAAGTGACTTGAGGGAGGGGCTGGTCTGCAATGTTCAGGAGCATGCTTCATGTTGGAGGCACTGAGCAGTGGGAGGAGACACGATGAGGCTGTAATATGATGTAGGGGCCAGGGGCTGGTTTACCCAACCCAGATGATGCAACAGTGTTGCACAGAGTCACCTAGACAGCCTGGTGGACTGTTTAAAAAGGAAGAGAACAGTTTGCACAAACTGACATAGTTCTAACATTTGGAAAAGGGGAACTCAGCTAAATGAAAGAACAGTAATGCTACAGAGTAGACTGTGTTTCTAAGTATTGGGTGTAGATATTGTGTTTTATTATGAAACTTTTCAGAAAAGTAGAGTAGTATCACGAACCTCACATGCCCGTCACCCATCTTTAGAAATGATTAACTCCTGGCCAGTCTCATTTCATCCACTCCCCACCCTCTCTCAACCCTCAGATGGCCTGGATTATTTTGACATTGTGTCACTTCTTGGTGTAGTTTTACTTGTTGACAATCATGCTTTTTTCTTTTTTTTTTTTTTTTTTTTTGAGACAGAGTCTCGCTCTGTTGCCCAGGATGGAGTGCAGTGGTGAGATCTCAGCTCACTACAGCCTCCACCTCCTGGGTTCAAGCGATGCTCCTGCCTCAACCTCCTGAGTAGCTGGGACCACAGGTACGTGCCACCACGCCCAGCTAATTTTTTGTATTTTTAGTAGAGATGGGGTTTCACCATGTTAGCCAGGATGGCTTCAATCTCTTGACCTCGTGATCTGCCCGCCTCAGCCTCCCAAAGTGCTGGGATTACAGGTGTGAGTCATCGTGTCTGGCCAAAAAAAACTTTAGATTCACATTCGGTCAGTTAAAAATGTATGTCAAATTGTAAATGATCACCTCGATTGGAAACGGGATATTTTTACTTTATTTCTGCTCCTATGTGTTTTCTAAATATCCTATCATGAACATGTTACTTTTATAGTAAGTAGAAACTTATTTTAAAGTGTATTAGGTGTGAAAATTAAGATTAGAGGCTGTTATTAATATCCTTGTTGTCTAACCTTTCAACAGGCAGCAAAGTAATGGAGAACGGCCTTCTCTTCAAAGAACTTCTGCAGACTCCAAATTTTCGAATTACCGTGGTTGATGATGCAGACACTGTTGAACTCTGTGGTGCGCTTAAGGTAAAGTCAGCCTCAGGGGAGGAGTTCATCAAGCAAGGCAAATGTTAGCATCATTGAGTCTAATCCTCAAGAATGGGCTCTGTGTTCTGTGCACCCACATCAGCGAAGAATAGTGAATTGAGAGTCTTGTTTATAACTTCCTGTTTTGCTGCAGCCTTTCCCGGGTGGTTCAGTTCCTCTCTTACTCGTGGCTTGCTTTAACTTGTAAATATGGGGGAATTGTGATGTTTTGGTCTTTGGGAAGTTGGCAGCATTGATATTTGGAAAGCATGGGAGTTCCTTGATGACAGGGTTTCACCCAGGAGCAAATGATTCTATTCATTCATGTTTTTCTCCCACACTTCATCCTGAGCAGGAAAAGGAACTTGTTTCCTCTGAATTATGCTACTCTACTAGTTTGGCTGGTTGTTCTTATTAAGGGAAAAAATAATCTGCTGCTGGTAGAGGTTTTTCTAAGAATAGTTTTGTCTTTGCCCTCAAGAGAGAGAAGATGTGATTAAAGAAATGCACTCCACTGGCCAGTGGCTTGCTGGATTTTTGTAAGTGGAACTGTACAGTATGCACTCTTTTGTGTCCGGCTTCTTTGATTGGAGGTGTATTTTTGTTTGTTTTAATGTAAATTTTAAGAGGTACTTCATACAGAAAAGTACAAAAATCATAAGTATGTAGTTTATGTTATCTTTTTTTCCCCTCTTTTGAGGTAAAGGGAGGTCTCCACACCTGGGCTCCTGACTTGTTGGCTGCTGTCTTTTAAAGCCTTAGGCACTGTCCCTCTCTCTGCCGTGACTTGGGGGAACAACCAACAGGGAACAGCAGCAGCTACCTGCTCATTCCCCCTCACTATCTAAGTTGCCTTTATTTCACTATCATCTACAAAAAAGAGTGGGGGGAATAGGGGAAATAAAAAGTTCTCAATGTGAATGCCCCTTTTGAGCCACTTCTGAGTCATCTCTTTTGCAGCAAAAAGCCACCCTTCAGAAATTTGAGCATCTAGGGAAGAGGTTAGGCAATCCACCAGTCACCTGTCTTTATTGGATGGGAGTTGCAAAGGTGGAAAGAATGCCTGTCTATGCTTTCTCATAAATTGTATATGTTTTTTTCTAGTCAGAAGTTAAAACCACTCTCTAGAATTAACATTGTGTATATATGTGTGGTCATGATATATAATGAGCATTTAAAAAAATTAAAGCCAATTAAAGGCCTGGGCTCCTAGGGAGCACACATGCATATTTCTAAGCGCCTGTGTGGGGCATTCTTTGCATTAGCATTACATTACATGCAGGCCCAGTTATACATGTAAGACGCTGACTTTGGCTGCTTTGTTTATTTTTGTTGGTTGAGATTTTTATGTGTTTTTAATAGTCCTTCATTAAACTAATTACCACTCAACAGCAGGGGGCATCGTGAATGCCTAATTGCTCAGTGCTGGCCTGAGCTGCTCCAAAGCTGTTTTCAAGTGACTGGATGTTTTTGGTGGTCATGGAGAAGCTGTGAAACCCTGCCCAGAGCAAAGAGTGCTGGGTGAGAAGAAGGAGTCTAGATTGAGGTGAGGGCTTTGGAAAAGCTTCTGCTAATGGGAACCCATGCTGGTCTTGTGTCTGAACTTAGAATGGCTTTCATTTTTGCTGGCAGGAAGACTGTAAGTGGATGTGCCAGCTACCTTGATGGAAAGGGATTCATGGGGGATGCAGGGAGGTGGGGGTTGAAGGCCCTTAATCATCCTCCCTGCAACTTCCCACACAATCTTTTAAAACGAGATCAGTTACCATCATTCCTGGGGGTTTGCATCAGAGTTAAAATTTTTGAAAACTGAGAAACAGGCACTTGTAGCAATTATTAACTCCAACCATTGTCTTGCACAGATAAGGAAATCGAGATCCAAAGAGCAAATGACTTTAGGGTAGCAAACACTGGCACACTCGGAGCGTGAACACGGGTTTTAAGACTCTCAGCCCAGTTTCTTTGGTTACTGTGTACCACTTGACTTTTCTGGTTAGTAATCAGGCAGCATGAATGAAACGAAGCCCTCTCTCATCAGAGCCTGCCAGAGCAAGGACACATGGCCGTATGTTGCTTTCATCACATAAATAACAGTGATGGGTTTTTCCCCCCGACTATAACACAGTCATATTCCTTGTTTTCACACAACAGAAAGGTGTAAAGAAGGAAGTAAAAATCAAATCACTGACAATCCTACATCCTGAAATAACCTCAGTTAATGTTTGTTGTATACCCTTCCAATGTTTTTAGTGTGTACCTATGTGTATGGGTCCTTTTTAAAACAAAAACTAGATATTAGTGTTCAAGTAGTTTGATTTTGTGTGTGTGTGTTTTGTTTGTTTTTGAGACAAGGTCTCGCTGTGCTGCCCAGACTGAGTGCAGTGGCACAATCATGGCTCATTGCAACCTCAGCCTCCCAAGCTCAAGCTGTCCTCCCACCTCTGCCTCCTGAGTAGCTGGGACTACAGGCACATGCTGCCATGCCCGACTAATTTTGTTTATTTTTTGTAGAGATGGGGCCTCGCTGTGTTGTTCAGGCTGGTCTTGAACTTGTGAACTCAAGCAGTCTTCCCACCTCAGACTCCCAAAGTGCTGGGATTACAGGCATGACCCACCACATCCAGCCATTGATGTGTTTTACTTTTTTACGTTAACAATCTTTAGTAATATTCTCCATACTAGCCAATTTACAAAATGTACATTATCTTTTTTGTACTCAAAAATGTGGAGCATTTGACTTACTAGGAAAAATGTGAAAACAACTCTCTACAAGGATAAAATAGAAAATTCAAAGGATTTATGCATAATCATTTTGTACCAGTGCCTCTTACTACCTTCGGAATGTCCTTCATGAACTCTTAGCTGTATTCATCTCTTAGTAAGGATATATCCTTTTTTAAAAATCAACTTTAAGTGTAATTCATGTAATTAGGCCAGGCATGGTGGCTCACACCTGTAATCCCAGCACTTGTGGAGGCCAAGGCGGGTGGATCACGTGAGTATGGGAGTCTTAGACCAGTCTGGCCAATAGGGCGAAACCGCATCTCTACTAAAAAATACAAAAATTAGCTGGGCGTGGTGGTGTGTGCCTGTAATCCCAGCTACTCGGGAGGCTGAGGCACGAGAATCACTTGAATCTGGGAGGCAGAGGCTGCAGTGAGCCAAGATCGTGCCACTGCACTCCAGCCTGGGCGACAGAGTGAGACTCCGTCTCAAAAAAAAAAAAAAATGTAATTCATGTAATCAAACTGCATCTATTTAGAGTTTATAATACCATGGGTTTTGAGAGTTGTGTGCATGCACTTGCGAAAACCACTACCAAAGTACACAACATTTCCATTATCCCCAAACAACTCCACATGTCCCTTTGAGGTTCCTCATCACCCCAGCCTCCAGTTGGGCAGTCAGCTGATCTGCTTTTATATGCCATCGTTTGCATTTTCTAGGATTTTTATAAGTGGAACTGTACAGTATGCACTCTTTTGTGTCTGGCTTCTTTGATTGGAGGTGTATTTTTTGTTTGTTTTAATATAAATTTTAAGAGGTACTTCATATAGAAAAGTACAAAAATCATAAGTATATTGTTTAATCTATGTTATCTTTTTTTTCCCCTCTGAGAGAGGTCTTGTGTTCCTTGGCTCAAGCTGTTTTCCTGCCTCAGCCTCCCAAGTAGCTGGGATTATAGGTATGCACCACAGCGCCTGATTTATGTTATTGTTTTCTGTGTTTTTAAATAGTCTAGTGGTCTTTTTTTTCTTAACAACTTTTTTTTTTTTTTGAGACAGAGTCTTGCCCAGGCTGGAGTGCAGTGGTGTGATCTCAGCTTACTGCAACCTCTGCCTTCCAGGTTCAAGGAATTCTCATGCCTCAGCCTCCCAAGTAGCTGGGATTACAGGTGCATTCCACCACACCCAGTTAATTTTTGTATTTTTAGTAGAGATAGGGTTTTGCCATGTTGGCCAGGCTGTAGCTGGCCAACAGATGTATTACATCTGTAATGTACGTTTTGTAATTGGCTACTATGGAGAATATTACTAAAGATGATTAATGTTAAAAAAGTGAAACTCATCAATGGCTGGACGTCGTGGGTCATCCTTGTAATCCCAGCACTTTGGGAGGCCGAGGTGGGAAGACTGCTTGAGTCCACGAGTTCAAGACCAGCCTGGACAACACAGTGAGACCCCCCGCATCTCTACAAAAAATAAACAAAATTAGTCAGACGTGGTGGCTTGTGCCTGTAGTCCCAGCTACTCGAACTCCTGGCCTCAAGTGATCCGCCTGCCTCAGCTTCCCAAAGTGCTGGGGTTACATGCGTGAGCCATCACACCCAGCCTATTTTTCACACCTATTATGCATGAATTCATAGAGAATAAGTCCCAGCAGCTCAGGCTCCTTCCCACTGGTTCCCACAAAGTGCGCTTCTCTGGGTGGAGCAGGCTGGTACTTCAGTCTAATCCAGGTACCTTTCTCTTTGGCTTCCTTCTTTTTCTGATCATTTTCCTTCATGTGTTTCAGGAAGCTATCTCAGCTCTTAGCTTAATATGCTCCATACACCCATTAATTCTTGGCAAGAATCTTGCCCTTAACTTGTTTACCACAATGCCAGCAGCATGCTGGGTAACATTGTAGACTCTTCCAGTTTAGCCATGGTGACACTTGTGGGGCATTCCTTTTTGAACAGTGACCATTCCCCTGATGTCTACAATATCATCTTTTTTTAAAAAAAGGTTTTTTAGCTTATGTATTTATTTTTTATTTTTTTTGAGACAGGGTCTCACTCTGTTGCCCAGGCTGGAGTGCAGTGGCACAATCTCAGCTCAGTGCAACCTCTGCCTCCTGGGCTCAAGTGATCCTCCCGCCTCAGCCTTCTGAGTAACTGGGACTATAGGTGCTTGCCACCATGCCTGCTAATTTTTGTATTTTTTGTGGAGACAGAGTTTCACCATGTTGCCCAGTCTGATCTCAAACTCCTGGACTCAAGTGATCCATCAGCCTTGGCCTCCCAACGTGCTAGGATTATAGACCTGAGCCACCACACCCTGCCAATATCACCTTTCTGATAGATTCACATATATGTGGCCAAAGGAGCAACTTCATGCTTTCTAAAAGGCCTGGAGAACATATGTCAGGTACTTCTCTCCTCTTTCCCTTTTGTATTCATCATTTTGGTAAATTACTGGAAGATGGCGATTCTGGCCAGAAGGCTATCATTTTTAATAGATTCTTTATCAGGATTGAGTTTCATTAACAGAGACCCAAAATAATACAGGTTGAGTATCTCTTATCTAAAATACTTGTGACCAGAAGTGTTTTGGATTTTGGATTTTTTCTTTTTTGGAATATTTGCATTATACTTACCAGTTCATCATCCCTATTTGAAAATACAAAATGCTCCAATGACTATTTCCTTTGAGCATGATGTTGGTGCTCCAGAAGTCTCAGATTTTGGAGCATTTTGGATTTTGGATTTTCAGATTAGGAATGCTCAAACTGTACTGGCTGAACAAGGTAGACGTTTCTTTCTTTCTTATGTAAAATCCAGAATGTATATGACAATTCTATTCTATAGAATTCGCAGGGATCCAGGCTTCTTCCAGCTCACTTGGTGCTTAGCCCATTTTGTGCTGCTATAACAGAACACTTGAGACTGGGTGATTTATAATGAACAGAAATGTATTGGCTCATACAGTTCTGGAGGCTGGAAAATCCAGTATCGGGCACCAGCAGTTCTGGTGTCTCATGAGGGCACGGTCTGTTCCAAGTGGCACCTTGAATGCTGCCGGAG
Source organism: Homo sapiens (assembly GCF_000001405.40). Classification (NCBI taxonomy): domain Eukaryota; kingdom Metazoa; phylum Chordata; class Mammalia; order Primates; family Hominidae; genus Homo; species Homo sapiens. The sequence continues at coordinate 32,152,520 of NC_000003.12, forward strand.
GGGAGGAGCGCTGACCCTCATGCAACAGAGGAATGGAAGAGGCAAACAGAGAGCCACTCCCGGAGTCTTTTTTCTAAGGAAAAGCCTCAGTCCATTCATGAAGGCAGAACACGCATGACCAAAACACTTCCTGTTAGGCCCCACCTCCCAACACTGCCACAGTGGCCACCGAATTTCAACATGGGTTTTGGAGAGGACAAACACTGAATGGCATAGGGTAGCATAGGGTGTGGCCCTTGTCTTCATGGTCTGTGAAAGTGACCAGAGCATCAATGTCACATCTACCTTCCAAGCAGCGAGGTTAAAAAAAGAAGAAAGAAAGAAAGAAAAAAAAAAAAAGACAGACAAAGAGCACGTGGCAGCTATCTTTCAAGGAAGGTTCTGGAAAATCAACCTTGTCACTTGGCTTCATCTCAGTGGGTACACTAGGTGTGACCATAACTAGCTACAAGGCAGGCTGGAAAATCATTTTGGGGATCTTTTTTCTGGATAGCCATATACTTGCATTAAAATAAGAGATTCTATTATTGTAGAAGGAAAGAATAGATTGGGGATAAAGCAGCAGCCCGTGGTACAGGCTGGTGGTGTTCCTTTGTGGGGCTGTTCTGCAGTTCTAATTGCTGGGCATGTAGGTTTGCTCCAGGGCTTTGGCTGTGGTAAACCATGCCGGGATGCCCAGCTTTGGGTCTCATCTGTAGTCAGGGCCACTGCTCGCCCAAAAGCACCTTTATGTGAGTGAGAGCAAGGCCTACATAATCTGACATGCTAGCCACTAGACATATGTACTATTTATATTTACATTCAAATTAATTAAAATTCTTAAAAACTAAAAATTCCATTTCGGAGTCACAGTAACTACATTTTGAAGACTCAGTGGCTGACTAATGGCTACTGTATTCGATAGAGCAAATATAAAACATTTCTATCATTGCAGAAACTTCTATTGGACAACGCTCTTCCAGCTAAGGCAGCTTCATATTGGTGCGACCGACTAGGTGGGCCAAGTGTGGGCCTGCCTCAGCCTTCCTTGACATCTCAGCCAGGCTGCCTTAGACAGGGGCCAGCAGCAAACAATATGTGGCACCTTGCCTTTAGTAATCCCAAACCCTGCAGACAGTCTCCTCTTGGCAGCTAGCCTCAGGAGGAGTCGGATGGATTGTTGGACTGAGAGAAAACAGTGAGTACTGACTTGGGTTTTGGGGAGGCAGTTCTTGCTGGGTGGTGAGAATGTTTATGTAACCTGCAGGTAGCATGGGCTGGTTCTCCTGTTCTTTATTCTTTTTGTGGGAAGGTGGAAGTGGGAGAGGAATTGAGCCCCATCCAACCCACCCCTATTCAGAACTGGAAAGAGTACACTCAAGAGTGGATGATTGCCTCTGAGTATTCCGTCACTCAGGAGATGGGGAAGAGCTACATACGTCTGTTTTCTGAAAATTATGGTATTTTTAGCTCCAAAAGAGTTTAAAGCAGATTTAAATGCACAGTGGATAATGATAACTTTCACATCTGAGCGATCTCGGAGGACATCTGCTCGGATGCTGTTCAAACACGCTCTGACTGGCTCAGTATCTTTATTTTTCTTTTGACAATGGTAAGTGGTGGAGGGAGAGAATGAGGATTTCAAGATCTGTCATAAGGCGACTAAACTGGGTTGCAGCCCAGGGTCCTCTTAGAAGAGAGGAGTTTACCCTGCACTAGGTCTCCTGATCTCCCCTGGTGGGAAGGTTAAATGTCTAGTAAAAGCTTCTAGTAGAAGCTTTGGGGTGGTCTAGACTCCCATGCCCTGCAGTGAAGGGGCCACAGAGGAGCTGTGAGGGAGCACCCAGGCACCCTCATGTGGCTTTTCTGAGTACAGCAACATAGAAACACTGCTTTGGAGCTCAGGGCCTGTCCATACAGTCCTGCTTGGATGGTTCTGGTTGCAGAGAGCTCCTGCTAAATCTTTCCTGTTGGGTGAGGTCAGCTCTTCCTGTTAGAAAGTTCTCATCTGGACTCTGCGGTGGCCTCTCTGTGCCTTTCACTCACTGACCCTAGAGCAGCACGGTGTGGCGTGATCTTCTCGGGCAAGGTCCTTACTCTGTGTGCTTCAGTTTCCTATCATGTTCCCATGATAATAGGACCTGCCCTGTGACAATGTTGTGAGGTTTAAATGAGGTAATAATATATGAAGCTCTTAGAACAGTTCAGTAAGGTTTGCTGTTGCTATTTTTTATTACCTTTTCTTCTCCTAAGCTACTTTTTTTTTTTTGAGACAGGCTCACTCTGTCACCCAGGCTGGAGTGCAGTGGCATGATCTCGGCTCACTGCAACCTCCGCCTCCCCAGCTCAAGTGATCCTTCCACCTCAGCCTCCCAAGTAGGTGGGACGAAAGGTGCATGCCACCATGCCCAGCTAATTTTTTGTATTTTTGGTAGAAACAGGGTTTCACTATGTTGCCCAGGCTGGTCTCAAACTCCTGAGCTCAAGCAATCCACCCACCCCAGCCTCCCAAAGTGCTAGGATTATGCCCAACCTAAGCTACCGTTTTTACCTCCCAAGCCTTGGTGTAGGCCAGGGAGGCACTCTCCTTTGACAACCAATTGCAAAGGGTCAGGCAGGTCTTTTTGACCGAGGTTGGAGGAAGGGCAGATTTCCCACACTGGAGCAGCAAGGCACAGGGGACAGAGCGGGCTGCAAAGCCAGGCACCAGGGGCACATCCAGACTCCATCTTTTACCAGTGAGGTGTTCTCAGTGGGCCACTAAACCTCTCTGAGCCTCAGTTGTGCCAGTTGGGAAATAGGAGGATAGGTACATACTTCTGAGTCATGGGAATGATGATGAGGCAGTGTGTAACTAGCCTGGGCTGGCTGAAGGCACGTAATAAATAAGTGCCTCCCCTCCTCTGTTGACAGGAGCCCCTTGTTGAACAGAAGTCCATGTTCTCTCCCATTCAGCCCATAGACATTTCCTGGGGTTGGTTTTTCATATAACAGTTTCAGAATGGTTCATGTTGTGATGGAGGGGGAAATAGGGACACAGTCCAGGGGGCATCAGAGAGCAATTTCAGGAATCTGACCAGTTGGCCAACAGCCTAAGCCTCGCCACATTGCATGGCAACTTCAATAAAACCACTTGGCCAGCTCACCCAAGGGCTGGCCTCTGGGCTTCGGCAGTCAGACCCGCTGCATGTCCCCAGGTGTCAATCTGTTGCCCCAGTACTGGTTGCAGCCCCAGTGCAGGCTACAATTGCACCAACTTTCCTGAAAGAATGTCAATACTAGAAGGGCCTTGAAAAGTCTTGTCCAAGCCCTGAATTTTACATCTGAGGTGAAGATGGCCGGAGAGGTGGAGTGGTTGGCCTAGGTCACACTGTGACAATGTAGAGGCTCTCTGGATGTCAGTGCCGTGTACCGCTTCCGTCTCCTTGTAGCCTCCTTAGTCTGGCTGCTATGCTGGGAAGGGCGTCCAGACCTAGGTGGGCCCAGCCCCAGGTGTTCTTATGGTCCCTGCTCTTAGCCTCTGCATAGCACTCATCCTAAAAGGTCTGGCTGTCCCATCCTGACTCGGCAACTCACCCCTTCTAGAAGCAGAGCTGCAGAACTAGATCGCACCCGACCCCCCAGCATCTCTCCAGGCTCCTTTCACACGGCTTCTGCCTTGCCTCTTCCATGATGCTGCCTGTTGCTGAGAGTGTGTAAGCCGGGAATTACACACTGATGAGAACTGATGAAACCTATAGTTCGCATAGCCTGTGTGGTAGGAAGAGGCTGAGAAGCTTTCGCAGGTTCAGGCAAGTTGGTACCTTACGAAGACATATGCACTTGGTCAGGCTGTCAGTTCCTAGGACCAATTCCTCATCAGCTCTGCCTGCATCATTTTTAGAGAATTTTTCCACTTTTTCCTTTCTATGTTGACTGCAATGAGAGGCATAAGCAGCAACCGCAGTAAGCTCTCACATTATTGCTCAGGAAGAGAAGACACTAGGGGGCCTTCCTATCCCCATCCTTTATTCTCTAGCCCTCTTCATTCCACATCACCCCGTGGGAGAGGGCAAGAGAGGGCTCTGTTCTGTGGGTCTGTGGGGAGTAGACAGAAACTTCAGGAGGCCCAATTGGATGTTTTTTTTCATGTGAAGTATCTTTGCGCCTCGGTCTTCTGGTAAGCAATAGCTGTATCTAAATGACCAAGTCTGTTTGTCATGGTGAGCCCGGCCACATCAATGATATGTTTGATGTGTTTTATCAAAAACTGCCTGTGTACTAGAGAAGACATTTTTATTCCCCAGCTCATTCTGTTTTTCATCTCATCCCTCACATTTTATAGGCCTGATGTTTTAAGAAAAGTTATTCTTTCACTATAAAACTTGGTTTTATTAAAATACACTTATTTTAACTCATTTCCCAAACTAAGTTCATGTTTTAAAATCTCCCACGGCTCTCTGTACAGTCACAGGTATTACTGGAATTGCTAGTGTGGTTAGACAGTTGGATATTTGCTTTTTGGGGGGCATTGAGTGTTCTTGGTGAAGGAGCTGGAAAAGTGGAAGGGGCCAGGAACCTAGGGGCTCAACTGAAGTTCCAACTGAGTTGCCACCTGTGCAACTGTGCAGGTGTTACTTGTCATAGGTGGTAATCTGACTTTTACTTATTATTTGGGCCCAGCTCAGATGCCGCCTCCTCCATGTGGCCTTCCCTGCTGTGAACGGAAGCTTGTGGCTCCTGCCACTTGTCAGCACACTCTCTCCCCTCTGCCTTTTTTTTTTTTGAGACAGAGTCTCGCTCTCGCCCAGGCTGGAGTGCAGTGGTGCGATCTCGGCTTACTGCAAGCTCCACCTCCCAGGTTCACTCCATCCCCTCTGCCTTTTGATGTGCTTTGTTGTGTCTCTTTTCTCAGCCAGATTGTCAGCTCCTTGAGGACAAGCTCTATGTCTTAACTCTCATCTTTGCAGCTCTCCCCTGGGGGCATCTTCAGCCCCTGCATTCCCCCTGCCACCCGCTAGCCCCTGCAATCACTGTGTCCCTCCAGGGCTGAGTGGGGTGCTCCCCACACAGTACATGCTCAGTGCATACCTGTTGAAACGGAATTTCAGATTCTCAGTACCTTTTATGGAATATCACTTTCTGCTGAGCATTAACAGTTATTTGTACACGTTTTATTTTTCCTGTAAGGTCAGGGCTGGTAAACGTTTTCCATCAGGGCCAGACAGAAGAGGCCTTGTGGACCATATGGTCTCTGTTGCAATTACTCAAATCTGCAACCATAGACGATGTGTAAATGAATGGGTATGGCTGGGTTCCCGTAAAACATTATTTACAAAACAGGCAGTTGGCCTAGATTGCCAGCCCCCTTAGCAGATTTTCAGCTTCTGAAAAGGCAGGCTCTGTGTCTCATTTGCCTTGTGTCTAGCAGAGGCCATGCAGAGAGTGAGTGCTCCATAAATACTCATTTGGGGATTATTAAATGAAGCAAAAGGCTGGAATTTGAGCTGCACACATACAGGCCTCATGACCCAGTGTTTCAATTCCTAGGTCATACCCAACAGGATTGCCTGCACGTAGTCACCGGAGGGCATGTGCCAGGGTGTCCATGGCAGCACTGTTTGTCATGGCCCCAAACTGGAATCTACCCCAGTGCCAGTTGACAGGAGATAATTAAATCAATTGCAGCATATTCACAAAATGGAATACTATGCAGCAATTAAAATAAATGTGCTCTATGTAAAAATATGGATGAATCTCACAAACACGATGTTGAATTAAGATGAAGCTACACATAAAATATTACATATTGTATGACTCCATTCACAAAAAGTTGAAAGGCAGGTAAAACACATCTATGCTGTGAGAAGTGAGGAGAGTGGTTACCTTTGGTGGTGGAGGTGGGCTGGAAGGGGTTCTCGGGAGCTTCCTGAAGCACTGGCTGTGCTTTTCTCCTTGATCAGTGTGCTGGCTATGGGGGTATGCTCAGTTTGTGAAAATTCTTCAATCCGTGCACTTAGGATTTGTGTACTTTTCTGTATGAATGTTATGGTTGCATAAAGCATTCCATTTAAAACAAAACAAAAAGTAAAGTAGTTTGTCCAAACATTATTTAACCAAAGACTACTATCAGCCGTTCTGATTTTCTGTCCAATGCTCTTCAACTGCTGACCCCAAATATGGGCTCTTTGTCCTAGAAAGGGGAATATGGAAGCCCTGTCTCTCCTTTCGTCATCTCTTTCACCCAGGTGTACAAGAGCAGAGCCCGGCATTGAGTATTTTGAAGATGGAGCCAATGTCCCTGGTCTGCCCCTGCCTCGGCATCCCCCACCACCTCTGGCATCCATACCCGTGGTGGGTGCTGTAACGGCATCTGGGCTTTGTCATCTCCTTTGCAGAACATCGTAGCTGTGGGAGCTGGGTTCTGCGACGGCCTCCGCTGTGGAGACAACACCAAAGCGGCCGTCATCCGCCTGGGACTCATGGAAATGATTGCTTTTGCCAGGATCTTCTGCAAAGGCCAAGTGTCTACAGCCACCTTCCTAGAGAGCTGCGGGGTGGCCGACCTGATCACCACCTGTTACGGAGGGCGGAACCGCAGGGTGGCCGAGGCCTTCGCCAGAACTGGGAAGGTAGCCCCTCACCTGCTCTCCCGCACCCCCTCCTTCCTCACTTGAGACTCCTGGCTTGGGGTGAACTGCAGCCCAGTGGAGATTTCATGCCAGCATCTATTTGCTGGGATTGTTCCGTTTGCCTGGCTGCTTTTTCACTTGACTCTTCTGTTCTTTATCTTTGTGTCTTTATCTTTCCTTGGCTTCCAGCAGGGGACTGAAGCTCTTCTCTCACTCTGCTCTTGAAATAATTGATGCTAGGCCGGGCGTGGTGGCTCATGCCTGTAATCCCACCACTTTGGGAGGCCAAGGTGGGAGGATTGCTTTAGGCCGCAAGTTCGAGGCCAGCCTGCACAGCATAGCAAGACCCATTCTCTAAAAAAAAAAAAAAAGAAAAAAAACACTTAAAAATTAAACAAATAAATGATTCTTTAGTCTTTACCATAGTTTTTTTAAATATATAATCCTTTGTTTTTAAGACCATTGAAGAGTTGGAGAAGGAGATGCTGAATGGGCAAAAGCTCCAAGGACCGCAGACTTCTGCTGAAGTGTACCGCATCCTCAAACAGAAGGGACTACTGGACAAGTAAGTCTCTCAGTCGCCCATGAGACCAGATAAATGTCCATCATTCCTATTCTCAGGACTTCCAGCCCCACGGAGATGAGCTAGACTATTTGACAAGTGCCCTTAGAACTTATCTGGATTAGTTCAGTCCTTTGTGTGATGTGAACGTCTGTGATGAGAAGCATCTACCTACTCCCAAAACATGTGTTTACACAAAACCAGGCTCAACTTCAATGAAAGGAGCTCAATTCTATAAGTCATGTTATAAAATACAAAATTTAAGATTCTAGTTTGTCTCGCAGGGTGTTTGGTAAAAGCTACATATCATACGTTTTAAAATTTGTAAAAATTACTTTTTTGTTTTTATTAAAAAGTATGGTTATGTTATTAAAATGTCAAGTCAGAAAAGAAGGAAGGACGAGTTAGCCCAACATTATACCATTAGAAGGTAGCTCTGTTAAGTTTGGTGCACAGCCTTCCAGTCTCTTCATCGGGTGGGTAGATGGGGCTTAGGATGGGATGGGATGGGATGGAATGGGATGAAGGGATGGATGATGGGTGGGTGGGTTGGCAGGTGGGAAGGGATGGGATGAGATAGATGGATGGATGGATGATGGATGGGTGCATGGGTAGATGGGTGAGTGGATGGGTGGGATGGGTGAATGGATGGATGATGGGTGGGTGGGATGGGATGGGATGAGATGGATGGATGGATGGATGGATGGATGGATTATGGATGGGTGCATGGGTGGATGGGTGAGTGGATGGGTGGGATGGGTGAATGGATGGATGATGGGTGGGTGGGTGGGATGGGATGAGATAGATGGAGGGATGGATGATGGATGGGCGCATGGGTAGATGGGTGAGTGGATGGGTGGGATGGGTGAATGGATGGATGATGGGTGGGTGGGTGGGATGGGATGAGATAGACGGAGGGATGGATAATGGATGGGTGCATGGATAGATGGGTGAGTGGATGGGTGGGATGGGTGAATGGATGGATAGATGGGTGGGTGCATCCATCCTCCATTGCCCTTCCAGGCCAGTTGTGTGTTAAAGGTGGGCTTAAGTCAGTTTATTTGCCACCTGATTGAGAGAGTGAGCCCTGTAGCACCAGAAAAGCTTCCCAGCCTCTCCTGAGGCCACTCTCCAGCCCTACCTGCTCCACAGCACTTTCTCTTGCCGATTTACTGAGCATGATTGTGGAGGACCATAATCATGATGCCAACTACACCACTGCATAAATGCTTATGCAGCATATTGCATGTATCCTTAACTCTCCCGTAATACTCTCTAGGGGAGGGGAGGTCTTGTTGCCTAGGACTGAAGGGAGCTGGGCAGCTGGAATGACATGCTGATTGTGGCTAATTTAGAGCATGAGCTTCTCTCCAAGCTGGGAGGAGGGTCGTGGATGTTGTTGCTATTATCTCTGGTTGCAGCTCCTTTATCCTGGTTCTGTCAGTTTAGGTGTCTGCTGGTCCCAGTCATGCATCTTTACCTCCCCCTGCACCCAGCACCCCTCCTCCTTTTACCCAGAACAAATTAATCAGCCATGGAGTTCTGTACTGAAAGTTAAAAATGAGGGTGGATGGAGCATTTGTCTTACCTTTTAAATTTGCACTTTATTTTTCTGAAATGGCTTTTAAAACCAGCCATGCAGAGATGGAAGTTCACAAACAGGCTGCCAAAGGAGGAGAACTACCTTTAAATTGTGGCTAAAAGGAAAATGCCTCTGACATGCATGGTTTTCCTTACCTACTTAGCAGCAGACAGTGATATGTTTGTGTGTGGTTGGACTACTTTAATGACCACTGAGCATTTATCAAGAAATTTTTTTAAGTCTCAAAAAAAAATAATACTTGGCTGTTTAGTGAGACTCTCCCAACCAGAATTTTCAAGTGGCATCTTGAAACACACCCCAAGTGTGCTACCATGGGGTGCCTTGATAGGATTCTCTGGATGGACAGGTTGGCTGGGCATTAGCCTGTTAGCTCCAGGGGGACATGGACTAGAATTGCGATTCTGGGGCCAGTAGCTCCCTGTTTTCAAAAGCAGGTGTAATCAAGCAGGTAAATCTCTGCTCTGAGCAGACATCTCTCCTTGGTCATGTCCCATTTTATTTCTTCTGATTAGAGATTGAACAGGCTCCACCTGTGCTTAATAACATCGCTGCTGGATTGGACGTGGCAGCACCCTTCTCCTGGGCTGGAGTGTAGAATCCCCTGGGACTCCTCCCCATTCCTTGTACCACCTGCCTCCCAAAGGCAGAGGCCTATTGTGCTCCCTTTGCACCACCTCTTACTTTGATTCCTTTTTCCTTTTTCATTCTGACCACCACTACTCCGGTCTTCCTCTGTTTCCTTCTCCCTCCCTTCTCTTCTCCATTGCTATAGAAAAAATAGCAGGAGGGCAGCATTCAAGGCTGCCCTGTGGCTTATTAGCCCTGTGGCCTTGGGCAAGTCACGTATTTAGCTGTTCTGTGCCCCGGTGTTCTTATCCACAAAATTAAGATGGAAGACCAGATGAACACCATGGTCCCTACCAGCTTGAGCATTCACATTCAGAGGCCTCCTGCTCTTATAGAGTGAAGCACATGGTCCTTAGGCAGATGTGGCCCCCCTCAATCTAGCACCAATGTAACTTCCTGCAGTACATCCTCTTACTCCCTATGGTACCGTCTTTTCTTGAATGGAACTTTTCTTTGCCTCTCATTTTACCTTAATTACCTTTTCTTTTTTTTTTTGAGACGGAGTCTCGCTCTGTCGCCCAGGCCGGACTGCGGACTGCAGTGGCGCAATCTCGGCTCACTGCAAGCTCCGCTTCCCGGGTTCAAGCCATTCTCCTGCCTCAGCCTCCCCAGTAGCTGGGACTACAGGCGCCCGCCACCGCGCCCGGCTAATTTTTTGTATTTTTAGTAGAGACGGGGTTTCACCTTGTTAGCCAGGATGGTCTCGATCTCCTGACCTCATGATCCACCCGCCTCGGCCTCCCAAAGTGCCCTTAATTACCTTTTCAAAGACCGTGTCACATTCTGAGATACTAGGGGTTAGGACCTAAGCATATTAATTGGGAGGAGGGCACAATTCAGCCCGTACACAACATGTTCTCTGAGGTGCATGTTGCAAGCTCCTGGGTCTCACTCTGTCACCCAGGCTGGAGTGCAATGGTGCAATCTCAGCACTGCAATCTCCGCCTCCCATGTTTAAGTAATTCTCTTGCCTCAGCCTCTCCAGTAGCTGGGATTACAGGCGTGTGCCCCTATACCCAGCTAATTTTTGCATTTTTAGTAGAGACTGGTTTTTACCACGTTGCCCAGGCTGGTCTCGAACTCCTGGCCTCAAGCAATCTGCCCACCTTGGCTTCCCAAAGTGCTGGATTACAGGCATGAGCCACCACGCCTGGCCTGGCTTTATTTATAATACTGCACATCCCTGCACTTAGTCTGAAGTCTGAAACATCTTAAGCCCTCAGTATTGATTAGTGGGATAGCTGGCTGACTGGTTTGTCCTTTTTTTTTTTTTTTTTTTTTTTTTGAGACAGAGTCTTGCTCTGTCGCCCAGGCTGGAGTGCAGTGGCACGATCTTGGCTCACTGCAACCTCCACCTCCCAGGTTCACACCATTCTTCTGCCTCAGCCTCCTGAGTAGCTGGGACTACAGGCGCCCGCCACCACGCCCAGCTAAGTTTTTGTATTTTTAGTAGAGACGGGGTTTCACTGTGTTAGCCAAGATGGTCTCGATCTCCTGACCTCGTGATCCACCTGCCTCAACCTCCCAAAGTGCTGAGATTACAGGCGTGAGCCAGCACACCCAGGCCTCTGGTTTGTCATTTTTTTAAATGAAATGTTGTCTTTTTCTTCCTTTCACCTCTAACTTTATTTAGAGAGTCTTCCAAACTGATCTAATTGTCCTTTTAGCATTTTATGTAATAGAAAATAATATTTAGATGGGCAGTGTAGCCTAATGGTTGATCATTGGCTTCAGAGTCCAAAACTGTGGTTCAATTTACTCATATATAGAATGGGGACAATATTTTCTACCTCATGGGGTGATTGTAAGGATTAAACAAGTTACTCGTCTGTAGAAATTTCTCTTCCACACACTTCATATCTCTTGTTAACATCCCTTCCACAGAATGCACTTTGGAAATGATAGTTTTAAAAGTTGGGAGTGCTTTCAGCTGCAAGACCAACACACAGTTATAACAGGGAATATGGAGGTGAACATTATTAAAGTGTTGGCCCAGTGGCTCTGGCTCTGGATTAGAATCTCAGTGATCCTGTTGGCTTTCCCTTGAACCTCAAGATGGCTGCAGCAGCTCCAGGCATCACATTCACTTTTACACTCAGGAAGGGAACAAGAGTAGTCTGGGGTAACAGATTTTTCCTCTAGTGCCTCTCGAGAAATCTTCCTCGAGAAACCTTCAGCAGATATATTATGTCTTGCTGCCTAGGACTGTGTTACTTGACCAATTCTAGGTGAAAGGCTAGGAAGGTGAGTAGTCTCTTCCAACCTTGGGGAAAGGGAGAAGCAGGTTGGAAATGGCTTTGGATGGCCAGTCATCTGCTACCACACTGCTTTGGGGACATATACATTGTTCTTGTTTTAGGAACAGGGAAACATAGCATGGAAGGACAAAGAAAGGGGCTGAAGTTTCTAGGCTTTAAATCCAATCCACAGGAATTTATTCAACGAATTCTCACGGAGCACCTGCCCCTTGCCGTGCATGGTGCCAGGCACTGAGGATACAGTAGTGAAAAAAACAGACTTGGTCCCAGTCCTCAGGGAGCTTTCTCGGTCCAGGACACACTATCCATCTTGTGGCTGCTATTATAAGCTGTTGTTACTGCACATCCACCATTTGCCAAGTGTGTACTGTGTGCTTCACACATAAGTCATTTAATACTTGCAGCAAGGCTGTGTATCCAGTCCCATTTTACAGATGGGCAAACAGGGTCAGAAGGATTGTGAAACTTGCCCAGAGTTAGTAGGCTGTAGAGTCAGAGTTGATTAGGTCTACCTGACTCCAAAAAAATAAAACATTCCACAAAAAAGTAGCAAAACATTCCGTACCTTAAAAAAACTACAATGAAGAAACAACCCTACAACGATAGACTCTCATAAAGACATGTGATCTATTAGTACTATTTGTTCTTCTTAAAAATTATCATTATAAGGTTCTGTCCAGCTAATTTTCAGGATTGCCTTTCAAGACTCTATTGATTCTGCCAAGCTCACTTTGAGCTATGTGTGTGTGTGTATTTAAAAGCCTGGGCCGGCGCGGTGGCTCACGCCTGTAATCCCAGCACTTTGGGAGGCCGAGGTGGGTGGATCATGAGGTTAGGAGTTTGAGACCAGCCTGACCAACATGGTAAAACCCCGTCTCTACTAAAAATACAAAAATTAGCCAGGCGTGGTGGCACACACCTGTAATCCCAACTACTCTCAGGAGACTGAGGCAGCAGAATCGCTTGAATCCAGGAGGCAGAGGTTGCAGTGAGACAAGATCATGCCACCGCACTCCAGCCTGGGCGATAGAGTGAGACTTTGTCGCAAAAGAAAAGAAAAAAGAAAAAAAGCCTGATGAAATTATTTCTTTAGTGATTTTTCACTTATATCTGTATTCACATCTTGGAAGAAAAGGTAAGATAAATCAAGCTTCTGACATAAGATGAGTGCTTTGCTAATCGTGGGTCCTCACTCGGATTCTTGCGGGAGCATTCCAGCCTACATTATTTGTTACCTTGGGATGATTCTTTTTGGAGAAGGGAGAGCAATGCCTCCTTGCAATTTAAAAATTTATTTTTACAACTTTTAAAATAATGACAGAATATAGACTCCTCCAAGATTTGACCAAGAGTTGGAGCCACAGCTCCTATGTAAATGACAACAGTTTGCCCTGGTAGGATCACCGTGTGACTTGGTTGTGGACAGTGTGCTCCAAGCTTAATTAGGCAGAGGATGGTCTAGGTTGCCCCAGGATCTGACAGCCACATTCCAGAGGCTCTCTGCAGACCAAATAATAAAGGAATGTAGAAAGTGCTCACTGTGTTTTCCATAGTCACATACTAACCTGCAATCTGTTAGGACAGAAAACCTAACTTATTCTCTGAGGTAAATCCAGTGGCCTAACTTTGTCTTTTCACATTTCCTCCCAACTAGGTTTCCATTGTTTACTGCAGTGTATCAGATCTGCTACGAAAGCAGACCAGTTCAAGAGATGTTGTCTTGTCTTCAGAGCCATCCAGAGCATACATAAAGTGAATCATGCAACGTGTTGGGGGAAGTTCTGCCTTTCTGATCAATCTTTTGGGTTCACGTGGAAACCAGGACTTGGCAACATGATGTTTGACTGTAATCTCATCACGGATATGTATGAATTTTTACAGGTTCGTTTTTGAATTGTGAGAGGCAGTTCATTAGCAAAGATGTACTGGGCAGTAACTAAACACACATGCAAACATGTGAATGGTGGTTTATTCCTCATTCTGTGGATGTTTCTATGAGCCAAAATTTGATGTCTTTTTTTCAAAATTGCTTATGAAATTTCCACACAATCGTAGCTTATAAGATTGGAACGATCTCAGCCAAATATTTTAGGTGTAATTCATATGTATTTGAGTGGAGGATTTTTTTTCTCATTTTTCTAGTGTTAAATTTTAACCAGCATTAACATGGTAGAGTGGAGGAGTGAGTGTGTTCAAAGATCAACATATTTAACTTTTAAACACTATCTCAAAGCCAGCATAATTAACTACTTTGATTGTGGGCTGACCTTTGTTTTTTTAACAATCAGGCATTTTTAATTAGATAATCCACTCATGTATTTCCCCCTCACTGCAGTTGTCTGCATTTTTAGCCTCTTTTCTCTTCGTTAGTTGTCAGAATATGCCTTCGTCAAGGCTCAGAGGTAACAAGACAGAAAATTCATCTGGGATTTTCCTGCTGTGGCTGGCACATTCTTCTGATTAACAGACACTTGTATGATGCTTTAGGCTAGTTAGTGCATTTTTTAGCAAACATTTATCTTAAACATCACAGATCCACTGGGGGGTGCAAGGGGCTACTGTTAGTCCTCTTGTTAGATGCAGTCACTCCTCCTGGTCACCTAGTGAGCAGGGACAGAGCCAGGAGTCAAGTGCAGTGCCAAGGTGCATGACCCTCTGAGAAGTCACTGGGCTGATTTGACCTCCGACTCATTGGTTGTGCAAATGCCATGTGCAGCCTTTCCTGAGGCCATAGGAGGGCTTCCTGCAGCTGAGATCTATGCAGGCCATCCTCTCAACAAGTGCCACTCCAAGGGCGGTCCTCGGTGCAGCAGCATCAGCTTCACTTGTGGGGGGGTGGGGGAAGGGGCGGTCTCAGAAATGCAGGTTCCCAGGTCCCACCCTGGACTTCTGAAGGGGTGTGGCATCTGTGTTTCTGATGCTTACTACAATATGTGAACCACTACTTTAGAAAATCTGCTTTAACTTGGTATTCCTCTAATTGTGTTCCCTAGGAAATGACTGTCCCAAGAGCCAGTGATTATTCCAGGTGTTCCCTGGAAAGGTCAAGTGAGTCTGGGAAACACTATGTCTGTACACCTCTTGAAGGTGTCGAATGTATGTTTATACATCAGTGGAACCCATTTTTCTAGCCTAGCAAGTCCCAAACACATTACACTGAAGAGATTTTGGTGAGGAAACTTGCTGGAGTTTTCAGGGAACACTGTTCTAGGCTTAGGTGACCTTAGGATCACTCAAGTAGACCCTTCACTCCCTGCGAGAAATTAGGATGAATAACTACCTGTGGCATTGTTGGTTCTGAACTTTTACAGTTCAGGCCTGCTGTGAATCTTTGATGAAGCTTTAAGGTGACACTGTTGTACAAGATGTCAGCTTTGCTGAAACGCACATTACCTGGAATAAGTGCTTTAATTGTAGAATTAGAATGGGATTTACTGTACTGTTTTAAATGAGATTGGCTTCAGAATCCATTACAGTTACCTTACATAGCACTTGATACGTGTTAAATGAACATATGAATGTAATTTATATATTCCTAGAATTTAAGTTACTTTGTGAGATTTGGGCCTGTCCCTCAATGCCAGTTTAGGATTTCTTTTTTTCTATACCTTGAAATGATTATAAAATAGATTTTCATGGGAATTTTAAAAACTCTATCCAAAACATTTTTGGAGCATTTTAAAGCCCCATACACAGAAGTATACGAAAGCACACAAAACACTCCAAGTTTCAGCAGTTTTAGCGCCACCATTAACCCACTTTGCTTGTCTCATGAAAAATCTTTGTTAAAGTTTGTACACAGGTAACAAAAAGTTACTTTAAAAGATATATAAAGGGCTGTAAGCTAATTGTGGTGTCTAGTAAGTAGCATAATGAGATGTGAGGAGTTGGAACTTTGCGTGTTTTGCGTATTTTCATCTGCATTCAGCTTCTTACTCTGGGTTTGTACTCGAGTGTTATTTCTTTACAAATGCCCTTGTAATTACCACTCTGAAGTCTGCTGACTGTGTCTCTTGAACATACTTAGGATATTCTGCACATTATGGAAAAAGGTAAATTTTAGAAGTTTCTGCTCTACTAACTGTAGATATTTATGACTCTGCGAGTTATCTATTTTTATAACCACCTGTGGTCCATTGTTCATTTTAATTCACATTTCTTATGAAGTATGGTAACAGGGAGGGAGACACCTAGATTAGCAGCTCAATTTGTACTACTTCAGCCAATCTGTGAATGTAAAAACTACACTGTTGCCTTGCTAGGATCCACCCTCCTATAATATGGAACAAATATCTGAATGAAATCCACCCTAGGAGACGGAGTCAAACTAAACTTGTGGTTTTTCATTTAACTTTTGACTACAGCATGGCCCCATGGCATCCACACCAAGAGGGTGTTGTGATGAGGTGCCGGTGTGCAAAGGGAACTTTAGTTTTTCCACTGGTTCTTATCTGCTAGCCTTTTACATACATGTGTACTATATTTGTTTATAGACTGTAGGTGGATATATAATTTAAAAGCTTGATTTAATAAACATTTAACCCCCTAAACTTGCACCGTGGATCCTGTTTTTCTTTTTATCAGCTTAGGTAATCATTTTATTTGTCGGCTTTTTCTTTTTTCCTGAACTGTGTTTCATTACCAATATCAAAAACAGTTTTCAACAGAAGGGCTTCATCTCTAATCCCAGGCCTTAAATGCATCTGTTTTTATTGTTTACTGATATTTTTATACAATTGCAGTTTAGGATGGAGACCTTCTAGTGAATTTGAAATCCCCTTCTCCCCACTCCATGTATACCTTTAAAAGCTGGGAAAATATAACCAGTGCTGATCTCGTAAAAATGTAAGGGAGCTCTCCCTCTACCTCTACCTCTACCTCTCTACCTCTCTACCTCTCTACCTCTCTACCTCTCTACCTCTCTACCTCTACCTCTACCTCTCCGTCTCCCTCTCTTTCCACGGTCTCCCTCTGATGCTGAGCCGAAGCTGGACTGTACTGCTGCCATCTCGGCTCACTGCAACCTCCCTGCCTGATTCTCCTGCCTCAGCCTGCCGAGTGCCTGCGATTGCAGGCGCGCGCCGCCACGCCTCACTGGTTTTCGTATTTTTTTGGTGTAGACGGGGATTCGCTGTGTTGGCTGGGCTGGTCTCCAGCTCCTAACCGCGAGTGATCCGCCAGCCTCGGCCTCCCGAGATGCCAGGATTGCAGACGGAGTCTGGTTCACTCAGTGCTCAATGGTGCCCAGGCTGGAGTGCAGTGGCGTGATCTCGGCTCGCTACAACCTCCACCTCCCAGCCGCCTGCCTTGGCCTTCCAAAGTGCCAAGAGTGCAGCCTCTGCCCGGCCGCCACCCCATCTGGGAAGTGAGGAGCGTCTCTGCCTGGCCGCCCATCGTCTGGGACGTGAGGAGCCCCTCTGCCTGGCTGCCCCGTCTGGAAAGTGAGGAGCATCTCTGCCCGGCCGCCATCCCATCTAGGCAGTGAGGAGCGCCTCTTCCCGGCCGCCATCCCATCTAGGAAGTGAGGAGCGTCTCTGCCCGGCCGCCCGTCGTCTGAGATGTGGGGAGCGCCTCTGCCCCGCCGCCCCATCTGGGAGGTGAGGAGACCCTCCGCCTGGCAACCGCCCCGTCTGAGAAGTGAGGAGCCCCTCCGCCCGGCAGCCACCCCGTCTGGGAAGTGAGGAGCGTCTCCGCCCGGCAGCCACCCCGTCCGGGAAGGAGGTGGGGGTCAGCCCTTGCCAGGCCAGCCGCCCCGTCCGGGAAGGGGGGGGGGTCAGCCCCCGGCCCGGCCAGCCACCCCGTCCGGGAGGGAGGTGGGGGGGTCAGCCCCCCGCCCGGCCAGCTGCCCCGTCCGGGAGGTGAGGGGTGCCTCTGCCTGGCCACCCCTACTGGGAAGTGAGGAGCCCCTCTGCCCGGCCACCACCCCGTCTGGGAGGTGTACCCAACAGCTCATTGAGAATGGGCCATGATGACAATGGCGGTTTTGTGGAATGGAAATGGGGGAAAGGTGGGGAAAAGATTGAGAAATCGGATGGTTGCCGTGTCTGTGTAGAAAGAAGTAGACATGGGAGACTTTTCATTTTGTTCTCTACTAAGAAAAATTCTTCTGCCTTGGGATCCTGTTGATCTGTGACCTTACCCCCAACCCTGTGCTCTCTGAAACATGTGCTGTGTCCACTCAGGGTTAAATGGATTAAGGGCGGTGCAAGATGTGCTTTGTTGAACAGATGCTTGAGGGCAGCATGCTCGTTAAGAGTCATCACCACTCCTTAATCTCAAGTGCCCAGTGACACAGACACTGCGGAGGGCCGCAGGGTCCTCTGCCTAGGAAAACCAGAGACCTTTGTTCACTTGTTTATCTGCTGACCTTCCCTCCACTATTGTCCTGTGACCCTGCCAAATCCCCCTCTGCGAGAAACACCCAAGAATGATCAATAAAAAAAAAAAAAAATGTAAGGGAAATTCCTAGAATCCTGAA
The DNA here is from genome assembly GCF_000001405.40 of Homo sapiens. Classification (NCBI taxonomy): domain Eukaryota; kingdom Metazoa; phylum Chordata; class Mammalia; order Primates; family Hominidae; genus Homo; species Homo sapiens. The sequence continues at coordinate 32,170,638 of NC_000003.12, forward strand.
ACAAATAGGGGACTGATTGCCAGAGTCGAAAGAATTGAGTTGTGAAGCTTATGCTACACGAGAGCCCACCAAAGGCTATGTTGTCAGGGAAAAAAATGAAATAAGAAAACCCAGGTAGAGGTACAAACAAAGAAGCTGGGCTCCATGTGAGAAAAATGTTTTGTTTTGTTTGCTACAGAGTCTTGCTCTGTCACCCAGTGGTGGCACACACCTGTGGTCCCAGCTACTCGGGGCTGAGGTGGGAGGATCACCTGAGCCCAGGACGGTTGAGGCTGCAGTGAGCAGAGATCATGCCACTGCACTCCAGCCTGGGAGATAGAGCAGTGAGACACTGTCTTGAAAAGATAAATAAAATAGTTGAAAAATAATTCATTATGAGTGAAAACCAACAGATTTTTAAAAACAGAGTTAGAACCGTAGGATTTCAGATAATTTGAGTAATACGATAGATGCTTTTTTAAAATCATTTGAAATCCTTTATAGAGATGGGGGTCTTACTATGTTGCCCAGACTCGACTGCAGTGGTGTGATCATAGCTCACTGCAGCCTCCAACTCCTGGGCCCAAGCAGTCCTCCTGCCTCAGCCTCCAAGTAGCTAAGACTCCAGGGGCATGGTACCACACCCAGCTTTTTTTTTAAAGTAAAGATAGGGTCTTGCTATGTTGCCCAGTCTGGTCTCAAACTCCTGGCCTCAAGCAATCCTCCTGTCTTGGCCTCCCAAAGCCCTGGTACTACAAGCATGAGCCTGGCCAGATGCTTTGAAAGATATTTTTAAAAATAAAGGCATAAAAGAAGGATTAAAAAATAAATTGTATGGGAGGAAAAAAAAAAAGAACCCAGCCAGGCAGATTTGAAAAGGAACCTATTCAAACATTTAGGAATGAATATAATCATTTGAAGTTTAAAAATAGGCAGATGGAAAGATTAAAGACTAGATTTGACAGAGCTGCAGATGGAATTGGCAAACTGGAAAATAGATCTGAGGATATTAAAGTAGCAAAGAAAATATTTGAGAATTTAAAGATTAAGTGGAAGATAGAATAGGACTTGAACATACATCTGATAGGAGTTACAGAAGAGAGAAAAAGGAGGCAATTTTTGAAGAAAAGGCTGAAATTTGTCCCGATTTAATTATGTGCATTCAATTTTATGTTATTCTCCATAATGTATTTCCATTAAAATTTAATCACATGGTCTTTATAGCTTTTTATGACTGCATATAAACTAAGTTGATGGTGAACGTTTTTGAGGAAATACGCTTTATGAAGAATCTGTGTGGATAATCTAATTTACTGAAGCTGTGATTGATTCAAGTTACTGAAGCAAGTGATGTTACCTTTGGTAGGATGGGAGACAGCAGGCCTGGTACTGTGGGAAGACTTGTTCTAGCTCCTGCTTAACATTTAATATCCATGTTGTTTAGCCAAGTCAGCTAACTTCTCTTTGAGGTTCATTTTTCTCATTCGTAAGTGGGAATAATATCTGTGCAGCCTACCTCATAGGATTGCTGTTAAGGTCCGTAAAGAGCAGGAAATCAACATATTAAAGGAGAAAAATTAAATGATCATGGCGATATCTGCTTGTGGCAGAAACAATGCCATGTGTTCACTAAATTATTTTTTCTTTTCTTTTTTTTTTTTTTGTAGATACACAGTTAAATTACATTTCCCAACCTCCCCAGCAGTTAGGTGGCATCACATGATTGAGTTCTAGTCAATGGCATAGGGAGAGAAAAGTGCCACTTTCATGTGTTCTGTCTGGTTCTTTATTATTTCTTCTGTGCGTGCTGGTTGTATATCAATTTCCAGTATGTTCTGGAAGCCATACATTGAAGATGATGGACCCCCTTTTCAGCCAGGATTCTACAAGACAATATGGAGAAAGTACCCCCCAATCACATTGGTCTGTGATTGATAGGTACAAAAATTATTGTATTATGCCACTGAGACATAGGAGTTACTTGTTATAGCAGCTAGCATAACTTCACTTCATACATTGCTAAAAAGATGTTTGAGGAGATCCTTTTGTGGTTGATAAGTGTGATGATTCAGTTTTCATGCTCATGTATGAGATGTGCCCCCAATCAAACTTGTCACAACATCTGCTTATTATCAGACATGAAAAAAAATAGATGTTTCAGGAATTTAAAAATTGAACTTGCAGAAACATCAAGAGATTAGGGAAATTTTAATCCCTTGGTCACTACAGCATCACAGTGTCTGTTTTGCCATCACTTTTTTGGACACAGGAGGCTATATATGAGTGTGGGCGTGCCTATGGGTATGTCTGTCTGACTCTTCCCTACCCAGGATAACTCTGGCTAAATCCAAATTTGTATATCCAATAGTCCTTCTTTCTCCCTCTCACTCTATTTTTTTTTTTTTTTTTGAGACAGAGTCTTACTCTGTCACCCAGGCTGGAGTGCAATGGCATAGTCTAGGCTCACTGCAACCTCCGCCTCCCAGGTTCAAGTGATTCTCCTACCTCAGCCTCCAGAGTAGCTGGGATTACAGGTGCATGCCACCACACCCGGCTAATTTTTGTATTTTTAGTAGAGACGGGGTTTCACCATGTTGGCCAGGCTGGTCTCAAACCCCTGATCTCGTGATCCATCCGCCTCGGCCTCCCAAAGTGCTGGGATTATAGGCATGAGCCACCATGCTCAGCCTCATCCTTCTTTCTCTAGGACTAATGCCAGCAAGTTCCAGGACTTATAACATGTGCTTAACATCAGAGAAGTCTTCACCAGGTGGTGATGTCCTTAAGATGTCTTCCTCATTTCAAAAGCTTTAAGTTAGAAATGTCACTAGATCTTAGATAAGGCCATATGCTACTTGTAACCTCCTGAAACCTGTCTGTCTGAAACCTGAAGGAGTGGTTCTTCAGCTCCCCCTCAAAGACTTAGGAATTAAACTTGTCTGAATTGTACACATTGTGAGTGAAATAGTGCCACTGGAAAGTACTTTACTGTTGAACTCAATGCACCCTGTTATTTGTCAAATTGGTGTTATTTGACTCGTTACAAATGGAAATGCTTTTATGCTATGATGGAAGTGTTATTTGCATTTTTGTTACTAGTCTTATTTTTAAATAATTTTTCAATAGGTAACACAGTCATTTGGTTCAAAAATAAAGCCTGCTTCCCAAGTAGTTATTAGTTTTTAACAATCTCTTCTAGAATTTCATTTCACACACATAAGCAAAATATATATATTCTCATTCCCTTCCCCATTTCTCTACATAAAATTGAGCTTACTTGATGCATTGTTACACATCTTGCTTTTTTTACTTAACATGACATCTTGACAATCTTTTATATCAGTTATTTTTAATAACTGCATGTTTAACTTTTTACTTTGAAATAATTACGGATTCATAGTAAATTGCAAAGGTACCCTTCACCCAATTTTCCCTAATATATCAACACCTAGTTTTTAAAATTGTAAGTTAAAATAACAGTAGCGAAACACTTTCAGCACTGCTCTTTTTCTTTCTTTTTAGTCAGGGTTTCCCTCTGTTGCCCAGGCTGGACTGCAGTGGCTCGATCCTAGCCCACTGCAGCCTCCAACTCCTGGGCTGAAGCATTCCTCCTGCCTCAGCTTCTTCCAATAGCTGGGACTTCAGGCATGAGCCACCACACCCAGCTAATTTCTGAATATTTTGTGAAACCAGGGTCTCACCATGTTACCAAGGCTGATCTTGAACTCCTGGCCTCAAGTGATTCTCCTGCCTTGGCCCCCCAAAGTGCTGGGATTATCGGTATAAGCCACCATGCCTGGCCCACTTTTAGCACTGTTCTAAGTGCTTTGCATAGATGAACATTAATAAAAATGTATCACCCCCATATACAGATGGGGAAACTAAGGCACAAAGAGGATAAAGAACGTGTCCAAATAACAGAGATAGTAATTAATGAGGCCACGTTTTGGACCTGGGGAGTTTGGCTTAAAAGTCTGTGTTCTTAACTCTTAGATAAGACTACATTAACTCCTTTGAGTAATGGGTGTTCATAGTTAAGCAAAAGCAAACAATGATGTGAAGGGTTGAAAGTGTAATCATTCAATTCTTTTGCAGACTTTCATAAATGTACTGTGTTCATGCATGCGATATATTTTAAGACAATACTGTTTTAAAACTTTTTTAATAGTTTTAATATTGAACTTTCTGTATCAATATAATCTCCTACATCATTCTACATATCTGCATCATTTTCTATGACTCTTCCTTAGTTTATTACAGATAAATGTTTGTTTTCTTTTTATTATAATAACTGGTGCAGAAAACATTCTTGCACATGGATTTCTGCTCATTTATATGAGTGAATCTACATCATAAAATCCTGGAAGCGGAATTGCTGGCTCAAAGGTATGTGTGTTCTATACTTTAATGGAAACCGCCAAATCCCCCTTCACAAAGATGGCTGCAATTTATGCTTCTGACCTCACTTTCTGTTCCTAATTACCTCTACAGCCTCTATTAGGGAATTCTTTATAATAACCAGAGACCTAAATTGAACCAAATAAGTCCCAGAAATGTGAGCCTTTGTACTTAATAATTTATGTCTCTCCTGTCAGTTTCACTGTAAAAAATAAAATTTTTTGTTATTCAAAACTACAATTGTGTTAAAGCAGCCATCTTACTATATAGTTGTAATAGTTGGTACTGAAAGTTTTTTTTTTTTTTTTTTTGAGACAGGGTCTTGCTCTGTCACTCAGGCTGGAGTGCAATGGCACAATCTTGGCTCACTGCAACCTCCACTTCCCAGGTTCAAGCAATTCTGCCTCAGCCTCCCAAGTAGCTAGGATTACAGGCACCCGCCATCACGCCCAGCTAGTTTTTTGTATTTTTAGTAGAGACGGGGTTTCACCATGTTGGTCAGGCTGGTCTTGAACTCCTGACCTCAGGTGATCTACTCACCTCGGCCTCCCAAAGTGCGGGGATCACAGGTGTAAGCCACCGCACCTGGCCTTGAAAGTTTTTATAGTCACAGAAATGTTCATGTAAATGAGATGTTTATAACGAATGTTAAAACAAGAAACATTTTTTTAATCACAAATTCACTATTTATTCAAAACCTCTTCAAGCTGTTGTCAAAACAAGCTGAAATGGGGGTAAGATGCTTTTCTGGGAGAGTTCCAGGTTCTAATTAACTATGACCCTTGCCCACTAGAGGTCGCTCTTCGTGAATAACTTCCCTAGGCAGTTGGCATGCTGTGAAAGACATCACTATTCCTATGGCATTTTGGTCAAGTTTTTAGAAGAACACGTATTTCTTATGAACTAAACTAAATTTGTACTAGAAAGCGCCCAGTGTCTACGTTTCACTTTGACTTTTAAACTCAAAACAGACCACAATTTCTTCTTGTTATTCCAATAAAACTTTATTTACAAATATAGACAGTGGGTCAGATTTGGCTTGAAGTCTGTCAATCCCTAGGTTAGCAGGCAAATTTTTTAAACAGGAAAAATAGAGTTGATGCGGCCTTTCTCTGCAAGGGGACAAAGCCTGGGAAATAGAGGTCTGGAGCAAAATGTGAGTCCCCAGAATACAAAGGATACAAATGAAGAGATGCATAGGGTCAGGTATGGGGCCAGGGGCATGGAGCTTCTACGCCCTCCCTGGGCACGCCAGCCTCCGGGGACCTCCATGTGTTCAGCTATCCGGAAACTCCCAGACCACACATTTTGACATACAGCAGCTTTACTTTCACTGCTGGCCTGTGTCCACCTAGATGTCTGGGGGACTTTTGTTGCTTCTTGATCTCTTTCTCTTCCTTGATGTCGGAGACCCACTTATGAACATCTTTACTAAATTTCTGTTTTCTTCTGTCTCTCATTCTGACACTGACATTCTGACAAAAGCAAAAACACTTGCTTCCTGCTTTCTGCTTTTAGGAAAGATTCCAGGAACACACCTGGGAAATACTTTTAAAGGAGGCAGTTTCAGCAAGGAGAGTGGTAGGAAAGATAAAACCTCTTTGCATCCTAATCTTTCTGGTTTGCTTGTCTGTTATCTTTGGAGACAGCATAATTTTCACTAGGATGCTGTGTAATCATGAAGCTAATGAAATGTAAGCTTCAAGACCCTCACTTGTGTAAATCCTTTCTAAGGCCCTGTACCAAACTTTGTTTTCATAGATTTTTATTTTTCTTAAAGTCATAACCCCCTAAAACTAGTCCATCTCTAGTTTCAGAACTTTGGAGTCAGGTGGGGGTTCAAATTTTAGACCTGTGTGAACTTGGGGAGCTAACTTCCCCCTAGGCCTTAATTTTCTTTTCTGTAAATAGTATCTTTTATCTTGGGTTTCTTGAGAAGTCAGAAAACATGTCATTTGCTTTTCCCAATTCCCTGAACATATTAGGGGACTTCATGATGGAAAGAACCCAGAGAGAAAATGACAAATCCATATTTGGATGGAATTGCTTGGGACCTTTGTGGGGAGATGTGCAGGAAGCAAGAGGACACTCTGGACAACAGATCAAAAGGGGATGAGGAGCAGAGATGTTGGGTGAGGCCAGTGTCCAGGCAGTTACTGAAGCCAGAGTTGGGTGAAGGAAGTATCTGTGTGGCAGGAAGGAAGAAGCGGGAGTCTAAGCCCAGCACAGTGTCCAGGGTGAGGCCTGAACTTCAGAAGTTCACATTTCATTTCTTGCGGGTAATTTATGAATCTTGCATCCCATTGCTCAGGACTTACTCATTCAGGACTCTGTTCTCATTGATCCTGCCGTCCTAAGTGTGACAACCGTTTGAAATTAATTATTGCAATACCCAGGATAATCACTTGAGGGCAGCACTGCGCAAGGGTTATTCAACCAACAACGTTCATTTAACAGATACTTATTGAGGACATGTCGTGTGCTAAGCAAAGTTGTAACTAGGGTCAAGGAAAGCTTTCCTGAGGAAGTGACCCTCGACCCATGTAGCAGGATGGGGTGGAATTAAATAGGGAAGGAAGAGGTGTTCCAGGTAAAGGTAGCAGCATGTGCTAAGGCTCTGTGATGGCAGAAAGCCTGGGAGTGGGGGAAGAAGGGACAGTGCCGTGGTAGCTGGAAAAGTGAGTGGGATGTGGATGCAGATCGGGATTACAGCTCAGTTTCTGGAGCCTATTAACATTTTCTGAGCGGTTACTATGTGTCGGGCCCTTTCCTATAACTTATTTCAGGGAAGGTGGTAATAGTCCCATTTTACAAAGGCACAGAGGTATGGCTACCACCAGTCTTTCTTCAAGGCACCTCTCCTTCCCAGAGCATCCTTGTCTCCACTGGACACTTAGTCCTACCTTTCCTTCAACACATGGGTCAATTGTGGCTTCAAGTTGAATATCTTACTGATCATTTTGTGCATACAACGTGTTCTGGTGACTGGGCAGTTCTCCCTAAGCCAGAGGTTCTACTGATACTGTGTGTCCTCAGTATCTAGCCCACAGATGACCACTAGGGGATGCTCTGTTCCAGTTGGTTCCTGTCTGGAAATAGGCACATGACATGGCGATTTGGCAGAACAAATGACATAGTGATGTAGTAGATCTTGGCTCCACTTCATCCCTCCCTGAATCCATGCATTTTGCCACAAGACTTTACAGGCTTTACAGACACGGTATATCTCCCAGGCCCTCAAATCTGGCTTTGCTCTTGTGACTTGCTTTGCCAATGCAGTGTGGCAGGAGTGATGGTGTGCCAGATGCAAGCAATATATATATTTATCAACTCGACTTTCTCCTATACTTTTGCTCTATTTAGTCTCATTTTGAAGGAGATAAAATATGAATTCTATTTTAAATATTTTTATTGCATACAATAGCTCAAATTCATTTCTTTTTATCTGCTGTCTTACTTTCCATTATATGAATAAATCCCATTCTAGTTATTCATTTCCCTATTGATGGGATTTAGGTTGTTTGAAGGTTCTCTTTTTTTTTTTACTAATAAAGAAACAAAATGGGAAATATTTCTGTGCATGCCTCTTGTGTACCTAAGTGAGACTTTCTCATGGGTATATACTAGGAAGCCATGGGATACTCACATCTTCAAATTTACTAAAATATTACTAAATTGCTTTTCAAAGAACTTGGACCAATCTATTCTCCCACCATTATTAGTATAGAAGAATTCTCATTTCTCCACATTTGGCATCACCTGGTGTTGCCATACTAATTTGTGTAGGTTTTTGCCAATCTGATAGGTCTGAAATGGTATCTGGTTGATATTTTAATGTTCATTTCCCTGATTTCCAAAGATGTTGAGCTTCTTTCCTTGTGTTCGTTGGCCTTCCAATTTCCTTTTGTGAGTTGACTGTGCATTTCCTCTGTTTTCCTTTTCTTTTCTTCTTCCTTTTTTTTTTTTTTTTGAGTTGACTTGCTCCTGAAAGTCTGTCCTTACATAATCTTAATATTTTATATTATATATAATGTATGCTTGTATATTATATAAAGATAATATATTAAAGACTATAATATAGTATATGCAATACATTTAAAATATATATCCTTTGTATATTTGGTTGCTTATATGCACTGCAAAGATCTTCCAGTATTTTATAACAGTTTTATTGAGATGTAGTTCATATATCATACAATTCAACCATTGAAAGTGTACGATGGGTTTTTGTTACAATTTTAGAACATTTTCACCAACTTGAAAAAAAAAAACCTTCACCTTTTGGCTATCATTTCCCTATTCCCCCATCCCCAACCCTAAGCAACCACCAACCTACCTTCTGTCTCTATCAATTTGCCTATTCTGGACATATAAATGGAATCATATAATATGTGGTCTATTGTGACTGGCTTCTTTCATTTAGCCTAATTTTTCAAGGTTTATCCATGTTGTAGTATGTATCAGAACTCCATTCCTTTTTATGACCAAATAATATTCCATCGTAGGGATATGCTACATTGTTTTCCCATTCATCAGTTGAAGTAATGTTTACTGAAAAATGTAACTGAAATTCAAAACTGTTTTTAATAGCATCTGATTTCTACTCATCTGATCTGATTGCTTACCCCTGACCTCTCCTCACACATAAATAAAGTTGGTTTTGTTTGTTTTGTTTTGTTTTTACCATGATGATCAAAAAGTTTCTGACTGGCTTTGAACTGTACTTCATTGGTGAAAATCCTCCATTCCAATCCCTATAATTAAAGAGGTAGGCCTGGGGACCCTTGTTATCCTGTGTGGCCTGGGATCAAGAGCATCAGCATCACCTGAAGCTCGTTAGAAACTCACTCTCGTCTCGCAGACCTGTCTGGATTAGACTCTGAACTTGAAGGAGATCCCCAGGTGAGTCCTGTGCCCATTTGCTTTGACAAGCTCCGCCCTGGACCACTCTTTCTCACCCGGGTGAGTGTTGAAATCACCTGGAAGCCTTTGGGAACAATGCCAAGGACCTGCCCGCCTTTCCGAGATTCTGATTTCACTGCTCTAGAGTGGGTCCCAGACTTAGAGTGTCTCCAGAGCTCCCACGGGATCCCACTGAACAGCCAGACCTGATGCAGAGATCTTTGAGGAGCAATCCCAACTTTTTTCTGTAAACCACTTTCATTTAGGGATGTTTAGTCTACATGATTTAAGCCACCAAATTTGCAATTCTGTTAAGCAAAACTGACTGGTTCTCGGTGAAGGAGCTGCAGGCCCCTTTTTAAAGGGACTGGAGTATGACGGCCAGTACACCTTATGAGTGGGTGTCAAGGCTCTGTTGACAAAGATGGTTTGTGTTTCTAAGAAAACACAGCTGAAGCCCTGTGAAGGGTAGGTTGCCAAGGATGTGCTAGTTTTTCTTGGTTCATTTTCAGTTCTCCGTTTACAAATTTGCTCTGCAAATTTGGAATGGCTACTACTTTAAGCAGCGTTTACCCAAAAGTGACTTCTTCCTTACTCCTGCCAACAGAGTAAATACAATAAGAATGGACATCTTGGGTAGACATCAGGATGTCTCTTTTTAAATAAACCCCATCCTGATCTTATCTTTGCTAAGGAAGCTGTGGCAGCAACAAGCTGTCAAATCAATTTCTCTCCCTTCTCATCCCTCCGACGATTTCCTTGAACGCATGTGTTTCTGTTCCCTGTCACTGGGCTCACACAGCAGTCACCACAGTAACCTTCTCATGGGTGGGGGTGAGGAGTTCAGCATCCACCCTTTGTATCCACAAAAGGCTTTGCCACCTTACTGGGGGGGGTTGCCTATGTTTCCTTGTCATTTACAACCCTGCCCCATTTCTGTTCCAGATAGTGGCACAGTAATGCCCCAGATTGAGGTCACTTCTCTTGGAGTTAAAGGAAACAGGAGAGGGATGCGTGGTGTTTGCACCGTGCATCCTGCCATTATCCAACTCACAGGTATGTGTGTGCATCCTCTGGACTTTCTGGCTATGGTCTTTTCAGCCACCTCAGAGATTGTGTCACCTTGACTTACCGAAAGGAGTGACCACCTGAGAATCAAAGGCCCCGGGGTTCCTGAAATCCACACCAGGAAGGGCACATACAGGTGTCAAATCGCTTCTTGGGGTCTCTCCACAAGCACCTAAATGACTACGCTGTTAACTTGATCTATTTCTCTCATACTGGGCCAGAGAACCCTGCTTTATTTTCCAGATACCTAGTGCTAATTCTCCTGTGTTTGTGACACTTTCCTAATTCCAAATCTGGGATATTTTTCTACTACTTGAGGCAGATTCCTTAGAGGCTTTTAATCTGATAAAGAGTTCTCAAACCTGGGCAATCCAGGGTGTGAGTCTTAGTTTGAGAGAGGACAGACCTCCTTTAACCCAGCAAGTCAGAGATCTTTCGTGGGTGGTGAGTTCTGTGCCCACAGAAGCCAGCATGGCTTGCTTAGCATTACAGTACCCCGGGCCTGCCATGGACAATTACTTCTGGTTTTGATCTTCACTAAAGACTTTTGCTTCATTTTCTGGTACACTGCCTTTCTGATCACATTACAGGTCTGCACCTGCGCGTCTGTGCGCATGTGCGTGTCCTTTGTAAATAACTGCCTGTTCTTTTCTTTCAGCTAGTCCTTGCCTACTCCCCTGCCCTGCCTTTTTTATTTTTTAAACTGGTTTCATTCTTTTAAATCAGATCTCCAATAAATAATCGAGTAACCTGGCCTGAGGTCCCTGCCTCCTGGAGGTGGGAGTATGCACACAATGCTTATTGGCAATTTCCACAGAAGGGCATTGAGCCGCTTGCAATGTGATTTATTTTTCCTCCAGAACAACTGATCGCAACTTCTGAGACATCTCTGATGTCCTTTGCAAACTCCAGCGTGCATGTTCCTGCATGTGCTCTATTGACAAGGATTTGATGTGAACATCATTTCTTTCAACTTTAGTACATGTATCTGCAGAAGAATCTGTGTTCCTGTTGATTCACAGCGCTGACTTCTTCATTGGTTTCTATGACAGCTTTCTGAAACAACAGGCTGGGGTGTGTGTGTATACGTGTGTATGTGTGTGTGTAGAGTAGGAGAGAGAGAACGAGGGGGGAGAGAGAGAAAGAGAGAAACAGGACACCATGGATTGATTTCATTTGATCATTATGCCTAGGTGTCCAAGTCTGTCTGTCACTCTGCTGCATTCCTGTACTATCATGCCTGTCTTCCACTCCCTTTTCTTTTTTTTTTTTCTTTCTTTCTTTCTTTTTTTTTTTTTTTTTTTTTTTTTTGAGACTGAGTCTCACTCTGTCACCCAGGCTGGAGTGCAATGGCGCAATCTCGGCTCATTGCAACCTCTGCCTCCCAGGTTCAAGCTATTCTCGTGCCTCAGCATCCCAAGTAGCTGGGATTACAGGCCTGTGCCACCATGCCCAGCTAACTTTTTGTGTGTTTTTAGTAGAGACGAGGTTTCATCATGTCGGCCAGGCTGGTCTGGAACTCCTGACCTCGGGTGATCTACTGGCCTCAGCCTCCCAAATTGCTGGGATTACAGGTGTGAGCCGCTGTGCCCAACCTCTCCCTTTTCTTTCTCTGCCCCGTCTTGTTTATTTTCTTCATTCCTAACCATCACATCCAGTTTCATCCACTTTAACACAGAACATTATATGTGATTCTAAATTAATTAAACTTAAGAAGTTTTACTGTTCTCTGTTATTAAATGTCAGCAGAATAGAATGATTTCTTTTTCTTCTTAAAGAAAGGAAAAGGGTAGTAATTAAAATGCTTTATTTTTCCTCTTGATTTTTTGGATGCCATATATATGGTTTCAATGTCAAAATTTCAATCACCCTGTATGATCTCATCTTTTTTTTCATTTTGTATTAAACCAAGAGCATTTTCCCATAGTATTAAATATCCTTAGGGAATATATTTAACCATGTATAAGTTGATGGCATTTTTAGAGTTTTATTTTAATTTGGGGATACACAACCTAATTATATCCATTGGTCTATTGCTAGTGGTAGAATTACAGGATTTGAAGGGTAGATTTTGAAAGCTTTCAATAAATATGACTCAACTGCCTACCAGCCACGTATGAGTGCCCAGGTTAGTGCCCATCCATCTGGCATTGAGCAATATCTTGGAAAAATACAACTTTGCTCATTTAATAGGTGAAAATGGCATCTTCATATTTTCAATTTGCATTTAAGTATCACTAAGTTGAAGATTTGGAGATAATAGAATTTAGAAAAGGAAAAAGTTTACTTGCAAGAAATACAGGGACCTCAGAAGGAACTGCTCATCAGATAAAAAACACAACAGGTCATTAACAGCAAACACTGCAAACTTACCAAGGTTACTGAATTTGTAGTTGGTGTGTTCATGACAGAAAACCGGCAATTTTCTTACGGGGTTATCATTTCTACAAAGGCTGGGGTAGTCTTCAGACAGCAGTTTTGCAAAAGTCTGGGATAAAGTTGTTTGCATTAAGTAGTCAGCAACTTACAGGAAATGCTCAAGAGTTCATTTATTTGGGGGGCTAGAATTAGAGAGGGTTCAAAATGTTTGTTTTCCTCTAACCATGGGACTTAACGGAGGCAAGAGATCAGTTTTGCTTCCACGAGACTTTTCAGGTGTAGACAGGATTGTGTATTTCTGCTTGTATAACTGTATGTGTCTTTTGCCCTATTTAACTTTACTGGGTCGTACCTTTTGCTTATTGATTTTTATTTCCTATATATTAAAAAGCTATTACGATAAAATGTAAAAAAAATACTTTCAATGTCGTTTGCCTTTTGGTTTATGATATTTTTATCATAACTAACACCTTTATCTTTATGTAGTCAAATTGTTCAATTAGTTTCCTTATAATTTCTGCTTTGGCACCACACTTAGAAAGTCCTTTTCAGCCGGGCATGGTGGCTCATGCCTGTAATCCCAGCACTTTGGGAAGTCAAGGTGGGCGAATCACTTGAGGTCAGGAGTTCGAGACCACCTGGCCAACGTGGTGAAACCCCATCACTACTAAAATTACAAAAATTAGCTGGGCGTGGTGATGCACATCTGTAATCCCAGCTACTCAGAAGGCTGAGGCAGGAGAATCCCTTGAACCTGGGAGGCGGAGGCTGCAGTGAGCCGAGATTGCACCACTGCACTCCAGCCTGGGCAACAGAGCGAGACTTCATAAAAAAAAGAAAAAAAAAAAGGAAAGAAAGACAAAAGAAAGTCTTTTTCAGCTCTTTTTATATTGTTTATAGGCAGCCCACAGAATGGGAGAACATATTTGCAAATCATATAACTCATAAAGGATTGATATCCAGAATATACAAAGAATTCCTACAACTCAACAACAACAAAAACACTCAATTAAAAAACTGACAAAGGGCTTAAATAGGCATTCCTCCAAAGATATACAATGGCAATAAGCACATGAAAGGATGCCCAACATCACTAATCACTAGAGAAATGCAAACCAAAACCACAATGAGATACCACCTCACTCATTAGGAACGTTATTTTTTTCACAATATGTAGTTAATAACAAGAGTTAGTAAGGATGTGGGAAAATTGGAACTGCTTTGCATTGTTGGTGGGAACATAAAATGGTGCAGCCGCTATGGAAAATAGTATAGTGGTTCGTCAAAAACTTAAAAATAGAATTAGCATATGATCTAGTAGTTCCACTTCTGGGTATATACCCACAAGAATTGAAAGCAAGGATTCAGATATTTGTACGCTGACATTCAGAGCAATATTAATCACAATAGCCAAAAAGTAGCAGAAATCCAAGTGTCCGCTGAGATGAATGGAGAAACAAAATATGGTCTACACATACAACAATGGACTATTCGTTTTTTTTTTTTTTTTTTTTTTGAGACGGAGTCTCGTTGTATTGCCCAGGCTGGAGTGCAATGGTGCAATCTCGGTTCACTGCAACCTCCGCCTCCTGGGTTCAAGCGATTCTCCTGCCTCAGCCTCCCGAGTAGCTGGGATTACAGGCATGTGCCACCGTGCCTGGCTAATTTTTTAATAGAGATGGGATTTCGCCATGCTGGCCAGGCTGGTCTCGAATGCCTGACCTCATGATCCATCTGCCTCAGCCTCCCAAAGTGCTGGGATTACGGGTGTGAGCCACTGCGCCTGGCCCATACAGTGGACTATTCTTTGACCTTAAAAAGGAAAGAAATTCCGACGCCTGCTACCACATAGATGAACTTTGGAGATATTATGTTAAGTGAACTAAGCCAGATACAAAAGGATAAATACTGTATAACTCCACTTATATGAGGTACATAGAGTAGCCAAATTCATGGAGACATAAAGTACAGTGGTAGTTCCAGGGACGTAGGGGAGGGGAGGATGGGGAGTTGTTTAATGAGTACTGAGTTTCATTCTAGGAAGATGAAAAAGTTTTGGAGGTAGATGGTGGTGATGGCTGTGTAACAGTGTTCATGTGCTTAATGCCACTGAACTATACACTTACAAATGATTAAAATGGCAAGTTTTATGTATATTTTACCACATTTAAAAGATATTTTCTCTTAATACTTTATAATTGCATTGTGTACTTTTCAGAACCATTCTGGCTATGAAAGCATCAGCAATTCCTATTCACACTTCAAGTTTACCCATTGGTGGTGACAGGTTGGTGGTTGGGTGCCTGGTGAAAACTAAACCAAGGCTGAGTTAGAAATGAGGACAGACCTTGAGAGATGGAGTCAGGTGTGCTCGTCAGGCTCTTTTGATGACAAGGAACATGGATTTTCTTAGACTACCTGTCCCACTTACTATCACTGCATAACAAACTACCCTAAAACTTTGTTGATTAAGCAAAACCATTTTATTATATGTCACAACTACATGGACGCTGCATGATTTTTTTGACCTACCCTTGGAAGACACATAGTGTTACATCCACTGCATTCTGTTGACTATAGTAATGTCAGCTCAGATTCAAGGGGAAAGGAATCATAGGTCCCCTCCTGATGGGGGAGTGGCAAGGTCACACTGAGGAGAGCATGTGGGATGGAGATAGTGTTGTAGCCATCTTTGAAAAATGGAATCTCCTCCACTGCTAAGAAAAAGAGGATTTATTATAAAAATACAAAAGACTAGAATTAGGAAAACCCTGGAATGGACCAGTTGCTCTGTCTCTGACCTCTGCATGTCTGCTTTGCACTCTCTCTACTCAGTTTCTCTTGGTCTTGTTTGATTTCCCTCAGCCTCTGCTCCTCCCCAGCACACTGGCCTTTGACCTGCTATGGCCTCTCCAGCCTTTGTCAAGCTTCCCCGAATGTGTTAGTTCAAATTCCAGAGAGAGGCTCTGACTGGCTCATCTCATATGTCTCACAACACTTGGTCCAATCAAATGGAGGGGCTGACACAGGCTGGGACTAAAGGGAATGAGGAGCTGGGCGGCTCTCAGATCACCCTGCACTGATTCTCACACCTGGCTGCATATTCGGATCACCTGCGCAGCTTTAAAAACATACCCACGGCCTGGGTCCCACCCTCAGAGATTCTGATTCAATTGATCTGGGGTTAGAGGCTAAGTATGCATGTTGTTTTAGATGCATGGTACCCACGCTTCTCCTGAAACCAGGGAACTTTGCTGCTGGCTGTGATACACAGTCAGCAGGTGTGGACAGCAAGCTAGCCCAAAGAGGATCATTTACCAGACAGGGAAAGAAAAACAGGCTTTTCTTGTTTTCCAGCGTGTGTTGTTGCTTTTGTTGTTTTTTTCACAAATCTCAAAGAATTTGTGAGCTCGAAGAGACCTTAGAGACAATCTAATACAACACATTCATTTCCAGGTATGGAATATGGCGACCAATCCGTCCTGGTTTAGCTGGGACTGCCCCAACTTCAGCACTGGAAGTACTGCCACATCCCAGGGAAATCCTTCAGTCCCAGGCAAACCGAAAAGGCTGTACCTTATATAGAAACTCCAACCCATTAGCAGTCACTCCTTGTCCTCCCTGCCCCCAGCTGCTGGCAACCATTTATCCACTTTCTGTCTGTATGGATTTGCATACTCTGGACAGTTCATATAAATGGAATCCCACAATATGTGGCCTTTTGTTTCTGCCTTATTTCACTTAGCATGTTTTTGAGGTTCATTCATGAAGTAGCAGGTGCACATACTTCATTTCTCTTTATGGCTAAATAACACTCCCTTATATGGCTTTACCACATTCGTCTGTTGATGGACATTTGGGTCATTTCCACTTTTGGGCTATTATGAATAATAGCTCCTGTGAACATCTGTATGCAGGTTTTTGTGTGGACATATGTCTTTAGTTTTCTTGGGTATACACCTAAGAGTGGGATTGCTGGGTCATATGGTAACTCTATGTTTAACATTTTGAAGAACTGCCAGACTTTGTTAAATAAAGTGTCTGTATCATTTTATGTTTGTACCAGCACAAATATGAAGGTTCTAATTCCTCCATAGCCTCACTAGCACCTGTTATTATCTACCTTTTGATTCTAGCCATCCTAGTAGGTGTGAAGTAGTATCTCATTGTGGCTTTGATTTGCATTTCCCTGATGATTAACAATGTTGAACATCTTTTCATGTGCTTATTGGCCATTTGTGTATCTTTTTAGAGAAATGTGTATTCAGATCCTTTGCTCATTTAAAAACTGGGTTATTTATCTTCTTATTACTGAATTGTAAGAGTTCTTACATATTCTAGATATAAGCCCCTTGTCAGATACATGATTTACAAATATTTTCTTCCATTCAGTGGTTTTCTTTTCATTTTCCGGAAGATGTCCTTGAAGCATAATAGTTTTTAATTTTGATGAAGTCCCATTTATCTATTTTTTCTTTTGTTGCTTGTGCTGTTGGTGTTATAGCTAAGAAACCATTGCCTAATCCAAGATCATGAAGATTTAGGCCTATGCATTCTTTTAAGAGTTGTATAGTTTAGCTCTCACATTTATTTAGGCCTTTGCTCCATTTTGATGAAGTTTTGTATATGGCATGAAGCAGGAGTTCAATTTCGTTCTTTTGCATATGGCTAGCCAGTTGTTTCACCATCATTTTTGAAGAAACTTCCTTGTCCACTGAATGGTCTTGGCACCCTTTTAGCAAACAAGCTGAGCTTAGATGTATAAATTTCTGTCAGGACTCTCACTTCAATTCCATTGACCTATACATCTATCCTTACACCAGTACCATACTGTCTGGACTACTATAGATTTGTAGTAAGTTGTCAAATAGAGGAGTGTGAGTCCTCCAACTTAATTCTTCCTTTTTAAGATGATTGTGGTTATTCTGGATACCTTGAATTCCATATGATTTTTTTTTTTTTAGTTTTTCTCATTACTGTTGGGTTTTATTTTTTAATTAATTAATTTTTAATTGACAAAGAAAAATAGTATATATTTATCATGTACAACATGTTTTGAAATACGTACATTACAAAATGGCTCAATTGAGCTAATTAACAAATCCATATGATTTTCAAGATCAGTTTGTCGATTGCTGCAAAAAAAATCCAGGTGAGATTTTGATAAGGACTGCATTGAAACTATAGATCACTCTAGAGAGTATTCCCATCTGAACAATATTAAGTCTTTCAATCCATGGACATGGGATGTCTTTTCATCTATTTAGGTCTTTATTGATTTCTTTCAGCAGTGTTTTGTAATTTGAGTGTACTAGTCTTATACTTCTTATGTTAAACTTATTCCCGAGTATGTTCCTCTTTTTGATACTATTATAAATGGAAATGGAATTTTTAGATTAATTTCATTTTCAGATTGTTTACTGCCAGCATATAGAAATATAATTGATTTTTGTATATTGATTTTACATCCTTGCTGAACTTGTTTATTAGTTCTAGTAAGTTTTAGTGGATACTTCATAACTTTATAGATATAAGACCTATGTCTGCCAATAGGTAACATATAGTTTATTTCTTCCTTTCAAATCTAGATGCCTTTTATTTTATTTTCTTTCCTAATTAATTTGTCAGTTAGTTGAATGTTGAGTAGAAGTGATGAGCACAGACACTCTTATCTTATTCCTGATTTTAGGAAAAAAGTATTTGTCTTCCACCATTATATATGATATTACCTATCGGTTTTCTTTTTGTAGATGCCCTTTATCAGGTTTAAGAAGTTCCCTTCTAGTCCTGGTTAGTGGAGTGTTTTTGTCATGAAAGTATGTTCAATTTTATCAAATGCTTTTCCTGTGTCTACTGAGATGACCATGTGGCTTTTTTCCTTTTTTCCATTCATGTGGTATATTACATGATTTATTTTCAAATATTGCCAACCTTGTATTCCTGGGATAAGTCCCACTTGGTCAGGGTGTGTAACTCTTCTATTTCACTGGTATTTTGTTAAAGGTTTTTGACTACATTTATAAGGGACATTGATCTGGAGTTTTCTTTTATTGAGTTGTCTCTGGTATCAGGGATAATACTGGCATCATAGAATGAGTTGGGAAATGTTCCCTCCTCTTCTATTTTTTGAAAGAGTTTGTGAAAAAATTGGTATTCATTCTTTTTCAAATGTTTGATAGAATTCACCGAGTGAAGCCATCTGAGTCTGGGGCTTTCTTTGTGAGTAGTTATTTGTTTGCTAATTCAATCTCTTTACTTGCTGTAATTCTCTACATAGCATTCATCTTGAATGCTTACACAATACTGTGTCAGGTACAGTGCTAGTTCTTAAATTTCTTTTGGGAGGTTTGGACACTAAGAGGAGGGGAAGGGGCTAGATGCATTCATTCATGGGGGTATTCTTTCAAAACACTTATCGAGTACCCCTGGCTGTGTTCTGTGCTCAGCCCTGAAACTACTAAGACCAACAAGGCAGCCACAGGATGAAGGAGTGAACAAGCTGATTTCAGATCAGAGTCTGGGTGGCCACCTGCCGAGTGTGAGAGGAGACCCAGCAGTGCTCACTGGTGTTGGAGTCGTTCTTGGCTCCAAACAAACAGTGGTGCCTCAGAGTCCTCTGGCACTTTGTAGGTTATAAAGTGCTTTCACTTGTAAAATCTCATCACAGTTGATCCTTAGAGGCAATTCAGCAAAGTTCATTATCCCTCTTTGCAAAAGATGAGAAAACCAATGTTCAGAGGTCAGTATGAATTCAAACTTTTAGGAAATGCTTCTCCCTTACTAGCCCCATGTAAGGCCCTAGGAGATAAAGATATGACAAGGTTCTTGCCTTCAAGGAGCTGTCAGTCTGAGACAGAAAGAGACAGGAAGTCAGAGAGACATAACAATCTATGATGGTCATCTCACAGGGTGAAATGGAGGCAAAGAGGAGGGGGTTCAGCAATGGTTTCGCCATGAATGTGACCCTTAAAATGTGGCTGGGAGCAACCTGGACATTACAGCAGGAAATAACAAAAGTCATTCAGAACTGGGATGACCATATGTCCTAGTTTCCCCAGGATAATATGTTTGCTTCTGTTGTCACAGTTTGAGTATCAGTAGCACCCTTTTTTCCTCTCAAAATACATGTTTGATATATGCATGCTTTCAAAGTATTTCCCTAAAAAATTGTTGGAATTATGAAGGAAAAAAATAGTAACTTTGCAGTAGAGAAATCTGGCAGATGCTTAATCCAGTAATGAAGATTAATATCTTCACAGATGGTACCAATGAACATCATGTGCCTCCTGTTAAGATTTGCTCAGAACTTTCCACGCTACCCACAGAGGGGTGCATACAGCATTGTTCTGGATTCCAGTCGTAACTTAAACGGAAACTTTCACAATGTCCGGAGCCCTTGATGTCCTACAAATGAAGGAGGAGGATGTCCTTAAGTTCCTTGCAGCAGGAACCCACTTAGGTGGCACTAATCTTGACTTCCAGATGGAACAGTACGTCTATAAAAGGAAGTGATGGCATCTACATCCTAAATCTGAAGAGGACCTGGGAGAAGCTTCTGCTGGCAGCTCGTGCCATTGTTGCCATTGAAAACCCTGCTGATGTCAGTGTCATATCCTCCAGGAATACTGGCCAGAGGGCTGTGCTGAAGTTTGCTGCTGCTGGAACCACTCCAATTGCTGACCGCTTCACCCCTGGAACCTTCACCAATCAGATCCAGGCAGCTTTCCGGGAGCCATGGCTTCTTGTGTTTACTGACCCCAGAGCTGACCACCAGCCTCTCCCGGAGACATCTTATGTTAACCTACCTACCATTGCTCTGTAACACAGATTCTCCTCTGTGCTATGTGGACATTGCCATCCCATGCAACAACAAGGGAGCTCACTCAGTGGGTCTGATGTGGTGGATGCTGGCTCGGGAAGTTCTGCGCATGCGTGGCACCATTTCCCGTGAACACCCATAGGAGGTCATGCCTGATCTCTGCTTCTACAGAGATCCTGAAGAGATTGAAAAAGAAGAGCAGGCTGCTGCTGAAAAGGCTGTGACCAAGAAGGAACTTCAGGGCGAATGGACTGCTCCAGCTCCTGAGTTCACTGCTACTCAGCCTGAGGTTGCAGACTGGTCTGAAGGTGTGCAGGTGCCCTCTGTGCCTATCCAGCAGATCCCTACTGAAGACTAGAGCTCTCAGCATGCCACGGAAGACTGGTCTACAGCTCCCACTGCTCAGGCCACTGAATGGGTAGGAGCAACCACTGAATGGTCTTAAGCTGTTCTTGCACAGGCTCTTAAGCAACATGGAAATAAGGCTGATGGAAAATAAACATCAGTTTCTAAAAAAAAAAAAAGAGAGAAAGAAAAAATTTGTGCTGAGAAGGGGCAGGAACAGTGGCTCACGTCTGTAATCCCAGCACTTTGGGGGGCCAAGGCAGGCAGATCACATGAGGTCGGGAGTTCAAGACCAGCCTGGCTAACATGGTAAAACCCCATCTTTACTAAAAATACAAAATTAGCTGGCCGTGGTGGCGTGCGCCTGTAATCCCAGCTACTCAGGAGGTTGAAGCAGGAGAATTGCTTGAACCCGGGAGGTGGAGTTTGCAGTGAGCAAGGATCGCGCCGCTGCACTCTAGCCTGGGCAACAGAGTAAGACTCTGTCTCAAAAAAAAAAAAAAAAAATGTGCCAAGAGGGACACAACAGCACTTTTGTGATATTGTTGCCAGAAATATATAAACTGAATCTAATCACTAAGAAATATCAGACAAACCCCAACTGAGGGACATTCCACACAACAGTTGAGCCACAAAACATATCAAGGTCATGAGAGACAAGAAAGACCAAGGAACCATTCTAGATTAAAGGACACTAAAGAGAAACGACAACTAAATGCAACACATGGTACAAGATTATATCCTGAATGGAAAAAAAGTACATCAGCAGGCCGTGTGAAATCTGAAGACTGTAGATTAGATAACGGCACTGCTATCAATGTAGAATGTCCTTAGGTTTAGGAACTACACATAGAAGTATTTAGTGCTTTTTCAAAGTGCCACAGTTTGGATGATAAATGGTGATGGTGTGGTCTCCCTTCCCAGAACCCAGTGAGAACCCAGCCCTCTCCACTCCCAGGCTGTGGACCTGTCACCATCAACCACCTCAGATGGCCACTCAACTCCTCACCACTGAGAGGGCATTCAGATGAGCCAGGGGCTGGTATGCCCTGGGACACACAGGACCCCTTGTCAGCACCATGCCAACCTGTCCACCCACAAAGTGTCTCCGTTCCTCTGGCACCTTAATTCCCTAATAAGGTCTCAGCCAAGTGAAACCACCACTCAGCTTTTCCCAACAGTCAGAAGTAAGAGTCTCAAACAAAGGAAAAAAAACAGGAGAAAAGTTGGCCTTTTTGTGGTCATTTCCGCTTTCTTGTTGGGTGGGCCGAGGCCTCCTCAGACCTGATTCTCTGAATGTGTCCTATGTGGTCTGTAGGCTAAATGGTTAGTAGAGAAACTGTGTTTTTCTTCCAACTACATCCTCTCACCTGACTTACAGGTCTCTTAAAATCAGGTAATCCTCTAGGACCAGAATATGAGATGCAGACATCTTGGGCAAGCTAATAATTTGGCATTCCCTTAAACTGATGTTCCTTAAATATTTGTTTATGGGGAGCAGAAAGAATTGGTTTTCTGTTCATACATAGACACAGTTGGATTCACTGAATATGCCTCTGCTGGCCGGAGCAAAGTCAGTGGACTTCAAATAAAGGGCAAAAAAATTTCCCCTGGATCTGAAGTCCTAATTCTTTCTCCAGCTTTTCTTTTCTTCTTTTTCTTTCTTTCTGTCTTTTTCTTTCTTTCTTTCTTTACTTTCTTTCTCTCTTTCTTCCTTTTTTTTTTTTAAAAGAGACAGAGTCTTGCTCTGTTGCCCAGGCTGATCTTGAACTCCTGGCATTAAGCCACCCTCCTACTTCAGCCTCCTGAGTAGCTGGGACTACAAATGCATGCCAGTTTTCTTTGGGATTTTCTGAACCAGACAAATATTTTTAATGTCAGTTACAGAATTATGTTCTTTTATGATTCAGTGTATCACTTACTATCATCTGTGCCTGGGCTGTGCCTCACTTTTATATGTATTTTATTTTATTTTATTGGATTTTCCCCCTTCATCTCTGTTCTGTTTCTTTTTTTCTTTTTCTATTTTTTTTAAGAAAGGGTCTCACTCTTGTCACTCAGGCTGGAGTGCAGTGATGCGATCCTGGCTCACTGCAACCTCTGCCTCCTGGATTCCCAAGTACCTGGGATTACAGGTGCACACCACCATGCCTGGCTAATTTTTGTACTTTTAGTAGAGGCAAATTTTCACCATGTTGGTCACACTGGTCTTGAACTCCTGGCCTCAGGTGATCAGCCCACCTCAGCCTCCCAAAGTGCTGGGATTACAGGTGTGAGCCACCGCTCCTGGTCTCTGTTCTGCATTTCTGTTCCACCCTTCTCCCCATCAGCACTCATTATAATGTGTAGTATTTCCTTAGCTATGACCCTACCTTTGAAAAATACAGAGCACAACTTAGTATATGTATGCATTTTAAGTACATATAATTGGTAATCCAACTTTAGCTGCATCAGGATGATCCGGAGAAAACACAGATTCCTGGACCAGAGACTGATTCAGCAGGTCTGCATGGGGCCTGAGAGTTAACATTTGTAACAGGTTGCCTGGGGATTCTGAGGCTGTGGACAGTGCACCACACATCAAGCTGCACAATTCTAGATCTCCCTTGGTTATAAAATAAATAAAAAATAAAATAAAAATGATAGTAATAAAAATTATTATCATTCAACATCATGTTTTCAAAGTCTGTCTGTATTCTTTATGTACCTTAGTTCATTGCTTCCATCCGGTCTAAGTGTCTGTCTCTCTTCAACAGTGTACTTTTCTACTCCCTTAGTGAGGGACGCCTTAGGTTGCTTCCAACTCCTCTATCACATAGGATGCTGCAATGAATGTTGTTTTCCATGTGTCCTCATGTACCTAGGAATGAGATTCTCTGGGACATATATCCAGGAGAGGAGAATACTGGGCTGTCAGGTACATATTTGCACATCTAATTTCTCTAAGTATTTCCAGACTGCTTGTTCTCCAGGCCAACAACACCAAACCCACTCCCACACACCTTGGTGCATGGGGGTCCCTAAACTTCCTGGGAGACATAAAGGAGTTTTCATTTTGATAATAAAATAAATCTGTCAGTCCCTGTAACAGCAAGATTATAAACAATATTTGGTTTCAGAATTTTACCTCACCAGCACTGCATGCTGCAAAAATCCTGGGCAGCCAGGTCTGTGCTCATGAGGAATGCCCACACACACAGAGGCACACACACCTCAGCCCCATGACACAGCCTGGCTCAGCACAGGCAGGAGCCATGTTTATTTTCCTGTCTTACTTACCCTCATAAATCAGAGGCCTACTTGATATGGCTCCAACTTCTGCTCTGTGAAGCCTCTGGAAGCAGAACTTGCTCCAGGGTTGCGAGAAGACCATTACCTCCCTGCAGGCTGGACCAGAAGCTTTGTGGCAGTGGCCAGACAACCCATTGTCTGGGATTATCTGATTTCACTCCATAGGGTTGTTTTCCTGTTCTTACCTGATTCTCTCAACAATGAGCATAAAAATAGAATCTTCCTGACTAGCCCAGAGTTTTAAAATTACCAACAAAAGGGTGCAGCAGATGTCTTTTTTGACCTCAGATCATTTTTTAAAGGCTATCCTCTTTGGCACAACCAAAGGTGAACTGAACATTGCATTCAAATAACCCAGTTTTCCTTTCTAGAGGGGTAAGGGGAGGATTAGTGGGCATATGGTAATTTGTACAATCCTCCAAACAACAGGTAACTACAACCAGCCTGGTTACATTGAAATGCCAGGAACCCTTTGGAAAAAAGTGATCAATTGATTTGGAGAATAGTAAATGTGACTTTAGAAAAGCAGATTTTAAAAATTTCAGAGAAAAGGACATATTCATTCATTCAAGTATTTATTTTATTTTTTTAATTGACAAATAATAACTGTACATATTCTGGGGTACATAGAGATGTTTCAATACATTTAATGTACAATTATCAGATCAGGGTAATTAGCATATCCATCAGCTCAAAGACTTATTATTCCTTTGTGTTGGGATCATTCGATATTCTCCTTCTAGCTATCTAGCCATTTGAAATGGTATAAAATATTATTGGGTTTTGTGGGGGGGTTTTTTGTTTGTTTTCTTTTCTTTCTTTTTTTATTTTTATTTTTATTTTTTTTTTTGAGACAGAGTCTCACTCTGTTGCCCAGACTGGAGTGCGATGGCACGATCTCGGGTCACTGCAGCCTTCACCTCCCGGGTTCAAGAAATTCTCGTGTCTCAGCCTCCTGAGTAGCTGGGATTACAGTCACACACCACCGCACCCGGCTAATTTTTGTATTTTTAGTAGAGACGGGATTTCACCATGTTGGCCAGGCTGGTCTCGAACTCCTGACCTCAAGTGATCCGCCTGCCTCGGCCTCCCAAAGTGCTGGGATTTTAGGCATACGCCACCTCGCCTGGCCTGTATAATATGTTATTGTTAACTGTAGTCATCCTACACTGGTATAGAACATTAGAACTTATTCTTCATATCTAGCTGTTCATTCAAGTATTTTATTGAGACTTTTTGAACTAATGCGGTATTCCATAGGGTACTGTTTATTGCTCCATCCTTCCCATTTTGAAAAAAATCAACTATTAATTTAAAAGCAAAAACCTTAAAATTCATGCTTATCAACTTTGCAGATGATCCCAAACTCAGAGAAATGGCAAATAAAAGAGATTGCATAATCAATATTTAAATGATATCAACAGATCAGAATCCTGAGGTGTAGCCAACAAGATAAAAGAGAAATGACAGCTGTATTTATGCATAAAATAAATACAGCTGCACAGGTACGGGATGACAGGTGCCTGGCATTGTCCCAGTTTGTATGACACATGGTTTGTTGTGGAAATCAAATCAGATAATACAGTTTTAGGCAGCATGAGTAGGACAAAAGAGTGGTGGTCAGGAAAAATCAAAGCAGCACCTGACAATCTGCATGCCCAACTCCCCAACACCTGACACTCTCCATGCCCAGCTCCTTCGGGATATGACACACTTCGTGAGGTAGGGATTACATCTGTCCTGTGACCTTCTAGATCCCTGGATGACAAGCAGTGCCTGCCCCCCACATAGGTGCTCAATGCCTGGTTGATGAAAGAATGAAGAAATACCATATTCAGTACAGCACTCCCCTTTCAGAGAGAACATTTAAAATGAAGATCCATCTTGAGGAGGACAGTCAGAATGGTGTGGGGTTTCGATTCTGGGTACCACTAACTTAGGCAACAGAAAGTTTGGGCTGAACATGTGTAATGAACCTGGTAACATCTCAAAATATCCAGAGGGCGGTCATGGGAAGAAGTAGAATTGTGCTTCTTGGTCCAGAGCCCAGAAATGCACTGCTGGATGAGAGACAGGCAGGATGGGCTTTAATGTAATACCCTTCTCACAGCGAGGACTGTCGGGCGGTGGAAGATGGACAGCCTCTCACAGCAGTGTGTTTTCTCCCACAGACATGTTCCAGCAGCACCTGATGACTTTGAGGGGATCCTGTTGAGTGAGGAATTTTATGTCCCCCAGAATTATGTTTGTTGGGTTTCCTCAATTATATTAAAATATAGGAAGAAAACAAAAAAGAAGACCTATAATCCATTTCCGAGGAAACCACCAAAGGTAAAAATATAAGTATTAAGAAATATTTAGGCTGGGGGCAGTGGCCCATGCCTATAATCCCAGCACTTTGGGAGACTGAGACAGGCAGATCACTTGAGGTCAGGAGTTCAAGACCAGCCTGGCCAACATGGTGAAACCCCATCTCTACTAAAAATACAAAAATTAGCCAGGCGTGGTGGCGCATGTCTGTAATCCCAGTTACTCAGGAAGCTGAGGCAGGATAATTGCTTGAAAACAGGAGGTGGAGCCGAGATCATGCCACTGCACTCCAGCCTAGGTGATAGAGTGAGACTCTGTCTCAAAAAAAAAAAAAAAACAAAAAGAAAGAAAAGAAGAAAAGAAAAGAAAAGGGATATTTAAGACATTATTTTATTTTTATTTATTTGTTTTTTGGAGATGGGATGTCACTTGTTGCCTCGTCTGGCCTTGAACTCCTAGGCTCAAGGGATTCCCCCCCCTTCAGCCTCCTGAGTAACTAGGACTACAGGCATGTGCCACTGTGCCTGGCTTTTAAAACCTTATGTTAAATTCTACTTGTTGAAGCTTAAATCGGTAGTGAAAATAAAGGCTATCATTTTTTTAGCTGGATCCAGATTACAAAAGGTCTTGAATATTTGACCTCCCAAAATCCAAATTGTATTCAGATGGTCTCAAGCAGTTCTCATTTTTTAGGGCCAGTGCTGGCATTCAAAATCTGAAGGTATCCTTTGTTAATCAGCTAGATTCACCATTCTGCAATAGACATGCGCTTCAAAACATCATGTGGTACATGATAAAAAACATACAATGATACCTGTCCATTTAAATAAACAATAATTTCAAACAAAATAAAACAAAATAATTCAAACAAAAATCTGAAGTGTTCAAAGAAATTGTTCTGAGAAACATATGTGGGTTGACTGCCACCATCAAGGATCATAAAACTTACAACTCTACACCTCTCAGAGCAGAAACTTCCAAGAAGAAATGGATCCCATTTATTGCTAAACCTGCTGGGTTTGTTTCTTTAATCATAAAGCTCCACAACTTCCACCTAAACCTCTAGCTAGATTGGCAGAATTGGGTCTATAAAGTAATACAAGTCCTCCCTTGGGATGGCAGGCTGGGAGCCCATTTATCCAAGCAGCCACATTCTTTGCCGCCCAGTGGAGGGGAGGGAAGAGAAGTCTTTACAAGCAATGCCTCCAAGACAGCATGTCTTAAGGTCAGGGTCTCTTGCCTATGGTGAACAGCTATTAATGTGTCTGCTCAGGATAGCACCCCTCCCCTCTTCTGGCTCTACTCCTTACCCTCATCCTTATCCTCTTGTTTAGAGCCATCTGCTTTCAGATCTCACACCCTAAGCCACAGGGATTGGCAGAGGTAGGGCCCCAACCCCAAATAAACCAATAATATTATCCAATCTCATACCACAGCAATTGGAACAAAGATGCAACCCAAACTGGGCCAAAGGCAAGAAGGGCATCCCTCTCGGATGGCAGAGCAGAAGCTGGGAACCTGAGAATTATTGATGCCCGTGTCTTCCATGCCTGGCAGAAGCTAACTCAAGAGAATGAACATAATATCTGTGTGGCAGATTGTGCTTCCAAAAAATGGCCACAGTAATATCTCCCATCACACATGTTTTCCAGAACCTGGCCACTCCCGAACAAGAGGTGGAGCCTGTGGCTGTCCCCATCCCTTGAAAACACTGGGTGGGCCTTTGTGACTGCCTCCATCAGTAGAGAAGAGCAGAAGTGATACTATCTGACTTCTGAGCCCAGACCACAGAAGCAACCCAGCTTCCTGGCTCTCTTTGGGGATGGCTTGCCCTTGGAGCCTGGCTCTGCTGCTATGAGAAGCCACATGGAGAGACCCACCTAGAGAGACCCCTCCAGCCTCAGCCCTGGCTGATCGTCTAGTTGACAGCACCAACTTGAAAGCCTGAGTGCGCCATCTTAGAGGCAGATTTTCCCCAGTTGAGGCCTGCAGCTGACACCACATGGAACAGAGACGAGCCTTTCCTTCCCCACCAAACCCTGTCCAAATTGCAGAGTCATGAGCATAATAATGTTGTGGGGCTGCAAACTTCAATATAGCACGATCTGCTCTCAAAGGATTACCTTTAAAGAACTGTGGGGTGGTGGATAAACAGGCAGCTGACTTGGCATGGGTGGCTCTTCCTAGCAGTGCTTTGCCTAGAGCTGTCCTGGGGAGAGACCTAGGTGTTAACTGGCTGCCTTATTTCGGGAAGCGGTATTGAGTAATGAGCAGGTATGTAGATTTGAGATCCAAAGGAAGCCAGGTTAAAATCTCAATGTCAATCACTTATTTTTTTACAGAGATTGTGCAATTTACTTCTCAGTTTCCCTGATTATTAAATAGAAATATCTTAAGCTGAATTTCTCGGAAAGAGACCCGGAGACTAGGATTCATGCAAAAGTGACATATCAGGAAATATTCCCAGGAGACAGGGAAGGGAAGAGGGCCAAGCTAAAGTGCTATGTCAAGCCAGATTCCATAGAGGAAAGTTTTGGTTTAGTTCCACAAGGGTTAAGGGCTACTGGGGGAAGGAGGTGTGTAAACTGCCAGGCATTTGCAACTAGGCAGCCCAAGAACCATTCTAGGACAAAGAAACCAGAGACTCAGGTGCTGGCTGGGAAGCCTGTGTGCAGAGAAATGGTAAAGGGATCCACAGGGATTAGGAATACGAACAGCACCAACCAGGGGATGACAGCACTGCTCACACCTCGTTATGTTGCTGTGCCTGGCTTCTGGTAACTGCTTAAGAAGCAGGAGGGAGTGAGGAAGAGGAATAGGAGGAGAAGAAGAGGAAGGGGAAGGAGAGAGGAAAACAAAGGGGGAAAGGGAAGAGGAGGAGTGGGAAGAAGCAGGAGGAGTTATCCTGGGGAGGGCTAATACCCCAGTGGGCAGTCACTCTGAAAGGGAAGAAACAGAACTGGCTACGCTCAGACTCACTTCTTTACACTTTGTGACCAACACACAATCCTAAGGTTAAACAACCTGGGATAAGTCAAGCATCCTCTCCTCTCCAGACCTAAGGAGAACATATCTTACACTATGGAGAAAGAATCTGGAAAGTGCCCGGGTCAGTATGGGTCACACAGAGGAGAAGAATTTGCTCACAGAGTTGCAGCACACTGGCAACCATTTTGGTAGAGCAGTGGATATCTGGTCTAACCAGTGGACAGCCTGATATTAGTGAAAAGAAGGATTGAAGGATGGGACAAAACTGTAACGCAGTTGGGATTTGCAAGAAAGTCTTTCCTACAGGGTGTGCTCCAGTAATTATTACTGTGTAACAAACCAGGCTAAACTTCGTAGCTTCAAACGACAACCATTGTATTACGCTCATGGATCCTACTTGTCCAGGAATTGGGAAGGACTTTGTATGGCTGGCTGGCCTCGGCTGCACAATGTCGGAGGCCTTGACTGGGAAGACCTGGAAGCTGGGAGTGACTCAATGGCTGGGAGCTGGAATCAACTGAACACTCACTCACTCACATGTATGGTGACTGATTCTGGCTGTTGGCTGGGACTGCAGCTGGGCCTTTTGGACATAAAACCTGCACGTGGCTGCTTAGGCTTCCTGAAAGCATGGTGGCTAGGTTCCAAGAACAATTGTCCCAAGAGAACCAAGCAGAAGCTGTTTTGTCTTTTATAATCTAACCTTGGAAGCCATGTAGTATCGCTTCCAACATAGTCGTATGCTCACGCAAATTTCAGAGGAAGAAAAACAGATCTGAATTCTCAATGGGAAGAGTTTCAATATCACATTGTAAGAAGAGAATGTGGGAAGATGTGGGAATTTTGAGAAAAAAAAATCTGCTATAGGCAACTTGTACATAACCCTGAAGGAAAAAGGGTTATCAGTCTGAGTAATTTGGAGAGAAGTTATTATACATTAGCATATGAAAGCTCTGGAGTGTCCAACAGTCAGTCTTATCACTTTGCTCAGCACAGCGTATCTCCATTTTTTTCTGCTTCATACTAGTACATAGAACACTCTAGAGGACACGTGCCTGGACTAAGTTCACCCCTTCAGGAAACCCTTAACCCAACTCGGAATTTGAGTATGTAAGATTAGGCAACTTCTGTTATTCTTTCCCCCCAAACAGTCCCTAATGAATTGGACAGAGCTGTATTCTTGGAAAAACACAATTTATTGCTTCTCAGCTCCGAATGCAACCTTCAGTATATGCTCTGGGATCAGCCTAGAATTCTTTTAAGCATTTCTTCTTGAAGTAGGGTGTGATGTTTATTAAACTTCTCTGTACAGGGCGCTGGAGGAAACTGCAGGAGGAAGAGACTCTCCTGTCATTTCCCGAGTGGAAATGGGTCCCGGGACATCCAGTAGAGCCTGCCCCAGCCCAGGACACAGTCCCTCTGGGACATTACAGCCTCAGCCTGGTGACAGCCTTTCCATGGCCCTCTTGTCATGGAAACCAAAGCTCCGGTGCAGCCTATGTGCCCTGAGGGGTTCCTGTCCCCATGCGGACTCCCACGCTCACCCAAGCCCAGCTCCCAGGCTGCACTCTGGAAGGTGGCCTTTTGCTTTCCAGCAGCTGTAGGCCAGCTTTGGCCCAGCAGAATTGGAAACCACTCTGCTGCCTGGTGGGCTGAACCACACCTTCTCCAGTGAGATGTGAACCTCTTCCAAATTTGTGCTTCCTTTAGTACTTTCCCTCAGCCTAGGGTACCATATAGCGTTTTCTTGTATCTTATTGTTACTCTTTTAGCATAGTTAAAGCTTCTTTATATAAAGCCTCCTCTACTTCACCTATGCTGTGGTTCTTTCTCCTGAAGGGACCCATACTGGGAAACGCATGATATTACAGTTCATTTATCCAAAGCAAAACATCAAGAAAGAGTAGTCAGGGTAATCATTTCTGCTTAAGAGCAAAAAAAAAAGTAATTGTAAATTTCAAATAATATGAGGCTTTCACATCAGCAATTTGTGTTAAGTGCTGAAGTGCCTCCCCCACACCCCCTGCTTTTGGTTTGTTTTTTGTTTTTTGTTTGACACAGGATCTCATTTGTTACCCAGGCTAGAGCGCAGTGGCACAATCATGGCTCACTGCAACCTTGACCTCCCACACCTCAGCCTCCTGAGTAGCTGGAACTACAGGTGTATGCCAACACGCCCAGCTAATTTTTTAATTTTTTGGAGAGATGAGGTCTCCCTATGTTGCCCAGGCTGCTCTCGAATTCCTGGGCTCAAGCAATCCTCCCACCTTGGCCTCCCAAAGTGCTGGGATTACAGGCATCAGCCACCGCGCCTGAACTTAAGTGCTTTTAATAGCAAATAGTTACTTTTAAAATGATCTGCTGTAGCCTGGAGTCATCCTTTAAGTCATTAGTCTGAAAATGGTTAAATCCAAATCACATAAGAAATAGAACAGATTAGTTGAGGATGTGTGTGTGTTTCATGTGGCCAAAATCAAAACAAAACAAAACCAACCTCCCTAAAAAACCTCAAATTGCTTGAACAAGAAATGGACTACATTGGCTTACATAACCACAATATCCAAAGGCAGTGCTGGCTTCAGAATCAATGTGATGCAAGACTCAAATGATGTCTCCATGGGTGACTTTTTTTTCTATGCTTTTAGATTTCTTCTCATACTATACCAGCTGCTCTCCCTCCAGCAGCATCAGGCTCTCGCCTGTGTGGCAGCAAAATACCCCAGAAAACACCTTCCTGTCTCACTAGTTCTGATTGGGATATATTCCCTTTGCTGAACCAGTCAAGTGGCCAAGATGGTGACTTAGGCCAGTCGGGGCTCAGCCTTAGAATCAATCCCGTCTAAATCACATGGCTGAGAATGAGGAAAGAGTGATTTCCCAAAGGAAATTCAAAGTAATGTCTTAAATTCAAAGTAATATCTTAATGGCAGAGTAGATGCTAAGCAGCTTTTTAAAATGACAAGTGTAGCTGGGCGTGGTGGCTCACTCCTATAATCCCAGCACTTTGGGAGGCCAAGGAGAGTGGATCACTTGAGGCCAGGAGTTCGAGACCAGCCTGGCCAAAACGGCAAAACCCCGTCTCTACTACAAATACAAAATTTTAGTACAGCATGATAGCACATGACTATAATCCCAGCTACTTCGGAGGCTGAGGTATGAGGATTGCTTAAACCCAGGAGATGGAGGTTGCAGTGAGCCCAGATTGTGCCACTGCACTCCAGCCTGGGCAACAGAGCAAGACTCTGTCTAGATAGATAGATAGACAGATAGATACACGGACAAGTGTCATCTGTAGGAAGGATTCTAAATATGAAAGTAACACAAAACAGAAAGATCATGCTCATTAGGGTGAAGAACTTGTGCCTTCTGCTTACCTTCCAGAACTTTGGAGAAATAGGTACATTTTAAGGGAGAAACAGTGGTACAATAATGAGTAATATGAGAAAAACACTTCAGAATGTCAGCCCCCCCAAATCCTAGGAATCTGACCTGTTATCATTTTTAAATACATGTGAAAAAGTTAGTCATTCATGAGGCCACTCCTAGCCCATTTGGTGCCTTTGTGCAAAAACGCAATCCTGATCCAAGACACTTTACTGACAACTACCAAAAAATAGGCATATTTATCCAGATCTACAATGTCTACCATATGAATGGTGCCCCCACAGACGGTGGCCCAACGGGTACAGCAGTATGCAGAACACCAGTGCATTCATTCCAATGGTGTAAAACACAAAGGCATGTGAATAGTATGTCTCCTTCCTTTCCCTGGTTTCACTGACCAGAGGCAGTGTTGCCAGATAATTTGAGCTTCCCAAGATGTTTCCTTATTCTACTTCATCTCTTGGGTTTAGAGAATACCAGGAGAAGAGAAAAAGGTATTAGAGATAGCTTCACAGCAGATAAACTGGCTTTCTTCCCAGCTGAAGGCAAGTGATGACTCATTTTTCTAACTGCATATCCATGGGTACATTGATAATGTGCTTCTGATGGTAACCCTAGAGCACAACTTCTTTTATCTACTTAAAATATTTATGACCTCTGATTACCATAGTGGTTGTTAATAGATATTAATATGCAAGACATCCTCCTAAACTGCAGTGTAAATACCATTCTTTCTTGATTCTGTACATGATAAAATTTCCATATGGAAATTACTACCTGCTCCCAGGATATTCAGAAATTCTTATCGCTACTGTTGCCACCAAATGTCCACTGGTTTTCAGAATTAAATTTCACGTCAATGACTATCTCACTCCTTTTAGACACTGCTGAAAAAATGACCTTTCCAAATGCCAATATAATCATGTCATCCTTGTGCATAAATATTTCAAAGTTTTCCTCCTCTTTTAAGGATAAATTCCATACCTCTTATCATGGTATGCAATGGCCTTCATCAAAGTATAATTTTGAAAACTGAAAAAATTAGACTTTCATACAAATACAGAACAAAAAGGTTAAAATTTATTGAATTCATTAATTAGTGAGGGAACCAATCAGAAAATAGAGCTGGACTGCTTGGGGAACTAGGATTTATATGGTCCTTTAAAAAATGATTAGAATAAGTTTGCTAGGTTAGACATAAAGCTGGCTAATATCCTGCAAGGCAATAAAATTGTAACCTTCGGGATTATTTTTCTACCAGACAGAAATTATTTACATCTCTGGTAGACCCAAATCTACTAATTTACATGGAACGTCACAAAGTCTGAGTCCTTAATTAATAGTGAGTATCAAAATCTGCTGGCACTGTGGCTTACACCTGTAATCCCAGCACTTTGGGAGGCCGAGGAGAGTGGATCACTTGAGGCCAGGAGTTTGAGACTAGCCTGGTCAACATGGCGAACCCCTGTCTCTACTAAAAATACAAAAATTAGCCAGGCGTGGTGGCACACGCCTGTAATTCCAGCTACTCAGGAGGCTGAGGCACGAGAATCACTTGAACACAGGAGGCAAAGGTTGCAGTGAGCCGAGATCACCCCACTGCACTCCAGCCTGGGTGACAAAGCAAGACTCTGTCTCAAAAAACAGAAAAGGCTGAGCATGGTGGCTCACGCCTATAATCCCAGCACTTTGGGAGGCTGAGGCAGGCAGATAGCCTGAGGTCAGGAGTTCGAGACCAGCCTGGCCAACATGGCAAAACCCCGTCTCTACTAAAAATACAAAAAAATTACCAGAGTGTGGTGAAACACACCTGTAATCCCAGCTATGTGGGAGGCTGAGGCAAGAGAATTGCTTGAACCCAGGAGGCAGAGGTTGCAGTGAGCCCACTGCCCTCCAACCTGGGCGACAGAACAGGACTCTGTCTCAAAAAAAAAAAAAAGTAGCAAAATCTCACAATGGTACATTTGCCTAGAGAAATAAATAGCCCTTGGGTGGGCCCTTTACTCAGAAATTCAGTATGATACTGCAGTCATATGCAGTCATCATCACTTGGTTTTATTTCTAATTTTTCCTAACAGTCTGCATAATCTGACCCTTATGCACTTTGCTAAACTCATTTCCTGCCACTTCTTGGTTTCTTCAGGAAAACACTTTGGGGTGTAATGCCCAGAACATGTAATTCTCACTCGTGCCTTTTTTCTTTTGCACAGGCTGTTCCTCCTTCCTAAACACCCTTCCTCTCTCTGCCACATTCCGGTCCTTTCTCCCCTTGGTTAACTTGTATAATATTTGGCTAACTCCTGAAGGGCACCTTTAAACTCAAGCAAGGGATCACCTAATTGGAGGCTTTTCTGATTATTCCTCTACCTCCTTCCATTCCTCTCCACTTCCTATCTCCCCCAGCCCCTGACTCCATCCAGCCTGGGTTAGAGTCCCTCCTCAGTATGCCTCATATGTTTCTGTGTTCCTTTACAATAACAATGATGACATTTACTGAGCTGTCCGCATGTTCTGGATACTGTGTTAAGTGCTTTACTTAGATGACTTCCTTTTTTTTTTTTTTGGTCTTTTTTTGACATTTTTCTTTCATATTTATTTTTTAAATGTTTTAAATTTTTTATCTTTAGAGACAGGCTGTCACTCTGTTTGTCCAGGCTGGAGTGCAGTGGCACAATCACAGCTCATTGCAACCTCGAACTCCTAGGCTCAAGCAATCCTCCTGCCTCAATCTCCCAAGTAGCTAGGAGTACAGGTTTATAGGCATGTGTCCCCATGCCTGGCTTTTTATTATTATTATTATTTTGTAGAGACAAGGGGCTGGGGGTGGGGTGAGGGTCTCACTGTATTGCTAAGGCTGGTCTTGAACTTCTAGCCTCAAATAATCCTCCCACATTGCCCCCCAAAGTGCTGGATTACAAGTGTCAGCCACCACACCCGGTCAAACGATTTCATTTAAGCCACAAAATAG
Source organism: Homo sapiens (assembly GCF_000001405.40). Classification (NCBI taxonomy): domain Eukaryota; kingdom Metazoa; phylum Chordata; class Mammalia; order Primates; family Hominidae; genus Homo; species Homo sapiens. Next base: position 32,206,469 of record NC_000003.12, read on the forward strand.
ACCCACGAAGCAGGTACTATTAATAATCTTTACTGGTGAGGAAATTGAAGCACAGAGAGCTTAAGGAACTGAGCCAAAGTCACACAGCTGATTGGCGGTGACATGATTTTAAACCTAGGCAGTCTGACTCCAGAGTCATGCACTCACTTATCATCCTGAACTAGAAATAGCAGCTACAGGCCAGACTATGAGATCTTAAGGGGAAGTTTCTCTTGTATATATCCCCAGAGTTTGGCATTGAGCAGGGGATTTGTTAATTACACGTAGACTGAAAACAAAGGCTATTGTTGTAGGTAAAATCTTATTATCTTCCCTGGTAGAGCACAACTCACTTCCTGAGGTGCCAACACTCAGAGGTCCTTTTCGTGTACAATGTCTTCTTGACCAAGTTCTTCCCAGGAGTGTACCGAAAACCTCAATGGAATTAAACTGTGCCCAGCTCACCTGGAAATGCAGTTATTCTATGGCTGAGGCAGAAGGCTCTGCAAAGTGTATGGCAGGACAGTAAAGTGTATCGCTTTATTACAAACTGGAGTCAAACATATTCTATCGAAAATATTTCTGAAGTTATACTAGATAGGCAATTCTATTTTTAGAAGCTACAAAAACAGACAAAATTGATCTATGTTGATAGAGATCGGGACAGTGGTGACCCAGGGGCAGGGGTAACCAGAAGGGGACAGAAGGGGGCTTCTGTGGTGCTAGAAATGTTTTGGTTCTTGACTTGGGTATTATCACACAGATATGTTTAATTTGTGAACACTCATCAAGGTGTACACTGTGAAATAGGCACTTTTTATATGTATATTATACTTCAAGTTTAATAAGTTAATTATACTGTGTAGATGAAGAACTGGGCCAAGTATATACACTTTTCATAAAATTTTCTTAAAAATACATGCAAAGGGTTTGCAAGGAGGTTATACCTGGGGTCACTAATTGCAATACCCTCAGGGCAGACACAGTGAAAGTGAGAGGTGGACCCCACCAGGTGGGAGAACGCCTGTCTGCAATGGGAGGCCACCGCTCAGCTTGCTTTACATTGAGACTCAAATTGTTGCCATGTTGGAATGTTGGCACAGCCGCTCAGCCCTTTCAAGTTATCAGTGAAAGCAAGAGAGCCCACAATTTGGAATCTCCAAATTTTTAAATGTTGGCAACCAACTTTTTAAAACATCTAAACACTGTACTGTCCAGATGAAATGCATCTGCGAGCCAAATCCTGCCTGTTGACCCTGGTTTATGACCTCTACAGTAAGCTGAGATAAAGCAGTACAAGGAGTTTGTCTTTAACTCTATTGTATTAGTCAGGGTTCTCTAGAGGGACCAGACTAATAGGATAGATGTATATATGAAGGGGAGTTTATTAGGAGAATTGACTCACAGGATCACAAAGTGAAGTCCCACAATAGGCTGTCTGCAAGCTGAGGAGCAAGAAAGCCAGTCGAGTCCCAAAACCTCAGAAGTAGGGAAGCTGACAATGCAGCTTTCAGTCTGTGGCCAAAGGCCCAAGAGCCCCTGGCAAACTACTGGTGTAAGTCCAAGAGTCCGAAAGCTGAAGAACTTGGAGTCAGATGTTCGAGGGTAGGAAGTATCCAGCACAGGAGAAAGTTGGAAGCTGGAAGACTCAGCAAGTCTGCCCTTTCCATTCCTGCTTTTAGGCTGGCGGCTGTTGAGAATGGTGCCCACCCAGACTGAGGGTGGGTCTGCCTCTCTCAGTCCACTGACTTACATGTTAATCTCCTTTGGCAACACCCTCGCAGACACACCCAGGAACAATACTTTGCATCCTTCAATCCAATCAAGTTGACAATATTAACGATCACAAGTCCACCCCTTGTCAACTTGAAGCCATACACATTTCCTGAAATCATACATAATTTCCAAATAAAGACAATAATAAGGTCATAATTACACCTAACATAATACAGCTATCCTTTGTACAACCAGAAGCTCACTAATCCTTAACCTAAATGTTTTTATATAAAGTTAACAACACTTAAATGCTGATATAAAGTCAAAAAATCTTATGTCACACGATAAAGGAAAAAGAAAGGAAATTTAAAATGAAGATATTTTCTTCGTACAAGTGTATACATGCACAAACATATTCTTAACAAAATAAGGGGAAGTATTCACAATTACGCTCCTTGTTTCTGCAACTGGTCACATGGTCGTAGCTGATACTGATGACTAACTTCTTCTACTACCCATTCTGTATTCCCTTTGTCTTCAGCAAGCACCTCAGCAGGTCATGTTTTTTTTTTAACCTGGTGGAATGACCCAAACCTTCATTCCTGTAGGTTCTGGGCCATTTGTAGTCCTGTCTGGATTGGGCTATTGTAGTTTCCCATTGACCTTAATCACAGGACATGGTAATACTAAGAGACACCCTGATGGATCTCTTGTATTCCACGCATACTCTTCCTTACCTCCATTGTGGAGTAGTAGACTGATTTTATCTTGGTAGTCCAGGTCAATCACCCCAGCCAACACTGTAACTCCCTTCTTAGCCTGTTGACTTAAAAGTAGGAGGAGCCCAAAGTGACCAGGTGACAATCTTAACTTCCAGTTTAATGGAATCGTTGTGTCTCTTGATAGCAGCATTCCTCCCTCTGGAACTAAGACCTCTAGACCAGCAGAACATAATGTCACGGGAATATCTATTTTGCAGTAAATATTGTCTAACTCTCAGAGCAGGCCTAATGGCTAAATGCTACCTGTTCACAATATCTCACAGGGAAGTCATTAGCGAGGACAATGACCCTCCCCTAAGATAATATGTGAGGCTATGTCTCTGATAGAATTCTCACTGAGAGCGGCGGTGGTGTAGTAGATGTGGTTGCTGCCCCACCAAGATCGCCTTACCTGGCTGGCAGAACCATTCCCTAGCTGCTGCTGACTTTTGGCTGCTAATGGGTCACAGCTCCCCACCTTCTACAGATAACTGCACTCAGAACCACCTTGTTCAGAGATGCATATTCCCAACATGAGAAGGTGTGGCACCCAACGCCATTGACAGACTGATAGAGGGGTATGTAATCCCAGCCTCTTACCCCAAAGTGGGAAAACTTCCTCTCCAGGGTTGCCCATGAGATCGGACTGAGGCTGGACTTGGGCTGAACCTACATCTCCACTTAGCTTCAATCCCTGGCCCTATCCTACATCCGTTAGTCCCTTACAGGTATTTCCTGAGATCACAACCTCAATAAATCACTTGCACAAAGGCATCCCCATCTCAGGCTCTGCTTCTAGGGAACCCAACCTAAAACAAATGTGGCTTAGGAGGAAGAATTATTGGAAGAACCTTGTCTGAGACTGAGCCTTTACTAGCCAAATGATTCTAGTTAAGTTATTTAACTTCTTTGGGCCCCATTCTTTTTATGGGTTCATTAAACCAGTGTATATTGGGCTAATCATGTGGCCTACTACAGGATGGTTAAGAAGATGCCATAAATATAAACGTGGAAGCCCAATGCAAGCTATAAAGCTCTAAAATATAAGAGCTGCTTTGTAGGTGCGCTCCTACGGTCCCATTACAGCACTCAATGCCACCCATTCTGAGGTTCATGTTCCTTTCTCTACTGTAAGCTCCTAAAGGTCAGGGAAGATTGTATTCTCTTCCACCCTATGAACGATTATATTTCTTCAAATCTAAAATTTCATCAACTGTAAGATATATCATTATTTTGTGTACAATTAATAGAGAGAAACCCTGTCAATTAAACTATGAGACAATGACTCCTTATCACTAAAAATTTTTGTTTTGTACTTCTTGAAAGAGCTCTTTTGAACTTATTTTTATTTTTTATTTTGATTTATTTATTTTGAGATGGAGTCTCATTCTATCGCCCAGGCTGGAGTGCAACGACGTGATCTTAGCTCACTGCAACCTCTGCCTCCCGGGTTCAAGCGATTCTCCTGCCTCATCCTCCTGAGTAGCTGGGATTACAGGTGCCCATCACCGAGCCCAGCTAATTTTCATATTTTTAGGAGAGATGGGGTTTCACCATCTTGGCCAGGCTGGTCTTGAACTCCTGACCTCGTGATCCACCCGCCTTGGCCACCCCAAGTGCTGGGATTACAGGCATGAGCCACCGTGCCCAGCCTGGACTTCTTTTTAAAAATTTTTTTCACCATCTTATTTTGAAAATTTTCAATCATACAAAAAAGTTGAAATTTTATACCCTATTATCCACCACCTTAAGGTTTCAAATTAATTTTGGATACGGTATGAGGTAGAGAGCAAATTATTTTTTCTCATTGGTATCCATTGTTCTGGCACCATCCATTGAAAGATTTTTATTTTCCTATTGGATTACTTTGGCCTTTTTAGTAGACTTATTTACACAAATTTTTATCATATCTTCCTCTTGTGTATATGTAAAAGGAAAATATGTTTATTAATACATATATAATGTATAGATTGTATATGAATCATATTGTCCTCTAAGACATCACAAGTATCATATATATTCAGGATCTCTTAAAAAAGTGCTCCATTCTTGTTTCCAGGTTTTTCCCAATGCTTTGACACCCATTTTGTGAGTCTTAATGATTTTTCTGGGTCAATAGATGGGTTTTAGACAATAACCAGGACTCACATTCCTTCTTTAAATGCTTTTTAAATGATTTGTTGACTGATATAATTTGAGTGTGTCTTCCCAAAAAATATGTGTTGAAAACGTAATCCCCAATGCAACAGTATTGGGAGGTGAGGCCTAATGTGAAGTGCTTAGGTCATGAGGACTCTGCTCTCAAGAATGGATTAAAGCCAATTCTAAAAGGGCTTGAGGCTATGAGTTCTATCCACTCTCTCCTTCTCACCTTCTATTTGCCCTTCCACCATGAGATGATGCAGCAAGAAGGCCCTCGCTAGATGCTGGCCCCTTGATTTTGAACTTCCCAGCTTCCAGAACCAAGAAATGATAAACTTTTTATTTTTCATTTTATTTAGTTTTTGAAATGGAGTCTCCCTCTGTTGCCCAGGCTGGAGTGTAGGGGCATGATCTCAGCTCACTGCAGCCTCCTCCTCCCAGGTTGAAGTGATTCTCCTGCCTCAGCTTCCTGAGTAGCTGGGATTACAGGTGCCCGCCACCACGCTGAGCTAATTTTTATATTTTTAGTAGAGACGGGGTTTTGCCATGTTGTCCAGGCTGGTCTCGATTTCCTAACCTCAAGTGATCCACCTGCCTTGGCCTCCCAAAGTGCTGAGATTACAGGGATGGGCCACCATGCTGGGCCTAAACTTCTGTTCATTATAAATTACCCAGTCTTATGTATTCTGTTATAGCATACAAAATGGACTAAGTCTGACCAAAACATTAAAGGAATTATAACTAAATTCACAAACGTGTAGGCAGTGACAACTACTATCTGGACGACAGTGCTTTAAATTTTTTTTTTTTTTTTTTTTTTGAGATGGAGTCTCACTCTGTGCCCCAGGCTGGAGTGCAGTGGTGTGGTCTCGGCTCATTGCAACTTCTGCCTCCCAGGTTCAAGTGATTCTCCTGCCTCAGCCTCCGGAGTAGTTGGGATTATAGGCGTGTGCCACCATGCCCAGTTACATTTTTGTATTTTTAGTAGAGACGGGATTTCACCATTTTGGCCAGGCTGGTCTCAAACTCCTGACCTTGGGATCCACCCGCCTCGGCCTCCCAAAGTGCTGGGATTACAGGTGTAAGCCACCACGCCTGGCCCAATAGTGTTTTTAAGACACCATTAGCTACCTCTCTACTTTTGAGATGTCAAACTGTTGGGGGAAAAAGTCTAATCTAGCATTGTATACCCAGTGCCCAGGACTGTGCTGCCCACCGGGTGACCTTCAGTAAGTATTTCTTAATTAAATAAATTATTTTTTTATCTTACAGATTCTTTTGACTTGCTATTGTGCTCTGCTTCATAGTTCTAGCTTATGAAATACACTGTCATTATGTTTGCCAAGCCCCAAACCACCTGCTTAATAATGATGAAACTGCATTTTGGGAATACTCTTATTACTGTGTTATTTGCATTCTTTGATTTTGCTAAATGCAACCTCAAGAGTGAAGGGAATGAGGTATCAAATGAAGGTGCCAAAATAAAACACACAGCTTTTGAGGAACTAATGTGGGTGAGGCCTTGAAGGCAAGTTTTTAAGTTCCAACTAAAATATACTGATGCCATCGTTCTTATGATTGTTACAGATGCTGCTGATTGCTGTTTGGAGCAATGCTCCAAAGTATATATGATGTACTATGAAGTACCTAGTACTTTAAGAAAAATTTATTTTCAGTCTCATTACCACTAAGTATAAATGTGTTTGGGCCATCAATACCATTTTTTACTCTAAATTCAGTTTATTCAAACTAGGAAGGTGTAGAATTTAAAACAATATTGTCCGTCAAAGCCCATTACATGTTATGTTGTTGACATCTACCCAGGCCTGTGACCTGATATCTTGTTACTTTCACTAATTAAAGTTGTTAATAGGTCCTTCTACTATATAGAAACCTTGTAGAAAAATTTTATGTGGGTATAAAGAATTCAAAGTGTCTCTTGTCATATTTACAGCAGGATTTTCCCAAAATGATGACTTGATGTTTCAAAAAGAAGTGAGAAAAAAAAAAAAAAACTTTCCTGGCTTGGATAGTATACTATGGTTATACCAGATGTAACCATCGGGGGAAGCTGGCTTCAGGGTTCCAAGCACCTCTTTGTACTGTGTTTGCAATTTCTTTTCTTTAAAATTAAAAATAAAGAAAGGCTCTTTTGGATCATTGGATTTTAGGATTATAACTGGTAACTGATTTATACTCCATTAACAAGTAAAGTGACACTGACCTCCAGAAAAAGTATCTTTGCATTGATGTATGCATGTGTTTGTGTGTGTGTGTGTGTGTGTGTGTCTGTGTGTGTGTGTGTACAAAGCATACTAACTTAAAAAAAATTTTTTTTTTGAGACAGGGTCTCTCTCTATCACCCCAGCTAGAGTCACTGCAGCCTCGACCTTCCAGGCTCAAGCGATCCTCCCACCTCAGCCTCCCAAGTAGTTGGGATTACAGGTACATGCCACCACATCCAGCTTATTTTATTTTTATTTTTGATAGAGATAGAGTTTCGCCATATTGCCCAGGGCTGCCCTCGAACTCCTAGGCTCAAGCCATCCGCCTATCTTCGCCTCCCAAAGTGCTGGGATTACAGGCATAAGCCACCATGCCTGGATTGTTTTGGGTTTTTTTCTTGTTTTGTTTTGTTTTTTTTTAGACAGTGTCTCACTTCGTCACCCAAGCTGGAGTGCAGTGGTCCAATCATGGCTCACTGTAGTCTCCTGGGCTCAGGTGATGCTCCTACCTCAGCCTCCCAAGTAGCTAGGATTACAGGCACACATTGCCATGCCCAGCTAATTTTTTATTTTTTGTAGAAATGGGATTTCACTATGTTGCCCAGGCTGGTCTCAAACTCCTGGCCTCAAGCCTCCTTGGCCTCCCAAAGTGGTGGGAATACAGGCATGAGCCACCACGCCTGGCCAAAAACCTTTTTTAATCTTGCTTAAATTAAAACATAAAATTATTGCCTGGGCACAGTGGCTCACGCCTGTAATCCCAGCACTTTGGGAGGCCGAGGTGGGTGGATCACCTGAGGTCACGAGTTCAAGACCAGCCTGGCCAACATGGTGAAACCCCGTCTCTACCAAAAATACAAAAATTAGCTGGGCGTGGTGGCAGGTGCCTGTAATCCCAGCTACTCGGGAGGCTGAGACAGGATAATCACTTGAATCCGGGAGGTGGAGTTTTTGGTAAGCTGAGATCACATCACTGCACTCCAGCCTGGCGAGTGAGCAAGACTCCATCTCAATAAATAAATAAATAAATAAATAAATAAATAAATAAATAAATAAAATTATTGTTACTTCTGGAGAGAAGAACAGAAAAGAAGCAATTTTCATTTCTTGGATTTCTTTATTGTTAGACAATGAGTTCTTACTGCTTTCACAATTTGGTGGTAAAAAGTGCTCACGGTAGACATTTCCTTAAACAGCTGTAAGACTCAAATTATCCAGTGACAGTTTTCCTAAATATCCTTTGTTATCAGAGGGAAATCTTATTCCCTTTTCATTGGTTCTGATATTTATGTTTTGGGAATAATTTCAGCAGAGGAATAAATTTATGAATCAAAACTACTATTTCTTCTACTCTACTAAATAAAAGTGAACTACATGATATTAAAACTGAATCTTAACATGCATTTCCCTAAGGATTCTAGACCTTTTCAGAAAGGATTAGTTATTATAATTCTATAAACTATCATTTTTATGTTTTCAAGATTAAAACATATTATTCTACAGCCACACGCAAGTCAGGCACTATAAATAGTTTTCTTTTTAGCATGTGATATCACTATAAATACTGAAAGATCTTAATACTTGTTGACTGCAAGGGAGATTTCATTTTCCGAACTTTGGTTTTGGAGTAGCAGATCCTGTTCCATAAGAAAATTTTGAAATCATTGCTGTTTGTGGAACACTCCCAGGCCTTGGGTGATACTTACCTCCTCCTTTGTTTTCCTCTGCCTCGTGTCTTCTTATAACTCTATCATTCAATCAAAGGGATTTCAAGTCAATTCATTTTTTCTTCTTCAGTCATTACTAGTGGCCAATTGTGATTAGCGAGTAGGCTCAAGCACAATACAGTAACTAGAATGAAATAATTAAGACTGGGCTTAATCAAAAAATCTCAGTGGGAAATATCAATCTTTTGATGACTGGCTGTTAGTCCCTCATTAAACATTTCCAGGGTACCTACCATGTCTCGGATTCTGTTCTTGGCACTGAGGACACAAAGATAAAAAGAAAATAAAGGGCTCCCTTCCTCAGGGAACCAACAATCTCAGTAGGGAGATGCCACAACTCAGTGTGACCTGTGCTATAATTAGAACAACCAGGCAACTGTCCCCAAGGTGGGACAGTTTTAAGAGTCAGAGGAGAAACTATGGATATGACAGCTGGAAAAAACATGTACACTCAGATTGTCACTGGCTCTAATGAAAGTTTATATAATACGTTATAGGAACAAAAAGGAAGGAGCTGGATGAAAAAACAACTGAAATAAAAATCACCATCCATTTCAATCCCCTAGTACTTTTAAAGCTAGGCTTTTAAAAATAATGTGCAATTAAATTATTTAACTTGTGAAGAGCCTTTATTCAAATGGCCATGTATAAAAGGCACTATTAAAAGCAAGGTTGCCCAGTGTAATTTTTGAAAGTTGTATGGAAATTTGGGTACACAGAGAAGGTTAAAGATAATTTATTCCCAGAACAAGTCTGTCATAGATATATTCATTTAATATCAAAAGTTAATAAACCGGTTCTAACGGAGTATTTATTTGAAAGCTCCCATCCGAAGCTTTCCTTTTTTACCCATTGCCATTCCCAGCACTGTTTAAAACTTCAATCCGAGCCACTGCAGATAATATATGTGCTTGTCTGGCGTAAGGAATAAATTAATTTTGCATGTAATTCCCCACAATGACCTATATGATGGGCAATTCTATTTTATACTTTTTTCCCCCAGAATGGCAATAAATAGCACTAGATATATATGAAATGATACCTTGCTATGGTTTAAAATGTCTAATTATTTTTAGCTTACTCACGTAAGTATTTCTAGTCCACAAAAGCACAGGTTTTTCTAGAGGGACTTATAACCATGTAAAATAAATTTTCTGTGTGTGTCTTTAATGTCTGTCCCTGTTGACAAATTTGTTTGTTTTCCCGAGTCAGCTGCCTAGGGTCAGATGGGCTGCACACATTCTGTGTACAGAGGCTTTCAGAGGGAGCAAAGTCTTATTTGCCATCCAAACAGCCCATTCCACCGGGGCTGGCTGGAAATGACATTTGCGTGTGTGCAGCAGATACCTGAACAGTCGGTACATTGTGAAAAAACATCTGGACACCCATTACGTGGTATTTGGACAAATATGGATCATTGCTTGTCTGTAGGGAAAGGAGTTGCTGGGCTTAGGTCCTAACTTTGAGCACTCATCTATCCAGGTTTTTCTTGTATCTGTGAATCGAAGGTCTGGGGTTCCACGCTCTCTAAGCCTCCTCCCTACCAAAAGTATCCTAGCCCAGTCCATAGCCTTGAGATAATGCATCAGAGGGAGCAGCTGATGCAAACCATTTTGTTTCATATAAGCTTTCAGGCTTAACAAGATGGGACAACCATGATGACAATGTGTCAAAGGGGAAGCAGGAGGTGAAAAAGGAGGAAATGCTGTCATCCCCGTTTGAATACACAGGGCTCTGCCGCTGGCCTCTGAGTCTACCACGGCTGGCTTTCTTTGGGATATTTAAATGCATAAAGATTCAGGGTAATAAAATAAGACCTCGTAAGTCACCTATAACAACACCTAATTTTCCAACAAATAATTATGATTTTCACCCAAATAATAATTACTACTCCTAATAATAAACTTTAAGAAGGCAGACCCAGGTTTTATAGGGTCAGAAAGTTTTGCAGTTTTGAGAGTATCCTTTAAGAAAGAGAATATATAATTAGGCAAAAAAATATAAAGACATTCTTAGGGGTCCTTCTAGGGCCTTTGGAAGGGGCTGTGCAATTGAGGGGCTTATAGATTAAGCAAAATTAGTTTCACAGTAAGTCTGCTTCTTACTATGTGTTCAATAAATACTTGTTGCATAAATGAATGACAAGTAAAAACAAATCCTAACATTTCTATGTCTCAAGAACTATGCTGAGTACTTTACAGGTTATAAACTCATTGGGTACTCACAACCATACTATGAGATCAAAATTGCTAATAGTTATTGCTACTTGGCGGCAAGCATTGGCTGCTCTTGGTGCTTTACAATATTTAGCAGTGTAATTCTGACAAGAGCACTAGAAGGCAGGCGCTCTTATTACAATTCCTGGTTTCCTGATAAGGAATCCAAGGCACAGAGAGGTTAAGTCCACTGCTGATGGTCACATAGCTAGAAATGGCAGAGCTGGTATTCAAAGCCAGGTAGTCTGGCTTCAGAATCTGTCCTTCTGGCCACACTCCAGCCTCCTAGATAAGGCTCAGAGAGATTCAGTGAAAAGTCAACTTTGTTCATGCCTGAAATCAGCCCAAATCTCTCTTGCATTAGCCTATGTTACACAGCTTTTTTTTTTTTTTTTTTTTGACAGTCTTGCTCTGTCACCCAGGATGGAGTGCAGTGGTGCAATCTCAGCTCACCAACCTCCGCCTCCAGGGTTCAACTGATTCTCATGCCTCAGCCACCCAAGTAGCTGGGATTACAGGCACACGCCACCACACCCAGCTAAATATGTTTTTAGAAGAAACGGGGTTTTGCCATGTTGCCCTGGCTGGTCTTGAACTCCTGGCCCCAAGTGATTCACCCTCCTCTGCCTCCCAAAGTGCTGGGATTACAGGCATGAGCCACCGCGCCCGGCTGGTATACACTTCTTAGATAACACAAATATTGCCTGCTTACTAGCATGGGAAGCAAATACTTCTCAGCTCAGTCTTCATTAGAACCCAGACTTCGCTGAAATGTAAGAGAAAAGGAAGAACTGAGTTGAAGTCACATTGAAAACCCAGTGGAAAAAAGGAAAAAAACATTAGATGTCTTTCCATTCAAGATGATGATTCCTAGGGTTCAGAAGGAGTTACCTTAATCACTCGCTCTCCTCACAGCCTGCGGCCATTAGCCCAGCTTAGTGAGAGAATCTTTCTCCCAATGAAGCCACTTGATATAAATAATTTTAAAAGATTCCAATTCAAATGTATTTTGGTCATATTCCACTTCCTCCACCACCACCACCACCACCCACATCTTGCAATAATATCAGGGAACTTGGATTCAAATACCTACTCATAAGGAAAATGACTGGGCCATCCCTCCAGGAAGTGGCATCCATTTCCTTATATCCTTGGGAAAGGTACTTAACCTGTTTGAACCTTCACGGTTTTTCCTCTGTAAATTAAATCAGGATGATGACTTTGGGCTGGCTGAGCTCCCTTTGCTCCTGCAGATCTCCTCTCTATGCTTTCCCATCCTGCTCTGGGTACCAGACAGCCCTCTTTGGCCAGTGGGGGCCTCAGCAGGAAATTGGAGGTCGGGGAGTTTATTCTTCCAACTTCCTCCTTGCAAGTGAGGCTGCTTCACCTTTTGTAAGACAGTATCTATTAGTAGTGCCACCACACAGCCTCTCTGTGTCCTCTCCCCTCCAGACCTAGGAGCAAAATCTCTGGGCCACTGCACACCTCCCGCCCCATGTGGTTTTCCACCCTTTCCATAACTTCCCAAATAGTTCTTTTATTAAACCCTTCCCAGATCACCCAATATGAGGGTACCATCCGTTTCTGGGAGGGTCCTTGACTGATACAGACATCTTAATAACTAGGACGTTGTGAGAATTAGGGAGAAAGGAAATTTGGAAAATTGCTTTCTCTACTGATAGTTAAAGTGAGCCAGCTGGGCTTTCAGTAGGGAGAGGGAAAAGGAGTAGATTGCACATCTGCCACAAGCCCCTCCCCTGAAGCCTAAACTTCCCAAGGGCACCATCACTGAGTCCCCAAGCCAGCAGATGTAACACACCTGTGACAGGTGAGGAGCAGGGCCTCCAGGAGAGGCATTAATGTTAGATGTGAAGCTGCTTAAAATGATCCCACCTGAAAACTGACAGTGTTCATTCTCAAACAGCTCTACAAGATCATAGCCTTAAGTAACTGAATGTCAGTAAGAACAACAGTAAAAGTATTCCTTGGGCATTTACTATGCCAGACACAAGTCTCTTAACTTATCCAATGCTCACAAAAACCCAGTTAGACAGTGAGTACTATTATTACATCCCCATTTTTCAGACAGGGGATCTGAATGTGTAAGTAGCATGCACAAGGCAAAAAATGCTAATAGTGGCTGTTCTGGTTATCTGCTGCTGTGTAGTAAACCACTCCAAAACTTGCTCGTGTAAAACAACCACCATTTTTTTGTGCTCAGGGATTCTAATGGTCAGGAATTCAGACAAGGGCTCCAGAGAACTGGCTGGTCTTTGCTCTATAATGTCTTGCTATCAGCTGGGAAGACTTGGGTAGCTGGTGGCTAGAATAATCTGAAGGCATTCTTATTCATATGTTTGGCACTCGGGCTGAGATGACTTGACCATCTGGGCTTCACTAGGACAGCCAACCAGAGTGTCTGCATATGACCTCTTCATGTAGCTTGGGCTTCCTCACAGCATGGAGGCCCTCAGAGTAGTTAGACTTCCTATGTGGTAGCTCAGGGCTTCAGGAGTAACTATTCCAGTGAATAAGGTAAAAACAGCATCTCCGTTTATGATCTAGCTGAAGTCACATAGTATCACTTCCGCCCGCCCACATTCAAGGGTACAATATACATGACAGGACATAGACTTCACATCTTGATGGGGGGAGGGTCAAAGAATTTGCAGCCATGTTTAAAAACCATCAGAGTGAAACACAAATTTGACCCTAGTCAATGCCTCAGTTTAGCCACCATTTCATTGGGAATGACCTAAAAAATATAATCCAGCACCTGAGATTTGTATAGTCTTTTACACTTCACAAATCAATTGCTTGATTTGTGAAACTTATGCTGGTATTTCTATCCCTGTTGTACAGTTAAGGAAACTAAAGCAGCTCTGAAACTTAAGTAACTTGCCTAAAGCCAAATAGCTAGTAATTCTGACCTCCTGAACCCAAGTCTAGGGCTCTCTCCTGTAAACACTGGTCTTGACTATAGCAAGTAGCTTGGGCTGTGATTCAGAGGCTCCAGTTAAACCACTTTTCAAAAACATCTCTTCTAACAATTAAAGTTTGATTCCTGTGGGTTTGGAAGGAATCACTGCTTTTGGCAGTACGCAAATAGCATAAGATGAGTATGAACAATTACCTGTCTCTCCTCCATAGGGCAAGACTTAAGGCAAAACCCTGCTGGGAAGCAGAAGGGGCTTAAGTGACAAGGACAAAAAGGTCAAGGGAGAGGAAATGCCACCACTGAAAGACATACTATGAGCCTGCGGCTATGCCAGGTGCTTTATTTTCCTCATTTCATTTAACACTTCTAAAGACACGACAACATTATCTCCCGTCCCATATGCTCTTGTACAATCTGATATTGTCACTCTTCTAATGAGAGCTGGGGTCTAATTCCCATACTCTTTAGTCTGGGCTGGCTTTACAACTCACTTGCAACTAAAAGGATGTGAAGAAAATTATGCCATCTGACTCCCCAGGCTAGGTCAGAAAAGGCCGTACAGCTTCTACATGGTTCTCTTGGGATGCTTGCTCTAGGATAACCCAGCTGCCATGTAAGAAGTCAACTAAGGGCTGGGTGCAGTGGCTCACGCCTATATTCCCAGCACTTTGGGAGCCAGAGGTGGGTGGATCACCTGAGGTTGGGAGTTCGAGACCAGCCTGACCAACATGGAGAAACCCTGTCTCTACTAAAAACGCAAAATTAGCTGGGCATGGTGGCGCATGCCTGTAATCCTAGCTACTTGGGAGGCTGAGGCAGGAGAATCGCTTGAACCCAGGAGGCAGAGGTTGCAGTGAGCCGAGAGTGCGCCATTACACTCCAGCCTGGGCAACAAGAGTGAAACTCCATCTCAAAAAAAAAAAAAAGTCAACTAAGATTGTCATTCCAGATAGGCCACATGTAGGTACCCCACTCAACTGTCCCAGTAGAGCCCAGGCTTCCAGCCAACTCCACCAAGGTGCCAAGCATGCATGACACCATCTTGGATTCTCGCAGCCAATCCATCCACCAGCTGTGCAACCTCAGCTGACACCACAAGGATCACATAAATGATCCAGCCAAGTCCTGCTCAAATTCCTGACCCACAGGATCTATGAGATTTAATAAAATGGTGGTTGTCTTAAGTCATTACCTGTTGGGGTAGTTTGTCATGCAGCAAGTGTAATGGAACACACGCCTTCATTTCCTGTAATCTTTATGACAATCATTGTTATTTCCAGATTAGGAAACCAGGGGAGAAGAAATTAAATAACTTGCCTAGCACTGGCCAGCTGATAGTTAGGGCTATAGCCTGGATCTTTTTGAGCAGGCAATCTCCGCTGCTTTGACTGACACATGTTCCTTTTGATGGGCGAGACAGAACCTGGATGAAAAGTCTGCAGAATGCTAAGGAGAAGCAATGTCTCTCTCATGCTTTTGTCTGGGTCAGGCTGGTCCCAAGATAATTAATTATGAAAACAAATACCTCTCCCACAGGCTGTAGAGCTAGACTCCAGCAGCCACCACCAGAAGCTGGACTTAAGCAGGACTTGGCTGGATCATTTATGTGATCCTTGTGGTGTCAGCTGAGGTTGCACAGCTGGCGGATGGATTGGCTGTGAGAATCCAACATGGTGTCACGCATGCCTGGCACCTTGGTGGAGATGGCTGGAAGCCTGGGCTCTACTGGGACAGTTGAGTGGGATACCTACATGTGGCCTAGCTTCTGAAGCCTCAGCTTCAGGAAGGTCTTGGAAAAAACTGTTTGTTGGTTGTATCTTTCTGGGGTTCACAAAAGACAGGAAACAGCTGGGGAAAACAGCTGGGGAAAGAGAGATGTTTGTCACCAGTTGTGAAGTCTCTCTGGGACAGTGATTAAAGTGCCCTTTACTGCCTGCCTACAGACTGACTTCCCATCTCAGTTAATGGCAATTCCATTCATCCTGATGTTCAGACCAAAAACTTTGGAGTCATTACCAATCCTTTCTTTCATATCCCCATCCAATCCATCAGCAAATCCTGTTGACTCTATCTTGAAAATATACCCAGAATGTAACCACTTCTTATTTCCTCCCCTGTGACCACGAGAATCAAGCTACCATCACCGCTTGTCTAGATTATTGCAGTCACCTCCTCACTGGTCTCCCTGCCTCCTGCCCCCTTGCCTACTGCCACTGCCGAGAGGCCTTTCTTGGCCATCCCAGATAAACAGCACAGGCCTCCTTTAACCTTTCCTCCTTATTGAGTTGTGTCTTTCTACATGGCACTCATCTTTATTTATGATTTATTCTCTGTCTCCCCCTTTGTATGGATGGGATTTTGTCTGTTTTTTTTTCACTGCTTTATCCTCAGTACCTAGAACAATATTTAGTGTGTAATAGGCCTGTAATAGTTATCAAATGTCATTGAATGAATTGAATCACAGACTTCCTTAAAAATCTGATGACAGCAGAGACCTTCTGCTCAGATCAATACTTGCACAGGCCTTGTTTTGCAGACAATTTCTGGGAGTCCCCAGATTTCGTGTGTCCATGCAAGTTAAGAGCCTCTGCTTTAGAGTGACAGTTTCAAAAGGCAGGAAGTCTAACCTCTGAATTCTAGAGAGTTGGATGTCAATCTCTAATTAGACTCGAGTCAGGTCTCTAGTTATTTAGATTATTCTTTTATCCACTCAACCAACATTTGTTCCGTGTCAGCTGTGTGATAAGCTCTGTGCTAGCCCCTGTGCTAGGGGAACAGAGGTATCTGTTCTTAAGGCCCGTAGACCAGAAGAAACATCACCAGGTAAACACCTAACTCTAATAAGATCACTTCAAAACTGAAGTGTTGTGCATCGTTCAGTGAAGATCTAAGGGATGCCATGACTAACTTTTCTTAGGTGACCTAGGAAGAACCCACAGAGAAGGACAGGCTTGAATTGGGTCTTGAAGCACGAGTAGGAGTTTGTCTGGCAGACACCAGGGAGAAAGGGTGAGACAGGCAAAGGGCCAGCAAACATCCTGGCATCCACAAAGAGAAAGCCACACATTTAGTCTAAAAATTCAACTGCAACAAAACTGTCTTTGTTTAGACTTCCCCTAGAAGCAGACCTGCATCAAGGATTTGAGCATAAGTCACTTATTTGGGGATCTGAAGGGAGTATGGGAAGAGAACTGTGAAGTAATGAGGAGTAGAGAAGGCAGCCAATAGAGGGGGCATTGCTAAATTACTTACAGACACTGGGCACCTGGAGGTTAACCCCCAGGGAAGCTCTGGGAAATCATGTACAACACATGGCTCAGAATTATCTCACTCCAGGATAATGAAGCTAGGGTATGTAGACACTGACTCCTGAGCATTGAGAGTTATCGTTGAGGGCTGCATCTCCATTTTTTCTATCTTTCCCCAACATATTGGCTTGGTCCTCAGACCAGCTTTCTCCATACCAATCACGATGGCAAAGGGAAGTGGGATAGCCCCCAACTGTCCTGAACCAATCATGGTCCAGCCAGGAGCTGGGGGTGGGATCAAACTCATTCTTCCATGATGGCCCCCATAGTGGAGGGGTTGATAGATGTTGAGGAAGAAATCTCAATGGCTATCAAATCCCTCTTTTCATACATGAACTCATCTTTCAACTTCAAGATGTGGTTTAGGAGGCTCTGAGGAACCGTGGCATGTGTTCGTAGTTCCAGGTGGCTGTTGTTTGATTTGGTGGCTCCCTAGATTTGGGGAGATGACCAAGGTCCTGGTTGGTTCAGTCTTCTATGTCTGACTCTGCCATATTTCACCAGTCACTGTTTGCTGAAAAGCCTCCTACCTCCCACAGATTTTAAGTTCTCTGGTTTTGAGTTTCAACATCTCCCTCGATCAATTTTAGGAAACGTGATTCTTATTACTCAAGAAAAGAAAAAGGAGTGGGGGAAATTGAGAGGTGACATTGAAAAGCCCTGGACTGGGGTGATGATTGACATTCAGGGAGAGAGCACAGACCCTTTCCTGTGAGGCTAATTTTGAGAATAATAAAGCAAAGGGGTCCCCTCCCTCCGTGAAAGCTGCCTTGACATAAAAGGACAATTGTTCTGCAGTAGCTTTCAATTACTTCCCTCTGATGCTATCTAGCTAAACCTGAACTGGTTTTGACGGGTTCTGGAGAGCTTTTTAGTTTAGTTGCTCACAGCAGGGGCAAAGCATAAATTGAGCAGCCCAGAAGGCTGAGACCTTAAGCAAAATGGAAGACTTCCCCAGGTTGAGACATCGAATCAATAACAAATAGCATTCTGTGCTGTGGACACCAAGGTGAGCATCAGGAAGCCTAATATTTATTTTTTCCTTTCCCTGCCTTCAAAAAGTGGCTTGGAAGAGAGAGAAAAGTCCAGGCTGATGCCTAGGGGTGTGGTTCTGGAGACAGAAGGGGTAGAGAAACAGACAGGCATCAAATTTTTCAATCAATTCTTGAAAATATTCATATAGAATCTTTAGGGCTGTATTTTTGCCTGGAGCTAATTACCTTAAACCTAAATCACATAGCGCAATAGGATAACTAGGATAACTGCTTTCTTGGAATTCACTGTCCTAACAGAAAGGAGATTCTCAGGACTGACTCTTTAGTTAATTTGGGGGCAGGAAGAGAAGTGGAGTGGAGAGTGTGGGAAGGGAAAACCCATAAGGCCATGGTTCTCAAATTTTGCTGCCTTCTACAGTCACCCAGGAAGCTCTCAAAAAGCTCAATTCCAGCCAGGCGCAGTGGCTCATGCCTGTAATCCTAGCACTTTGGAATGCCGAGGTGGGGAGATCACTTGAGGTCAGGAGTTTGAAACCAGCCTGGCCAACATGGTGAAACCCCATCTTTACTAAAAATACAAAAAAATTAGCTGGGCATGGTGGTGGGTGCCTGTAATCCCAGCTACTTGGGAGGCTGAGGCAGGAGAATTGCTTGAACCACTTGAACCCGGGAGGCGGAGGTTGCAGTGAGCCAAGATCACGCCACTGCACTCTAACCTGGGCGACAGAGTGAGACTCTGTCTCAAAAAAAAAAAAAAGAAAAAAAAAAAAAAGCTCAATTCCCAGACTATACTTCAGATCAATTAAATTGGAATCCCTGGAGGTGGGATCTGGCTTCAGTGTTTTAAAAAACTCCCCAAATGACTCCAATGTGCAACCAAGTTTGAGAATGAGGGTCTCAAGGTGGCATTTCTTAAATCTAACGTGCACACAAAGCACCTGGGGATTTTGTTAAAATGCATATTCCAGTTCAGCAGGTCAGGGGTGGGGCCTGAGATTCTGCATTTCTAATAGGCTCCCGGGTGATGATGATGTCACTGGTCTGTGGACCACCTTCAATTAGCCGATCTTCGGATGTTTCTTTAACACCTGAAGGGAATGGAGCCACTAACAAGTCACAGAACAAAGCAAACCACTTTTCAGAACACACAGCTCCCCACTTAAAACCTTTCTGAGAGGATTCCTCTGTACTGTTAAGATACATTGCAAACATCTTACTATGGCCTACAAATCATCACCTGGGCAACTTTTGACAAAGCTCCAAAAAATCATAGTCTCTGGGGTAGGGCTTGGACTTTGGTAGATTTTTAAGATTCCCCAGGTGATGCTGATGTGCAGCCAGGGTTGAGAACCCTGTCCTAAGTCCCTGTGACAATGTCCTAAGTCATTGGCTCCTGCAGTTTCTATCAGAACAGCCCTTTTCCCAAATCCCCATGGCTATATTCTCACTGGGCATTGTTGATTGTATGAAGGGCAGGCAGTGGGCTTAAGCTACAACATTGTGCCCCTTCCCTGGGAAATTAGGTGTGAGACCCAGCTTGATCTGGCTATTCCTGTGTATTAGTCCGTTTTCACACTGCTGATAAAGACACACCTGAGACTGGGCAATTTACAAAATAAAGAGATTTAATGGGACTTACACTTCCACATGGCTGGGGAGGCCTCACAATCATGGTGGAAGGCAAGGAGGAGCAAGTCATATCTTACATGGATGGCAGCAGGTCAAGAGAGGGCTTGTGCAGGGAAACTCCCATTTTTAAAACCATCAGATCTCATGAGACTCATTCACTATCACAAGAATAGTGCAGGAAAGACCCACCCCCATAATTCAATCACCTCCCACTGGGTTCCTCCTATGACATGTGGGAATTGTAGGAGTTACAATTCAAGATGAGATTTGAGTGGGGATGCAGTCAAACCATACCATCCTGTTAACCCAGGAAATATGTAGTGGGGAGCAGTTGGTCACCATTTCCCACAGGTAGACCGGTAACAGAGAAAGCTGCTCTGCCACAGGAATCCAAAGAAGAAAAACAGTGGGACTTGGGACTCGGGGCTGGGTGGTGGGGAGGTTTCCAGGTCTCCCAACTTGGGGTTATACATGGCAGAGCATGAGAGAATCTCAGTAACTACCACCTTTGTCTCTGGAAGAGGGCCAGTTTCCAGGCTGAGGGGCTTCATGCAACTGTCCCTGCAGCTTAGAAGGTCTAAGATGACCCACAAACCTGGAATAGTCAAACCTTTTAGGAAAGATCCCTAAAAATCAGCTTAAACACAGCATTTCTGTGTCATAGCAACATCCACCTCCTTTAAAATTTATAAAAAATGAGCAGATATTTTGCAAGCTTCAAGAATAAGGGCTTTTGGGGTCTCAAACTGGTTCTATTTGTAAAGGAATCATCAGTCTTTAATTTCTGCAGCTGCAACTTCTAAATCTAGGCTCTCTGTTGACTTTGGGGGTATAATTGCATGTCTTTCCTGTTTTCTCATCTATGAACTGGAACTAAGAGTACCAATCTGATCGGATTGCTTTGAAGAATAATAAAAGGGTTATGAATCATGCTAGAGACATGGAAATGTCTCTTATGAATGAGTCACCATCTCCAGGAGGCACTGCTGTAGAATAGTGAAAAAGAGGCCTTTGGTGAAGATTTATTGAAATCCCAGCCTATTCAACTATCCAATTATGTGATCTTGGATGAATTACCGCCCTGGGCTTCAGATTCCTCATTGCAGATACTGACTAACAATGCCTATTTTGCAGAACTTTTGTAGGAATTGAATGAGATAATGTATGAAGACACCAGATATACAGTAGGTGTTCAAAGATATGTTTCCCTTCCCTCTGTGACCTAGATTAGTTAGGATATACCCCTTGTTACAGTATGGCTGTGATAAAAGACTACCTTTCCTCTCCAAATAACAATGGCTAAAATCAGCTAAACATTTCTTTCTTTCTCATGTAACAATCTGAACATTGGGAATCCAGGTTGATGGATAGTTCTGTGGCTTTGGGAGCCCTAGGCTTTTTTTTTTTTTTTTTTAAGAGACAGGGTCTCAGGCCGTCACTCAGGCTGGAGTGCAATGGCATGATCATGGCTCACAGCAGCGTTGAATTCCTAGGCTCAAGCAATCCTCCTGCATCAGCCTTCCAAGTAGCTAGGACTACATGGTGATGCCATCACACCTGGCTAATTTTTTGTTTGTTTGTTTTTTGTAGAGGTGGGGTCTTCCCATATTGCCCAGGCTGGTCTTGGCCTCAAGTGATCCTCCTGCCTCAGCTTCCCAAAGCACTGGGATTACAGACCACTGCACCCCGCTGCACTCAGGCACTTTCTATCGTGCGGTCCTGCCAACTTCAGTATGGAGCATCCATCTTGTAGTTTAAGATGGTGATTTTTAGCTAGGAGGAAAGAAAGAAGGGGCAATAGACAGCAATCCTCTCCTCTTTGAGGGCGTGGCGTAGAAGTTCTGCTCTCATCCGTTGGGCTAAATGTAAGCTAATTGCAAATGCAGCAGCCCCGTTTTTGAGATGAAACCCCAGCTCTACCATTTACTATCTATGTGGCCTTGGCCAAGTCACTTAACATATTTGTGCTCCTGTTTTTAAACATTTCATGAAGTTATTGTGAAAAGTACATGGGTTAGTAAATCTAAAGCATTTAGGATAATTACTCAGCACATATAAAAGTATAAACTATTAATATTTTTATTTGTGTAGCTACTTAGCCACACCTAATTGTGAGGGACACTGGGAAATATCTTTAATTAGGTGGCTGTCTGTTCAGCTAAAGTTTTAGAATTCTATATTTGAAGGAGGGAAGAGTGGACACTAGCAAACAACCAGAGTTTCTGCCATATCTGGGTAGTTAAAACAAGTGAAAAGACTACAGAAGGGACATGATTGTAATCTCTAATTTGGGTCTTAAAAAGCCTACATAGGCTAGGCGTGGTGGCTGATGCCTATTATCCCAGCACTTTGGGAGGCTGAGGCGGGTGGATCACCTGAGGTCAGGAGTTCGAGACCAGCCTGGCCAACATGGTGAAACCCCATCTCTACTAAAAATACAAAAAATCAGCCGGGCGTGGTGGCAGGTGCCTGTAATCCCAGCTACTCGGAAGACTGAGGCATAAGAATCACTTGAACCTGGGAGGCAGAAGTTGCAGCGAGCCGAGCTTGCACCATTCAACTCCAGCCTGGGTGACAAGAGCGAAATTCCGTCTCAAAACACACAAACAAACAAAAACAAAAAGCCTACATAAGGCCAGGCATGGGGGCTCATGCCAGTAATCCTAGTGCTTTGGGAGGCTGACGCAGGAGGAGCACTTGAGGCCAGTAATTTGAGACCAGCCTGGGTGACATAGTAAGACCCTGTCTCTACAAAAAACAAACAAAAAAAAATTTTAATTAGCTGGGCATGGTGGTGCATGCCTGTGGTCCTAGCTGCTTGGGAGGCTGATGTGGAAGGATTGCTTAAGCCCAGCAGGTCGAGGCTACAGTGAGCTATGATTGCACCACTGCACTCTAGCCTGAGCAACAAAGTGAGACTCTGTCTCAAACAAAAACAAAACACAGCCAGGCGTGGTGGCTCACACCTGTAATCCCAGCACTTTCGGAGGCTGAGGAGGGTGGATCACCTGAGGTCAGGAGTTTGAAAGCAGCCTGACCAATGTGGTGAAACCCTGTCTCCACTAAAAATACAAAAATTAGCCAGGCTTGGTGGCGCATACCTGTAATCCCAGCTACTTGGGAGGCTGAGGCAGGAGAATCACTTGAATCCAGAAGCAGAGGTTGCAGTGAGCTGAGATCCCGCCATTGCCCTCCAGCCTGGGCAACAAGAGTGAAACTCTGTCTCAAAAAACACAAAACAAACAAAAAAACCCTACATAAAACTCCTCCTTGTGTGATAAAGCGAATGTGCACCATTCCTAGAGATTGAGAGAAGAAAAATAATAACAATATGTGAGGCTCAGTGCCCAGTTGGATCTCACCTGTCCACAATGCCATATTTGGAGGCCTCATAATATTCTGACTTTATGAAAAGTACCACGTTTTTTAACCCCATTCTCTCTCCAGATCTTGTTGAATGCTTACCATCTGCCAGGCACTAGGCTAGGTGTCCATGGTGAATTCTCTTCTCTCTGGCAATGCCATCATGCTCTGAAGGTTGTGAAGGCCCTCACAGGCAAGGCATCAGGACTCACCACTGTGATAGCGCAGCTCCCATGAAGGCATCCCCTGCTCCTTCCCCACCAGCCTCCACCCTCCGAATGTGTCAGGAGATCTAACTGGCTTTTCTGGTTACAGATTCACCACGTCAAGAGAGGGGAGGAACAGTTTGTCATGCAGTCATACACCTAATGCTAACATTACTTCAGCTTGTGCAATGGAGGCCTTGCTACCCCGGCCCAAAGCCTCTCCCCCAACTCCCAAAGCAACCACAGGCTGGGCCCAAAGGACCAGTTACTTACCTTCCAGCAAAGTGGATTTGAACATGGAAATTAAAAAACAAAGGAGTGATTCTTGGCATTATAAAAGATAGGCAATAGAATTTCCAGAAAAACCTTGTAATACATTTTACCTTTTATTTGCCAGTAACTCTTCAAGAATGCATACTTAAATATATCTTTTGTACAAAGTTGATGTTTTATTGATGTTACTTGGTGGTGACTCTTTAGATAAAGACCCTAGCCACCTTTAAATTTCTCAGCTCCATCTTGTCTCCTCAAATAGTTTACTGTCCATAAACAAACACTTAAATGTTTGTTGGCTCCTTTGGCTCAGAAGAGCCCTCCAATTAATTCTTTCTACAGCAAAAGAACCTGGTAAGCAAATAACCACTCCATAAACTGCTTGCCTAATGTGTTCCTTTCGGAGAGTCTTCTGGTGAGGCATGTTTTGGGTGTAATTACTCTGTTTTGTTTTTTTGTTTTTTTTTTTTTGAGACAGGGTCTCCCTCTGTCACCAGGGAGTGCAGTAGTGAAACTGTGGCTCACTGCAACCTCAACCTCCCAGGCTCAAGCGATTCTCCTGCCTCAGCCTCCTGAGTAGCTGGAACTACAGGTATGTGCCACCATGTCCGGCTAATTTTTTGGGGGTTTTTTGTTTTTGTAAAGATGGGGGGTTTCACCATGTTGTCCAAGCTGGTCTCAAACTCCTGGGCTCAAGCGATCAGCCCACCTCAGCCTCCCAAAGTGCTGAGAGTATAGGCATTAGATGCCATGCCTCGTCTGCTGTCCAGTTTTTTGATGTGCTTCTGATTTCAATTTGCAACTATCGTGGCACTTCTTTAGAAGTTGTCAGCTTTGGATGGACAGGTTCCTGCTCCTCCTTGGGCAGAAAAAGGCGTTAGCTTTAGGACCTTCATATTCACCTTTTCCAAGAACTTTTAAGGGGGCCTAGAATTTTTGTGAGTAAAATACAAATAAAGCCTGTAGGTTTTGGCCCGTGGATTTTCGACAAGGTGCTATTAACATGCACAAGGTATTTTTAGCAGCCACTGCCTTGTGATTTCCCATCATTCCACAGAACTCCTAGAGCAGCTCCTCCAAACTCAGATGATCTTTTCTCTAAAACCAATGTCCATCTCACTTGGGCTTCATCCTCAAACACAGTCATTCATGGGTTTCCATCTGCTTTGTCATTTATGCTGTTTCCTTCTTTGAATGGGCCCCTTCAAGACCTGTTTCAGGTAAACATGCCCTTTCTTCAATAAACCTCAGTTATTTTCTGCTCTGCAACCTGATTGGGGTTAACTAAGCCACCCTACAAAGGACAAAGTTAACTGTGTGTATCCACCCACCCCCACCCCATCCTCTAGTCCTCTTATTGATTTTTGTGGAAAAATGTATGTGTGTATACATTTAAATATATATAAAAATTTAAATTTTCTACTGATTTGTCACAGTAATTGCTAAAAAAAAGTAAAAAGTCTGAAGACCAGGAAAAGACTCAAGTATTTCACCCTTCTAAGATTATACACACACACACACACACACACACACACACACATATATATACACACACATACCCTGTGCCCTTTCCCTATCTGGAACAGGATGGGAGTATGGTTTGACCTCAAGCTTCATAAATGCTCATTCATGGAATTTCTCCACATCTTGCCCTTTGCCAAGTACAATTTACTGAACATTTATTGAAGGAATGGAGAGGGAACAGGGATGACCCATTGTCTCCTATGCTGCGGGGGTAGAGGGTTGAAACTCCCTCTAGCTGCATTTCTCAGCAAACACACTGGTCATAATGCATCTTGTTGGGACAGGTTGTGTCCCTCTTTCTAGAATTTCCTCCCCTGTCCCCTTGTTCTTTCCTTAGCTAACTTTGAATAGCCCTTGAAAATAGTTTAAATGGCTGCTCCTTGAGGAAACTGCCTGAGCCCCAGGCTGACCTCACTGTCCTCCCCTTACATGGGGGTGGCCCTGGGCCCACCTGTGGCCTGGCAGGGGTCCCACCCATCACTGATGTACTGGTCTCTCTCATTCACTTGATGACCTATTCATTAAGGGAAGGGATAGTGTCTTATTGAGTTGTGTATTTTAATAGTGAGTGGCATATTAGATAAATAAATGTTGAGCCAATGGATGCAGCTAAGAACTTTGAGAAATCCATCTTTCTCATTAAGGTCAAGACTCCTAAGAATTTTTTTTTAAAGAGACAGGGTCTTGCTCTGTTTCCCAGGCTGGAGTGCAATGCCACAATCATGGCTCACTGCAGCCTCAACCTCCCGGGCTAGATCCTCCCACCTCAGCCTCCCAAGTGAGTAGCTGGGACTACAGGTATGCACCACCACATCCAGCTAATTTTTGTATTTTCTGTAGAGACAGGGTTTCACCATGTTGCCTAGACTGGTCTTGAACTCCTGGGTTCAAGCAATCCGCCCACCTCGCCTTCCCAAAGTGCTGGCATTACAGGCATGAGCCACTGCCCCAACACAGAAAAATTTTTTTTAAAATCAGTTACCTAATAAAATTATTCAAAGAGTTAAGATAGTGCTTGGCACAAAATAGGCCAACAATAAATTAGTTATTATTACATCTTCTAAGAATGCCTACTTCTAAATAAGTTAATTCTTAACATCCCTCCATAGTCTCCCAATCTGAAACTTCCCTGGTTCAGAAAGCCCTCTTCTGCCATTAGCAGCATCCCATTTGTTTCACGTTTTATTCACCACTCTTCTAAATATTTCCTCCAGCTACTCTGCTCTTAAGCGTCACCCTCTTGACCCAAATTTTGTGTCCTCTGAGGCCTCTGGAGGGCCTTGCAGGGAGGTGGGAGTCTGAGGCAGCTGGAGAGAGAAGAGAAAGTCTTCTTGCTTTGCCTGAATCAGAAGGCATCAACTGATGGTTCTCAGATATGTTTGTTTGGCCCACAAAGGCGACACACTGTGTTTTAAAATAAAGGATACTAGCTGCCAATATTAATTAATAAAAATTGGGATTTCTGTCAACACTAGGCCCAAATTCTTACAAGGCAATAATCAGGTGGGGCAGAAACTGAGATGGCCCCTTTCGAGCATTCGTGCTCCTGTTCGCCACAAACACCCCTGCGCCCGCCCCAACTCCCTATTCTGCCCCAGCTGAGTTCAAACGTTGGGGCTGATTTCATGACATTCACAGTTTCTCCAAGTGTTATTTTCCTCATAGGAAGAGGAAAGTGAAATATTTCTTGTCCCTATGTCTCAAACTAAAGAAAAAAATGAGAGTGAGACCCAGGAGGTCATATGTTTTGAGAAAAATAAAGTGAATGTACTCTTTGCGTAAGTGAAGAATTTGATACAAAGTTAATATGTAAGCCCAAATGTGTCTGGTTCAGAAGAATACAATTCAAGAGGCCATTCTGAAAACAGTCTGGCCCAAATCACTTATTTTCTTACCTTATATGCCTAACCCTGTTGTCATTTGGGCTTAAAACCTCTGGTCAAATTGACAGAGCCTCTTGGAACTCAAACCCACCCGAGATCCAAAAGTTCATTACTGAATGGATTTAGGTTCCATCTCTTCCTATTTTCAAATTGAAGATGGACTAGGCTGACCGGTGGCTTTGGGGACTGGAGTGGGAAGAACACTCTTACTTCTCAGCCAAGCTCCTGTTTTCTTTCGCTATAAGACAGGTATTAATAGCAAGATGAAGGGAGGCAGGACGTTCTAAGATGGATAAACCACAGAATCCAATGTGCCTGGAGAGTGTGAACTACTGTTTGGATTAGACAGCTCTATTTTTAATCAATCATGAGTAATTATTTTTATTTTCTTAACTTTTCTTTTTGAAACAATTTCAGTCTTTAAAAAGTTGCAAAAATAGGCCGGCCATGGTGACTCACACCTGTAATCCTAGCACTTCGGGAGGCCAAGGAGGGCGGATTGCCTGAGCTCAGGAGTTCAAGACCAGCCTGGGCAACACGGTGAAACCCCATCTCTACTGAAAATACAAAAAATTAGCCGGGCGTGGTGGTGGGCGCCTGTAGTCCCAGCTACTCGGGAGGCTGAGGCAGGAGAGTTACTTGAACCCAGGAGGTGGAGGTTGCAGCCTGGGCAACAGAACGAGACTCCATCTCCAAAAAAAAAAAAAAGTTGGGAAAATAGTAAAAAGATTTTATATAAGCTTTTACTGATACTCAAAATGTTAACACTTATTTAAGTATAAGTATCAAAATCACGAAATTAACACTAATACAATGTCATTGTATCAATGTAACACTGATACAATGTTTATCTGATCTACACAATGTATTCTAATTTCACCAATTGTCCCACTATTGTTCTTTTTCCAGCCCAGGCTCTAATCCAGGATGTCACATTGCATTTCATTGTCAGGTCTCCTTAGTCTCTTTTAGTATGGAACAGTTCCTTAGTGTTTGTCTTTCATGAACTTGACACTTAATAAACTGTCCCTCAATTTCAGTCTGTCTGCTCCCTCCTCATGATTAAATTCAGGTTATGCATTTGGTAAGAATATCACAGAAGTGATGTTGTATCCATCTCACTACATCATATTAGGAGGTACATAATGTCTGGTGATATCCCAAAGGTTTCTCCACTGTACAGTTATGAATTTCAAAGGGAGAATAGTATCCTCTGAAGACTTTGAAATGATATATCTTTTTGTTATTTTGTTACTTCTATTTTTTAAGAGATGATGTAAATATCCTTTTTCTCATCACACTTTCACCCACTAATTTTAACATTCATTGATGATTCTTGAATGAAACCACCATAATTTAAAATTAGAATAACAGTGAAGAGAAACATAAACCTATGAAAATTACCTAAAAAATGGGAATGTCCCTTGATCCTCTCTTTCTCAGAGAGCAGGTGGAAGTCATAAGCTGTCCATTTATTTCTTTCAATTATTAATGAGTCCTGGGCTTCCATTGAATGGCCTGGGCCCTACAGACCTTTGAGAGTGCTGTGTCTTATGACTTTGGTTGGTTGAGTAATATGGCCTTGTGGCATCCATATTTTAGACTCTGCATAAACCCTTAACCCTACACTCCATGCTAACAGATCTTAGATTTTTCTGTACTAATTTGCACAGGACCTGCTCATCCTGGCACATGTGGTATCACTTGGGCTGTACCTGTTTCCATTTTCTTCTCCATTTTTACAAATCAAATACTTCCCACAAGTCTCAGCTTGAAGCTGTCTTCTGTGTTAAGTCATTATGGGAGCCCAGGGCTTAGCTTTTCTTTTGACATTTTTCTGCACTTAAGAATGAAGCTTGGAGCCAGCATGGTGGCTCATGCCTGTAATCCCAGCACTTTGGGAGGCTGAGGTGGGAAGATCACTTGAGTTTAGGAATTTGAGACCAGCCTGGGCAACTAAGTGGGACCTCACCTCTACAAAGGATAAAAAACAAATTAGCTGGATGTAGTTGTGCCTGCCTGTAGTCCCAGCTACTCAGGTGGCTGAGTGGGGAGGATTGCTTAAGCCTAGGAGGTCAAGGCTGCAGTGAGCTGTGACTATGCCACTGCACTCCAGCCTGGGTGACAGAACAAGACCCTGTCTCCAAAAAAAAAAAAAAAAGTTTGGGCCTCAGCATTTGTTCAATACCTCCTATAGCAGGGGGCAGACAAGGAAGGGTAATTCATATATCTTGAGAAGTTGTAAAAGAAGTGCATAAAGTCAATGAATTCTAAAACAAAAAAGAAAATAACAACAGCTCATGGAAATCCAAAGAAACCACAGAAAAGGTGGCATTTAAAATGGGCCATGAAGACTGCAGATTGTGAGCTGTGTGTGAAGGTGGGAGGCTTTGTAGGCTAAGAGAAAAGCTGGCTATGGGCATAAAGTGGTCACACTTACAGTGATATATACAAAGTGTATCTGGGGCTGAAACAGTATGCATTCTAAAGTGGTTGAGAAAAGGGATCAGAAGAGATAGGCTGAATATCTTATATAGGCCCTTATGCTGTGCACAGTGGTACCTTAGTCTGGGGTTTCAGGACAATAATTCTTGCAGGAAGACGGAAGGTGGACTGGATAAGGGTGTTATTGGAAGAATGGGCACCAATCAGTAGAGTTTCAGGTGGAAGATAATCACCCAAATGTAGGCAGCAGTTGGAAAGGGGCAGCTAGTTTTCAAGCAACCAGTGTATAATTTTTTCTCTGTGATTCTGAAATCCCAAAAGCTGAAACCAAAATTTTTTTTCCTGAGCTTGCAGAAAACATATTTGGTAGAAAAACATAACCTAAACAGATGTGAAGCTATTTATTGTCTTTGTCTTTATCTCACCTAGATTAAAAGACAGCCACAATTCTTTACTGCTCCTCCCATCCACAGGTGGTATCTGTTTCCCCTCTGCGTGACTCTGGCTGGCCTTGTCATTCATTGGCTTAGACCAATAGAATGTGGTGGAAATGAGTCCGTGTAACCTTCAGGGCTGGGCCTTAAGAGATCTGCTTCTGCATTTGCCCCTCTTAGAAAGTCTCTTCCAGTAGCCAGCTGCCAGGTAGAAGTCCAACCACCATGAGCTTATCATACTGTTAGAAAGCCCAAGTTGAAAGGGCACTGAAATGCTCAAATGGGAATGAAGACTTTTTGGACTTTCTGGCCCTGCCAAGTCACCAACTGAAAGCAGCTGAGTAAATGACTCCAATCACACCATGCAAAGCAGAAGAACCTGCCAGCCAAGCCCTTCCCAAATTCCTGACACAACAGATTTCTGAGCAAATAAAATGGTGATTTTAAGCCACTAATATTTTGTGAACATTTATTACATTGCAGTAGATAATCCAAGCATACACTTATGTCATTCATGATTTCCCTTGCAGAAAATTAGTATATTAGAGTGTCACCCCAGACCTTACCAAAGGTATTATGTAATATATGGTACATGCACATTTTACCTTTCTAAATTGAAAAACAAAATCTGAATTTAGAAATTCATCTGACCCCAGGAATTTTAAGAGAGGATTGTCCTTTGTTAATATTATGGAAATAAAGTTGTCTAGACTCCGTCTTTTACGTTCACTAAATGTCATGCATAATGCTTGAGTCTCCTCCAGCCATTTCATGTATGTATCTCTTATTTCCCCAAACTCATTAACAGTTTCTCTAAAGCAGCAGCTAACTTCAGCATGCATCAGTGTCTTTTGGAGGGCTTGTTCAAACACAGCTTCCTGGCTCCACCCTCAGAGTTTCTGATTCAGAGGGTCTGGGGGTGGGGCTTGAGACCTTGCATTTTTGATAAGTTCCCAGGGAACTTACCTGCTGTTGGTCCAAGGACCACTTTGAGAACTACTGCTCCAGGGAGAAGTGCTATATTTTAAATTTTAAGAATTTACCCACCAGCCCAAGGTGCTTACCAAATGCACATGGATGGAATCTCTCCAAATCTACATCTTTGCCATGCTTTTGAAGCCTTAACTTTTACTCCTGGAGGTCTTCCTGGCTAGGCCCTAGACTTAAAAGACACTAATTCCTTGTTTTATTTTATTAGATTGTCGTTTTTGCTTTCTTCTCAGCACACTTGATAAGACACTGTGAAGAAAATGTCCCTTCTGATCTCGTTTTTAACCTGTCTTGGAACAGATCAGCAGAAATGCCTTCACTGTGAATCAAAGATACCCTCGATTTATAGCCAAAGATTATTTCCTTTTCTTTTGGTGGCTTCCAGATAAAATGTTTCTTGCTACCCTTTCACAAAATAGAAGGAGGGACCAAGCGGAAGATAATCTTTTTGTTCAGAGGTCCATCTGTCAAAGCCTGCATTTTAGAGATGGCATTACTGAGGTCCAAAAACTAGAGCCACTCGCTCTGGGTCATACAGCCGATAAACGCACGCAGCCGAGCTCAGTTCTTCCCTGACCCTGTTACAAACTGCCTCACTAAATGAGGACCCCCATCCCCTTCCCATGCCAGGAAAGCACAGCTCATTTGTCCTAAAGTTAACATTACACAAATCACACCCTTCAAGCCTTCTTGAAACATTTTTTTTCCCCGAGGGTGACGGGACGGTTACGCTGATTCATCCTGGCCAGGGACCCCAAACATCTCCCCTCCTCCGGCCCAGGCGCCGTCACCCAGGCTCCACCGGTCCGCGGGACAGAGCCGCGGAGAGCGCCTGGAAGCGTCGCGCCCTCAAAGCCAAGCGATTAAGTTGGTTCCTCAAATTGTTCCCGACAGGAGGGGCAGGAAATAACACCGGGCTCTGGCGGCGGCCGCAGCAGGAGGGGGAGAAGAGCGGGCCGTCTCCCGGGCAGTGCTGGCGGCCTCTCATCGATCTCGGGTCTAAGGTCCGGCCGGGTCATCATTCCTGCCATTTCCACAGCATTCGAGGTACCACATCACCCCCTGCCTCGGTCGTCGCTCAGTCATTCCCTCCGCGCCGAGTCCTGGAGCGGCGGAGTCCCTGGAGGCCTGGGTTTCCTTAAGGGGCCCCAATGCCCGCAGCCCCCGACCCGCCCAGGTGGAAGGAAACAGGCTGCGGGCCTGGGCCAGGCGGGGCCTGACAGAAGTAAAGGCCGGGAGGGGGAGCGGAAGACGGCCAGAAGGACCCCTGCGCCCTCTCCTCCGCGCCGCCCGCCAGGCTGCCAACCCAGCCACCCTGGGTGCGACGCGGCGCCTTCTCCGCCGCTGGGAGTCGGGCAACAGGTGAAGAGGGCGGGCGTCCGCGGCGCCTCCGCGGGGCGGTCCCTCTCCTGCCCGCCTCCCGCCCGCCCCTCTCCCCGCCCCCTCCCCTCCTCCGGGCCTCCACCGCCTTCCCCGGCTGCCCGGCAGCCTCCCCTCGCTCGCTCTCCTCTTCCTCTAGGGCCCCAGCGCAGCTCGGGAGCCCGCGCACCGAGGCGCTAGGGGCACCGCGCACTAGAGGGACACCCGCCGCGCCTGGACAGCCCCCGGCGGGCGCCCCCCTCGCACCTCCTGCCCCGCGCGGGCCGCGCTCCCCTCCCCCGCGCCTGTGTCCCCAGGGCGCAGGGCCGCGCGTCCAGCCCCAGACCCGCCGGGGTCCCTGGGGACGCGCCAGCCCGGCAGTGGCTCGACGATGGAGGAGCCGCAGCGCGCCCGCTCGCACACAGTCACCACCACCGCCAGCTCCTTCGCAGAGAACTTCTCCACCAGCAGCAGCAGCTTCGCCTACGACCGGGAGTTCCTCCGCACCCTGCCCGGCTTCCTCATCGTGGCCGAGATCGTGAGTGCCGACGGGCCGGGGGTGGCGGGGGGCTCAGCTGGACCCCGGCGCGTGCTTCCGCCGTGCTTCTCGGGATGGAGCCTGCTCAGATCTTCCCGCGGGCTTTAGGGAACCGTTTTTGCTCAGCCTCGCCTTCTTCCCAAAGTGAAAGACTCTAAACAAGGTCCAGGAAACTCGGGCTGTCCTGGGAAGAAAGGGTTGTGATCCTCAGGATGTCTTGCTGTGGGAGAAATTCAGCTTGTTGGGTCCTCTCGGTGGCGGCGGCAGATCCTGGGAGCAGGAAGCTTGGCTTAGTGGCTATTGAGTTTGTGTTGAGTGTCAGAGACACCTGGTGCCTTTCTCACCTGATCTCCACGTGGATGGCCTCCTCCCTGAAAATAAAGCTTCCTAAGATCAGGGGAAGAGGAAAGGGCTTCTTTCTTTTCCTAATTATCTCCCTGGTAGTAACATTGAGGTGAGTCAGGAAAATTTTACTGAATAAAATCTGAGTGCCATAACCTATTTTAGGACCAAAGAGGTCTTTTGCATGGTGCTGTGCACATCCTGGTTTAGGCTCAGAACATTCCTGGGAAGGAGGCAGGGCATGGGCGTTCTTCTCTTCATTGGAGGGCATAGAGGCTGAAAACTCACGTGATCTTCCCAGAAGTCCCAGCCAGTCCTTCATAGCTGAGAAAGGACTGGAGTCCTGTCAGCAGTTAGAGGTGGTCACTGTTTGAGTCTTCTTCGTGTACCAGGATCTTGTCAAGCCCTTTAGATGTCCTCATACCCTCGTGTAATCCAACGACCACCCTCCCCTGTGAAGGCCTAGAGAGGGGACGTAAATCACACCGGTGGATGGTGAAGCATGGATTCAAACCCAGGCCTGCCTTTCTGCAGGGCCGTGCTCATAACTGCAAGCAGTTGAGACAGCTTCCAGCTGCCCCAGCAGTGCCCCTCTGTCATCTCTCACAGACTTTTGTTAAATATTTGGGAATTGAAAATGAGCCTATGTGGGAGTTAGAGAATGGGCACACCATCATGGTGCAGAAGTGACTGAAGACCTGGGCGGTTCCTTTGAGAAACCTGAAGTAAATCTTGTGTACCTCAAGTAGCTTGCTTGCTCCCCCAGTCTCAGATACCACCCGGACCTGCTCTATGAAGCCCCTGGTGGTCATAATGCACATAAGGTATGAGAAGTGTTGGCTTAGCTCCTCTCCCAGCTGGTTCCCTCAGCGAGTATTGAGGACTTCAGGAGACTCAAAAGCTGAAGGTATTGGAATCGCCTTGCAGGGCCTAGCTTTTAGGAGTTCAACAAATATTTGCTGTGCAAATGAAGGAGTTGGCAGGCTCCTCTGCTTCAGCAGCGCAAACAAAAGCTAAAATGACAGAGATGGGCCTTCTACCTTGGGGTGGATTTGGGCCAGGCATGAAGTATAACGCCTTTGGGTTTTTTTCTGATTTATTATCGATATGCTCTGTGTACTGCGCTTTTTCAGGAAATACAAAAGTGAAAGAAATGTAAGTGGCCCACAATCCCATTACTAGAAATAATCACTGTTGACATGTTAGCATGTATCCTTTTAGATTTCATTAAGCGTTTTGAAAAAGATGGGAAAACATGTAAGCAAAATCACCCTTATTACTACTATAGTTTTTATTTTTGACAGAGCTAATTATGCACCTTTTTTGTTTGTTTTGTTTTGTTTTGAGACAGGGTTTTGCTCTGTCTCCCAGGCTGAGGTGCGGTGGCACCATCATGGTTCACTGCCGCCTTGACCTCTTGGGCTCAAGCGATCTTCCCATCTCAGCCTCCCAAGTAGCTGAGACCACAGGCATGCACCAACACACTTGGATAATTTTTAATTTTTTTCTAGGGACGGGGTCTCTCTGTGTTGCCCAGGCTGCTCTGAAACTCCTAGGCTCAAGCAATCCTCCTGCCTTGGCCTCCTAAGGTGCTGGGATTGTAGGCATGAACCACTGTGCCCCACCTTATGCACATATTTTAAAGATTCGGTCCTACAGGCAGAAATATAAGTTTCTCCCAGTGTCTTCATCTCTTTGAGCTCTAAACAACGTGTTTATAATGCTGTTTATTGGTGTTCCCTCACCCACCCAGTCATAGACATTATCCATTGCCTTTCTACTCTGAAAGATGAGGCTTTAGCTGGGATGCCCTCTTCCCTGCCTCCAATTATACATACCCTCTTCCTGTCTCCCAATATAGGTCCAAACACTTCTGATGGTTCAACTTAGGAATTTTCAGCTTTACAGATGTTGTAAAAGCAGTATGCATTCAGTAGAAATCATACTTCGAATTTTGAATTTTGGTCTTTTCCCAGGCTAATGATATTCGGTAGATATTTTTTCATGATGCTGGTCAGCTCTCAGCCACCCATGCCATCACCAGCGCAAACCACCCATCCTCTCCAGCATGCTGTGCTGCTGGGTGATTCTGCCAGCTGTAGGCTAACCTAAGTGTTCTGAGCACGTTTAAGATAGGCTAGGCTTAGCTATGATGTTTGGTAGGCTAGGGGTATTAAATGCATTTTTGACTTCGGATACTTTCCACTTAGGATGGGTTTATCAGGATGTAACCTCATTGTTAAGTCAAGGGGCATCTGTATAGTCTTCAGGTGATTTGGGTTAGATCAGCAGCCAGTGTTGACCTATGACACTGTAAATACCACTTACAACTGACCCAGTGCGTAGACTATGAATGCTTTTCCTTTCCTGCCCAATTTCTTGTTTGCCCTGGTGTTAGTAATTCTCTTTTCTCATTTCATAATTTCTCCAGATATTTAGTCACTAATTTAACCCTAGTTGTTTAAGTCTCCTATCAAGAAGCTGAGAGACATCAGGTATTCTGTCAGAATCGTCTTCATGACTGGCCTCTCTGGGAGCCTCTGGCCTGGTGGCCTGCACACAGCTGGCCGACTGGGCTCTCCTGCACCATCACTCTGAAGATTCTCTTCCTTTCTTTCCTGGGTTGGATCCTCTGCTTCCCATGTCCAGTGTCCTCTGTCTTGCTTTGCTCCCACTGGGGGGACACACAGCCTCTTGTAGTTTTCTAAGAAAGCATGCATGTGGAAATGGAAATTTGCACCTTTCAGAATAGCTTGATTCTATACACAATTCCTAGTTCAACTAGGTAGAGAGTGTTAGACTGAAAATGTTTTTCTTCAGAATTTAAAATGTATTCTTTTATTGTCCTTTAGCTATTCTGATTTAATTTTGTTTTGTTTTGTTTGAGACAGTGTCTTACTCTGTCATCAGGCTGGAGTGTAGTGGTATGATCACAGTGCAACCTACCCCTCCTGGGCTCAAGTGATCCTCCCACCTCAGCCTCCCAAGCCAGCTGTGACCACAGGCATGGGCCACCATGCCTGGTGGATGATTTTTTTGTATTTTTTGTAGAGACAGGGTTTCGCCATGTTGCTCAGGCTGGTCTCGAACTCCTGAACTCAAGTGATCTGCCCACCTCGGCCTCCCAAAGTTCTGGGATTATAGGCATGGGCCACTGCACCTGGCTGTAAAAATTTTTATTTCAATTATTTATCTCCCTCTACCCCCTGACTTCTGGAAATGTGTTGAACCTTCTTTTTCCCAGAGATCTAAAATATCACAATGATGTGCCTTCATATGAGTGTGTTTTCTCCCAGTGTACTGGGCACCTGGTGTGTTCTCTCAAATAAGGAAAATTCACGTAAGTTTCAGGAGACTCCTCCCCATTTTTACAAAGGTATTTTAGTAAACAAAATACAATTTTTTTTTTTTTTTGAGACAGAGTCTGGTTCAGTTGCCCAGGCTGGAGTGCAGTGGGTCTCATAATGTCACTCAGGCTGGAATTGCAGTAGTGCAATCCCAGCTCACTGCAACCTCTGCCTCCTGGGTTCAGGCAATTCTGGTGCCTTAGCCTCCCAAGTAGCTGGGATTATAGGCGTGCACCACCAAGCCTACCTAATTTTTGTATTTTTCATAGAGACAGGGTTTCGCCATGTTGGCTGGGCTGGTCTCGAATTCCTGACCTCAAGTGATCCACCTGTCTCAGCCTCCCAAAGTGCTGGGATTACAGGTGTGAGCCACCTCACCTAACCAAAATAAAATGATAGCTCTCTTAAAAGTTTATAAAAATAAACATTTATACATTGTTGGTCAGGCGTGGTGGTTCACACCTGCAGTCCCAGCACTTTGGGAGGCTGAGGCCAGCAGATTGCCTGAGCCCAGGAGTTTGAGACCAGCCCAGCCAACATGGCGAAAACCCATCTCTACTGAAAATACAAAAATTAGCCCAGCATGGTGCTGGGCATCTGTAGTCTCAGCTACTCGGGAGGCTGAGGCAGAAGGATCATTTGACCCCAGGAGGTCGAGGTTGCAGTGAGCTGGGATTGCGCCACTGCATTCCAACCTGGGTAACATTGTGAGACCCTGTCTCAAAAAAAAAAAAAAAAAAAATCACATTCTTTTAAAAGTATAGGTTGGGAGTGTATCCTCGGACACATTTTTGGATAATTGTCTTCTCTTCTCAGCTGCAGTCCACTCAGACTGACTTTTACATTGTGAATTCAGGAAGGCAGTACAGCTCACTGTGGTTGAATGCATTTGACCTGTGTTCAGTTTCTGGTTCTGCTCTTCACCATGTACAGTGTGAGCCATTCTTTCAATTCGAAAGTATCTCATAGAGTTGTCAGGACCCAAACAACACAGCTGTGCATGAAATGCTTAGCAAAATACCCTGGATTACTCTTCAGTTATCTCCTTCTCTCATTGATGCCTCTCTTCAGCTTCCAGTTTTGCTGTTTTGCTTCCAGCCTTTTCCTTTGGTATATTTTAACTCCAGCAAATGCCAGACAGAGAATTAATGGTTTCTCTGCCAAGATATTATAGCAGCAGGGATGAGTATTCAAGCATCTTCCAGTTCATGGTAGACCAACTTTGAATTCACTCCTGATCAACATAGCTGCCCCCTGCGCCGCCCTGACAAGTACGTGAGGAGAGGGAGCTGTGGAAGGTCAGGTCCAGGGAGCTAGAAGGTTTGATAGTTTCTGGCTGCAGAACCACCTGCACTTGCCCTGCACACCAACCAAGATCTTACCTAAGGAGTTTTTTTGAGACAGAGTCTCACTGTGTCACCCAGGCTGGAGAGTGCAGTGGCACAATCATAGCTCACTGCAACCTGGAACTCCTGGGCTCGAACAGTCCTCCCGCCACAGTCTCCTGAGGAACTGGGATTACAGACATGCACTGCCAATTCTCAGCTAATTTTTTGTTTAGAAACGGGGGTCTCACTGTGTTGCCTAGGCTAGCCTTGAGCTCCTGGCCTCAAGCAGTTCTCCTCCTTAGGCCTCCAAAAACACTGGGATTGCAGGCATGAGCCGTTGCGGCCAGAAGATTTTTTGTTTAATTCGAATTTTCTCTTTCCATTTTCTCAGTTCTTTCTAAAACTCCTTTTATACTTTTTTCTTTGCATATATTTTCTCATGATTTTTTTCTAACTGATCTGTGATATGCTGTTTGCTTTTACTATGCCGTGAACATTTTTCAGGGTCTTGGACCTTTTGAATTATTACCGTTTTCTGTCGTAAAGAAGTACCATACCTGGTTTCCCCAGTTTTCTATTTTAAAACTAATGTGTTTCTAGGGTTTACTAGCATAACCAGTGCTGTAGCAATCTTTTTCTTTGTCTGTCTTTCCACATTTGTCCAGTGCTTTTCTTGAGGAAAAGTTCCTTGAGGTAGAATTGTTGGGCTAAAGGGTATATAAATCTAAGGGTTTTGTGACATAGTCTGAAGTTATCTTCCCCAAAGTTCTACTGGTTGAAACTGTCATCAGTAGTATGAGCCTTTTAAACTAAAAATACTTTAAAAAAATTCCAAATGTTAATGATCACCTTAAATAACGTACTGTGTTTTATTGATTATAATGGGTAGTTTTTGTTCATGTTTTAATATCTGAATCAGGATACTGCTTATAATTGATGGTTTCTTGGATGTCATGAAATATGGACCCATTGATTCTTTATCTGGGGATACAGGAGTGTGTCTGTTTCAAACCTTTGCAATCCCATTCCTGAGACTAAGATATACCTACCCCCAGAAAAATGCTACTTTCTGCCTTGTGAAAACAAAATACTGAGACAAAGAATTACTAAGAACCTGACTTCCTGCCTGAACCTGGGGAAATGAAATTAGGCAGAGAACAAAGCAGTGTTTTTTCAAATCACTTGTCAAAATCGCTTGCTCTGGTTTTGGGGGTGAGTGGTAGTAGCTGTACCTATTAAAACACTCAAGGCTGTGCCAATGTAACATCATGTGGAAACCAAATCATGGTAGTTTCCTTCCTTTTAAAGTTTTATAACAAGCTAGAAGCAATCCAGTACTTGACCTGTGAATTGTAGGATGCTGTGATCTCATAACTATTACAAGTACTTGAAGAATGAAAGTGATTTGTAAGAATCTTAGTAAATTGTGCCCTTCCTGTTATTGATGACTTCGAAATGAATTATAGTATCCATGTAATAATGTTAGGTCACCTTTTATTTATTTACTGTCTTGAGCAAACTTAGTTGGGGAAGGATAAATAGGGTTTACTGAGAGTTGGAATTTTAATTATTCTGTTGCCCTGTTGAGTTCCTTTAAAAAATAGTGAACATAGTTTCCATTTCATAAAAGCAATACCCGACATTTGTAGAAAAAACTTTTATTTATTATTATTATTACTTTGAGATAGAGTCTTGTTCTGTCCCCCAGGCTGGAGTGCAGTGGCGTGATCTTAGCTCACTGCAACCTTAGCTCACTGCAACCTCTGACTCTCAGGTTCAAGCAATGCTCATGCCTCAGCCTCCTGAGTAACTGGGTTTACAGGTATGCACACCACTGTGCCTGGCCAATTTTTGTATTTTTAGTAGAGACAGGGTTTCACGAAGTTAGCTAGGCTGGCCTCGAACTCCTGGCCTCAGGTGATCCACCCACCTTGGCCTCACAGTTGTTCCAGAATTTAAGTTATATATTATCTGTAATTGTTTTTTAAAGCATACTCTCTTGTAAACTACTCTTTTTGTTTCCTGCTGTGACCATCTGTGCTGGATACCTTCCATTTGTCCTTCACATTCCCTCTCCACCCTGATCCTGCATGGACTTATTAAGGGCCCCCCTGCCATCTGATGTCCCACTGGCCGCATCTACTGGTGTCATCAGCATGAGGCTGTTGGGTGAGAGGAGAGCAGGTTCTGGACATTCATTCCCCAGGGTTCCTCCCTGCTGGGTCTCTGCTGGTTGTCTGCGTCCCTCCACAGAAGACAGGCTACCTAGCAGCTCTCGGCACACTGCTTTTTTCCCTGAGTTTGATAACTATTCGCTCACCCCTGCTTCTGATTGCCAAGTACTGCCCTATAGCTTGTGGTTTTCCTGTACCCTGCTTTATAAACAACACCCTTATTAAACCCTACTCAGATTACCCAATCTGAATGTGCCTGCTTTCCTGCTGAGACCTGATATATTACCTGTTTTCATCAATGATTAATTTCTTATGGCATTCATAATGGCCACATAGTATTCCATAAATATCCAGGCTCCTACTGTTCAATGTATGTTTATTTCCTCCTTTTACCAGTTCCATAACATCTTTTAAGCTAAATCTTTCTGGATGTTCTTTAGTGTTTTCTGAGGATGATTACTTAGAATTGATAAGAGGGTATATGAATCTTCTTTAAAGATAAGTTTATTGGCTGGGCATAGTGGCTCATGCCTGTAATCCCAGCACTTTGGGAGGCTGAGGCAGGAGGATCACCTGAGGTCAGGAGTTCAAGAGCAGCCTGGCCAACATAACAAAACTCATCTCTACTAAAAATACAAAAATCAGCTGGGCGTAGTGGCAGGCACCTGTAATCCCAGCTACTCTGGAGACTGAGGCAGGAGAATCGCTTGAACCTGGGAGGCAGAGGTTGCAGTGAGCCGAGATTGCACCGCTGCACTCTAACCTGCGTGACAGAGTGAGACTATGTCCCAAAAAATAAAAATTAAAAAAAGATAAGTTTATTAAGATATACAGTAAATCCACATTGTTTAGTGTAGAGTTCTATGAGTTTTGGCATTTGTGTTTTTGAAAAATAGCTTTATTGAGATATAATTACATATAAAATTGACCTTTTTAAAGTCTACAACTCAGGGGTTTTTAGGATATTCACAGAGTTGTATAATTATCACCACTGTCTTATTTTAGAATTTTTTTTCCCCTGAGATGGAGTCTCACTCTTTCGCCCAGGCTGGAGGGCGGTGGCACAATCTCAGCTCACTGCAACTTCCGCCTCCCAGGTTCAAGCAGTTCACCTGCATCAGTGTCCTGAGTAGCTGGGATTACAGGCGTGCGCCACCACACCTGGCTAATTTTTTCTTTTTTTTTCTGACTTTTTAGCAGATATGGAGTTTCACCATGTTGGCTAGGCTGGTCTCAAACTCCTGACCTCAAGTGATCCACCCACCTCGACCTCCCCAAGTGCTGAGATTACAGGCGTGCACCACCACGCCCAGCTAATTTTTGTATTTTTAGTAGAGATGAGGTTTCACCATGTTGGCCAGGCTGGTTTCGAACTCCTGGCCTCAAGTGATCCATCCATCTAGGCCTCCCAAAGAGATGAGATTATAGGCGTGAGCCACCAGACCCAGCTGAATATTTTCTCTTTTAAAAATTTTTTGAAATGTCTTCCTACTGTCACTACCCTTATTCAAAGAACATTTTCATCCCTCAAAAACAACCTCATCCCTATTAGTAGTCACTCCCCATTCCTCCCTTCCCTCAACCTTTGGTAACAACCAAGTTACTTTCTATCTTTATGAATTTGCCTATTCTGGACATTTCACATAAATGGAATCCTATGTGGCCCTTTTGGTCTGACTTAATTCACTTAGCATCATGTTTTTAAGGGTCATCCCTGTTGTAGTATGTATCAGTACTTCATTATTTTTAAATTGTCAAATATTTCAATGATGTATACATTATTTTATTTACTCATCAGTTGATGGAGTTTATAATAGGTACTTCGTGTTCATGTTTTAATATCTGAATCAGGGTGCAGCTTATAATGGATGCCAAATTCATATACTGCTAAAACAAACAAAAACCTGGCAGCTGGGATTTCAATCTGGATTCTGTTGCGTCTATAGATCAATTTGGTGAGTACTGCCATCATAACAAAATGAAGTCTTATAACCTATGAACATGGGATGTTCATATTGCCTATTACGAATAATGCTGCTGTGAACTTTCATGTATAAGCTTTTTTTTTTGACACACAGTCTCACTTTGTTGCCCAGGCTGGGGTGCGGTAGCGCGATCTTGGCTCACTGCAACCTCCGCCTCCCCAGTTTAAGCGATTCTCCTGCCTCAGCCTCCTGAGTAGCTGGGATTACAGGCACCCGCCACCACACCTGGCTAATTTTTGTGTTGTTTTAGTAGAAACTGGGTTTCACCACATTGGCCAGGTTGGTCTCGAACTCCTGACCTCAGGTGATCCACCTGCCTCGGCCTCCCAAAGTGCTGGGATTACAGGCATGAGCCACCACACCTGGCCCATGTTTTTTTTTTTTTAATTAAAAGTGTTTTTTTTTAGAGACATGATCTCACTCTGTTGCCAGCCTGTAGTGCAGTGGCATCATCATAACTCATTGTAACCACAAACTCCTGGGCTTGAGCCCAGGCCTCCAAGTAGCTAGGACTACAGGTGTGGGCCACTATGCCTGGCTAATTGTTTAATTTTTTGTAGAGACAGGGTCTTGAATTCCTGGCCTAAAGTGATCCTCCCACCTTGGCCTCTCACAGTACTGGATT
The DNA here is from genome assembly GCF_000001405.40 of Homo sapiens. Classification (NCBI taxonomy): domain Eukaryota; kingdom Metazoa; phylum Chordata; class Mammalia; order Primates; family Hominidae; genus Homo; species Homo sapiens. Next base: position 32,248,921 of record NC_000003.12, read on the forward strand.
ACAGTCATGGCCCACTCTGCCCAGCCCATGTATGAGCTTTTATGTGTACATGTGTTTTCAGTCCTCTTGAGCATTTAGCAAAGAATGGAGTTACTGGGTAATGTGGAATCTTTTTTTTTTTTTTTTTTTTTTTTTTTTGATACGGAGTCTCACGCTTTCGCCCAGGCCGCACTGCAGGCCTGGACTCCCAAAGGTAATGTGGAATCTTTATGTTTAATATTGAAGTGGCTCAGTGTCGTGGCTCACGCCTGTAATCCCACCACTTTGGGAGGTCAAGGCAGGCAGATCGCTTGAGCCCAGGAGTTCAAGACTAGCCTAGGCAACATGGTGGAACCCCATTTCTACAAAAAATAGAAAAAATTAGCTGGGCACGGTGGTGTGTGCCTGTAGTCCCAGCTACTCAGGAGGCTGAAGTGGGGGGATCACTTGAGCCAGGGAAGTTGAAGCTGCAGTGAGCTGAGATTGTGCCACTGCACTCCAGCCTGGGTGACAAAGTAAGATCCTACCTCAAAAAATGAAAAAAAAAAAAAAAAATTGAAGCACTGCTAGACTGTTTCCAAAGGGACCGTACTGCTTTACAATCCCTGCTGCAACATGAGAGTTCTAATTCTTCACATCCTCATCAAGACTTATTTTCTTTGATTCTGACCATCCTAGTGAATGTGAGATCGTATCTCATTGTGGTTTGGGTTTGCATTTTCATCATGACTAATGATATTGAGCAATCTTCATGTGCTTAGTGGTCATTTGTACATTTTCTTCAGAGAGCTGACTATTCAAATCCTTTGCCTATTTTAAAAATGGGTTAATTTGTCTTTTATTGTTGAGTTGTACAAGTTCTTTATACATTCTGGGATAAATCCCTTATCAGATATATGATTTGAAAGTATTTTTCTCCCATTCTGTCTGTTATCTTTTCACTTTTCTAGACTATGTCCTTAGAAGTACAAAGGTTCTTAATTTTGAAAAAGTCCAATTTTTATAGTTTTTCTTTTGTCATTTGTGCTTTTGATGTCATATCTGAGAAGGCTTTGACTAATCCAGGGTCACAAAGATATACTCTCTATTTTCTTCTAAAAGTTGTAGGTCTTATATTTAGGTCTATGATTCGTTTTGAGTTCATTTTTGTATATGATGTGAGGGAAGGGTTTAACCTCAATCTTTCACATATGGATATCAATTGTCCCAGCACCATTTATTAAAAGACTGTTTTTCTCCCATTGAATTATCTTGGCACTCTTGTTGAAAATCAAATGATCATAAATATAATGGTTTATTTCTGGATTCTCAGTTATATTTGATTGATGCACATCTCTACTCTTATGCCAGTACCATGCTGTATTGATTACTGTAACTTTGTAGTAAGTTTTGAAATTCAAAATGCGAGTCCTCCAACTTGGTTCTTTTTTAAAGTTGTTTTGGCTATTCTGGGCCCCTTGCATTTCCAAATAAATTTTAGGATCAGCTTGTCATATAGTACCAAAACAAACTACCAAAAACCTGGCAGCTGGGATTTCAGTCTGGATTCTGTTGAATCTATAGATCAATTTGGTGAGTACTGCCATCATAACAAGATCAAGTCTTATAATTTATGAACATGGGATGTCTTTATATTTATTTAGGTCTTCTCTAATTTCTTTCAACAATGTTTTGTAGTTTTCAGTATACATGTCTTGCCCTTCTTTTGTTAAATTTATTTCTAAGTATTTTATTCTTTTTGATGCTATTTTATTTCTTTTTGATGGCAGTATTTTCTTAAATTCATGTTTGGATTGTTCAGTGCCAGGTTATAGAACTCCAATTGAGTTCTTTTTTATTTCTTTCTTTTATTTTATATAAAAAATTTATACAAAAAAATTATAGGGTTTCACCATGTTGCCCAGGCTGGTCTCGAACCCCTGAGCTCAAATGATCCACCTGTCTCGGCCTCCCAAATTGCTGGGATTACAGCCGTCAGCCATCATGCCCAGCCTCCAAATGAGTTCTATATCCTTTCTGTGGTATTCTATAACTTTGTTGACCTAATTTACTAGTTCTAATAATTATTTTGTGGTTCGACATATGTTTTTAAGGCTTTTGGTGTTGCTGCCAAAGTTATACAAAAAAGTTCATACCAGTTTGCATCCTAATGGTGTTTCAGCATATAACAAGATTTGTTTCTGCAAATACTGAAATTTTCTTTTGATATTTGCCAACTTGTTTGGGGTGGGAGATATTTGGAATAATAAAAACCAATTTGGCATGGGCACCAACTGGTCAGAGAGAACACCAGCTATAAATAATATTCAGGGGAGCCTGAACATATGAAAAAGAGCAAATTGTTTTTATTTGCATTTCTGTGATCATTAAAGTTGAACATTTTAAATATGCTTATTAGACATCTATTTTTAATTAATTCATTCATTTTTTTTGAGACAGGGTCTCACTCTGTTGCCCAGGCTGGAGTGCAGTGGTGTGATCATTGCTTACCGCAGCCTCAACCTCCTGGGCTCAGGTGATCCTCCCACCTCAGCCTCCCAAGTAACTGGGACTACAGACACATGCCACCACACCCCGCTAATTTTTTGTATTTTTGGTGGAGACAGGTTTTGCCATGTTGCCCAGATTGGTCTTGAACTCCTGGGCTCAAGCAGTCCACCTGCCTCAGCCTCCCAAAATGCTAGGATTACATGCCTAAGCCACCATGCCCAGCCACATCTGTTACTTTTTATTATTATTCATGCCACTTTTTTTGTCAGAAATTCTAATTTGTATGAAATCTAAACTGTTATCTTCCTTTAGCCTTCTGGGCATTACTTAGCTAAACAGGGCTTCCCAAGCCACAAGGTTACACAAATATTTGAAGAAAATATAGGGGAATTTTTTTTTTTTTAATATTTACTTTTTTGGTTGGGTGTGGTGGCTCACACCTGTAATCCTAGCATTTTGGGAGGCTGAGGCAGGCGGATGGCTTGAGCTCAGGAGTTCGAGACTAGTCTGGGCAACATGATGAAACCCGGTCTCTACAAAAAACACAAAAATTAGCTGGTCATGATGGCATGTGCCTGTAGTCCCAGCTACTTGGGAGGCTGAGGTGGGAGGATGGCTTGAGCCCAGGAAGTGGAGGTTGCAGTGAGCCATGACCGTGCTGTCACTGCACTCCAGCCTGGGCAACAGAGCCAGACCCTGTCTCAGAAAAAATAAAAAAAATTTACCGTCTTAAATTTTAAGAAGTCTTTTTGTGTGTATAATGTAAGAATTTTACTTCTTTACCCAAGTGGATATCCAGTTGCATCACTATTAATCATATTTTATTTCCTTATATGCAGAACTATTTCTTAACCCTATCTTGTTCTATTCCTGTGTGAATTCCCAGGCCCTTTTAATTATTATAGTGTTATCATGTATTTTAATATTCAATAGGGTAAGCCATACAAAATTTTCTATTTCTTTGCTATCGCTGTATACTTATACTAACATTCAAGGTGATTTTTAGAATCAATGTGTCTTAAATTCCATTTCAACTTGGATTGTGATTTCATTATATTTATAAACTAATTTGAGGAGTTGACTTTCTGATGCCAAATCTTACCATCTGGGAATGTTGTATCTCTTCATTTATTCAGGTTATTTTATGTTCTTAAAGTGCTGAGTTTTTTCCAGATGAATCTTAGGCATTTCTTACTCAGTTTTAAGTATTTTCAATTTCTGATAAATGGGATTTGTCAAAAATGAATTGGATTTCACTCATTTCTGATTATTTGTGATTTATAAGAAAGCTGTTAATTTTTAAATTTTGGTCTTGTGTGTAGCTATCTCGAGTTATTCTCATACTTTTTGAATATGGGTGGTTTTCATTTTCTTTTTATACTTTTTTCCATTATTGCATAGGCTAAGATTGCCAGTATAATGTCAAATAATTGGGATGATGTAGATATCCTTGGCTTGCTCATAACTTTAATTGGATATTTCCAATATTATGATAGTACAGTTTTAACTGTAGGGTCTGTTATTCTTTATTGAGTTAAGGAAGGGAAGTTAACTGTGTACCCTTTTTAATTAGGAATGATTTGAGCAGTATGAATGGGAATGGACCTAGGAGATAGGATTGTTTTGGTGGGGAAGTGCTTTTTATTGAGGTGATCATTTGAGGTTTGTTTACTTCCATTGGCTAATGTAGTGAATTGTATTAGGAAACCTAATGTTGAATTATTCTTGTACTCTTGGGATAACCTCTACTTAGTTGTATTATTTTGATAAACTATTGAATTTAAATGTTTTTTACTCTTGGATTTGATTTATTAATATCACATCTAGGGATATCGTGGCTATGTGCATATGTAAAATCAGCCTTAGTTTCCTTTGCTATATTCCATTTTGTCTGATTCTAATCCTGTCAGACCAGCTTTTTTTGTAGCATTTATTTATTTTCTTGTCCCTTTATCTTTTTTTTTTTTTTTTGGAGACAAAGTCTTACTCTGTCACCCAGGCTGGAGTGCAGTTGGCGCAATCTTGGCCCACTGCAACCTTTGCCTCTAAGGTTCAAGTGATTCTCCTGCCTCAGCCTCCCTAGTAGCTGGGATTACAGTCGTCCGCCATCATGCCCGGCTAATTATTTTTGTATTTTTATTTTAGTAGCGACAGGGTTTCACCATGCTAGCCAGGCTGGTCTCAAACTCCTGACCTCAGGTGATCCACCTGCCTCAGCCTCCCAAAGTGCTGGGATTACAGGCGTGAGCCACCATGCCTGGCTTCTTCATCTTTTTAAACTAATCGTGGTAATTTATTTTCACCATGCATTTCTCCAATTTCTTTTTCAAGAGACCAGGTCTTGCTATGTTGCCCAAGCTGGAGTGCAGTGGCTGTTCACAGGTGAGATCATAGTACACTTCAGCTTTGAACTAATGACCTCAGACAATCCTCCCACCTCAGCCTCCCAAGTAGCTGGGACTGCAGGTGAGCACTAATGTGCCCAGCTTGTCCCTTTATGTTTTTATTTTTTTCAGGGGGGAGGATGGAGTTTCACGCTTGTTGCCCAGGCTGGAGTGCAGTGGCACAATCTCAGCTCACTGCAACCTCTGCCTCCCAGGTTCAAGTGATCCTCCTGCCTCAGCCTCCCAAGTAGCTGTGATCACAGGTGCACACCACCATGCCCAGCTAATTTTTGTATTTTTAGTAGAAATGGTGTTTTACCATGTTGGCCAGGCTGGTCTCAAACTCCTGACCTCAGGTAATCCACCCACCTCGGTCTCCCAAAATGCTGGGATTACAGGTGTGAGCCACTGCACCCGGCCTTGTCCCTTTATTTTTTAATTGAGTGGGATTTGTATAACATAAAATTAACCAGTTTAAAATGAACAATTGAGTGGCATTTACTACATTTACAATGTTGTATAATTGCCACTTCTAATTCCAAAACACTTCATGTTCTCCAAAAGGAAACACCCCTTTTATTTTTTACCTTTCCTTGTCATCTTGTTATAAGTACATCTTCTATATGTATCATATAGTTAGATTTTATTTGTATACCCAGTCTGAGAACGTGTCTTTCAATATGGAAATTTAACACATTTATATTTATTGTGATTATTTAGAATTCTTAGTTTTCCTTATTTTTTCCTCTAGTGATTGAAAGTTATAAATTCTATTTTGTTTGGAGTTACTTTAAAATTTTTACCCCAAATTTTAAGCTCATAATTTTCTAAATATCCAGATAATTAATCATGATATATAATTATATGATTCCATTCAAAAGACAATACTTTCCTCCTTACCTATTCCTGGCCACGTACTTTGTGTCAGCCAACTTTCTCTGGATTAAAAAAAAAATGACAGCTTTATTGAGATACAGTTTACATACTGTAAAGTTCACCCATTCAAAGTATACAACTAAGTGGCTTTTAGAATATTCATAGCATTGTGCAATCATCTACACTACAACTACTTTTAGAACATTTTCATTACCCTAAAAAGAAACCCCATACCCACTAACATATATTCTCCATTTCTTCCCAAATCCTCCCTCCACCATCCCTAGTCAGCTACTAATCTACTGTCTGTCTCTATAAATTTGCCTATTTTGGACATTTCCTATAAAGGGAGTCCTATAATATATGGTCTTCTTTGACTTATTTTTGTGGCTTCTTTCACTTAGCATAGTATTTTCAAGATTTATCCATGTTGTGGCATGTATCAGTATTTCATTTCTTTTTTTTTAACCAGCTAATAGTCCATTGTGTAGAAATACCACATTTTATTCATCTGTTCATGGACATTTGTTTGTTTCTGCCTTTTAACTATTATTAATAATGCTGTTAAGAATATTTATGTAGAAGGTTTTGTGTGGATACATATTTTTATTTCTCTTGAATATATTTCATGCTGTTAAGAGTGGAACCGCTATCATCATATGGTAACCCTCCATTTAACTTTTTGAGGAACTGCCAGACTATTTTTCAAAGTGTGTGTGCCGTTTTACAATCCCTGTACTACTTTTTAAAAAATGATTTCTTAGGAATCATTGCTTGGCAGTCATCTTAAGATTCCCACCCATATTACTGAACAACTATTTAGACTTAACCACAAATTTAAATTTGTTCACACTATTACTTTTCATGTTATTTTTTGTGTCACGTACTTTCTTGATTTTTCATTTTGCTGGAGGTACCTTTTTGAGTAATTATTTTAGAAAGGGTTTGAAAGTGGTAAACTTTTTGAGTCATTGCACATCCATTTCATCTTTCTTTTACCTTCATACTTGAATAATAATTTGGTTAGTATAAAGCTATAGATCTCAAAATTTCTTTTCATTAATTTTTACTCAGTTATTTTTTTGGAGGAGTGAGGACAGGATCTCACCATGCCACCCAGGATGGAGTGCAGTGACATGATCTTGGCTCACTGCAGCCTCAACATCCACAGGCTCAGGTGATCCTCCCACTTCAGCCTCCCGAGTAGCTGGGACTACAGGTACTTGCCACCATGCCCAGCTAATTTTTTTGTATTTTTTGTAGAGACAGGATTTCGCCGCATTGCCCAGTCTGGTCTCAAACTCCTCGGCTCAAGCAATACGCCTGCGTTGGCCTCCCAAAGTGCTGGGGTTACAGGTATGAGCCACCGTGCCCAGCCAAGAAAATTTTTTAAAATTAATTCTTTGAGGATATTGTTCCATTGTCTTCTAACATCCAGTGTTTTTTGTTTTTTGGTTTGTTTTGTTGTTATTAGGGTGTCACTCTGTCACCTAGGCTGGAATGCTGTGGCTCAAACATGGCTCAATGCAGCCTCAGCCTCCTGTGCAGGTGGGATCACAGGTGTGCACCACCAAGCCTGGATAATTTTTTTTTATTTTTTGTAGAGATAGGAGTCTCACTTTGTTGCCCAGGCGGGTCTCCAATTCCTGGGCTCAAGGAAGCCTTCTGCCTCGGCTTCCCAGAGTGCTGGGATTACAGGTGTGAGTCACTGTACCTGGCTGCATTCAGTGTTGTTAATAAGAGACTTGATGGTCTGGTAGTATCTAAACAGGCCTGTTAGGCTCAGTACCTCCCAGACCTTGTCCATTCATGAATGTGCATTCCCACAGACTTCGTTACAGCAGAGTCTTGTGTGAATGATGTCTTGCACTACTACCCATGCAAATGTAGCACTGGTGGTGTAGCAATAAATTGTAGGTGAAATGGGAGTGTTATATACAGGAGAAATGGCTTATGAAAGGCAGTTTTGTAACCATGTAAGATAATTATAGGGAAGTTTCTTCAGGTTGATGTGGTTTGGAATAAAAGATTGTTAAAGGCTTCCTTCGAGTTTCCCAAGTCCTGGTGGGATCTCTCCCTGCCCTCACTCTAATCTGGGAGGACTTAGGGAGACAAAGTTCCTTCTCTCAAGACAGCTCTAGCCTGATATTTCCTGGTGTTCCCTGCTGAGAATATATTCCTTGCATCTATTGCAGTAAACTGTAACTTCTATAATGTTTGTCAGAGGGCTAGCTTTCACTGGGCTTCAAATCCACTCCTCTGTGGGAATCAGGTTCTCTTTTCCTTTTAAGTAACTAAATGGTCTTTTTTCCCTCCCTAGAAGCTTTTGAAATTGTTTCCCTATCTTCAGGGATCTATGGTGATATCTCCCTAGATACCACTGTATGTCTGGAAGAAGCATGATCTCAGATCACTGCAACCTCTGCTTCCTGGGTTCAAGCAATTCTATGTCCCAGTAGCTGGGATTACAGGCATGGCCACTATGCCCGGCTAATTTGTGTATTGTTGTTAGAGACGGGTTTTTGCCATGTTGGCCCAGCTGGTCTCAAACTCCTGACCTCAAGTGATTCACCCACCTCAGCCTCCCAAAGTGCTGGGATTACAGGAGTGAGCCACAACACTGGAAAGGCATTCTTTATTTGTCCTCCTTGCCACTTTTTGGGCTCTTTATAAGTACTATACAAATCTAGCTTCGGCATAGGGAGATTTCTCTTATTTTCTGCATTGGTTCTTTGTTTTCTCCACTAAAGGAATCTTTATTCAATCCAGGAGGTCCAGGAGAGATTAAACTGTCTTCAATATCTCCTAATTTTTCTTTCATATTTCTCTTTGTACTTTGCAAATAGTGTAATTTTCTAGAAAAATTACACTTTAAGCCCAAATTCAAATTTCCAGTTAAGTATGCTCTGCCTTTCAACCCATCTATTGCTTTATTATGGTTTTAATAGTTTTAATTCCCAACAATTAGTCATTCTAAAATGTTTGCTTTTAGTCTGATCTCTTTTTTATTGAATCACTTTAAGGATCTTGAGTGTATTTTCTTTGTTTACCGAGAGACCACTTCTGCTTGTTGAATCTGTTGCTTCTCCTGTGCTGTTTTCTTCAGTCATTTGGTGATTAATGGTTGTCCATGTTTGTAATAGTAGATGAGATGACTGGAGACTGTTTGCTCAGCTTAAGTGAGAATCTCTGTACCTCGGCAGTGAATACAGGTTTTCATCGTGTGATATGCATCTGGTGGTTTTTCAGAGGAAAGGAAATATTGGCAGGGCTGGGAGGGGGAAGCTAGGGTAGTGGGGCTGCATGGGCTTTCTTAAGATGTGTGCAAATAGCTTATTGAAGCATCTGGAAATCTCAAATCTTTATCCTGGGGACTATTTCCAGAAGTCGCTGCTGGAGGGAGGGGGGCTTTAAATGTACTCTTTAGCAGATTACCCTTAACTCATTCCCTCTCCAACTTTGGTTATTGCTTCTAATCTTTGGTTTATCTGGGGGTCTGTTTGGAGGACTGTTTTTTTCAGTAGGTCCTCTATTTTCTGCTCCAGAGCTGCAGACAAGAAACTCCCTTGCTTATCATAGTTTGTTCTCAAGTGCCTTCCAGGAAGTTCTCACTGCTCCAGACTGCTGTTGCTGCTTTCTAGCTTTTCGGCACTACTACGTATTTTTTTAATTTGGGAGTGGGAGACATTTCAGTGGAATTTGGGAAGGATAAAGAGGTCCTAGCTACAAAGAAGTTCAGTAGTTTTGTTATTCACTTATAGACATTTTGAACATATATAAGGAATAATGACCCTCTTTCTGTGTTGTGAATATTTTTTCTAGCTTGTCCCTTAGTTTTATTTACAGTGCTTTGTTTTTTTTGTTTTGTTTTGTTTTGTTTGTGATAGTCTTGCTCTGTCACCCAGGCTGGAGTGCAGTGGCATGATCACAGTTCACTAAAGCCTCGACCTCCCAGGCTCAAGTGAGCCTCTCACTTTAGCCTCCTGAGTAGCTGGGACTACAGGCATGTGCCACCATGCCTGGCTGATTTTTTTAATTTTTTGTGGAGATGGGGTCTCAGTTTGGTGCCCAGGCTATTCTCAAACTTCCGGGCTCAAGCAATCCTCCTGCTTTGGCCTCCCAAAGAGCCATAGTGACTTTATTTACAAAATCTAAAGTTTATCTTCAAATCTCTCAGTCTTACTGTTTTCCCCATGTTGGGTGTCATCCTTAGAAAGTACTATCTCACTACATGTCGGCAAAGCCTGAGTTCTGTCCCCTCGCTTCCCCACCCCACTGCCCCCGGACAGCGTGAGCTTCACCACTCGTTCCACCTTCTCCTCCAACTGCCAGTCCGTGGGCTCTGTCCAGGGGCCCAGCTACTGGCATCCAGCCAGTCAGCAGTGCAGCAAGCATCTATGCAGGCGCCGGAGGGCAGGGGGTGGCTCTGGTTCCCGGATCACCGTGTCCTGCTCCACCAGCTTCCAGGGTGGCATGGGGTCCGGGGACCTGGCCGCAGGGACGGCCAGGGGTCTGGCAGAAATGGGAGGCATCCAGAGCGGGAAGGAGACCACGCACAGCCTGAACGACTGCCTGGCCTCCTACCTGGACAAAGTGAAGAGCCTGGAGACCGTGAACTGGAGGCTGGAGAGCAAAATCCCCTGAAGGGACCCCAGGTCAGAGACTGGGCCATTACTTCAAGACCATCAAAGACCTGAGGGCTCAGGTCTTCTCAAATACTGTGGACAATGCCCGCATTGTTCTGCAGATTGACAATGCCTGTCTTGCTGCTGATGACTTTAGAGTCAAGTATGAGACAGAACTGGCCATGTGCCAGTCTTTGGAGAATGACATTCATGGGCTCTTCAAGGTCATTGATGACACCAATGTCACTCGGCTGCAGCTGGAGACAGAGATCGAGGCTCTCAAGAAGGAACTGCTCTTCATGAAGAAGAACCATGAAGAGGAAGTAAAAGGCCTACAAGCCCAGATTGCCAGCTCTGGGTTGACCGTGGAGGTAGATGCCCCCAAATCTCAGGACCTTGCCAAGATCATGGCAGACATCCAGGCCCAATATGACGAGCTGGCTCGGAAGAACTGAGAGGAGCTGGACAAGTACTGGTCTCAGCAGATTGAGGAGAGCACCACAGTGGTCACCACACAGTCCGCCGAGGTTGGAGCTGCTGAGATGCCACTCACGGAGCTGAGACATGCAGTCCAGTCCTTGGAGATTGACCTGGACTCCATGAGAAATGTGAAGGCCAGCCTGGAGAACAGCCTGAGGGAGGTGGAGGCCCGCTACACCCTGCAGATAGAGCAGCTCAACGGGATCCTGCTGCACCTGGAGTCAGAGCTGGCACTGACCCAGGCAGAGGGACAGCACCAGGCCCAGGAGTACAAGGCCCTGCTGAACATCAAGGTCAAGCTGGAGGCTGAGATCGCCAGCTACCATCGCCTGTTGGAAGATGGCGAGGACTTCAATCTTGGTGATGCCCTGGACAGCAGCAACTCCATGCAAACCATCCAAAAGACCACCACCTGCCGGAGAGTGGATGGCAAAGTGGTGTCTGAGACCAACGACACCAAAGTTCTGAGACATTAAGCCAGCAGAAGCAGGGTACCCTTTGGGGATCAGGAGGCCAATAAAAAGTTCAGAGGTCATTGGAAAAAAAAAGTATTATCTCGCTAACAAAGCTAAATATAATGAACTATACGTTAATATTTTGCCTATATTTTTCATGTGCTTTAAAATATTTAACTTTAATATTGAAATGCATTTCAGCAGAAATATAAAGTTGGGCTCTAATTTTGTTTTCAAATGTCTACTCAGTTGTCCCAACATTTCATATTGGTAAATTCATTGTACATTCCCTTACCTGGATTGCTTTCTGTTTTTCATTTACTACTTGTATGTGCTTGGGTTCAACTGTATACTTTCTAGTCTGTTCTACTCTTTGTTTCAATGTTTTAATACCTGTAGTTCTAGATTACATGTTAACATCTGATAGGATAATCTATCCCAGCTGTGATTTTTTTAAAGTTTTTTTTTTTTCCCCCTGTTTTCACATGTTTATATGTTTCTTCTTCAAGTAGAGCTTTATAATTTTTTTCACAGTCACAGCTGGTGCCTCCTTTCCTTTGTTAGATTATATTGGATTTTTATATAACACATAGATTAATTTTGGGAAAATCATTTTATACTACCCTAGTTCCTAAGAGGGAAACTTTTCAGCTATTTCTTTGTCTCAGGTTATGTCTTAGTATTCATTCTTAAGCTCCTCAAGGTCTTTCCCAGTCTAAAATGCTATGAAGGTTGGATACAGTGGCTCATGCCTGTAACCCCAGCACTTTGGGAGGCCAAAGTCAGAGGATTGCTTGAGGCCAGGAGTTTGAGACCACACTGAGCAACGTAGCGAGACCATGTCTCTACAGAAAATTTAAAAATGAGCCAGGTGTGGCGGTGCATGACTGTAGTCCCAGACACTTGGGAGGCTGAGGCAGGAGGATTGCCTGGGCGACAGAGTGAGACTGTGTCCATCTCAAAAAAAAAAAAAAGAATAAAAACTAAGAAAACAAAATGCTATGAGTTTTACAATCCAAGTTAATAATACATATCTTGTGTATTGTCATAAAAATGTGTTAAATATTTACCGTGTGCCAGAATCTGTGTCTAGCCCTTAGAATATAGTGGTAAATAGCACCTTTCTATGTTTATTTAAACAAATGATCAATTATAGGAATTAAGACATGTAAAGAAAAATATGCTTAAAAATATATTAAATTATAGTAGGAAAAACTCAAGTTTTCAAATTTGAGGTGAAATTCAAGAGGCATTTATTCCTTGTAGGCATTTGGTCCTTTATTCACCCCATAGAGAGGGTTAAATCTAAAATTTGACAGGAAAATACCATTTGTTTGTTTGTTTTTGCTAAGATTTATGAGTAGCACTGTTTCTAGGAAGGTGCCCGTACTTTTCCTTAGATGAGCACTCTACCATTTAAAGGGTTTTCACGTTCATTGTCTCAGTTGATAATAAACCAGTCCCAGGTTATGGGGAATCCCTCCTTTCTTTCATTTCCATTTCTACTTGAACCATGATTTGAGGAAACAGTTCTTAAATAACACATGAATGAGTCAACCACACCCTTGTGGAGTTCAGTGTGAAACAAATGCCATCCGATTGCTTGTCCATCCTCTGTACACACCCATGAGATTCATGGTGCCAGCCTAGTAATATGTCCCTTTCATGGGAAAGTAGAATATTCATTGTCTTAGAGTTCAACTGAAGATGACAATCTACTGTAGCTGGTTGAAGCCGCAAGGGATTTATTATGCATCATTAGTTGGCTTCCAAAATTTTTGGTAGGGTTGGAGGAGCAGGCTCTAGGCTGAGCTTCCAGGAGCACCTACTGGAATCATACCATGGAACTGGCCTGCCATCAGAAGGAAGACGAGGAAGCAGGATCTACTCTCATGTCTGCTGGGTCCTGGATGTCCATTGTCCCCATTGCGAGTCATGATATCACATGGCTGCCCCCTGACTTGCCTCTCAACACCACGAAGCGAGGAATGGGACGCTGGGATTTCAGTTTTCTGTGGACTGCCACAGAAAAAGAAGTACCTTCTTGGCTATGTCTGCCAGCAGGAACAAAGAGGCATCCAAAGCATGTCCTTTGGGCCATGGCATTGTCTTTTTCCTTCTAAGTCTAGGATGGGTGTGTCTGCTGAAGCTACATCATTGTGTGGAACCTGAGCTGTGGTCCAGCTTTCCAGCCTCTAGTGAGCAGTAAGGCACACTGCAAGGGGAATGTGGCAGAGGTGAGTGGATCCACATGGAGTATTTACTACATCCACTTCATTGGATTCTACCTGGATCACTGTGTTGGAGGTGGAAGGCCATCTGTGATTTGTGGTGCTTCTAAAACATTCTAAGGACGTGCCCTATTTCAGTTAAGACACACATTTGATTTCTAGCTATGCAACCTTTACAACTGACCTGATACTTCCTGAACTTCCATCTGTAATAATGAGAAAGATAATGACGATGTCACATGTTAGTAGAAGATAAAGTGAGCAAAAATACACCGAAGCTCTGTCTCAGAGGAAAATATTAGCTTATTTCTTGGGTTACTGTAGGCTTATTTCTTCCCTTTTTTAATCAGCCGGTCCAAATATTGTACATTAATTCCCCCTGGACTGGGCTGTATTTGGAATGAGTGGTCATATCAGCTTCTAGTGAGTTTTCACACACTCAGCAATGAGCGGGAACATAGAATTTAGCCTCTCTGGTACATACTAGGGTTAGGATTAGGATCATACTTGTAACTAAAGAAAGCTTAAAAGCTATATTAAAAACCACAGAGCAGGGCAGTTCCAAAATAGCCGAATAGGAACAGCTCCAATCTACAGCTCCCAGTGTGAACGATGCAGAAGACAGATGATTTCTGCATTTCCAACTGAGATTGGAAGACAGTAGCGGTTCTCTCAGCACGCAGCTTGAGATCTGAGAACGGACAGACTGCCTCTTCAAGTGGGTCCCTGACCCCTGAGTAGCCTAACTGGGAGGCACCCCCCAGTAGGGGCAGACTGACACCTCACACAGCTGGGTACCCCTCTGAGACAAAACTTCAAGAGGAACAATCAGGCAGCAACGTTTGCATTTCACCAATATTCGCTGTTCTGCAGCCTCCGCTGCTGATACCCAGGCAAACGGTCTGGAGTGGACCTCCGGCAAACTCCAACAGACCTGCAGCTGAGGGTCCTGACTGTTAGAAGGAAAACTAACAAACAGAAAGGACATCCACACCAAAACCCCATCTGTACGTCACCATCATCAAAGACCAAAGGTAGATAAAACCACAAAGATGGGGAAAAAAACGAGCAGAAAAACTGAAAATTCTAAAAATCAGAGCGCCTCTCCTCCTCCAAAGGAACGCAGCTCCTCACCAGCAACAGAACAAAGCTGGGCCGAGAATGGCTTTGACGAGTTGAGAGAAGAAGGCTTCAGACAATCAAACTTCTCCGAGCTAAAGGAGGAAGTTCGAACCCATGGTAAGGAAGTTAAAAACCTTGAAAAAAGATTAGACGAATGGCTAACTAGAATAACCAATGCAGAGAAGTCCTTAAAGGACCTCATGGAGCTGAAAACCACGGCACGAGAACTACGTGACGAATGCACAAGCCTCAGTAGCCAATTCGATCAACCGGAAGAAAGGGTATCAGTGATGGAAGATCAAATGAATGAAATAAAGCGAGAAGAGAAGTTTAGAGAAAAAAGAATAAAAAGAAACGAACAAAGCCTCCAAGAAATATGGGACTATGTGAAAAGACCAAATCTATGTCTGATTGGTGTACCTGAAAGTGACAAGGAGAATGCAACCAAGTTGGAAAACACTCTGCAGGATATTATCCAGGAGAACTTCCCCAATCTAGCAAGGCAGGCCAACATTCAAATTCAGGAAATACAGAGAACTCCACAAAGATACTCCTTGAGAAGAGCAACTCCAAGACACATAATTGTCAGATTCACCAAAGTTGAAATGAAGGAAAAAATGTTAAGGGCAGCCAGAGAGAAAGGTCGGGTTACCCACGAGGGGAAGCCCATCAGACTAACAGCTGCTCTCTCAGCAGAAACTCTACAAGCCAGAAGAGAGTGGGGGTCAATATTCAAAATTCTTAAAGAAAAGAATTTTTAACCCAGAATTTCATGTCCAGCCAACTAAGTAAGCTTCGTAAGTGAAGGAGAAATAAAATCCTTTACAGACAAGCAAATGCTGAGCGATTTTGTCACCACTAGGCCTGCCCTACAAGAGCTCCTGAAGGAAGCACTAAACGTGGAAAGGAAACCCGTACCAGCCACTGCAAAAACATGCCAAATTGTAAAGACCATCGAGGCTAGGAAGAAACTGCATCAAGTAACAAGCAAAATAACCAGTTAACATCATAATGACAGGATCAAATTCACACATAACAATATTAACCTTAAATGTAAATGGGCTAAATGCTCCAATTAAAAGACACAGACTGGCAAATTGGATCAAGAGTCAAGACCCATCAGTGTGCTGTATTCAGGAAACCCATCTCACATGCAGTGACACACATAGGCTCAAAATAAAGGGGTGGAGGAAGATCTACCAAGCAAATGGAAAGCAAAAAAAAGGCAGGTGTTGCAATCCTAGTCTCTGATAAAACAGACTTTAAACCAACAAAGATCAAAAGAGACAAAGAAGGCCATTACATAATGGTAAAGGGATCAATTCAACAAGAAGAGCTGACTATCCTAAATATATATGCACCCAATACAGGAGCACCCAGATTCATAAAGCAAGTCCTTAGAGACCTACATAGAGACTTAGACACCCACACAATAATAATGGGAGACTTTAACACCCCAATGTCAACATTAGACAGATCAACAAGACACAAAGTTAACAAGGATATCCAGGAATTGAACTCAGCTGTGCACCAAGCAGACCTAATAGACATCTACAAAACTCTCCGCCCCAAATCAACAGAATATACATTCTTCTCAGCACCACACCGCACTTACTCCAAAATTGACCACATAGTTGGAAGTAAAGCACTCCTCAGCAAATGTAAAAGAACAGAAATTATAACAAACTGTCTCTCAGACCACAGTGCAATCAAACTAGAACTCAGAATTAGGAAACTCACTCAAAACCGCTCAACTACATGGAAACTGAACAACCTGCTCCTGAATGACTACTGGGTACATAACGGAATGAAGGCAGAAATAAAGATATTCTTTGAAACCAACAAGAACAAAGAGACAACATACCAGAATCTCTGGGACACATTTAAAGCAGTGTGTAGAGGGAAATTTATAGCACTAAATGCCCACAAGAGAAAGCAGGAAAGATCTAAAATTGACACCCTAACATCACAATTAAAAGAACTAGAGAAGCAAGAGCAAACACATTCAAAAGCTAGCAGAAGGCAAGAAATAACTAAGATCAGAGCAGAACTGAAGGAAATAGAGACACAAAAAACCCTTCAAAAAATCAATGAATCCAGGAGCTGTTTTTTTGAAAAGATCAACAAAATTGATAGACCGCTAGCAAGACTAATAAAGAAAAAAAGAGAGAAGAATCAAATAGACGCAATAAAAAATGATAAAGAGGATATCACCACCGATCCCACAGAAATACAAACTACCATCAGAGAATACTATAAACACCTCTACGCAAATAAACTAGAAAATCTAGAAGAAATGGATAAATTCCTGGACACATACACCCTCCCAAGACTAAACCAGGAAGAAGTTGAATCTCTGAATAGACCAATAACAGGCTCTGAAATTGAGGCAATAATTAATAGCTTACCAACCAAAAAAAGTCCAGGACCAGATGGATTCACAGCCGAATTCTACCAGAGGTACAAAGAGGAGCTGGTACCATTCCTTCTGAAACTATTCCAATCAATAGAAAAAGAGGGAATCCTCCCTAACTCATTTTATGAGGCCAGCATCATCCTGATACCAAAGCCTGGCAGAGACACAACAAAAAAAGAGAATTTTAGACCAATATCCCTGATGAATATCAATGCAAAAATCCTCAATAAAATACTGGCAAACCGAATCCAGCAACACATCAAAAAGCTTATCCACCATGATCAAGTGGGCTTCATCCCTGGGATGCAAGGCTGGTTCAACATATGCAAATCAATAAACATAATCCTGCATATAAACAGAACCAATGACAAAAACCACATGATTATCTCAATAGATGCAGAAAAGGCCTTTGACAAAATTCAACAGCCCTTCATGCTAAAAACTCTCAATAAATTAGGTATTGATGGGACGTATCTCAAAATAATAAGAGCTATATATGACAAACCCCAGCCAATATCATACTGCATGGGCAAAAACTGGAAGCATTCCCTTTGAAAACTGGCACGAGACAGGGATGCCCTCTCTCACCACTCCTATTCAACATAGTGTTGGAAGTTCTGGCCAGGGCAATCAGGCAGGAGAAGGAAATAAAGGGTATTCAATTAGGAAAAGAGGAAGTCAAATTGTCCCTGTTTGCAGATGACATGATTGTATATCTAGAAAACCCCATCATCTCAGCCCAAAATCTCCTTAAGCTGATAAACAACTTCAGCAAAGTCTCAGGATACAAAATCAATGTGCAAAAATCACAGGCATTCTTATACACCAATAACAGACAAACAGCCAAATCATGAGTGAACTCCCATTCATAATTGCTTCAAAGAGAATAAAATACCTAGGAATCCAACTTACAAGGGATGTGGAGGACCTCTTCAAGGAGAACTGCAAACCACTGCTCAACAAAATAAAAGAGGATACAAACAAATGGAAGAACATTCCATGCTCATGGATAGGAAGAATCAATATCGTGAAAATGGCCATACTGCCCAAGGTAATTTATAGATTCAATGCCATCCCCATCAAGCTACCAATGACTTTCTTCACAGAATTGGAAAAAACTACTTTAAAGTTCATATGGAACCAAAAAGGAGCCCGCATCGCCAAGTCAATCCTAAGCCAAAAGAACAAAGCTGGAGGCATCACACTACCTGACTTCAAGCTATCCTACAAGGCTACAGTAACCAAAACAGCATGATACTGGTACCAAAACAGAGATATAGACCAATGGAACAGAACAGAGCCCTCAGAAATAATGCCACACATCTACAACTATCTGATCTTTGACAAACCTGACAAAAACAAGAAATGGGGAAAGGATTCCCTATTTAATAAATGGTGCTGGGAAAACTGACTAGCCATATGTAGAAAGCTGAAACGGGACCCCTTCCTTACACCTTATACAAAAATTAATTCAAAATGGATTAAAGACTTAAATGTTAGGCCTAAAACCATAAAAACCCTAGAAGAAAACCTAGGCATTACCATTCAGGACATAGGCATGGGCAAGGACTTCATGTCTAAAACACCAAAAGCAATGGCAACAAAAGCCAAAATTCACAAGTGGGATCTAATTAAACTAAAGAGCTTCTGCACAGCAAAAGAAACTACCATCAGAGTGAACAGGCAACCCACAAAATGGGAGAAAATTTTTTCAATCTGCTCACCTAACAAAGGGCTAATATCCAGAATCTACAAGGAACTCAAACAAATTTACAAGAAAAAAACAACCCCATCAAAAAGTGGGCGAAGGATATGAACAGACACTTCTCAAAAGAAGACATTTATGCAGTCAAAAGACATGAAAAAATGCTCATCATCACTGGCCATCAGAGAAATGCAAATCAAAACCATAATGAGATACCATCTCACACCAGTTAGAATGGCGATCATTAAAGTCAGGAAACAACAGGTGCTGGAGAGGATGTGGAGAAATAGGAACACTTTTACACTGTTGGTGGGACTGTAAACTAGTTCAACCATTGCAGAAGTCAATGTGGCGATTCCTCAAGGATCTAGAACTAGAAATACCATTTGACCCAGCCATCCCATTACTGGGTATATACCCAAAGGATTATAAATCATGCTGCTATAAAGACACATGCACACGTATGTTTATTGCAGCACTATTCACAGTAGCAAAGACTTCGAACCAAGCCAAATGTCCAACAATGATAGACTGGATTAAGAAAATGTGGCACATATACACCATGGAATACTATGCAGCTATAAAAAATGATGAGTTCATGTCCTTTGCAGGGACATGGATGAAGCTGGAAACCATCATTCTCAGCAAACCCTCGCAAGGACAAAAAACCAAACACCGCATGTTCTCACTCATAAGTGGGAATTGAACAGTGAGAACACTTGGACACAGGAGGGGGAACATCACACCCCGGGGCCTGTTGTGGGGTAGGGGGAGCAGGGAGGGATAGCATTAGGGGACATACCCAATGTAAATGATGAGTTAATGGATGCAGCACACCAACATGGCACATGTATACATATGTAACAAACTTGCACGTTGTGCACATGTACCCTAGAACTTAAAGTATAAAAAAAAAAAAATACAGAGACCTGCTTATTTGGACTTTGAACATGACGAGTTCATTTAGTCTATGTAAATGATTAGTAGAATGATCTAGACACCATCATGAGTGATTCCAGCTTTGTAGGTAGAGTGGGAAGATTCCATTGATTTATGTTCCTATAGACTTTATTGAAAGAAGTCCTAAAAAGCTATGGGGTGGTCAGTTTTCCAGAAGTCTGAGTTTAATGACCTGTGTTGGAAAACATGCAAAGCTCTGATCTCATTCCTTATCTTGCCTTGCCCTTTCCTTCATCTATTCAAAATTATAACAGGTGCCGCTTTCTGGGGGGAAAATAGGGATCTTTATTGTGTGTTTATAACCTGCCTTGTTTCCAGAAAGGGCTTCAGGTAGGACAGAAATCTTTAAATTTAGGTTTTAAAGGATGCAACAAGAAATCTACATCAATCAATAATTGAAAAGCATCAAATATCACTTTGTTTGAAGCACTAAACACTGAGCAGGCTTGAAGGGATATTCTCAGATAAGTCACTTTAGAGACAGAAAGCAGTTATGTTGGCTGACACTGTTCACAGCAGTCTCAGAGTAAACAATATTGAGGACTTGTCAGCTAATCTCCCTTCAACTTTAGTTTTAGAGGGGAGAAATGTCTGTGTGCTTTGAAGCTCTGACCTTCTTCTGTTCTCAGGGAATTTCCTCAGGGAGAGAGATGTTTGAAGAGATCTGTAACAGGTATATTTAATATTCTACTAGCTTATACTTTGGAAATTATGTCTAAGATTCCTTTTAATTGTGACATGAATATTGAGCAGTTTTCATTTTCATTCACTTTTCACATCATGAACTAATGTTCATACCTCCCTGGGAAGCTAATGTCAGATTTTTAAACTTCCTTTTATGTGATTAGGTTGCTTTTGTGAAAGGTGGAAGACCAAAGCTCAGTTAACTAGGTCACTGGTTACTACCAGGCTAGTTTAGCGGCTAGCCTGTGGAACAAGAACTCAGGTGGGAGCTGACGCTTTTGTTTCCAATCTCCCAAGGTATGAAAAAGGTCAGTCCACAAGAGTTAGGTTGCAGATTTACATAGCTGAGAAGTGGGGAGATGTCTTCTGCATGCCCCTAGAACTAAGATTCCTTCTTTGTTTCACTAAAACTTTTTTGTGTAAAATATCATACAGTACTAAAACCCATATACAATTTATTTGTTTTAAGAGATGGGATCTTGCTGTGTTGCCCAGGCTGGAGTGCAGTGGCATGATCATAGTTCACTCTAAACTTGAACTCCTGGACTCAAGCAATCCTCCTGTCTCAGCCTCCTGAGTAGCTAGGACTACAGGCTTGCACTACCATGCCTGGCTAATTTTTTTTTTTTGAGACGGGGGTCTCACTATGTTACCCAGGCTGGTCTCAAACTCCTATACTCAAGTAATCCTCCTGCCTCAGCCTCTCAAAGTGTTGGGATTACAGGCATGAGCCATTGTACCAAGCTACCTGGCTAATTAAAAAAAATTTTTTTGTGTGGAGATAGGGTCTCACTGTGTTGCCCAGGCTGGTCTCAAACTCTGGGCCTCAAGCAATCCTCCTGCCTTGGCCTCCCAAAGCTCTGATATTATAGATGTAAGCCACTGTGCCTGGCCTAGAATTTAAATCATGTTCGAACAAGTAACCATATGCAGCCACTGAGGTTAAGAAATAGAACATTACCACCATTGTGAAAGTCAGTGTGGTGATTCCTCAGGGATCTAGAACTGGAAATACCATTTGACCCAGCCATCCCATTACTGGGTATATACCCAAAGGAGTATAAATCATGCTACTATAAAGACACATGCACACATATGTTTATTGCAGCACTATTCACAATAGCAAAGACTTGGAACCAACCCAAATGTCCAACAATGATAGACTGGATTAAGAAAATGTGGCACATAGACACCGTGGAATACTATGCAGCCATAAAAAATGATGAGTTCATGTCCTTTGTAGGGACATGGATGAAGCTGTAAATCATCATTCTCAGTAAACTATCGCAAGGACAAAAAACCAAACACCACATGTTCTCACTCATAGGTGGGAATTGAACAGTGAGAACACTTGGACACAGGAAGGGGAACGTCACAACCCGGGGCCTGTTGTGGGGTGGGGGGAGCGGGGAGGGATAGCATTAGGAGATATACCTGATGTAAATGACGAGTTAATGGGTGCAGCACACCAACATGGCACATGTATACATATGTAACTAACCTGCACGTTGTGCACATGTACCCTCAAACTTAAAGTATAATAATAAAAAAATAATAATAACATTACCCACACCCCAGAAACCATCCTTAAATGCTCTCTTAGACATTATTTTTCCAAATTCCCCAAAGGTCACTACTACTATCCTAACTTCTGCTAAAATGATTGATTTTGCCTAATTTTATTTTTATGTAAATAAAATCATACAGAAAAAAAAGTAAAAAAGAAATAGAACATTACCATATTTCAGAGGCCCCTTGTAGCCTCTGCCCTCTTCTGCAGAGGTAACCACTATCCTGTTTTTTTATTTGTTTGTTTGAGACAGAGTTTCGCTCTTGTTGCCCAGGCTGGAGTGCAATGGCGTGATCTCAGCTCACCACAACCTCTGCCTCCTGGCTTCAAGCGATTCTCCTGCCTCAGCCTCCTGAGTAGCTGGGATTATAGGCATGCGCCACCACGCCCGGTAATTTTGTATTTGTAGTGGAGATGGGATTTCTCCATGTTGGTCAGGCTGGTCTCATCGACCTCGGGTGACCCGCCTACCTAGGCCTCCCAAAGTGCTGGGATTATAGGCATCAGCCACCACGCCCAGCTGCGTTCTGTATTCTATAAAGTTCAAAATTTTCCATATATTGTTTACCTTGTCTCATTTTGCACCTTACAGAATATGGAATCACATGGGATTTCCTTCTCTGACTTGCTTCCTCCATTCATCATTGAGTGTTTTTTCCATATTGACATAGGTAGCTGTTGTTCCATAACTTTTAAAGTTTTACCATATTTTATTTTATGAACGTACCATAATTTGCCCCTTCTAGGTTGATGGCCTCCTGTATTGCCATCTTTTGAACTGATTAAATTTTCCTGTTTGTGTTTCTCATTCTCTTTCTTCTGTTTGTTTGGAAGCTATGCTGTATTCTTTTAGTAGATCTTTAGCTGTCTTAACATGCATACTTAGTCTATTATACAGGCTAAAATTAAACAGTATTTTTATCCTGCTCCTAAACAAATACAAAGACCTCAGAACTCTAAATCAGGTAAAATTCTTCATAATTTATCGTATTTTCTTGTTGTTTAGTGTTAGCTACTTTTCCACCTACAAATTAGGCATTCTAGTTGTTTTACATAGTCAACAATTTAGCTTTACTCACAACCCACATAGTTGCCTGATGTCTTTCTTTGCTCATTGTTCCTTCTTACACCTCACACCTATTTTTGTCAGGAAATCTTTTTCTTCCTCATTCTTGAAAGATAATTATACAAGTTATAGAATTCTAACTTGGCAGTTATTTTTGTCTCAGTGCATTTGAAAGTATCATTCTTCTATCTTACTGGTCTCCATGGTTGTTGTCGATGTTGGCAGTCAAAATTGCAGATTGCCATTCTTTTTTTAAATTTAGCTACTTTAGCTTTAAAAATTTTTTGTCTTTGTATACAGCAACTTCATTATGATATGTCTAGCTAAGGTTTTCTTTTTATTTATCCTTGGGTTTGGTTGAGATTCTTAGATCTAATTACTACTCTTTCAACAAATAATGGAAAATTATCAGCCATTATCTCATAAAACATTGGGAATATTGTCTTTCCCATTTTATTTCATCTACTTCTAAAACTCTAATTAAATGTGTGTTAGATCCTTAG
Source organism: Homo sapiens (assembly GCF_000001405.40). Taxonomy (NCBI): domain Eukaryota; kingdom Metazoa; phylum Chordata; class Mammalia; order Primates; family Hominidae; genus Homo; species Homo sapiens. The sequence continues at coordinate 32,272,467 of NC_000003.12, forward strand.
ACTCTATCTTCCATGTCTTTTAAACTGATAATTTTCAACTCTGGGTTCCTGGGCTGCATTTTAGTTATTTATATAACTTCAATTTTATTAATTCTTTTTTTTAGCTGTTTAATCTATCATTGGATTTTGAATTTCAATTCTCTTACATTTCTAGAAATTCTTGAACTTTTCCAGATCTACTGTGTTCTTTATGGCCTACATAGACTCAGACCCAACCCAAATGAGAGAATATGTGGGGCTATAAATTGAAAGGGACATCTTTTCACCCTCCACTCATTGCCAAGATTGAGATACTCAAGTTAATTTGCTGCTCCCTCTGGACACTGAGTTAATTTCTTGTCCATCCTCACATTGAAGGGATGGCCTTTTAAGATCCCAGCTTTACATGGGTGGTTTCCTGTTAGACTTTCACCTTAAATGGGCCCTTTGCTTTGTCTCCCACCACCCTGTACCTAGATGAAAGCTTGACAAAGGATTTGGGTAGATATTTCTCCAAAGATATACAGACAGCCAATAAGCACATGAAAAGTTGCTAAACATCATTAGTCTTTAGAGAAATACAATCCAAAATCACAATGAGATACCATTTCACACCTATAAGGATGGGTATAATTAAAAAGACAGTAACAAGTATTGGCAAGGGTGTGGAGAAATTGGAACAAATGTGTGTGTGTGTGTGTGTGTGTGTGTGTGTGTACGTGCCCAGGCTGGTCTCAAACTCCTGGGCTCAAGTGATTTGCCCATCTCAGCCTCCTAAAGTGCTGGGATTACAGATGTGAGCCACTGTGCCCAGCTAAAACATTTTTAAACATGTTGCTGAGCTGGCATGAAAAGAAAGTATCCCAAGATATGTGTATGTATGTGTACACACACACACACACATATATATATACATACACACACATGCTTTCTCAAGGTCATAAATGTTCATCGCAGCATTATTCATAATAGGCAAAAGGTAGAAACAAGTCAATTGCCCACTAACTGATGAATGAATGGATAAACAGAATACCCGTACAATGGAAACTTATTTGGCAATAAAAAGAAATAAAATATTGATACATGCTATAGTATTGATGACCCTTGAAAACATTATGCTAAGTGAAAGAAGTCAGACACAAAAGGCCATGTATTGTCAAATTCCATTTATGGGAAATGTCCAGAATAGGCACATGCATAGAAACAGCAAGTAGGTGAGTGCGTTAGTGCGTGCTGGGAGAGGGAGGAATGGAGAGCTATTGCTGATAGATATGGAGTTTCTTTTGGGGATGATAAAAATGTTCTGAAATCGGATAGTTGTGGTAGTTACATACCTCTTTGAATAGTCTAAAAATTACTGAATTCTACACTTTAAACGGTGAATTTTATGATGTATGCATTATATCTTGAAGTGGTTTTAAAAAAAGCTGGAAGCTTAAGAGTCCTCAAGGTTTAACAAACTCTCAGGGTGGAAACTGGTTTTGGCATTTGATGACTCCCAGGATTCTTGTTTTATTTAATTTTTGGCTTCTTGGGATATTTTCTTTTCATGCCAGCTCAGCAACATGTTTAAAAATGTTTTAGCTGGGCACGGTGGCTCACATCTGTAATCCCAACACTTTGGGAGGCTGAGATAGGCGAATCACTTGAGCCTAGGAGTTTGAGACCAGCCTGGGCAACATGGCAAGACCCGGTCTCTACAAAAATTACAGAAATTAGCCAGGCATGGTGGTGCATGCCTGCGGTCCCAGCTACTTGGGAAGCTGAAGTGGGAGGATTGCTTGAGCCCAGGAGGTTAAGGCTGCAGTGAGTAGTGATCATGCCACTGCACTCCAGCCTGGGTGACCCTGTCTCAAAAAAAAAAAAAAATTTCATGTTTTACCCATACTTGTTTCATTTGGGAGGATACCCAGTCTGTCACAGTGCTAGAAATTGAAGTCAGAATTCCTTTAATTTTTTATTTTAAAAAAGTTCAAGGCGCTAAGAAAAGTTGTAAGGACAGTATAGTGACCTTCCTCATACTTTCACTGTAATTTCTGAAATGTAAATATCCTGCTTCATCCTTCCTCCTTCCTGTCTGTCTGCTTCATATTTTATGGAACCAATTGAGAGTAGGTTGCAGACATCACACTCCTAAATACCCTAGCTATTCCAGCATGCATCTCTAAAGGACAAAAGTATTCTCCTGCATAACCACAGTGTAACTATCATTCTCAAATTTTACCAAATTGTCCTAATAATGTTCCTTATATTCTTTTTCCCTGTCCAAGATAGAGCACAAGATCACATATTACATATAGTCATCATGTCTTCTTTAGTGTCCTTTAGTCTAGAATACTCAGTCTTTGTCTTTCATGACCTTGACAATTTTGAAGAATCCAAGTGAGCTGTTTGGGGAATGCTCTGCAAATTATGTGTGTGTGGTGTTTCCTCATGAGTAGATTCAGGTTATGTGTTGTTGGCAGAAATCCCACTGAAGTGATGTTTGTCCTTCTTAGTACCATACATCAAGGGGCTTGGGATGTCAGTGTATATTGTGATTAGTGAATAAAACTATAATCACTTTTCTTTTTTAAAAGACAGAGTCTCACTCAGTCGCCCTGGCTTGAATGCAGTGGTGCAATCATGGCTCACTGCAGCCTCAACCTCCCAAGGCTCAAGCAGTCCTCCCACCTCAGCCTCCCAAGTAGCTGGGACTACAGGTGTGCACCACCACACCTGGCTAACTTGGGTGTTTGGTTTTTTTTTTTGTGGAGACAGGGTTTTGCCATGTTACTCAGGCTGGTCTCGAACTCCTGAGCTCAAGCAGTCTACCCATCTTGGCCTCCCAAAGTGCTGCTTTTCTGCAAGCTAAATGTGATCTTTTTCTGAGCAGAATGACACAGAATTTGGAGACAAACAGACTTGGCTTTGAGTCTTGGCCCTGCTGCTATTAGCTCTGTGATCTTAAGTGAAATATTTAACATGTTAAAGCATCTGTAAAATATGTCTAATAATACCCACTTCTTAAGATTATTGAAAGAATCAAATGCAAATTCATGTAAATTGTTTAGCACTGGCGCATTGTAAGAACTCATAACCCTTGTTCTGGGGGAGATGATAGTATCCAAATGGCATGGGGGCCGCTCTGTCCCTCAAAGGTATTGGTGAAATCGCTCAGAATCTGTGTGAGGAGCACAAAGGCCCCCCATGTACTTCCTTTTTTTTTTTTTTTTTTTTTTGGGGACAGAGTCTTGCTGTGTCACCCAGGCTGGAGTGTGATAGTGTGACCACAGCTCACTGCAACCTCCACCTCCAGGGCTCAAGCAATTCTCACGCCTCAGCCTCCAGAGTAACTGGGATTACAGGTGTGCATCACCATGCCTGGCTAATTTTTGTATTTTTAGGAGAGATGGGGTTTCGCTATGTTGGCCAGGCTGGTCTTAAACTCCTGGCCTCAAGTGATCTGCCTGACTCAGCCTCCCAAAGTCTGGGATCACAGGTGTGAGTTACCACTCGTATGTACTTCAGTTAATTCCCAAAGAGCCCGTATTCTCTTGCCCTTTTCTGCCATCTCACCCACCTCCTTTATCCTTTGCTGTCATCCATCTCTGGTGTCCGTAAGAAGCTCACTGGTCCCAGTGGTGGGTTGGTTTTAGATGTTGACCAATGACGGGTACAGAGGCTTTTAGAGAATGCAGACCGACCTCCTATTCCATTCTTCTCCCCTTCTGTTTTGTCTCCCTTCCCTCCTGGGTTACTCGTCCTCCTCCTCTCCAAATCCTTCTCCTTCTGTTGTTCAGGGAAACTCTCTCCAGCTCCTACCTCCAAACTGTGTATCTTAATTCAGTGAGGGGGTGCAGAGAAAAGACTTCTCACCAAACCAGAAGCAGCTCCCTAGAGGGCAGTGGGCCTTATAAACAGGAACTTCTTTTCCTGTAACATGATTGTTTTTATTCTCATTGTGCAACAGCAATGCCGTGGATATTTCCTTGATGTTTATTTTGACTTGAGAGGATAGCAAGTGGTTTGAACTTGTATGAGAAATACCTTCATGCTGGCACTGCTTGGCTGGCAATTAGAGTAATTGCCTGTGGCTAGCCATGGACCTTTGCATGGGTGCTTTATCTGAATCCAGAGGAGAAAGCTGGGCTCAGCTGAAATTGCGCCACACAAGATCTTTGTTCTTTGGAGGGGAGTATTAGCTGGGGCCCCAGGCAATGCTGATGCCACTTTGGTTGTTTTCTTGTAACCCGTGTCGTCAATGGTTCCCACAAAATGAGCTTTGGATGTTGCACCTTCTGTGTCTTCCTTTATGCCACCTCCCACTCCTCCTTCATGAAGCTGTTTGTCTGGATGAACTTGTTTGGTGAGGCTGCCAGACCTTCCATATCAAACTGAGGGATGCCTTTTTCACCTGCTGTTTTCTTGCTTCATGATTCTAATATCTAGCCCTGTCTCCTGAGAAATTTTTTTTTTTTGAGATGGGGTCTCACTCTGTCACCCAGGCTAGAGTGCAGCGGCACAATCATAGTGCCCTGCATCCTTGAACTTGGCTCAAGGAATCCTCTTGCCTCGACCTCCCAATAAGCTGGGACTACAGGCACATCCCACCATCCCCGGCTAAGTTACTATTTTTTTTGTAGAGATTGGGGTCTCACCATGTTGCCCAGGCCAGTCTTGAGCTCCTGGGCTCAAGTAATCCTCCCACCTCAGCCTTCCACGTAGCTGGAGCTACAGGTATGCTCCAACACTCCCAGCCCTGAGAAATTATTTAGTCTTGAAAAGGAGAGAAAGGGAGAAGAGAAAGGAACAGAGTTTAATCCTGATAAAGGCTACTGGTGTCCAGGGAGGCCCTACATGGTGAGGCTGTGGGCAAGTAAGGCCCCACGGTGGTTGCTGCTGCTGACTTAGAGGTTTTGTCTGTCCATTTTCCAAGGATTCTCCCTTTGTCTTTCTTTCTTTTTTTATTTTCCTTTTTTTTTTCTTTTTTTGTTGAGACAGAGTCTCACTATGTTACCCAGGCTAGACTCAAACTCCTGGGCTCAGGTGATCCTCCTGCCTCAACCTCCCAAGTAGCTGGTATTACAGGTGTGTGCCACCACATCTGGCTTATTCTCCAGGGAGTGGGACTGCATTTGAGGGTGATGAGAGTTTGCGGGAACTGTGTTGTGTTGTCCAAACTCAAAGGACTCTATTACCCGAAGTTATGTTACTTGTTCCAATGAAGTCTTTATTTTGGAGAGGCCTGTGGACCAGAAATGATACTGGGCCCCAGACCAGTTGTGTTGGCCTATACAGTGTTGAAAATCAGAATTAGTTGCCAGTAAGTAAATATCAGATATTATAAGAAAATCTAGATTTCCATGATCTCTTGGAAAATTGGACAAATGCACAATACTGAGCCCATAGTTCCTCATGGCAGTAATCCTTTGGAGCCAAGAAGTGGCTGCCCTCTGCATGTAAGAGTGTTGGTCAAGATGCATGTTTGACTGTTGTGACAAAGACCAAAACAAGTGGCTTAAACAAGGTGGAAACTTGTTTTTCTGTCATGACAGTCAAAGCACTAATTGCCCAGGGCAGACATGATAGCTCCGTGGTGTCAGAGACGCTGCCCACTTCTGTCGGTTTTCCCTGTTCTCTGCAGTGGGTTCCATCTTCTGATCCAAGATACTGCTTCATTTCCCACCATCCTGTCTGCTCCAGCCTTCAGTAGGATGGAGAAGTAGAGGATCCCTTTCTTCAAGATCCAACCTGGAAGTTACATGTATCATTTCCTCTGGCATCCTGTTGGTCAGAATGTACAGCATGGCCACATCTGACTGCAGATGAAGCTGGGGAAATGTGGTCCTCATCTACGTGGCCATGTGAATAGTTAAAACCCACTTCTTACTAAAGGCAGAATGTGAGAGCGGATGGTATGGACAAACTATATTCTGTGCTGTGAGGGGCCTTGCAGTCACCTATTTGCTGCTATTCTCAGCTCTCTCCAGTCTTCCCGTAATTGAGGTCAAGAGTCATTGTCATTTATTTTCTTGTAACTGATGTGTTTCACTCATTTATGTTACCTGCTTGGTCCCTGTAGGCATTTGAGTTTGCATTCTCAGCTGTGCCCTGATCATCTCTTTCAACACACCTCCATGCTTTTATATTTGTTGCCGCCTCTGTTTAGAATTACCTGGCCTCCCTTTCAGGCCTGGCAAACTCCTTCTCAGGATAACGCAGCCCCATGCTTCCCTTCCCAAATTGAGTTATCTCTGTTAACCATCCTAATATATAAGCTGCCAATTTTACATAATACCTTTTAGTTTACTTACCTTTATATACTTGATGCCCAGAACAGCACTGGGTACATAACAGACTAAGGGTCAGTCCTGTTTACTGAGTGTTCATTCAGTGAAAGACACTTCCTAGAACTTAAAAGCATTTTTAATATCTAACAGTGAAATAGTGTATTAGTCACAGCCTGTACAGCTGTAGATGATGGAAACGTGGCTAAATTGGCTTCCATGACAACAAAAAGGAGGAGCACTTACTGGCTCGTGTATCTGACAAGCTGAGCTATGTGTCAAGCCTCAGGTATGGCTGGAACCAGGAGTTCAATAGATAGCAGGACTCAGTCTCTCTTCTCAGTGTCTTGGCTGTGCTTTCTTCTGAATAAGCTTCATTCTTAGAAAGAGTTTCTCTGCATGATGATGACAAAGATGCCACCCACGGTTCTGTATTTTTCTTATAATTAGTGATTTTTTTTTTTAATTTTTTTTTTATTATACTTTAAGTTTTAGGGTACATGTGCACATTGTGCAGGTTAGTTACATATGTATACATGTGCCATGCTGGTGCGCTGCACCCACCAACGTGTCATCTATCATTAGGTATATCTCCCACTGCTATCCCTCCCCCCTCCCCCGACCCCACCACCGTCCCCAGAGTGTGATATTCCCCTTCCTGTGTCCTTGTGATCTCATTGTTCAATTCCCACCTATGAGTGAGAATATGCGGTGTTTGGTTTTTTGTTCTTGCGATAGTTTACTGAGAATGATGGTTTCCAATTTCATCCATGTCCCTACAAAGGACATGAACTCATCATTTTTTCTGGCTGCATAGTATTCCATGGTGTATATGTGCCACATTTTCTTAATCCAGTCTATCATTGTTGGACATTTGGGTTGGTTCCAAGTCTTTGCTATTGTGAATAATGCCGCAATAAACATACGTGTGCATGTGTCTTTATAGCAGCATGATTTATAGTCATTTGGGTATATACCCAGTAATGGGATGGCTGGGTCAAATGGTATTTCTAGTTCTAGATCCCTGAGGAATCGCCACACTGACTTCCACAATGGTTGAACTAGTTTACAGTCCCACCAACAGTGTAAAAGTGTTCCTATTTCTCCACATCCTCTCCAGCACCTGTTGCTTCCTGACTTTTTAATGATTGCCATTCTAACTGGTGTGAGATGATATCTCATAGTGGTTTTGATTTGCATTTCTCTGATGGCCAGTGATGATGAGCATTTTTTCATGTGTTTTTTGGCTGCATAAATGTCTTCTTTTGAGAAGTGTCTGTTATTAATAATGGGAGACTTTAACACCCCACTGTCAATATAATTAGTGATTTTTTTAAGAAACCATAAATCTATTGCTTCATAGTGGTAACCAAGCACTTCGTAGTGGCCACCAATCAGGAGGAAGTCCCTGATTGACCTAGCTCAGGTCACATGGCCATTCTCAGTCCAGTCAATGTGGCCAGGCATAAGTGAGGGGGGAGAATAGGGTCTGGAAGCAGGGAACCTAAGGCTGATTCACGCTGATTTCCTAGAATGGAATTAAAAGGAAAACCCCAACTTTCCATGCCCAAGTAACAAAAGGATCATAAGCTACTTCCTTTGCACCCCCACCCACTTTTTCTTCGTGGCAGATGGAAAATGGAAAGTACTCTGATTGGTCCCCTTCTGCAACCAATCAGACTGGTCGTGGGCCTAGTCTTTATTTGCATAGGGGTATAACTTTGTAACTTCACTTCAGCCTTTGATTGGTTGCCTTCTGCAATCAATCAGACTGGTCATGGGCCACTTCTTTATTTACATAGGCTGTAACCAAGTAACCAGTGAGAAACCTCTAGAAGGTATTTAAACCCCAGAAAATTCCATAACCAGCATGCTTGAGCCCACTCCCATACTGTGGAGTGTGCTTTCGTTTCAAAAATCTGTAGTTTCATTGCTTCATTTGTGTGTTTTGTCCAATTCTTTGCTCAAAGTGCCAAGAACCTGGATGACTCACAGTCAAGACCCGTCACTGGTAACATAAGTAGTCTGGCCATACCTGGGTCATCTGTCTACTTCTGGTACCTGGGGTGGAGTCGACCCTACTCAAATTACATTGAAGGAAAGGTAGGTCTCCAACACGAGAGAAAATAGGCAAAAAAAAAAAAAAAAAAAAAAAAGTGACAATTATATTTGGAACTACCTTTGTCTCATTTTATAAATAAAGCAGCTGAGGGTGAGAGAGATTATCGTGACCTAAGGTCACAACCAGGAGGCGGCAGAAGTGGGATTCACACCAGATCTTCCTGACTCTAAATGGTAGACTGTTAATTCAGTGCACCCAACTATTTCTGAAGGGAGTTATCCTGGAACTCCCCAAGCCCCATCTCTGCATGGGGACAATCCTGAGGTTTGATGCTCCTGTGTATGACTATTAGTATGTAGAGATACCTTGTAGGCCCACCATGGCAGGATTTTGTGTAGGAGCACATGTTTAGCTGTAAGCTCTGTTTTCCCTGGCACCTCTCTAGTGGCTACACTGTACCTGAAAATATTTCTCTTACCCATCAAAAGAACTCTTTACATTAATAAAAGTTGGAAGAGTCAGGCAGCTGGATTCGTCTCTTCTCTTGGAACGTTTTGATTAATTTAGCACATGCATTCTCATCAAGGGGTGGTGTTGCTTGCAAGGGAGCAAAAACTGGTTCTTGGGGGTAGGGAGGGAAATCTTACCTTTTTTAAATGAATAAAGTACATATATACATGTAGTATCTAAATAGACAGTTTATCTGAGATGTTAAAATTTCCTGGAGATAATATGCTGTGATGAATGCCATCTTGAAAACTGTAACATATCTTCCCTCCAGAAGATATGTCCCTCATTCTTCAACAGTTGTCACCTTTTTTCTCTGCTCCACCTTGCAGCAAAACTTCTTGAATGAGTTGTCTTTATTTCCTAATTCCTCTCATCCCACCTGCTCCTGACTGAACCCTCTCCAATCAGCCTTGTCACTAGTCTACCCAAACAGCTCTTACCAAGGGCACCAGTGACGTCTGTTTTGCCAAGCCAAATGGTCAACTTTCAGTGCTTATCATACTGAGCCTGAAGGCCACATTGACACAGTTGACCCCTCCCCTCAATCCTTTAAATATCTTATTTTCTTGGCTTCAAAGGTCACTGTCCTAATTTTTTTTTCTTATCTCACTGGATGTGTACCTCATCTTCTTTCCTGGTGCCTCCTTATCTCCCCAACTGTAAATACAAGAGTGCCAGGGCTCAGGCCTTAGAACATTCCTCTTTTCCGTCTACACTCATTCCCTCAGAATCATGGCTTTCAACTCTCTCTATAGGTCCTCATTTCTAGCCCCAGCCTAGACTTCTCCCCTGGATCCCAGATTTGTATCTGCCCACTCACCATCTCTTCTGATATGTCTCATAGGCAACTCAGGCTAAGTATCAGTTTTGGGTTAATACAGAGAACAGAGAAACATATTAAAAGAACCCATGAGGACACAGTCAGCAAAATCTAGATTGTGTGTACGGGACAAATGACCCAGTTTTTTCAAAAAATAAATTTTAAAGAAAAAGGAATAGAGGAGATGCCTATAGATTAAAAGAGATTTATGAGATAAAAGTCAGTTGCAATATATGTACCATATTTGGATATTGATCCAAGCAACCATAAAATAATTATGAGATGATCAGGGTTATTTGAATATTGACTGGATATTGGATATTATCATTAATTATTTTTAGCTATGAGAATGGTGATTTGGCGATATTAGAAAAAAATTAAAAAAATATATACCCAGAATGTTATCAATTCTTACCACCTGCAGTATTATCACCCTCAGCCAAACTAACATCCTCTCTTGTATTATTTTTATATTGCCTCTTAGCTGATTTCCCTGCCTATAACCGACCCCCTACACCGGTCTGCTCTCAGCACAACAGCCAGAGATATCCTGGTAAGATGTGTCATGATATTCCACTTCCCATTGCATTTGGAGTGAGAGAGCCAGTCTGTTCAGTTTCAGTCTGCAAGACCCCATGGGTTCCTCCCTTACCTCTCTGACCTTATATCCTGCGCTCCACTCCTGGGTGAGCTGCTCTGGCCCCCTTGCTGCTTTTGTGACACAGCAAGCATGCTCCAGCTCTAGGTGTTTGTATTTTCTCTTCTCCCTGCCTAGAACCCACTTTCTCCAGGTCTTATTTCAGCACCTCCTTTCCCTGAACATTCTGTGTAATAAGTTAACCCTTATCTCCTTAGCCTGCCTAGTATTTTTCCATAGCATTTGTTACCATCTGATGTATGTACTGTTTTTTTGGTCTGATGCTTCCACTAGAACATGAGTTATGTGAGAGTAGAAACTGTATTTTTCATTGCTGTATCCCTAGTACTTAAATTGCACATAACACGCACTAAATAAATGTTGAAAGAAAAATAGTTTTTCATACAGGGGGAGGAAATGTTTATAAATGCTTAGGGGGAGCATGATAATGAAAAAAGTTGAGAATCCCTGCTTTAGCCTTGGGAAGCATGTGGTCATCTTGTCCCTGCTATTACTGTTGTTACTGTATTTACATTTCTCTGTCTTTTCCACCTTGGGATAGTCCGTTTTATCATGTTATAACGTGTCATACAGCAAAACTTTGTGAATTGGCTCCAATTGGGGGAAGAGTCATTTGAGTTTCTTCTCTTCAGACTGAGCGCTTGCTATCTGGCTTCTGTGCTGCAGTCGGGGAGCTCACATCGCAGGCGCATGTAATGTGACCAGCACGTCCCCCGGGAGTTAGCTTCCTTCCCCATGCATGAGCTGGAGCCTGCGGAACAGGATGGCGACAGTTTACTGAGGTGCCATTGATCCCGGGACACGTCTAGGCATTTCAGGCCGGGCAGTTGACCGTCATATGGGTCTCTCCTACATAGCAGGATGTTTACTGTGTCTGCCTTTCAGGATTTATCTTGACACAAAAAACAACTTGTTTTTTACATGCACACATACATCCCCTCCCCTCTGTCCCACCCTCCACACTTGGAGAACTAAGATGTCAGGAAGGCCCCGAGGAGGAATAAGCAAGAAATGAGGCAATCCAGGCAGGCACTCAGATGTGCTCGTAGTTTATGGCCAGAAAACAGTGCTCTAGGTGTGTTCAGATGACTGTGGTATCTTTTCTGAAACTCCATTTGTAAATATTTATAGCCCACTTCTTTCCAAAAAGGATTTGAAATAGCTTTATGAGTATACATAAACCCACACACAAATATACACTTAGGGCTGGGCACAGTGCCTCACGCCTGTAATTCCAGCACTTTGGGGGAGCCGAGGTGGGCGGATCACCTGAGGTCAGGAGTTCGAGACCAGCCTGGCCAACATGGTGAAACCCTGTCTCTACTAAAAGTACAAAAAATCAGCTGGGTGTGGTGGCACATGCCTGTAGTCCCAGCTACTTGGGAGGCTGAGGCATGAGAATCATTTGAGCCCGGGAGGCAGAGGTTTCAGTGAGCAGAGATTGTGCCACTGCACTCCAGCCTGGGCAACAGAGCGAGACTCCGTCTCAAAAATAAACAACAATAACAAAAAAATATATACACTTAGATTTAACAAAACAAGAGTGGAAAACAAGAAACCTGGCCTGAAAGAACAGGAGGAAGCAGTGAGGGAGTCTTGAGAGTTAAGTCGGGATCTGCGAGGGGAATCACATGCAGCTGGATGCCCTCTGCCAGCCCAGTGCCCAGGGAAGCGGAGTGGGGCTGCCTCACCTTGTCCTCACCTTCTACCAGCCTTTGCATTATATCTCATAATTTTTCCCCTTTAGTCATCACATTGGGTTATCTATTGAAAAATCCGAGTAGCCAACTATATAGTATCATTTAAAAGTGGACATAGGACTTTGAGTAGACATTCTAGGTGATTGGTGCCTGTCTCCAGCACCGACCTGTGATCACAGCTCACAGAGGGCATGAACTGTGTCTGTTCATCTTTGTACTCCAGTACCTGGAAGCCAGGAGGAACTCAATAAATATTTTACTGTATAAATGAATGGCTTTACAGTTCTTCTTACAAGAAAGGAAGAAGCCTGTCAGTTGTTTGAGGGAAAGGTTTTTGTTTTTGTTTTTTCCTGGTTCTATTTTGAGAGTTCTCTCATGTGGGCGATTATATTAGGAATTTTGAGTGGTGTCCTCGGTCTTGTTCTCAAGAAAATTGGGAGAAATGCAGACGCAGGATTCATGTGGCTTTCCTTGTAAGGGGGAAAACTGAAGTCCTGACTTTGATGAGCAGTTTAATGCAGAGTCTGAGAGGCCCCAGCGAAGGTGATCAAGGTACACACCTTTTCCTCATATGACCTGGTTCAAGAGCAAATGGAAATTCCTCAGGGAGGGTAGAGAACAGTCCCTAAATGTTACTGCTTTCAGGGCCACTTTGGGTACATGCTAGAGGTGGTTCAATTTGGGATTATGTAATATAGTAGTAAAAAGCAGGGACCTTGCATAGAATTATACACAAAAATATACCACAAAAAATAATAGTGGTGCAGTGGCTGGGTGCAGTGGCTCACGCCCGTAATCTCAGCACTTTGGGAGGCCGAGGCGGATGGATCACTTGAGGCCAGGAGTTTGAGACCAGCCTGGGCAACATGGTGAAACCCCATCTCTACTAAAAATACAAAAATCAACTGGGCGTGTTGGCACACACGTGTAATTTAAGCTACTCAGAAGGCTGACACATGAAAATTGCTTGAACCTGGAAGGCAGGTTGTGGTGAGCCAAGATGACGCCACTACACTCCAGCCTGGGTGACAGAGCGAGATTCTATCTCAAAAAAAAAAAAAATTAAATTAATAATAATACTAGTAGTACACGTAAAAATGGGTGAAATCTATGTGAAGTGTATTGCGCTCATTTTGGTTTCCTGGTTGTGATAAAGTACTGTAGTTACATAAGGTGCCACTAATTAGATAAATTGGGTGATGGATGTATAACACCTCTCTGCACTGTTTATGAGTCTATAATTAAAAAGCAGGGCCTTGGCAACAGAGTTGTGTTGAATCCCCCATTACCCCAGCTGAGAGGTGACTTTTTTCTCCTGGCATTTAACGTAATTCTTAACTACCTATTTGCTCTGTGCCTTTCTCCCCCAGGAGAAAGCAGAAGCTGAGTCTGTTTTGTTCACTGCTAAATTCTCTGTCTCCTAGCACAGTGTGTGGCACCTGTGTTTTGAAGTCAGATGTTTGGATGAAAGAATAGTTATGGACACAGGTGACTTAAATTCTCTCAGGCGGTCTGCAGTTAGGTCAATACCTCCCTGTCAGGACGATGGGAGAATTAAATGTGTATAATGTAGCTAAAGCTCAGGGCCTTCTGCAAGCAAACACTCAACTTCCGGAGGCGGCAGACTTTTTCCGTCAAGGGTCAGATAGTAGTGGCTTGGGCTTTGCAGAGCATGCAGTCTCTGTTGTAGCGGCCCACCTCTGCCACTGTAGCACAAACGCAGCCAGAGACAATCGGTACATGAATGAGTGTGGTGCATTTAAAAATGCAACTTAAAATCTTTTAAATTGCAAATTAAAAATAATTTTTTTATGAACCTGAAATTTGAATTCTTTCCAACCATTTCAATATATAAAAATCTCTCTTAGCTTATAGGTGGTGGGCTAGATGTGGCCTCAGGTCCACAGTTTGTGCACTGTGATGGGCACTGTCACTTTTGGCAAGCTCCTTCTCCACACTGCTGGCCGCTGGGGTAAACGAAGAAGCTGTGGAAACTATATAATTTGGTGGCAAAGTTAATGTTCCCCACAAAACCAGATCTGTGCAATGAGTTTCTCTCTGGGCTGGGAGGAAGGCTGCTCCTGTGGCCCAGATAAACCCAGCCTGCATTTTGCATGGGAGGCTTTGTAGGATTGGCACCATTTCCCATAGGAAGGCGTAACACACATGTTCTCAGCTCTAGGCAGCTTGCTGTAGAGCAGGGCTGTCCAATCTTTTGGCTCCCCTGGGCCACACTGAAAGAAGAAGAATTGTCTTGGGCCACATATAAAATACACTAACACTAACGGTAGCTGATGAGCTGAAAAAAAAGGGCGCAAAAAAACTCATGTTTTAAGAAAGCTTACAAATTTGTGTTGGGCTGCATTCGAAGCCATCTTGGGCTGTATGCAGCCCGAGGGCCGCAGGTTGGACAAGCTTGCTGTAGCGTGTTGTCCAGGTGCACTTGTCTGCCGGAAAGGGCAGATAGATGTGGGCTCCAGCCCTGCCTGATAGCCTCTCGGCTCTGAGCGTGGGCAGATCTCTCAAGGCCCTCTGAAACTTGGTTTCTTCTGCTTTAAAGGTGGAATGGTGAGGTGCAGTGGCAGCCTATTTGTGGCTGCTTTGCTTAATTTGGGGTTAGCTAATAGCTGTTCCTTTTTTTGTCTAAAGTGGTTATACTGACCCAATCCATTACAAAGTTGCTTTGAGGACTAAAATGAAACAATTTAAGGTGTCTGGCACTTACCCATCATTTTTATTGGGCACCTTCTTAATAATGTTTGAATCTACATAAGGTAAGATCATCTACATTCTTTCAGACACACAGCCATTTACTCCTCTGAATTTGAAGTTTTTCTTCAATTTTTTGTCTTCATAAGAATTAAAATGTTACAGAGTCATAAATTTTGTTTTCCAAGTTTTACCTAAAACCCTCAGATATTTTGCTCCTAAACAGGTTAAGGACCAATGTGATACTGCCCTCACTCTTAAAATCTTGAAATCCTTCAGCTGTTAATACCATTAAACTATTACTAACTGATTTATTTTTGTAGTGTTCAAATAAATTTTAATATAGGTTGGGTGAAATCTAGAAAAGTTGTATATTTTGTCTTTATGTATAATAGGAATTACAAGGAAGTGCCAATTCAGAGTAAAGTTAAATGAAAACATGAGAGTTAGGGAAATAAGGCTTTATTAGAATACACAAATGCCTTCTGTGGTCGATTAGATTGTGAGAATCCAAATAAATATTTTAGAAAATTATTATTTGAATAAAAGTGCACATTATTTTATGTGTCCGCCATTATTTAATGTATTCCCTCAACCATATGGAGATGGCAGAAGAGATATTGATTCAGGCTTTGGTTGTGAGTGAAGGAGATAGGAAAATTATCTGGAGGCTGCTGGTAGGATTATAAGGAAAACCACTAAAGAATCTGGAAATATGTTCATATGCCAGCTGCCCCTCACAAGACAGTATTCCGTGCTTGAAGTTTGGCAAGAGAGAGATGATCCGTTTATGGCTTTAAAAAAAAAGTATTTACAAAATCTTAATTCACACGATACATTATATTTATTTGACATGTTTTATTACGGATCATAAAACTAAAGTTCTGGAAGATTAAGTCACTTTCCAGATATCAAATAGGTAGACCTGGAATCTGAACACAGTTGGCCTGACTTGCAATCCATGGTCTTTTGACAACATCTTTGTTTCTCTGTGTTCAGGACTCTGCTAACACAGGATTTTAGATGATGGGTCCTTGCTCTCAAGGAGCTTACAACTTAATTGAGGAGCTGACTTTCATATATGAGAGTAAGTAGAAGAAAATACAGCTATCATTTCTTTATTTTTTAGAGACAGGGACTTACTCTGTCACTCAGGGTAGAGTTCAGTGACATGATCGCCCACCGTAACCTTGAACTGCTGAACTCAAGTGATCCTCCCACCTCAGCCTCCCAAGTAGCTGGCACTACAGGCACCCACCACACCCAGCTAATTTTTTAAAAACTTTTTTGTAGAGATGGGGGTCTCACTGTGTTGAGTAGGCTATACAGCTATCATTTTTTTTTTGAAATGGAGTCTTGCTCTATCACCCAGGCTGCAGTGCAGTGGCACAATCTCAGCTCACTGCAACCTCCACCTTCCTGGTTCAAACAACTCCCCTGCCTCAGCCTCCTGAGTAGCTAGGACTACAGGCGCCCACCACCACGCCCAGCTAATTTTTTGTATTTTTAGTAGAGACGGCATTTCACCATGTTAGCCAGGATGTTCTCGATCTCCTGACCTCGTGATATGCCCGCCTTGGCCTCCCAAAGTGCTGGGATTACAGGCGTGAGCCACTATATCTGGCCGCAGCTGTCATTTCTAAAGCACCTTTTGGTTTCCAGTGAGCTATCTCAGTCGAATTTCCTATAACTATGAATTAGTTGAGGTACATGCCATTAGCTCATTTTCATGGTGAGGAAACCATGAAAAGGCTCAAAAAGTTAGTGACTTGCCTAAGATTATACCAGTAAGTGACAAAGCCACCATGTGGTACTTTGTGTCTTGCAGTTTCTTTTTTACCGGAAGTCACAAAATCAGCTGCATACAGGGGCCAGGAAGGCAGAATATATGAGCAAAGCACGTTATAAGGCAACAGGGAGCAGTGGGTTTGTGATGAACCAGAGATTGAAACTTCTGTCTGAAGAGGTCACTGCTACTTGGCTACAGCTGATTGTGCCCATAAAGAAGTGAAAGCCCCAACGATAACGGATCTAATTTTTCAGAGATGCCCTAAATCTGAATTTTAATTTAAAATCTCCTGATTAACCTTCTCTTTAAAAATTCTCAGAACACTGAATTAACCAACACTATGTGTGCTAAACAAAACTGTCTTTTGGGCCTCAAGTTTGAGAATGAACTCTGCTGTATACTCTATGGCCTCTAAGACAAACTCTGATGACTTTTCCCCAAATGAGTAGGAAATCAGGAAGCTTCAGAGAGCCATGGTGTCAAAGAAGGCTTCCTGGAGGAGGTGGGATCAGAAAGGAGCCTTGAAGGATGGATAGTAGAAAAGAAGGGAGAGATCCTTCCAGGCTAGGAGAGGGGAGAGAATATACAGTAAGTATTGAGCACAATACCTGAAATATTACCTGAGGTAATAATATTAGCAGTGATGCCAGTATGCTAGTATATTAACAAGAAAGCCAGTCTAACTGAAATAGATGCATAGAAAATGTGGGACCAGCCACCCAAACCTCCAGCAAATACCATACTTAGTGATGAAACATTAGAAGCTTTCTTTTATAAAATCAGGAACATAAGGATCTTATTACCATTTATATTCATCGTAGGCCCTGGAGGCCCTAACCAGTGTAGTAAGACAAGAATAAGAAATACAAGGATGGGGGAAAAAGGAGGCCAGTCATGATGGTGCACACCTGTAATCCCAGCACTTTAGGAGGCCGAGGCCGGTAGATTGCTCGAGCTTAGAAGTTCAAGGTCAGCCTGGGCAACATGGTGAAACCCCATCTCTACAAAATATACAAAAATTAGCCAGGTGTAGTGGTGCACACCTGTAGCCCCAGCTACTTGGGAGGATCACATGAGCCTGGTCAAGGCTGTAGTGAGCTGAGATTGTGCCATTGTACTGCAGCCTGGATGACAGAGTGAGACCCTGTCTCAAAAAAAAGAAAAGAAAAGAAAAACAAACAGTCATTATTCATAATCATATTATCTACGACAAAAATCCAAGAGAATTTACAAAATAGTGTTCAGCATGATTGCTTAATATAAGTCATAATACAAAAGTCAATTCCACTTCTGTACACAAACAATAAACAGTTTGCAAATATTTCTAAAACTTTATATATTACCTTTATGGAGCAAACCTAGAAACTTCATTGAAAGATAAAGATCTAAATAAATGGGAAGCTGTACCATTTTCATGAATGGGAAGCATCAGTATTGTAAGATGTCAGTTCCTAAATAAACACATTCAATGTAATTATAATTCAAATCACAATTTTGTATGAGTATGGATAATGTACATGTATATTAAGCTGCTTCTAAAATGTGTTATATGTGAAACAGGTAGTCCAAGGCCAGCTTTGGAGGACTTTGGTGCTGGAACATGGAGTTTAGACCTGATCCAACCTGCTGCTGTTTCTCAGGCTAGGGCCGGTGTTTGTATTTTCAAGTATTAAAAACAAATTTTTCTGTTATTTTAACAATACAAGCAAATTCTGGAATTTAAAATTTGCCCAAGGGCTTCTGGGTGATTTCAGGCTAGACACTTGTGTTTGTGTTTGCAGTCACATTTATACTGAGTTACAATCATTTGTCATGGGCTAATGACAGAGGAACAAGGCAGACTGATTATATAAGCATCTGGTTAGACCAAGTGCAGGCCAACTAATCTCACAGCCCAGCAAAGGCTTGTAGCAGCTAGTGTGAAATGGTCGAAGAATTACGAGGCTGGCTCATTTTTGTATTTTTTCAAGACACGGGGTTTTGCCATGTTGCCCAGGCTGGTCTTGAACTCTGAATCCCAAGTGATCCACCCACCTCAGCCTCCCACAGTGCTGGGATTACAGGCGTGAACCGCTGTGCCTGGCCAATTTTATTTTCAAGATTTTACCACTAGCAATATGTAGGATAAATGGGAGATGAGAGGCAAAGGTGAGTTTGAGTAGAGAAGAAATTTTTTTTTTTTTTAATACAGAGTCTCGTTCTCTCTCTCAGTCTGGAGTGCAGTGGCACAATCTTGGCTCACTGCAAGCTCTGCCCCCCGGGTTCACGCCATTCTCCTGCCTCAGCCTCCTGAGTAGCTGGGACTACAGGTGCCCGCCACCACATCTGGCTAATTTTTTTGTTGTTGTTGTATTTTTTTAGTAGAGACAGGGTTTCACCGTGTTAGCCGGGATGGTCTCGATCTCCTGACCTCGTGATCCGCCCGCCTCGGCCTCCCAAAGTGCTGGGATTACAGGCGTGAGCCACCGTGCCCAGCCGAGAAGAAAATTTATTGAAGGTCAATTGTTGACAAGTCATTAGGCACTTACTCCCCTCAAAACAACCCCATGAGATAATTTCTCCCTTATATAAATGAGGAAGTTGAGCCTTAGAAATGTTAAGTAACTTATCCAAAGCTACATAGCTAGAAAGTGAAGCAGGTAGGTTGTCAGTTTAGACTGCATTCTACCAAGCTTTAATACAGGGATGAGTAGTAGCCACTTTGGCATGGCCACAGGGGAATCCAGAAAAAAGAATGAATCTGGAAACCTTATTTTTGAATTGCCTTTTTCCCACTAGAAAACCTGAGATACCCAGCACCTGCCTAGTGTATGGTCTGTTAAGCCTATGATCTAGGTACTGTATGGCTGGGTCCCAAGCCCTGCCTCCTTAAACCTAGTTCCTAGAATGTATGATTAGAGGGGGAGTCCTTTCCTGCCACTCTGTATAACTAGTTGTGACTAGTTTCATGGCCTGTATTACTGTTGTTTTTTGTTACTTGGTGATTGCATATAGGATGTAAATATTTTCTTGGAAGTTGAAAAAATAAATTAGGTGAGACTATATCTACTTGAACTCTTCCTACAGATCTATAGCTCTCATCACCTTCTATCCGGATCAACCTTGTGGTTTGAGTTTTAACAACCTGGCCTGGAAACAGAATGTTTTGTGTTTCAAGGAGAGATTATTGGAGAAAATGTTCAGAAGAATCCAGGTATTCATGAGCTTGAGTTTGCGTGTGGTAGAAATGTCTGCCTCCCACATTCAATCCACGCCACCTTGGATTGTCCCCACCTTCATCATGCAGGGCAGTTTGAAATCAGAGGAGATTGCGAAATTGGAGATTTCAAAGGGACCTTGAGCTCCTCTCGTATAGATGCCTCACAGATAAGACAGGGGCCAAGAGACAAGGACACTTTGTGAGTTTCTGGAAACCCAGCTGAGTCTTGATCTGAAGCCTCTCCTGTTTCCCATATGTTGCAACTTTGTGTTTCTCTTTTCTCAATTAAATTCAATTTTCAAATAGGCATAGACTGCGTAATCCATCTACATGGTTCAAAAGTATGAAAAGCTGTGCACAGAAATCTTGCTCTCCCCCGCCTTCCTGCCATTAACCCTACCACTGACACATGACAATTTTAGGGTTCTTATTTCTCTTTCTTTGGATAAACAAAGGATACTGTTTATCCTTTAGGCCCGGATTTCTCAACCTGGGCACTGTTGACATTTTGGGCTGGATAATTCTCTGCTGCAGGGGACTGTTGTGTGCATTGTGGGATGCTTAGCAGCATTCCTGACCTCTACCTACTAGATGCCAGTAGTAGCAACCCACTGACCTGAGTCATGGTGATCAAAAATGTCTCCAGATGTTGCCAAATGCTCTGTGAAGGGCAAAATCACCTGTAGTTGAAAACCACTGCTTTATGCAAATAGAGGCAAATGCGAACGTGCATTTTGATTTTCACCCTTTTCCTTGAGCAATCTATACACATAGCTTCTCTTCCTGACATGCATATATCCTGATAGACATATATCCATATCCTAATAGATAGATATATATCCATGTCCTGATAGACGTCTATCCATATCCTGATACATGTGTCCCAGAATATATGATGTGTGTATATATGTGTGTGTATATATATATATATATATATTTAACTTTTACATGTATAGATATCCTAGAGATCTCTGAATCAGTGGAGGCTGCCCTCACTTTGGCGGCTATGTAGCAGTCCATGGTGTGGAGGTGCCATCATTGATTGAACTTGTCCACTGTGGTTAATTGGGTACTTGTTTCCAATCTGTAGCTATTAAACTGTGCTCAGGCCAGGCGTGGTGGCTCATGCCTGTAATCCCCACACTTGGGGAGGCTGAGGTGGGCAGATCACTTGAGGTCAGGAGTTTGAGACCAACCTGGCCAACATGGCGAAACCCCATCTCTACTAAAAGTACAAAAATTAGCCAGGCATGGTGCCCACCTGTAATCCCAGCTACTTGGAAGGCTGAGATGGGAGAATTGCTTGAATCCGGGAGGCGGAGGTTGCAGTGAGCCAAGATTGTGCCACTGCATTCCAGCCTGGGCAACAGAGTGAGTGAGACTCTGTCTCAAGAAATAAATAGGCCAGGTGCAGTGACTCACATCTGTAATCCCAGCACTTTGGGAGGCCAAGGCAGGTGGATCACCTGAGGTCAGGAGTTCAAGACCAGCTTGGGCAACATGGAGAAACCTCGTCTCTACTAAAAATACAAAAATTAGCCAGGTGTAGTGGCACACACCTGTAGTCCCAGCTACTCGGGAGGCTGAGGCAGAAGAATCACTTGAACCAGGAGGTAGAGGTTGCTGTGAGCTGATATTGTGCCACTGCACTCTAGCCTGGGTGACAGAGGGAGACTCTGCCTCAATAAATAAACAAACTGTGCTCTGTGAGTAAGCCTGTTCATGTGTCATTCTTCTTTGTGCAGGTGTATCTGTTGTGCAGGTGTATTGGTTGTGCAGGTGTATCTGTAGGTTAGATCCCAGAACTGGGGTTGCAGGATCAAGGGTAAATACATCTCATTTTGGTGGCCACCTCCAGATTTCTCCTCCATGAGAGTCGTGCCCTTTGGTACTCTTATCAGCAGTGACTTGAGAGGCCAGTTTCTCCACAGCCTCACCAACAGGATTGTGAAACGTTTGAATTCTTGCCTATCCCATAGGTGAGAAGTGCCTCATGTTTCTTAACCTGAGTAACATTGATCCAGCCTTACATATCGTGAACAAGGAGCTAAGTGAACTCAGCCTAGTCTGCTTTTCCCTGAATGGCAAGTGTCCTGTGCACATCTGTGTCCAGGTCTTTGTGCTTGCTGTCCCTCTGTCAGGAATGCTCTTCCATTTCACTTTAGACATTTTCACATCCTGTGAGGCTTCCAGATGCCTTCTTCTCTATGAAACGTTTTCCGATTATGCTTTACGCTGCATTTTTGTCCTTCTCCACGTTCCCTCTGGCTTAGTGCTGCTGCCTTGTGTGGCTGCCAGTCACATAGCTGTTGCCCAGAGCCAGGTGGGAGTCTGCAGTCAGGCAGGTCTGGTTTTGAATTCCAGCCTTACCACTTACTATCTCTGGATCCTTGGTCAAATTTCTTCTTGGAGCCTCAGTTTTCTCATCTATAAAATGGGAATGATACTTCTCTAGGAGAAGCCACATAAAGTATGCGGCAGCAGATAGGCATTTAATAAACATCAGCTCCTCGAGGGCAGATCCGTCTTCTTGTTTTCTGCCCTGCCTTCCATGTGCCCTTGCATGCAGTGAATAAAGATATTGTGTCTATTCTTTAAAACACAAAACTGTGGCCAGATGCGGTGGCTCACACCTGTAATCCCAGCACTTTGGGAGGCCGAGGCGAGCGGATCACTCAAGGCCAGGAATTTGAGACCAGCCAGGCCAACATGGTGAAACCCCATCTCTACTAAAACTACAAAAATTAGCTGGGTGTGGTGGTGCACACCTATAATCCCAGCTACTTGGGAGGTTGAGGCAGGAGAATCTCTTGAGCTTGGGAGGCGGAGGTTGTAGTGAGCTGATATCATGCCACTGCAATCCAGCCTGGGTGACAGAGCAAGACTCTGTCTCAAAAAATAAAACAAAATGAAACAAAACAACAAACTTTATAGGAAGTGAATGGTGATTTATTCAGCAATTATTTGAACACATATTTTGTTCCAGGCATAGATCTCAAAACTGAGGATTTAGGCTGGGCACGGTAGCTCATGCCTGTAATCCCAGCCCTTTGGGAGGCCAAGGCAAGTGGATCACCTGAGGTCAGGAGTTCGAGAACAGCCTGAGCAATGTGGTGAAACCCCATCTCTGTTAAAAATACAAAAATTAGCTGGGCATAATGTCGTGCACCTGTAGTCTCAGCTACTCGGGAGGCTGAGACAGGAGAATTGTTTGAATCCAGGAGGCGGAGGTTGCAGTAAGCCAAGATTGCAACACTGTGTTCCAGCCTGGGCAATAAAGCGAGACTCCATCTCAAAAAAAAAAAAAAAAAAAAAAACAAAACAAAACAGCGGAAAGAGAAAATCCCTGTCTTTGTGGAGCTTGCATTCAATTAGGGTGATAGACACCCAATGAATAGAAGTAAATGATTCAGTAGTAAGCATAGATCCAACTATTGTATATCATTTTGTTAAGTTGAGGAACTGTAAGTTCCTTGGGGGCAGGAAGGATGACTGCCCTTCATGGAACCTCTTCAGAGCCTAGTATGATGGAGGAAACCCATACCCACATCTATTAATGTCTCCCCTCTGCTTAAACCCCTAGCAGCTCCTCATGGCCTCCGGGCTATGGTTCAGACTCCTTTCCTGGACTGCAAGGCCCTGTGTGATCCGGGGCCTGCCTTTCTATCTGGCTTTGTTTGTTGCCTGGATATCTATCCACCCTACGTTCCAGCTCCACTGGACCTCCAGTTCCTAAAATGTTCCATGCTGTCTCATCTCTGCTTTATTCTACCTGTTATTCCACTTGCCTGTAATGGTTTCCATGCCCACCTCACCTGGCTAATATCTATATATCCTTTAAATCCTTTTGTTCTGTCTTGGATGTCACTGTCTTCAGGAAACCATCCTTGATTTTCCCACCTCTCAGTCTGTGTTGTGTGCCCCTCCAGCTCTGTGCTCAGTAACAATCAGGACTTCTTTGCTTCAGCCTTTTATTTTTTATTTTTTTTTAAATAAAGATGAGGTCTCACTATGTTGCCCAGGCTGGTCTTGAATTCCTGAGCTCAAGTGATCCTCCCACCTCGGCCTCCCAAAGTGCTGGGATTACAGGCATGAGCTACCACACCTGACCCAGACTTCTACAGCATTATAGGGTAATTGCTGGTTTACTTGTCTGAATCTCCCTAATTGTTCAGCCCCCTCCGGAGTAGGCTTGTCTCTCCCATCTGGTGGTATGTATCTGCAATGAGTACCTGGCACAATGAGTTATGGCTAGACAGATGGATAGTTGAAGCGTAGAATAGGAAGTGGATACATGTTCTGACTTGGCTCTCCTCACTGGGGCCAGCCCAGTCGGAACCTGTTTTCCTTTGTAGGAATCTTGTTTCCCTTTGCCACTCCCTTGAGGCAAGCAACAGGTCCTGCTTCTGGTCCATCACAGGTCTGATGACCCTGGAATGATCACTTACCATTCTGGGGCATTTATTAAATGACCCACTGGGGCTGCAGGATTGCTTAAGTGCAAGAGCTCTGTTGATGTATTCCACAGGAATGGCACCCCTTAGGGTTGTGTAATGTGCCCATGTTGCATTAGATGTTCCATCCAGATCTGAGGTTCCATGGGTGGGGGCCTCCTGCCTCTCTCACCCAGGTTTTCCTCGGGAAGAGCAGTGCCTAATTAAAACCACAAAGGGAAAAACCAGGGCGGCAGACTGTGTGTTATTGTGGCTGATGATGCTTGACATGGCCAGTAGAGGGCAGCAGAGCCGTCCACCATGACCTCCACATTTTCGTTATTGTAAATAAGGGATCCTGAGGATGCCTTCTCCACTCCCTCCCCGTGTGTTTGCTCTCATAGGATGGTTGTTTTTCTGGAAGGTTTGTGGTCTAGCCATTGAACAGAGAGAAAAACATCCCCTTAGGATGTGTTGATGCAAAAAGATGATTTTAGAAAAATTGCCCTCTGGGTTCAAAGAAAGATTACATCATTTCCTCACCTTGAATGTACACAGTCTAGGGATATCTAAACTTTATTTTTTTAATTTATTTATTTTTGAGATGGAGTTTCACTCTTGTTGCCCAGGCTGGAGTGCAGTGGTACAATCTCGGCTCACTGCAACCTCCACCTCCTGGGTTCAAGTGATTCTCCTGCCTCAGCCTCCCAAGTAGCTGGGATTACAGGCGCCCGCCACTGCACCCAGCTAATTTTTGCATTTTTTAGTAGAGGTGGGGTTTCACCATGTTAGCCAGGTTGGTCTCCAACTCCTGACCTCAGGTGATCCACCCACCTATGCCTCCCGAAGTGTTGGGATTACAGGCGTGAGCCACCGTGCCTGGCCTGTACCTAAACTTTTGATGAGGCTATTCTTATCTGTGAACCAACATTTGTGACTAAAGCTCACCTTGGGGAATACAGTGGTAACCTTGCACAGAGAATGCTGTGGCTAGCAGCAGCCCCGTCTGGGGTGGCGCAGACACTCCAGGCTGCTTTGTCTGTCTGAAATCCCAGCAGTGTCATCACAGCATCTTGTGCAAAACATTGATGGTGAAAGATAACAATTTCTTCTATTGCTCACCAGCCTCATTTGGAAAGTTAATTACCAGCTTGTGGAAGTTAAGGAAAGACAAGTTCTTAAACTCAGGGGGATTTGGCATTTTAAAATACAGGTCTGTGGGTGGGAAAATAAGGTTTGTGTGTGGGAAGGATTTGGGAAAATGGACTGAGTGTTAATTTAAGGACTTGAAGTGTTTATGAGGGAACCCTGGATAAGAATAACATTTTAAAAATTGGAGATGATGAGAAACTCAAGCACCAAGGTAAAGAAGTCTGGCTTGTGTTCTTCAACTGGTTTCATGGTCATCAGCAGCAGCCATTGCTCAGAACTCCAACAAAAGCTCTCTAATCTCTTAACTAAAAACTTTTTTTTTTTTTTTGGTTGGGGGTGGGGGGCAGTGGCTGGAGTCTCGTTCTGTCGCTGAGGCTGGAGTGCAGTGGCACAATCTGGGCTCACTGCAACCTCTGCCTCCCAGGTTCAAGCAATTCTATCTCAGCCTCCCCAGTAGCTGGGACTACAGGCTCCCACCACCATGCCCAGCTAATTTTTGCATTTTTGGTAGAGACAGGTTTTGCCATGTTGGCCAGGCTGGTCTCAAACTCCTGATCTCAAGCAATCCACCCGCATTGGCCTCCCTAAGTGCTGGGATTACAGGCGTGAGCCATCACGTCCAGCCCCTAATTAAAAACTCTATATAAATATTTGAGGATCTAAAATACAGAGATACTATAAACATACCCCCCTTTTTTTTTTTTTTTTTTTACTTTCTGAAATCTTTCATTCTCTTTAAAAAATTTCAGAATGAGCACTCTTGGTCTCTTTCCAGGGCGATCCTTGCTAGATATTTTTCTTATATCCAGCTTCTGCTAATTAAATTGAAACAATCCTGACTTCATATTTCACTTGCTCTCCTATCATTCGGCTCCTTATCAGATTGCTGCTTTTTAAAAAAAATTTTGAGACAGGGTTTCACTCTGTCACCCAGGCTGGAGTGCAGTGGTGCGATCTCAGCTCACTGCAGCCTTCTCCTGAGCTCCAGCAATCCTCCCACCTCAGCTTCCCAAGCAGCTGGGACTAGGGGCATGCGCCACCACACCCAGCTAATATATATATATATATACACGTGTGTATGTGTATATATATGTGTGTGTGTATATACACACACACATATATATACACACACATACATATATATACACACATACACACACACACACATACACACACACATATATATATATATATGTATATATATATATATTTTTTTTTTTTTAGAGACAGGGGTCCAGGCTATGTTGCCCAAGCCGCTCTTGGACTTCTGGGCTCAAATGATCCTCCCACCTCAGCCTCCCAAACAGTTGGGATTATAGACACGAAACACTGTGCCCCGCTCAGATTGCTGCTTCAAATCCCTCTTGGGATCACACCTCAAAGAGTCCTGACGTATTTTCATAGAAAACAGCCCATGGGCCTAGAGCCTGTATTATCATACAGTGTAAGGTGAGAAAATTTCAAGGCACGATTTCCAAATGTTAATTTTTCTTCCTTCTACTCCTTCCTTTTGGAGAAGAATTTAAAAGGGACCATTGGTTTGAATCAATGAAAATATTGGCTTAGGTTACTCTGTATTTTGTAAACTTGTTGAAGTACTTGGTTTAACCATTGAAATGCCAAGATTCTATTTAGCTCAACTGTCTCTACACCAGAGATCAACTTTCCTTTTATAGGAGTCATTGATTCAAGAGGAAAATATAATCTGGTATTAGGTCATTTTTAAGAAAAATAATTTTTTAATTTTTGTGGCTACATAGTAGGTGCTTATGTACCTGGGGTACATGAGATGTTTTGATGCAGGCATGCAGTGCGTAATAATCACATCTTGGAAAATGAGGTATCTATTCCCTCATGCATTTATCCTTTGAGTTACAAATGATTCAGTTATACTCTTCTTTATTTTTAAATTTATAATTAAATTATCATTGACGGTAGTCTTCAAGAAAAATGTACTTGAAACTTAGAAAAAAGTTCAGGAAGATGACTGAGTGCCCTTTTAATATCCTACTAGAACATTGTCTGACAAACCCAGCAAAGATCATCTAATAATCTAGGGGAAAATGTAGCAATGTTTTTCTGCAGACTGCCAGATAGTAAATATTTTGGGCTTTGTAGGCCAAAATATGTACTGTCTGTAGCTACTTAACTCTGCCATCATAGTGTGAAAGCAGCCACGGGTAATACATAACTGAATGGATACAGCCACTGTAGGTGCTGAAAAGGGATGATGCCTTTCTTCTCCATCATAAAAATCATGGCCAGCACCTCTATAACAAAAAGGTTAACAGACAAAAGCATAACACATTTCTTTGATCATACTTTTGCGTGACACAGCAGTCTTCAGATCGAAGACCCAAAGATACAGGGGAAGCTATCCATTTTTATGCTTCAGTTTGATGATGAATGGATAGCTGTGTGGAACTGTGGTTGGACCAAAAGGGTGTGATCTAATGCTAATAGGCTGAGCGGGGGAACCCAGCAAGGGCTGTCTGTTCAGATTCTTCTTGGACTCTCTGCAGCATAATTTCCTTCCAGGTATGGGGCAGGACCCTTTCTGGAATGGGGGTCTTATGAACTACAACCAAACAAGGTCAGTCAGATTATTTCTTTGTGGCCAATTCTTACACAGAAAAGTAGGGGAAATTTTTAGATTTTATGGCTGGCTTTGGGGAAAAGGGTTTTGGTTTCCATGATCTCCATTGGGGAAGAGGGATTCTAATATCTGTGCTTGCCTTTTTGGGGGAAAGGGGGAATGAGGCTGAGAGGCAAGCAGGACAAGGTCAGAGAAAAACTGCTTCTGAGCCCTTACTTTAGGGTATTGTCTTCTGAGCCCTAACACTGTTCCAATAAAACTTTATTTAGAGACACTGAAATTTGGATTTCATAGCATTTTCATATTTCATTTTATGTTATAAAATATTCTTTTAGGCTGGGCACGGTGGTTCACGCCTGTAATCCCAGCACTTTGGGAGGCTGAGGTGGGTGGATCACCTGAGGTCGGGAGTTCAAGACCAGCCTGACCAACATGGAGAAACCCCATCTCTACTAAAAATACAAAAAATTAGCTGGGCGTGGTGGCACATGCCTGTAATCCCATTTACTTGGGAGGCTGAGGCAGGAGAATTGCTTGAACCTGGGAGGCGGAGGTTGTGGTGAGCCGAGATTTTGCCATTGCATTCTAGCCTGGGCAACAAGAGTGAAACTCCATCTCAAAAAAAAAAAAAAATCTTTTAATTTTTTTCAACCATTTAAAAATATAAAAATCATCCTTCACTTGCAGGTCTTATAAAAACAAATGGCTGAGATTAATAAATTGCAAATGATTTTTGTCCAGTTAAGATGGGAAGGATTTCTTATGGCAGAAAAGGAGCATCAGGGGTACTGCTATATGCCAGGTAGGACATTAACCCGGTTTGTTTCTAAGTTTCCAGCCTTATCCCGGCATTCATCTTTCCACAGATTTTTTGCCCTACTTAGGTTTCTGTGCCATCCACCTTTGAGCCAGCTTTGTCATTCTGCTTAAGTTGACAAACTCATCAAGTTACAGAATCTTTAGCATATGCATACTCTATATGAGTCAAGAGCTGACCTTTTCAAAAAAAAATTATACTTTGACAGCTGTATATATATATATAAAGCAACATAAGACATTTTAAATAACAATATATAAATTTCTATCCTGTTGTTTTTAAAACTAGAAACAGGGCAATTAAATAATCATTCAATATATGGGCAAAAGGATTCCACCTTATCTTTCCCTCCTGCCAGTGGTGCAGAAAGTGGTCAAGGGAGAGTGGTGGATGAAGAGGGATAGGGGAGACACAGCCCTTGGGAGGGGTCCTCTGTCTACCTGGACTTGATCAAGCTGCAGTATGACTCATCCCGGCATCGGTGACATTGCACTGGGGATTCCTGAAATCTCATACAGTTTTCCATGAATGATTTTGGTTTCCATCCAGCAGTTCTTATCATTGATATGAAACAAAAAAAAAAAAAGAAAGAAAAATAGTATTTTTCAGAGGGCATTGGTGTGAAAAGGCAGGTGATGTCAGAGAACATTGGACTGAGTGTCAAGAGGTTTCCATTTCGAGTCTGGCTAACCAGCCATGTGACATTGGGTAAATCACAGTACTTTTGTTTTTGCATATGTCAAATGAAAAGCTTGAATTCATAGTCATTAATATTCTTTCTGGTGCTAAAATTTTTGCAACAAAAATAGAATAGACCCAAATTCCTTTCGGTGGAATTAAGAGTGATCACTGATTGCTGACTTTTTTTTTTTTCTTAATAAGAATAGCATAGGCCAGACATGGTGGCTCATGCCTGTAATCCCAACGCTTTGGGGGGCCAAGGCAGGAGACCAACATGGGCAATTCCTGTCTCTACAAAAAAAAAAAAATTTAATTAGCTGAAATGTGGCACGTGTCATAACTACTTGGAGGTGGGGGCTAAGGTGGGAGGACTGCTTGAGCCCAGGAATTGGAGATGCCGTGAGCTATGATTGCACCACTGCACTCTAGCCTGGGTGACAAAGACCTTGTCTCAGAAACAAAACAAAATACCCCCACAAAATAACTACCTTGAAGTTAATTCTTTATTGGAACAAGTAGCACAGCATTGGATAGAAAAGTACAAAATGCAATTTTCTGCCTCTGTATGCTGTTCAGTTTATGGTTGTTCCCGACATCTTAGGTCACTTTCCAGTTCAAAGTTAGTTTTAAGTCTGAGAGCAAAGATTTCCTTGCCTAAGGGAGGATTAGATGAAACAAGGCTCCCAAAAGGCGATTGGCCCCCTGACAAAGCTGGAACAGTGGTGAGACAGATGGAAGTAGAAGAGAAGGAATCAGAGGCCCTTTTGAATTTAGAAGTGGACTTGTGAGTGCTAGGATTTCCCTGGGTTTTTCAAGCCCAGAGAAGAAATTGGAGCAAATTTCACAAGGCATGGGTTTTTCACCTATTTGAGGAGGTGAGGGATCTGTTGAGAAAAGAAGAAAGCTAAGGTCCCTCTCCTTGGAAACCTGTGCGCACACACACGAAGTGTATGAAGTACCTGTGCGCATACACACCAAGTACCTGAAGTCTGTAACTTCAGGATCTTTTAAGACCCATGGCATGAAGAGATTGGCTGAATTTGAACAAAGGAACCCTGGGGCATTAGATGTAGAACTTTGTTGTCTTTGGAGAGAGACCTGGTCTCACACTTAAATACCCAGGTGGCCCCATTTTGTTTTATTAAACCAATTTCGTCTCTTTGACCCCCAGCTCTTACAATCACATGCCCGATTGCACAGCTTTCTCCCTTCCAGCAAATCCTTTTTGATCACTATTACATAAACTCTAAATTGAGTGTCCAAATTGCAGGCGTCTAGGATCCAAAACAAATGTAGGTTGCAAATAAGTAAGGTTTTTAAAAAAGATCTTTGTCTTCTTAAGTTGCTGATAGTTACTGCTTGCTGGGAACTGTAGGCCTTTCCTGGCAAGATTTCTCAACATTCTCTTGAGAGCAGTTGTGTTAACAAGTTATGAAGATTACTTTAATGCTTTGCTTGGAATTCATTTCGTATCTGCATAAATCTTCAAGGCCATTATCATATCAGTGAGATATTTCTAGTATTTTTGAGAACTCTGATGCATCAAAATGTCTGAGTTCAGCTCGTTCTTAATGTGGTGACAGGGTCAAATGTGTTGGTTTAGATTCAGGTGTTTCGTTTTTGTTTTTATCTTATGCCTCCAAACACTTAAAAGTAAATTGGGTCGCTTATCTTCAAATTTGAGGCAGGAAATACTGTTTGGTTCTCATACTTTCTTCCCGTATGTTTCATTTCTGAAACATTCTGGCTTGTTTACACATTGATGGTAACCGAGCTTCCCCCCTCCCCCTCCCAACTGTAATTTTGAAAAATTTCAAATCTGCAGGAAAGTAGAACAATATAGACTCCTTCGCTTAAATTTTGTAGACTCCTCACTTACATTTGCCAGCTCACATTTTTTTACATCTGGTTTCTCTCGCTGTGTGAATGTGTGTGATCTTATTTTTGTTGTGGTTGTTGTTAAACCACTGGGAAGTTGCAGGCCTGACATTTATTCCCTAGGTATTTCAGTATGTATTTACCAAAAATCATTAAATAACTATTAAATTATTTAAATTAATTGTAATACCTTCATCACACTCAAGGAATTTAGCATCAATTCACTAATATGTGATGCAGTCCATATTCAAATTTTCTACTTTGTCCCAAGAATGTCCTTTACTTCAGCCTTTTGTTTGAGGATCCAGTCAAGGATCGACAGATTTCTTTTAGTTGCCATGTTTCTTTAGTCACCTTTAATCTAGAAAAATCCTCAGCCTGTTAGACCATTTGGGTAAGAATACAGCCCAGGTGGTGCTGGCATGTATCTGGTTGTGATCGCATGATAATTGGTTGTACCAAAATCAGTGTTGCTAAGTTTGGTCACTTAGTTACAGTAGCATCTGCCAGGTCTTATAAAAGGGACCCTATTCTCATGTAAAAGTTTGGGTGTTGGCAGGGGGCTGAAAATGGGTGTCCTATTCTGAGACAAGGAGAATGAATTTTCCCCCAACAGCCTTGGCCTCTCTGATTGTAACATCCACTGATGTTCTTCTCAGCTGTACTTTGATTTGTTGTTGGAGATGGCATGGGGGAAAGGAAAAGTATAAAGGAAATGTATTCCAGCAGATCTTTGTAGAATCAATTCCATTGCTCCTTTATTTGTATAGTTACAAGAAATGAATGATGTGAGTGCTCTGTATTTTCTAGATTGTCATACTCAATCTATATGAACAAAAGAAGCTTAGTTTACTTCTGTCTCTCCATAGAGAAACCTCCAAGGCAAATATTTGTCTGGAGTTAGTAGCCTGCAATGATTACCGAAGGTCCAGATGAGGTTATTAAAATGCCTGGTGTTTGCCCTGGTGGCACACACAAGATAAATGAGGCAGAATTCTTTCAGCTTGGTTACATGTTGGTTTTTCATGTTCCAGTTAATAGTACAGAGTAGGAACATCTGCTTTAGCAGGTCCAGCTAGATAAACAGCTTCTGCAGTATAACAGAAATCAGCAGCCTATGCCATTGACTTAAGGAGACAGATTTAAACTTTGTAAATAAAAGGTTTGACTAAAGCTTATGAGGAGGAATATTTCTGCATAGATGAGAAAGCTCAAGTGAATTTTGTATTTAATCTTTCCCCATAGGGTAGTGAACTAAAACATTAGTTTTGGGCTAGTGGCTGAGAACCATCTCTTTAAGACAGAAATATTTTGGCAATCTAAATCTCCCTTGGGCGGCATTAGGTAGAGAGTGATGTAATTCCTAATCTCAAACATTTTTGTTTCAAACATATTAAATGTTTCTACAAAGCCATCTTCGAGTTGTGGCTTTATGGACTCAAGCGGCTAAGGCAGTGGTTCTCAGTCAGGGTGCAGTTTTTTTCCCTAGGGAACATTTGGTAATGACTGGAGGCTTTTTTTTTTTTTTTTCAGACGGAGTCTCGCTCTGTCACCCAGGCTGGAGTGCAGTGGCGTGATCTCTGCTCACTGCAAGCTCAGCCTCCCGGGTTCACGCCATTCTCCTGCGACTGGAGACATTTTTGATTGTCACAACTAGGAGGGTGGTATTGGCATCAGGTACAAAATGTCACTGATGGCAAGGTTGGAAAAACTGCTTTACAGGATAGAAAGTTATTTTACTGACAAATATGTGCAGTGTATGAGATACTGGGTGTTCCAAGAAAATGAAGTCCTGGACCCTGCCTTCAAAGCTGGTTATATCACAGCTGTTGACAATCACAAAACTATGGTAAATACACTTTCTTATTCATCTACGAGCCTTAATGATCTGAGAGGAGATGGCACAGCAGGCTATAAGTAGGAGCCCCATTTGGGCTGGGACTTACCAGATGAGTAGGCATTAGTAAGTGTGGAGGGTTGAGAAATCCCACTCTTCAGTTCATACAGCATCATCATTGTTCCATGGAGGCCTCTTATTGTTTCCTCATTTGTGCCTCCTTTCCTCCATGCCACTGGCAACCATATTCGTGGGTTAAATATAACAGAAATCTTTAATTTTGCATGTTTTTAAAAAATAAAATGTGTATTGACTGTAGATAACTTATGTAGATGGAATTGTGTTAAGATATCTCATTCAGTTCTTTTCCAGTTAACCCTATGCTATTAAAATCAATTCATGTTGCTATGGATCCATCTATTCTGTTGCTTTGAATTGCTTTCCTGGTACTCCTTGGAGTGTGTAGCAGTTAGTATGCTTTGTGATGAACCATCCCAAACTTAGTGACTTAAAACAATGGTCACTCCTTTTTCGTGAGTCTGTGGGGTTGGTTGAGTGGTTTGGCTGATTTGTGTCTGGGTCTGCTGATCTCAGCTGGTGTCACTCATTCATCTGTGATCTGCTGGAGACTGCATGATTTAAGAGGTCCATGGCACATTGTTGTCATCCTTCATCAGTTTGGCCTAAACTTGGTCACCTGATGGCAAGGCCAGGAATCCAAGGGAGGAGAATTGTGCAAGGCCTATACTTGGAACTTGACCACAGTCATTTCTGCCATATTCTGTTGGCTAAACCAAGGCACGAGTCCAATCCACAAATCCAGTCTGGATTCAAAGTGTGGGGAAATAGACTCCACCACTTGATGGGAGGAACTGAAAAGCGACATTGCAAAGGGATGGTTATAGGGAGTTTAATTAGAGCCATTGATTAGTCAGAGTATGCATCCACCACCTTTTGCCTATTCACTCTTCCAGTGATGGAAGCCAAAGTTGATTCCAACTCTGGAAGCTGTGATAAATATCTTTGTACATGTCACCTTGTGGAGCTGTTTGATAATTTGGAAGCTATATTCTCAGGAGTAAGATTGCTGAGGCAAATGGTTACATCTACCTGGAATGTCTATAGGAACAGCAGAAGATGAGACTGGATACTTCCTTGTTGAGAAGTTGGGATTTGGTGCTAAGGTTTAGTGGGCAACCTTGAGTTTTAGGTAAGGTTAATGCATTTAGACTCATGTTTTAGAGGGATTATCTTGGCAATAGTGTGAGGGTTGGAAGAGACGGGTACTACATTAGGTCCTTGGGTGCCTCATTGGAAGCTGACTTAGGCCAGCTGAGAATCTGAATTAAGGTCATAAAAATGGAGAGAAGATGCCAGGCACAGTGTCTCACGCCTGTAATCCCAACACTTTGGGAGGCCGAGGTAGGTGGATCACGAGGACAGGAGTTTGAGACCAGCCTGGCCAACATGGTGAAATCCCGTCTCTACTAAAAATACAAAAATTAGCTGGGCATGGTTGTGGATGCCTGTAATCCCAGCACTTTGGGAGGCCGAGGTAGGTGGATCATGAGGACAGGAGTTTGAGACCAGCCTGGCCAACATGGTGAAATCCCGTCTCTACTAAAAATACAAAAATTAGCTGGGCATGGTTGTGGATGCCTGTAATCCCAGCTACTCGGGAGGCTGAGGCAAGAGAATCACTTGAAACCGGAAGGTAGAGGTTTTCAGTGAGCTGAGATCGCACCACTGCACTCCAGCCTGACCGACAAGAGCGAAACTCCATCTTAAAAAAAAAGAGAAGGTAGAATCAACCTGACCTGGTGGCTGACTGGATGAGGGAAAAGCAGGAGTCTAGGATGACTTCCTGGTTTCTGTCTTGGGTAGGTGGGGAGATGGTGTTGGCATGAGTTGCTGGGAATGAGGGAGAAAGAACAGATCCTCGGGGAGATGATAAGTAAGTCCTTTTTGGGCAGCATTCAGTATAGGAGACTGTGGAGTGGCAAGGCAGAGATGGCCAGAGAGCATACTTGCATGTGTAGGTATGTAGCTTGAAGAGAAGTCGAGGTTAAAGATGAAGATGTGGGAATTTCCAGTCAATGGGAGGAGGTGACTGCTAGGGGTGGGTTTGTCTAAGGCAATGGTTCTCAAACTTTAGCTGCATCAGAATCACCTGGAAGGTTGTTAAATCGGAGCTCCCCAGGCCCCACCCCCAGAGTTCCTGAGTCAGTAGATCTGGAGTGGAGCCATAGAATTTGCATTCTAACAAGCTTCCAGGTGACGTTGATGTTGCTGGTCTGGGACCACACTTTGAGAGCCAGTCTGGGGCAAAAGTACAAATGGAGAAGGCCCTGGCAGGCCATGTTCAAGGAGTGGGCAAAGGGAAATAAGTCAGCAAAGGCATTTAAGAGAGTTTAGGCTCTGAGAAGCCAAGAGAATACTGAGATACCCAGTTAAGACCATTCCTTTAAGCGGCTCAATTCAAAAGGAGAAGAGAGCAGAAAATAGAAGACACCACAGGGTGTTGAGGATTTTTCCTTACCATTTAATTGTTATCATAAGAGACTTAAGCATCCTTTCAGGATGAAAGAGTCACACCTCCTTCGCACTCTACCGACTCCATGTCTCT
Organism: Homo sapiens; assembly: GCF_000001405.40. NCBI lineage: Eukaryota > Metazoa > Chordata > Mammalia > Primates > Hominidae > Homo > Homo sapiens. The sequence goes on from NC_000003.12 coordinate 32,308,182, forward strand.
AATTTAGCACAGGGAGGCGGAGACATTCAGACTAAATGGTCCTGCTTTCCACAGCATCAGAAAACACAGAAGCAGATTCATGTCCACAGTGTGAGGGATGCTAGTGATATATTGTGAAGAAATAAAAAATCAAGCTACAGAAAAATATATTGAGTTGTCTTTATAGAGAAAAACAATTATGTGAAGTCCCCCTCCATATGTCTGCATGGTTATGCTTAAAAGAAAACAGATTTGCAGGAGAGCTCTTGAGCACACAGCTAAGCATTTCCAGCCCGCAGTTTCTTCTCCAGAACTTAGCTACTTGGATGGGACAGTGGAGAGTGCACTAGAGTTGGAAAGGGCACTGGCATGAGGAGATCGGGGCTCTATCATCGTTCATGAGTTCAGCATGACTTCACCTCTCTGTGTCTCAGTTTCTCCATCTGTAAAATGGGACTAATTATGGTACCTACCTCAGAATCATGATGAGGATTAAATAAGAATACATGGAAAGCCCTTAGAACACTGCAAGTTATGTATGAGGTACTCAAAATAGACATAATCTGCTCTTAATGTATTTTAATATGAGTTAATAGACACAATGACGCTTAGTGAACTTTAATATATATTATCCATTAGATCCTATGGTGCAACTGTCACATGAAAATAAGGTGGTAACATCTCTAGGAACCTAAGGTTCAAAACTCAGAATTTGGGGTCACAGCAGCCCTACCATTAGAGATGCTCCTTCCTATGCTGGAAAGTCATCGTGGCAGCTCTGTATCAACCATGACCAAAAGGGATTGGCCCCTGTCTTCAGACACCCATCGTCCTTGAGGTTATGGCACTATGAGGTTGGGAGAATCAGGAGGTTTGAAAGGTCATTGGATGTTTCTTAGTGAGAACTGGGTGTCCTGGGGAGTGCTGAGTCTGGGTCATATGTACGCATGTGTACCAAGTTGCTCATCTCCAGACAAGCATCCTTAACACACTCACTGCTGGTTCACAGAAATGGGTGGAGGGTGGTGGGGCAGAGCATTGCCTGGGCCTTTCTAGACTTGGTGCTGTGGGAAGACCAGCTGATTTGGGTTTAAACTTGGAAGGGCTCAAGCATGGCTGAGCTCTCAACCAATTTACCAATTTTTTTTTTTTTTTTTTTTTTTTCGAGACAGAGTCTTGCCCTGTCGCCCAGGCTGGAGTGCAGTGGTACAATCTCAGCTCACTGCAACCTCCACCTCCCGGGTTCAAGTGATTCTCATGTCTCAGCCTCCTGAGTAGCTGGGATTACAGGTGTGCACCACCACGCCCGGCTAATTTTTGTATTTTTAGTAGAGACAGTGTTTTGCCGTCTTGGCCAGGCTGGTCTCGATGTCCTGACCTCAGGTGATGCACCTGCCTCGGCTTCCCAAATGCTGTGATTGCAGGCATGAGCCACCATACCTGGCCAACCAATTTTTTTTCTTATGCCCCCGTGCTGGACTCTTGTGTCCATGTAGTGTTCCAGACTTATAGAACCTAGGTGTCTCACTTTTCCTCAAAGTCGGTCATGCTTTCAGTAACTTGGCTATTCTGATTGAGCCTGTGGTTCATCAGAAGTCCAGAACAGATGTTCATACCCTGTGTTAGCCCTGTCTGTGCTCTTGGGGTTTATGATTTCCTAAGTCACAGTAGGGGATGGGAGCTTTATGCAGGGAGGCCCTCTCGTACTGCGGGCATCCTGAACTTTCGATGGGAATGTCTGTTCACTGCCCCCAGGCATCAGATGACTGAGTTCAGTCACCCTCAACCTTGCCTGGTCAGCCCTGCTTTCTGCAGGACCATTTGAGGTTCTCACAGCCAGTCTTTATTTTCACAGCTCAGTTTTTAGAAAAGAGGAAGCAAATTAAGGACATCTCAAAATGAGACTAAGTGAACACAGGAGATCCATCCATTCTGATTTTTACTGTTCTCATGTGTAGAAAGGAGTAGTGGGGCTGTGGATGATTTTTAAAATTGTGGTTTTTTTTTTCTGTAAATCGAATTTATCAAGGCTAAAGTGTGGCTTTGAAATTAGGTACTCAACTGTAGGGACAAATTTGGGAGATGGCTCTCCAAAGGAATCCCATCAGATTCCAGCGTGGCAGAATTCTAGAGCAAAGGGATTTTGCTGGCACTGTCAGGCTTCAGCTTAAATTTACAGTTCAGCTGTGTTTTTGCTCCAAGAAAAAAATATACCTGAGCTGTAGATACACTGTCTGGAGATGCTTTAGAGATCTCCCATCCAGTAAATAACATCTTAATGGGAGGCCTTGTCCTTGCCAATGAGGGGTGCCAAAGGAAGAAATGAGTTCAAGTAAACTAGGCCGGACTTAAAAATAGCTGTTTACTACTTTCTCCTAGGGTTATTTTCCTGCAGCGCGAGGAAGAAATCATACTGCGAGGCTCAACACAGCAATCGTGTGTGCCATTTCCTCCCAGGAACCTGAGAATTTCTCTGCCAGGATTATCCTTATGGTCAGCTATGGGCTCATGCTTTTGAGTGGTGCCAGGTGCAACTCTGAATGTCTAAATAAACTAGGAAATACTCTGACTTGTTTTATAGGATTGGTTTGCATTTTCAGGTTATACAAGTATAAAGAATTGTGAATTGTAGAAAGTTGGAGGAAAACATAGAAATTTGGAAATACACAAAGTTGGAAAAAAATGTTAAACACCTATGCTGCTATAATTTTTGCTTTTCTTTCTGGACATTTTTAGAGCATATGCTTAATATTTCAGTAATTAATGATGGTTATGATAAAGACAAGGTAAACAATTGGACCTGTCTTTCAACAAGTGAATGAATAAACAGTTGTGGCATAGCCAACAATACTGCACAGCAATGTAAATTACTAATGTAAACGACCTGGATGAATTTTAGACATTGTGTTGAATCAGAAGCCAGACACAAAAGAGTATATACGGTATCGGGGATGGTCAGCAAACCACAGCCTACAGGCCAGACCCAGCCCATGACGTGTTTTTGTGTGACCCGCAAGCTAAGAATGACTTTTATATTTTTTAACGGTTGCGGAAAAAATTAAAACAAGAATACTGTTTTGCAGTTTGTAAAAAATTATATGCAATTCAAATTTCAGTGTCTACAAATAGTTTTATTGGAACACAGCCATTCACTTGTGAACTGTCTATAGCTGCCTTTGTGCTCCAAGGACAGAGTTGAATCATTGTGACAGAGACCGTATGGCTGCAAAGCTTAAAATATTTGCCATCTGGCAGGACTTCGCTCCTTCTGGAGGCTCTAGGAGAGAATTGGTTCCCTTGTCTCTCCAGCTGCCTTCCTGGGCTCATGGCTCCGTTCCACTCTCCCGACTCGTTTTTCACCTTTGTGGACCCTTGTGACTATATCAGGCTCATCTCGTAATCCAGGAGAACTTCCTCACTTTAAGATTCTTAATCCCATGTGCAATGTCCTCTTTGCCATGTGAAACTCCTGTTTCCTCTCTAGTATTCATAGTCAGCCCACTTCTGTGGCCACATGTGTAGTTCTTTTTCCCCCCACACCAACCGATTCTCCACCAGCTGGATGTCCTATAAATCAATTCAATTCTGACACTAACTGGAGTTAGCACAGATCCCACAGGTTGAAGTCTCAGTCCCACCAGACTGCCCCTGCCCACTTCAAACGCCAATTGCAAGTAGTAGGTCCTGTTGACCTAAAGGAAGAAACTGAGGCAAATTAACACAGGTAGAGAATTGCTTTGGGATAAGTTGATGACTGCAGCCCGGGAAGCACTGGGAAGTCCTCTGGAGAACAAAAGAGAGGCTTCAGCTTTTAAAGAAAAAAGGATGACTCAGAGGAGGGGCGATTATAAAAATTGTTTTCAAGAATTCTCCTTGGTTTACGGAAGTAACATTGATGAGAGATTGGCTATACTTTGTTGAACTACAGGGTATGGGTTATGGTATCCAGTGTATGGCATTGTTACGTTAATTTATAGCTATTTGTGGCGTCAGTCTAGAGCCCTCATAGCAAGCAACTCGGAGATGATTACTTAGTTCAAGGGCAGAGGGGTAAGATGTGACCCCTGAAATGAAATGTCTCATTTCAATGCCTCCCTAGGCTTGATAATTTAAAGGGGGCCCGCATCCCTCAGATAAAAAGTTTCTTTTCTTTCTCAGTCCCCAGGTAATCCCACAATTTCTGTCTGACTTAGCTACAAATTGGCAGTTCCTGTGACCCCCACCTCAGGTACAATCACTTGCTAGAACAGCTCACAGAACTCAGGAAACACATTTACTGTAAAGGATATTACAAAGGATACAGATGAACAGCCAGAAGCTGAGGTACCCAGGGCAAGGCATGTGGGCAGGGGTGTGGAGCAGGAGCTGTGTCCCCATGGAGTTGGGGGTCACCACCCTCCTGGCATGTGAACATGTTCTTCCTCACCAACCTTGAAGCTCTGCAAACTCTGTCCTTTGAGGTTCTTATGGAGGCTGCATGACAGAAGCACGCTAGATTAAATCACTGGCCATTGGTGATCAATTCAATCTTCAGTCCCTCTTCCCTACCCAGAGGTTGGGATGTCGGGCTGAAGGTTCTAACCCTCTAATCACATGATTTGTGCCCCCTAGCAACCGCCCCCGATCCTGTGGTGGTTATCTAGTAGCTTTCCAGAAATCACCTTATTAACATAAACTCAGATGTGGTTGAAAGGGGCTTGTTATTAAATAACAAGACTTTTTTTCACCTTTATTGGTCCAGGGCTGTTCCAGGAACCAAGGACAAAAGACCAAATCTTATAATAAAAGATATTCCTATTGCTCTAATCACTTAGGAAATTATAAGGGTTTTAGGAGCTATAAGGCAAGAACTGTGGATGAAGACCAAAATGTATATCTTATTATATCACAGTATCACACCATGTAAGGTAACATATTCATGGGTTCTGAGGATCAGGGCATGAACATCTCTTGGAGGCCATTATTCTGCCTAGCACTGATGGAGACAGGAGGCAGCCAACTCCTGCCCCTGGTGAAACCCCACCTTAAGCCTAAAACAGCCTGAAAACTGAAAAACCAGACTGCTGGTCCCGAATGAAGCCCGCTCTTTCCCGACGGATTCTTTCTGAGTAATGTCCACCTGAGCACTGGGAGAACAGGGTGGGGCCTTGGAAATTTCATGCTATTTGCAGCAGGGGGGAGCCTAGCATTTCGTATTCCTGTGTAGTGAGCTGGGATTCAGTCAGTGAGGTGGAGAGCCTGTTAGCAGGCTCCCACCTCAGCCTCCTGTGTAGCTGGAACTACAGGCTCATGCCACTATGCCCGGCTAATTTTTTGGTATTTTTAATAGAGAAGGGGTTATGCCATGTTGCCCAGGCTGGTCTCAAACTCCTGAGCTCAAGCAAGGTGCCCACCTTGGCCTCCCAAAGTGCTGAGATTACAGGTTTGAGCCACCAGGCCTGGCCCAGCATCCAAATCTCTTGGAGAAATTGTTAAAAATGCAGACATCTGGGACCCATCCCAGAACTACTGGGTCAGAATCTCTGGGGGTTTAGTGCTCTGGAATCCGTGTTTAGCAAGTTACAGGTAACTGATACACTTTGCAAAGCACTGCTTTAAAAGACCAGGTGAAGAGGGAAGAGTGGGAGGAAGAATGACTCATTGTGCTGTTATAGAAAAAAACCATGTTCTTGTCACACGACCAGGAAAGATTAGGCTCGTGGACACATAGAAGGGTGAGGAGTGGAATTTACTGGGTGAAAATTTACTGCTTGAGCCTGGGAGGTTGAGGCTACAGTGAGCCATGATCGTACCACTGCACTCAAGCCTGGGTGACAGAGCGAGACCCTGTCTCAGAAAAAAAGATCTGGATGCCAGTACTCTCTAAGCATCATAAAGGAAGATGACTCAGTCTCAGAGAAGCTGCCGAGGCTAGTTCCTGGAGAGGGTTCTACAGGATCTATTTCTCATTTTGGAGGCTAGTACAGCTGCAGTAGCAGCTACACCCTACAAAAGTAAAGCATCATTACTTTGTTCTCCATCAACCATTGGGCCCTCTGGAGAAAGGGGAGCAGTGTGAGTTAAGAAAAGGGCAACCTTGTTATTCTGTGGTTATTATGACATGAGAGCAATGTTGGGTGTATCAGGGCTGCAGGGGCTGGTTGGGGTACCAGAGGATTTGCTGAGGAGTGCTGGAAGCTCCTGACCAGTGGCTGCTCTGCAGAAATTGAGGGAGGGTTGATGCAAGTTCCTAGTTCAAGAGCAGCCAGCCCTTCAGACACCAGGGGTGTGAAGGCAGGTCCTACTGGGGAGAGGGTGGGTAGGCAGAGTAAGCCAGAAAATTTTTTTTTTTTTTTTAAAGACAGAGTCTCACTCTGTTGCCCAGGCTAAAGTGCAGTGGCACCATCCCAGCTCACTGTGACCTCCACTTCCCGGATTCAATCAATTCTCATGCCTCAGCCTCCCAAGTAGCTAGGATTACAGGCGCATGCCACCACACCCAGCTGATTTTTGTGTTTTTGGTAAGACAGGGTTTTACTGTGTGGGCCAGGCTGGTCTCAAACTCCTGGGCAAGGGATCCACTTGTCTTGGCCTCCCAAAGTGCTTGGACTGCAGGCATGAGCCTCCACGCCAGGGCTAGAAATGTTAATATGCCTTTCTTTCTTTCCATTATTGGTAAGGAAGGAAAATTTTCTAGGGTAGGCTCAGGGTTGGGTGGCGGGGGGGGTCCAACTGAGGCCTTGTTGATGGAGATATTGATAGCCTTGTACACAGATCTTTATTTTTTTTTTGCGTTCTAGTGAACATAGGTGAAAACTTAATAAGTGGCAAAAAAATTCCCATCACAGTTGTCCCTGTTTCCCTGTTCATACTTCCTGACTTTTGAGTGCCCCAGTGAGCCTTTGGTCATTGGTTCAGTGGTGAACTAAGTGCTGTGGGGAAACAAAGGTAACTAAGCCACAGCCTCTGTTTTCTTCTTCTTCTTCTTCTTTTTTTTTTTTTCTTTTTGAGATGGAGTTTCACTCTGTCACTCAGGCTGGAGTGCAGTGGCACGATCTCAGCTCACCGCAACCTCTGCCTCCCAGGTTCAAGTGATTCTCCTGCCTCAGCCTCCCGAGTAGCTGGGATTACAGGCGCATGCCACCACACCCAGCTAATTTTTGTATTTTTATTAGAGGCGAGGTTTTACCATGTTGGCCAGGCTGGTCTCGAACTCCTCACCTCAAGTGATCCACCCACCTCGGCCTCCCAAAGTGCTGGGATTACAGGTGTGAGCTACCACGCCCAGCCCTGTTTTCAAAGACTTTGCAGTTCAAGGAAGAGATGCGGACACTGAACCACAAAACGGGGCAGGATGAACCAGTTGCTAGAATAGAGGCATCACTGGCCAGGTGCTCAGCGAAGGCACCCACAGTGGGATCCCTGGAATGTTAAAGCAAAAGAGATTCCATGGCTGAGCAAGGTTGGAAGGCCAGGTTAATCACAGTTAATGTTGTACTATGTGACTCCATGCTTTAATATGACACATTGCCAAGAGATGGCTTGAGTCCAGCTTTTCCCAGATTTGACCATGAACCTTTGCTTCATAAAATATTTCTGAGAACATGCTTTGAAAAAGGTGACTTATGGAGCAGATGGCATATTTTTTGGTGGCTTATGTAGTATTAAATACTAATTCCTAAACTATCTGGAGTTGACAACCTATATTTTATTTCTTTTAAGAAACCCAGATGCCTCTCATTCCCTCTCTTTTTAATGAATTGGATCCATTTTGAGAAACTCTTAGTACTCCTTGAAATAACTAGACATCCTCTGGAAAGTTATAAAAGAAAATTACCAAGATCTAAAATTTTACTTGATCTTTTCTGTGATTCCACCTTTTTTTTTTTTTTTTTTTTTTTTTTTGAGATGGAGTCTTGCTCTGTCGCCCAGGCTGGAGTACAGTGGCGCGATCTCGGCTCACTGCAAGCTCCGCCTCCCGGGATCACGCCAATTCTCCTGCCTCAGCCTCCCGAGTAGCTGGGACTACAGGCGCCCGCCACCAAGCCCGGCTAATTTTTTGTATTTTTAGTAGAGACGGGGTTTCACTGTGTTAGCCAGAATGGTCTTGATCTCCTGACCTCGTGATCCGCCTGCCTCAGCCTCCCAAAGTGCTGGGATTACAGGCGTGAGCCACCACACCCGGCCAATTCCACCTTTTTACTTTCTCAAGTCCATTCACTAGTTAAGCAGATTTGATGAAGTTTTGGCCATTGTCTTAAAAAAAAAGTTCCCCTGAGAATAATTCTAACTTTCCCAGATCCTTGGTGTTTACACATTGTGTCCTGAGCCTTGACAGATGTGCAACTTTTTCAGAGCAGCTTAGTAAAAAGTTGACAGAAGGCATGACAAGAATGCAGCCTTTATTGTTGAAAGGTTTGTGGCTAAACGTATAGAGCCTGATGGAGATGTTGAATCAATTGTTGAGCTCTATGCTACCTGAATATCAAGTGAAAGCTGCACATAAAAGATCCTGCTTGTTTGGGGATTTTTTTTTCCCCCTAAAACAGCAGCAATTTTCATTGAAACTCCAGATTTATTCAGGGGAAATAATATTTGGGAGTGAGATGGGAAGGTGAGTTGAATGACTTGAGTTGAAAGCTAAATTTTTCAGTGAAGTTTTTAGAAACCAGTTATTACATGGCAGGATCAAATCCCTGACTGTTCGTAAGTCCAGACTTGAAAGTCAATTTGCCAATATGGTAGATATCTTCCTATGATAGGAGGTTGTTTTTGCATATAATTTACTCCTAAAAATGCAGGACAAGCCAGCGTTTGGAAATTGAACCCTAGACTTACATATTACTCTAAGAGAACTGAGTATTGGAAGTGTCTTGGGATCTAAATTTCAAACGCTTCAGAGAGCTCTGCACAGATAGGCAGTCAAGGGAAAGGGTGAAGTGCATCTGAAATCTGCTTGTCACTTGCAAGCTGTGGGACCTGGGACAGGGACTCATATCTGTGCTGCTTTCCTCTTCTGAAATCACAGTTGGTCGTAGGATTGACCTCAGGGCCAGGCTAGGATTAAGTCTGTCAATACATGGAAAGGGCTCAGAGCTGCCTGGACCACAGGGACTTCTCAGTAAATGTTAGTTTATTTTTTATATAAATACTTAAAACATAGATTAAACAGTAAGTATGGACAATTGTGATTACTTTTCTAAAGTAAATTCCTCACATTTACCTTGGTCCATCTTACTTGAAATGACATTTAGTAGGAAAATAAACATTAATGTTGGAAGAAAGACTTACTGCTAAAGGGAAGGAGGTAAATGGTCATAACTTTGGATTTTATATTTGAATTCACACATTGTTGGTGGGAAAATAAATTGGCCTAAACTTTATGAAAGTCAGTTTAACAATAGCCATCACAATAATGAATGCAGGTACCCTTTGACCTAGTACTTCTGTATAAACTTACCCTAAGGTGAACCTAAACACATACAAAGTGTCGTGTGTAAAGGTGATAGTATGCAGCACTGTTTGCAATAGGAGGAGACTGGAAACAACCAAAAATGTCCACCAATGGGAAACTAGTAGACACACTGTCATACTCAGGAATACCAACTATGTAGCAGTTTAAAAAGAAATAAGGGCCAGGTGTGGTTGGCTAATGCCTGTAATCCCAACACTTTGGAAAGCAGAGGCGCGCAGATCATGAGGTCAGGAGTTCAAGACCAGCCTGGCCAACATGGTGAAACCCCGTCTCTATTAAAAATATAAAAAATTAGCCGGGCATGGTTGTAGGCACCTGTAATTCCAGCTACTTGGGAGGCTGGGTCAGGAGAATCGCTTGAAACCAGAAGACAGAGGTTGCAGTGAGCCCAGGTCACGCCACTGCACTCCAGCCTGGGCAACAAGAACGAAACTCTGTCTCAAAAAAAAAAAAAAAAAAAAAAAGAATGCGTTCTAAGTTCTTAGAAAAGATCTCCCAAATGCAAATGTGTTAAATCAGGAAAGCAACCTGTGGGATGTCAGCGGGGATTAAGTATAACTTTGGAAAGATACACAAGAAACTAAGAACATTGTCCACCTCTAGAGAGTAGGCAGGAAAAGCCATGGCAAGGAAGACCCCAAAGGGTGATTCCAGGGACAAAGAGATTTCTCCCTGTTTAACCTCTTATACTTTTCCATTTTTTAACCAGGTCAGTGTGTTATCTATTTGAAGAATTAAAATAATTAGAAGGAATTCAACCCACCCTTCCTCCTCTCATAAAGATGTTTGCAGCAAGCAGTAGCCCTGTTAGCAGTGCTGAGACCCTGGGAGCTTCTTTCTGTGTTTAGGTCTCAGGAATGGCTGGTTTTATTTTTATCTTATTGTGAGAAATGTGAAACTGCGCACAATAAAATCACATCTGCCCACCACTTAGCTTTAGTCATTATTAATTTTTTTTTTTTTTTTTTTTGAGACAGAGTCTCACTCTGTCACCCAGCCTGGAGTGCGGTGGTGCGATCTTGGCTCACTGTAAGCTCCGCCTCCCAGGTTCACACCATTCTCCTGCCTCAGCCTCCCGAGTACCTGGGACTACAGGCACCCGCCACCACGCCTGGCTAATTTTTTTGTATTTTTAGGAGAGACGGGGTTTCACCATGTTAGCCAGGATGGTCTCGATCTCCTGACCTCGTGATCCACCCGCCTCAGCCTCCCAAAGTGCTGGGATTACAGGCATGAGCCACCGCGCCCGGCTAGTCATTATTAATTTATGGTCAGTATTGTTTCATCTATGTCCTTACCTATTCTTCTTTCAGCAGGATTTTAAGTGAAATTCTAGATGGCATATCATTTCGTCCATAAATATTTTCATAGGTAGCCCTAAACAATAGGAATTTTCCTTAATTTTTTTGAAAATATTAAATTTATATATATGTGTGTATATACATATATATATATATATATTTTTTTTTTTTTTTTTTTTTGAGACAGAGTCCCACTCTTGTCGCCCAGGCTGGAGTGCAATGGCACAATCTCAGCTCACTGCAACCTCTGCCTCTCGGGTTCAAGGGATTCTCCTGTCTCAGCCTCCCGAGTAGCTGGGCTTACAGGCACCCACCACCATGCCTGGCTAATTTTTGTATTTTTAGTAGAGACAGGGTTTCACCATATTGGCCAGGCTGGTCTCGAACTCCTGACCTCAGGTGATCCGCCCACCTCGGCCTCCCAAAGTCCTGGGATTACAGGCCTGAGCCACCACATCTAGCCTTAAAATATAAATTTTTGAGTTAAGCTTAACTTCTCTCCTCCTCCTCCTCCCCTCCCTCTCTCTCCCTATGCCCCCACAAAATCACAATACTATCATACTTGAAAATCTGCCGTGCTAGGTTATTTTTTAAAACACGAATCCTCAGTGCATACTTTTAAAGTTTTCTTCACTTCTGTCACTTCACCTTGCTTTTTAGATGCTCTCTAGAGAATTACTTCCAGCATTTCCTACATGTTAAGTGGTCCTTTTCAATTGAACAGTCCAGTGACTTTCATCCTGTGAACATGTAATTAACAATATTATCACTGGCATCAGCAGTTCCGCTTTTCCATCTTCCACTCACTTTAATAGGCTAATAAAGGTAAAAGGCAGCAAAATATTCAGATATTTGTGCAAACTGGTGCTGCTGTGAAGACAGGCATGGCAGAACTGTCAAAACAGCCCTTGAGGAAACAACCCTTGGAAGTATTGGTTTGTCAGCTCATGTCAGGATGCTTAACATAAAAGTCTTTGGGGGTTGCAGTCAGTACTGTGCAAAAATTGAACTTGAAATTTGAGGCCCATGAGTATTTTCTTACGTAGGTATGCTCTGCTCCATGCAGCTTTTAGGAGAGGCAGCACCAGGAAAAACTTGTGTTCCTTCCGACTAGAGACCTGATGATTCTATGATCTAAAAATCTAAATTGACCCCTTGCTGGGCCACTCCCTCAGCTCCTGAGCAAGCTTCCCTTGTGCATTTGAAAGCGTATTTGGTTTAAGAGAAATGAAAACATATGCTCACACAAAAACTGTACACAAGTGTCTTTTGCAGCATTATTTACAATAGCCAAAATGTGGAAACAATCCAAATGCCCGTCACCTGATGAATCTATAAACAAAACGTGGTATACCAAACAGTGGAATATTGTTCAGTCATTAAAAAGATCGAAGCACTGTTACATGCCACAACGAGGAGGAACCTTGACAACTTTAAGCTGTATGAAAGAAGCCAGACACAAAAGGCCACATCTCGCATGATTCCATTTATGTGAAATGTCCAGGATAGGCAAACCCATAGAGACCATAGATGAGTGGTTACCTTGGCCTGAGGGTGGTAGGGGTGGGAGAGAATGGGGAACAGCTGCTAATGCAGAAGAGATTTCCTTAGGGTGATAAAAATGCTCTAAAGTTGATTGTGATGATGGCTATGAATACACTAAAATCTATTGTGTACTTTAAGTGGTTGAATTTATGGTATATGAATTATCTCTCAATAAAGCTGTTATGTAACAAATAGGATTCATTTACACTGATGCCTCAAGATATGCCCAGAGGTCTTCACTGGCATTTATTTTTATCTTTTTCTTGGAGTTGGGGTGCAGTGCAGCACCGGGGTGGGGGATATGCTGGGTAATATAAGGGTGCAGGAAAACTGGTGTCCTTTCATCTTTAAAACTCTGTGTAAACTTAGATTCTCTCCTCAAAAATCACCCATGAAACGGTGGTGACTTTGTTTGCCCCTATGATCTTATTTTGCTTCCAGTTCTTCATCTGGAGTTACTTTAACAGATAATAAACTAACTCCTTCCTTCTCTACCCACTCCCCTCAAACTAAATGTAAAGCATCTTTGTACTTCATAGGCAACAGTCGATGACTTTCCTTTTTCTGGAGTTTTCCAGGGTCAGGAATTGCTTTAGTGTTCAAAAAACAGTATTGGTTATCAGCTAAAGACAGGCCCTTTTATTTATACGACCCATCAAGCAGACAGGGTTTAAAAATAACACCAAGTCAGCGGTGTGCTTTCCTGGGGTGAAGCGGCGGGGGGGCCAGCATTGTTTCCCAGAGAAACGTGACGCTGGTTAAACAACACTGGGGACTAACTAGATGAGGCTCGGGTCACATGTCAGCTTGTTCACTTGAAAAGCTGCTGAATGTAGAAAACCATGGTGGGAAGAGGGGCAGGAACGCATTCACCCGGGTGTGCACGTGCGACGGGGGCTTGGGTGTGCATGTGGACCCCTGGTGCCTCCGTGGAGCCTTGTGAGGAGGAGGGAGGGCAGGCCTGACCTTTTCAGTGCCATGTTGTGCTGAGGATGAGTGTGCCCTCCCGAGTGGGAGCCCCCACCCTAGGACCCCCCAGACTCCATTTGTTGTGAAGGGAAATTGCAACCACAATCTGCTAAATCAGGAGTTGGCAAACTACAGCCTGGGAACCAGATCATGCCTGCTGCCTGTTTTTAGATTTTCTTTTTTTAAAGACAGAGTCTTACTCCCATCCCCCAGGCTGGATTACAGTGGTGCAATCATGGCTCACTGCAGCCCTGACTTCCCGGGCTCAAGCAATCCTCCCACCTCAGCCTCCCAAGTGGCTGGGACTACAGGCGCATGCCACCACACCTGGTAATTTTTTTCCATTTTTTGTAGAGACAGAGTCTCACTATGTTGCCCAGGTTTGTCTTAAAATCCTGGGTTCAAGTAATCCACCCGCCTTGGCCTCCCAAGGTGCTGGGAGTTACAGGCGTGAGCCATGGCATCTGGCACCTGATTTTGGAAGTTTTTGTTCAAACACAGCCATGCCCATTTGTTTATATGTTGGCCACTTTCGGGCCTCAACAGCAGAGATGGGTTAGCGCCACTGTCTGTCCTGTGAAGCCTAAACCGTTCATTATCTGGCCCTGTCTAAGAGGAAGTTTGCTGACTTCAGTGCTAAATGATGGAATTCCCTTCTCATGGGAGTCCCTGAAGAGGACTTTATTGGTGGTACTTGGAATCTGAGTCTACTGTGTGTGTGAGGAAAACCACAGGTCCCAGAGCTGTATGCCTAGGGGTTCAAGAACCCAACTGAGTGTGCAGTCCAATTCAGATTATTCTGACATGGCACATTGGCTGTGTATTCATTAGATGGCTTGTTTTTGTTTTTTTTTCCTCCCTGGAGTAGTCAAGAAGGTAATTATTTGGTCATCTTTCAAATATTCTTTAGTGGTGTGTTTATTAATTACAAGAGCATTTGGAGTCAGTGAGGAGCAGGCATGAGACTAATTTACATTTTGCTTCTAAAGGATGAAGTTGTATGACACCAAGTTTAATGTTTCCCGGTGAGAGTAATCTCCTCATGGACTGATAACCTAAGTAGCTTCCTGGCTGGCCTGCTTCTCATGCTGCCCTGGTAATGGATACCTGTTGAGTTATTTGTTCACAGTGTTTCTAGGAATTGTTAGTCCTTCTAACAGACTAACATGTATGGTGGCAGTGGGAAGGGCATGTTCACTTACTGTGATATCCTCCCACCCCTTCCCACCCCAGCCATGGCATAGATGGTTGGTCCAAAAATGGGTGCCTGGCCCAAGATGGGCCAATAGTGGCATAGTACTCCCTGGGAAATTAGACCTGAGACCGAGTTGCTGTAAGTCTGTCTCTGAGTGACTGGAGCTCTAACATTTACAATTTGGATTGCCTTTTTCTTTCATGTGGCTGGGATACAGAGTAATCCAGAGACAGAGAAAGCAGAGGGGGACATCTTGCATTCCCCATGACATCTTGGAAGATCTTGGTTCCTGCTTCTCCAGAGTAGGCGTTTTATGGCTTGGGCGGGGTGGGACCTCATGGGATGCTGTATAGGCTCTCTCCATAGACCCTGGCCCAGGTGCTGGTCCTGAGGCCTGGCCTTTCCTACAAGCAAGGAGGCAGTGAGGTCAGCCTAGCAGCTGGAGGACCAGGGATGCTGCAGCCAAGGGGAGATGATATTCAGATGCTTTGGTGGCAAGACTAGGAGTGAGTCCTTCCAATTGCACATCTGGCAGCTTTTGAGCTCCTGAGGCCAGCCTGGCTGGGGGCAGGAAGGATGGGGACAGCTGGACAACTATTGAGGGCCTGTTCGGGTAGCTTTCTACTAGCCACGCATCCGTCTAGCTTCCTGTCCCCAGTTCACTTCCTTGAGATGCCTTCATGGATTTCTGGGAGCAAGCAGCAGCAGTGAAACAACCGTTTTCACATTCTCCCCCAACTCACCATCTCTATCTTATGTAGTTTACAAAAACAAGCTTGTTTTACTCCATGTATAAAAAAATATTTTTTTCAAGTTAATGTGGGCATGGCCAGATTTTGGCTCTCATACTTTTTAACTTCTACCTATAAGGTAACCTTGTAACTTTTACCCCCAATAGTCTTTCCATATAAACAGTTACCTGTTGTTCTTGGACCAGAGACCGAATCATCACAAGCTTCCTTGGAGCTTATGAGATTCCCAGAGCTTTGTAGCAAAGCCCCTTTCCTGCTCAGGTTCACACAGAAGATGTCTGTGACCTTGAACTGCTGAATCTCCTTTGGCATTTTGAGCATAACTCTAGAGATGGCCAAAGATCTTATAAATGAGTAAAACCTCTGGAAGTCAGAAAAGAAGGTACAGATTCTGCCTCTACTTGCCTGCTTTGGGCAAGTTGCCAAAGCGTTTCTCCACTTTGAAAACGTGGATAAAATCAACACTATCAAGTTGTTGCAGAGATTAATGGTGATACTTAGGACGCCCATGCTAGGGACTCGAAGGATGTTAGCTGTTTCTCTTTTTCTCCCCTGCAAAATGATGCAGGCCAGGGCCAAAACTGACCAGTTCTGCTAGTTGCCAACAACTCTGTAAAAAATTGGGTGGAAGAAGGAGTAAATGACTTTGAATCTGTTAAAGTGAATTTGGGAGATTGATGGTAAACTTTGATATGCCAGCCCTCCTGTTTCTACAGCTAGTTGAGTCGGCTGAGCTTTGTTTTTCTGTTTGAACCCCTTTGTTAATTTCCATGTCTTTCACAATTATCAGACTTTTAATTTCATTGGTGGTTTGCAACATGACCTATTACCCCATTTATTTAAGAACAACAAAGTAGAGGTCTGGTTGTGAAGTCGTATGCTTATAACATTAAAAAAAAAACTTTTTCCAGTCTGGTAGCTGAATCTGGTGAGTTCAGAAAATCTGCTTCCATCCAAAAATGCTTTCAAGTTATTCCCAGAGAAAAAGGGTTCCCTGGGCCTTTCCTTCCAAAAGAGAATGCAGACTTGTTATCAATATTATCAATACCTGTCTGTTAACATTTGAGAGGAAGGTTTTTTGTCTACAGTGCACAAGCTGCTGATTTCGTGTAATTATCTCAGGTTTATTGGCTTGTTTTGGGTACGTCCTTCCCTTACATAAAACTATGCCATGCTTCTCTAAGAGGGTGAAAAGGTAGCAGATGGTCCTTTTTTTCCTCATTTAGGGAATTATTACTGTTAAACTTGTCTAAGGACAAAGATGGCAGGGCCTTTTGGCAGCATCTTACCCAGGAAGGAGCTCAGTGATGTAGAGGAGGCAGAATTACCTACCAACCCCCTGCATCTGGCTGGGCCTGAGAATCAAACTGACATCAGACAGGTTAACAGGAGGGAAGTGTATAGATTTTTACACATATGTGGGAGCCCCCATAGGAAAACAAAGACCCAAGGAAATGGCAAAGCCCAAGTGCTTATATACTAGGTTGGACAAAAAGAGGCAATCGTGGAAAAGTAACATAAGGGGAGACCAAAGGAAGAGCAGAGTTATGTTAAGAAGTTCTGTTTGCACAGAATTCTCTTGGCCTCAGCTCCCCACTTCTGGTGATGAGAATGTTCCCTTTCCTTCTGGTGCAGGGAGGGCATCTTTTTATCTCCTGCTTTCAGGAAGAAAAGGGGGCAGTCAGAGCACCCCTCTTGCACCTGTTGTTTTTGAAGTGTCTTTAGCTCAAATTAATCCTATGCCAAAGTGGCATATTTCAGGGTAGCATATTCTGCCATCCTTCAGTGAACTATTTAAAATTTTAGCTCATTTGGCAGCAGCACTTATTCCAGTTTTAGTGGGGGCATTGATTTATGACCATCCCCGGTGGGTCATTACATGCCTATTTAAATTGTGAAATAGACCAAGGGGTGCTTCTGTGCAACTCAGTTACAGGGGGGAAAGTTCCAATAATAGAGGTGCATTATTATTTGCATGCTTAAAAAGCCTCCACAATTGTCAGTGCAGATAAAAGGCCATGCTGAGCCATGAATAATCACTTGCTCCTAGAGTAGGGGAGGGGACCTCTCTTTTTTTAAGACTCAATGGAACAGAAACGTCACAGTAGGCATCTAAATTAACAACTCTTGTTTCTGTAAGCCTGGACTTTCTAAGCTTTTCAGCCAAACTATCTCACGCCTCTGAGAGTGAACTTACTCTCTCAGGGGTCTTAAGGCGAGGCCTGAAACTACCCAGGTTAAATTTTAGTTTGAAGTTTTGTCTTACTTTTTAAATTTTTGTGAGCTGTCTCCTCCCCTACAATATTTCTGGTTGTGATTTTCAATGAAAAGGTATTTATTTATTTCTCTGTGACAGTGCTTCTTCCCTACCTATCTCCCACATTTTTGAATAAAACTGATTCCCCATAGTCCAGCAGATCTCCAAAATTAGTTGTGCACTGCAGTTTTCCTTCTCATCATTCATTAGTCACAAAGGAAGCCCAAAGGGGTGAGCAGCTAACTGAAATGCCAGTGGAGCTTTCGAACCCACCAAGGGGAGGGATATTCCTCTCCCAGGAGCAGTGCTGTCAGTGGCTTCAACCAGGATGGGGGCATTTATTAATGAGACTTGTGAAGCAGCCAGCTCAGGATGACTGGCATGAAACCTTCTCTCAGGAATGCAGGTCTGCTCCCAAGAGGGGGCAAAGGCAGCCAGGAAAGGTGCAGAACCCAGCCTGGCAGGGCCCTCCCCACTATACCACTCATCTGCTGGCCTTCTAGGCAACATTGCATTGAAGCAAATCCTGCTGACTCGTCACACTCGATCGCATGACTGGGTCTCCCCATACAGCCATTGGCAAAGGAGATCTTGAAGATGTGCCAACTCTGAAACACTGATGCCAGAATAGGTTTTCAAAAATGCCTCTAGTTCTATCACTGCCTGCTCAGTGAATAAAATCTGAACTCCTTAACCTGCCATTCTGAGCACTCCAGGGTGGCCCCAACCACCCTCTCCCTCTATATCTCACATTACCATCCAAAGTGTTGCTAACTCTATGGCCTTTTACCCTGTCCTCAAAGCAGTTAGGTGCCAAATCCCAGCCTCATCCCGGCCTGGAGTACAACTGCTTACACTGAGGTCCTGACTTTTCTTTCTTTCTTTTTTTTTTTTTTTTTTTTTGACAGAGTCTCGCTCTGTCGCCCAGGCTGGAGTGCAGTGGCGTGATCTTGGCTCACTGCAACCTCTGCCTTCCAGGTTCAGATGATTCTCTTGCCTCAGCCTCCCAAGTAGCTGGGACTACAGGTGCGTACCATCATGCCCACTAATTTTTGTATTTTTAGTAGAGACGGGGTTTCACCGTGTTGGCCAGGCTGGTCTCAAACTCCTGACCTCAAGTGATCCACCTACCTTGGCCTCCCAAAGTGCTAGGATTTCAGGTGTGAGCCACCAGGCACAGTCAGTCTGGTCTTTTTGAGGCAGTGAGTTCTCTCTGAGCACCCAGAGTCATTTATTGGTTTCCCCGATAACCCAAGAATGAATCTCTCAACATGTCTTGATGGGATTCCACTTCCTGGACCTTTGCCACTGGCTGCATTTGCAGTGCTAGTTTTCTATTTATCTCCCTGGCCACACTGAACATTCTTCAAGGGAAGGAGCTATGTCGTCTTTCTTGTATACACTGGCCTTGTGCATGGCTTCCTTAGTTGTCCTGGTGTCCAGTAACCTTAGTGACCCTCATTCAGCTGCTAGAAGAGTTAAAAAAAAAAAAAAATGGAGTTTTTCACAAAGGTGCTGTAAACAGGTATAATCCAGGAAAACTCAAGTTTACATGGAAACTAAATTAGAAAATGATTGTCCTTCCAAATAGGATTGTATGCATTCTCTTCTGAATAGTACTTCTCTGAGGCTTTTAAAATAAATTTTGATTTACAGCAACTTGATAACATCTTTTAGAAAAAAATCCCTTAAAATGTTGGGGCTCACCTAGGTTTAAAAATGTGGTTGTTGATGCATTTTTAAAAGATATTAGAAAGGCAATATTGATGGCTGTTAAATTTAAAAATAAAACATATTCCTACAACTCAATAATTCATCATCCTCCAAGGAGGATTTTATTTTTAAGGAATTGCCCTACTTTGATTGCCTGAAGGTTTTGATTCTTCTCCTCTTGGAATGAATTTGAATTTGAGACTCCCAAGCAAAATTGGATTTTTCTCAGTTGCAAAATACCAGATTCAGCATATAGGGCTTTCAGAGGGTAACTGGAGAGTTCCATTCCCATCTGCCAAATTGTATAAACTGTGCTGCAGCCTCTCCTAGTATTTAATGTAGGTAGAAATTTCATTTTTTATGTGGCAGGTCAAAAAGATTGAAGTGTAGAATATAGTGAGAGGAGAAACTGCCTGCACCCTCTTCAGTATTATGGCAGATTGGCCACCTTCTCCATGCAGATTCTTTTCGATTATAGTAATAGGTGAACTTATAATCAGTGAATATGAGAACCCATGAATACATATATACATTTGTATGCTATAAGGGTATGTGATTTTTGCAATCAAGAAAGCAATACTTGGCTGGGTGCAATGGCTCGTGCCTGTAATCCCAACATTTTGGGAGGCTGAGGCAGGAGGACTGCTTGAGCTCAGGGGTTTGAGACAAGCTTAGAAAACATAGTAGAACCTCATCTCTACAAAAAATTTAAAAATTAGCCTCATTTCTACAAAAAAAATTTTTAAGTGACGGCACAGTGGCCCATGCCTGTAATCCCAGCACTTTGGGAGCCCAAGGCACGTGGATCACTTGAGGCAGGGTTTGCCAAGACTAGCCTGGCCAACATGGTAAAACCCCATCTCTACTAAAAATACAAAAAATTAGCCAGGTATGGTGGCACACACCTGTAATCCCAGCTACTCAGAAGACTGAGGCATGAGAATTCATTGAACCCAGGAGGTGGAGTGAGCTGAGATCACACCACTGCACTCCAGCCTGGGTGATGGAGTGAGACCCTGTCTCCAAAAAAAAAAAAAAAAAAAAAAAAAGTAATCCCGGCTACTTGGGAGGCAGAGGTAGGAGAATCACTTGAGCTCAGGAGGTCAAGGCTCAAGGCTGCAGTGAGCTCTGATCGTGCCGCTGCAGTGAGCTCTGATCGTGCCACTGCACTCCAGCCTTGGCAACAGAGCAGGACCAAAAAAGAAAAAAAAAAAAAAAGCAACACTTAGTTGGTTTTTTGAAAAGATTGACAGAATTGACAAACCCTTAGCTCAACTATGAAAAAACAAAAATAACAACTATCAGAAGTGAAAGAAAAGACATTGCTAAAAAAAGTCAAAGTATCATAAAAGACTACTATGAACAATTATATGCCAACAAATTGGATAATCTAGAAGAACAGATAAACTTCTAGAAACCTACGACCTACCAAGACTGAATCATGAAAAATCTGAACAGACCCATAACTAGTAAAAAGATGGAATCAGTAACCAAAAACTTCCCAACAAAGAAAAGCCCAAGGCCAGATGGCTTCACTAGAAAATTCTACCAAATGTTTAAAGAAGAATTAACACCAGTCCTTGTAAAACTCTTACAAAAAATTGAAGAGAGAATGCTTTCAAACTTATTCTACAAGGCCATCATTACCTTGATACCAAAATGAGATAAAGATACTGTAAGTAAACAAAGATACTATACTACAAACCAATATCAATATTGATTCAAAAAAAAATTTTTTTTTTCCAATACAGAGTCTAGCTCTGTCACCCAGGCTGGAGTGCAGTGGTGCAATCACTGCAACCTCCACTTCGCAGGTTTAAGCGATTCTCTTGCCTCAGCCTCCTGAGTAGCTGGGATTACGGGTGCCCGCCACCAAGCCCGGCTAATTTTTGTATTTTTAGTAGAGGTGGAGTTTCACCATGTTGACCAGCCCGGTCTTGAACTCCTGACCTCAAGTGATCCACCCACCTCAGCTTCCCAAAGTGCTGGGATTACAGGAGTGAGCCACCATGCCTGGCCTCGTTAAAAAATTCTGAACAAAATACTAGTAAACCAAATTCAACGTAGTAAAAGGATTATATGTGTTCAACTGGGATTTATTTCTGAAATGCAAAGATGGTTCAACATGAAGACTGATGTAATACACCACATTAATGGAACGAAAGATAAAACCACATGATCATCTCAATTGATGCAGAAAAAGTACTTGGCAAAATTCAACACCGTTTCATGATAAAAACACTAAACACACTTGGAATAGAAGGAAATTACCTCAACATACTAAAGACCATATATGATAAGCCAACAGCTAATATCATATTCAGTGGTATAAAAAAGCTTTTTGTCTAAGACTAGGAATAGGGCAAGGATGTCTACTCTGACCACCTCTATTCAACATAAGACCAGAAGTCCTATCCAGGCGAGAAAGAGAAATAAAAGACATCCAAATAGGAAAAGAGTGATTATCTATGTTAACCAATGACATGACCTAGTACGTAGGAAACACTAAAGATTCTACCAAAAAAGCTGCTCAACTAATAAATTCAGCACAGTTGCAGGATACAAATTCAACACACAAAAAAATCAGTTGGCATTTCTCTGCACTAACAATGAGCAATCAAAAAAGGAAGTTAAGAAAATTCTATTTACAATAGAATCAAAAAGAATAAAACACTTAGGTAAAAGATGTTTACACTGAAAACTACAAAACACTGCTGAAAGAAATTAAAGGAGACATAAATAGAAAGACATTCTATGTTCATAGAGTGGAAAATGTAATATTGTTAAAATGTTCATATTATCAAAGATGATTCACAGATTCAGTGCAATCCCAGTCAAAATCCCAGTGGCATTTTTTTTTTTTTTTTTTTTGCAGAAATAGAAAAAAAATCCTAAAATTCCTATGGAACCACAAAGGACCCCAGAGAGCCAAAACAGTAGTAAGAAAGAAGAATAAAGCCACAGGCCCCATGCTTCCTGATTTTAAAAGGTGATACAAGCTGGGCATAGTGGCATGCTACTTGGGAGGCTAAGGCAGGAGACTTGAGCCTAGGAGTTTTGGGCTGTAGTGAACTATAATCTCACCTATGAATAACCACTGCACTCCAGGCTGGGCAACATAATAAGGCCCTTTTAAAAAATATGTATATGTTTGTTTTATATGTATATAAAACAAAGCTACAGTAATCAAAATAGTATGGTACTGGCATAAAGATAGACATATAGACCAATGGAACAGAATAGAGAGCCCAGTAATATACGCTCATATATGTAGTCAAAAGATCTATGGACTTTCCTAATTTATGATCAATATATGTCATTTATGGATAATAGATCACTTTCCAAATGGTCTATGGAAAAATGGACAAACATACCAAGACTACACAATGAGAAAGAAAGGACAGTCTCTTCAACAAATGGTTGGGAAAACTGGATATCCACATGCAAAAGAATGAAGATGAATCCTTACCTGACACCATGTATAAAAATTAACTAAAATAAATTATAGACCTAAATGTAAGACCTGAAACTCAAACTCCTAGAAGAAAATGAGAAAAGCTTCATGACATTGGATTTGGCAGTTATTTCTTGCATATGACAACAAAAGCACAGATGACAAAAGCAACAGTAGACAAATAGGACTATACCAAACTTAAAACATCTACCCAGCAAAGGAAACAATCATTACAGAAAGGGAAAAGATACCTGCAAGCCATGAATCTGATAAGAGGTTAATATCCAGAATATATAAAGAACTCCTACAACTCAACAACAACAACAATAAAAATCAAATGTAAAAACGGGGAAAGGACTTGAGTAGACATTTCTCAGAAAAAGATATGCAAATGCCAACAAGCATATGGTAATATGAGCAATATTACCAGTCATTAGGAAAATGCAAATCAAAACCATAATGAGCTATTACCTCACACCTGTTAGGATGGCCACTATCAAATAAACAGAAAATAACAAGTATTGACAAGAATGTGGTGAAATTGGGACCTTTGTGCCTTGCACATGGGAATGTAAAATGATGAGGCCGCTCTGGAAAACAGTACGGGGGGTCCTCAAAAAATTAAAAATAAAATGTACTATATGACCCAACAATCCCACTTCTGGGTATAGATCCAAAAGAATTAAAGACAGGATCTTTGAATCTTAAATTCAGCTGATTAAAAAAAAAACAATGAACAAATAAACCATACAAAAAAAAAAAAGGATCTTGAGATATTTGCACACTCATGTTCATTGCAGCATTATTCACAATAACCAAGAGTTAGAAGCAACCTGAATGCACATCAACAGATTAATGGGTAAACAAAATGTGGGATATGCAGACAATGGAGAATTATTCAGCCTAAAAAAGGAAATTCTGTCATATGCTACACATGGATAAACCTTGAGGACATCATGCTAAGTGAAATAAGCCAGTCATAGAAAGTCAAATACTGCATGCTTTCACTTATATAAGGTATCTAAAGTAATCAAACTCCTAGAAAGTAGAATGAAAAGTAGAATGCCAAGGGATAAAGAGAGGGTGCAAGGGGGAGTTCCTATTCAGTGCATCTACAGTTTCACTTTTACAAGATGAAAAAGTTCTAGAGATCTTCTGCACAGCAGTGTGCAGTCAACACTACTGTGTATTTAAAAATGATTAAGGTATTAAATGTTACGTTCTTTTGACCACACGCGCACACACACACACACACAAGTAAGTCATGAATAAAAAGGAAAAAAAAGCAACACCTTAATTGTGAGGCAACTGTAAAATAAATGAGAATTCAAGCAAATTTTGGATGGAAAAGTTGAAATCCTACAGAAGCATAGTACAATTAGAAAAGCAAGGCATTGTCCATATGGGGCTGGGTTAGCTGCAGCCCGTCGCAGTGGACGCAGCACAGGATGTAAAGCTGGGGTGCTGGTTGCTAGTTCCACCTGCTGCAGACCTGCAGTGGGGACAGTTACCTCTGAGCATCAGTAGCCTCAGGCGTAGATAAGGAGGGTGACCTCTGCCATGTGAGACCCAGCTGGAAGAGAGAGGGGGCTTCTTAGCTGGGATAGAATCTCAAGCAAAATCACAGTGGGTTTTGATACCTGGGGAGTGGCAGAGAGGAGTCAGGAGGTGAGGGGTGGGGAGCTTGGAGAAGGGCACAGAAGGAGGCGATGGGAAAGGAGATCTGGCCTGTAGGGTAAAGGCCTCATGGGGAGGGGCTGAGAAACAAGGTTGCTGAGACATGAATTTGGGCTGATTAGGGAAGTGCCTTCTAATGCTGTCCTTAGCACGCTCAGCCGCCTCAATCCTTCTTGAATCTGTATAAAGCAGCCAGTCTCTGAAAATAGAGACCACTCGATGGGGCCTCTGGGGGCCTCCTGTAAGAGGAGAGAGATGCTTAGTGAGACAGCCTTGGTCAGTGATTCTCAAACTCTGTTGGACTTGGGAAAAGAGTTACCTTCCCCACCCAGTTCATGGCACTGTACCCTCATTGGTCCTCAAAAGGCCCCCCTTGTTTGGTTTGTTGCCTTTTATCCTCATTTCTTACTGTTATCCTCTCCCCTTCTCCCATGGGCTACCGTTATTAATATGTGTTTGATGTATATGCTGTTTGTATGTATTCTTATAAAACAAGAAGGTTTGGAATGTGTGTGTTTTTAATGTACATAGATGGTAGCAGTCTAGAACAGCAGTTGGCAAACTGTAAAGGGCCAGAATAGTAAATATTTTAGACTTTATGGACCATATGGACTCTGTTGCAACTACTCCACTGTGTCATTGTAGCACAAAAGCAGCCAACGACATATGCAAATGAGTGAGCATGGCTGTGTTCTAATAAAACTGTATTTATGGACACTGAAATTTGAATGTCATGTAATTTTTATATGTCACAAAATATTCTTTTGATTTTTTCCAACTGTTTAAAACCCCTTGTAGCTTGTGGACCATACAAAAACACTGTGGCCAGATTTGGCTACTGGGTTGTAATTGTGTGATTCCTCATCTAGCTCCTTGCTGCTCAGTATGTTCTGTGGACCAACAGCACGGGCATCACCAGAAAGCTTGTTAGAAATGCAGATCTTAGGCCTCATCCCAGACCTGCTGGGTCAGCACCTGCATTTTAACAAGACCCCTGGTGATTGTGTATACACTGATGTTTGGGAAGCACTGGGCAATGTTTCATTTTTTTTATCCTTTCTCATTTAGCACTCTTCTAAAGACCGAACCATTTCGCTAGATCTAACCCATTGCTTGTAACTGCAGCACAGTATTTCCATATTCACTTTTCCACCAAAAAAAAAAAAAAAAAAAGGAAAAGAAAAGGTACCGAGACATTGGAAAGATTACTGGTTGCCAAGGGTTAGAAATGATGCAGGTGAAAGATGAATAGGCAGAGCACGGATGGTTTCAGGTGGTGAAAATACTGTGTGCTGGCTCTGATGATGGATACATGTCATTATACATTTGTCTAAACCCATAGAATGCCTACCACCATGAGTGAACCCTAATGTAAACTATGGGCTTTGGTCAATAATAATGTGTCATTAATTGGCTTATCAATTATATAAATTATAGGGGAGCTCAGGGAGGAGAGAAGGGGATATGTGGGAACTCTGCATGTTCCAATCAATTTTTCTTTTCTTTTTTTTTTTCTTCAAGACAGAGTGTCCCTCTGTCACCGAGGCTGGGGTGCAGTGGTGCAATCTCAGCTCACTGCAACCTCCACCTCCCAGGTTCTAAGCGATTCTCCTGCCTAAGCCTCCGGAGTAGCTGGGATTACAGGCACGCACCACCATGCCCAGCTAATTTTGTATTTTCAGTAGAGATGGGGTTTCACCATCTTGGCCAGGCTGGTCTCAAACTCCTGGCCTCAGGTGATCCACCCGCCTCTGCCTCCCAAAGTGCTGGGACTACAGGCGTGAGCCACCACACCTGGCCCAATCAATTTTCTGTAAACCTAAAACTGCTCTAAAAAATAGTCTATTGACCGAGCGTGGTGGCTCACGCCTGTAATCCCAGCACTTTGGGAGGCCCAGGCAGGCAGATCACGAGGTCAGGAGATCAAGACCATCCTGGCTAACATGGTGAAACCCCGTCTCTACTAAAAATACAAAAAATTAGCTGGGCGTGGTGGTGGGCGCCTGTAGTCCCAGACACTCGGGAGGCTGAGGCAAGAGAATGGTGTGAACCCAGGAGGCAGAGCTTGTAGTGAGCTGAGATCGCACCACTGCACTCCAGCCTGGGCGACAGAGCAAGACTCCATCTCAAAAAAAAAAAAGTGAAGGAGCATGTCCCAGAAGCTCCCCAACTCGGCACAATTTGAACTTTTTGAAGCCAACTCGTGTTTTCTCTTAAAAATACATTCAAATTTGTATTTGCCATATTCTTTTGCCTTAATGTGACAATCAATTTTAATTTCTTTATACTTAAAGTTCACCTCCCCTCCCACAGTTAAAAAAAATTGTGTAAAGTGAAAGCTGCAGGAAGATGTGTTGTTGCTACCCTGTGACATCCCCCGCTCATGCCTGCCCTCCACTGCCTCAGTTGAAAACTGCAATCCTAGGCCAACTCCTACCTTCCAGAAGGTGAGGCCAAGGGTCTCCTGCTCTCTTGCTACCCTAGCCCTGGGCCGTCTTGGTGAGGGAGGGAGGAAAGGGAGAAGCTGCTGGCACATTTGGGGGCTGGGTCTCTCAGTGTCTACCTGAGTGCCTCGGTGCCTACTGTTGTTTCCTGAGTAATAGCATACCTTTGACATACTCTGCCCAAGTAGGGAGGCCTGGCCAGGGGCGAGAACTCTGTCCTGCCAGGCTCTTCCGTCAGAGATGGAAGGAAGGATCTGGCTTGGTCTCCAGGGGTACCAGTGGGTCTGCCAAGCTGACACCAGGCTGTGCCCTCCATCCCACTCCTTTCCTGGGAGAGCTGAGAGAGTATGAAGCCTTCCCGTACATGTCATCCTCTCTACCTTGAGCATATTTGTGCTCATCTCCTGATGGATGTAGACAAAGAAGGACCACTGTGGCGTGTTGGAGTCAGGCGCACTAGGTGGTGGGTGGTGGAACTCTATGGTAAGCTGTACATCTCCGGTCGGAAGCAGACCAGCTGGCCTGGGGAAAAGGCAGCATGGAAATGTGTGCAGGTAGACTCACCTCCACGGAGGGCTTGACATTCCTAAACTTGTTTTCAGGGGCCAGGTGGTCAACTCTCTCCATCTCTGCAGCCATGAGTTTACTGACCTTGGCCATTGGACCCTACTGATCCTGGTGCAGCTTGCAGCTGTGGGGGCAAAGGCTAATTAGGTAGAACAGATGTGTCGAAGGTCACCTGTTCTCATGTGTTTCCTGGACTGATCATTATGATTTAAGGCCCTCCCAAATTTTCTTCTGTTTGAAAGAAGGTCTGATAACCCGGGAATTTCAGAATTAAGAATGGACATGACAAAGGAATATAGATTCCTAAAGGGCATGTATGTCTGCCAGGGCCCTTTCAGTTTCATAAAAGCAAGGAGACTTGCAGGGCGGGAGATCAGAACTCTCCCTTGAAGATGAAGCGCACAGTCTTACTTCCTGCACTCAGAGGCAGTTAAACATCCGGAGGGCAAGTGGACCGAGGGAATGACAGACTCCAGAAAGCAGCCCTGACCAAGTGGGAGAGGCCCTCCAGGGCAGCGACTCTCAGCATGAGGGCATGGATTCTCACACCCGCCAGCACTGGGGCAAATGCTTGGCGTCTTTGGTGGAGGCAAGCATTTCATAATCCTCCTTGTTTGATTTTTATTTCATTTCTTTTGAGATTGACATTAAAGAGTAGCTGTGTGACTTTTGATACATGCACAGTTGTACAATTGCATCTGAACCTTTTTGTGTGATGTCCCTCCCTCCCCCACCTTCCTCCCTAGTGCCTAAAGGTAGAAGGACAGAGGTGGAGCTATCCCAAGTAAAGCCGGTTCTCAGGCTCTGTGCAGTCCCTTCAGGGGACCTGTGATAAAGTGGAGTCGGCACAAATCAAGGCTTGTACATGTAAGATTTTATCTTGACCTCAAACTGGGCTGTGGACCTGAGGCAGTGCTGGGAGGCTCTGTAGCAGAAAAGAGTCCTTAGACCTGGCTTTCAGCCAGGGCTCCAGCAGCTTTGCAGAACATGGTTTTGAACATAGCCTTTCACTGCTGTGAGCCTCAGTTTCCCTCTGTAAAATAAAGATAATCATATCTCCATCATACAACTGTTGTGTGGCTAAATGAGATGTGAGCGATGTAACTGGTGATGTCCTATACAAATACTGATGGTGCTGGAGGTAAGACATTTATTGTCATTCAATAAACGTCTCTCTCCCACACAGAAATGGAAGGAGCTGTTTTTATAGGGACTCTTGCCTCTTCCTCACTACTCTCTCATCCTCTTTCCTGTAAGCCTTTATCTCAGTTCTGTTCCTTGGGAGATAGCGTTCATTTTTTTCTTCTCCTCTTTGCCTTTTATTCCCCCATGCTTCACCAAAACAGAAGGAAATTGTCTGTTTTCTGTTGCTGTGATTGAATACCTGAGACTGGGTAATCTATTAAGGAAACCATTGTTTCTTCCAGTTTTGGAGGCAGGAAGTCCAAGGCCAAGGGGTCATAGCTGGTGAGGGCCTTTTTGCTGGTGGGGACTCTGCAGAGTTTTGAGGCGGTGCAGGGCATCACATTGCAAGGAGGCTCACGAGAGACAGCCAGACTGACTTTTAAAACAGACTCCCTCTTGTGATAACAAACCTCCTCCCGAGATAACTCATTAATCCATGAATGGATTAATCCATTTGTGAGAGCAGAGCCCTCATGATCCAATCACCTCCCAAAGATCCCACCTCTCAACACTGCTGCATTTGAGGACCAAGTTTCCAACACATAAAGTTTGGGGGACACATTCAAACCACAGTGGAAACCAACATGTGAAATGGAAAAGTGTTGACAGAAGTAAGTAAATGTGGGAGCCAGGTTAGCATCTGACCACAGACAACACCAGCCAGGCCTGCACGGACAGAGGTGGCCCTGGAATATCACCAAATCCAATCCCCTCACTCTAAGAGTCTTCTTTTCACACAGTTTGTTCAGTGTTCTTGAAGACTCTAAGCTGTTTGGCTGGGGCTGGCTGCAGCTTTACTTAATGGTGACCCAGGACCATGATCCAAGTGTTTTTCTCTGATTCTGGGGGAAGATTTGTGTTCTTTGTGAGTCCTGAGAAGATCTTGGATTGGGTCATCAGCATCCAGTATTCCTTTTAAATCCCTGGTGTGTGGAGCAGCCCATGAGAAAGAGGGAAGAAAATAGGGCTTCTTAAACTTGAGCTGCTTGGGAAGACACCTTGCTGGGCTCCTTCCCAGAAATGCTGATTCAGCAGGTCTGGGTGTGACCTAAAAGTCTGCATTTCTCACATGCTCCTGGGGGATACTGATCCTGCTGGCCTGGGACCAGACATCATTGGAGAATCCAAGGCTACAAGGCAGAGGTTGGCAAATTACAGTCCAGCAGCCAAGTCCAGCCAGAACACAGTTGCTCCCATTCATTTACATATTGTTTATGGCTGCTTTCATGCTACAGTGGCAGAACTGAGTAGTTGTGGCAGAGATCATGTGGCCCACAAAGCCAAAAATATTTACTATTTGGCCTTTTTTTTTTTTTTTTTTTTTAAATTGAGATGGAGTCTCACTCTGTCGCCAGGCTGGAATGCAGTGGTGCAATCTTGGCTCACTGCAACCTCCGCCTCCCAGGTTCAAATAATTCTCCTGCCTTAGCCTCCTGAGTAGCTAGGACTACAGGTGTGTGCCACCACGCCCAGCTAATTTTTGTATTTTTAGCAGAGACGGGGTTTCACCATGTTGGTTGGGATGGTCTCGATCTCTTGACCTTGTGATCTGCCCGCCTCGGCCTCCTAAAGTGCTGGGATTACAGGTGTAAGCCACCGTGCCCGGCCTGGCCTTTTACAGTAAAAGCATGCCAACCTCTGCTCTTGAGGTTCCTCAGCACCCTTAGCCCAGTAGTTCTAATTACAGGCATGGGACACCTCCCATTCCTTTCTTTCACTGACTGAGTACCCTAGGGCCACTACTGTTAAGAAACCAACTCTGCTAAGCATTAAATCATGTTCTCTGGAAGAAAAAACATGAGACTGATATCACTGCTTTTACCTCTATCTTTGCCGATCACAAAACACCTTAAGACCCTGCAGCAACCTAGGTGGTGCTGTACCCATCTTGTGAAGGTACAAACCAAGGCTCAGGAAAATAGTTATGTCTGTGGTCACACAGCAAATTAGTGACAAACCCAGGTCTCCCAGGCTTTGCACCTAACACACTACCTATTGTATATAAGGCAAAATTGGATGGTACTTTGTATATTGGTCATCTAATTCTGTGTAACAAATTACCCCTAAATGTAATAGCCTAAAGCAGCAGAAGACATTTGTTATCACTCACGGTGTCTGTACATAAGGAATTCAGGATCAACGTGGCTGAGCAGTTCTGGCTCAGGTGTTTTCCTAAGGTTCCATCAGATGTCTGCCAGAGCTGCAGTCACTTAAAGTTTAACTGGGGCTGAAGAATCCACTTCCAAGGATTCAGCTTGGAGAATCAGCTTCACTCACGTGGCTGGCAAGTTGGTGCTGGCTATTGGTGGGAAACTTCATTTCTGTTCCATGTTGACCTCCCTGCAAGGCTGCTTGAGTGTCCTCACAATATGGATGCTATCTCCTTTTTATGACACAGCCTCCCAAGTCACATAGCATAATTTCTGCCACATTCTGTTCATCAAAAGCAAGTCAGTAAGTCCAGCTTACCTTCAAGAAGAGCATCAAAGAATTTGTGGGCATATCTTAAAGCCAGCCCAGTAGGTCAATTTCCATTCCATTGCCTGCTGGGAAAATCAGGGTCCTGTGGTGTTGTCACAGTGCCGGTCTTTAGTTGATCGTAGAACGTGAGACTAAAGTCCTAAGCAAGAATAAGGTAATTCACAAATTACTAGCAACATCTAGGCCTCAAGTTTTGTTCTGTTCTGGAATAGAGTACCCAAAGGAATCTTACACAGTTGGACTTCAGAAAAGGTCAGAGAGGACCGGAAGGAGATGCCCATCTTCATGCTGTGTTTGAAAACAGAAAGACGACCACATGGTTTGAAATCCTCCCAGGCAATCCAGACATGCTTCTGCTAAGGGCCAGCTCTCCATTCCCAATTAAAAACTATCTTTCTAGCCCAGAGGCCAAGTGCCTTGTTGGAGAAAGCAGCAAGGCCTGAAGCCCTTCGGTTGTGCTTGTTGATGCTCCACACAGTTCCCCTATAAAGTATTAAACATACTTCAGTAAGAACTCTGCAGGGGTAGGCCGGGCGCGGTGGCTCATGCCTGTAATCCCAGCACTTTGGGAGGCCGAGGCGGGCGGATCATGAGGTCAGGAGATCAAGACCATCCTGGCTAACACAGAGAAACCCCATCTCTACTAAAAATACAAAAAATTAGCCAGGTGATGTGGCTGGCGCCTGTAGTCCCAGCTACTCGGGAGGCTGAGGCAGGAGAATGGCGTGAACCCGGGAGGCAGAGCTTGCAGTCAGCCAAGATCGCACCACTGCACTCCAGCCTGGGCGACAGAGTGAGACTCCATCTCAAAAAATAAATAAATAAATAAAAAGAACTTTGCAGGGGTAGAAGGAGGAGGCTGTGAATTTGTGGATTAAATTTGCCCTTCCAAGTCTTTGTATTAATTCATCCTTATCTCAGCCAGCTGATTGCATTTCTTGTCAGATCTGTTTCCAGGCAACGTCTGGTACTAATGGGTGAGAGTCCAGTTTATTCTTCCATGCCCTGCCACCTCTGTGCAAGGCGTTGTAAGTGTAGGAACTCATCCAGACAGTAAACTCTGATCTCTCGCCATTCAACAGGGTCCGGTTGTATCACCTTAGTCTTCATAAGCAGTGTTTGGATACCCTCTAGTGGATAAGTGAAGATGGTCGCCATGCTTGCTAAACAGAAGGGCTCCGAACCTGGGATGAGAGTGGAGGTGACTGGCTTGAAGAGCCCCTGTGACTCTGGAAAGCAAATGTAGGGAGAGGTCAGCTTGAGGATAATGTAACTCCTTGATGCTCCAGGAAAGAGGTATACTCTTCCGTTGTATAATCTTCTCTGGCTTGATATATTTAATAACCTGATTTGGAAAACAGGTAACAAAAACATCAGTACACATATATGTGCATGTGTGTATATTTCCTAGTGCAGAGAGTGTGTGTGGTTGTAAACAGGAATTGGCAAACTTTTTCTATAAAGGGCCAGATAGTAAATATTTCAGGCTATGTAGCCAGGAGGCCACATATTCTGTTGTAGTGTGAAAACAGCCATAGATAATACATTCATGAATAAGCATGGCTGTGTTCATTGACTATACAAAACAGACAGTGAGCCGCATGTGGCCCTGGGCCAAAGTTTGCCAACCCCTGGTGAAAAAGAAAGAACTGAATTGTGTTTGTCTCTTGCACTAGATGGCGAATTCCTCCTGTGCAGGGACCCAAGCCTCATTCACCTTTGTACCCTGGGCACTCAGTATTGTGCCTACCATGTGGCAGGTGCCCATAGCCTATTTACTGACTCAATATGGCTCCTGTGTCAAACTCTGTAATATATCACCTTTCTTGCAAGATTTCTTGGAATTCATTGAATTAAGAGCAGCATGCTCTCTAACTTAGATGTTTAAGCCATCAGAGCAAATAGGATTAGTTGCCATCCTGTTTTCCATGTACTTGTCCTTCACCAAGATGCCATGTGAAAGACCAGCACTTCAAAAGGCCTTGTCGTGATCAGCCCTGTTCAGCCTGAAGATG
The DNA here is from genome assembly GCF_000001405.40 of Homo sapiens. NCBI lineage: Eukaryota > Metazoa > Chordata > Mammalia > Primates > Hominidae > Homo > Homo sapiens. The sequence continues at coordinate 32,341,170 of NC_000003.12, forward strand.
GCACTACCTAGTGGCCCAACAGTGGTGGGCAGCTGCCGGGCATCTTGTTTTGCAGACGTGACAGTGGATTTGCATAGAGGCTTCTGTTGCCTTTACTAGAATCTCCATATGCCCAGAACCTTGCACGTGAGAAGGGACTGGCTGGTGGCATTCCAGGTAATGTCCTATCCCTAAGAACACGGCAGGAGCCAGCTTCTCTGTCTCAAACACCAGCCTATTCCTCTAAGGCAGGCTTATGGTCTGCCAAACTGCTCTTTTTTTTAAGGTATTAATCACAATAGCAACTATCCTTTGTAGAGTATATTGTCTTATGTGGATTTTAGAAAATATGTATTATCTCTATTTATTGATGAAGAAACTGAGGCACAGAAGAGTTAAATTACTTACGGCATGATGTTGATGTGTAGTACAGTTTAAAAACTTGAGGCCAGGTGTGGTGGCTCACACCTGTAATCCCAGCACTTTGGGAGGCCGAGGCAGGTGGATCACCTGAGGTCAGGAGTTCAAGACCAGCCTGGCCAACATGGCGAAACCCCCTCTCTAATAAAAATTTAAAAATCAGCCAGGTGTGGTGTCATGTGCTTTTGATCCCAGCTACTCTGGAGGCTGAAGCAGAAGAATCACTTGAACCCAGGGGTCGGAGGTTGCAGTGAGCCAAGGTTGCCGCTGCACTCTAGCCTGGGCGACAGAGCAAGACTCTGTCTCAAAAAAAATAAATAAACTTGGACTAAGTTTTTTAACTCACTGTGCCTTGGTTTTCCTATCTATAAAATCATCATGATAAAACCTATTTTAAGGCTGGGCATGGTGGCTCACGCCTGTAATCCCAGCACTTTGGGAGGCTGAGGTGGGCGGATCACCTGAGGTCAGGAGTTTGAGACCAGCCTGGCCAACATGGGGAAACCCCGTCTCTACTAAAAACATAAAAATTAGCTGGGCGTGGTGGCATGCGCTTGTAATCCCAGCTACTCAGGAGGCTGAGGCAGGAGAATCGCTTGAACCCAGGAGGCGGAGGTTGCAGTGAGCCAAGATCGCACCACTGCAGTCCAGCGTAGGCAACAGAATGAGACTCCATCTCAAAAAAACCCAAAAAACAAAAACCTATTTTAGGGGGCTAGCTGTGTGGGTCAAATGAGGTAAGGTACAAGAAGTGTTTCCTTATTCCATAGTAGATATTATACTGTTACCAGGGGCTTGGGTACATAGGTCCTCGATAAATATTGGTTGAATAGATGAAAGCAATTTGCCTAGTCACACAGGTGGTAAGAATTCAAAGCCCAGCTCTTCCTACCAGGCCAGATGGCCTTGATTATACCATTTAACCAAACAGGAACAGGGGCATGCTAACCATGGTATTGAGGTGGACCGTGTGGCATTCAGGTGTCCACACAGGGCAGGGAAGACAGAGCTTCAGGGTTACACATTCACAGTTCACTTAGCCTGACATCGTGTTGGCATTATTACTCATGAGAGAGCTCTCAAGCTCAGTCCATACATGCAGGGAGCTGGAAGTAGACTTCTTGGCTCCACACAAGTGTAAAAAGCTTCAGTTACAGAGAAAAGTAGGTTTTTTACCTGAGAAAGAGGAGAGCTGTTTCTCCTAAGAGCCATTGTAAACCCTGGCAATAATATTAGCATAGTAGTAATAATTGACACAGCACCTCGCAAGCACTCTTGTGCATACATTGATTAACTCATTTTGTCCTCCCACACCCTAGGAGGGAAGCCTCTGTATCCCCATTTTACAGTTGAGGAAACTGAAGCTCAGGTTAGTAACTTGCCCAAGGGCTAATGGAATTCAGGTAGACTGACTCCACAGTAAGGATTTTCCCCACTAAGCAAACTCTGCCTCTCAGTCTGCTATTACCATGTGCGGTAGTGTCACCTCAGCGAGAGAGGAAGGAGAAGGAAGGAACAGGGAATCAAACAATGAAGACTATGGGATAAATAAAAGTAGCACCAGATTGGAAGATGCCGCTGAACGCTAGTTCTGCTTTGACCCCTGACTAGCTCCATGACCCTAGGCTGGTTGCTTCTGAATGTGTCCTGGACTTCTCTTCATTTGTAAGCATCTCTTCATCTGTGAAATGAGTTAATCAATCCAACACTAACATTCTCTGGCCTTCAAACCACTATGGGATAAGTCTTGCCTTTAAGAAAAGGTGCCATCCTTGGAGACTGCTGTCTGATGCCAGGCCTCCTTTGCAAGTGGATTTCCACCTGCAAAGTCTTCATGTGTCAAGTCAAGACCTGCAAAGACCCATGTCACCAGCTGGGGTGTCTGTCTCAGAGATTTGGCATTCCTCCCACCACCCAAATTTTGCCTGGCTAACTCTCATTCACCTATTTGTCTCTCACTTCCTCTGACCTTCCAGACTTGGTTGTGTCCTTGTGCTTTGCATTCTTGTATCACCATAGTTTCTTTTCATAGGATTTATTACAGCTTATAATTAAATGTCAACTGGGGGCAGAGACCATGTCTTTTTTTCCCCATCGTTGCACTGCCATTGAGACCTCAGGTGGTTTGTTTTTGTTTTTGTTTTTGAGACGGAATCTCACCAATCTTGTCACCCAGGCTGGAGTGCAATGGCGTGATCTCAAGTCACTGCAACCCCAGCTTCCCAGGTTCAAGTGATTCTCCTGCCTCAGCCTCTCAGGAAGCTGGGATTACAAGCATGTGCCACCACGCCTGGCTAATTTTTTGTATTTTTAGTAGAGACAGGGTTTCACCACGTTGGCCAGGCTGGTCTCAAACTCCTGACCTCGAGTGATCTGCCCTTCGCAGCCTCCCAAAGTGCTGGGATTACAGGCGTGAGCCACCTCGCCTGGCCAAGACCTGAGGTTTTTGAATGAATGAATGTTGCCACATATGTGCCATATTAAATGTACACCAGAAGTAGAACAGCAAGATATGGCGATATTGGTTAGTTCTCTTCTGGCAGGCCACATAATAGCAAATCTGCAGTCACTATTTCCAATGCCACTTCATTGCAAGGAATTAGTATGATAAATGATTTAAAATCTAATGAGGTATTTCAGAGGTATGCTGAGATCTCACCAGAACAATGCAAATCCCCTGAGCTAAGCCAGCTGGGAACAGCTGGTGCTTTACTTCTAGGTTAGCCTAGTTAATTGTCAAAAGTTACCTGTTTTCAAGGCTAGAGTACATTTTCAATAATGGTGCTCCTGCCAGTCAAGACTAAAGTCAAAAATAAATCAGCCAACTTATGTCCTATAGCAATGTAGCATTTCCTGCCCCACCAATAGTGCCTAGAAAACCTGTGTCACAATAATACTCAGTAGGTATTTGAATAAATGACACTTTTTAACACTGCCATCAGGTAATTCCTCTGAGCAGCAGAATTGCTGTCACAAAGCTCATAGACACCACAGGGAGTCCTCAGGGACAAACTTATTGTCTTTCTGGATGATTTTAAAAATTGTGCCAGAATCAGTGGCTCATACCAGTAATCCCAGCACTTTGGAAGGCTGAGGCAGTAGGATCACTTGAGTCTAGGAGTTCGAAGTCAGCCCGGGCAACATAGTGAGACCCCGGCTCTACAAAAAATTTGAAACCTAGCTGGGCATGGTTGCATGCACCTGTAGTTCCAGCTATTTTGGAGGCTGAGGTGGGAGAATCGCTTGAGCCCAGGAGGTCGAGGCTGCAGTGAGCTGTAATTGCACCTCTGGACTCCAGCCTGAGTGACAGATCAAGACCCTGTCTCAAAAACAAAAAACCTGACATTTGTTTTCTTAGTCCATAGAATACTCGAATAAAGATGATGTGAGGGTAGGAGGGTACACACAAAGGACAGAGGAGGGCAGTTGAAATCAGCTCACTGAGAGCTGCAAGTGGTGAGTTGATTTTCAATTAAAAAAATTTCTTCAGGCTGGGCATGGTGGCTCACGCCTGTAATCCTGTAATAGGATTTGGGAGGCCGAGGTGGGCAGATCACTTGAGCCTAAGAGTTCAAGACCAGCCTGGGCAGCATGGCAAGACCTCGTTTCTACAAGTTAAAAAATTACCTGAGTGTGGTGGTGTAGTCTCACCTACTTACACTTGTAGTCCCAGCCACTCAGAAGGCTAAGGTAGGAAGATCACCTGAGCCCAGGGAGGTTGAGGCTGCAACGAGCAGTGATCAAGCCACTGCACTCCAGCCTGGACGACAAAATGAGACCAGTCTCAAAAAACAACAATTTTTTTTTTCTTCATAGAAAAACACACATAATCTGGTACCATTCCAAATAGAAGCAAGCACTTTCCTTCTATAGCACAAGGCAGCAATTGAAATATTTGATGTTTGTGATGACGCTGGGTCATCAAAAGGTTTAGCTGTGTTAGTAATACTGTATTTAATTTTGAAAAGGAGGTACAGAAAATATATTTAATTGAGCTCATTAACTTATTGTTCACAGGAGAGGTTGGAAAAGAAACCTTAGGTCATTAAAAAAGTAGAAACTTTTAGCTCCATAAAAGATATCCATCATCTATCAAAAACCAACAACACATATAAAAATGTAAAACATTAAAATGATAAAACAGAATAAAATAAGGATTGCCACCATCACTTGTGTTCTGGAAGACGGTTCTGGAGATTTAAGCCAATGCAATAATTCAGGAAAAAGAAACAGGTGATATAAATATTGGAAAGGACCAAAGCTGCTGTTACTGCAGATGGCTTAGCCAGAAAATTCTAGAAATCAGGCAGACACAGTGCCTCACACCTATAATCCCAGCACTTTGGGAGGCCAAGGTGGGCAGATCACCTGAGGTCAGGAGTTTGCAACCAGCCCAACCAACATGGTGAAACTCCGTCTCTACTAAAAATACAAAATTAGCTGGGCGTGGTGGCTCATGCCTGTAGTCCCACAGGCTTGGGAGGCCGAGGCAGGAGAATTGCTTGAACCCAGGAGGTGGAGGTTGTAGTGAACCAAGATCATGCCATTGCACTCCAGCCTGGGCAACAAGAGTGAAACTCCATCTCAAAAAAAGAAAAGAAAAGAAAATTCTAGAAATCAGCTGACATCAGTAGGGTGGTCAAATACCTGTAGACCCAAAAGGCTTGTGAAAAACAGAAGTTCTTACTCCCATAACTCCCCATGTTTCTCCTCAGAGACAGCTACTCCGGCTTTACCCGTATCTATAGTTATAAATAATATGTGAGCTGTCATCTTCTGATTCAATTCTACATGTTAACTAGTCACTTCTTGTTACCTTCTCTCTTAGCTTGGGCTGCCATAACAAAATACCATAGACTGGGTGGCTTAAACAACAGGAATTTATTTCTCATAATGCTGTAGACAAAGTCCAAGATTAAGGGGACAGCAGGGTAGGTGTCTGGTGAGGGCTCTCTCCTTTGGTTGCAGACAGCCACCTTCTTGCTGTGTCTTTACATGGCCTCACTCTGGTGCATATCAGTGGAGAAAGCATGAGAGGAAGCTCTCTTGGTGTCCCTTTTTATAAGGGTACTAATCTCATCATGAGAGGTTTAGACTGCATCTAAACCTTATTACCTACCAAAGGCCCTACGTCCTGATACCATCACACTGGGATTTAGGGGTTCAACATATGGATTTGGGAAGCACACGTTTGGTCTGTGGCACCATCTACATGATTGAAGCTTCCTTTCTCCATGTTATAATTCTTTTTTTTTTTTTTTTCTTTTTTTGAGACAGGGTCTCACTCTGTCATCCAAGCTAGAATGCAGTGGCACAATCACAGCTCATTGCAACCTCAACCTCCTGGGCTCAAGCAACCCTCCCACCTCAGGCTCCTGAGTAGCTGGGACTATAGGCATGCACCACCATGCCTGGCTTGCTTGCTTGCTTATTTACTTAATGTAGAGACAGAGTCTTCCTATGTTGCCCAGGCTAGTCTTGAACTCCTGGGCTCAAGCAATCCTCCCGCCTCAGCCATCCAAAGTGCTGGGATTCCAAGGTATGAGCCACTGTGCTCAGCCTATTCGTTTATGATTTAAGTCAATATTCTGTGTTTATTATCCTTACATAAATATTATTTAGAGCTGAGTGTTGTAGTGAACAATGATTTCTTTTGATTTTTACTAAGGTTAATAATAGAGTGGGTTTGTTTTGTTTTGTTTTTTGGTTTTTGGTTTTTTTTGCTTAGGTTTTTTTTTTTTGGCGTTAGTTCTCTCTTTATAGACACTCTGTTTCTAGAAACAACTCGCCTGCAGCTGGCTGGCTGGACCAGCACACGCTGACGGGGCTGGACTATTTACAGGCCTATTGTGGGCTGTACTTTGGCCACCCCCCGGCACAGCACTCAACTGTGACAATAAAATAAGTTAGGTCCAGCCGGGCAGGGCTTGGAGGGGGCAGGGACGGGGGCTTTACACACAAGTGCTGGGGGGCTTGGGGCCTCAGTACTCTCAAGGGCCGGGCTTTGTAGCTAATTTTGTCTCACATTTTTTCCAATTGCCTCTCAGTGAAGTTTCCCACAAGGCCAATCACGTCACATAATCAGAGTTCCCATTTTTATCTTGGATGTATTTCTCCTGGGGCCCTCCCTTCACTGTCATCTGTGGAATTCCTTTTGCCTTTCTGTTGGGTTGAATTCCTTGTTTTCTTATCTTCCTTATTGTCCTCTTTCTTGCTTTCCTCCCACATTGTGATGGAGAAGTTCCCTAACAGCTTCAATCGATAAAAAGAAAGTAAAATGACATCAGGCATGGTGATGAGAGCCTTTAACGTGGTTTGGCTGTCTTTCGAGTCACTCTGTTCCAGTCTGGTTACCTTCTATGTCTGAGGCATCTGTCATGCTTGGATTTCCCTTCATCCTGGGGATGACCTTCACCTCTCTCTGTAGTTCTCTTGTTGGTTTATTCCATGTTGCCTTTTTTAAAGTTTATGCTCTCCTTTTGGTGAGTCATGTCCTTCAGTAGATTCCTAAGAAAGGGTGCATGGAAGGTAAATTTTTCAGATATTACATATCTGAAAAAAATATATTCTCCACTTGCCCTTCATTGATAATTTTTGCCAAGTAATTTCTAGATCAAAAATAATTTTCTTTCAGTAATTTGAAATCATTGGTCATTGTCTTCTAACATTCTATTTACTTTTAGAAAAGATTAAAAACCATTCTTGTTTCTGCCTCTTTTATTAGGCAACCTGTTTGTTCTCTGGTGGTTTAAAGAACCTTCTCTTTGTACCTGATGATCTGAAACTTCATGATGTACCTTGATTTGGGTCTATTTCATCCACTGTGCTGGGTACTTAGAGGAGTCCTTTTATGTAGAAATTCACATCCAGAAATTCTGAGTTTTCTTGAGTTATCTGATTTGAGTTTTCTTGAGTAGCTGATTTCTTTCCCTCCATTTTCTTCACTCTCTCTTCCTGGAACTTTTTTTTTTTTTGGAGACAAGATCTGACTCTGATCTCAGCTCACTACAGCCTTGACCTCCTAGGCTCAAGCAATCCTCCTACCTCAGCCTCCCAAGTAGCTAGGACTACAGGCACGTGCCATCACACCCAGCTAATTTTTGTATTTTTTTGGTAGAGATGGGGTTTTGCCATGTTACCCAGGCTGGTTTTGAACTCCTGGGCTCAAGCAGTCCATCCACCTCGGCCTCCCAAAGTGCTGTGATTACAGACATGAGCCACCTCTTCTGGCCCCTGGAACCTACTAATCAGATGTTTGACCTTCTGAACCCATCCTCTAACTTTTTTACTTTATCTCACCTGTTTTTTTCTTTTCGTTGTTTTTATCTTTTCTAGGTTTTCTCGATTTTATCATGCAGCATTTCTATTGATTTTTAATTTCTACTATTCCATTTTTAATTTAAAAAACTATTTTTGTTTTGAAGGACTATTTTTATGTCCTTCTTGCAACCTCCTGTTTCTTTATCACTTTTGTAATATCTTTTCTCTCTAAGATACTGATGATTTTGGGGTGGGAAATGTTTTCTTCTACCCCTTCAAAGTTACTTTCTTCCAGTTTGTTTTTTGGTTTTTGCTCTCTGCCCTGTTATATAGGCTTTGCTTTCTTCATAGATCCAATAATCTTGGTTATCTGCCTATGCTTTAAGAGTGCAAAGCTCTCTGGATGCTCTGAGCATGTGGATGGGGCTTATGAACCTTGAACTTCATTGAAGATTGACCTGGCTGGGCTGTGTGTTGGGGAATCCCCAAAGTCAGTATCTTTGTCTTTTTTCTTATGCTAATGAAGACCTGGCTGCCAGTATTCTTAGAACCAAGCAGAGGGAAAGGTTAGGGATTGGACAGATGAGGAAGTCTTCATACTGAATACTTAGTCATTTAAGGCCTTTGTTTCCACTATAATGTTCAGACCTTCAACTGTGCGCCTCAATCCAGAGACTGTTTCGTTTTACCTTATTTACAGTGTTTCTCAATCAGAAGTAATTTTGCCTCCCAGAGAACAATTGGCAATATCCAGAGACATTTTTGATTGCCATTAAGAGTGGGGAGGTGGAGCACAGCTGCTGGCATCAAGTACGTAGAGGACAGGGAAGCTGCTATACACATCCTACAGTGTACAGTGCACAGGGCAGCACTCCAGATCAATAATTTTATTGGCCAGGCCAGGCCCGGTGGCTCACACCTGTAATCCCAGCACTTTAGGAGGCCAAGGCAGGCAGATCACTGGAGGTCAGGAGTTCGAGACCAGCCTGGCCAACATGGTGAAACCCCATCTCTACTAAAAATACAAAAATTAGCTGGGTGTGGTGGCGCACGCTTGTAATCCCAGCTACTCAGGAGGCTGAGGCAGGAGAATCACTTGAACCTGGGAGACGGAGGTTGCAGTGAGCCAAGATCGCAGCACTGTACTCTAGCCTGAGTGACAGAGCAAGACTTTGTCTCAAAAAAAAAAGAATCTTATTGGCACAAAATGTCAATATGCCTGAGGTTGAGGAATCCTAATCTAGAGAATAAACTTTCACACTAATGACAGAAGTGGGGCAATCACCCAGCAGCTTGCAGTAGAGCAAAGGGTAAGGACTTAGCGACTTTCAAACAGCTTCCCACCAATCCTCCTTATTTTAGCCGCTCCTCTCCCACCCCCAACCTTTGCTTCCTGTCCTAGAGCTACCTGAGTCTTTTTAGACTTTGCAGTGAAGTTGGTTTGTTTCTTGACTTACCTGTTAACCACCTTAGAACTCAGCTTTCTTAGGGTCATTAAGTCAGTTATCCATTGTTCATATGTGTTCTAAGCTTTTTTTTTTTTTTTTGAGACAGAGTGTTGCTCTGTCACCCAGGCTGGAGTGCAACGGCATGATCTCAGCTCACTGCAACCTCCGCCTGCCAGGTTCAAGCAATTCTTCTGCCTCAGCCTCCCGAGTAGCTGGGATTACAGGTGCGTGCCACCAGGCCCAGCTAATTTTTTTTTTTTTTGAGACGGAGTCTCGCTCTGTCACCCAGGCTGGAGTGCAGTGGTGTGATCTTGGCTCACTACAATCTCTGCCTCCCAGGTTCAAGTGATTCTTCTGCCTCAGCCTCCCGAGTAGCTGGGACTAGATAGAGGCACATGCCACCATGCCCAGGTAATTTTTGTATTTTTAGTAGAGACGGGGTTTCACCATATTGGCCAGGCTGGTCTCGAACTCCTGACCTCGTGATCCAGCCGCCTCAGCCTCCCAAAGTGTTGGGAATACAGGCGTGAGCCACCACGTCAAGCCTAATTTTTGTATTTTTAGTAGAGGCGGGGTTTCACCATGTTAGCCAGGCTGGTCTCGAACTCCTGACCTCAAGTGATCCACCCGCCTCAGCCTCCCAAAGTGCTGGAATTACAGGTGTGAGCCACCGCACCTGGCTCTGTTCTAAGCTTCTAAAAATGTTACTGTTGTCTCTTTTCCTATTCAAACCATCCTCTTGAAAATTTTAGAAGGGTTTTTGGAGGGAGCAAAATTAGGTGTTCAGTCTGATATACTTTCCAATAATGCTAAAATACATGAAATACATGTTGAAGCTACAGTCATTGGCACTGACACAGCAGATGAACATGGGTGAATGGAATTGAATAAAGATTCCGGAAACTGCCACAATATATTGGAAGACACTGAAGACACTGATAAGTGATATTGGGTCAATTGTCTATCTGCTAGAAAAAAATAAAATTTGCCTTTCTTTACCCCATATATAGAACTCAATGCTAGTGGATTAAAGATGTAAGCATATATACAAAACTACAAAAATACAGGAGAATGTTTTTATAATCTTCTGTTGAGAATGACCTTGCTAAGAAGGTAAAAATAAAAGAGTTAAAGAAAACCAATTATGTCGGCCAGGCATGGTGGTTCACACCTATAATCCCAGCACTTTGGGAGACCATGGCAGGAGGATCACTTGAGCCCAGGAGTTCGAGACCAGCCTGGGCAACATAGCGAGACCTCATCTCTACAAAGAAATGAAAATCAAAAAGTTAGCCAGATGTGGTGTATTCCTGTAATCCCAGCTACTCAGGAGGCTGAGATAGAAAGATCTCTTGAGCCCAGGAGGTAGAGGCTGCAGTGACTCTTGATCACACCACTGCACTCCAGCCTGGGCAACAGAGTGAGACCCTGTCTCAAAAAAAAAAAATATGTAAAAACTTAAAACTTCCATAGACAAAAGACTCTATGACTTTGAAAAATAAAACTGGGTGGGGAAAATATTTGCCACATATATAGTTGGTTACCATCTCTCTTATGTAAAGATCTCTACAAATCAGAAAGTGACTTTTAAAAATCTATCAGGCCAGGCACAGTGGCTGGCCAGGTGCAGTGGCTCACACCTGTAATCCTAGTACTTTGGGAGGATGAGGCGAGCAGATCACTTGAGGTCAGGAATTCGAGACCAGCCCGGCCCACATGGTGAAACCCCGTTTATACTAAAAATACAAAAAATTAGCCAAGCATGGTGGTGCATTCCTGTAATTACAGCTACTCGGGAGGCTGCAGCATGAGAATCGCTTGAACCCGGGAGGCGGAGGTTGCAGTGAGCCAAGATCACACCACTGCACTCCAGCCTGGGTGATGGAGTGAGACTGTCTGAAAAAAAACACACACACACACACACTCACAAAAAAAAAAAAAAGAAAAAAAACTATCAAGAAATAAGAGGAGAACTCTAAGTGGTTGATAAGCATTATAAGCATTCAAAAAAATGCTCTACTGTCCTCGACACTGATGAAGAAAAATGCAAATTAAAGTAGAAACAAGATGCTATTCATCAGTGGTTCTTCATGTGTAGTCCCTGAGCCAGCAGCATCAGCATCACCTGAGAACTTGTTAGAAGTGCAGATTCTCAGGTCCATCCTAGACCTGAATCACAGGCAAGCGGTAGGCCTAGCCATTTGGTTCAACAAGCCCTCCAGGTGATTCTGATGGTCAAATTTGAGAAATCAGAGGAAAGAAGGAACTACCTTCGGTATTGCAGATGACTCTCACAGTATTGAGCAACAGATGTCAGACATAAGACTGAATACTACAGGGTCCATTTATATGAAGATCAAAAGCAGAAACTAATCTAGGATGATAGAGATCAGGGCAATTGTCACCCTTAGAGGAGAGGAGTAACTAGAAATGGGGATAAGGTTTTCAGGTGCTGGCAGTGTTGTGTTTCTTGATTTGGATGCTGGTTACACAGGTTTGTTCAGTTAGTGAAACTTCCCCAAGCTGTTCACTTAGGATTTGTGTACTTTTCTTTATACTGTATTTCAATACAGCAGTGAAAGTTAAAACATAGGTTCTGTTTTTTTTTTTTTTAATCAGGTTTTTAGCCATTTAAAACATAGAAATTTAGTCTGGTGAAGGTGCAAAAGCATGCATATACTGATAACAGAGTAAACTAAGGTTTTTTGTTTGTTTGTGTTTTTGAGACAGAGTCTCGCTCTGCACCCAGGCTCTGCGCCTGTGCTGGAGTATAGTGGTGCAATCTCAGCTCACTGCAACCTCCACTTTCCCAGTTCAAGCTATTCTCCTGCCTCAGCCTCCCTAGTAGCTGGGATTACAGGCATGCACCACCATGCCCAGCTAATTTTTGTATTCTTAGTGGAGATGGGGTTTTACCATGTTAGCCAGGCTTGTCTCAAGCTCCTGGCCTCAAGTGATCCGCCTGCCTCAGCCGCCCAAAATGCTGGGATTATAGGCGTGAGCAGCTGTGCCTGGTCAGTAAATTAGTACAAGCTTTTGCTGAACAATTTGGTAGTACCTCTAAAGCTTAAAATGTGTATTCTAGAAATTTTCCTCCTAGAAGTCTGTCCTGGAATTCAGGTATACAAAGGCATAGGTTATAAAAATGTTTCTGAGCATTTTTGTACAAACATAAAGAAGACAACCTAAATTTCTATCAATAGGGGATTGGTTACATGAATTATGGAAGACTGAGCAACTGTTAAAATTGGCAGAGATGCATGTGTAGTAGTGTGGAAGGTTGTCCTCCATGGTATTACTGACTGAAAGAAGCAAGTTATAGACTCTGTGAACAGAGTGATCCATATTTATAAGGAAGAAAGAGAAAGATGTGCAGGCGGTGGTTATAAATGCAAGGAAAGAGGCCAGAAAGGGTAAATACAAAATTGTTTATGTTGGTTTTTCTTGCATTTTTATAACTGGCGGATAGGGAAGGGCGTTGTCATTTCTTAATATACTTCTGTGTTAATTTTTTTTTTTTTTTTTTGAGACGGAGTCTCCCTCTGTCACCCAGGTTGGAGTGCAGTGGCACGATCTCGGCTCACTGCAGCCTCTGCCTCCTGGGTTCAAGCGATTCTCCTGCCTCAGCCTCCCGAGTAGCTGGGACTACAGGCAGGTACCACGACGCCCAGCTAATTTTTGTATTTTTAGTAGAGACGGGGTTTCACCATGTTGGCCAGGATGGTCTTGATCTCTTGACCTCATGATCCGCCCACCTCAGCCTCCCAAAGTGCTGGGATTTACAGGTGTGAGCCACCATGCCCGGCTCACTGTGTTAATTTTTTACCTGCATTTATCACTGAAATGTTTTATAAGTCTTAGTTTTGCCATTAAAAAAAAAAGTCTTAGCCTAAAAAAAAAATGCTTATCAGGGAAAACAAACAGTATTTTTGTAGTCTAAGCAAATACAGATTCAGGTTTATCTTAAACACAAAGCAAAAGATGAGTAACATTTTTGAAGACTGGTTTTTATCAGTAGTGGTTATAGTGGAGACAAAAGGTTTGCTTCTTGATATATTTCAGTTACCTAGGAAATTCACTTGGGTAGAACAATTCTTTTCTTGACAGAGACATTCTTTTTACTTTGTTTGCTTGTGAGGTCATGGGTCAAGTATTCCCGTTCTTTGAAAGACGGCTCAGTTAACAATATTGTGCCTTTGTGTAAAAGACGACCACAGCCAGCAAACTAGACAATGCAGACCTGGACAGCAGGCTTCACTCGCGTTAATAATGAAAAACGTTTTTGCATTCAGAGCCAAGAACTGTGAGTTGAGCCTGTTTAGCTGGATACAGACTTGTGATGGAAACTCTTAAGCCCTTGTGATCACACAGAGAGACACTATCAACACATCTACAGTGCCTCTTCACTCACTGTTATGTTTCCTATGTGAATCATCCACAAAGGGCCGTTCTGACCCTATCTCAGTCAAGAAGCCTGAAATGTTTCAGACGCTGCCATGCTGCATTACATCTATTACCAGTCTTACTGATCCAACAGAATGTCAAATACATGTGTATAGATTACCTGTCAGAGTCAATTCGGGCCAAAAACCTCATTAGTGTGAGGCTTAGCACTTTCTGGAATTATATCCCATTTTGTGTATCTTCACTTTCAGTAAGTGTTGTTGCCACGGATGTAAACACAAAAGCACATCTCCATTAAGCATCTTGTCTCTGGAATTCATATACTAACATCAAGCAGATAAAAGAATGTTGATGCTCAACTCTAAAGAGCAGAAACAGCAACATTTAGAGTCTTAGCTGCTCCCTGGCACAGGCACCAAAACTGTACCAGGAAAGTGGCTTCTCTCGGGAAGCAGTTTAACATGTCCCTTGGAAACCTGTCTGATGGCTTCAAGATCTTCACAGGAAGTCTTCTTAAAGAAGGGCCTGAAGTCTCTCTTCAACATCTACTTCTTCTAATCCCTATTTGAAGGTCCCCAACTACCTCAGACTGAGTAGGTTGAAAATTCAACTCATGAACAACACTCCTTTAGCCTGTTCCTCTTCCATTGTTCCAACAGAACAAGTCCAACCCTGATCTACTCCAGAAATCTTTCTAGATACCTGGAGATCATTCCATTGTATCCGCTCCCTTCTCCTCCCCCAACCCCATGTCTAATCCATTAAAGTACCATCTGCTGAAATTTGTCTTGAATTTACTCACTTCTCGATATTCACTGCCACCATATTGGTCTTGAAGACTTCATATTCTTCCACTTGGATTATTGCACGCTCTCTAAATTTGTCTCCACACCACTGCTCCCCCTTTCCCCTCCACATGTCCATTCTCTACCTGCAGCCAGAGTGGCTTTATAAAAAAATCTAGCCTAATCTTAACATTCTCTTGCTTAAAACTCTCCCACTGCCCTTCGGATAAAGCACAAAATCCCTAGGCCTCCTGGGCTCATATCATCTGACCTTCCCCAGCTCTCTAACACTTTGCACCAATATCCTAACTTACTACACATTCTTACAGGTTCTAGAAGGTAGCAGAGCCCTTCCCACCTTCAGACCTTTGCCCACGCTGTGTCCTCTGCCTATAATGTTGCCTTCCTGCTTCTGTCTCGCTAGTGCTTTCAGCCTTCTGGTTATTCTTCAGCCTGGACTTCTCCGATGCTTCCTGTGCCTGCCAGCAAGGTCATTTCCCCCATCATAGACCCTTATCATACCGTTTACCTTCTTCATAACATTTGCCACAGTTGTAATCGGTCAGGTATTTCCCTCCACTAGACTTTAGTGCTCTACAAGCAGGATATGTACAATTTGTATACCACTGTCCTTGGGGCCTGATAGCAGGAAGCCCAGATATTGTAGGTGCTCCCGTGTTAAACAAATAAAGGAAATCTGTCTTCCGAGCCTCTTGATTAGAGTTACTTTAGTATTTTGATTCATATACCACAAAGAAAGCTAAACCAGAAATGAAATTCTTTGTCCTGAGTCACACAGCGAGCCAGGACTTGCAGGGCTAGAGCCCACCCTGGACTCCTGTTGCTGTGTCCTGGGCATGTGGTTCACATCTCAACTTTTTTGTGACTTAGGAATAAAGTCCACCTGGAAGGTGCTAGAATGTGAGTGCATACCTTGCTCTAGCCTTCCTTTGTCCAGGACTCAAGACACCTACAGTTTAGGTCAGTTTCCTTTTGCTTGATGAAGTCTTCCTTTAGTCAATGAGTAGTGTTACTTTGGCTTTGGGTATGGTCTTACTTGTCAGCAGTTGGATGACTATTGCTAGGGTAAATGCACAACGTGTGGTAAAATACTGAGTGTCCACATCTGGACTGGGCCGCTGTTCATTCTCTCTTCTGAAAGCTGTCTCAGACCACATGTTACTGGCCATCTGTGAGAAGAGCAGGGAATGCCCAGAGGTTCGTCCCTTGAAAGCAGATCAGCTCCAGGGACCACCTCCAAGTACACCTGCAGTCTCATTTCCTTGACAAATACCAGCCTGGGAGCAAATTCCAGCCATGGATGTTGTTTCTCACCAAGTGGTGTTTTAAAACCCCTGATTAGTACTAATATTTAAAATCAAGATTATTATGTACAAGCTTGAGTTTCTGTGTTCTCCTGGGATGGAGAAGACCTGGCAAAACCAGCCCACAACTATCAGCTAGAGCTGAATTTTAAGAGAACCCCCTAAAACAAGATATTGTTGGTCCCTGCCTGGACTGCCATGGTTACCTTCCTGGCATTTGTAGGCACATGAGTTTGCAAACCCTGTAATATTTTTAAGTCATGGCAGGGGAAGGTGGGGTATATGCATGAAAGTTGTAATTGACTTAGCCAGGCATGGTGCTGCACGCCTGTAATCCTAGCTACTTGGGAGGCTAAGGAAGGAGAATCCCTTGAACCCGGGAGGTGGAGGTTGCAGTGAGCCAAGATTGCTCCATGGCACTCTAGCCTGGGCGACGGGAGCGAGACTCCATCTCAAATAAATAAATAAATAAGTTGTAATTGACATTCTGTATAATTATTTTTTTTTCTTTGTCCCTCCTTCCTTCTTTTTCTTTATCTTCTACTGTCCCCTCCTCTCTCCACTGCTTCTACCACTTTACAGGTTCTGGGGCTGCTGGTATGGACGCTTATTGCTGGAACTGAGTACTTCCGGGTCCCCGCATTTGGCTGGGTCATGTTTGTAGCTGTATTTTACTGGGTCCTCACCGTCTTCTTCCTCATTATCTACATAACAATGACCTACACCAGGATTCCCCAGGTGCCCTGGACAACAGTGGTAAGGAAGCTGTGGGTGGTGGTCTTGTCCAGTGCCCACTCGGTAGATGGCATTAGTCCTCTACTAGTCAATCCAAGACTGTCTCTCTGCCCAGAAAAGGTGGGGCCATACCATGGAGAACTCAACACAGCAGATAATCTCAGCATCATCTAATTGCCTTTCAAGTGGCTTACACCTGGGTGTGAAACTGGGCACATTAGAAGGTCCAGAAATTCCTTTCAGGCAGAATTGCAAACCAATTCTCAGAAGACTGAATCAAGAAAAGCCAGGTTCTCTCCATTAGATTCTCATTTTATTATTTCCCTGTGAACAATGTCAACTGGAAATAAATATGCCAGGGCGCCAACCTCTGCAGATCGTGCTTCCTATAAACCTCTCCTGGGGCTGTGGCCTTAACCCTTTGTACATCACAGCTCTTATGATGTTGGAGCACATTGTGTATGGAGTTAGAATGCAAATGAAAATTGCTATTAGAAAACATAGGTGTTCTTATATATTTGAAAAGGAGAATTGTCAGGAATGACTGGATTCTCATCCTGGCTCTGGCACCATGCTGGATGCAGGATGGTGAACATGTGGTCCAGGGTAAATAGATAAGAAAATGAGTAGATACGAGACCCTGTGGCATACACTGCAGTGAAGCTGTGTAGAAAGTGTGATGGAGGCTGCCACCTCAGCTTAGGATGGCTGGGAACTCTTCAGAGAGGAAGTGACATTTAGCTTCATCCTGGAGATCGAACACACACATCCTAAGTGGATTCACAGAGATGGAAAGTGGGTTCCCCTTGCCTTAAGAGCATTGACAATCTGGTTGGCAAATTCAAAGTAGCTAAATGATTTACAAAAAAAATCCCAGTGGTACCACATGTGTTTATGTATAAAACAGAGCTCTCCAGTGATACTATTTTTTTGTCTGTTTTCAACCAATATGTGAGAAAAAATATTTAGTTCCAAATAACTGACTTATGAACCAAATTTGAAATATAGTCTATTTGTGGTTATAGACTAAGTTAAGTTGGCACACTTTCAGACAACACTATCATTGTTCAAAACGCACCTGGCTTTGTTCTTTCTGTGTTGCTAAGCTAAGTCCCCCAGGAAAACAAGTCTTACTTTATTTCACAAGGCAGATTGACTGACTCTTGACCATTTCCCCAAATCCAAAAGTAAGGACTCTTTATTAAGATTTTCAAGAAAGCGTTGCAAGTTTGAAAAGTAATTCCAAATAAGGTGCTTAATCACTGTCTAGGGTGGTGGAAACAGCCTTGTTAGAATTGGTGTTTTGCTGCCTCAGATGGGCATCAGGAGGGAAAGACTCGCTTAGATGCTAGATTCAAAAAAAGTTAGCACCTTGAAGTAATAGTAACTATAGGAACACAGGATGAGGGAATAATCAAAGTAGGTTGGAATTTAAGGAATGCCATTTTGGACAAAGTTGTGTCCTAGGGTGGGTCTTGAAGAAAGTGACTGTGAACTTGGAAGAAGAGGAACTTGGACAGTGTAGTAGGGGAGCAAATTGTTGGGATGGAGGAATGGACAGTACCCTTATTTCCCCTTTTGCATGAGTCTCAATTTCTAGTTATGTTATCTAGATCAGCAATTGGCATGCTGTCTCTGTAAAGGACCAGATAGTAAGTACTGTAGTCGTCTTGGGCCACACGCCTACGGCCCAGCCACTCAACTCTGCCTGCAGCATTGAGAGAAGCCATAGGCAATTTGTAAATGAATGAGCATGGCTGTGTTCCAGTAAAACTTTATTTACAAAAACTGGTGGTGGCCGGGCATGGTGGCTCACACCTGTAATCTTAGCATTTTGGGTAGACACCAGAGGTCAGGGGTTTGAGACCAGCCTGGCCAACATGGCGAAATCCCGTCTCTACTATAAATACAAAAATTAGCCTGGCGTAGTGGCACATGCCTGTAATCCCAGCTACTCGGGAGGCTGAGGCAGGAGAATCGCTCGAACCCAGGAGACGGAGGTTGTAATAAGCTGAGATCACGCCACTGCACTCCAGCTTGGGCGACAGAGTGAGACTCTGTCTCAAAACAAAACAAAACAAAACTAGTGATGGGCCAGATTTGACCCACAGGCCATAGTTTACAGACCTCTTGTGTTGATCATATGTAGTCTTTCTCTTCTCCAAGCCTAAAACTCCTTCACTGATTTATTACATTAAAAATTTTAAAATATTGCCTTTAATTGGACTTTTAAAAAGAATATTAACAATGCCTTCTTCCGGCACCCCTGGTTTTAAAATGCTTTGATTTGCATTATCAGAATTTATTATCGTAAGGTGTGTCCCCATTTTATAGATAAGGAAACTGAGGTTTGGAGTCTTGTGACTTTGCACAGATTTACACACAGCAGGGGTCCACATCTCTCGAATTCCATCAGCATTTGTTTTCTGATCTCATCCTGCTCCAGGCCCCCTCTGCCTGAGCGGTAGGTAGGAACTACAACCAGACACCAGGAAACCAGGACTCCTAATCCCTTTAGAAGGGTTTAATCATTTATCCCCCTTAAGCAAGGCTGTCAGCCTCCAGGTCAGGGGTTGCACACTCACATATGTGAGGCACCAGTCAGGTTGTACAAGTGAGTAAACTCAGCATGGTATTGAACCTTGCCACCCAGACACACTTTCTTAGCATCTTAAACAACTTGAGAATATTCTTCACTTCACAAATAAATAAGCTGGAAATGTGCTGCCAGGATTGCTAAATTTTCTATTTGTTTTCTAAGGCAATCTAGAAATCTGGGCTTTGGTGTGAACTCTCCCAATTTTAAAATGCTTACAGCCATATTCTTAGAATTCGTTTGCTGCTGGCAGAAGCTACAGGTCAAACATGTCTGACTTCTGGTTGGGGTTTATGTTTACTGTTACAACTAAATACACCTTTGTAACTTCTCAAAGCATTTGTGAGTTGGGTACATGGTGTTAACCAAATATCCAGAGCGGAGACTGGAAAAAGTTTCCGTCTGTTAACAACTAAAGGCTCTGACTAAACTTCCATATTTTCCACTGCCCAGCAGAATCTCTTACAGAACAGCCTGTGGGGGATTCAGATGCCAGCCCAACTGTCGTGTCCCAGCACAAATCAGGAGCATAGCAAGTGTCAGGCTGGGACTTTGTGCTGAGGCAGCTGACAGGCTCCTGCTGCCGAGTTGGACTGCCTAAACTCTTGCTGCTCAAAGTGTGGTCCCTGGACCAGCAGCATCACTGGGAGATTATTAGGAATACAGAATGTTAGGCCCTACTCTAATTCTGATTTGTACTGACTGAATCAGAAATTCTGTAGAGGGCTTCAGAATCTCCATTATGACAAGATTTCCAGATAATTCTTAGGCATCTAAAATGTGGGAAACACTGGTTTAAAAATAGTTATAGATCCATAATCTCTGAGTCAAAACCTTTGGGTCAGATGTGAATTAAGAGTTTGTTTTGTTTCGTTTTGAGATGGAGTTTCACTCTTGTTGCCCAGGCTGGAGTGCAATGGCGCGATCTCAGCTCACTGCAACTTCCACCTCCCGGGTTCAAGCGATTCTCCTGCCTCAGCCTCCCGCGTAGCTGGGATTAAAGGCATGCGCCACCACGCCCAGCTAATTTTATATTTTTAGTAGAGACAGGGTTTCTCCATGTTGGTCAGGCTGGTCTCAAACTCCCCAACTCAGGTGATCCACCCGCCTCGGTCTCCCAAAGTACTGGGATTACAGGTGTGAGCCACGGCGCCCAGCCTAAGAGTTTTTTTTTCTTTCAAATTTTGGAAAGGTAATAAGGTAATTTGGTGCATTTACAACAATATGTGACATGTACCCCTGAGTCTGGGGCTGTACTGTAATGAGACAAATTAATGTTTCTGCAACAACACGTGGATTTTCCTGCTAAGAGGGATAATGAAGACCACATTGCTACCATGTCAGCTCAGGTCAGCTTTTACTACCAAATGACTTTTGAATTTAGTCTTGCTTTTCAGAGCATTTAGGGAATCTAAGATTGTAGAGAAGGGATTGGTAGACTTGGTTTTAGTCCCCTGGGAACTTGTCTGGGAGACCACTGCAGAAACCAGAGTTTTATAATCTTGCGTGTAGTGCCTTCATTGATAAGGCATGAACTTTGCATTGGAATCTTATCTTAACAATAGCTCATCCCCTTAATGTGTCTGGGGAGGTAGAAAGTGACCTATATCCATTTTTAATATGCAGCAGAAACCACAGCTGGTTCCTACTAGCACCTCTGAGCTCCTGGGCTACAACTGTTATGATACCATTTATTCAGGGAGACTTGGATAGGTTTTCCAACAAATCTGATTTAAGCTAAAAGTTCAAAGCAATAAAATTTGCCTTCTTCATAGCACCAAGCACTAGGGTCTACATGCATGTGTTTCCTGAGGATTCGTCCTCTGTAGCTCATCCCTGCTGACCTCACTGCAAGCCTTGTGAGCTCCAGAGAGCAGAGATGTTTGTCTCCTTTTACCGGTTAAAGCAGCTACTATTTTCTTTTCTTTTTTTTTTTGGAGATGGAGTCTTACTTTATTGCCCAGGCTGGAGTATAGTGGTGCAATCTCGGCTCACTACACCCTCCGCCTCCCGGGTTCAAACAATTCTCCTGCTTCAGCCTCCTGAGTATCTGGGATTACAGGCGCTCACCACCACGCCCAGCTAATTTTTGTATTTTTTTAGTAGAGACGGGGTTTCACCGTGTTAGCCAGGCTGGTCTTGAACTCCTGACCTCAGGTAATCTGCCCGTCTTCGTCTCCCAAAGTGCTGGGATTACAGGCGAGAGCCACCGCACCTGGCCGGCAGTTACTATTTCTTAAGTACATACTATGTGCTAGATGTCACACTGGGTCCTTTATATTTTACATCATTTCATTTAATCCTTACAGTAACTCTGCAAAGATAGAATGCATTATTTCCATTTTGCAGATGAAGAAACTGGGGCACTGAGAGGATGCTTGAGAGCCAGGAATGGGAGGCAGGTCTTCTAATACCAACCACAGTTGTGAACCTTGGAGTCTGTTTGGCTCCCAGTATACACAGATATTCCAGTTTCTCTTGCCCTTGGAAGTAGCCATTTCCACTGTGCCATCCTGAGCAGGAAGTGCCAGCCCAGATGTTGGGTCTTGGCAGTCTTTTCAGCATAGCAGTTCTAAAGAGTCCCATTTGTTATTGTAAATCTTCCAAAAGACCCTTCTTCTAATGATGGTGCCAGAACTGAGCACATGACTTATTGGCAGGGGCTGAGAGTCAGAAAATGGGACCTTCCTGTTGCTCTGTCTCCAGCCAGCCTGCCTGAACCTACAGGCCTAAGTCCCTGCTGTCACCTGGTGGGATCATGTTATAACCAGGATCCACTGAGTCTTCCTGTCTCCTCTTAACCAGTCAATCCAAATGCCTTAGCCTGACGGGCACAGTCAATTTCTAAATGACTGCCTCTGGCCTCTAGCTGATACAATCATTAAACAGGAATAAGAAAAGTAAGTTACTGTGTATACTTTATAGTTTACACAACTCTTTAACAATATGGTCTCCTTTGAGATGGGTGAGACTTGTATAGTTTTTCCCATTTTGTAAATTGAGTACAATCAGTTTGATGGTAGGTTTAATCCCTATAAGAGAGGTCCAAAACAACATTGGTTTAAAACTTATTTCTCTCTCCTGTGATAGTCCAGAAGTAAGTCACCTGTTCTATAAGATCACCTGTGCCCCAGGTTCCTCCTTTCTTGTGACTCTGCCATCTTTAACAGTTGGCCTGTGGTCCAAGGTGGCAGCTTCAGCACCTGCCATCACATCTAGATTCCTAGTCAGGGGGAGAGAAGGTAAAAAGTGGGCAGTGGAGGGTACTTCTTCCCTTTAAGGCACAGTGTTGACATTGTATATGTTACATCTGCTCACATTCTGTTAGCCTAAACGTGGTCACCTGACCACATCTCCTTCCAAAGGAGGCTGGAAGGTGGAATCTTTAGGTGGCCATGTGCTCAGCTGGAAACTCCGTTACCATATAATAAGAGAGAAACATAGCAGGAGACAGCCAGCAGCTCTGCCACAGACGAAGCAGCTGAAGAGGTTATTTCCCCAAAGCCACATAGCTGTGAGCGCTGCATTGGCCCATCTCCTGTATCCTGCAGCCCTTCTTCTAGTTGCTTATCATATCTTCCTTCTTTCTTTTTTGGTTGTGGATTCAAAATACAGCTTTTTAGATGAAACCTACATGGAGATTCCCAACAGACCTGATTCAGTGTGTCTGGGGTAGGGCCTGGGAACATGCTTTTCTGACAGATTTCCAGATAGTGCTGATACCACTCCTGCACTTTGAGTAGCACTGAGCTCCTTTACTAGCTGGTTGTAGACAAGGTGGGGAGGGAAAAGGGGATTCTTAGCCAGCATCAGCCTGTACCTTTTCCTCAGCCTTTGCCCAGACCCAATCTCTTCTGTCAAGCATGAGTGTCTCTTCCACCAATGTGTGGTAATAGGGACTAGAGAGCCAGAAAGGCAAGCCGCAGGTGAAGCGGACATCCCTACCACCCTTAAGAAATGGACTCTGGGCCAGGTGCAGTGGCTCATGCCTTGTAATCCCAGCACTTTAGGAGTTCAAGGCAGGAGGATCACTTGAGCCCAGGAGTTCAAGACCAGCCTGGGCAACATAGCAAGACCTGTCTCTACTAAAAATAAAAATTAGGCCGGGTGCGGTGGCTCACGCCTGTAATCCCAGCACTTTGGGAGGCTGAGGCGGGTGGATCATGAAGTCAGGAGATCGAGACCATCTTGGCTAACCCAGTGAAACCCCATCTCTACTAAAAATACAAAAAATTAGCCAGGCGTGGTAGCATGCGCCTGTAGTCCCAGCTACTCAGGAGGCTGAGGCACGAGAATCGCTTGAACCTGAGAGGCAGAGGTTGCAGTGAGCCAAAATCACGCTACTGCAGTCAGCCTGGGTGACAGAGTAAGATTCTGTCTCAAAAGAAAAAAAAAGACAGAAAAGAAATGGACTCTGATGGAAAAGATGTGTACAAGGCTGATTATACTAAGCAGAGGGATATTTAAATAAATGCTAAGAAGAGAGGCAGGTGAAGCTCCAGGGGAGCCATCCTTCCCAAATGTTCACTTAAATTTTCAGCGGTTTGGGTATGCCAGATGGTGAACCTAGGTAGCTATGTCTTTAAACTCTTGAGGACTCTTGAGGATATCAGATGCCTGAAAATCTTGCCTTCTTAGCTGTCTGAATAGATGTAACACTAGGGACAGGAGCTGCTCATTATCCCCCACTATCCATTTTCTTCTGTAGTAATAGAAGTTTCAGTTGAGCCTTGGCCCCTCTGCCACTGGGTGGGCCCTGGGACTGAGTTCCAGCTGAGGGGATGTTCGCAGCAGTGATGTGTGAAGCACCATGGCCCTAAAGTGGGGCTGCTTTTTTTTCTTCTCCCCCTCCTCCCCTTCCTAGCAGCTGGGATTCTGCTGTGGTAGTGGGACACCTCCTGGGCCATGTGGAGAATGGTGAGACCCTGGAGATGGCCAAGTATTGTGGATGGAGCCTGTGTCCCTGTCACCCCGAGGCTGCCAGACCAGCTCTGGCTGCCTAAGCCTTAGATAGGAGTAAACTCTCTTTCCTAAGCCACCGTCTTGGGTCATGTCACCACAGCCAAATTTACTAACTGTATATTATCTCAGGGCTTCTTTCCATTATCTTGAGATCTGAGATTTATCTTAATATGTCCACAAGTACTATGCATAGCTGGGTAAAAATAAGCCGGTATTTGAGAAAAAAAAAAAGAGAGAAAGAGAACATTTTTATACCAAGGAGGGATTGACTTTCAGAAAAGAGTAGACTTCTCTCTCCTCCCTTCCTCCAAAAAAAGAAGTTGGAAACCTTCTGTTTTTGTGTGTGTGTTTTTGGTTGTTCTTTGTTTGTTTTTGTTTTTGAGATGGAGTCTCACTCTGTCACCCAGGCTGGAGTGCAGTGGCGTGATCTCGGCTCACTGCAACCTCCCTCTCCCAGGTTCAAGTGATTCTCAAGCCTCAGCCTCCTGAGTAGCTGGGATTACAGGGCCCATCGCCACATTTGCCTAATTTTTGTATTTTTAGTAGAGATGGGATTTCACCATGTTGGCCAGGCTGGTCTCGAACTCCTGACATCTCAGGTGATCTACTCGCCTCGGCCTCCCAGAGTGTTGGGATTACAGGTGTGAGCCACTGCACCCAGCGGAATTTTTAAATTACTATATTGTCCTTGTAGCTCTCTTTCACTGTGGCCCAGGGAACTGGCATTTCAGTTGGAGGAGCTATAAGATTTTTCAACTTGAATAGTCTCTGATCCAGGGCCTATTTCTCTATAGCAACAAGACCTCATGTTTCTATGAAACTCAGTAACATTCTAGAACCCTCTGAAGCTTCACATATCCCTCCTTCATTTCTGTAGCCCAGATTTCTTTTTTTAACCTTTATGACGATCCTGGTTTCTTTGCTCTTCTCTTTTCTTTCATCTCTCCACTTATTTTCACTACATTTCCTCCAACCCAGGCATTCCCCGGACATGTTTACTTTTGGGAGTGTTAAACAAGACTAGGGAAGTCACAAAGTTAGGCATTGTGAGATAGTGCCTGAGAGAGGCTTGTAATAAACTGGCAGAGCCCCCAGTGTGGGGGGCGCACAGAGGGAGAATGCCCCTGCCTTCTACTCACGTCTCTACCAACCCTCTTCCCCTTCCCCATTTCTTTCCAAGGGAAATAGCAGTTTCTTGTTTCTTTAGAGTTCAGAAAAAATGGGCCATACTTACTGAGAGATGGGATCATTGCATGTTCACAGGTCGTAGACTCAGAGAGTCTTTCTTTCCCCATCTCCTCTCTGGCCCCCTCGTCCACATGGGCTCGTGCACAAGGCCCAGGACGTCAGGGCAGTTCTGGCCAGGCTGAGCTTTCCCTGAATTCTCTTTCATTCATTCTCATTCATTCTTTCCTTGTATAAAGAACTAGACATGCATGAGAGCCCTGAAACCCATCCTCAAAGATGTTCGTTGCAGTAGCATTTGTAATCCTTGAAAAATTAGCAACATTGAAATGCCCATCAATAGGGGAAAAGTTAAATTATGAAGTATTAGTGGCAAGACAAGACTAAATGGCTTGGCAAGTATTAAATTTGCGTGACTCTATATTCTAAGAGGTGATATGGGGAAATAATACCAGTAAGAGCTTTTGTGTTAATGCACAGATGTGTTTCTAGACCAAAAAGTAAACAAAAGAACACAACCGACATTCCTAATGAGTCATTTAGTGAGACCAGGGCTTCTTAGGGGACAGTTTCGGCAGCCTGACCCTGGGTCTGACTGTGATGAAGCCCTTGTCTTAAAGGTTAAGTGCCCTGACCTGAAGACAGTGTGAGCACAGGTGGAGGTGGCGACAGGAACATACAACCTCTGCCACAAGGCCAGGGCCTGCAGTGGGAAAATTCTATGTAGCTTTTTTTTCTCTGAGAAGAAAGAGATTGCTTCCTCCCTTTCCCCTACCCCTTCCTCTGTCTCCAAGTTACTGAGGGAAAGATGTTAGACCACAGAGGGCCCACTCCTGAGAGGCATCCCCCTTCCTCCCCAGTTGGTTTCTGCTCTGGTTTCACCTCACCCCTGCCTCTCCCCTGTGTTCAGGCAGGACCCAGCTTTGCATGGTTTCCTATGCATGGTTCAGAGCATGGTTTCTTAGAGTTTAGACATAACTGAAAACCAAATACCTACCGGGACTTACATATCTTCTCTAAAAATAGGAACAAATAAGGTAAAGCCAAGGGTAACATTAGTTCCCAAAGGGCTGTAACCGCCTTTTTAAGAACTTGCAGCTAGGACAGAGGAGCTCATTTAAATATCCCTCCCTGTTTGGAATGGGGGGTTAGGGAATCAGCTGGGCCTGTTTTGGGGGACACTGTATTGCGCCTCTACGTCAGGGACACATGCAAGGGCTACAGCTGCGGCTGAGGGCCAGGGGCTGAGGCTGAGCCCACCGAGTGGGCGCCACTGCTGCCTGCCATCCTCAGACAGCATCAGCTTGGCTGACATCTGGATGAGATGAGGCTCAGGAGCAAACCGAAGAAGCAAAATGACTGAAGGGGCGGCATGCAGTCTCAGTGTCTCGTGGGGGCAGGGGTTGGCATCTGGTATGAGCTGCCGTAAAACCCTCTCCTCTCGCACTTAGAGCTGCCTTCCCACAGCCTTCTCCCCCACCCTCCCACAGGTGTCCACTTGGGCCCCTCCCCACACCAGAGGTACAGCCCTCATCACTTCTGAAGTCCAGAGGTATGCAGACCCTCCCCTCTCCCTAAACACTCTGCCCCTGTGTCCCCCCAGGGCCTGTGCTTTAACGGCAGTGCCTTCGTCTTGTACCTCTCTGCCGCTGTTGTAGATGCATCTTCCGTCTCCCCTGAGAGGGACAGTCACAACTTCAACAGCTGGGCGGCCTCATCGGTGAGTAGCCCTCCATCCCCACATGATCCTCCTCTTCCCTCTCCAAGGCTTGCTTGGGATTGGGGAAGACAGAGTCATCTGCAGGAAAAAGCAGCGCTTGCAGTAGTGACAAATTAGCAATTGGCTTATTGATTTGAAAATATCTAAAACTGGCAGGGGGCAGAGGGCCCTCCTGGCCCGAAGTGGGAAAAGGCTGGGAGACTGCTTGAGTGAATGCCGAATGACTGGAACAAGATAAGTATTCAAGGGAGAAAAGCTGTTTAAAGCATGCTAAGAATAATTCTACTGCCTATAATTTAGTAAGTGGGGGAAGGTTGCAGAAAATGAACAGAATATAATTCCATTTAGTTTTTTTTAAGTGAAAATATTTGTTTATGCATTGAGAATGCCTAGAAAAATATATACCAGTAGAGGTTCCTTCTAGAGACTGGGATCGGGAAATGAGGGGAGTGAGACAAGAAACTTCTATTTTTTTTTTTTTTTTTTTTTAGAGAAGGGGTCTTGCTCCATCACCCAGGCTGGAGTGCAGTGGCATAATTATAGCTCACTGCAACCTGGAACTCCTCAGCTTGAGCCATCCTCCTACCTCAGCCTCCTGAATAGCTGGGACTAGAATCCTGCACCACCATGCCCAGCTAATGTTTTAACTTTTTTGTAGAGACTAAGTCTCACTATGTTGCACAGGCTGGTCTGGATTTCCTGGGCTCAAGTGAGCTTCCTGCCTTGGCCTCCCAAAGTGCTGGAATTACAGGCATGAGCCACTGCGCCTGACCTTACTTTTTAATTTATATACTTCTGTTTGCATTTTTAAACCATAAGTGTGTATTATTTTTCTAATTAAAAAAAACTGGTATTAAGAATCTCTCTGAGATTGGCCTTAAAATAGCCCATCTCCAAAAGAAGCCTATCGGGGGAAGGAGGGAGGCAGTTAGACAGAAATGCCAAAATGATTATGTCAAAGCTGATTGATGGTACATGGGGGTTCATCATATTCTTTACTTTTATTTCTGTTTGAAGATCTCTATTTAAAAGTAGATTGGTCGGGCACAGTGGCACATGCCTGTAATCCCAGCACTCTGGGAGGCCTAGGTGGGTGGATCACCTGAGGTCAGGAGTTCAAGGCCAGCCTGACCAACATGGTGAAACCCCATCTCTACTAAAAATACAAAAAAAAAATGAGCCGGGGGTGGTGGCGGGCACCTGTAATCCCAGCTACTTGGGATGCTGAGGCAGGAGAATTGCTTGAACCCAGGAGGCAGAGGTTGCAGTGAGCCAAGATCACGCCATTGCACTCCAGCTTGGGCAACAAGAGCGAAACTCCGTCTCGAAAAAACAAAATAAAAGTAGAGCATATGGATGCCGGTGACATTAAAAATCACAAGCTTCGTCAAGACTGGGCTCAAGTTAACACGTAGCAAGAATGGACTAGAACTAGGTGGAGGCTGCCCCATTAATTAAGAAGGGCCTGCATTTTCCTCCTCCCTGTTCACACCTCACATACCATGTGGGCTCATTGCTTACTCTGGCCCACTCGACTCATTTATGTGAACTGACACTGTAGCAATCCGAGATTGTACCCCGGACCTAGATTGCCTGTGCTACATTAGAAATGATACACTTTCCTCAGATGCACTGCCGCCGTATTCACTCCTAAGTGAACTCCCTGAGGTTATTTGAGCAAAACTACAGGCTTTCAGATGTTCTCCGAAATAAAAACAGCATAACCAGAAATCATTTGAGAAGGATAGTAATTGAACCAATAAAGTAGTTTTAGATGGCAAAGCCTGGTATCAAGAAAAGGTAGTGAGTGGGTGATTCAATGGAGGTGAAATGATAACTTTTGCTAATTAGGATGTGCCCTAAACCCCACTTCTATTATGCTTTGTTTTCTCCAGTTCTTTGCCTTCCTGGTCACCATCTGCTACGCTGGAAATACATATTTCAGTTTTATAGCATGGAGATCCAGGACCATACAGTGATTTACCATTTTGATAATTAAAAGGAAAAAAAAAGGAAGACTCTCACTGTAAAAACAGCTGTAGGTATAATGTATATTCCCAGAGAATTGTATTTAACTAATTAATGTTTTTTATATTCTTAAATTTGCTCACAAATTGTGGTTTGTTACAATTAAACTGGATACTTATTTGCAAAGTGTTGTAGCTTATAATGAACTCTTAAGTATCTTATTAATGTATTAATGTCTTCATAGATCATATTTTCTTAGACAATGTTTAAATAGATAAATTGCTAATATTGAGAATGTGTCAAGTTTGTAAACCTAACTTTTAAGATGCCAGATTCTTTTTTGATTAAATGTTGCAAAATCCCAAGTAATGTTGTGTTTGATTGGAGAAAGGAGACCTACCTGTTGAAGCCAGAGGCTAGGCTGTCAAGGCTGGTGGGAGGCTGGGAAGTCTCCCTCTTCACAGGGCTGCATCGTATGATATTGTCAGGTGACACTTATCCATAGTCTTAGGGCAAAGAGGCGGGAGATTCATCTCCCCAATTCTGGGGATCATAGATCAGTGTTCATGATTTTCATATGCTAACAGGTTGCCCCAGAAAGCATCTATTCAGACCTGGCCTTGGACATCAGTGATAAGCTCATGGGAAGTTATGCTACTAAGTGCAGTGACTGACGTGCTTGTGATATTTTTTCTAATATGCATTATAAAAAAATATATAACTATTAAAAGGATAAATATCTGAATATATTGAATATATCTTAAAATTATCTTGCTGGCTGGGCGCCGTGGCTCATGCCTTGTAATCCCAGCACTTTGGGAGGCCGAGGCAGGTGGATCACGAGGTCAGGAGATCGAGACCAGCCTGGCCAACATGGTGAAACCCCGTCTCTACTACAAATACAAAAATTAGCTGGGCGTGGTGGCGGGTGCCTGTAATCCCAGCTACTTGGGAGGCTGAGGCAGGAGAATCACTTGAACCCAGGAGGCAGAGGTTGCAGTGAGCCAAGATCACACCACTGCACTCCAGCCTGCTGACAGAGCAAGACTGTGTCTCAAAAAAAAAAAAAAAAATTGCTGACCACAGTAACATGTGTGCTATCTTTTGTGAAAACTACTGGGCCAGGCCAGGCACAGTGGCTCATGCCTATAATCCCAGCACTTTGGGAGCCTGACTGAGGTGGGCAGATCACTTGAGGCCAGGAGTTCGAGATCAGCTTGGACAAGATGGCAAAACTCCATCTGTACCAAAAATACAAAAAAATAAGCCAGGCATGGTGGTGCACCCCTGTGGTCCCAGCTAATTGGAAGGCTGAGATAGGAGGATCCCTTGGACCTGGGAGGAGGAGGCTGCAGCTAGCCGTGATCATGCCACTGCACTCCAGCTTGAGCAACAGAGTGGGGCCCTGTCTCAAAAAAAAAAAAAAAACTAATAATAAGACACTGCTGGACCAAAAGGTTTCAATATTCCAAATCTCCAGTGCAAAAATATTATAACATCATTATTAGATATTATCAGTTAAGGAGAAGAACTCACATCAGCAAGACAGTATGAACTTAGAGGAAGTGTTTTTAGATAGGACGATTCTTGCTAGTACAGCAGTGTATCTTGGATGATTTTTCAATATGAGCTTTTGAAAAACAAAAAACCACAGAAACGTTAGTGTAGTTGATGAGCGTGAACAAAGCTGAAGCTGTGCGCTCTGTTGATATGACTCCCATGGCCTCTGCCTCTTGATCTCTCACCTGTTTAGCAGTGCTGTTTTTTTCTGTTTGTGCTGGTTCTCTTTTTCTAATTCCATATCCAAGCTCTGATTACCCCTACATAGGAGAGTTGAGATTTCTTCAGTGTCTAGTCATACCCACCCCAGACCTTTGAAAGTACCAATGAAGAATGTTCTGGGGTTGTGGACTAGGCCCGCCCAAAGAGGTAGTGGGGAAGGAAGCTCCAAAAATGAGAGGTGAGTGTAGGGTATGGATGTGTGAGCAGGTGGTGTCGGGGGGCACACAAGGCCACTCTGTGCCCAAAATGTAGCAAGCCATGGAAGGCTGAACTTCCATAACACAGACCTGTAGGCAACTGGTGATGTGATCTTTGGGGAGCTGATTCCCAGTCATCACTGATTTTGCAGAAAAGCTGAAATAACTAGTCACAGTTGGCATGCTCTGCCCTTCCGTCCAGCTCTCCCTCTCACACTCACCAAAGCATGTGCACCTTCCACATACCCTGTGGGTTTTTCAAGTACTTTATGTTGCAAACAACACTCCATAAAAGTCAGAAAAAACAGTAACCTACAGAGGCCTGCTTCTGGAAACAGAAAGAAGCCTGCTTTTATGCTCCACGCAAGCATGTGTGTGTCATTTCTATAATCACGGCCACATTTATAGAACGTAACTTCTGGGGTGAAAAGTGCCGTAAACCACACTCTGAAATGTCCTTCAAGTAGACTGTAATTTTAGTTCTTTCTTGAACTGGTAGCACCAAAGGCATCTGTTTCAAAAGAGCAATGCCTAGTTTGTGTCCATGCAGGGGCACTTGCTGTCTTGTCTTTATTGGTGTTTCTTCAGAAGCATGATCCTTTATGTTACCCTGAGAGTTCACTAAAACAATAACAGCAAAAAGCATTTATTTTTCACTGAAAAGAAATTATTATTTCATCTTTTGAATACTGAGACTTCGTTCATGAATAAGCTTTAAGTGTAGGTTTTTAGACAACAAAATGATTCTCTGTTGTTCAGATTGGAGCTGTAAGTTGTGAATTGGGTTTGCTTTAATTTTTTTCTCTTAAAAAACAAGAGAAAACAAAGCCACACACAATACAGTCAACATAAAAATAGGTTTCTGGGGGCTTGAAAAATATTATTACAGGGATAGTGTACAAGGTACTTAAACTCATCTCTGCCATCTGCGCTTGCCATCTGCATTCACCTCTCAGCCATTCCAAAACCTTCACGTCCTCTTTGGTGGAGCAGAGTGAGTTTTTAACTTGATATATTTACCCACTCATGGCAAATCAATAAAGTGCTTTAGGCAATTAATCTCTCTTTATTGCTATTTCCAACTTACTGCTCCCAAAAGATAAATATTTGGCCAACCTTTGAAAACTACAAGAAAATCTAGAGAAGAGGATGTTCGATATCAGTATTTATTTTTTATTTTTAAGTTGCTCCCTTCATAGGAAAATCCCTTCGGGGCATCAGCACACAAAAGATTATAAATACATGAAATATCTCTGTAATAGAAGGTAGACGTTTAGAAATGCTAACTGAAGATGCAGCCCTGGGTAGAAAATCAACTTAAAGTCCATATTTTTGTTTTCTAGACAATTATTATTTTGAAAAGATGAGTTTTCACAGAAAAAATTGGTTTTATTGAAATTTAATTGAAAAGATAAATTTTCACCGAAAAAAATCTGGACATATGATACATGCAAGCACATGCGCGCACACACACAAGCACACACACTCTGAAAGGTGGCAGCCTGAGCGTTTGTTAACTTGGCTGCACATTAATGTTCTGCTGGCAACATCTGCTGCCAAATGTGAATCGTAAGCAGACAGCTGTGAAGGAAGGTAAGATAACTTCCAGTGTTGATGATGACCTAGAATAATGGGGAAGATTATAATGCATGTTGTTATAAGTTGGGGGGTATATAAACTTGGGTTCTTGGTATATGTAAAAGAAGATAGGGTTTGGGAGAAAGTGCTTGGCATCACAGAGTGATGACTTTTCAGAAACTTAGGAAGGTAAGTGGGAAGAAAGGTGCTGATTAAAAAGATATTCCATCTGGAAGATATGTTTTGAGAAAACTTTCCTATCTATGGCAGAATTGTTTTTGCTAGAATATTCAGAATAGCTAAATGAACCCAGGGCATAGGGAACCTTGTGGCTGCCTCCCCAGCATCTTTTCTTCCTCCTCATATTCTCAAACTGCCCTAGTTTTTATTCAGTATCCAGACCACCCTCTTATAGCCCCAGTGTTTTGTGAGAGGCCGACTCCATTAGGACTCTAGGAATGGAGCCTACGGCTCTGCCTCAGCTCATCAGCATGAGACCACCCTCCTCCTCCACCACAGTGATTGGTTCAGAGATGGTCATGTGACCCACGGCTTGCTTGGGAGTTCTGGGAAAGAGGCATGCTGTGTACGTGTGTGTTATCTAATATACATTGACCCTTTATGCCAGGCACTGTACTAAAGGGCTTTCCATCTATTATCTCATTTAACTCTCAGAAGGGGAACCCTGCGCAGTAGATACTAGATTATCCTCACTTTACAGAGGAGGAAACTGAGGTACAAAGAGGTTAAGCAATTTTATAAAATGTTATAAAAGTCATCTAGCTAGCAAGTGTGGAGAGCAAGCATATTAACTGCTGGTGTTAATGTATTATGTATTTAAAGCACCTGGCACACAATTGGTGCTCAATAAATGATTTCCCTTCTTTTTTTAATGTTTTAATTGACAATAATTGCATGTATTTTGTGGTTATAATGTTATGTGGCTTTGGGGGGTTTTCTTACTTTTTATTTATTTATTTATATTTTTTGAGACAGGGTCTCACTCTGTTACCCAGAGTACAGTGGCACAATAATAGGCTCACTGCAGCCTCAACCTCCAGGGCTCAAGCAATCCTCTCACCTCAGCCTAGCTGGGACCACTGAGACCACAGTCGTCTACTACCAACCAACCACACCTGGTTAATTTTTTATTTTTTTCATAGACATGAGGTGTCACTACATTGCCCAGGCTGGTCTCGAACTCCTGAGCTTAAACGATCTTTGTGCCTCAGCCTCCCAAAGTGCTGGGATTACAGGCATGAGCTGTGCCTGGCCACAATGTGATGTTTTGATTTTTGTATACATTGTGGAATTATTAAATCCGTGCTTACTCTTTTTTTTCTTCTTCTTCTTCTTCTTCTTTTGAGACAGGGTCTCACTCTGTCACCCAGGCTGGAGTTGCAGTGGCAGAATCACGGCTCATTGAAGCCTAGACTTCCCGGGACTCAGATGATCCTCCCACCTCAGCTTCCCGACTAGCTGGGGCTACAGGCATGTGTCACCACGCCTGGCTAATTTTGTATTTTCTGTAGAAACAGGGTTTCGCTGGTCTCAACCTCTCAGGCTCAAGCGATCCACCTGCCTCTGCCTCCCAAAGCGCTAGGATTACAGATGAGAGCCACTGCCCCTGGCCTGCAGCTCTTTTGATGGAACTCTTAGAAGCAACAGTCCTCTCCTTGGGTGAGAAAATATGTAGCCAGGAAGTCGTTTGTAAAAATTTTGTGACCACAAGGGGGAGCCAGTCATAGGCTAACAGTAACGAAGAGTTAAGAGGTGGAAAGAAACTTCATCAATGATAACATCATTGAACCATTGAATCAATTCAGCCCTGAATGCTACCAAGCTCTGACTTTGCAATTACATGAGCAATTCTGCCCACTTAAACTAATTTCCATTACTTGCAACAACAGGCATCATAACCATTACTCAGGACATCCTGGCAAACACCTTTCAAGCAAGTCACCACAAGGGCCTGTATAGACGGTAGTGATGATGAGAGGAGCCAACTTTAGCACCAATGCTATTTAGCAGTAGAAGGGTAGAAAAAGGGAAATTTTGAAAGCCCATTTGACAGTGACTCGGGCCTTCCTAAAGTTATTGCTGAAGGTGGCAATAGCGTGGGAAAATCCTAGAAAAAGAAAGAGCTGGGAGGATGGGTACTCAAAGGAGTACCGCATGACCTATCTTTGGCCATTGCAATAGGAAAGCTGAGTGTGGAGGAGGAACATGAACCATCTGGCCTCCAGCCATTTTAACTTAGGAGAATTCCACCGTGTTGTCGTAAAGGCAAATAGTCACTGGAGAGGTGGCTTCTCTCTCTCTAGGTAAGTTGAGCATTAAGTGCCAAAGAACGTTGAGAATGAGGACTAGACCTAAACTCTTGGCATTTAGGAAAAAGAACTTAGATATCACATATGGTGCAATTAAATCCACAATGAGATACTACTTCACACCCTCTAGAAGGGGTAAATTAAAAAAAAAAAATACCAGGTGTTGGCGAGGTTATGCAGCATCTGGAATTTTTATACACCGCTGGTGGGAGTGTAAAATGGTATAATTACTTACAAAGTTAAACAATACTTGTAACCCAGCAATTCCAGTCCTAGATATCCACCCATGAGAAATATATCCACAAAAATATTGAGCAAGAATATGCATAGCAGCTGTATTCATAGTTGCCCCAAACTGGAAACAACCCAAATGGCTATCAAATGGTGAATGAATACATTGTGTATCTCTACAATGGAATACTGCTCAGCAATAAAAGGGAACAAACTACTGATATAGGCAACAATGTGGATGAATCACCAAAACGTTATGCTGAATAAAAGAAGCCAGACCAAAAAAAATCATTTGATTCTATTTATATGAAACCCTAGAAAAGGCAAAACAAAGCTATAGTGACAGGAAGCAGATCAGTGGTTGCCTGGAAATAGGGCTGGAGCAGTTGGCTTACAAAGAGGCACACGGAGATGTTCTGAGGTGACAGGAATATTCTACATCTTGATTGTGGTGGGGATTGCATGGGTGTATACATTTGTCAAAACTCACAAACTATTCACGTAAAATGGGTGTATTTTAATATACATTATAGCTTGATAAAGTTGATTTTAAAAGAAAAAAAGTGGAATATTTAAAAATGTCCACTCTTGCCCTTCTCCCATCTGCCATGCTGTTGAATTGTTTATTACCTCCTATATCCCATCTGGTTTGTGATCTTTTGGAGAGTTGGGAAGGTGAGGTTTCATCCCCGTCTTCCCTCTGGAGCTCAGCACAGTGCCTGGAATGTAGTATGTGTTCAATTAAATGTCTACTGTAGTGAAAAGACTGGGAAGTTAATGAAGAGTCCTAGAACACCGTGAAGGGTGAGTTAGAAGACAATAGAGGTAAACCAATAGAGAGGGCAAGCTTAAGAGAGGTCTGTGAAATGAGAGCTGTGGGGATGGGAGACTGCCAGGAGATGCAGGAGGCTACAGCTGGGTGATGAGGCCAGCAGGGACCTGGAAGTGAAGAGCTGATGCATCTGTGTTACCCAGAAATGATTGTCAGAACAGTGCTTGATAAATAGCAGCTACCAGGTGGCTAATGAACTGGGTACCTGGGAAAACACACAACCAGTACATAGGTTTCTAGAACATAGAAATGACTGTTTATGAGCTGTGGGGCCTAATAACCTCCAACCATTTAATGATACGGTACTAGGTTTAGCCATGTGAAATGGTCACTATTAGACTCTGTCCTACAAAAATGGCAATTTCATACAATTCGACCTACAACTTTATACTTGAGTTTCACACATAATATTAGTTGATCCTCAATCTTTGCCCTGGCCGGGCGCAGTGGCTCACGTAAATCCCAGCAGTTTGGGAGGCCGAGGCGGTTGGATTACCTGAGGTCTGGAGTTCGAGACCAGCCTGGCCAACATGGTGAAACCCCATCTCTACTAAAAATACAAAAAATCAGCCGGGCATGGTGTTGGGCGCCTGTAATCCCAGCTACTCGGGAGGCTGAGGCAGAAGAATCTCTTGAACCCGGGAGGCGGAGGTTGCAGTAGGCCAAGATCGTGCCACTGCACTCCAGCCTGGGTAACACAGCAAGATTCCATCTCAAAAAAAAAAAAAAAAAATCTTTGCCTTACATTAGGCAGGTGTCCATCGCTCCATTTATCTCGTAGAGACAATGGAGGCTCCACTGAGTTGTCAATGACTTGCCCATGGTTACTCAGTTAGAATAGCTTGGGCTGGCACTGAGATTTTCTCACTCCGTCCCAACTCCTCCAGCCTAGTTTACTGAAAACATCTGGACTGTGAGGAAAGGAACCAGGTGAAAACTGCAAGGTGTGGGGATAAGGTAGTACATTTCCAGAAATCTATTTGGCATTATATATGAAAAGCCGTATATATGTTTGTTCCCTTGATTTGGGGATGTATCTCTTAGGAGTTTAAGATTCATGCACAAAAATGTTAATCCTGTCTTTAATCCAGGGAAAACAACTGGAGTCAGCCTAAAACCCTAACAGTAGGAGAAAGCCGAAGTAAGTACTTACATCTACTCAATGAGCCTTTAGAAATTAATGTACTCCCAATATCCCCTCCCAAGATTATTCAGAATCAGAATCGGCTAACACCATTATTAATGACTCCACTTTGTATTTTTAACAGATACACTTCTCAAGCTGTGCTGAACCGTGGTTGCTAGATTGGTCATTAAATCGAAGATCAGTTAACATGTTGTCTTTCTAAAAATACGTGATGGAGAAAAGTTGTGCACACAAAAATATCAGTGGCACTGAAAACTGTTTACAAGGAGTTTTTAGTAGAAAATGTTTATGGTGTAACTTTGAATTTACAAAAGGCAGAGCAAACTTGAGTAGTAAAGAGTGGCAGGATCGCAAGGTGATTTTTTATTTTGTTTTTCTGTATTTCTCCCAATTTTCTCCAGTAAGCATAAAATACATTCATAATCTGGAAATAAATATTTTTAACTAAAAGACAAGATAAAGCAGTAGTCTTAGTAGGTTGAAACAATCAGTATCCTATTTGTGGAAAAATTAAAATCTTCCAGCCTCTTTGCAAAGACAAACAAGCAGCCTGGGCAATTGCATGAGGACCACTGAGGGGACTGCACCTGTTGCCTTTGCCTTTTTTTCGGCAGGAAGTATAGTCAGCTTTGGTCATCATTTATCTCATTTATGAAAGATTTCATGGATAAAGTAAGAAAGAGAGTCTGCCTGCCTGCAAATCACTCATTTACAAATTTTGAATAACAAGATTATTGTGAAAATTTACATCTGTATACTTACTTATAGTAGGAAAAAAAAAAAACTATGAGAATTTACATTTGTATTTCTAGCCTACATGGAGAGAAGTTCTTGCATTCACACTATTCTGCTGTCTTACACAATTCCAGAACATTCGTTCACCATACTTAGAGAAGGTATAACATGTAATAGTCTTCTGTGATTTCTTAAATAGCACTGGACTTTAACTTTTTAAAAATAAGGGGTAGCTGAGCATGATGGCATGTGCCTGTAGTCCCAGCAATTTGGGAGGCTGAGGTGAGAGGATTGCTTGAGTCCAGGAATTCGAGACCAGCCTGGGCAGCATAGCAAGACCCTGTCTCTATAAAAAAAAAAATAATTACAACAGAAAAATTAGCCTAGTGCGGTAGCACACGCCTATAGTCTCAACTACTTGAGAGGCTGAGATGGGAGGATTGCTTGAGCCCAGGAGTTCGAGGCTGCAGTGAGCTCTGACCATGCCACTGCACTCCGGCCTGGGCGGCAGAGCAAGACCTTGTCTCTAAAAAATAAATAAAATTTAAAAAATAAAATAAGGGATGATGGTCATTAAGAATAGTGCTGTAATCCAGCAAAGTCCCACCCCAAATGGCCTCATTCTTAATTCCTGTGTCTACTTTTCATAGATTTATAGGCTCTTTCCTCACTGTCCAGACTGACAGTACAGTCTGTCTTTTATGATCGTACATCTCCCCTCTGCAGCAGCCTAACCCCTTCTAATGAAGTGTTCTTAATTTTCACTAGACTCGTTGGAATGGTATATAAAATGAGAGCTGGCACAGGCTGAAGGGCAGCCTCTCCTACAAGTTAAGGGCATGATCCTTAATGCTTGAGCACTTAAACTTGGTCTTAACTAAACGTTTAAGTTTAGAGAGAAAATATTAGCAAAGTGCAAATCTAATAAGGGGGTAAATATAATAAAATATATAAGGAACTCAAGAAAAAAACAACACAGTTTTAAAACGGGCAAAGCACCCGAACAGACATTTCTCAAAAGAAGATATACAAATGGCCAACAGGTATATGAAAAAATGCTCAACATCACTAATCATCAAGGAAATGCAAATCAAAACCACAATTGGGTATCGCCTCTCACTTACTAGAACAGCCATTCTCAAAAAAGATAAGCATTGGGAAGGATAAGGAGAAAAGGGAACCTTGCACGCTTGGTGGAAATGTAAATTAGTCCAGCCATTACGGAGAACAGTACGGAAGTTCCTCAAAAAGTTAAAAATAGAACAACCCTATGATCCAACAATCCCACTTCTAGGTATATACCCAAAGGAAAATAACTCAGCATGTCAAAGAGGTATCTGCAGTTTCGTGTTCATTGCAGCATTATTCACAATAACCGAGAAGTGGAAGCAACCTAAATGTCCATCAACAGACAAAGGGATAAAGAAAATGTGGGCATACAATGGAATGCTGTTCGGCTTAAAAAAAAGAAGGAAATCCTGTCATTTGCAACAACAAGGATGAACCTGGATGACATTATGCTAAGTGAAATGTCAGGCACCAGAAAGACAAATACCGCAGGATCTCACTTATATGCGGAATCTAAAGAAGTCACACTCCATAGAAGCAGAATAGAACGGTGGTTGCCAGAGCCTGATGGGAGGAGAGAGGAATGTTGGTCAAAGGGCACAAAGCTTCAGATAGACAGGGGGAAAAAAGTTGAAGCCTTGGTTAAAAGGCTTTTATTTTTCGTGCTTGTTTCCTTTTTATTGTTACTATAACGTTTACAGTTTTTAAATATATTTACATTCAGAAATAAGGCAAAGAGGTATCCCCAAGTTTTAAGGATAAAAACAGTTTTTAATTTTTGAAGAAATGCTTTTGATATTTTGAGAATGGTCAAGAGATTTGTCTTCTGAAAGAATTATTTATTGGTTCTGAATGCAAAACATAAATGGTGTATTCGTTTGCTGGGGCTGCCATAACACAATACCACAGACTGGGTGGCTTAATCAACAGAAATCTATTTTCTCACACTTCTGACTAGAAGCCCAAGATCAAGGTGTCGGCGGATTGAGTTTCTTCTGAGGCCTCGCTCTTTGGCTTGTAGATGGCCACCGTCTCACTGTGTCCTCACTTAGTCACCTTCTCACTGTGTCGCCTGTTCCTAATCTCCTCTTCTTACAAAGACACCAGTCATATTGAATTAGGGCACACCTTACCAACCTCATTCTAACTTAATTACCTATTTAAAGGCCCTGTCCCCAAATACAGTCATATTCCGAGGTACTGAAGGTTTGGACTTCAGCATATGAATTTGGTGGGGGGCCAGGGGAGGCATAATACAGCCCATAACAAATGGCAATGCTTTTTTCTCCCCAGATAAATGTATTTTCCCTCTGTCTCTGTCTGTCTCCCTGTCTCTCTGTCTCCACTTTTTTCTCTCCTTTCTCTGCTGGTAGCTTCATAAAGAAGTACCAGTTCTGGCAGAAAGCATTAGCACAAAGACTAATGATGCCCCACACTTGTGTGGTGTTCGATGGCCTTTCTCAACATTTCAAACCCATTTCTGGGTGAACATTTCACAAATGCAATCACTGAGGTCCGGACAATGTCACTTGCAGGCAGACCAGCAACTGGAGTCCCATTTGCTTATTCCAGAGGTCGAGAAAAGCCAAACTGGCCTTAACGCAGACCTTCTCACTGCTTAAGGAATTAGGGGCTCCTCCCCTTGTCCCATCCTTTCTACGGGTACAGCCAAAAGCATGAGGAAGCAACCCACCTGCAAGTTATAACCAATAGAGAGCACTCACAAAGCGGAATGTCCACAGGGAGGCCACAGTCTGTCTACCTGGGGAGATATGGCAAATAATCACACAGGAAGTTATCAGAAAATGAGAGTCGACTGTCTAAAGCTTCACTGCCTGATCCATCAAATGTCACCATTCCCTCACTGGCCAATGTCAAACCTTCTCTTTTTGTCAATCATGTTGAAGCACACAAACATCAGTGCTGGTTGACAGTCAACTTTATGGTGGTTTTTCTAGAGATACATTGTGGGGAGATGGGGTAATGCAGGGACCACCTGTGCAATTCAGCACCAAATTATCTCTTGCCGGCTGGAACTAAGTACAAGTGGCCACAGCCAGGAAATAATTGTTAGCAAATTTTATTGTCCACCCGCAACTGTGCACAGAGCTCTGTTTTGGGAACCTGACGGGATATCGGACAATGCACGTAAGCTGGGCGAGGGCGACGCAAAAGAGGGTGGGACTAAGCCAAGGGCAACCCAGAGGGGTGTTTTGTTTTGGTTTGTTTTGTTTTGCTAGATTCTTGCTCAAAGTGCTGTTTGCACTTGTCTGCCAATGCTCCCAACATGCCAAGCCCAACCACTTTCATCCCAGCCTATTTCAGAGGCCACTAACAGGAACCAAATACCTGAATAAGTATAATTTCATTTAGTCCTTAGCCCAATGAGGTAAGCTATGTGAACCCCATTTTGCAGATGTGGAGACTGATGTGCAGAATGGCTCTGAGGCCCCTAAATTCCAATCCAGGTCTTCTAAATCTGAATCCAGTGCTCTTTCCACTTTTTTTCTTGAATTCCCAGATGTTTCCTCTAATGTATTCCCCCCCTCTTTTTTTTTTTTTTTTTTTTTTTTTTTTTGAGGTAGAGTCTTGCTCTGTCACCTAAGCTGGAGTGCAGTGGCGCGATCTCGGCTCACTGCAACCTCCGCCTCCCGGGTTCAAGCAATTCTCCTGTCTCAGCCTCCCGAGTACCTGAGATTACAGGTGCACACCACCACGCCCAGCTAATTTTTTATTGTTAGTAGAGGTGGGGTTTCGCCATGTTGGCCAGGCTGGTCTCGAACTCCTGACCTCAGGTGATTCACCTGCCTGGGCCTCCCAAAGTGCTGGGACTACAGGCATAAGCCACCACACCCAGCCTGTTCCCCACTTTTAAGTAGACGGTTATTCTGCTTGCTCAACAGATAATGCAGACTGAGCTTTCATGTTTAGAGTAAGAATTTAATAGAAGAGTGAAGTTGATCTTCCCTGTTTAATGACAGTCACAATTATTTGTGGGCTGCATAGCAATTAAGCATAACGAAGTAGTAAACAGGTCTCCCCCTGTCTAATTTAAAAATTATAAAGCTCCACTACTGCATACCAGGCATTGTGATTGGTGCTGAGGATGTCAGGATGAAGGCCAAGAAGAGCCTGCACACTTTAGAAGACTTAGTATGTGCCAGGCACTGTGCTGAGGACTTTCCATGCCTTAATTTATTGAATCCTCACAGAAGGCTTTACAGATTGTATTTTCCAAAGATGATCACAACAATATCATCATGCACCTTCCTAATCCAGTGGTGGAGTTTATTTCAGCATCCCCTTCAATGTGGGCAGGCCCTGACTAGTAGCATACAGAGGGAGTAAAGATGTTCAGTTCCAGGCGTAGTCCTTATCTGTCTTGGCAGCTTCTTCTTGCTTCCTGGAATACCTATTCTGCAATGCTTCCTCTCAGAACCCAGCTATCATGTTCTGAGAAGCCCAAGCCGTGTGGAGAGGCTGTATGTGGGCATTCCAGTGACAGCCCTCACTGAGCTCCCAGCCAACTGCCAGCATCAGCTGTCAGCCATGTGAGAGCCATCTTGGATGTCCAACCCAGCTGAGCCTTCAGATGACTGTATCCCCAGCTGCATTCTGACTACAACAGCATGAGACTCCAAATGAGAACCAACCAGCTGAGCCCAGTCAAATCACAGAGCCATGAGAGATAACAATAGATTATTTTAAGCCACAAACCTTTGGGTTGCTTTGATATGCAGCAGAAAATAATTGGATTAGCAAACATTGGTATGAGTTTTCATTCCCATTGGGACAGATGGGAAAGGTTGACCCATCTGTCCCATCTGGGTTTAGAAATTTCCCAGCTTCACAGAGCTGGTAGGTGGCAGATTTAGGATTTAAACCCAAGGCAGCATGACCCTGACTGCCGAGTTTCCACACATGACTTCTTTCTATGAGCTCCCAGTCTCAAAAGAGTCAACTAAAGTGAGATATGTCACACACTTCCAGTGTGGGCAAAGGGCTGGGTGCACATACAGGAGTCAGGTAACTCACCCACATTTGCCATATTGTCTTGCCACCTATCTAGCCTCATGTAGCATCTCCCACTTCTTTGGACCTCATGCTTAAGCCTGCATGAACTTCATCCCCTCTAATCTGTCATGCCCGAGTACTTACCTGGAACTCTCTTCTCCACCCACCCAAGGCTGGTTAACACCTCTTTATCCTTCAGTATGCAGCTAAGATGGCCCCTCCTCCAGGAAGCCTTCCCTGACTTCCCCATCACATCCCTGACAGGGTAAGGTATCTCCCCATGGGCTCCCATAGTACCCCACTTTTATTCTATCATTAGCATTTTTCATACATATTGCCTGTTTTCTCAGTCTGGGCAAAGAACATGTACTCCTGTGCCTGACACAGGTCCTGGCACTTTGTCAGTGCTCAATAAATATTGCCATGGGGATTGCTCATCACTCACAGAAGGCTTCTCAGAGGCCGTAACATTTTGGCTGGACTTTGTGAGACTGGCGGGCATTTGCCAGGTTAGCAGTTTTCAACCAGGGTCATATACGCATCGAAATCACCCGCGCAACTCTTCCCAAACATGGATGTCCAGCCCCGCCTGAGCACACTGAATCAGAATCTCCAAGGCTGAGCCTGGGCAGGTATAGTTTTCATAGGTTTCACAGGTGATTGCAAATGACAGCATGGGCTAAGGAAAGATAAAAAAGAGATCTCATTATCATCATCATACTCATCATCTTACTGTCAGCAACAGTTCTCAGCATTTGACATATCTTAACCCCTTTGATCCTCACAGTGTTCATTGTCTACATAAAGCACAAATCCTAAGGTGGGCATCCACAGTCCTGTGGTATCTCTCCAGCCAAGGTCCCCAGCCCTTTTCCCCAAGTCCCCACACTCCAGCCACGCCAAAGGACTGGGAATTCCTGGAATCCGTGGTGCGGTTTCATGCCTCCTTTCTTGACATATGTCATTCCCTCTTTTGCCCACCCCATAAATTTTTAATCGCCCTTCAAGACCTAGTTCCAAGCACATATTCTTTTTTGAAACTTTCTCCTCCCAGTTCAAGACAAGCTGGTTACTCCCAGCTTTGGGCCATCCCTTACAGGGATGCTACAGCTCTGCATTAATCCCACAAATATAAACTGAGTACTACTTTGGGCCAGGCACTCTGCTAAATACTGGACACAAACAGGGAGCCGTCTAACCCAGACCTCGACTCCTCCCAACAGAGATGACAGAGATGACGACCACAGCCTCCTCGGTTATCTGACTCTATTTCCCTGTGTTGCTATGGTTACAAACTCCCTGGGGGAGGGAGTTCCTCTTCTGGGAAGTGTTCAGTCAGGCATGTGGAAGGCTCTCCGTAACATTTGCTGAGTGAGGGTTGTGAGCAAATAACAAGGTGAATCCTCCTCTCCTCCCTTCCTCTCTCAGTAAAACTTTTCCCCAGCAGCTCTCAAAATTCCTTGGATTACCTAAATCCAAGAAAT
Organism: Homo sapiens; assembly: GCF_000001405.40. Lineage (NCBI taxonomy): Eukaryota > Metazoa > Chordata > Mammalia > Primates > Hominidae > Homo > Homo sapiens. The sequence continues at coordinate 32,385,355 of NC_000003.12, forward strand.
CTTTTATTTCACCCTTGAAGATGGTCTTTGATGCTTATGGTTATGGAAATGGCAACGTACAGGAGTCCCTCAGCCCTCAGATAATGAAGCCTCATTGTTCGATACATAAGGACTTAGGAAAAATGATAAAATAGGTAACATTTACTACTATGAGCCAGATGCTACTCTAGACCGTTTCCATATGTCTTATCCCATTTAGATCTCGCAGTTACCCTGAGGGGTCATTTCTATTGTTGTTCCTCTTTACAGAGAAGGAAATGGAGGCTGAGAGAGGCTTGCCCAAGGTTGCACATCTAGCAAGTGATGGAACTAAGGGCCAAACCCAGGCAGTTTGGTTCCAGAGTCCTGCCTCTCAGCCACACAGCCAGGCAGCACAAAGACAAAGGTTTCAGGGTCCCACCTGGCGCTAAAGACCAGGTATCCTGGCTGGCCCCGCTGTGGTGAGTACATGCCGCTCTCCCTCTGCTGGGCCTCAGCCACTCTCTTCTGCTCTGCCTCTCCTTATTTCCTCTCATGGCCCAACCAGCCTCCTGGCTTCCACCTTCTCTCTATGTCCCAATTGCTAAACCCCTCTCAATGCCTCACATTCAAACTCCGCAGGACAGAGGATCATCAGTGGAGCTCCCACTCTTACTAGGCAAAGTTCCCTTATAAGGCCACTCCAAACACTACTGGCCAACCCACTGATGGGCTGCCCTTGGCTCAGGAGCCAGCCTGATGCAATAAATTTCCAATGGATATAAGGCAGCTGATTGGTGATTCTCAGAAGGACCTGAGAGTTTGACTGGTTTACGGAACCTAATAAACTTTTTAAAAATTCACTGGAGGCCAGGCGCGGTGGCTCACACCTGTAATCCCAGCACTTTGGGAGGCCGAGGCGGACGGATCACAAGGTCAGGAGATTGAGACCATCCTGGCTAACACGGTGAAACCCCGTCTCTACTAAAAATTCAAAAAATTAGCTGGGCATGGTGTCGGGTGCCTGTAGTCCCAGCTACTCAGGAGGCTGAGGCAGGAGAATGGCATGAACCCAGGAGGCGGAGCTTGCAGTGAGGCGAGATCGCGCCACTGCACTCCAGCTTGGGCGACAGAGTGAGACTCCATCTCAAAAATAAATAAATAAATAAATAAATAAATAAATAAATAAACAAACAAATAAAGAAATTCACTGGAAAAGGATTTTAAAGGCTGATATTGGAAGAGTTTCATGGACACCTGATGCCTTTGTCTGCCTGGCATAGCTCAGACTTCCTAACAAAATGCCATGGCCAGGTGGCTTAAACACCAGAAATTTATTTTCTCAGAGTTCTAGAGTCTGGGGAGTACAAGATCAAGGTGCTGATCGATTTGGTTCCTGTTGAGGGCTCTCTTCCTAGCTTGCAGAAAGCTACCTTCTCGTTGTATTCTCACATGGTGGAGAGAATGCCAGCAGGTTCTCTGGTGTCTTTTTTATAAGGACACCAATCCCCCCCTGAGGGCCCCACCCTCATGATCTCACCTAAGTCTAACTATTGCCCACAGGCCCCATCTCCAAATGTCATCACATTGGGCGTTAAGTCTTCAACTTTTAAATGATGGGGGGACACAAACATTCAGTGCATAACACTGCCTAATATTCACTCCGCTTTCTGATACTCGCACCCTGGTTTTCCTTTTGGGAACCACCCCTTCCTCACTCAGCTCCTGTGGTTCTACTGGGCTGAACCTATCCCACCCCCAGCTTCATGGGTAGGTAGAACTTGACCTGGCCACCAAAAATGTTCCACTCCTCTGGCCATAGTAATTCGTTGAAAGATGGAACCATGACCCATATTTGGACTAATGAGAGATAGTGCCTATTATGGACTGAATTGTGTGTCCTCCCTGCCCCAAATACATAGGTGGCAGCCTTACCCCCAAGTGTGACTGTATTTGGAGATGGACTCTTTGGGGAGATAATATGGTTAAATGAGGTCATAAGAGTGGGGCCAGAATCCAATAGGACTGGTGTCCCTTTAGGAAGAGACACCAGAGATCTCTCTCTCTCTTTCCATGTACACAGAGAAAAGGCCATGTGTGGACACAGCAAGAAGGTGGCCATCTAAAGTCATGAAGAGAGGCCTCACCAGAAACCAGCCCTGATGGCAACTGGATTTTGAACTTCTAGTCTCCAGAATTGTGAGAAGTGAATTCTTGTTGAGAAGCCACCCAGTATGTGATATTTTGTTATGGCAGCCTAAGACAGTACCAGAGCCACTGGAAAAGACAGGCTGAAATAACGAAGGCAGGATTATTGTGTAAGCCTGAGCTGTCAGAGCTCATGAGAGGGCCTGCCTGAAAAGCCAACACAGAGCAGAGTGAAGCCAGGAGATGGAGGTCCTGACTGTGCCTGAGGAGCACCTGGATCCAGCCATGCCTGAAGTGGGTGTATACCTCTGCATATCACAGTTACTCAAGCCAATGAATTATTTTGTTTTGCTTTTTATTAGTTTGTTTGTTTGTTTTTGAGACAAGGTCTCACTCTGTTGCCCAGGCTGGAGTGTAGTGGCACGATTATGGCTCACTGTAACATTGAACTCTTGGGCTCAAGTGATCTTCCCCCCGCTCAGCTTCTTAAGTTGCTTGGACTACACATCTGGCCAATTTTTTCATTTTTTGTAGAGATGGGGGTCTCACTATGCTGCCCAGGCTGGTCACAAAATCCTGGCCTCAAATGATCCTCCTGCCTCGGCCTTCCAAAATATTGGGATTATAGGCATGAGCCACCGTGCCAAGCCTATTTTGTTTTTTGTTTTGTTTTGTTTTTAAAGACAGGGTCTTGCTATGTTGCCCAGGCTGGCCTGGAACTTCAGGGCTCAAGAAATCTTCCTACCCCAGTCTCCTGAGTAGCTGGGACTACAGGCATGCACCACTGCTCCCAGCTTGAATGAACTCTTCTTTTTGCTTGATTTTAGTTTGTCTCATCAAAAGCACTGTGACTAATACAGAGTCAACTCTAATTTTATTACTTTTTTCATTATATCTGATCAGATATAACATCATAAACACACTGGTGAAGAAGAGTTATAGTCAGAGTACCACTCGAATTGAAGCTTTAAACTGTCAATAAGCCACCTGCAATCCCTCGGTGTAGAGAAAAGGAGAACTTGGACATCTTGATTTCTCACCAGGTATTCAGAGGTCACCTACCTGGTTGGTTCCCTCTTAGAGTGTGACATCTTTAAAGTGGGCTATGAAGCCCTTTGCCTAAGACCTTGCTTTCCCAAGGGGCAGCTATTCACATCTAGCAGACAACACACTAGTGTAGACATCTCAGTGCACTTGGCAAGCCTCTGAAGCCTCTTCTTGTAAGTCAGGCCAGCAATGGCCCTTGCACTGGCAAGCATCTTGCTCAAGCTCTTAAGTGATCATAATAAAGTGATTAACACAGAGTGCCCAGCACAGTGATTACTTCTGATTAGAGGTGGGTGGTGCATTAGTCAACACCAGGCAGAAAAGCCCAGCAATGTTTCTGAGCAGACTCAGGAAGAGATAGTTGTTCTCAAACTTGAGTATGCATCAGAATCACAGAATGATGGTGAAGGGGGGTGGGGAGTGAGGGTGGGGTTGGGAAGACTTGTTAAGACACACACTGCTGAGCCCTACCCCTAGAGTTTCTGATTCAGCAGGTCAGAGTGGGCCCCTAGAATCTGCATTTCTCACAAGTTCGCAGGTACTGCTGGTTGGGGGGCTATACACTGAAAATCACTGTTAGAAGACTGCTGAATTGGACAAAGGCCCCTCAAAGGAGAAATGATCCAGCACTTGGTTTTTCTGCTTCCCTGAAACCCTCATCTCAACAAAGATGCCCTGTTATCTCCACTGTGGGTCCTGAAGCCTTAGACAAGTACAGAAGTGAAATGTACATCTACATAAAAAAATGATACACAGTACTAACTTCATGCCTGTGGGTATAGAGCCAGAAATGTCACAGCACACCTGCATATCTATCACATTGTCACAGCAGCCCCTAGATGCAATTATTCCTGAATTACAGAGAAACAAATGGAGGTACCAGGCAGCTGTGACTGTTGTCTACAGAGAAGACACACGTGGAAGGCAATTTTTCTTGGTCATGAAAATTGTCAAATGTACATAAAGGTGAAATAAATAGTGTAATAAATCCCCAAATGTTTCAACTGCAGTGGACTCTGGCAATGACAGTGGTTCTCAAATTTGAGTGTGCATCAGAATCACCTAAGAGACTTGCCAAAACAGATATTGCATGGGTATCATCCACCAACAAGAATTATTAGGACTTTGCCACATCGAAAACTCTTCTGATGACAAGACAGCACTGGCAGGGAATAAACTCACAAAGATAGTTTTATGTTTCACTTTGCTTTGTTTTGTTCTTGAGGCAGGGTCTTGCTCTGTCACCCAGCCTGGAGTACAGTGTTGTAATCATGACTCACTGCAGCTTCAACCTCCCGGGCTCAAGCAATCCTCCCACCTCAGCCTCCTGAGTAGCTGGGACTACAGGCATGTGCCACCATGCCCAGTTAATTTTTGTATTTTTTTGTAGAGATGGGGTTTCTCCATGTTGCCCTTGCTGGTGTCAAACTTGGGCTTGTGAGCTTGATTTTGGGATTACAGACATGAGCCACCGTGCCCAGCCAGATTTTTTGATGTTATCTCCAAATGAATAAATGTAAGTATGGCCACAGGGACACTGCTCAAAAGGAACATGATAACATACCTCGTTTTGGTAGTCCCGTTTGGGCCTGTCTTCATTTTTATGTTTTTTTCCTTTTCTTTTTCTTTTTCTTTTTTTAAGAGACAGTGTCTCACTCTGTCACCCAGACAAGAGTGCGGTGGCAAGATCATAGCTCACTGCAATCTCGGACTCCTGGCCTCCAGGGATCTTCATGCCTTGACTTCCCAAAGTGCTGGGATTATAGGTGTGAGCCACCACGCCTGGCCTCTTCATTTTTAAAACAACCCAAAAGGGATACAGAATAGAATGTCACTTGGATAGCTGTTTGACAGCTTTTTCTTTTTCTTGTCTTTTTTTTTTTTTTTAATTGAGACAAGGTCTTGCTCTGTGGCCCAGGCTGGAGTGCAATGCCACTGTCATGGCTCACTGCAGCCTCAACCTCCTGGGCTCCAAGGCTCCTCCAGACTCAGCCTCCTGAACAGGCATGTGCCACTGCACCCAGCTAATTTATTTATTTATTTATTTTTATTTTTATTTTTATTTTGAGACAGAGTCTCGCTCTGTCGCCCAGGCTCGAATGCAGTGGCGCAAGCTCTGCTCACTGCAAGCTCCGCCTCCCGGGTTCACGCCATTCTCAGCATCCCGAGTAGCTGTGACTGCAGGCGCCCGCCACCACGCCCAGCTAATTTTTTGTATTTTTAGTAGAGACGGGGTTTCACCGTGTTAGCCAGAATGGTCTCGATCTCCTGACCTCGTGATCCGCCCGCCTCGGCCTCCCAAAGTGCTGGAATTACAGGCGTGAGCCACCGCGCCCGGCCCAGCTAATTTATTTTTATTTTTTGTTTTTTGTAGAAATGAGGTCTGGCCATGTTCCCCAGGCTGACAGCTTCTAACAGAAGCAAACATATGCTCCCCTTGTAACCAGTGCGTTCACTTGCAGATATTTGTCCCAGAGAAATGAGAGTTTGTATCCACCAAAAAAACGTGTACCATAATAGTGACTATAGCCAGAAAAGAGATGAGGGAGGGGGGAAAGGCCGGAAGGAGGGAAGGAGGCAGGCAAGCAGGTAGGAAGGAAGCAAGCTTGGTGTCCATCAACTGGGTAAACGTTTAAAAAATACGGTATCTTTGCACAGTGGAGTACTACTCAGCAATAAAAAGGAAGGAACTGATATGAACTACTTATATTCCCAACAGGATGGATCTTCTAATTTGTTATGTTGAAGGAGAATATTCTGTATTACTTCAAGTTTATGAAGTCCAAGAACAGGCAAAATGAACCTACAGTGACAGAAAGCAGAATACACTGTAGTGGTTGCCTGAGGCTGGATAAGGATGGGGCCAGGGAAGGAAGGTAGGTCAGGAAGGCCCACCACGGAACTTTCTGGGGTGATGGGCACGTTCTATTTGTTGATCTGGGCGACGGTTACACAGGTGTACACATATATAAAAATTAGTGGAGCTGAACACGTAAGGTCTGGGCATCACACTTTATGTAAGTTAAACTTCAGTAAAGTGCTCTCAGCACACATCCGCAGCCGCACCCACACAAAATCCCAGGAGGCTCAGTACCAGCTGTGGTCCGGGCCTTGCCCACCTCGGAGAGGCCACGACCCAAGGCATCCGGTTTCCTCTCGCTCCAGTCTAACTTCCGCGCATCTACGAGGGCCGGGACTGCCGCTACCTTTCTGGAAGGCGCCGGCCGGCCAGTCACCGGAGGGATCCCGCCAGAGGCGGCTCCGCGTCTCCAGCAGCGGGGCAGGGACCCGGGCGCCCCGCCCTCGCCAGCGCCCGCCCCCGCCCGCCCCCGGCCCGCCCTCTGTATCTGGCCCCTGGGCAGCTGCCCGGGGAGGCGGCCAGCGAGCTGGGGCCGCGCAATGTCGCACGGAGCCGGGCTCGTCCGCACCACGTGCAGCAGCGGCAGCGCGCTCGGACCCGGGGCCGGCGCGGCCCAGCCCAGCGCGAGCCCCTTGGAGGGGCTGCTGGACCTCAGCTACCCCCGCACCCACGCGGCCCTGCTGAAAGTGGCGCAAATGGTAAGTGAGCGCGGGGCGCGAGGCCGAGGTTCTACAGGGCGTCCCGGGAAAGCAGGGGTCCGGGAGCGGACGCGCCGGGCGTCTGGACCCGGCCGGAGCCCAGGGAGCATCGCGCAGCGGGCGGGGCACCGCGTCGCTAAAGTTCGCGGCAGGCTTCCTCCGGGAAAGTTGCTGCCGCAGCCCCCGCGCTGGAGCTCAGTCCCCAGAGCCGCCCCGGCCCTTGCTCCCGCGGACCCAGGTCGCCAGGGTCGCAAGTTTCTCCGGCCACCCCCCTGCGAAGCCTGACCCGCCTACTGACTGAAACCACGGGCAAAGTTCCTTTTCGTCTTTCTTCCTCTTCTCTGGGCCGCGCCGCTTCGAACCCGAGCCGGGGGTGGAAGAGTCGCCCAGGCGGCGGCGCTGAGGGAGCGAAACCCGACCTCTTCCCCGTCCACGGCCTCCTCTTTCCTCCGAACCCAGCGCGGCAGGGCTTCCCTGCTCTGTGTGCAGTTTCGCTCGAAGGAGGAGGTCAGAGGGTCTTGTGTTCCATAGTGGGGAAAAAGAACTGGGACCGTTGAGACGGCCGTCCTGGTCCCCTGCGCCCTCAAGTTCCGAGGGAGGGCCCGGGTCTCAGGGGGCTCTGGAGGGCAGGGGGTCAGTTGGGAAAGGCCTGTTGTCAGGGGCTGGTACTCATGTAGGGGAGCCAGACTGTTGAATGGGAGTCACCCGTGGAGCCAGGCAGGATGAGTGTCTGGGCTTGGATTGTGACCAACTCAGCACAAGGGCCTCCTACCAGGGCAGACGTTGCCTGGCCGATTCTCTTGTTCCCCACTCTTTTCTTTTCTCCCCTCCCGTTTTTTTCTTCTTTAAAAGTTTGTAATCTGAAACAACTTTTCCGTTTGTATGATGTGTTTTGAAACTGGGTTGGGCTGTTTGTGAGTCTCCACCATTGTAATGTTTGCACCAAGAACGGTGGGGAGGGGAGCGGTAAGTTTCAAAAAGAGGTGTGGGGAAAGGAGTGTGGGGCTGGACAAGGTCACACACCCAGAAGCTGGGGCCTGCTAAGGTGGCCTGGCCCCAGGGGGTTGGGCACAGGACGTCTGTGCATCTATAGCACTGCCATTCCAGACACTGAGTGTGCATGAGGTGGCCCTCATGTCTTGCTTGGGCCAGACCTAAAGAGAAGGGGCGCTGAGTTCCTGCCTCCCTAAGAACGGTGTCTAGATAGACCAAAAACTAGGAAGAGCCATTTCAGCAACGTACAAAAAAATCTGGTGCTGAGCATTGTTGGGTTTGAGCAGGGCATTTTTTGGCCCAGGCTAAGAGATTTGATCAGCCAAATAGAAGAGACCAGCCCATCTCACCATCCTTAAAAGATGGGCTGGGGTGAGACATATCCTACCTGAGCATTGGAAGGGATGAGTTTGGTAGACAGAGAATGGGATCAGAAGCCTCCATCTTGGCCCCTGAGTTTGCTGGACAAAGATATTGTGGGATGAAAAGTCTTCTTGTTGGTCTATGAGTTTGGTACACAAACATAATGGAGATGAAACCTCGGCAACATAGCGAGACCCCATCTCTACAAAAAAAATTTTAAAACCTTGTGTGGTTGGCATGGGCCTCTAGTCCCAGTTACTTGGGAGGCTGAGGTGAGAGGATTGATTGAACTGAGAAGGTCAGTGAACTGTGCCACTGCACTAGTCTGCGTGACGGAGGGAGGCCTGTCTCAAAAAAAAAAAAAAAAAAAGGTACAAAGAAAAGGTAATGGAGATGAGAAGCCTTCATGTGGTCCATGATTTTGATGAATAAAGATACTGGGAGATGAGAAATCTCCATCTCATCTTAAGCTCCTCAGCTAGCCTCTGGCCTGTGGTCCTTGGGCCAATTTGCAAGTGGCAAGAGTGGGGCCTGTTGTTCCAAAAAAGAGAACAAAGACTTGAATAATTTCTTTATCTGGTTGCTTATTCTCTATGTGCTCCTCTTAAAACCATGCTGAGGAGTCTTACACCTGCCCTGGAGGATTCCCCATCACTGCTGCAGGCTTGTTTGATCAGACCCTCTGGGAGCAAAGTTGCCCTTGCAGGATGGCTGTATTAGTCCTAGTTAGGGCTATCTACTTGGGCCTCTTATCTAACTCCTCCCTATTTTCCCACTTCTCCTCTTTTCTAAGACTCTGCTTGGGCATTTGAGGTTCATTTGTCTTCTTTGCTGGAAAATGCTTGTTTAGCCAAGTTTTAACATTGGGGAAGGGCAGAAGCAGCTAAATTAATGCCACCCATTGGGGCTTTCTTTCTATGGGTCTCTCATTTTGACCATCAGTTTCTCAGTTTCATACTGAACAGGTTGACCCTTTTGTCCTCAGCTTCTCATGAAATGTTTTCATCATGATCTGATCAATAGATCTGCCAACACGTTGTCTTAAGAAATCATTGCAAAGGCTGTTCCACTGGAGAATGACTTCCCTTGTCTTGGCCTCTTCTGGGTCCACCATTACTAGAAAATGAGTTTCTGAGTGAATGTGTGTACTTGACATGTCATTTATACATGTGTAATTTTTATAATCCTCTGGCCATGATAATTCAGTTTCTTTGGTCTTCCTTTTTGGAGTAGAGACACAGTCACAGGTTTTGACTTTTGACTTTAAAGCACTCTTTTTTTTCTTTCTTTCTTGAGAGGGAGTCTTGCTCTGTCACCAGGCTGGAGTGCAGTGGAACGATCTCAGCTCACTGCAACCTCTGCCTCCCGAGTTCAATCAAATCTCCTGTCTCAGCCTCACGAGTAGCTGGGACTACAGGCACGTGCCACCACACCCAGCTAATTTTTGTATTTTTAGTAGAGATGGGGTTTCACCATGTTGGCCAGGATGGTCTTGATCTCTTGACCTCATGATCCGCCCCCGCCTCTGCCTCCCAAAGCGCTGGTATTACAGGTGTGAGCTGCCGCGCTCGGCTAAATGACTTTTTTTTTTTTGAGCGAGACAGAGAGGGTCTTGCTCTGTCACCCAGGCTGGAGGACAGTGGTGTTATCATGGCTTACTGCAGCCTTAACCTCCTGGGCTCGGCGATTGTCCCACCTCAGCCTCCCGAGTAGCTGGGACTATAGGCACCCACCACGATGCCCAGCTAAATTTTGTATTTTTTGATACAGACGGGGTTTTGCTATGTTGCCCAGACTGGTCTTGAACTTAGAGATTCAAGGGATCTGTCCACCTCGGCCTCCCCAAGTGCTGGGATTACAGGTGAGCCACTGCGCCTGCATGAGACTCTTTTTTTTAATAGCTATTTTTTTTTAGCCCTATTATTGTTCTAGTAATTACATACTATATACCATGTGTGTATAATCTCATTAAATGTTTCTAAGAATCCAGTGAAGTAACATGTTTGATAGATAAGGAAACGGGCTAAAGAGTTAAAGAGACACTAAAGTCACACAGCTCTTAGCAGTAGTGGTGGAACCGATCCAGGCCTAATGGCCTGATCTCCAAAACTCATAACTCTGGCAGAGTTGTTGCTTGTTAATAGTTCTAGGGATATAAAAGCCACAGTGAGATAACACTTCACACCCACGGAGATGACAACAATAGAAAACAACAAGTGATGAAGATGTGGAGGATGTGAAGAAATTGGAACTCTGATACAGTGCTGATGAGAATGCAAAATGGTACAGCCACTTTGGGAAACTGTGCAGTTTCTCAAAAGTTACCATGTGACCCAGCAATTCTACTCCCAGCTCTACCCAAGAAAATGAAAACAGATGTCCACATGAAGACTTACACATTCATATGTGTTCATAACAGCATTATTCATAATAACCAGAAAATGAAAACAACACAGTTGCCCATCAAATGATGAATGTATAAACAGCAACTAAAACTAAGTGCTACATTCATACAATTGAATATTATTCAGTCATAAAAAGGGAGAATGAAGTACTGATGCGTGTAACCATATAGATAACCATGAAAACACTAAGCTGTGAAAAAAAGCCAACCACAAAAGACCACATTATATGATTCCATTTATATGAAATGTCCAGAATAGGCAAATGCGTAGACACAAAAATAGATTAGTGGTTGCCTAGGTCAGGGAGCAGGGGTTGAAAGGAAATGGGACGTGACTGCTGTAAGGGGTATGGGGTTTCTTTAGGGGGTGATGAAAATGTTCAAAAAATTGGTGATGGTGCCAGGTGCGGTGGGTCATGCCTGTAATCCCAGCACTTTGGGAGGCTGAGGTGGGTGGATCACCTGAGGTCAGGAGTTCGAGACCAGCCTGGCCAATATGGTGAAGCCCTGTCTCTACTAAAAAATACAAAAATTAGCTGGATGTGGTGGCAGGTGCCTGTAATCCCAGCTACTGGGGAAGCTGAGGCAGGAGAATTGCTTGAATCCAGGAGGCAGAGGTTGCAGTGAGCTGAGATTGCGTGACTGTACTCTAACCTGGGTGACACAGCGAGACTCCGTCACAAAAACAACAACAACAACAACAAAATTGGTGATGGTGATGTTGCACAACTCTGTGAATATATTAAAAACCACCGAGATTTATACTTTAAATAAGTAACTGGTTGGTATGTAATTATGTAAGTAGACCTGTGGATGAGTGTGAGGGGGCAAGGTGCTCTGCATGCAGCCACTGGGTGTGGGGAGGCTACAGCTACACTTCAGGAAATCCCTGTGGTGTTCCCACCACATCCACTCCTAGAAGAAGGAGTGTCCCCTGCAGGAGTCACAAAAGCTGGGCTGAAAGGCATCCCCTGAGTGCCTGAAGGGTCTGAGCTGAAAGGGATGCCCTGGGGTCTGAAGGGGTCTAGATATCCTTGCTGTGGGATTAAGGAGACCCCAGGATGGGGCTTGTGGCCCTACCAACACGTCCTATCTATTTGTTCATTCAGCAGACATTTATAACTGCCACATTCATCTCCATTTGTGCAGAATCAGATGACTGTGACAAAGTTCTTGCCCTCAAGTAATCTGTGGTTCAGCTTGTCATGGGAAGAGGGGTCTTGTCCCAGACCCCAAGAGACAGTTCTTGGATCTCGTGCAGAAAAAACTTCAGGGCAAGTTGTAGAGTATAGTGAAGTCAAAGTAGTTTACTAGACGCCACTCAATTACAGAGTAGAGACTCTTCAGAAAGCAAGAGGAGGAACGCACCCATTGCAAATACAATGCTTGCTTATATAGGTTATTAAAAATAGTGTACTTTATTACAAAAGCTTGCGATCAGCTTGTGACAAGCTATTAATATTGTTACTTTCCTATGTGATTATTGATTTTAGCAAGAACTTATGAGTGTACCATTATTTTAAAAGCAGAACCTATTCTTAAACTAAGAATACTTTTTCTTCTTGAAGAACTGGGACATTTCCGTAAGTTCTGGGTCTTTATTTAGTTAGTTAATATTATTAACTCGGGCCGGGTGTGGTGGCTCACGCCTGTAATCCCAGCACTTTGGGAGGCTGAGGTGGGCGGATCACGAGGTCAGGAGATCGAGACCATCCTGGCTAACATGGTGAAACCCCATCTCTACTAAAAATACAAAATATTAGCCAGGCGTGGTGGCACACGCCTGTAGTCCCAGCTACTCGGGAGGCTGAGGCAGGGGAATCTCTTGAACCCGGGAGGCAGAGGTTGCGGTGAGCCGAGATCGCAGCATTGCACTCCAGCCTGGCAACAAAGTGAGACTCTGTCTCAAAAAAAAAAAAAAATTATTAACTCATTCCCTCAACCATAAACATCATGTGACCAAGACTGCCCAACCCCCTGGGAATGTAATCCAGCAGATTTGGCTTTCTCTCGGCCTTTATTCAAGATGGAGTCACTCTGGTTAGGATGCCTCTGACAAGCTGAGGGGATGAACAAGTACCAAAATTGGCTGCTCAGGAAGGTAAACGTTCTGATAGTTGCCCACCTTATGGAAGAGGATCAGAGGGCAAAGGTGATATTTAAATTGCATCTTGACAGATGAGTGTAAGTTTTCAGGTTGGGAGTGGCTCATTTACCCCTTTGGTGCCTTTATTCAATATATGTTTAAGTTAGAGATAAGTGGTATGTTAGGGTTGGGAAGGAAAAAGATGTAGCAAGAAATGAGCCAGAATTGGGGTAATTATCTTAATCTTCCCACCCCAGACATTTAGAAATGGGTGCCATCTTATCCACTGAGCATCTGCTATGCTGTTAATCTTACGCTATGTGAAATACAGCTATTAACAGGATAGACTCTTTCTGCCTGTGCAGAAAAACAGACTGTGACGTTTACATAACCATAACATGGACAGAGAATCAGAATGTATTTCACAAGCGGCAATGATGGAAATCTAAATATCTTCTGGGAGGTTCATTTATTTATTTGGCAAATATTTGTTGATCACCTACTGTGATCAGCTAACTAGTAGGTGATCACGACTGTGTGCTAGGGAACTGTGGAAAGAAGACAGATGAGCCCCTGCCTCTTTATACTCAAATAGAGAAAATAAACATTAATCAAAATGGTTATGAATATGTAATTACAAACAGGTTCGAAATTATGAAGGAGAAGTACTCAGTGGTATAGAGCATATACTAGGGAGTGTGACCTTTTGGGGATTAGGAAGGGTGTTTCTGAGGAAGGGACATCTGATGTGAGCATGAGGAAATTGCATCACAAGCAGAAGAAAGAGCGTTGGCCGGCGCAGTGGCTCATGCCTGTAATCTCAGCAGTTTGGGAGGCCGAGGCGGGCGGATGGCTTGAGCCCAGGAGTTTGAGACCATCCTGGGCAACATGGTGAAACCCGGTCTCTACAAAAAAATACAAAAATTAGATGGGTGTGGTAGCACGTGCCTGTAGTCCCAGCTACTCGGGAGGTTGAGATGGGAGGATCTCTTGGAGGTCTAGGCTGCAGTGAGTGGTGATCGCCACGGCACTCCATACAGCCTAGGTGACAGAACAAGACCCTGTCCTCCCATCCCCCCAAAAAGAAAAGAAAGAGCACGGACCCTGGCTGTTAGTGGAGGGAGGAGTATCTCTAGGGCTGGAGGGGAGAGAACAGGGTGGGAGTATTGGGGATGAGACTGGAGGTATGCAGGGACCAGACTCCAGGGTCTGCCAAATCTTGGTGAATATATAGTCCTTAGTCTAAGAAAAATCAGCAAAGCATCATATCAACTCACCATTCATGAGGTGACTCTTAACTAGGGGCTGTACCGCCCCCTAGGGGTTATTTTGGAATTTTATGGAACCTTTTGTTTTTTTTTTTTTTTGGTTGTCACAGGGATTAGGGTTATATTACATATACATCTTATTCATTTCAGAATAGTAATGCAAACTGGAATTTTGACAGTGCAATTTTGACAGTGCAAAATACTTTATATCCTAAAAGGATGTTTTGTCTGAAATAAGATTGAAGGAGCCTTCCCAGACTGGGTGCTGGGGGGAGTACACTAAGGTTTCTTGGCAGGAGAGCGGGTCCTGGAGACCCTCTAAGAGGCCTGGGCAATTCCAGGCTTCACTTTGAGAATTCACAGGTTAGGTGCCAAGTGGAATTCAGCTGTGGGGGATGTCAGCCTCTGGTCTAGCTGTGAATAGACCTGTTAGCACAGAATAGCCCAGCATCATCCAGAAGGGCCCATCCCTTTATGTTCTGCTTTAGATGTGTATGGCGGAGGGCGAGGAGGGGGTCTAGTTTGGTTCCCAAGTGCAGTCTGCACACCCATGTCCTACTTCCTGGAAGTTGGAGAGTAAAAAGCAGCAAAGAACCTCACTGCCAAGATTCTTTGACCTCAGCCCATTCCTGACAAGAAACTACTGTCAGTGACCAAACAAATGCAAAAATAAAATATAATAAAATAAGTTATTGGCTTTATTCCTAACAAAAGTAATACTTGTTCATTGTGGAAACTTTGGGGAGCACAAGAAGAAAATAGACTCACCCACTCCCTCTTCCCCAAGATTAAAAAGTAAAACTAAAGTATTTTATAGTAGATACACATAATTTTGGTGGTGGTTTGTTTTTCTTTTTTAATTGAGACAGAGTCTCAGTTGCCCAGGTTGGAGTGCAGTGGTGCGGTTTCAGCTCACTGCAACCTCTGCCTCCCAGGACCAAGCGATTTTCCTGCCTTAGCCTCCCAAGTAGCTGGGATTACAGCCATGTGCCACCACACCCGGCTAATTTTTGTATTTTTAGTAGAGACGGGGTTTCTCCATGTTGGCCAGGCTGGTCTCAAACCCCTGACCTCAGGTGATCCACCTGCCTTGGCCTCGCAAAGTGCTAGGATTACAGGCGGGAGCCACCTTGCCCGGCTGGTGGTGTTTTTCTTTAAACAAAACTAGGATGATTCTATACATATTTTGTAAATGCTTTTCTTTTTTTTTCTTCTTCTTCTTTTTTTTTTTTTTTTGAGGTGGAGTCTCACTCTGTTGCCCAGGCTGGAGTGCAGTGGCGCGGGCTCACTGCAACCTCCACCTCCCGGGTTCAAGTGATTCCCCTGCCTTAGCCTCCCGAGTAGCTGGGACTACAGATATGTGCCACCATGCCCAGCTAATTATTGTATTTTTAGTAGAGACGGGGTTTCACCGTGTTAGCCAGGATGGTCTTAATCTCCTGACTTCGTGATCCACCTGCCTCGGCCTCCCAAAGTGCTGGGATTACAGGTGTGACCCACCATGCCTGGCTGTAAATGCTTTTCTTGCTGTTTGTTTAGTATGTGGTGCATTTTGTTCGTCTGCAGTTTGGTTTCTAACAGTGCTGTCATAGCCAGTCATGGAGGTACCCTGGTTGTGTGTACCATGGTACACTGTGGCTCTGGGAGCTTCCAGTTCTACCTGCATACAAAGGAGGCTGTGATGAACCTCCATGTAGAGAATCCTGGTGTACAAATCTGTAAATACTTCTTCAGGATAATTGGCACTGACCTTTTCCAGAGAGAGAAATGAAGTGTCTCTTGCCCTTCTTAGGTGGCTGGCATAAAACAATTCTCTAGACTTTTTAACATCTAGAAATTAATGAGTGCCCCTTTATCATCCAAGAGTTTCAAGGAGCCAAGTGTGATAGTAATAGTATTTAAGCTGTAATCATATTTTTGGTGTCTGATGATTTAGAAAAGGAACAGTGACAGACAGACTAGAAAATTCAAAAATGCTTTTAAATGCTCTTGTATTTAAGTGATGGCCACAGTATCTGCATATATTTGAAGAATGGAAGTTCCACTCTTGCGGAAGGCCTTACCTATTCAGGCTGCAGAGCTTAAGGCTTTTGTAATCACCGGCAAGAATTCCCATCCAGGACACCTCAAATAACCACTTACAGCCCGACTGGGAATCACTGGCCCGAGTGAGGCGATAGGGATGGAAATACCAGCCCAAAGTCCTCCAGGCTGCAGGCAGCCAGGGCGTAAGTGGGTAGAGGAGGGGTTCGGGGTCGGTGTGAGCCCCATAGGTTTTCTGGCACTGCAGGGGCCCTAGAGACCCCGGCCCCGCAAGCACGCCAGGACCCTGGAATCCTAGGGGATTCCCTGTGTGGGCCGGTGTATTTATTTAAATTCCCGTTGCAGCGAAGGCCGCCCTTCTGTCTTCCTGCCAGCCCTGGCGCTTCCTGTGCAGCGCCACTGGACAGCCATCTGTTTCCTCCCCTCTGCCATCTGCCTCGCGCCGGGCCCAGCGTGCGGCCCTGGAAGCCTGGCTCGGCCGCCGCCCGCGCACGCTGGCCTTCTTTGTTACTACTTTGGCTCAGTGGTTTCCTGGGCTCGCTGCTCATTCCCTGGCAGGGCTCGCGGCGTCCGCGGCGACTCCTGGGATCGGCAGGGGCCTGGCTTCCAGCCCAGCGCCGGCAGCAGCCCGGGGGCTGCGGAGCGGAAAGGGGGCTGGGACGCGGTCACTGCTCCAGCCACCCGGCGCTCCTGGGCGGAAATCGCGAGCAGAGCCCTTCTCAGCCTCCTGCAGAAAACGCGCCTCACCTGACTTGTGTTTAAATCAGCAAGGGCAGTGACGCGGCTCTTCCTTTTCCTGGGGCAGTCACTCTCCTCCCTCTGCTGAGCCCGCTCTCTTTAGTTTACTTTAAGCAAAGGTTTTGTTTGTTTATTTGTTTGTTTGGTTTTGGTTTTTTTGAGACGGAGTCTAAAAAGTCTTCAGTCTGTGGCCCAGACTGGAGTGCAGTGGTGCAATCTTGGCTCACTGCAGCCTCCTCCTCCCGGGTTAAAATGATTCTCCTACCTCAGCCTCCCAGGTGGCTGGGGCTACAGGCGCGCGCCACCACGCCCAGCTAATTTTTGTATTTTTAGTAGAGACGGGGTTTCTCCATGTTGGCCAAGGTGATCTCGAACTCCTGACCTCAAGTGATCCACCCGCCTTGGCCTCCCAAAGTGCTGGGATTACAGGCACCAGCCACTGTGCCCGGCCAGTTTACTTTAGATAGTTAGAAAGACCGATTGATAACCAGAGAGGCGGTAACCCGCAGTTTCCACTTACTACTCCCAAAGGGTTGCCCTGAAGCTTCAGAAAAAAGCTGTGTCATGCTCATTTGTTTTATTTTATTCTATTTTGTTTATTTTATTTTATTTTATTTTTCGAGACAGAGTCTCACTTTGTCGCCCAGGCTGGAGTGCAGTGGCATGATCTCGGCTCACTGTAACCTTCGCCTCCTGGGTTCAAGCAATTAATTATCCTGCCTCAGCCTCCCAAGTAGCTGGGATTACAGGCTCCCGCTACTGCGCCCGGCTAACTTTTGTATTTTTACTAGAGACAGGTTTCACCATGTGGCCAGGCTGGTATCGAACTCCTGACCTTGTGTTCCGCCCACCTTGGCCTCCCAAAGTGTTGGGATTACAGGCGTGAGCCACTATGGCCGGCCACTCATTTTTTTAAAGAGAAAAATGAAGATCCTTCTGAAATAAATGGGAAGGGGAAAAGGAGAAGTTAATTAAATGCTTTTGGGTACAGAGTGAAGTGGAGCCTTCTGGAAAGCAGAGAGAATTACTGTATCGTGACTTCTGAATACTTTGTCTCTTTTTCCTCTTCAGATTTCCTTATTCCCTGAGAAGCCAGCGTCAGCTCTCAACATTGTTTGTGAAAAAATCTACACTTTAAACGTTTCCTCTTAAGTTATGAGAGTGGTACTTAACTAAATAATAGCACTTTGACCTCCTTAGGTGACAGCCACTAGGCTAGGTGGTTTATGTTTTGTTTTGTTTTGCTTTTTGTTGTTCTTGTTGTTTGTTTTTGAGACAGGGTCTCACTTTGCCACCCAGGCTGGAGTGCAGTGGTGCTATCTCTGCTCACTGCAGTCTTGACTTCCTGGGCTCAAGCGATCTTCCTGGCTCAGCCTCCCAAGTATTAACAATTGGGGCTACAGGTGCAGGCCACCACGCCTGTCTAATTTTTTGTAGAGACACGGTTTTGCCGTGTTGCTAAGGCTACTCTTGAACTCCTAGGCTCAAGCAATCAGCTCACCTCGGCCTCCCAAAGTGCTGGGATTGCAGGCATGAGCCATGGTGCCGGCCGGGCTAGGTGTTTTTTATATGTGTTACCTTGTTTAATCCTCACAACAATATTATGAGGTGGGTCGTATCATTATCCCCAACTCATCGAGGAAACTGAGGCACAGAGTCATAAATACTGAAGGTGGATTTGGGGCCAGGTGGTCCAAGTCCACCACTTGAGCTCTTAAAAGGACAATTTGGGGTCTTTTTTTCATGATCATTATGTTGTGTATATTTTCCTGTGTCATTAAACACTGAAAATGATGTTGTGATCACTGCATTCAGTCCATTATTTGGTCGTACTATATAATTTGTTCATTTGGCTCTTCCTTGATGGGCAGGCTGTGGCAGATCTAGAAGGAGGTGCTATGAGACATAACAGCAGGTGCTAGTGATGACTTCATCCTTTGCCAGAGATGAATTCAGCTGGAGTGGGGAAAACTCCTCACTGGGGTATTGAACGGACTAAGTATACACCATATTTTAGGAAGCATTTTCACATTACCCAACGTTATTATTATCTTCATTTTTATTTCTAAGTTCCTCCAGGAAGGACTGGGAAGAGAGAGAGGATCTAAAGTTTCAATTCCTGCTCTATTATGTCTGCTGATTTTACATGCAATTTCCCTTTGTTTAATCTTTTCTTTCTTTCTTTTTTTTTCTTTTTTTTTCTTTTTTTTTTTTTTTGGAGACAGAGTCTCACTCTGTTGCCTAGACTGGAGTGCAGTGGCTCAATCTCGGCCCACTGCAACCTCCACCTCCCAGGTTCAAGCAATTATCTTGCTTCAGCCTCCTGAGTAGCTGGGATTACAGGTGCATGCCACCATGCCCTGCTAATTTTTGTAATTTTGTAGATAACGGGGTTTCACCATGTTGGCCAGGCTGGGCTCGAACTCCTGACCTCAAGTAATCCCCCCTCCTTGGCCTCCCAAAGTGCTGGGATTACAGGTGTGAGCCACCGCGCCCAGCCTGTTTAACTCTTCTAATGACTCTGTGGAGTATTCAGTTTTTCCTCCTTTTGCTTGAACAGAAGCTGAGAGGTTAAAAGTTAAATACATAGCTGTCCAAAGTTGAATACATCTGTTAAGTTGTGGAGCCAGCATTTGAACCCAGGTCCAGCAAGTCTTCTTTTTCCACCGTGGTGTGCTATCTCTCCATGTATGGAAAGCCGTCTCCCACACTAGCCCACCATGGTATGCACACCTGAGGGTGACTCCCAGTCAGTCACATCCTGTGTAATTCCATCCTCTTGAGTGTGAGTGGAATCTCTGACTTGCTTCTAACCAATGGAATATGGCACAGGTGGCAGGATGTCATATGCCAAGGTGAAGGGATGTTACAGAAGCAGTTAGAGTCCCAAAGGAGTTGATTGTGAGTTAAAAGATTTTCTCCAGGTGGGCCTGCCCTCATCAGGTAAAAGCCTTAGAAGAAGTACTGGGTCCTTCCCAAAGGGAGAGAGTCTCCTGCTGGCTCTGAAGAAGTGAACTGCCTTGTTGAGAGAGGGCCTGTGAGGGGCCATGTCACAAGCATCCAAGGGTCATGCCTAGAAGCCAGAGCAGCCCTCAGCTGACAGCCAGCAAGAAAACGGGCCTTCAGACCTATGGTTACAAGAAACTGAAAGCCACTAACAGCCATGTGAGCTCGGAAGAGGACCCCAAGCCTGGCCAACCTCTTGTTGCAGTCTTGTGAGACTCTGAACAGTGGACTTCTCCCCAGACTCCTGCTCCGTGGAAACTGTGAGAAGATAAATGAATGTTGTGTTAAGGTGCCAAGTTTGTGGTAATTGGTTGTGCAGCAGTAGATAACTAACGCAGTCACAAAAGCCTTTTTATCCTGCATCAAAGCTGGATCTCTGATGGCTGCTCCTTAGCAAGGGAAGATGGAGCAATAGCAGTGCAGGGGGCAGCAGGCTCAGTGGCCATGTTTATCACTGGGCTGTGGTCACATGTCATTAGATTCCTGTGGAGTAAATCCATGTGTTAAGTTATTGCTCTTGGCATCCTGTGGCCTGTTTTACATGCAGGAGCTCATTCATCATTACCATATCCCTATGAGATGTTAGTATTCCTACTTTACAGATGAGGAAACTGAGGCAGGGAGTTTAAATATCTTGTCTGAGCCAAGTGTGGTGGCTCGCGCCTGTGGGCCTATCTACTCAAGAGGCTGAGGCATGAAGATTGCTTGAGCCCAGGAGTTCAAGGCTGCAGTGACCTATGATCTATGCCACTGCACTTCAGCCTGGGTGACAGAGCAAGAACCCATTTCTTGAAAAATTAAATAAACAAATAAATATCTTGTAAGTTATACAAACTGACTCCATCTCCAAGCTGTCAGCCTCTTCTCCGTGGTGTTTTCTTGGAGCAAGTCCAAAGCAAAATCCTGATGCAAACAGTAACTATGGTTGTACATTGTTAAGTTGTATTTACTTTTTTGAATAGATAACGTTTACACGATCAAGATTCAGAATGTACCAAAAGTCCCCCAGTTGTCAGTTTTCCTCTCTGGAAATATACAGGAGGCTACTGGTGATACCAGTTTCTTGTGTAACCTTTAGGAGTTATTTCACACTTCTGTGTGTGCCTCTCCTCCTGTGCCAGATAAGAGCATACCTACGCCCACTGCTCTATACTTTTATTACCTAACTTTCTGACTTGGAGGTAATTCCATATCCATTCAGAAGGTGTCCGCATTCTCCTCCTTTTTTATAGCTGCATTGTATTCCAGAGAATGGATTTACTATATTTATTTAACTAGTCCCCTACTGACAGCCGTTTAGGGTATTTCTCCCTTTTGTTATCTAGCCGTGCTGTAATGGTTACTCTTGTACATATCATAGTCTTGTGTATGTACAAGAATATGAGAAGGAGCAACTCCTGGAAGTAGAGGACCTGCACCCAATGTTGCATGCTTTTCAACATTTTTGCATGTGTTCTGAAACTCAGCTTCTCAAACATCAACTTGTGATCTTCTCCCAGCGGGCTTTAGGGGTCTTCCATGTCTGCTGTCATGGAGAAGGACTCTACTTAGTGTTGGGACAGTGTTCAGAGTTCCACTGCTCTCATATCCCACTCAAATTTCTTTAGCATATTAGGAACCAGCGGAGTCTAAGTAGGGAACAAGAAGACCTGCTTAACTAGCATTTTTCTTAGTGTTTCCCAAGGTTCGTTACAGGGAGTGTTCAAGTCAGCTTCCCTAAAAGCAGAACTAGTAGATATGGGGATTCTTGTGCAACTGGTTTATTGAGCGAGGAAAGTAAGCAAGGGTAGAAAGAGCAGGACAAAGACGAGTTTCAGAAGCCCAGCCTCAGCCTGATTCTATGGGGAACACTGGAGAGTGAACTGCACCACAAAGATTGCCCTATTTTGAGGCAAGGGAGCTGGGCTTTTGTACACCTTTCATTGCCTACAGACCAGAAAGGAGGGTACATAAACTCCCAGGGATCTCTGAATCAGACAGCTCTAGTTGTCCAAGGGAAATCACTAGCAGAAGGCTGCAAGCATAATGAGTTAGCAGCAGCACCCGCAGTAGCTGGGGGATGGATGCACAGACCTGGTGAAAGGGAACCTGGGAATCTGAACAGGGCACCAAGGGAGTCCCTGCTGGTATTCCATAGGAGCCATTTGAATTGTAGAATTGCCTCCCATCTATCTGGTGTCTGCCAAGGCTTTAAGCTGTTGTACTTTGGGGACATACAAATCTGACCGCACCTTCCTTCCGCTTGCAAACCTGGCTTATTTGTTTTCTTGCCCAGGCATGCCCCTGGATCTGCCATGCCAGGCAGCTGCCTTACAGATCTCATAAGATTTTTGATGTTACTTTTTCCTGTCCACTGAAAGAGTTGTGTTATATTTTTCAACTCTCATTTGAAACAAGGGAAGGGAAAAAAATGTTTACTGAACAGAAAATAAAAGTTAATGGGAAGCCAAATTATTTCTGCAGCCTTTTATGGGAGAGTTACAAGAAATGTCACAGTAACACAAATAACTCGACCACATCTTTTGTAACTCCTTGGAAAGCCGTAAGGCCACAACCACAGAAAAAGTTTCCTGCAGATCAGATATTTGATTTCTGGAGTGGGGGCCTTCGTGACACATACTGTTTTCACCTGGGAAAGGTGAAAGAGGCAACACAGACCCTTGTGTTGATAATGTGACATTGGTTTTTCAAGGGTTCCTCAGTGTCCCCATTATCAAGCAGTGCGTCTTGTTTTCTGGCTACCATGTTGAGCAGAGGAAAGAACTCTGTAGCATAACATGCATCCCCTGGGCCTGATGGGGGTCTGCGTGCTGACGGGAAGTCTACGAGGTTTGTGATGACATATATCCTGAATTTATGGATGTGATCACTACTGTAACTTATAGTTGCCTTACTGTAGTTTAAGGATAAAAGATTATTTTCTAGATGTAGTGTGTTGAGTGATGGCCCCTCAAAATATGTATCTTACTTCCCAGAACCTGAGAATGTTCCCTTACTTGGAAAAACCGTCTTCTCACATGTAATTAAGTTAAGGATCTTGAAATAAGGGGATCACCCTGGATTATATGGGTGGACCCTAAATCCAATGACAAGTGCCCTTGTAAGAGACACACAGAGAAGGTGATGGTGACATGAAGGCCAGGCAGAGAGTGGCGATGCGTCAAGGAAGTCTCTCCCAGAGTCTCCGGAGGGAGCACTGTCCTGCTGATGCGTTGACTTCAGCCCAATGATAGCGATTTCAGACTTCTGGCCTTGAGAACTGTGAGAGAATAGATTTCTGTTGTTCTAAGCCACCAAATCTGTAAGCTTGCTACAGTAGCCACAAGAAATGAATACAACCAATTAAATATTTTCCATTACAATCAGATGCTAAAAATCTTCAACATTGTAGACTGTAGACATTTAATATTTTCTCCTTTTAGAGGTGCTTTGCTCATTTCTAGGAATTAACTTTCGGAGAGGTGATGGCCACGCTGTCTGCCTCTCAGAATGGCAATGACATCTCATCCACTTTGAGTACATCTTTTTTCCTTGATAGCTTATTTAATGAGAGAAGCAGTCCTTGAATTTCTGCTGAGAAAAACGGAACAATAAAGACAGAAGAAAACATCAGAGAGTGGTTCTCAGATGGCAGGGTGGGGGCAAAAGATGGAAAGGACGTTCCAAAGAAGCATTGCTTCTAGCCTTCCACAGATGATGAATAAAGTATCCCCAGATTCCCCCAAACCATCAGAATGCCAAATAAATCTTACTGCATCCTAGTAGAATCTTTAAAGATGAGCTACTGCAGCCCAAAAACATATGTATTAAAGTGGTCAAATTAGCATTGCTTAATCTAGTACTTGTGAATTGGGTGCTATCTTTTTAGTGTTTGTAGAAGTATCAGATGATTTTAAGTCTCTTAATTATATATTTTTGTAACTTTTTTTTTTTTTGAGACAAAGTCTCGCTCTGTCGCCAGGCTGGAGTGCAGTGGTGCAATCTTGGCTCACTGCAACTTCCACCTCCCGGGTTCAAGCGGTTCTCTTGCCTCACCTCCTGAGTAGCTGGGACTACAGTCACGCGCCACCATGCCCAGCTAATTTTTTGTATTTTTAATAGAGGCGGGGTTTCTCCATGTTGACCAGGATGGTCTCCATCTCTTTCCCTCATGATACGCCCGCCTGGGCCTCCCAAAGTGCTGGGATTACAGGCATGAGCCACTGTGCCTGGGCCGTAACTTTTTATTTATAAATAATCCCAGGTTTACAAAAACTTTTGAAGAACAGGACAAAGAACTCCCCATATCCCCTTGCCCCAGGTTCTCCGTTTGTTACCATTTTACATTTGTTTGATCGTTTTCCATTTGTATGCATGCTATTATTTTTTTCTTGGAACCATTTGAGAGTGAGTTGCAGACATCATGCTCTTTTGTCCATGAGTGCTTCAGCATGCATTTTGTAAGAAGAAAGACCCTTTCTTACATAATTGCAGTACAGTTACTTAAATCAGGAAATTAATGATACAAATGCTATTAACTTATCTACAAGCCTTACTCAGATTTTGCCATTGACCCACTAATGTCCTTGGGTCTAGGATCCCATCCCAGATCATAAGGTGTATTCAGTTGTCACATCTCTAATTTCCTTCAATCTGGAACAGGTTTTCAGTCTTTCTTGTTCTTCATGACGTCAACATTTGTGGAGAGTCCAGGACACAGCTGTCCCTTCATTGGATATTAAAGTCAGTTTGGTGGGACCCTCTGATTCTCAGCATTTTGTAGCTACACTGGAGGCAGAAGACAAAGAAAGAAAAGAAATCATGTTTGGCATAACTTGTCTCAATTTGAATGCTTTTGTTTTCACAAAAGTCCCTTTTGCAAATGTCTTATCTGAAGTTAATAGTTAGTAGTTCAAGTTGAGCTTTGCTGGATGTCCTGTTCTTTTAAAAAGCCTTAGCTCAGATGTCACCTCCTTGGGATAGTGGCTAACTAGCAAGTCTTATTGTATGAATTTGATGTGAATCACCTCATTTAATCCTCACAATAGCCCTATCATTTAGGTACTCTTATTTTGCGTATTTTATAGTGAGGAAACAAAAACAAACCCAGGTCTAGGGTGCTCTGCTTCCCCTCTGGACTGCCCCCTCTCCTGCCTTAGGAGGGCCTTCGTCAGCCCCTCAGCTAAAGTAGTCCCCTGCACCACCCTGCTACCATCACTCTATCCTGTTTCCCGGTTCTGATTTCATTACAGCACTTTGCCAGCCAGAATCCCTTTGTTCACTTAATTACCTGTTTATGGTAGATCTTCTCTACCAAGACCTGAGCTGCAGAGGGGCAGCCACCTTTCTGTTCAGGTCACCACGGAGTGTCCAGTTCGTAAGGTGGTGCCTGGAACACAGGAAATACTCATCATCTTTTTTCAAATGAACACATGCATATTTTCTTTGACAAAGCCTTTGGTAATAGCACTCCTTTCCAAAGAGTCAGCATGGATGAAGTGCTTGAGAGACTTGGGTCTTCTCCAGAAGAGGAAATAATGCTGTGTCAGACACCTGCTGAGGGAGGGGGCTGGGGTGTGGGCCCAGCAGTGGAAAGAGCCCTTCTGCCAGGCCCAGAACAGGCCATGGGGCCTGGGGCACATATCTTCAAGCCTGCGGGCCAAGAAGCTGGGAAAAGTCACAGAGAGGCTAGGATGCCTAGCAAAGAGAGGCTAGGATTCCTGTCCTGGAGCAGCCCACTCCCACCCCCCACAGTTTGCGATAGAGATGCAGTTTTCGTAGTAGCTGTTAGCCTGTTGTGATAGCACCTTTCTTTTTTCTTTAGTTGAGTTGACAGGTTTCGACAGACTCACAATCAAAACAACAGAAGCAAACAGAGACAAGCAGAGGGATGACAGAAGTGTCTGTCAGCTCATCAAGCTCTCAGGGCAGGGTTTCTAATTTAAAGCAACACCAGGAAACACTGAATAGTGGGATTACTATATTGGATTAAAGGCTAAAAGAATCAAATGCCAGAAGTGGCAAGCTCAGTTTGTGATACCTTTCCTCACTCGAGTGTTAGCCATTTGGTGTGGCCCTTTGCCTGGCAGAGGCGCTACCTTAAGTCACTTCATCAGATGTTTATTGAATGGCTGCTCTGTCCCAGCTCTGTGTCAGCCGCAGGGGATACAGCTGTGAATGAGGCAGAGCCGGCTTCCCTGTCGCTGAAAATCAAGACCCTAAACAAGGATGGTATTTCATCACCTCGAAGGCACCATTGTTTTAGGCACTCCCTAAGAAACAAAGAAAAATAATAATTATGTGGTAACACAAATCTCTCTTATCGTTCAGGATTTTTGTCTTATGCTTATTGAAAGAACTCTTTTAGATTTAATTAAATATAAATTTTACATATTTTTGTGAATATATAAAAAGGAAAATAGGTGAAGAAAAATAAATTGGTTAAGATATCCCTAAAATTTTTTTACAGTCAGAGCCTTCCTCTTCTAAATCTTTTTATTTTTAGAATATTTCTACACAAGCTATTGTCCTCTATGCTATCAAGAGTGTGAGCCATGCAGCATTTCTCAGAAGAATCCACACAAAAACTAAAAGCCATCAGTGCTGGGTTTGTGCACTGGCTTTTGACTCCCACTTTGGGAATGTTGCTAAGTGACCCCCTGAGTCACTGTCCCCGCCATCAGTCCCATACCCTGGGGGTCAAGGTGCTCTACTCTTGTCTCTGAGATTTTCTTCCTCCTGCTGGCACCTATGACACACGTTTTGATGCTGGTGTGTCTGACCTTGCCACATGCATAGGCAGTGATAACTACACAACTGTTTTTCCAGTGGTCATTGAAACACCCCGACTTGGCCAGGCGCAGTGGCTCACGCCTCTAATCCCAACACTTTGGGAGGCCGAGGCAGGCGGATCATTTGAGGTCAGGAGTTCGAACGAAGCTCCAGGCTGAGACCTAATGCACGGGAAGGGGCAAGGCAGGAGGGAAAGGTGGAAGGGTGTCCTGGAGAAGAGAACAGTCTCTGCAAAGTCCCAGAGTTGGGAGAAAAAGTACAAGGTTTGCAATCTTCTTGGTCAGTTCATAAAGTAGGCTTTTTGGTAGTGGTGAAGTATGGAGGATCTGTTAGCCACAAAAATGTTAGTGGTTCCATTGGGCTTTGCCAACATCCGCACCATAGCTAACTGTCTCGTAGAAGCTGCTGGAGGAATTAATGATGCAGTGGGCATGTTAATATACCTAAATTAAAATATTCATTGCAGCCTGGGTGTGGTGGCTCACACCTGTAATCCCAGCACTTTGGGAGGCCGAGGCAGACAGATCACCTGAGGTCAGGAGTTTGAGACCATCCTGGCCAACATGGTGAAACCCCATCTCTACCAAAAATGCAAAAATATTAGCCGGGTATGGTGGCGCACGCCTCTAGTCCCAGCTACTCGGGAGGCTGAGGCAGGAGAATTGCTTGAACCCAGGAGGCAGAGGTTGCAGCGAGCTGAGATCATGCCACTGCACTCCAGCCTGGGCAACAGATTGAGACTGACACACACACACACACACACACACACACACACACACACACACACACACACACACACACACTGCATCATTAATTCCTCCAGCAGTTTTTTTCATCTGGGTCTTAAGTTGAAGGGATTTTATAGACCTAGCGTTTTTTTTTAAGTTTTTGAGATGTTTGTTACTACACAAATATGAATAGGGAAACATTAATATAATTAAATCTGAAAGTTATTTGAAACAACTAAATTCACCCATGCGCCCACCATTCCACAGTTTCTACAATGTTATATTTTGGCCCTTGTTTAAGAATATGTGTAAAGTTTGCAGGGCTGTTACCCTACTGACAATAATAGATTCTGCTTTGTTGCTTATTTTTCTATTACAAAATTTAATATTTGGTAATGTCCCTGTTGCTATAAAAGCTTCATAATTGCACATAATATGTACAATCATCTAAGTGGATATTTTTAAATTTATGTGACCACTCACTTTTAAACATGTAGGTTTGCTTTTGAGCTTTTAGCTACTATAAATGATATTACATTGAACATTTTCAGGGGTTGGCAAACTACAGCCCACAGACCAAATCTGGCCTGCCACCTGTTTTTGTAAATAAAGTTGTATTGGAACACAGCCAAACCCATTCATTCATGTATTACATATGGTCACTTTCACACTAGCACTGCAGAGTGGAGTTGCAATAAAGATTGTGTGGCCCGCAAAGCCTAAAATATGTCCTATTTGGTCATTTACCAAAAAGAAATGGCCAATCGCTGTTTTACGGTATGCAGTAGAGTTTTCTTTTGACTTAGATTATTTTCCTTAAGATAAATTCTGAGAGATGGATATTTATTCACAGGATATATAACTTAGTTTGTTGATTTCAAAATAACCTCTATTTGTAACATGATTATGACCTTAAAGACAGTGACATATCAGAACAAATGAATTAGCTGATTCATTGATACATTCATTTATTAACTGTTATAAGATTAGAGTGATTAGAAGATATTATTAACACACCTTTGGTCCATTTCATTTGTACTCAGAGGTAACTAATCTTCATCTCCATTATAACTCCTCTAATAGCACCCAGTTCTTTTCATTCACAGTGTTTCTCATAGTTTTAGATTTTTTTATTAGTGCAACACTAGCTGCTGTAACAAATAACTCTCAAATGTTACTGGTTTGACACGATAGCTTTCTCCCTCAGCCATTTAGGAACCCCAGCATGGGGGTTCCTGGTCAGTAGGCAGCTTTTTTCCTATGTGGCTATTCAAGTTTGGGCCAAGATTTTTCTATTCTTTTTAAACTACTTTTTTGGGGAAAGAGCCCACTTAAACAGTTGCAGTGGCCATACTGGTGTGTGCCCAAATATCCCCTTTATTGCTGAGGCATTCATCCGCCGCAGGTTCCAAGAATGTGGCCTGCTGAGTCCCTCCCCACAAATTGATGTCCACCAAAGGGACTCGCCTCACCCAAGATGATGCCTAACCTCTCCCTGGGGGCAGCCTGTATCCAGTGGTCAGTGGAGAGTCAGGAAGGCCTGGTCTGCTTGCTTCAACAGAGAAAACTCTGAAGAGCGGTCCTAGCTTCAGTGCTCCTCGGAGTATCAGCCAAGGCCTTTGTTATGACTGCTCAAATCCTCCCTCCACCTGGTCCTGTCTTGCTTACTCTCCCACTGTAATCTCTTGGAGAGCACTCCCCAGTTAACTTTTTGCATGCAAATCTCTTTCTCAGAGTCTATTTCCAGGGAATTCCACCACCCCAGGACCAAATGACCAAGCTACATTTTCTTGGTTCAGTTTTCATTCTCCACGTTCCACTGACGTTGAAAATTTGCACCTTCTTTACCGCTGTATTTCAGCACTGCGTTCACAGCTTCTGTTTGGTGCAAGTCTCTGCTCGTCCCCTCATCTTTGACATTTCTTACTAAGGCTCCTTTTATTGCCTCATTACTTTAGGAAGAGGTGAAGTACAAATTACCAAGATAATAAATATTCAAATTGCACAGACCATCTGCCCCTGAACAGATGTCCACTCTAAGTCAATGTCAATCTCCATCCCTGGGGCAAGGGGAGAGGTGAAGAAACTTTACCATTGAAGCTTCATGGGAGGAAAAGGGATGCTGGGGAAGTGTGGCTTCTCTTGAGTTTCTGATTCATACACAGGAAGAGATTCCTTCCAGAAAATTTAGCTAAGGAAGAGGAAATGATAACCCAAGAATGTTATGATATGGAGCCTGCCAATTCTTTACGACAACGGAAGTGCTGCAGGGACCCAGTGAGAGTTTTACTTTTGCATTTAGCTCTTGTGGGCAGAGCATGTGATGCATGCCAGGAACTGTGCGTAGTGCTTTTCAGGTATTGGAAGAGCTCTCTAAGTGGGGTACTATTTGTCACCTCCACTTTCCAGGTGGAAAACAGGCCCTGGGAGGTTACATAGCCTTTCCAGGTTACACAGCTAAGAGGCAATGGGAATTTGACCCCAGAACTGTTTGACTCCAAAGCCAAGCTCTTAATCTGTATTGTCTTGCCTCTCTTCTGTAGAGGCCAAGGTTGTCCACAGTCTAGCCCAGGGACCAGCCAAAGTACTTTAGCTGGGGATGGAAGTAAACCTGTTCAAAACGCAGATTCCTGGGCCCCAGCTCAGACCCACTGGATTAAAAACTCCTCTGGCTGACGAGATCACGCCACTGCACTCCAGCCTGGGTGACAGAGCAAGACTCTGTCTCAAAATAATAATAATAATAATAATAAACTTTGGCTGAGGGGCCCAGGGACCTGCATTTTAACGCATCCCCTTGTGGATACACTCTCTAAAGGATGAGAATGTCAAGTAGTGACTTTCTCACTGCCATACAGATCACAGGCCACCTTCATAACTTCCCTTGCCTTGTGTCAAGCAAACCAGCAGGGACCTGAGACCATCAGCACCTTTGTGACACCTGCAGGTCGTCTTCCACTGTCATGCTGCCTTTTCAGTAGGCCCTCCCGTTGGGATTAAGTACTTTCTTTCATGCTACTCTTCATCTCCTGATAAGGGAGGGAAACTGAGGCAGTGGAACTGCTGGATTCCTACTCCTCAGTGAAATCTTGGGTACATCACCTGCCTTCTCTATGCCTCAGTTCCCTCTTCCGTGAGATGGGGGTGATAATATTACCTGCTCAGGGTTACTGTGCAGATCTTCTCTGAAGTATTTAAGCTCTGAGTGAATGTTAGTTATTTTTTTATTACCTCCTTTCAGTAGTCTAGTGAGATCTTTAATCTTTTCTCCAGAAGTTAGCTGGGTCTGTTCTTGCTATTCCATATTCATAATATTTTCTACAAGGTCTTCATTTCCTTTTTCCCTTTGCACATCTCCAACTTGCCTCTGCAAATCTATGCTAGTCCCTTTGATAAGAATATTAGATTAGCACAGGTCTGTGTCTGCATGAGGAGAGAGCCCACTTGGTCTTTGTCCAAGGTTTCTCAGACGTTTCATTTTGTATTTAGCTGTCATCTGTAGAGCATGTCATACATGCCAGGCCTGTGTTTTTGACTTAGCATAGACATCAAGGTGATGAAGAAAGACTATTGGGTTGGCTCTTGGCTCTGCTGCCCACTACATGGGTAGGTAATCTTGGGTAAATCACGTCCCTTCTCTTGGTCTCAGTTTTCTCTTGTGAAGTAGGGGAAAAGTTTTTGAGATCAGCATTGTTCTAATTATGATATATATGTGCACATAAGTACTTTTTTGTGTTTTGTTTTGTTTTTGAGACAGAGTCTTGCTCTTGTAAACCAGGCTGGAGTGCAATGGTGCGATCTTGACTCACTGCAGCCTCCACCTCCCAGGTTCAAGCAATTCTGCCTCAGCCTCCTGAGTAGCTGGGATTACAGACGTGCGCCACCATCCGGGCTAATTTTTTTTTTTTTTTTTTTTTTTTTTTTTTTTTTTTGAGACGGAGTCTCGCTCTGTCCCCCAGGCCGGACTGCGGACTGACTGCAGTGGCGCAATCTCGGCTCACTGCAAGCTCCGCTTCCCGGGTTCACTCCATTCTCCTGCCTCAGCCTCCCGAGTAGCTGGGACTACA
Source organism: Homo sapiens (assembly GCF_000001405.40). Classification (NCBI taxonomy): domain Eukaryota; kingdom Metazoa; phylum Chordata; class Mammalia; order Primates; family Hominidae; genus Homo; species Homo sapiens. The sequence goes on from NC_000003.12 coordinate 32,416,533, forward strand.
GGCGCCCGCCACCGCGCCCGGCTAATTTTTTGTATTTTTAGTAGAGACGGGGTTTCGCCTTGTTAGCCAGGATGGTCTTGATCTCCTGACCTCATGATCCAACCGCCTCGGCCTCCCAAAGTGCTGGGATTACAGGCGTGAGCCACCACGCCCAACCATATGTACTTGTTAAGAATGAATTGCTGGGCAAGCTCAAAAAAGCCTGGGCTCTGGTGTAGATGAACTGTGAGTGTTGGGGGCTGTGGTATTGCTTTAAGGTTTTTCTTTTGGTATTAAGAAATTCCAGGGCAGAGAAAGTCAGAGAAAGTCATTTCTATGGAAATGAAGTGAACTTTTTACAAAGTGTACTAAGGGCTGGGACCTCTGAATTTCATCTCTTCTTCACAATCTAACTGTCATTCCACAGCAGTGTCATTGTGTGGTTTCTCAGCAGATGTCTTTTTCTTTTAAGTTTTTTAAATAAGAGCATTATTGAGATAGAATTCACATACTATAGAAATCATCTATTCAAAGTGACAATTCAGAAGTTTTTAGTCTGTTCACAGAGTGTGTACCGTCATCACCACAATCAATTTCGGAACACTTAGAACAGTTCTGTGGGTTTTGACAAATGCATAGAGTTATAGATCCGTCACCACAGTGTGTACAGAACAGTTCCATCACCCTAAATTCCCTCATGCTGCCCCTTCATAGTCAATCCTTTCCCCACCTTGTAACTCCTGGCAACCATTGATCTGTCTTCCATCCCTATAGTTTTACTGTTTCCAGAATGTCGTATAAATGGAATAATATAACATGTAGCTTTGGGAGTGGCTTCTTTCACTTAGGAAAAGGGGTTTAAATTAATCCATGTTATCACTTGGATAATAAAAATATTCTTTCTATTACTGAGTAGTGTTCCATGATATGGATATGTGTGTGTTCACCAGTTGAAGGACATCTGTTTCCAGATTTTGGCGATTATGAATGAAGTTGCTATAAACATTCATTTACAGGTTTTTCTTGGGTGTATAAATGTAAGTTTCCATTTTTCTTAAGTAAATACCTATCTGTAGTTTTGTTGGGTCGTACGTTAAGTATATATTCAAATGTATAAGAAACTGCAAAGTTGTTTTTTACAGTGGCTATACCATTTTGCATTCCCACAGCAGTGTATGAGAGTTCTTGTTGTTTACCACACTTGCCAGCATTTGATATTATCAGTATTTTCTAGTTTGGGTTTTGCTTAATTTTAGCTATCCAAATAGGTAGGTAATGATATCTTACTGTGGTTTGTTTTTGGTTTTTTTTTTGTTTGTTTATTTATTTTAGACAGGTTCTCACCTGGTGTCCAGGCTGAAGTGCAGTAGCATGATCTCAGCTCACTGCAACCTCCACCTTCTGGGTTCAAGCAATCCTCCCATCTCAGCCTCCTGAATAGCTGGGACTATAGGCGTGTAACACCACACCTAGCTAATTTTTGTATTTTTTGTAGAGACCAGGTTTCCCTGTGTTGCTAAGGCTGGTCTCGAACTCCTGGGCTTAAGAGCTCCACCTGCGTCAGCCTCCCAAAGTGCTGGGATTACAGTTGCGAGCCACCGCGCCTGTCCTTATTGTGGTTTTAATTTCCATTTCCCTAAAGACTATAATGTTGAACATCTTTTCATGTGCTTATTTGCCATCCACATAGCCTCTTTGGTGAAGTATCTATTCACATTTTTTGCCCATTTTTAAAAATAGGCTTGTTGGTTTTTTATTTTTAGGTTTTGAGTATTGTTCGTATATTCTGGATAAAGTTCTTTGTCAGAAATGGGATTTACAAAATGTTTCCACTGCTCTATATCTTGCCTTTTCTTTCTCTTAGTCTCTCGAAAGAGCAGGGCAAAAGTTAACTCTGATAAAGTCTAATTTATCAGTTTTTTTTCCTTATGGATTGTGTTTTCAGTATCTTATCTAAAAACTCTTTTCCTAATCCAAGTCACAAAGATTTTCTCCTACGTTTTCTTCCAGACGTTTTACAGTTTTATATTTTAGGTCTGTGATCCGTTTTGAATTAATTTTTGCATAAGGGTTAAGTATGGGCCAGGGGTCGTTGTTTTATATATGGATATCAAGTTTTTCTAGCACTACTTGTTGACAAGGATATCCTTTCTCCACTGAATTACTTTACACTTCTCTCAAAAGACCAGCTGATTATATTCATATGGGTCTATTTCTGGACTCTGTTTTGCTGCATTCGTCTATTTGTCTAAGCTTTCACCAGTACCACACTGTCTTGATTACTGTAACTTAATAGTAAATCTTGAAATTGGATAGTGCTCTTTTGCAAAGTTGTTTTTGGTTATTCTCATTCCTTGCCCTTTTCATATGAATTTTAGAATCAGTTTTCCAATATTACAAAAATAACAGTAATAAAGCCTATCACTGGGATTTGATTGAAATTGTGTTGAACCTGCATATCCATTTGGGGAGAATTGGCTCATTAATAATATCATGAATTAATAATATCTATGAACACGGTGAGCCCTTCCAATTATTTAGGTCTTTGATTTCTTTCACCAGTGTTCTATCATTTTCACCATATTGTAAAGTTAGATTTATACCTAATAAATATTTCCCTTTTTGCTGCTATTGTAAATAGTCCTCTCCTTTGTGTTTAATTTTTAACTTCAGTTGTTCATTGCTAAGATATTGAAATGCAGTTGATTTTTGTAAATTGGTTTTGTATCTCATGACATTACTAAAGTTATTTATTAGTTCTAAGGAGGTTTTTAGTAGATTCTTTGGGATTTTCTACATAGATCATTATGTTGTCTACCAATGAAGTAGTTTTGTTTCTTCCTTTTCAATCCATATGCCTCTATTTCTTTTTCTTACCTTATTGCAACTTCCAGCAGTATAAGAATGTGAGAAAAGACATCTTTTCCTTGTTCCCTGTGTTGGGGGAAAGCATGCAGTATCTCATCAAGTATCATGTTAGCTGTGGGTTGGTTTTTAGATGCCCTTTCTCAGTCAAGGAAGTTCCCTCCTATCCTTGCTTGCTGAAAGTTTTGTTTTGTTTTGTTTAATCATGACTGGATATTGAATTTTGTCAAATGCCGCTTTTTCTGTCTCAGTTGATACGAATATATGGCTTTTCTTGTTTTGTCTGTTCATAAGGCATATACATTTGAAACATTTGGAAGTACTGAACTACTCATGCATTCCTGTGATAAACCTTAGCTGTGGTACATTTGTATTTCTTATATATGTTGGATATGATATGCTAATATTTTATGGAGGGTTTTTGATAGCCTGGAGTTTCTCTGTAAGCTTGTTAATGACTCAACCCACTTTGCGTCCTTCCTTTTGAGATATTCATGTATTCATGGTCTAGTGTGGGTTATTCTGAATCCTGGTCTCTCTTTCCTCTCTGTGTGGTTGGTGTTCTTTTGGGTTTATCTGTTTCTCCTTTTTGCCTACATGTTAGAAAAACTTGAAGTTATGCAGCTCAATTCAGGAACAGGATGTAGGAAGAAGTATTTGAGTCCAGTAGCTAGATTCAAATTGATTTGCGTCACATTATTGAGGTCCTACCAAGTGCTGGGTCCCTGTTGTCACCTTAGAAGAACAGTTTATTTGTGTTTATCTGAGCAGTCTAGTTCTCCATTAGCAGGCACATGAGAGGAGGTATTGTTGAGGATGAACCTTTCGTCCATGTCTCTTTGTGGCCTCCCTGTTTCCTCCAGATGCATCCAGATCAGGGCAGAAGCAGAGCCTGCTTCATGGGGACTGAAAGGCCTTCTTTGTCTTTCCACCAGGAGGCTTTTGCAGTGGCAAGGAGGCCTGAGAATGACCCCGCAGGCCGGGTGAGGGGAAATGTAGGGAGTGGCCAGGTTCCAGCCTAACAGGTTATTTTTAAAAAGTGAAGCCCAATGAGGTGGGGAACTTTCTGAAGGGAGGTCTTTGTTTTCACTTGGCACTCAGATGACTCAAAAGTGAGAAAGCAAAGGAGAATGCAGGCAGCAGGGGAGGGCTGACTCTACGCCAGCCTTCTGAAATGACTTCAGCTGTACCTGGGCCTGCAGGTCACAATGATCATGCCTTTGAACTGGGGACACGGTTGAAAAGGCTGGAGGAGGAAGAAAGGGGCAAGGTGTCCACGCCATAGTCCCACTGTCTGCCTGACTGAAGGGCGGTTTACCACAGCTGGCTTTTTGTTCCCTAAAAAATGCAGCGGCCAGAGAGCAGGTGGGAGAGGCCCTCTCTGGGGAGTTGTTCCTCAGAACTGGGTCTGGGGGCAGGAGAGGGGGCCAGCTAATGGCCTGCAGAAGTGGCAAGGCCTGCTGCCTGCTTGCTTGACTCAGCGGTTTAGTTTATGGCAGAGTTTGCACAGACGGAATCGCTTGACCATGTTGTCAACAATCTGAGGCAGCCAAGCCAGCCAGGGAAGTTTTTTTGTTGGTCTCACCGGCTGTCTGGACCCTCCCACTGGAGGCGACCCTGCTCCCCACCTCACCGTGCAGCCTGGGTCCCTGGAGGCTCCCTGGGACATTCCTGCCACCTGCTGCCCTCCTCTCCCACCCAGCTCCTCTCCCTTTTCTTCTGGCCACTATTCTGATTTCAGTCCCCATTGCCTTGCTAGAACTGACACAGCCTCCTACAAACTGACTTCTGTGTCTTTTCTCTCCCATCTCCAGTCCACCTGCTACTAGATTCATTTTCCTGAAGAACAATTCTGCTGTGGCTCTTCTCTGCTCAATAACCTTCACTGGCTCCCCATCGCCCACCTAGCATATCTACTTCCTCAGCCTGGAATCTGATCCCCACCCCATCCCGCCAGCTTTGCTTCCCATCACACCTCTTCACATACCTGTGCAGTTTGCCTAACATGGACAACAACCCTCTTGTTCCCAAATATACTCTTGTGCTTTCCCACCCCTATGCCTTCTGTGGCTGTGTTCCCACTGCCAGAAGCCTCTGATTCCCCTTCTCTGTGTGTTGGAATGCTTTTGTGGAGTCCACACCAGGGCCATGTCTGCTCTTCATACGGGACATGCCTGACCTTCTCCTTCCTCTATTCCTCACAAATTGTAGCTCTCTGGTGGTATTTATCCCCTGTTTTGTTGTCGTTACTTGTGTCTGGATCTTAAGCTCCTTACCCTTTAGGACAGGGTCCGTGTCTAAGCTGTCCTCATATCTTGCTCATCTCCTGGTGACAACACACTGCACTTAGAGGAATCATCATTTTTGTGCTACTTTGTGCCAAGACCTCAAACATTATCCTATTTGTTCCTCCCAAGAAACTTCTGAAAGAAGTTTTAATACCTAACATTTGTTGAGCATTTACTGGAGCAGTACCAGGCTGTTCTAAATATTTTGCCTGAATTAGTTCATTTAATCCTTGTATTAACTCATTAACTCTTTGTAGTATATTTGATTATTATCCCTCATGCCAAAGATGAGGAAACTGAGGCCCAACGGGGTGAACTAGCCCCTACTGTCTGTGTTGAGTGACTGTCTGACCTGTGGGGGTTGCTAGCCATGCTTTATTGCTCCTGTTTGGCCTTCCTTCCTCTGATGGAAGGCAAGCCTTTGGCTAACACTCATACTTCCTTCCCCAGGCCCCACAGGGCACAACGTGATGATCACACGTTCTCAACAATAGTGATTTTTCATCCGTGACACATGCTTACAAATCCCTTAATGGCTTTTCTATTCTTGTTTTGTCGTTTTTTATCCCAGACTAATTTCTTCTTCCCCAGGCTGGCACTTATTTGGCATTGTGCTGCCTGGGGTTTTAATCAAGGCGGCCTACACCCACATTGTGAAACTCAACAGGCACTCACTTCTGGCACGGGCCCAGGGCTGGGTGCCAGGCCTCCTGCTGGGACTGGCCCCACAGCTTCTCCAAATATTTATTTCCCCAGGATAGTGGCAAAAGTACTCAGCAGCAGAACTATTTCTTCTGTGTCAAGGTTCCTTAGGATTATCTTTGGCAAAATGGCAACCAGTGCCGTCTCGTAGCCCTAATGCCAAGCACAGAGCTGGACGTGTATTTGGCCATCAGTAGATAATCCTTGAATGAATAACTTCATTCTCCTTTCCTTTTTAAAAGCTAGGGTTGCCTGACTGGGAAACCAGGAAAATTCTGAAAACAGATGTATCAGTTAGCTTTTGCTAGATAACAAATACAGACACTTCTCAACTTATGGTGAGGTTACTCCTGAGAAATCCATTGCAAGTTGAAAGTACTGTTAAGTCAAAAACGCATTTAATACCCTCAACCTACCAAACATTATAGCTTAGCCTGGCCCACCTGAAACATGCCCAGAACACTTACATTAGCCTACAGTTTGGCAAAATCATTTAGTACAAAGCCTATTTGGTAATAAAGTGTTGAATAACCCAAGTAATTTATTGATGTTCTACTGAATGTATATCACTTCCATACCATTGTAAAGTTGAAAAATCATAAGTTGAACTATCATAAGTCCAGCCATCATAACTGTAGGCACAAAACCTCAGTGGCATACAGCAATAAAAGTTCATTGCTGACATGACTGAGGTCAGCTGGGGATTGGCTCTGCTCATTATAAATTAGGCTTGCTTCTGTGGCTGGGGGTTGGCTGCTGTCATCTGATCTGGGCTGGCTTCTCCTGGGGTAACTGCAGTGACAGCACTGTCCACGTGCCTCTCATCCTTCTGAGGCCAGCAGGCTAGTAGCTCGAGTAGAGAAAAGTGGTCAGATAATTGCATTGTCACAAAGCACACATTGGGTGGTATGAGCACACCAAACTCAAAAGGACCTACCTTTGCTGTGGCACTGAAGAGTGGCCACATTTCATTTTAAGAAAAATCAATATGTAGATATATTTGCTGGTAGAACTCTCTTTTCAAATGGAATCTTACAGAGAACATGAGTAAATGATTCTTATAAGCTGCTCAGGGGTAGGGGCCGAGAGGAGGGTGGAGGCAGAAGTTGTGTGTCTTCCTACTGCTCCTTCTCGGTTTCTGTGGCTACTGGGAAGCCAAAACCAAGAGCTCTCCAAAGTGTCTCTGTCACTGACATTCTTCATTGACCTGAAGCAGAGCGTGGAGCCCCCAGGCCCAGCAGTTAGCCCCGTCAGAGCCTCTAGCCTGCAGGGGATTCAGAATGAGCAGAACTGCAGTGATGTAGTATGGAGGTGGGGGTTTATCAAGCTATTCTCAAGGTTTGGCCACCAGGGTGGTTTCATTCTATAATATTCAGTAACAAGCTTCTCAGAGGTGACAGCTGCCTTTTAGCTGAGCCATCCTAAGAGTATCTGCTGAGGACACATTTTTAAGCCAGCCCCCCAGGTGCAGGTCACAGATGGTGTCTCTTTCACCTGTGCCCGTCACTGTCCTCTGGATAGATTTCAGCTTCCCTGTGCAAAGAATCAAAACATGAAACCCAGAACAGTGCATATGTTACTTTCAATAGAGGCCAGATAGGACCTTTTTCTCTTTAAGTGCTTGTTCCATAACGGATTACTCAAAAATTTAATGGTGTAAAACAACCACTTATTCTTACAAATTCTGCAGGTCGGGAATCCAGACAGGGCGCAGTGGAGAAGGCTTATCTCTACTCCACAATGCCTGAGGCCTCAGCTGAGAAGACTTGAAAGCTGGGGCCAGAGTCATCTGAAGGCTTACTGTCTCACATTGCAGTTGATGCTGGCTGGCGGCCTTATGGGCTGTAACACCTACACATGGCCTCTCCAGTGCTCTAAGCCTCTCATAACATGGTGCCAGGGTTCCTAGGGCGAGCAGCCTGAGAGTGCGGACCAGAAAGAACTGGTATTGTAGGCTGCGACCTCACCTTGCAGATCACGTCGTGTCACTTCCATCACATTACAGGCGGCCACCAAGGCCTGCCCAGCTTCAAGGGGAGAGGAAACAGATTATACTTCCTGATGGGGAGTGGCAAGGTTCTGCAAGAGCATATGAGACTAGAAGTATCGCTGTGGCCATTTTTGGAAAACACAGCCACAGTACATGAACGCAGTGTTGGGTGTTCTTTTATACCCCATTACCAAGGCCAAAGGATTCAGAATATCTGGTTGCAGGGAGCTTGTTTAAGCCTCTTGCCCCCTCTCCCAGACCACTGAGCCCTTGGGGAAAGGTTTTTTTTTTTTTTGCGGCTGGGGGGATACATGGTCTCACTCTGTCGCCCAGGCTGGAGTGCAGTGGCTTGATCATGGCTCACTGCAGTCTCAACCTCCCAGGCCTCCAGCAATCCTCCCAGCCTCGGCCTTCCGAGTAGCTGGACCACAGGTGTGCGCCACTGCACCCAGCTAACTTTTCAATTTTTTGTAGAGATGGGGTTTTGCCGTGTTGCCCAGGCTGGTCTCAAAGTCCTGAGCTCAAAAGATCTGTCCACCTCGGCCTCCCAAAGTGCAGGGATTATAGGCATGAGCCACTGTCCTGGGAAACCTTTATAGTTAGAGCTTTGCTGAAAACAGAGGCCAGAGGCAAAAAACGTAGAAAAAACATAGAAGAGGCAGGAAGCAGTGTCAGTGGTTAAGAAGCAGACCTTGCAGCCAGATGGAAAGGACTGAATCCCAGTTCTGTGTAAACAGCTCTGTGGTCTAGAGCAGGTGCCTCTCTGTGCCTCAGTGTCCTCATCTGTAGAATGAGGGGCATAATAGGGTTGTCATAATAATTTGACAGCCCTATGCCTGGCACATAAGTGCGTAATGAGTATTAGCCATTTATGAAAATAATTATCATTATTGGTATTATTTCGGCTCCTTATAAAAAAAGCTTATGTCTCAGCAAGGGCTGTAGATCCTGCCCCACTCCTGCCAGTCCTGGAGAAGATTTCTTGGCAGTCACACCCTTTTATTTTGTTATTGACCTCATCAGGGAGCCTGTGGGAAACATGAGCTCCTAATCCCAGTAAGACCCTAGCTGTATATAGGGATTTCATTTGTCTGATTTTATCTAGTTACCCAGGTCTTAGAATCTTGACTTTCCAGGAAAAAAAAAAAAATAAAAGAGCATTTAATGTATTTTCTAAATTTTTCCCATTTGTAAATTAACATGCTCTGTTTCCTCAATTCTAAGCTCCCACCAACCTTAAGACCATTGATTTTTATAACTTGTTCGGTTGGTGGGGGAAGAGTGCCAATCTGTTGTATATATAGTACATTCCAGTCTCAACAACATTAAAATGTAGAAAGGTACAAATTGGAATTAAGGAAACACATTGAGTTCACTAGAATTTAGAAGTCTAGAAAAACACCTTAGAACTCCTTATAATTAGGTTGGGTGTGTAATTTTAACAGGATATTTTTGAGCAGGAAAGGACACCGGTCGGCACCTGGTCACAAGCATAAAACTGGGATTTGGCTGGGTGTGGTGGCTCACGCCTGTAATCCTAGCACTTTGGGAGGCCGAGGTGGGCGGATCACCTGAAGTTGGGAGTTTGAGACCAGCCTGACCAACATGGAGAAACCCCATCTCTACTAAAAATATGAAATTAGCCAGGCATGGTGGCGCACGCCTATAATCCCAGCTACTTGGGAGGCTAAGGCAGGAGAATCGCTTGAACCTGGGAGGCAGAGTTTGCGGTGAGCCAAGATCGCACCATTGCACTCCAGCCTGGGCAACAGGAGTGAAACTCCGTCTCAAAAAAAACAAAAAAACAAAACAAAAACTGGGATTTGCCTGAGCAAACTAGAATATCTGCTCCCCTAACCTAAAACCCTGAGTTAAAACTAGAGCTAACCACAGTTAACACACCAGGCACTTGGCTTCCATTTTCTTCTCTCAGTGGTTATATTTTCACACCATGAGTCTTTCTTAACCTTTTTAATATTTATGTCATGAATATTTTCCCATGTTATGAAAGCAAGATTATTTAAAGCTACATTTTTCATAATTACAAAATAGTAATATTTTTAATACAGAATTTTAAAAAACACAGAAAAAGCATGAAGGGGAAATAATCACCCATAATGCCATGACCCCCAAAGAGTCACAGTTGACATTTTGTCTGTAGTATTTTTCTTCAAATATATTATCTGTGGTTTTATTAGGGTGGCGGAAGGGGTGGAGTTACAACTTCTATGCCTGATTTTTTTTTTCTTTGCTAGGTGAACATTTTTGTTAATGGCTACATAGTATTTTGTCATAAGGCTAAACTATAATTTATCTAATTAACAAGTACTATTTGATATCTACAGGTTTTGTAATTTTTCCACTTTTATAACACTGTCATGACTTGTAAATAAATCTTGGCCGATATGCATGAGTGTTTTAAAATTATTAGAGGTGAAGTTATTGGTTCAAAGGATATGCATTTTTTTTAGATTATTTGATAATTTAATGCTAAGTCCAGAGGTGCCTTTTAGACCCAAGCTCAACCATCAACCCTTAAATGTTAGTAGTTATTTCACTACTTATTATATACTTTATGATGTGCTATATTATATACTTACTTTGTGTCAAGCACAGTGCTTTATATGTATTGACTGATTTTACCCTCATAACTTCCTAATAGAGTATATGATCACTTCTATTATATAGGTGAAGAAATTGAGACATGATAAAGTTAAGGCCACACCACTAGAAAATGGCACCAGCCATTGAACTGAGTGGAAATACAACTGGGTTTACACAGAAATGAACTCAGGGCATGGCTGGAGGGACCACTCCCTGGCTGCTATTTATGAAAGGTTACTGACTTCTCCAGACTAGCTGAGTAGCCCTTCCTAGAAGCCCAATACTTAATCTAAGGAGGGACAAAGGTCTGGTCCCACTGAGCAGGACAAACACGTAGTGAGTTCTTTTATTGAGTGGCTGCCTTGTGAGATCCAAAGAAACCCAAACCCTGCCTGGATCTGAAGGAAGTTTCTTCTCATGAAGGGCATGAGAATGAGACTGGAAGGAGCTGTGGCAGATGCTAGAGAAAGGGTGGGCGGGAGAGGTGCCCTCGGTATGGGGACCAGGAGGGCAAGAGAGTGCTTCTTAGACAGTCTGGGACTGTATAATACCATAGCCACTAGCTACATGAGGGCTATATAGATTTAGATTAATGAAAATCAAATTAAGAATTCAGTTCTTTGGTCACACTAGCCCATTATAAAGGCTTAGTAGTCACAGGAGGCCATGGGCTGCCATATTGGACAGCACAAGTAGAGAACATTTCCATCATCACAGAAAGTTCTATTGGAAATCTGATCTAGAAGCAGGAGTTTGGCAGGGGGCAGATTAAAGGATAGAGAATGACCTGTAGTCTATTTCAATTTGGACATGGGTCACGCATGGGAAAGTAGAAGCAGACGTTGGAAAGGGAGTTTGGGGCTATTCCTTGGCGTGATCTGTGAGCTTCATTTTGTGTGGACTTTGTATTAGACCTCTGTAGTGTTTAGGATAGGAAGTCTCATTAGATCAAACTCTTAAGTGTCTGTCATGCCCATAGCCTCTTCTGAGGAAGCTATGCCAGTATGTGGCATCACCTAACCCTGGGCCAAACTGGCTAGGGCAGAGACTGCATTGTTCATAGTCTGGACACAAGGAAGGTCTGAGGCCCATGAAGTGATGGGTAAATACGGTCCTTCCTGTGGAGAGTGTGCTGTGAGAGGGGCTTGGTCCCAGAATACATGGCAGGGACACACAGGAGCAGGAGAGAAGGATGCCCGCTTGTGGCTATACCCTGAGCAGTGAGGAAGGCCCACCAGCTCTCTCCAAAGCCTGCCTGAGAGGTGCTGAGAGGGCTCCCCAGGCCCTTTGCAACAAACCCCATTGCCAGAGGTGGCCAGAGTGCAGCCTCAGTCCTCCCTGCAGCCTCAGAGTCCGACTCCTGGGGCCACCTGCCTGACCTTGAATTTTTCCTTCATTTCCTCATCTCAATACTAACCAGATCGGGGTACCTCATGGAGGAGAAATGTAAAATAAACAGGAGTTTCAATGAACTGTCAATTAGGAAGGGGTTTAAGTGTCTGCTGAGCCTCTAGAGAGCAGGAAGTCAAGGGTGTCTGTGAGATTCAGGCAGGAAAGAGGTTTAGAAAGGAGCGAAGCTGAGGTGTTGTGGGGCGGCTTCCCTGTTGGGGGCTAAGCCGGCCTGGGCTTTGGCTGTAAGGAGTCAGTCTCATCTTAGTGTGAGCCCTTTTGCTCCTTTTTCTGCTTACATAACATCTTTGTTTGGCTTGTAAAATTATACCATGCCAGACATATTTCCAGACACCTCAGGCTCTTTTCTCTACCAAGTTGATCCAAGCAGCTTGGTTGTTTTTCCAGCCAATCCTGATCGTCATTGCTCCAGAAGGTTTCTTCTATTCTTCACAGAGACTTAGATGAGCTGTGTTCAGCCCACCTTGCACCTGAGAGTCGTGGAAAGCCGCAGATAACAGCTGCCCACCTGTGGCCCACCTGGCCCCACTCAGACACCAGCCAGGGTTTGCTTGACTGCACCAGACCTGCTCCCACCAAGGCTCTGCGCTGGTATTTGCACTGGTAACTTTTGTGAATGTAGAGCCTCATCGTTTGGTCTGGCTGTGGTCAGAATGTGAACTATTGCACTTTCATTCAGTTTATCGAAAGGAACCAAAAATCGTTGTCTACTCTTGAATGAAGCCCCATTGTGTATCACACTGCTCGAATTGCTTATTAAACAGAATTATTATTTTATAGTTTTAAAAATAAAAAGAATAATTTCACAACTTCCTCTCATGCCTTTATGGGAAGAGTGATGACTGCAAATCTGAATCCTTTTTTCCCCCTCCCCTCTTTTGTCTTAATGACTGTTAATTCTTTCTCTAAGCTTATTGAGTAGTGTATTTTTTTTTTTTTTTGAGATACGGTTTCACTCTGTCACCCTGGTTGGAGTGCAGTGGCATGATCTCGGCTCACTGAAACCTCCACCTCCTGGGTTCAAGTGATCCTCCCACCTCAGCCTCCCGAGTAGCTGGGACTACAGGCATGCGTCACCATACCTAGCTAATTTTTATGTTTTGGTAGAGACAGGGTTTCACCATGTTGACTAGGCTGGTCTCAAACTCCTGACCAAGTGATCCACCTGCCTTGGCCTCCCAAAGTGCTGGCATTACAGGCGTGAGCCATCACGGCTGGCTGGAGCAGTGTATTTTTTTTTTTTTTTTTGAGACGGAGTCTCACTCTGTCGCCCAGGCTGGAGTGCAGTGGCGCGATCTTGGCTCACTGCAAGCTCTGTCTCCCAGGTTGACGCCATTCTCCTGCCTCAGCCTCCCGAGTAGCTGGGACTACAGGCGCCCGCCACCACACCCAGCTAATTTTTGTATTTTTAGTAGAGACGGGGTTTCACTGTGTTAGTCAGGAAGGTCTTGATCTCCTGACCTTGTGATCCACCCTCCTCGGCCTCCCAAATTGCTGGGATTGCAGGCATGAGCCACTGCGCCCAGCCGAGCAGTGTATTTTTAAAAAAATGTTTTATGGAAAATTTCAGCTATGCACAAAAGTAGAGAGAATAGCACAGTGAACACTTGTGTACCTGTCACCCGACTACAACAATCATCAACTCATGGTCAGTCCTTGTGGAGCTGTGGTTCCACTGCCATGTTATTGTTTAACAGCTTTATTGAGATACAACTTAATATCAAAAGAGTCGTTCTTTTTAAGTGTGTGCAATTCAGTGATTTTTAGTAAACTGATAGAGTTGTGCAGCCATCACTGTAATCCAATTTTTGACACTTCTGTCACACCCCCCCCAAAAGATCCCTCGTACTTGTTTGCTCCCATATTGTTGTGAAGCAGATCCTGCGCTGTTTCATCTCATCTGCAATCATTACATAATGTGTATAAATTGCTGGCCAGCGTGTCTGCTTGTCATGGCGGTGCCTGCTCAGGCCATCCCCATTCTGCTTATGCCTTTATAAAATCACATGTGTTCAGGGCTGCTCCCTATTACAAACCCCAGAGAGCCTGCACTGAGCCTGCTGGCCATTTTTACTGTTGAGAATTCGATTCAACCCCAGATTCAGTTCTACATGACTTATTGACATCCTACTATGTGCTGGGCACTAGGGACACCACAGTGAATCCATGTAGTCTCTGCTGTGTGCACTTAAGGTCAGACTGTACACACAGTTGATGATGCAGTGGGTCAGAGGCAGCCTCGATGGGATGTGCGCTTAGTAGCCTGCTTGTCTCCAACTGAAGCATCATTCTGGCCTGATCTACATCTGAATGTGTGTGTGTGTGTGTGTGTGTGTGTGTGTGTGACACAGCTCTCCTGATGACCCTTTGCTTCTGAGTGTAAAGCCCCTACTTGTTTCAGGATGGACAGGAGAGAGTGAACGTGCTGCTGTCATCCCACGTGTTAGAGATAAGACTTTGCACCAGGGTGATGGTTTTGTGTTTCTTTACTCACCTCTCCTCTAGACAGTACGTGGAGAGGGAGTAAGAACATCGCCTAGCACAATGCCTGGGCCATAAAAGGATATAAAATTGCATTTGTTCATTCATTCACTTATTCAGCAAATATCTATGGAGAACCAATATACCATTCAAGGTTTCTGGCATGGGAAAACAACAGTGAACACAACAGATCATCATGGAACTTACGTTCAGGGGTGACAGACAGTAAGCAGACAGGTAAAATATACAACTTCCTGGGCAGTGATAAGGGCTTTGAAGCAGAATGATTGAATTGAGTGGCACCTACAAATGAGAAAATGTCTTTTTAAGAGGCAGAGGATAAAACTATATGTACAGTATGATCCCGTTTTTGAAAAGAGGAAATAGTACGTATGTGCTTGAAACATACAAACATGGAAAGAAATACCTCGAAATGCCAGGGGAGGTGGTTATCTCTGAGGAGTAGCATTATGGGTAATTTTTGTTTTCTTAAATAGACACCTGCCTGAATTAATTTCTATAATGAGCAAGTATTGATTCTATAATTGGAGTAACACTTTTTTTTTTTAAGCAAGAGACTTGACATGAGCAACATATCTAATGGGCTGAGCCTTGTGAGTTGGAGTCCCAGAGCCCTGCTGGCCAGTGTGAGGGAATCTGAGGCAGTGTTAAACTATGGACTTGCCTTCTGTCACCCAGCTCTCAGTGCTCACTCCCAGGTGGGACCAGACAGAATTTAGGCCCTCGACTGAAAACAGAGGCCAGAAGCTGGGACAGGGGGCTCTGTATACAAGCAAGTGCAGCCTGCAATGGAGCAGCATAGTGGTTAGGAACAAGGACTCTGCAGCTGCAGGCCAGGGTCCCAGGCCTGGCTCCTTAACCTGGCTGTGTGACTTTGAGCAAATTACTTGACCTTGTGTGCCTCAGTTTCCACATAAAAAGATGATAGTAGTACTTACCTCCTAGGACTGTTGTGATGAACTTAGTTAAAAATTTCAGGCCGGGCACAGTGGCTCACGCCTGTAATCCCAACACTTTGGGAGACCGAGGTGAGCAAATAACTTGAGGCCAGGAGTTCAAGACCAGCCCGGTCAACATTGCTGACTTCAGAGGAGACACCTCCTACCCTGGGGGTGGGTACAAGCTCAAACCACCGAGTTGTTTCAGCCCAAGCTCGCTTCTTGAGGCCTCCCTCTGGGATATGCTCCCTCTTCTGAGCCTTGGATTCAGATAGACCTGGATTTGCTTCTTGGTTCCACCATTTGCCATCTAGGTGATCTTCCTTGGGCAAGTGACCTGCCCTTGGTTCTCACTTTCTTTAGATCTGTGAATTGGGCAGAGTGCCACCTGGCCACAGTTGTGAGGATTAAATGTACCAGCATTGCACTGCCTGGTACCTAGCGGGTATTCAGTAGATGGTTGCCACTCCACTTGCCTCCTCCCACCACAGGCTTCCCAAATCACTTCCTGGCCTTCCATACCTTCTGCCCTGCCTCAGCGAGTGCTTCCTTCACCCCTGGGGGTTCCCATGGCCCTGACCCCCAGACATCTTCCCCGCCCATTCCTCTCTATGCTGTTCACTTTTGGTGACCACATGTCAATAACCAGTGGTGAGGCTGGGGTACCCTTTGGAGCCACAGCCTCTATGGTGCGGGACATCATTGCTATGGCAACAAGAGGCAGCAGCCCTGAAGAGGTGCCTGCTGAGCCGGGCTGCCTGGGTCCCAGCTCTGGCTCCGGATGCACTAGTTGTAGGATCAGCTCAAATCACTCAATGTCTCTGTGTCTCACCTTCCTTTTTGTACAGTGAGGAGAGTAATAGTGCCTACCTTGTAAGCTTGTGAGGATAAGATGGCCACACAGATGTAAGGCACATAGAGCTTGGTGCACGGTGAGCGTACAATCAGGGTTAGTGATTACTTTTGCTCTTCTTGTCATCCTAGGATTCATGCTGATAGCCATAGCAGATACCCTTCTCTTTGGGGTTCAACCCTCAATGCCCTGTGCCATCCCCACATTGTGTCAGCTGCCCTTGGTCCCCTCTGATGACCTACTCCTCCAGGGATTTTCTTGTGGAGATGACCGTCCACAGCCCCGTCCTTTCGCTCCCATGCCTATCTAAAGAATTATGTCCTCCTGTAGTGATGACAAGAGTGAGCAGCAGAAAATGCTCTTTTTGCAGTCTTGAAATTTAGTCAGCCCCAAAAGAAACCAGGAAATTGCGTCAGACACTGAAAGAGAAACAAGCTAGAGAAAAACCATTGCTTGTTGCAAACCAAAATTTGTGATTTCAGTTCAGTTCAACACAAGCACCAAACCACCAGGTTTGCTACACAATAAGTGTCAATTTTGCTTCTTGCCCTTTTGGATGCAGTGACATTTTTGACAAGTTGAGCTTTCTAGCCCGAACTTTCTAAATGTGATCCTGATGACCTTTGCCAGTGAAGTACGGTGGTGAATCAGTGATGTGATTGTGGTACAGACCATCGGTCTGGGCTGCACCTGTTGTGAGAAATCGGTTGGGGATGAAAAGAACATGGCCTGGCTTGAATAACAAGCAGAGAATGTTCTGGCCCCATCACGAGCCAAGAATCTGGAACCTGAATCCCTACATCACAGCCACACCCTGGTAGTCTGCCTGGAGAGCCTGAATGGCACCCTCCGGGGGCATTTGATGAGTACATTCTACCAAGTGTAAAGATGTTCTGAGGGCAGCCTCCAAAAGTCACCTCTTCTCCTGGTCACAAGGGACCTTGTGCTGGGTCCCTAATTGATGTTTGGCAAAAACACAGCATGGTTCTCTCCTAAAGGCCTACAGACCAGTGAAGGAAGGAGATGGGCTTTTTAAATGCAAGAGTGTCATGGAGCTGTCACAGAGGATGGCAGGATGAGCCCAGGAACCATTCATTCACCCAGTGTTGAAGTTGGCATTTCAACCAATGGGGAAAAAGTGAGCTGTCCAGAAGATAGGTTAATACAATCGATTGACTGATTGGATACAATCAGAACCCTACTATTTGCCCTAGTTCATGCCATCTACAAAAATAAATCCCAGGCTGGGCGCAGTGGCTCACACCTATAATTCCAGCATTTTGGGAGGCCGAGGCGGGTGAATCACCTGAGGTCAGGAGTTTGAGATCAGCCTGGCCAACGTGGTGAAATCCTATCTCTACTAAAATACAAAAAAAATAGCTGGGCCTGGTGGTGGGTGCCTGTAATCCGAGCTACGTGGGAGGCTGAGGTGGGAGAATTACTTGAACCTGGGAGGCAGAGGTTGCAGTGAGCCGAGATCATGCCATTAAACTCCAGCCTGGGCAACAAGAGTGAAGCTCCGTCTCAAAAAATAATAACAATAATAATACAAAAATAAATCCCAGATGACTAAAGAACTAAAAATTGTATGTATATTTTTAAAGGAAGCAAATATTTATTTTTAATGTAGGGGACTATTTTACTTATTTATGAATTAGGTTCTCACTTCGTCACCCAGGCTGGAGTGCAGTGGCCCAATCACAGCTTACTGCAACCTCTAACTCCTAGGCTCAGGTGATCCTCCAGCCTCGGCCTCCTGAGTAGCTGGGACTACAGGTGCATACCACCATGCCTGGCCAATTTTAAAAATTTTTTTTTTTTGTAGAGATGCGGGTCTCACTATGTTGCCCAGGCTGGTCTCGAACCCTTGGCTTCAAGTAATCCTCCTGCCTGTCTTGGCCTCCCAAAGCACTGAGATTACACCTATTGCCTCTTTTCTTTTCTTTTTTTTTTTTTTTTAAGTAATTTTGAGATAGAAAACAAGACACAAAACCCAGAAACTATAAAAAATGATGCATAGATTTGACTGTATAAAAACTTTTAACTTTAGTCAAACAAAAGACTAAAAATAAAGGCAAATGAGAGATGGAGAGAATATATTTGCAATGTCTATAAGAGACTAAGTAAGTTAGTATTTAGAATATAAAGAGTTCTTTGAATCCATAATAAAAATGGAAGCAATAGAAAATTAGGCCAAGAACGTGAAAAGGCAGTAGCCAATAAACATATGAAAAGATATCCAATCCACTAGTAATTAAGGAAATGAAAATTTAAATAGTACGATACTATTTCCATTCTTTTTAAATACTGTTAATCTGTGTTGGCAAGATTCCCTGTGGAGGGAGACAGGTATCTCTTTTGGATAACATTTTGGTAATAAACAACAAAATCTTAAACGTGCATATGCTTTCACTCAGTAATTTCACTTCTAGGAGTCTATCAGAAATATTCATACAGAGACCAGGCACGGTGGCTCACGCCTGTAATCTCAACACTTTGGGAGGCCGAGGCGGGTGGATCACGAGGTCAGGAGATCGAGACCATCCTGGCCAACACGGTGAAACCCCATCTCTACTACAAATACAAAAAAATTAGCCGGGCGTGGTGGTGCATGCTTGTAGTCCCAGCTACACGGGAGGCTGAGGCAGGAGAATGGTGTGAACCCGGCAGGCAGAGCTTGCAGTGAGCGGAGCTTGTGCCACTGCACTCCAGCCTGGGCGACTGGGAGAGACTCCATCTCAAAAGAAAAAAGAAAGAAATATTCATACAGATACAAAGAAGTACATCTAATTCTTTGCAGCGCTGTTTGTATTAATGAAAAACTGGAGATGTGCTGAATGCCCACCAATAAAAGATTAAGTAGGTCATTCTCCACCAGAGGCAATTTTGCCCCCCAGGGGACCTACAGCAATGTCTAGAGACATTTTTGGTTGTTGTAAGTGGGCAGTGGGTAAAGGCTGGCATCTCGTAGGTAAAGGCCAGGATGCTGTGATAAGACCACCTATAGGACAGCCACCTACAACAAAGAATTATCCAGCCCCGAATGTCAGTAATGCCAAGGTTGAGAAACCCTGGGTTAAATAAAGCCACTGCCATACTGGGGAATACTATATAGCCAATGAAAAGAAAAAGGTAAAATTATATTTGTATGACATTAAAGATCTCTAAGATGTATCATTTTAAAACTGCTTTTTTGAAACTTAATATGTGATTCTTACAATATAAGAAAACAAAACAAGTGGATTTTAAAACTACTAAATATCACTTCCCCTCCCCAGAGGCAAGTGCTGTTACCAGCTTCCTATGTGTCCTTCCAGAATTACCCCCAGCATGGACAAACATAGAATCTGGTTTTCGGTATGCTGCAAACAGGTGACTCTGCTGTGCAGTTACATTCAGAAACCAGTGGTGCATCATTGAGCTGCCCAAGGCCTGGAGCTCAGGACCCCGGACATATTTCCTAGATTATTCTCCCTCCCTTGGGTTTCTATGGCATTTTCATTTATAGATACAAAACAAAACTATGTGCTGGGGGGAATAGGAGCATGGGCAGGACTCTGGAGCAAGATTCTGATGTTGGTGAGTGAGACAGGACCTAGAGGAAGCCATGGGGCAGGTTTCTCAGCCAGTGGGTGTCAATGAGATTGCACAAAGGCTATTAGATGATGGTGACTTTAACAGGGAGGCACGGGTGAATCTCCTTACACTCAGTGCAAAATTCAGCCAAAGTTGGGAGCATACCACATTCCTCTTCCTGTCTGCCACTGCCAAGCAGTCATTTATGGGCCCACTAACATTTACAAATGCAGGTTCCAGGCACTGCATCCTCATCTGCATCTCTGACTTTCTGAACAAGCCTGGCTTTCATCTCCTGGGGATTTCCTGGAAAGCCTCTTAGAGTTGGGTCTGAGGCTTTTGATGTTAGCTTTCATCAGTTACTTCTCCTGCTCCTGCTTTCTCTCACTGAAGTATCATTCCAAGGTCAGATGCAGGGACAGTGGGGTTGGGTGACCTACCAGCATCCAGTCCAGGGCTTCCAAAAGGAAAGGTGTCTGGTGCCATCTTTAGCCAGACACAGGCACACTCAGTGGACCAGACTTGGCAGAGGCACGAGGGCTCAGGTCTGCTGAGGAAATGTTCCCAAGCATGGGTGGCAGGAGACAGGGTCCTGAGACCACCAGACACCTCCCCAGCCCAATCAGAAGCCGACGTCTCTTGAAAACTGCCTCTTGAGTTTTCTGTAGAGATTTTTCATCGTAGACCTCAAAATCTCATTTCTTTCTGGAAGGATGCTCAGCCAGGCTGAGAACCTGGGCAAACTTTCTGGCACCTGGCTGGTTGCGGGTGTACACTCAAGCTGCAACCAGACTAGTTTGGTTCCAGAGTCCTCAGGGGACCATCACTTTTCTCAGATCATGTCAGCTTCCTTCATCTCTTGTGAAATTTAAACCCTCTGCTCCTTCCAAAAAATCATGTCTTCTTTCTAGTAAGAATTCTGACAGAATGGAGTCAGAAAGGACACAGGTTCCAGGGAGTGATGTTTCTTATCTGGAATTCTAATTCCAGTGATTCTGTGGTATCATGGCTGGTCTGTGGGACCCTTGCTTTGAGTTGAGGGCTCTTGCAGTGTTACTTTTAAACCCCTGGACATGGCTGGGCACCGTGGCTCACACCTGTAATCCCAGCACTTTGGGAGGCTGAGACGGGTGGATCACTTGAGGTCAGGAGTTCGAGACCAGCCTGACCAATATGGTGAAACCCTGTCTCTACTAAAAATATAAAAATTAGCCGGCCGTGGTGGTGCACACCTGTAGTCCCAGCTACTCAGGAAGCTGAGGCAGGAGAATCGCTTGAACCCAGAAGGCAGAGGTTGCAGTGAGTGGGGATAGCGCCACTGCACTCCAGCCTGGGTGACAGAGTGAGACTCTGTCTCAAAAGAAAAAAATAGGCCGGGCGCGGTGGCTCACGCCTGTACTCTCGACACTTTGGGAGGCCAAGGCATGCAGATCGCAAGGTCAGGAGATCGAGACTCTCCTGGCCAACATGGTGAAACCCTGTCTCTACTAAAAATACAAAAATTAGCTGGGCATGGTGGCGCATACATGTAATCCCAGCTACTTGTGAGGCTGAGGTAGGAGAATCCCTTGAACCAGGGAGGTGGAGGTTGCAGTGAGCTGAGATGTTGCCACTGCACTCCTGCCTAGCGACAGAGTGAGACTCCATCTCAAAAAAATAAAATAAATAAAATAAACCCCTGGACATTTATGTTAGATATTTTATTTTTATGACAGTTCAATATAAAAGAACAAACCGTTACGAGAGGAGCTAGAAGGCACCTTAAGAGGCAAGTGAACCCTTTGGACAGCATCACTTTGAAGTTACTCTACACAGAAACATCTGTCTTCCAGGAGCCTCCCAGCTGCTTCACTCCGTCCTGAAGTCAGAACCCCTACCTCCAGTCCTCTCTGAATTCAGGCGTGTTTGTGCATTTGCTTTTCTAACTGGGAACACGAAGACACCTGAGAGGGTTGGAGCTGGCGGGAGGAGGGCAGGGATAAACACCCCAGCGCCTTTTCCCCACTATTGTCTTGTTCTTTCTTCCACTTCACCTTTGCTTTCTTTTTTAACTTGTATATTAAGTTCAGGGGTACTTGTGTAGGTTTCTTATATGGTAAACTTGTGTCATGGGAGGGGGTTGTTGTACAGATTATTTTGTCACCCAGGAATTAAGCTTCTAAATAATTCAGGGGGCCCCAGCATTTGCAGAAGTTACCTACTGGCTTTAGAAGAATTTCTGAAAAGTTTGATGTCAGTCAAATCTTTTTTTTTTTTTTAACTTAATATGCTGGCTAAGATGCTGGCTATTTAAAGTTGGAATGAATGAATCCCTGGGCAAAAAGGAAGCTTTTAGGAGCACGCATAAGCACACACCATACTCTGGCTAAATTAGATTTTCTAAAATTGGGCTTTCCTAAAGAAAGTCATATGGTAGATGGCCATAGGCCCAGTGAACCGAATTCAGAAAGTGTTATTTCATGAGCAAGTTTCCCAGAAAGGTTCGAGATGTTTCTGATAGAGCAGGAATGTACTTCCTACTACACAGTACTCAGCCCTGGAGGCTCAGAGCAGGAAGACCTGACCTGCACAGGCCCCTTTTGTTGGCTGGGAAACTTCCACATCCCTGTGTCACCATGAAAAAGAGCTAACTTTGTCTTCAACGACGAGTTGGAAAATTATTTTAATCTCTGCATTAAACTAGATGCAAAATTGCCTCTCTACCTAGGAATCACGCTGCATAATCCCACATTATCTGCATTTTCAGTCATGCCTTGAATAATGATACTTGAGTTCTTGAGGAGGTCATTGTGGGGCTGGGAAGACCCCTAGACTTCCCCATGTAGATGTGGCCTGGAAGTAAGACTAACGTAGCAGCAAAGCCCTGGCGATCATGCACACTCCTGAGTAAGGCAGAGGTGTGAATCATTATATCACCATGGCTGGCTAGCTTCAGAGGAACCGAAAAAATGAAAACACTTGCGTTGCTCATTAGCAAAGGGAAATACACAAATGTTGAGGGACTCTTTGTGTCACAGCCACACTCTTCTGTTTCGATCTGGTAAGCAGAGCACTCTCCATACCTGCTTCAAGCTTCCAGCTGAGAGTTCTCTTTTAGCTGTTGTACCTATTGCTGAGGATCTTGATAGTGGGCTAGCAACAAGGGGCTTTAGAAAATAAGAGCATTTCAGCATCAACTGTTTTAACTGGAGTAAGATCCATTTTGTGATTTGATTTGATTTTTATTTTTTTAGAGACAGACTTTCACTCTGTCTTGCAGGCTGGAGTGCAGTGACGTGATAATAGCTCACTGCAACCTCAACCTCCTAGGCTCAATTGATCCTCCCACCTCAGCCTCCCAAGTTGCTGAGACCACAGGTGCATGCCACCACGCCCAGCTAGTTTTTGTATTTTTTGTAGAGACAGGGTCTTGCTTGTTGCCCAGGCTGGTCTCAAACTCCTGGCTTCAGGTGATCCACCCGCCTTGGCCTCCCAAAGTGCTGGGATTGCAGGCGTGAGCCTGGGATGCCAGGCATGCACCAGGCCCCATTTTGTGATTTAATTCTCATTGTAGACTGACATTTTCTATAGCAGAATTTTTCAACAGTAGTACTGTAGTTGAGGGGCCACATTTGGGGCTGGAGATGGGTAACTCTTTACTATGGGAGCTCTCCTATTTATTGCAGGGTGCTTAGCAGCACCCTGGGCCTCTACCCACTAAATGCCAGTAGCAACCCCCATCCCCGCAAATTGTGTAAACCAAAAATATATACACACATTGCCAAATGTCCCATAGGACACAAAATCATATACCCATACGCTAACACACCCATACACTAACACCACACGCATACACACACACACACACACACACACACACACACACACTTTAAGACTCGCTGCTCTGGCCAGGCGTGGTGGCTCACACCTGTAATCACAGCACTTTGGGGAGCTGGGGCAGGCAGATTACTTGAGTTCAGGAGTTTAAGACCAGTCTGGCCAACATGGTGGAACCCCCTCTCTACTAAAAATGCAAAAATTAGCTGGGCATGGTGGTGCATACCTGTAGTCCCAGCTACTCTGGAGGCTGAGGCAAGAGAATCGCTTGAATCTCGTAGGCAGAGTTGCAGTGAGCCAAGATCATGCTACTGCACTCCAGCCTGGGCAACAGAGTGAGACTCCATCTCAAAAAAAAAAGAATCACTCCTCCATAGGAGAGAGGCAGTGTATAAAATAATCTTTTTTCTAAATTGGTTGTGCATTTTAAATAGATTCCTGGCTGGAAACAATGGCTTACGTCCATAATCCCAGCACTTTGGGAGGCCAAGGCAGGGGGATTGCTTGAGCTCAGGAGTTTGAAACCAGCCTGGGCCACATGGCAAAACCCCGTCTCTACTACAAATATGAAAATTAGCCAGGCATGATGGCACACGCCTGTAATCCTAGCTACTTGAGAAGCTAAGGTGGGAGGATGACTTGAGCCCAGGAAGCAGAGGTTGCAGTGAGCTGAGATTGGTTCACTGCACTCCTGCCTGGGGAACAGAGCCAGACTCTATCTCAGAAAAACAAAAACTAAATAACTAAATAAATAAGTAGATTCTAAGATTTTACACACATTGAATCCCGTGTGTTACTGGTTTGTTCCCTACATGGAGTAGACAGGTTTTCTCTTTGGCCTTCACGGAAGCTCAGACTGTTACTCATTCTACTTTCTTGTACTCATGCATTGCTAATAGTTTTCATCTGGTTATTAATTCAGTAGCAGGCCGTTAAGCATGTTCACTCGTGCTGAGATATTTCTTAGTGAGCTCTCACCACATGCCCTGATGGTGAGCAGCCTCACCTCTTAAACAGGATTCCTGCATGGTTGAGAACCCGTCCACCTTTCTCGGCTTGTTATGATCAGAGCTTACACTTTTGGGAGGTAGAACTGCATCTGACATGGAGGAACATGGTCCTTAGAGTCAGACAGACCTGGATTCAAATCCCACTTCTGCTTACAAGCCAGATAGCCTTGGACTGATGATTGAACCTGCATGCCTCCGTTTCCCCTTATGAACATGGGGATGATTTTGTCTACCTGGCAGGGTTCTGCATGGCCTTAGCGAGATCACGTATGTCAGACATCAGTAAATGGTAACTTGTTATCTGTCAGTTGATAGCTGTAAGGTATGAATTACCATCTTTGTAGGTCAAAAACCATCAAATATTGGCAACTTCGTACAATTGGGCCTAATATGTAAACCCCAGGTCACCATCACGCTGTCCTCTTTGCTCTATGGATATCCAGCAGATGAAAGGGATGGTTCTGCTTTGTTATTTTCTTGTTTTCCTGCTTCTTCTGAGGGGGCTTCCCGCTGGCACAATCTAACAAACTTCAGAGAGGACGAAGTCAGTCTCTGCTGTCATCAGTGTTCACAGACAGTAGTTTCAAAGTGTGTACCACATGAAGTTGCAGTCTTCCAACCTTCCAGCCAGTGTGTATGGAAATAACCTGAATTGTATTAATAGCAGTTCTTCAATGTGGGCCTGCTGGGGGATGCTTGGTTGTTTTCCGTTGTTTGTTCCCTGGGTGCCCGTCTTGGGCAAGCATTTCTCTGATGTCTCTATTTATGTGGCAGGTCACCCTGCTGATTGCCTTCATCTGTGTGCGGAGCTCCCTGTGGACCAACTACAGCGCCTACAGCTACTTTGAAGTGGTCACCATTTGCGACTTGATAATGATCCTCGCCTTTTACCTGGTCCACCTCTTCCGCTTCTACCGCGTGCTCACCTGTATCAGCTGGCCCCTGTCGGTAAGAGAGTGGTCTGGCCCTGTCCTCCGCATGCACAAGTCAGGATGTTAGCTAGAGTACTGAGACCTGACAGAGTTTTTCCCGTCTGCCCATCTCACCTCTTTAACCATTCTTTGCTGCCTCTGCCCTGAATTTCCTATTGTTTGGTGGACATCTCTGCTTGATGTCCTGCTGGTTTTTAAAACTCACTTTCCAGCTACAAGAAGGCTGTGGCTGGCCGGGCGCGGTGGCTCACGCTGGTAATCCCAGCACTTTGGGAGGCTGAGGCGGGCGGATCACGAGGTCAGGAGTTCGAGACCACGGTGAAACCCCGTCTCTACTAAAAAATACAAAAAATCAGCCGGGCGTGGTGGCGGGTGCCTGTAGTCCCAGCTACTCAGAGAGGCTGAGGCAGGAGAATGGCGTGAACCCGGGAGGCGGAGCTTGCAGTGAGCCGAGATCGAGCCACTGCACTCCAGCCTGGGTGACAGAGCGAGACTCCTCTCAAAAAAAAAAAAAAAAAAAAAAAAAAAAAGAAGAAGGCTGTGGCTATTGCCCCATGCTTACTTTCTCAAGCAACAGAGAATGGCTGTGTGTGTATGAGTTGGGAAAAGGAACACGGAAGGAAATTGTAGGTGAAGATGATGGGTATTGATGCTGTTGTGAGGATTGAATGATAGGATTTTCTGGCTAAAAGAGACTAGTGGGGGCTGAGGAGACAGTCAGAAGTTGCCAGACTTTTTCTTCCCACTGTATTATTTTTTAAAGCTTCATTGAGATGCAGTTCATATGCCGTATTGTTCACCCATTTCAAGGGTACAATTCAATGGAGTTTAGTATATTTCCAGAGTTGTCCAACCATTACTACAGTCAACTTGAGAACATTTTCATCATTTCAGAAAGAAATTCCATACCTTTTAGCTGTCACCTCCCTACCACTCATCCCTCCAGTCCTAAGCAATCACTAATCTTCTGTCTCTAAAATTTTTCTACTCTGAACGTCTCATGTAAATGGAATTGTATATGTGGTCTTTTGTAACTGGCATCTTTCACTTAGCTGAATGTTTTCATGGTTCATCCATGTTGTAGCAGGTATCAGTATTTCATTCCTTTTTTTCTTTTTAGAGACAGGGTCTCACTCTGTCACCCAGGCTAGAGTGCAGTGACGTGATCGCGACTCACTGCAGCCTCAACCTCCCAGGCTCAGGTGATCTTCCCACCTCAGCCTCCCGAGTAGCTGAGACTACAGGTGCATGCCACCACACCTGGATAATTTTTGTGTTTTTTTTTTTACAGAGATGAGGTTTCATTGTGTTGCCCAGGCTGGTTTCAAACTCCTGGCCTTAAGCAATCCTCCCACTTTGGCCTCCCAAAGTGCTGGGATTACAGACATGAGCCACCATGCCAGCCTTTTTATAACCAAATTTTATTCCATTGTGTGGATAGACCAGACTGCATTTTGTTTTTCATTCATCTTCAGTGGACCTTTGGGTTGTTTTTACCTTTTGGCTATTATGAATAATGCTGCTATGAGCATTCATATACAAGTTTTTTGTGTGGACATATTTTCATTTTTCTCTGGTATGTATCTAGGAGGGGAATTACTGAGTCATATGGTCACTTTGTGTTTAATTGTTTGAGGAACCGCCAGACTGTATGCCAAAGTGGCTCACTGTTTTACATTCCCACCAGGAGTGTATGAAGGTTCCAGTTTCACAACATCTTTGCCAACACTTATTATCTGACTTTCTGATTCCAGCCATTCTAGTGAGTGTAAAGTGTTATTTCCTGTGGTTTTGATTTTCATTTCTCCAGTGACTAATGATGTTAATCATCTTTTCATGTGCTTTTGGCCATTTGTATATTTTCTTTGAAGAAATGTCTATTCGAGTCCTTTGCCTATTTTTTAATTAGGTTATTTGTCTTTTCATTATTGAGTTGTGAGAATTCCTTCTATAGTCTGGATAAAAGTCCCTTATCAGCTATATGACTTGAAAATATTTTCTCCCATTCTGATGTTTTTCACTTTTTTGATGGTGTCCTTTAAAGCACAAGTTTTTAATTTTGATAAATTTAGTTTATTTATTTTTTTTCTTTTTTAGCTCACGCTTTTCTTACATATAAGAAGCCATTTCCAAATTCAGATTGTGAAAATTTACTTCTATGTTTTCTTCCAAGAGTTTTATAGTTTTAGTTTATACATTTAGGTATTTGATCCATTTTGAGTTAATGTTTTTTGCATAGGGTGTGAGGTAAGGGTTCAATTTCATTCTATTGCATGTAGATATCCAATTATCCCAGCATCATATGTTGAAAAGACTATTCTTTCCCCCATTGAATGGCATTGGCACCCTTGTTGAAATCAGTTGACCATTAAATACATGGATTTAGTTCTGGACTCTCAATTCTATTCCATTGATCTATGTGTCTGTCGTTATGCCATTATCACACTATTTTGATTACTGTAGCCTTGTAGTAAGTTGTAAAACTAGCAAATATGCAGCCTCCCAATTATTCTTCTTTTTTAGGATTGATTTGGATCGTTACAATTCCATGTGAATTTTAGAATCGGGTTTTCAATTTCTACAAAAATCAGCTGGGATTATAATAGGAATTATGTTGAATCCATAGATCAATTTGGAGAATATTGCTATCCTAATAATATTGTCTTATCCATGAACATGGGAAGTTTTTCCATTTTTTTAGATAATCTGTTATTTCTTTCAATGTTTTGTAGTTTTCAGAGTAAAAGTGTTTTTTGTTTGTTGCTTTGTTTGAAACAGGTTCTTGCTCTGTTACCCAGGCTGGAGTGCAGTGGCAAGATCATAGCTCCCTGCATCCTCAAACTCCTGGGCTCAAGCAATCCTCTTGCCTCAGCCTCCCAAAATGCTGGGACTACAGGCATGAGCCACTGTGCCTGGCCTGAACTTTTTAAATTAAATTTGTGTCTGAGCATTTTATTCTTTTTGATGCTATTTTAAATCAATTTTTTTCTTAATTTTATTTCCAGATTGTTCATTGCAAGTGCATAGGAATCCAATTACTTTTTGCATATTGATTTGTGTCCTCAACTGTGCTGAACTACTTAGTAGTTCTAATATATTTTTCTAATATATTTTTAGTGGATTCCATAGGATATTCTGTAAACATGATCTGCAAATAGAGATATTTTTACTTCTTCCTTTATAATCTGGATGCCATTTATTTCATTGTCTTGCCTTATTGCAAGAAATTAGTTGACTAAATTAGACAAATATTGAATAGAAATGGCAGAGCAGCCATCATTATCTTTTTCCTCATGTTAGGAGGAAAGCATTCCTTCTTTCATCATTAAATATAACATTGGGTGTGAGTGTTTTGTAGAAGCCCTTTATCAAGTTGAAGTTCCCTTCTAGCATTACTTTGTTGAGTGTTTTTATCATAAAAGAGTATTAGATTTTGTCAAATGCTTTTTCCGTATCTACTGAGGTGATGAGTTTTTCTCCCATTATTAGTATGGTGTCTTACATTGTTTTTTGTTTTTTTTGTTTTGTTTTTTTAGACAGGATCTTGGTCTATCATCCAGGCTGGAGTGCAGTGGTATAATTATGGCTCACTGCAGCCTTTATTTCTCAGGCTCAAGCGATCCTCCCACCTCAGCCTCTTGAGTAGCTGGGACCACAAGTGTGCACCACCATGCCTGGCTAATTTTTTTTTTGTTTTTGGTAGAGATAAGGTCTCCCTATGTTGCCCAGGCTGGTCTTGAACTCTTGGGCTCAAGTGATCCTCCTTCCTCGGCCTCTGAAAGTGTGGCGATTACAGGCATGAGCCCCCACACCTGGCCTGGTTTGTTTGTATATGTTGGGCCAACCTTGCATTCCTGGGGTAAATTCCATTTGGCCATAATGTATAACCCATTTTATATGCTGGTATATTCAGTTTGCTAATATTTTGTTGAGGATTTTTTGCATCTGTATTTAAAAGAGATATTGGTCTGTAGTTCTCTTTTTTTCTGATGTCCATCTGGTTCTGGTATCAAGTTAATACTGGCCTCACAGAATAATTTAGGAAATATTCCCTCCTTTTTTATCTTTTGAAAGAGTTTGTGCAGAATTGGTATTAATTATTCCTTAACTATTTGGTAGAATTTAGCAGTGACACTGGGTCTCAGCTTTTCTTGTGGGTAATTTTTTTTATTGTTAATTCGAACTCTAATTTTACCATCTTTTCAGATTGCATCATTTATTCTGGAGTCAATTTTAGTAGTATATATGTCTAGGAATTTGTCCATTTCATCTAAGTCATTGAATTTATTGGCATGCAATTGTTTATTGTATTTCTTACATTCTTTTTATTTCTGTAAGTGCAGTAGTAATGTTTCCTCTTTCGTTTGCATCTTCTCTCTCTCTTTCTCTTTGATCAATCTAGCTGAAGATTTGTCAATCTTGTTGATCTTTTCAAGAACCAGCTTTTGGTTTCATTGATTTTTTTATTGTTTTCCTATTATCTTAATAAATGTTGCTTTAATCTTTATTTTTTTTCTTTCCTCTTCTTGCCTTAGGTTTAGTTTGATCTTCTTTTCCTAGTGTCTTAATGTATAATATAGTTTGGATATCTGTCCCCTCCAAATCTCATGTTAAAATTTGATTCCCAGTGTTGGAGGTGGGGCCTAGTGGGAGGTGTTTGGATCATGGGGGCAGATCCCTTGTGAATGACTTGGTGCTGTTCTAGTGGTAATAAGTGAGTTCTTGCTCTGTTAGTTCCCATGAGAACTGATTATTAAAGAGAGGCTGGCACCTTCCTCCCCTCTCTCTTGCTTCCTTCCTCTTGGCTGTGTGATGCCTGCTCACCTTCACCTTTGCTTCAGAAAGTAGAAGCTCCCTGAAGCCCTCACCAGAAGCAGATACAGGTGCCATGCTTCTTGTACAGCCTACAGAACCATGAGGCAAATAAACCTCTTTTCTTTATTTGTTGCCCAGCCTTGGGTATTCCTTTATTAAAACAACGCAAAACAGACTAAGATGATGTGGAAGGTCATCATCTAATTTGAGACCTTCCTTCTCCTTTAATATTGGCATTTACAGCTATAAATCTCCCTCTGATAACTGTTTTACTTGTATTCCATAATTTTGGTATATTGTGTCTTCATTTTCATACATCTCCAGGTATTTTCTGATTTCTCTTATGATTTTTTTTCTTTGATCCATTCATTATTTAGGAATATGTTGTTTAATCTCTATATATTTCCCTGATTTCCCTCTGCTCTTGATTTCTAATTTGATTCCATTGTGTTCAGAGAACATATTTTGTAGTCCTTCTTACCTTTATTGAAGTTTGTTTTATGGTCTGATATATCGTCTATCCTGGACAATGTTCTGTGTACATCTGAGAAGAATGTACTTTTATACATTGTATATTTGTATATTATACTTTTGCTGGATAGAGTTTTTATAGAGGATTTTTAGGTCTAGTCATTTTATGGTGTTGTTTGAATCTTCTATTTCCTTGTTGACCTTCTACCTGGTTGTTCTATACATTGCTGAAAGTAGGGATATTGAATTCTCCAACTATTATTTTTGAATTGTCTGTTTTTCTCCTTCATTTTTCTCATTTTTCACTTCATGTGTTTTGGCTCTTTTATTAGGTGCATATACGTTTATAATTGTTATATCTTACTTACGGATTCAGCTTTTCATTGTTATAAAATGTCCCTCTTTATTTCTAGTAACTTTTTTTTGTGTTCGATTCTATTTTGTCTGATGCAGTGTAGACACCCTGGCTTTCTTTTGGTTGTTGTTTGCGTGCCATTTCCTTATCTTTGAATATAAAGTCTCTCTCCCATAGACAGCACATACTGTAGTTATTTCTCGTTTTGCTTTGGTTTTTTAATCCAATCTGACCACCTCTGCATCTTGATTAGATTGTTTAATTGTTCACACTTAACACTATTACCCACTGTTATTTTGAGAGAAATTTCTTTTGTGTTTCTAAGTTCTAAGGCCCCTTTCAAAGTTATGGCATTTTTTTCTGCTTCTTTTGAGAACAAATTCCTCTGGGGCTTACCTGATGCAGATACTGAACAAGCAAAGGAGAGAACAAAAGCTCAGGGACAAGCACAAGAGTGGGCTGCATGAGGAGTGAAAGTTGGAAGGACAGACTCAGCCACACATTTTTGGCTGAGATACTATTTAAGTACTTCCGGTTAGGATTCTCTCAAGTTGGTTTTCTCTGCCCCATGTCATCCTCCTCTGTCTTAATAGTTGAGAATCTTGGAGGTGGGGAACTTGCAGTTACTCATCTGTTCTTCAGTTAAAATCTCTGTGATCTATCTTGTGATATTCCTTTCTAGTCACTAAGGGAGAAACCAGGGTCTTTGATTTTACATAGCTTTGAGAGGAGCTACAGCTTTAAATTGGAATGCTTTTCCAAAATTTAATAGCTGCCTGCCCTAAGGGGCAGAACTTCATGAAGGAATGATTTCTAGATTCTCATTGAAGACAACTGAAAATGGATGCACCCTGGATTCAGAGCAAGCACTGGAAGTGGCCCCCAGCCTCAGTTCTTCTCGGATCTGATGTTTAATGGGGAAGAGAAAGGGTGAGATGGAAGCTTTCCCTCGCCACTGAAAGGCCCATCTCATCCAGGGCCTGCAAGGATGCTGATTAATCATGATGAGTGAGTGGGGTGGAAATGCATGGCCCATGGGCCAAGGCGAGAAGCAAAGGTGGAACCAGTCCTGCCAGTGGATTCATTGGCAGAGCTTGGCCGGGAGGGCACTCTTCTGGAGAAAAGAGAAGAGGGAATGACAGGAAAAAAAAAAAAAAAGGCAGGAAGGCTCAGGAGTGAGAAAGCCAGCTGCCACCACACATCCACAGGCACTTCACAGAAGTGCCACTGACCTCATTCTAGAGTCTGAGTCTGACGGGACCCTGGGAATGAATACCTCTCAAGTCCACACTTGGGGCCATTCACAGAGTGGGCTGACACTCCCATCAGTCACACAAGACCAGCACATTGTTAGCCCAGAACTTTCTCCGAAGCAGAAGAGAAAGGCAAATATCTCTTTAAGGTACTTTGCTTCTCCGAGCTGGAGCTTTGTTTAAACTCTCCAGCCGGGAAGTTGCAAGAAGCTCGTTTGCTTTTTAGTAGCTTTAGCCAGAGGTTAAGGCACTGTCCACAGATTGCTCTCAGGAGTAGAGGAGTCCTTAGTGGCTATCTCTGCTCACACCAGAAGCTTCCTTTCTCTCTGTCCTCTTCCCTTCCTGCCTGCCCGGCATCACTTCTGTCTTGCTTGGCCTCTTCCTGGTCAGCCCGCATGTTGGCTGCCTGCGAGCGGCTCTGCTCATCCCATTTGCGTGTTGCAAGGGAGAAGAGGAAGCGTCACTCTCTCCCTTTCTTTTCATGTCTTCTGATGCCCAGTTGCTCTTCCCGGACCAGAAATGGACGGCCCTACCCACTTATTTGCTTTGTTTCTGCCCCCAGGAACTTCTGCACTATTTAATCGGTACCCTGCTCCTCCTCATCGCCTCCATTGTGGCAGCTTCCAAGAGTTACAACCAGAGCGGACTGGTAGCCGGAGCGGTGAGGATGTTTTGGGGAGCCTTTAGGAATGAATTCTTATTTAAAATGCTCATTTTCTTCCTGATGGGGGAAGAGAAGGGCTTGGTTTCTGGGGCATTCCCTTCATAGAATCAATACCTACCTTGATCCAGCCATCAGCTCTCTCCAAAGAGCCTTAAGCAGAGGCGTACAGTCCCAGAAGGTGGATTGTCAGGGCTGCCAGCAAATTCATAGACCCCAGCAGCCCAGGCCTCTCTCTCTTACAGGCACTACTGAAATCAGGGGGCCAGGCGGGTTTTAATTCACACACCCACTCTGATCATTTGCTCGTTGGCTGCCTCAGCACTATGCAGAGACAGATGCTGGAGCCTCTTTTGGGCCCAGTGGGAAATGTACTGTGATCAATTAGAGATACATGCCATGAGCCTGAGCTTTGCCATTCCTGATTTTTAACAGTATTCAGGCCAGGAAATAATACTCCTGTATCTTTCAGAGGCAAAAATTGATCCATCTGATAGCCATAAATAGAAGTAGATGGAAATATACAAAAATACAGTCCTGTGAGATATATACATACATATATATGTATATACATACAGATGTATATGCTATTTTTTTAAAGATTCATAGATTCCTGTCATCTGATTTCTGATTTAGCTAACTATTTATAGTTCAGTGGCCTGTGGGCCAACACTGATTTGCTTCACTGATGAGCAGACAAGATTTTAAAAATGAGTTTTGAGAAAAGCTCTCTCAAGCCAGATGTGGTAGCTAGCATGCACCTGTAGTCCCAGGCACTCGGCAGGAATGCTTGTGCCCAGGAGTTCGGTCTGGCCTGGGCAACGTACTGAGACCCTGTGTCTTAAAAAAAGAAAAAGAGAAAAAGAAAAGCTCTCTCTGTATGTGACATTCATTGTCTTTCACTTACGTATATTACCAAAATTTTCCAGACTTTGGCCTGGGAGTGGGTTGGCTCCTGGAATTCCACTGAGGGATGGAGTCTCTCCTCTGAAGGTCAGCATGGGGGCAGAAGGTCACTGTAGAGGGTGGCCAAACCTCCCAACACTGATGCTCCACATGGCCCTCCCACAGCCCACCATCACACCTCTCTGCCCCCTCTCTCTGCTGTCTCTGAAGAGAGGGATGGTTGCCCCCTGAAGCTTAACACCTGCCCAGCTACAGTGCAGGGTACTGGAAGAGGCACACAGGAGACCTGTGCCCACTGTGTTTCCGGGCCCACTTGAGGAGATTCCCACTGTGTTTAGTAATTCAGGTTGCACATAACTGTTTAGCCCTGGAATCTCTATAGCTAACATTCATCATATGCTGTCTGTGTGCCTAGGACCAAACCTGGGCTATGAGGAAGTTAGAAGAAATTTTTAAAATATGGTCCCTGCTTATAAGAAAGTGGTCATCTAGCTTAGGAGACAAGACACATGAAACAATTAGTAAACAAGGCGTTGTAGTCTAGAATAGCATTCTGTAGCGATATAATAAACTGTTCAATTATGCAGTGCAGACAGTTGGGGACCGGGATGGTATATAACGTGCTAATTGTGCAGAACAGACAATGAGAGGCCGGGACAGGCTCTAATAGGCTAATTATGTGCTGTAGACAATTGGTACAAAAGGAGCCCAGGAAAAGAAACCCGGGGAAGAAGTGGATGTGGGCTGGTGGGGGCAGCTGTTTATGTAAAGCAGCATCTGGGCTTGAAAAGAAAACCAAACCTTGTTGAAAATCCTACCCTTAGCTGCCCCTGCGCCATTCTCACTGGACACCAGTGGCGGTGTAGTGAAGTGGAGGCCTTTGTGTGGGTCTGAGAACACCTAGGCACCCGGTACTGCAGAGTGCGGACTCTGGAGCCAGGCTCCCTGGGCTCCCATCCCATATCTGGCCCTTGCTGGCTCTGTGGCCTTCGGCAAAACAGATGACCGCCTGTACCTCTGTTTCTTTAGCTGTGAAATGGAGGAGCAGGGTGGGTAATCCTAGCACCCACCCAGCAGAGTTGTGAGGGTTAAAGGAATCAATACACCCACAGGGCCTCACACCCTGGTAGGGATGTAGTAAAGTGGTCAGTAAGTTTTCACCACTGCAGCTGCCGGTGTTGTTCACAAGCAAGGAAAATGGCTGCAGGCTTCAAAGCCCAGAGATTCCAGAAGAAGCTACTGCCTCTTCCTCGACCATTTGATGAGCCTCCCACAGGCACTCTTCGTCTCCCAGCACCCGAATCTCATCTACAAGTGAGGGGGCTGGGCTAGGTCAGCCTTCCTCACACTTGAGCGCTGGATGACCCTGAGAAAGGGAAAGGGTGCTGCCTTGACTTAGTTGAGTCTAATATTGTTTAATATGTACAAACGTAAACCTAGATGTAAAGGCCTCGGCTTCTGGCTCTAATACGGCTATGAAGCCAGAATGGAACAGAAAGTCATTACAAATGAAATGCGAACAACGCCACTACACCACAAATCATGGGAACGTTCAGATTTTTTTAACCCAAATTAAAATTTCATCCTTTTCTTCTCTTTTGGTCCAGGATAATCAAAGTCCATTGGCTTAGCCCCAGCTTGCTTGTAAATGTAAACCCAGACCAGGCACTGAAGCTGCCAAGAGTGAAGACCGAGAGGCCTGGCTGCCAGCCCTGACCTGGCCCAACCTGGAGGACTGGGGCCAGTGGCTGGGCCTCGCGGGGCTTCCTCTCTGCACCTGATCCAGGATGAGGTGGTTGGGTTAGATGACTCTCCAAGCTCCTTTCTGGCCAGAGACATGAAGGGAACAAGCACAGAGATGAGAAGCAGACAGGATTGCCCGAGTAATTAGCCCTATGGCCTGTGAACTTCCTCTCCCCTCTCTCCACTGCAGATCTTTGGTTTCATGGCCACCTTCCTCTGCATGGCAAGCATATGGCTGTCCTATAAGATCTCGTGTGTAACCCAGTCCACAGGTGAGTTCTGGTTATCTGTGCACAGAGGATCTCTCAGGAACAGGGGGATGGCTTGTTCTTGACTTCAGCCATAGGGACAAACCCTGCTGTTGAGAAGGCTGTGTTCCAAGGGGACTTTAGAAGTAGTATTAGAGCACAGGGGCCAGCAAAGGGGAAGATGTGACCCCAGAATCTCCCCTCACATTCCCATCTCCACACATCCAAGGATGCCCTAACATTTCAGCCTCGGGTGGCCAAGCTTTTTTCTCTTTCTTGCTTCCTTTCTTTCTTTTTCTTTACTTTTCTTTTTTTTTTTTTGAGATTGGGTTTTGCCCTGTTGTCCAGGCTGGTGCAGTGGTACGATCAGAGCTCACTGCAGCCTCCGCCTCCCAGGCTCAAGTGATCCTCCAACCTCAGCCTCCTGAGTACCTGGGACTACAGGTGTGCACCACCATGCCTAATTTCAATTTTTTTTTTTTTTTTTTTTTTTTTTTTTTTTTTAGAGTTGGAGTCTCACCATGTTGCCCAGGCTGGTCTCAAACTCCTGGGCTCAAGCAGTCCTCCCACCTCAGCCTCTGAAAGTGCTGGGATTATAGACATGAACCACCGCACCCAGCCAGCTTTTTCTTAAGTTTCCTAATGACAAAAATAAAATGTAGGTTTTTAGAAAATACAGATAAAAAATATGTTTAATAGAAACCGTCTGAACCAGGGACAGTGGTGTGTACCCATAGTACCAGCTACTCAGGTGGCTGAGGCAAGAGGATCACCTGAGCCCAGGAGTTTGAGACCAATCTGAGCAACATAGTCAGACTCCGTCTCTTAAAAAATAAAATAAAATAAGAAAAAGCCATCTGTCATCACACTACCCAGAAGTAGCACTGAGTATCCTTTCGATATTTTCTCTCTGAAAATATATATATCTGTTGCTTTTATTAAAAGGATCAAACTTCATGTGCTGTTTCATAATATGTTTTTTCTCCTACTTAGCCACTGACCAAACATTTTCCCAACATCATTAGGAATTCTTAGCAACTCCGTGGGTTGCAGCATTAAGTCCATCGCATGACTGTGCAGTTTATTTAACTTGCCTCCTCTTTGAGGGCATTACTCATGGAATCCTACACTGAGCCCATGTAGTGTAGGATTCCACTAATAAGAATCGTCTAGAGCAGGCAGATTCATAGAGACACAAGGTAGACCCATGGCGGCCTGGGGCTGCTGGGAGAGGACTCAGGTGTGACTGCTAATGAGGATGAGGCTTCTTTTTGAGGTGATGAAAAGGCTCTAAAATTGTGGTTGCACAGTCCTGTGAATATACTGAAAAACACTTTAGATGGGAGAATTGTATGGTATGTGAATTATTAAAATATCCCAGTAAAGCTGTTTAAGAAAAAAAAGAATGATTTTTAAACGTAGAGAATATAGGGGAAAAGAGAAGTTAATAGGTGGTGTCTAACAGGATAAATCTATAAATATTGGTATAAATTGGTTTTTTGAATTATGGAAGAATCACCAAAAGAAATGGCTAAAAGGCTTGGGAGGTTGCTGCTGAGGAGTAAGACTGAGGTCGGGGGAGTGCGGATGGGAGTCACCTCTGCACTACCGAAGTTTTTTCCTTGTTTGGAAATGTATTTTTAAAAAATGGAATAATCTCAGTGCAAGTCGGCACTGGGTGGAGGACACAGGTGCCCCCCTGAGCAGAACTTGGAGTCAAACCTGTGGAGTGTGGCTTGTGGGTGGGCCACATCCCTGGCAAGCTGTCCTGACTGCCATTTCCTTCCCAAGATGCAGCCGTCTGATGAGGCCACAACCCCTAGGCCCCTCAGGAGCTTTGCAGAGAGGAGGACGTGTACTCCAGGCGAGGCCTCTGGACCTGTGTTCCTGTGCCAAAGTCCTGTCAGGCTGGTGGGCACCAGGAAAGGCCTGCACCCTCTTCCTGCTCTCCCAGGAAGCCAGCTCCCTGAGCTCCTGAGCCAGCCGGAAACTCTTCCTCCAGCCTTCCGGGGAGAACATCCCTCCCATTCTGGGAAAGGAAAGCAGCCTCCAGGGAAATGTTTTCTGCCTTCCTGCTTCTAGAACCACCTCAGGTACTGATGAACCCCACTTAGCACAGCTGAAGGGGTTTGTGAATACTCCCGCCTAAATCCCTTCTACTTCACTCCTCAGGGGAGTGAAGTGCCTTAAGAAACAAAGCCCTGTCCTAATTTATCTAGCTTGTCAGTCCGGTCTTAGAGATACCCTCTTTCCTGAAGTGAGGCGTGCCTGTAGAAACACTATGTGGTCAGCCTGTCCCCAAGGAGATCTTGTGTCTCCTCTCCATCTCTGCCTTTGTTACCAGTGTGCATGTGTTTGTGTGTTTTTTAATAAAATATTGACTCGGCCAGTTGCACAAGGATTTCTTATTGAACCAGATGAAGGCTGTAAAACCTGGCCTGAAACAGTTTCCATTCGAGCTTGTGTCTGGCCCATGGCCCTCCACCCGTGCTCTGTGTGTGCCCCTTGCTGAACTGCTGGACTTCAGGTTTTCTCTCCATCTTGGGGGATAGTATAGCAGGGCAGAGTTTTAGGTAAACATGTGCAGGTTCTCAATTATATTCACGTCCTCCTTCTCCTGCAATACCAATCTTCTCATTTTGGAAAGAGCTTTAGAGCAAGCTAAGGGTTGTGTTTACACTATGATGATTAATGATCTCGGCCTAAATGTGCTGTTTCGCTGATCTTGAGCTGCTCAGTTGGCTAGAAAAAGGAGGGATGGAACAATGTTTGAGCAACCCCGTGTGCAAGGACCTACATTCACAACCACATCTAATAGCGATGGTAGTGACTGCAAGGGGGCAGGTTATAGGACCACATTTTTAGAAATGAAATCGGGGCTCCATCCCCAGGCACAGGGCAAGCCAGTGAGGAGCTGGGCTCAGGATCTAGGTCTGCCTGACTCCCAGCCCCATCCTTGCCTCTGCTGAGTGTTGCCGGAAATGGAAGCAGCCCCTGTGGGCTTTGAGCTGGAGCTCTGGGGCTACTCTTGTGGCTGCTGGCCAGCTCGGGGCATCGGGTTCTGTCTGGGATGATCTAAGGAAGCAGCACCCGTGGTGTATCTGGAGCCGAGTGCTGCTGATGGGAGGGGATCCTGTGTACCAGCTGGGCTGGAGCGGGAACATGGCTGAGCTGACCCTGGCACAGTCGGCTCCTCCAGGGCAATGGAATGGAGGAGTCTCAGCTGAGGAGGGCACGGTCCAGGTGAGGCATTGGGTCTGGGAGCCCCCTGCCTGTGTAGTGACAATGCAGGCCTCGCCAAGCAACGAGGATCCGGGTTTGACCATTTGAGCATCCCCCTAGGAGGGCAAAGGTGGGTGGAGGACAGTTGGAGGAATAGTAGCAGGAGCCAGAGTCTGCTCAGTGAGGAAGGAAAGCAAAACGCAGAGCCAAGTGAGGCCTCCACAGACAGCGAGCAGTGGACCATGCAGCCAGTGGCTTGGCTGAGGGGTGGCTGTTTGAGACCACAGGGCCTTTTTAGAAACTGGGGTTTCTGTGACCTCCCAAAAACTGTCTGGTAAAACCATCCCTTCTAAATGGCCACATCTCCAGCACCAGGGAGTAAATGTTTAAGCAAAGAGCTAAGGATGGTGGAAAGACAGTCAGGCTGGGAGCCGCAGACGTGGGGTTGAGCCCAGCTCTGCCATTGACTAGCCCCCGACTTGGCACGGGTCATCTTGCTGAACCTTAGTTCCCCCTTTGTATAACGGAGAGAATAAGCCCATCCTGGCCTGTCTGTGACCTCCTTGGAATTCAGTAACAGAGCAGCGTGCTTACTTATCGTTATCTTTCTAATCTTAATCCCCAGAGAGGTACCAGAATGACAGGAAATGAGCAGGTTAATGTTGCAAAAGTGATCGAATCACCTGGGTGCAAGGGAGCTGGAGAACATAATTTACTTTCAGTTTCCTGGACCTTAAATTTTGTTAAAGTCAAGATTGGAAGCTGAGGGCAGTTTTCAGCCGGGCGCTGGGACCCATGGTGGACAGAGGGCATGATGAAACACCTGTAGGGAACTGGGTGGGTGAACGCATCCCCAGCAGCCGGCTCTGAGCTGAGTCGTGGGGGTCCTCCCTGCCAGAGGCCCACTAACCTCGTCTAACCTGGTGAAGGGGACACTGGCTTTTCACTTTTGAAGTATGACAATGACCTTCAGATCCTCTGCTTCTCCAGTTCTTTTAGCCCCAGTGGCGCCCCAGCCACTCAGGTACGTTCTAGAAGCAGGGCCAGCACCTTTGAGCCCCAGTCATCTTGGCAACCTCTGCACACAGCTGGCTCTCCATTGGCAATTGAGGATGCTGTTGACAGTAGGGAGAAGGAGACCCTCTGGTTTCCCTATGGTGACTCACTCCTCCTGGACACAGCTTCAACCCTAGGGAGTGAATATCTAAGCCGGGGGGCAGTGCCATTCAGCTGCCCCATGGAGGACCAGCCCCTAAACCCAGGCATTAACTCATCACAGTGCAGCACGGCCTGGGGAAGCCGACCAGCCTTCCTCCAAGAAATTGAGATGCAATAGGTCTGAAATGAGAGCCAGGAATTCCTAAGCCTTGTCCACAAAGTGGATATCACCTGGCAGCTGGTTAGAATTGCAGGATCCCAGCCCCACAAAGACCAACTAAAATAGAATCATCTGCATCATAACCGAGTCCCAGTGGTGTGTGTGCATTGCAGTATTTGTGAGACACTGTTGGAATCAAAGATGCTGTAAAGTGGGTGCAACTCTGAGGCTGATTTCACCAAAGGGGGAAGGAGATGAGAAATGGTGTCAGTTGGCGGGTTTCTGAAGCAAACCCTACTTCTCACTGGATCCACAGCTGCATTGGAAGAAAGATTCCTTTTAAGAAGTAGTTAATGGGCCGGGCGCGGTGGCTCATGCCCGTAATCCTAGCACTTTGCGAGGCCTAGGTAGGTGGATCACCTGAGGTCAGGAGTTCCAGACCAGCCTGGCCAACATGGCGAAACCTCTTCTCTACTAAATACAAAAAATTAGCTGGGCGTGATGGCATATGCCTGTAATCCCAGCTACTTGGGAGGCTGAGGCAGAAGAATCACTTGAACCCGGGAGGCGGAGGTTGCAGTGAGCCGAGATTGCGGCGCCATCGCACTCCAGCCTGGGCAACAAGAGCAAAACTCCATCTCAGGAAAAAAAAAAAAAAAAAAAAAGAAGTAGTAGCTAATGGATGATGGATGCTGGGCTTAGTACCTAGGTGATGGGTTAATCTGTGCAGCAAACCACCATGGCACACGTTTACCTATGATGTGCATCCTTCACATGGACCCCGGAACTTAAAATAAAAGTTGATTAAAAAAATTTAAAAAGCACCTCCACTGCCTCCTGTCTTGGCATTTTCGAATTCCTGACCCTTCCCATATTCTGGCTTCAGCCCTCAGAGACCCTTGCCCCTCTGGGCACTGTGGGGACCCAGAGGCAGAGCAGAGGGTGTGGGGAACCTCATAGTCCCTGGATCCTGGGAGCTTTCGAGGAAGGCTGGCCAGAGCTCTGGGGCCTGGGGTGAGGCACATACAGCCACACTCTAGCCCCAGGGGACAGGTGAGAAAATAACGTGCTCCACTCCCCTCCCACTGAGGCCAGATATCGCAGAGCTTTGTGAACTAGGAAGAGGGAGCTCACTGGAAGGAGGGTGACTGTACTCCTGCTGCCCCAGGGAGGAGCAGCTGCGGAAATGAAGGGGCTGCTTCATGCTACCTGGGGGAACCCCTGAGTTTCTGTGCCCCACTGGAGTTAAGAAGAGTAGAGTTTGAAGAAGATACTGATCTCGAGATTTCCGTGTTTTGTACTGTTTGTACAATACGTAAAGCACTACTCAAAAGCAATACAGACAGCCTTAAAGAGGAAGGAAGTTCTGCCACATGGTATGATACAGATGAAACCCGAGGACATTATGCCAAGTGAAATAAGCCAGACATGGACAGACAGATACTGCGTGATTCCACTTACAGGAGGTACCTAGGGTGGTCAAAATCACGGAGACAAAATCTAGAAGGGCGGTTGCCAGGGCCAGGGGAAGGGGGAATGGGAGTTATTATTTAATGGGTACAGTTTCAGTTTGGGAAGATGAAAAATTCTGGAGATGGATGGCCATGGTGGTTCTGCAACAGTATGAATGAATGCACTTAATGCTACTGAACTGTACATCTAAAAATAGTTAAGATGGTCAATTTTATTTATTTTACCATAATTTTTTTTTTTCTTGAGACGGAGTCTTGCTCTGTCACCCAGGCTGGAGTGCAGTGGCGCGATCTAGGCTCAC
Source organism: Homo sapiens (assembly GCF_000001405.40). Lineage (NCBI taxonomy): Eukaryota > Metazoa > Chordata > Mammalia > Primates > Hominidae > Homo > Homo sapiens. The sequence goes on from NC_000003.12 coordinate 32,458,764, forward strand.
TGCAAGCTTTGCCTCCCAGGTTCAAGCCATTCTCCTGCCTCAGCCTCCTGAGTAGCTGGGACTACAGGCACCTGCCACCACGCCCAACTAATTTTTTTTGTATTTTTAGTAGAGACGGGGTTTCACCATGTTAGCCAGGATGGTCTCGATCTCCTGACCTCGTGATCCACGCGCCTCGGCTTCCCAAAGTGCTGGGATTACAGGCGTGAGCCACCGCGCCTGGCCACCATAATTTTTTAAAAAGCAATTCAGGGCCAGGTTCAGCAGTTCATGCCTATAATCTCAGCACTTTGCGGGGCTGAGGCAGGCAGATCACCTGAGGTCGGGAGTTCAAGACCAGCCTGGCCAACATGGTGAAACCCCATCTGTACTAAAAACACAAAAATTAACTGGGCATGGTGGCGCACGCCTGTAGTCCCAGCTACTCAGGAGGCTGAGGCACGAGAATTCCTTGATCCTGGGAGGTGGAGGTTGCAGTAAGCCAAGATCACAGCACCACACTCCAGCCTGGACAACAGAGCAAGATTCTGTCTAAAAAAAAAAAAAAAGAAAAAAAAGAAAAGAAAAAGTCAATTCAGGACCTATGTCTAGGCACCTCAGTAGCTGAAAGAGCAAAAATTACACCAACCCAAAATGGCAACCCACAGCCCAACAGTGGCCACCCCATGTTCTAACAGCTAAGCATTATGGGTCCTGGAGAACACAGCTGTAGGGTATGTTTGTCTTCTCTAATCCAGGCTCTCTGGGAGCTGTTCAACCCAGGGGCCTTGTGGAACCCAAACTGTGTACCCACCACCCCTGCTCCCAGAGCAGTTACAGCCAGGTGGATCCAAGCAAAGATGTGAGAGGAGGGAAGGATGCACCCATGGGGGAGGAGCAGGGAGCCAGGGGAGCCATCCTGGCAACCTGAGGCCCCAGGAAAGGGTGTTGGCACCGGTGGCCGCAAGGGGCACTGGGAGATGAGGCCGACGGCCATCTGCTCACATCCCCCACCACAACCAGCCCGTTCCCTGGCCTTGCTCTTGGGGAGGTAGGGAGGAAGGCTGAGGGGGGGTGCCATCCCTTGGGCACACCTCTGCCAGGTTTTCTCATTACCCACAAGAGTGGCAGAAAACTGTTGCTCAGCCAGGCTCTGGAAGACTACAGCATCTGTGGGGTTTTCTGTAATAGGGAGGCCCGTGGCAATAGAACCCCCAATCTTTGAGGACAGTGTAGCGGGGAGACCGGAGGAGAAAGCCAAGTGGAAGGGAGATTAGTGATGGAGCCCGGTGAAGACGCCCAGGCCTGGCTGTCTTCTGGGCGTGGCCTAGGACCACCCCACTGCGGGCTGCTGGGATGACAGGGCAGGGCCAGAGCTGGATGTCTGCAGACGGACCCAGAGGGAGAACAAGTGTGTTCCTGAAGGAGGCCCCCTTAACCCCGGCCTGAGGCACCCCCTGTGCCACTGCCCTGTGCTGAGCTCAGCCTGGCTTCCAGCCAGGCCACTGAAGAGGCCCCAGGTAGGGGAAGACAGACCCAGAGCTGGCCCATTCTCTGGGCCACCCACCTGCAAGCCTCTACACTAGCATGAAAAGCAAACTTCTGTTGCCATGGAAACACAGCAGGTCTTTGGGGCCCCTCCTCAGCAACCACCACTTCCCTCCTTTGTGGCAGTTTCTGAACTGCATCCTGTGAACTCTCAGAGGTGCTTCAGACTCACAGATACCCGATTTTATGAGTAAAATATATGCAAACACTTAAAACACTCTCCAGCCTTCAATAGCAAACACGGACACTGGGAGCCCCTCGGCCTCCATGCCGTCTGCCCAGGGTAACTCAGCTCGTGCAGCCGCCGTCAGTGCAAGGCCACCCAGAGTGTGAAGCAAGCTGCTAAAAACCCCGCCACCACCTCACTGGGCAAGCCTGGGCTCCTCCATCCTGCGCAACCCAGATGCAGCAGCAGAACAAATCTGACCGTGAAGCTGCAGCTGCAGTTATCTCCTTACTTATCCAAATTGTGGGCTTTCCAAATTAATCCCATTGTTCCTATGCACTGACTTTATAATAAGTAAATGTTATCAATGTAAATTAGTCATTGATATTCATACCATATTTCCCATTTGACATAATGGAGTTTCATGCATAATTTAGATTGAAAAGGGGGATTTCTCTCCTGAAAAAAAAGTGTGGAAACTTTCATGAGTGTCCGTGTGAAGAGACCACCAAACAGGCTTTGTGTGAGCAATAAAGCTTTTAATCACCTGAGTGCAGGCGGGCTGAGTCCGAAAAGAGTCAGCAAAGGGAGATAGGGGTGGGGCCGTTTTATAAGATTTGGGTAGTTAAAGGAAAATTACAGTCAAAGGGGGGTTGTTCTCTGATGGGCAGGAGTGGGGGTCACAAGGTGCTCAGTAGGGGAGCTTTTGAGCCAGGATGAGCCAGGAGAAGGAATTTCTCAAGATAATGTCATCAGTTAAGGCAGGAACAGGCCGTTTTCACTTTTGCGGTGGAATGTCATCAGTTAAGGCAGGAACAGGCCATTTTCACTTTTGTGGTGGAATGTCATCAGTTAAGGCAGGAACTGGCCATCTGGGATATGATGGCTTAGCTTGGGCTCAGAGGCCTGACATTCCTGTCTTCTTATATTAATAAGAAAAATAAAACGAAATAGTGGTAAAGTGTTGGGATGGCGAAAATTTTGGGGGATGGTATGGAGAGATAATGGGCTGCTTCGAGCGGGATTAGGGGTGGTGTGGGGACCTAGAGTGGGAGAGATTAAGCTGAAGGAAGATTTTGTGGTAAGGGGCGATATTGTGGGACTGTTAGAAGAAACATTTGTCATTTAGAATTATTGGTGATGGCCTGGATACAGTTTTGTATGAATTGGAAAACTAAACAGAATAAGAGAAGGAGAAAAACAGGTATTAAAGGTCTAAGAATTGGGAGGACCTAGGACATTTAATTAGAGAGTGCCTAAAGAGATTCAGCATAGTCCTGCCAGCAAAGATTATTTATTTACTTTAAGAGTTAAGAGTGGCAGTTTGGGGATAGCACCAGGAGATATCAGCTGTGATGGCTTGGAGAAACAGTGTAAACTGCCAGTGTAAACAAGAGCAGGGCATGTATGAGTAGTTGAGAACGGTGAATAGGAGTATGACTAGACAGAACATAGTAGGGATGACAAGTTTTTTGGGGCACAGTCTAAGTTGGTCTGGTGTCTGGAATGAGACTGGGGCCTAATAAAAAGGAGCGTCTAAACAGGAGCTTAAATGGGCTGTACTTTGTAGCATTCCGAGGACAAGCCTGAATTCTGAGAAGGGAAAGTGGTAAAAGTATGGTCTAGTCTTTTTTAAGTTGGTGGCTGAGCTTGGTGAGGTGTGTTTTTAAAAGACCTTTAGTCCGTTTACCTTTCCTGAAGACTGAGGACTGTAAGGGAGATAAAGGTTTCACTGAATACTAAGAGCCTGAAAAAATGCTTGGCTGATTTGACTAATAAAGGCCGGTCTGCTATCGGACTGTATAGAGGTGGGAAGGCTAAACCAAGGAATTATGTCTGACAGAAAGGAAGAAATGACCGCAGTGGCCTTCTCAGACCTTGTAGGAAAGGCCTCTACATATCCAGTGAAAGTGTCTACCTAGACTAAGAGATACTTTCGTTTTCTGACTCGGGGCATGTGAGTAAAGTCAACTTGCCAGTCCTGGGCAGGGACAAATCCTTGAGCTTGATGTGTAGGGAAGGGAGGGGGCCTGAACAATCCCTGAGGGGTAGTAGAATAGCAGATGGAACACTGAGAAGTGATCTCCTTGAGGATAGATTTCCAGGATGGAAAGGAAATGAGAGGTTCTAAGAGACGGGCTAGCGGCTTGTAACCTACATGGAAGAGGTTATGAAATGACGACAGAATAGAATGGGCCTGTGAGGCTGGAAGGAGATATTTTCCTTGGTCTAAGAACTATTTGCCTTGTGTGGGAAGAGATTGATAGGTGGAAGTTTCAGCAGGGGAGTAGGTGGGAGTGACTGAGGGGAAGGAGAAAAAGTGAAAGTGAGGGATATAAGTTGGAATGCTAGCTGCTTTTTTAGCTATCTTATCAGCATAAGCATTGTCCTGAGCGATGGGATCTGATGCCCTTTGATGGCCTTTGCAGTGAATGACTCTAGCTTCCTTTGGAAGTAAAGCAGCTTTGAGAAGCATTTTTATTAAAGAGGCATTAATGATAGAGGACATTTGTGTAGTGAGGAAACCTCTTGCATGGAGGTGCAGGATATGGAAGGCATATTTAGAGTCAGTATAAATATTGACATTTAGTCCTTTTGCAGGAGTGAGGGCTTGACTTAAGGCAATGAGTTCGGCTTGCTGAGAGGTAGTGGAGGGGGAAAGAGCGGTAGCCTCAATGATAGATGTGGAAGATACTATAGCATAGCCTGCCTTTGCTGGTGAGTGGAGATTAGGCTTGGTGGAACTGCCATCAATAAGCTAAGTGTGTTCAGGGTGAGGAACATGAAAGAAAGAAATGTGGGGAAATGGGGTGAACGTCAGGTGGATCAGAGAGAGGCAGTCATGAGGGTCAGGTGTGGTATCCGGAATAATGTGGGAGACTCAACAAAGAGTGAGTACAGCTGAAGGAGCCGGGAAGCAGACAGTATATGTGTCAGGTGTGAGGAAGAAAATAGATTTTGGAAGTTATGAGAACTGTAGAGAGTGAGTTGAGCATAGTTTGTGATTTTAAGGGCCTCTAAAAGTATTAGGGCAGTGGTAGCCGCCATACGCAGACTTGAGGGCTAGGCTAAAACAGTAAGGTCAAGTTGTTTGGATAAAAAGGCTACAGGGTGCGGTCCTGGTCCTTGTGTAAGAATTCTGACCGCACTAAGCATGCCTAGGAAGGAAAGGAGTTGTTGTTTTGTAAGGGATTGAGGTTTGGGAGATTAGTCAGATACGATCAGCAGGGAGAGCACGTGTGTTTTTATGAGAATTATGCCCAGATAGGTAACAGATGGGGATGAAATTTGGGCTTGACTGAAGTAATGGGACCTGTCTGTGAAGCCTTGCGGCAGTACAGCCCAGGTAATTTGCTGAGCCTAATGAGTGTCAGGGTCAGTCCAAGTGAAAGCGAAGAGAGGCTGGGATGAAGGGTGCAAAGGAATAGTAAAGAAAGCGTGTTTGAGATCCAGAACAGAATAATGGGTAGTAGAGGGAGATATTGAGGATAGGAGAGTATATGGGTTTGGCACCACAGGATGGGTAGGCAAAACAATTTGGTTGATAAGGCTCAGATCCTGAACTAACCTGTAAGGCTTGTCTGGTTCGAGGACAGGTGAAATGGGGGAATTGTAAGTAGAGTTTATAGGCTTTAAAAGGCCATGCTGTAGCAGGCGAGTGATAACAGGCTTTAATCTTTTTAAAGCATGCTGTGGGATGGGATATTGGCATTGAGCGGGGTAAGGGTGATTAGGTTTTAATGAGATGGTAAGGGGTCCATGATCGGTCACCAAGGAGGGAGTAGAGGTATATTATACTTGTGGGTTAAGGTGGGGGGATACAAGAGGAGGACGCAAAGGAGGCTTTGGATTGGGAAGAAGGGCAGCAATGAGATGTAGCCTTAGTCCAGGAATAGTCAGGGAAGCAGATAGTTTAGTTAAAGTGTCTCGGCCTAATAAGGGAACTGGGCAGGTGGGGATAACTAAAAAGGAGTGCTTAAAAGAGTATTGTCTAAGTTGGCACCAGATTTGAGGAGTTTTAAGAGGTTTAGAAGCTTGACTGTCAATACCTACAACAGTTATGGAGGCAAGAGAAACAGGCCCTTGAAAAGAAGGTAATGTGGAGTGGGTAGCCTCCGTATTAAGAAGGGGACGGACTTACTCTCCACTGTGAGAGTTACTTAGAGCGTCTGTGATGGTCCTGTAAGCTTCTGAGGCAATCAGGCGGTGTCAGTCTTCAGCTGCTAAGCCGAGAAGATCTGGGAAGGAGTCAGAGAGCCTTCAGCCAGAGTTCCAGGGGCTCTGGGAGTGGCTGCCAGGTGAGTTGAACAGTCCGATTTCCAGTGGGGTCCTGCACAGATGGGACACGGCTTAGGAGGAATCCTGGGCTGCGGGCATTCCTTGGCCTGGTGGCCAGATTTCTGGCACTTGTAGCAAGCTCCTGGGGGAGGCAGTTCTGGATGTACACCTAGCCACTGCGGTTCAGGCGTTTGGAAGTTCTTGTGTGCTGGAGATGTGGCTGGAGTTTGTCTCACAGTGGAGGCAAGGAATTGCAACTCGGAAATATGTTGCTACTTGGCTGCCTCTACTCTATTATTGTACACCTTGAAGGCAAGGTTAAGTAAGTCCTGTTGTGGGGTTTGAGGGCCGGAATTTAATTTTTGGAGCTTTATTTAATGTTGGGAGCAGATTGGGTAATACAATGTATATTGAGAATAAGACGGCCTTTTGACCTTTTAGGATCTAGGGCTATAAAGCATCTCAGGGTTGCTGCCGAACGAGCCATGAACTGGGCTGGGTTTTTATATTTGATGAAGAAGAGCCTAAACGCTCTCTGATTTGGGATAAAGAAAAAGGAGCATTAACCTTGACTATGCCTTTAGCTCCAGCCACTTTTCTAAGAGTAAATTGCTGGGCAGGTTGGGGAGGGCTAGTCACGGAACGAAACTATAAGCTGGACTGGGTGTGAGGAGGGGAGGGGATAAAAGGATTATAGGGTGGAGGAGCGGAGGCTGAGGAAGAATTGAGACCTCGCTTGGCCTGGTGAGGGGAGAGGTCAGATGGGTCTGTAGAAAAGGAAGATTAGACAGACTCAGCGACGCTTGGGGTTGGGACTGGGGACAGGTGGGAGGGAAAGAAGGAAGATTTGGGACGAGTCACATTGGGAACAGAGACTAGGGAGGGACCGATGTGTAAAAGAATGCCTGGACATCAGGCACCTCAGACCATTTGCCTATTTTACGACAAGAATTATTTAGATCTTGTAGGATGGAAAAATTGAAAGTGCCGTTTTCCGGCTATTTGGAACTACTGTCGAGTTTGTATTGGGGTCAAGCGGCATTGCAGAAGAAAATAAGGCATTTAGGTTTTAGGTCAGGAGTGAGTTGAAGAGGTTTTAAGTTCTTAAGAACACGGGCTAAGGGAGAAGAAGGAGGAATGGAAGGTGGAAGCTTGCCCATAGTGAAGGAGGCAAGCCCAGAGAAAGGAGAGTAGAGACACGGAGAAGGGGTGGGGGATTCTTACCCTCCAGAAAAGTGGAAAAGGGGTCAGGGCACGGAAAAAAGGGATGGGGCACAGAGATAAGAGGTTGGGGTTCTTGTCCCTCCTCCAGGAAAGTGGGACTTGCCTCAAAGGGTGAAGGACCAAGGCAGGCGTCCCTGCGTGGTCTGACACCTCTGAAACGTGGGTGAATAATCAGGCGTCCCTGCAATGATTAAACACCAAGGGAAGGCTGCCTTCCCAGTCCATGACCGGCGCCAGAGTTTTAGGTCCATAGATAAAACGTGTCTCCTTTGTCTCTACCAGAAAATGAAAAGAATTGAAATTAAGAGAAGGCAGAGATTGAAGTGTGGCATCAAGATTGAGAGGAGAAAGGTTGAGGAATAGTGAGGGAGGTTGGAGAAGAGAGTAAAAAGAGGCTGCTTACCTGATTTAAAATTGGTGAGATGTTCCTTGGGCTGGTGGGTCTGAGGACCTGAGGTCATAGGTGGATCTTTTTCACGGAGCAAAGAGCAGGAGGACAGGGGATTGATCTCCCAAGGGAGGTCCCCCGATCCGAGTCACAGCACCAAATTTCATGTGCGTCCGTGTGAAGAGACCACCAAACAGGCTTTGTGTGAGCAATAAAGCTTTTAATCACCTGGGTGCAGGCGGGCTGAGTCCGAAAAGGGAGTCAGCGAAGGAAGATGGGGTGGGGCCGTTTTATAAGATTTGGGTAGGTAAAGGAAAATTACAGTCAAAGGGGGGTTCTCTGGCGGGCAGGAGTGGGGGTCACAAGGTGCTCAGTAGGGGAGCTTTTGAGCCAGGATGAGCCAGGAGAAGGAATTTCTCAAGATAATATCATCAGTTAAGGCAGGAACAGGCCATTTTCACTTCTTTTGTGGTGGAATGTCATCAGTTAAGGCAGGAACTGGCCATCTGGATGTGTACGTGCAGGTCACAGGGGATATGATGGCTTAGCTTGGGCTTAGAGGCCTGACAGAAACCACTGACATAAAGGGAGATGCCAGGAACCACTGGGCACCAGGTGGATGGAAAGGGCCCAGGTTGGAGGAGGGCTGGGGAGACAACTGGTGGACTGTTTGGGTTTTATTGCCATATTCTGTGTACATAAAAAACAACATAGGCCGGGTGCGGTGGCTCACGCCTGTAATCTCAGCACTTTGGGAGGCTGAAGCGGGCAGATCACCTGAGGTCGGGAGTTCAAGACCTCAAGACCAGCCTGACCAACATGGTGAAACCCTGTCTCTACTAAAAATACAAAATTAGCTGGGCGTGGTAGTGCATGCCTGTAATCCCAGCTACTCGGGAGGCTGAGGCAGGAGAATCACTTGAACCCAGGAGGCGGAGAGGTTGTGATGAGGCGAGATTGCACCATTGCACTCCAGCCTGGGCAAAAAGAGCGAAACTCCTTCTCAAAAAAATAAAATAAAAATAAAATAAAAAATACTCCACGTAGAGTTATGCAAAAAAGGAAATGTTACCACAGCATGAAGTGTGCCGCTTGGCTCAGTTGTGAATAGTGATAACAGCCAGAATAATGGTCACGCGGAATACTGATTTAACCGAAACTGTGACAAACCTCATCAGCCGGGCAGGGATGCGTGTGGAGCGAGCCGCTGGCCAAGTGCTGCCAGATGCCCCAAGTGACCCAGAGAAATGGTCATCTGGATTTCCACGCTAAACATTTCCCGATTTTTAAATGCTGCCAAGTATCTTTTCAAAGATACACTTCAGGCCAAACACACCTGCTGGGGGCTAGCTGAAGCAGCCAGCCCCAGTTTGCGATCCTGCCCAGGAGGGCCCTCAAGCGCTTGCCCCAGGGTCTTGGCAGTTCTCCGGAAAGTCGGGGCCCCGCCGGTCTGGCAGATGCTTCCTAGCGAACCCAGGGGCAGCGCGCTGGGCGGAGGCCCTCCCTGGGGAGCCCCCGGGGTCCCCGGCCAACAGCTGTGCCTGCTGCCACACCTCCCAGCTGGACACAGCTCTCCTGTAGCGAAAACAAAACCCACCAAGCAGGTGGCTGCAGGAGCCCGCGCGCAACGCGCCCGCTCCTGGCCGCGCACGCCCCCTGGCGGCCATCGGGAAGCATCGCCGCCGCGTTCCTTGGGGAGAGCCACGCCTCTGGGAAAGCTAAGAACTGTTCACATTAGAAGCATCCACTTGCACGGTTTTTTTGTTGCTGTTTTTTGGGGGGTTTTGTTGTTGTTGTTTTGTGGGTTTCTTTTTCTTTTTGAGACAGAGTCTAACTCTGTCACCCAGGCTGGAGTCCAGTGGCGGCACGATCTCGGCTCACTGCAACCTCCAACTCCCAGGTTCAAGCAATTCTCTTGCCTCAGCCTACCCAGTAGCTGGGATTACAGGCGCCCACCGCCACGCCCGGCTAATTTTTGTATTTTAGTAGAGACGGGGTTTCACCATGTTGGCCAGGCTGGTCTCAAACTCCTGACCTCATGATCCGCCCACCTCGGCCTCTCAAAGTGCTAGGATTACAGGCGTGAGCCACCGCGCCCGGCCTGCACGTTTTATTTGAACCTCAGGTACACAGATTAATCATCATCCTGAGTTCATAACACTCTTACACTCTAATCATGGTCCATGCATGGCCTCCTTCCTCCCTCCTTCCCTATTTTTTGTTTATAGTCAGCACTGAAGCTAGTCGTGACAACCTGCATTCAACTGTAACAATATGCTTCTTCAGTTCATCACCCTCCCATCTTTTTCCTCCCAAGGTAACCTCCCAAATCCCCCATTGATCACGGGCTTGCATTTCTTGTAATCTTGGTAGTTTATAATTAAATGGAAAAGATACCACACTGTATGTAATCTTTCAGGACTTTATTCACTTACCATTATGCAACATGTTACATCCTCTTGGCCTCACCTATCCCTTGATCCAGCCACCACTGCAGTGCTAGCCCTGCAAGGCCTACGACCATGTCATGCCAGCATAACCTGATAGCTGTGATTTGGGCCTTCAACTGTCACCTTGGCGCTTTCCTGTGGACACTGCCATGGGACCTGCTCAGCGGCCACACAGTGCAACTTGCAAGTGCTGCAGGGGAATTCACTCCCTGTGAGGTAACACTGACCAATGGGACACAGGAACCAGTGCGTGCATTCTTCCTCCTCCTCTCCTGGACCAGACCACCCTGAGGCACATTTTACACAGCTTCTCAGAGGACAGTCCTGTGGAATCGAGCAACCAATCACACAGTGGTGGCTAACTCAGTAATATCCTCATATTGGCTCACTCTCCTTCCCTGGTTCACTCATGATGATGGCTCAGCGGGCCACGTGGATACAAGCTGAAAATGTGTGCTGGCTGCACTAATAGTGTTATTTCAGGGGTAGCCTTGAAAGACAGCAGTGAAAGGAAACACTCCCAATGGGCAAAGCTCTGGGCAGTGCATCTGATCATCCGCTGGAAAGAAAATATACAGACTCAGGGAGTGGTGAACGGCTTGGCTGATTGGCCAGGGGACTGGAAAGAGAAAGACCGCAAGGCCCCAGAGGGATGAGTGAGACAAAACGAGTCTTCAGCCACTAAACTTCTCAAACAAGCAAGTCATTTGAACAAGAGGTGGATTTCTTACAAAATGCAAACTCTGAGTAATGAGGCCACTGCATATCAGAAAAAAAGCCCAGAAAAAAACCTGCATAATACATGTTATGACTGAAAGCCAGGTATGGATGGAATGAAAGGGACAGGCAGAGCTGGACTAGCTAGGGGGCTGTAAGGGTGCTCAGAACAGCAGATGACCTGATACAAAACCTGGAGTGGATGTCACAGTTCCTGTGGAGCAAAGATCTAAGTCTCAGCTGATACAACTCAGTCTGGGGCAAACGACAGCAGAGGGACAAGACTTAGATGTGGGGTTGCATCCCCAGATTCATTCCTACCCAGGAGGAAGTCCCAAATATTCCTAAACTTACTACATACTTGCTGTGGTTTTGTGAGGTGGTGTGTTGTGTGTGTGTGTGTGTCTGTGTGTGTGTGTGTTTGCCTGGATTGTGCTTCTCTTTTGCAAGAACCTGTTCACTGGATACATTTATTGTGACCCCTGTTGGTGACTCATATCAGGAGCAGTCAGATGCATGCCCAAGAATGGTGTTTACTCATAAAGCTTGCCAAGCATAACATTTGAAACAATGCCTCTTTCTGGGAGAAGAAAAAGTATTTGGTCTTCTCACACAGGTTTTATACCAACAGAGGTGCTATACAGCGCTTTCTTTTTTTGAGATGGAGTTCCGCTTTTATTGCCCAGCTGGAGTGCAATGGCGTGATCTCAGCTCACCACAACCTCCGCCTCCCAGGTTCAAACGATTCTCCTGCCTCAGCCTCCCGAGTAGCTGGGATTACAGACATGAGCCACCACACCTGGCTAATTTTTTTGTATTTTTACTAGAGACAGGGTTTCTCCATGTTGGTCAGGCTGGTCTTGAACTACCGACCTCAGGTGACCCACCTGCTTCAGCGTCCCAAAGGAGCCACCGTGCCCAGCCTATACAGAGCTTTCTTTAGCTGAACATCCCTGTCTGTCGAATGGATGCTGGGAACTCTACTGTGGATTAGGGAAGCTTCAAAAAGAGTGTGGCCATCTTTTGTTTCAATTGTGCTGACATAATAAAAATGAATGAATGTTTTGCTGCCATCCTACCTGGTACTTGGTTTGCAACCTAGGGTATTGCTAATGCATTATTTTAGATCTCCCTGTGGGGAATGTCAGTTTGCTTTCACGAGCACAGCATATAGCACACTTTTATTGCCCTGAATTTCCCAGTGATGTGGCATCAGTGGGTTGGACAAACCCAGCACAGTGTGAACTGCTGGTGTATGGGCAGGCATTTCCATCATGTCTGCACAAAGAAGACTGCTTTCAGGGCGTTACATGCCACCCAAGCACCACTGACGAAAGACAGGTGGGCCCTGAGCAAGGACAAAACCCAGGCGCTCTGCCTTTCAAGTGGTCATCTTGGGGGCTGTGTCACAGCTCAAATAGATATTTCACAATTAAATAAGGAAAACTTTGTAATAGCCACCAACTACAAAAGAAGAAGAAGGAGGAGGAGGAGGAAGAGGAAGAGGAAGAAGAAGAAGAAGAAGATAGAAGAAGGACAAGGAGGAGAGGAGGAGAGGAGGGGGAGGGGGAGGAGGAGGAGAAAAGAAGAAAAAAGAAAGAAGAAGAAGAAGAAAAGTGGCCCTACAGCAAAATTGGCCGCTGGATGGTACATCCCAAACCTAAGAATATTCCTACAGCTTCCATCCCCCAAGTCATCAGACATGTGGCCACATTTGCCCAAGAGCCTGAACAACAAAGAACCTAAGAATCAGCCCAGACAGCAGTAACAGAAGCCTTGCCCTAGAGCCTTTATTTCCTTTGGGTCAAGGAACTACAGGGGTCTGGGACTAACTGCACAGTTGATTAGAGCCTTTGGCAAACCAGACTTCTCTGGTTCTTCTTCTAGACTTTGACCTTTTGAACTTGAGGACTTCTTCCTGCTGCTGAGAAACAACGGCCAGCATCACTGAGCCCTGCCTACGCAAAACAGTCTTCAACTTGACATTCTCATCCTGCAATTCTGAACTAAGTTTCACAAATGGGTGGGACAAGCTCCAGAACATCCCATCACGAGAAGAAAATGGATCTTCCAATTAAGGGCCAAACCCAGCTCCTCAGCCTTTAGCCATCTTCAGGGTGGGTCAAACAGGTGGTGGCCCACCCAGGAGACAGAAATAGTGTCTTTCCTACTGTTTTACAAAAACTGCTGGTTTTATGAAGATGCCACCTATGAAACAGGCCACCTGACAAGAAAGCATCACTGAAGAAAGAGCCCACCCACCTCTGAGCAAGCAGGGCCTTTGGAATGCTACAGCCATCTAGTGATGGCGCAAGGGTGATGGCCCACAGCTTTGGGCACTCTGTGCAATGGGCTGAACTCCAGAAGGGATTTCTGGCCACAGAGAGTACTGCCCTAAGATTAAACATGCCACATGGGCTGTCACGAATGGCCCATCTGTATGGTCAGATCTTTGGGCCAACCAGGACTGGACCAGAAAAGACATACCGAATATTGGATGGCCCCTACCTTGGGGACATGTAACTATTTAATTACAAACTCAGTATCTATCTATATGGTTATATGAAGCAAACACATCTAGTGAAAAGCATTTAAAGTGAAAAAGTCAAACATATGTGGCCATCACCTCCACTACAGACCAATCAACCTGTGCTCAAATCCACCATATGCATGGAACCACCATAAAGGATTGAGATGCCCAGTGATCAATTATGGAGGCCATTGTTTTTTGTTTGTTTTTTTGAGACGGAGTCTCGCTTTGTCACCCAGGCTGGAGTGTAGTGGTGCAACCTCAGCTCACTGCAAGGTCCGCCTCCCGGGGTCATGCCATTCTCCTGCCTCAGCCTCCTGAGTAACTGGACTACAGGCGCCCGTATCACACCCAGCTAATTTTTTGTATTTTTTTTTTTTTTTAGTAGAGACAGGGTTACACCGTGTTCACCAGGATGGTTTTGATCTCCTGACCTCGTGATCTGCCCACCTCGGCCTCCCAAAGTGCTGGGCTTACAGGCGTGAGCCACCGCACCTGGCCGGAGGCCAGGTTTAACTGCAAAGACTATATTATTTGCCAGCTATACCAGACCCTTCAATGCTGACTTCCACAGGGACAGCTGGTCCACCTTCATCTACTTACAAGCTGCACAAGCTGATGATAATCACCTCTGCTTACCCGAGCTCCCTTCAATGGATAAATAGATGAATGGTTCATTTTGTTCAGATCTCTGTGGATAGACTAAAACTTGGATACTCTGTATCAGGTGTTCTATGGCCACCTTCCTCTGCCTGCTATGTACTTATGATAACAAAATGGCAACTCGTGGGTCCAGAAAAAGGACAACTTGAGTCATCCCTAAGACAGGATGACAGATCCCAACTGATCTGGTATAAATGTCTTGACCCTAGAAGTGCATGGAGGCCAAGGGGAAGTGAATCACTCTCTCTTTTTCTATTACAGGCATGAACAACAGTCCCAAATGTCCTTCTACGACTCTTCTAGTTCTCATGTTGTTAAATATGTCACCCCTGGCCCAGCCCAGCTGTAGAACCCCAAGGGTCAGGGGTTAAGACAAATTTGGATGGCATGGAGGTTTGTTTCCTCCCTCATTTTAGTAGCTTGTTGGAGAGATGGCTCAAAAGGTCCATATCAGCGCAGTGCACTAACATACTGAGTCTAGCCCCTGAACCTTTGAAGAGCCCTTTTTTGAATAAGGCCACTTACTATAACAGGGACTTTCATTCTTATAAAATTGCATAATCACTGTTGCCCCCTCCAACTTCCCTATAAACATGTAGAGCACCATGGGGCAGGTCCCTCTCTGCATGTAGTCTCTTTATGTCCAGCATAAATTGTGGGATAATGAAAGCTTGGGGAACCATGCGTACTCAACATTTTTTTTTTTTTTTTTTTTTTTTTTGAGACAAGGTCTCACACCGTCACCCAGGCTGGAGTGCAGTGGCATGATCTCGGCTCATTGCAGCCTCAAACTCCCAGGCTCAGGTGATCCTCCCACCTCAGTCTCCCAAGTAGCAAGGTCTATAGGCGCATGCCACCATACCTGGCTAATTTTTAAACATTTTTTGTAGAGACAGGGTTTTGCCATGCTGCCTAGGCTGCATACTCAACTTCTAATCTGCTCCTTTCCCCCAGCATATTAATTTTATCTGTACCACGAAGCACAGTGTCATATTAAGCTAGACAGCTTTCCCTGTCAGTAGAGAATTTCTGTATTTCACTGTGTGAACATATTCCCTTGTTCAGTAAAAATATTCTTTAATCAGAGAATGCTCATTGATGGCAGGAGCGACTGCTCTTGATTTTGAGGGCACAAGTTCAAGGAAATAGATGGGTGGGATATAAGGAATAAGTGCCTGCTGAAGAATGGCCCCATCCTCCATCCCTCCCTTTACCATGCCCTTCGCCCCCTCACTCTGTAGTACCTCCTCCGTCTGCCCCTGGGCTTGGGAATGCTAATGAATGTGATAAAAGTAGCTAGTTTTTTGTATCTTTGATAGAGATGGGGTTTCGCCATATTGCCCAGGCTGGTCTCAAACTCCTGACTTCAAGTGATCTGCCCACCTTGGCCTCCCAAAGTGCTGGGATTACAGGCGTGAGTCACCGTGCCTGGACCCAAGGGTCATTTAAAACTTCAGGGTCTCCATCCATGCCACCTACCCACAGAGGCTGGCTTTATTAACAGCTGGTTTCTTTCTCTGTTGCCCACATAAACCTGAGATTTAACTTGACTTAAGAGGATTCCAAGGGGAAAGCAATGGGTTGACATGGGTTTGTCCAGTGCCAACAGCAGGTCCCATTCTGCTTCTAGTGGAACAATCTTTCTGGGCATTTTAAATGCTCTGACTTCAGATGAGAGAAGGAGGGCAACAGGTGGCTAGGCAAGGATCCAGAGGCTATACCACGTGCAGAGGTGATTAAGTACCTGAGGATCAAATAAAAAGGGCTCAGCCACTGGAAACCTAGAGTCACACTCCCAAATGACAAAATGGAACCAATATGAGGAGGAAGACTCCGTAAATCCAACAAACAGGAGAATTAGCACCAAAAGAACTTAAGATCTTAACAGAATGGTTTCAAAGAAAATGTAGTATATGAAGTCAAAAGCTCAATGGACTTGCTAAATAGCAAATTAGTTAAAATTCAATGAATAAGTTAAAAACAGCTTAAGAAAAGAATTAGCGTTTGAGGCTGCCATGAGCCTCAAACATCCAGCCTTTTATCTCTCTGTAGCATAAAGAGATAAAAAAAGTAGAAAAAATTATAGGAAGGTTAAATATTGGAGGACTGAATGAGAAAGTCCCACATACATCTCATAAGGAATCTAGAACAAGAGAGAAAATAAGAAAACTAATTTCAAAATGAAAATAGATGAGAATTTTCCAGAAATTCAATTTCATTCCTCAAATTAAAGAAGCACAACACATCCCCAGCAAGTTAAATAAAAATAAATCCACAGACATCTCCAGTGAAACTCAATACCAAATTCAAAGATACAATCTTAAAAGAACCAAAGATTACCTAGTATGAATGCAGACTGACATCATGTTTTTTGCAACATCAGGGGCCAGATGACAATGGAATAAAGTAATATCTTTGAAGTAATGAGAAAAAATATCAATCTAGAATTCTATACCCACCTTAGCTATTTTTAAGAGTAAGGGTAAAATAAAATTTCACTCTTGCAGAAAGGACACCCAACTCTAGAGTTAGAAAACAGTAACCAAAAATAAGGTGGGACTCAAAGACTAAAATATGTTGGTAAATCTAAATCAGCAATGACTGCATAAAACAACATTAATAGTTAACTTAGGAAGTTGTTAAGATAAATGTAAAATACTAGGCAATAACAACATAGTACATGAGAAGAATTGATGGCCATTAATTCTTTTTTTTTTTTTTTTTTTTGAGATGGAGTCTCGCTCTATCGCCCAGGCTGGAGTGCAGAGGCACTATCTCGGCTCACTGCAAGCTCCATCTCCCGGGTTCACGCCATTCTCCTGGATGACCATTAATTCTAATGTCTTAGTATCATTGAGGACATGAGTAGGAGTTCTGATTAATATTACAAATCTTTATAAAATCAAATATGCATGCTAAAAATTTGATGCATATTCCTAGATTCTGAGGAATTCTAGCAAAGTGGCAGGAATGACAGAATTATAAAGTTGCTATTTTGCAACTGCTAACAAAGTAACTGATTTAGGCAAAGATCAATGGATGAAACCTTTTAGCTAAAAAGTTGATGGGAAACTTCACAGTGAGTGGGGAACACATGGTCAGTGCCTGAACCCACTAAGTGTGCACTGAATGTGGTATTACCAGAGAATACAGCACCACCTACAAAAAAAAAAAAAAAAAAAAAAGTTTAATCTGAATTTAAGCATGCCTTTAGGGCTTTCAGTTTACAGAAAATACTGGAAATAAAGGAATAAGTTAAATAACATAACAGAAATTAATAAATCCAAAATGTGAGATATCTGACAGAAATCCACAGACAAACTAGTAGAGGTGTGTAGAGTATTAGGAATGCAATTGATTTTTGATTATTGATCTTACATTCAGCAAACTTGCTGACGTATTCTGTTACTTCTACTAGTAATATGCTAGTATGCATATCAGAATATGTAATTTGCTAATCAGAATATGTAATTTCTTATAAATATCCCATTCTAGGTAACTATAAAAATAAGTATCTAGGATAAATCTGACTAAAGATATGTAAGACCTTTATGAAAACAAAAGAAAATTACTGAAAAACAATAAAAGACCTAAATCAATGGAGATTCTATGTTCATGAATATGAAGTTCAACCAGTAAGATGCCATTTCCCCCAAAATTAATCTTCCAATTCAATGCAATTCCAAGAAAAAAGCAAGAGATAGGTGAGGTCTATCGCTACAAAAAATTTTTAAAAGGTGGCCAGGTATGGTGGTGTGTACCAGTAGTCCCAGCTACTTGGGAGACTGAGGTGGGAGGATCGCTTGAGTCCAGGAGTTGAAGGCTGCAGTGATGCAGTGAGCTAGAGCACACCACTGCACTCCAGCATGGGCAATAGAGTAAGACCCTGTTGAGAGGGAGGGGAGGGAGAGAGGGGGCAAGGGAGACATGGAGGGAGGGAGAGAGGGAGGAAGGAAGGAAAGGACAGAGGGAGGGAGGGAAGGAGGGAAGGAAGGACAAATTTGGAGGTTGGTACATAAACCAAGGAAATAGAACAGAGAACCCAGAAATAAATCCATGCATTTACTGCCAACTGGTATTTGAGAAAGGTACCAAGAACGTACGTTGGGGAAAAGACAATCTCTTAAATAAATGGTGCTGGTTAATGGTAACTTGGGAAATGAATATAGTGCTGGGAAAACTGGATATCCATATGCAGAAAAATGAAATAGACCCCTCTCTCTCACCATATATGAAAATCAACTCAAAATGGATCGTAGACCTAAAAGATCTGAAACTACAAGAAGAAAACGGGAAATGCTTCATGAAATTGGACTGGGCAAGGATTTTTTTAATAAGACCTCAAAAGCACAGGCAATGAAAGCAAAAATAGACAGATGGAATTACATTAAACCAAAAGGCTGTGGCCCAGCAAAGGAAACAATCAATAGAGTGAAGAGACAATCTATAGAATGGGAGAAAAGTATTTGCAAACCATCCATCTGACAAGATGTTAATATCCAGAATATACAAGAAACTCAAACAGCTCAATAGCCTCCCCTGCCAAAAAAAAAACCTAATGCCCAAAACACCTAAATAGACATTTCTCAAAGAAAAGACATACAAATGGCCAACAGATACATGAAAAAAATGTTCAATATCACCATTCATCAGAGAAATGCAAATCAAACCACAATGAACTATGAGCTCATTGGCGACTATTAAAAAGACAAAAAATAGGGCTAGGCGCCAATGGCCCACGCCGGTAATCCCAGCATTTTGGGAGGCCAAGGCAGGTGGATCACAAGGTCAAGAGATCGAGATCATCCTGGCCAACATTGTGAAACCCCATCTCTACTAAAAATACAAAAATTAGCTGGGCGTGGTGGCGCATGCCTGTAGTCCCAGCTACTCGGGAGGCTGAGGCAGGAGAATCACTTGAACCTGGGAGGTGGAGGTTGCAGTGAGCCAAGATCACGCCACTGCACTCCAGCCTGGGCGACAGTGCAAGACTCTGTCTCAAAAAAAAAAAAAAGACCAAAAATATCAAATGTTGGCAAGGATTTAGAGAAAGGGAAACTCTTATGCACTGTGGGTGGAAATGTAAATTAGTACAGCCATTATGAAAAACAGTATGGAGGTTCCTCAAAAATTAAAAACAGAACTACCATATATGATCCAGCAGTCTAATTACTGAGAATACATTCAATGGTGGTGAAATCAGTATGTCAAAGAGCTATCTGCACTCCCATATTTATTGCAGTGCTATTCACAATAGCCAAGATACAAAATCAATCCAAATGTCCATCTACAGATGACTGGATAAAGAAAATGTGGCATGTGTGTACAGAAATACACGATAGAATATTGTTCAATCATAAAACAATGAAATCCTGCTTTTTTTTGCAGCAACATGGATGAACCTGGAGGACATTATGTTAAGTGAAATAAGCCAGGCACAGAAAGACAAACACCACATGATCTCATTCATCTGTGGAATCTAAAAAAGTTGATTTCACAGAATGAGAGAGTAGAATAACGGTTACCAGTGTCTGGGGAGGGTAGTGAGTTTGCAGGAGTGGGGACTGGGAGAGGTTGGCCAATGGATACAAAGTTACAGTTAGGAAGAATAAATTCTGGTGTTCTATTATACAGCAGAGTGACTGTAGAAATGAATAATGTAGGCGGGCCAGTGGTGGCTCACCCTTGTAATTCCAACACTTTGGGAGGATCGCTTGAGCCCAGCAATTCAAGACCAGCTGGGGCAACATGGCAAAACTCGTCTCTACAAAAACTACAAAAATTAGCTACTCGGGGGCACTGAGGTGGGAGGAACGCTTGAACCCAGACGGTCAAGGCTGCACTGTGCTCCAGCCTGGGCGACAAAACAACCCTGTCTCAAACAACAACAATGTAGTGTATATTTCAAGATAGCTAGAAGACTTTGAATGTTATCACTACTAAGAAATAATAAATGTTTAAAGTGATGGATATGACAAACCCTGATTTGATACAATGTACACATATATTGAAACATCATACTGTACTCCATAAATATGTATAATTGTCAATTATAAATAAAAAATTAATTTAAAAAAGGAATATTCTATACTTCCTAAAATGTTTAAAGGTTTACATCTTATATTTAGTACTTGATGCTACTTTGGTTTTGATGTATTGTGTGAATGCCTCACACCATCTAGTTTATTGTTTCAATGGGTGGCCCCTTCTCTGACATACAATGTTGCTTCTGTTTAAGTGGATATATATGTATAGGTCTGTTGCTGGCTTTCTTGGGCTATTTTTTATTACCTATGTTAATAACACAGACTTGATCAAACCTTAATTTCTGATAGTGCAATTTCAAAATTGTTTTATGCTTGGCTTTTTTTTTTTTTTAAGATGGGGTCTCACTGTGTCACCCACTCTGGAGTGCAGTGGCACAATCACAGCTCATTTCAGCCTCACACTCCTGGGAGAAAATGCTGTTAGGATCCTCTAGCGATCCTCCCACTTTAGCCTCCTTAGTGGATTGGACCACAGGTGCAGGCCACTGCGCCTGGCTAATTTCAGATCTGTTCTTTTTCCTCAAGATTGCTTTGGCAATCCAGAGTCTTTTGCACTTCCATATGAATTTTCAGATTATTTTTTCTATTTCTGAGAAATAAAGGTCAACAAACAAGTGAAAAGACAATCAGGTTCACCAGAAACAGGAAGAATACAAAAAAAAAAAAAAAAAGAGGCACCATTTCAGTACCAGACGAGCAAAAATGTTAAGTTGAACTAATATTAAGTGCATTACAAGAGTGGGGAAACCAGCACCTCATTCACTGCTGAGGGAAATATAAACTGGGTCTACCCTTTGGAGATCCATCTGGAAATATTTAGCCATGCTGAAATCATAACGTACCTTCTGACCCACCAGACAATTTAACTTCTAAGTAGTTACCCACCATGTAAATTCTCACATGTGCACAAGAAGAGATGTTCAAATACATTTGTTCCCTGTAATGTTAAGATGGTCAAAAGCTGAAAATGCTGTTAGAATTTTTCTATCAGTAGGAGAATAAGTAAATTGTGACATATCCATACAATGAAATACCAAACAGCATTTAAAATGAATGAACCAGAGTTACAACCTTGAAGCAAATATGGCAAAATGTTATAATCTATTAAAGGTGAGTGAGTGGAGTCTACAACAGGTATTATCCTCTGTGCTTCCAGTACTTGAAATATTTCAGGCCAGGCGCCGTGGCTCATGCCTGTAATCCCAGCACTTTGGGAGGCAAGGCAGGTGGATCACCTGAGGTCAGGAGTTTGAGACCAGCCTGACCAACATGGTGAAACCGCATCTCTACTAAAAACACAAAAAAATTAGCAGGGTTTGGTGGCATGCGCCTGTAATCCCAGCTACTCAGGAGGTTGAAGCAGGAGAATCGCTTGAACCCGGGAGGCAGAGGTTGCAGTGAGCCAAGATGGCGCCACTGCACTCCAGCCTGAAGGATAGAGCAAGACTCTGTCTCCAAAACAAACAAACAAATTCAAAAATTTTAAAAAGTAGCTAAATATAAAAATGTTGGGGAAAAGACAATACTTCTCCCCCCACCCCGTTGTTTTTTTGTTTGTTTGTTTGTTTTTTTGAGATGGAGTTTTGCGCTTGTTTCCCAGGCTGGAGTGCAATGGCATGACCTCGGCTCACTGCAACCTCCGCCTCTGGGGTTTGAGCGATTCTCCTGCCTCAGCCTCCAAAGTAGCTGGGGTTACAGTCATGTGCCACCACACCCAGCTAAATTTTGTATTTTTACTAGAGATGGGGTTTCACCACATTGGCCTGGCTGGTTTCGAACTCCTGACCTTAGCTGATCCGCCTGCCTTGGCCTCCCAAAGTGCTGGGATTACAGGAGTGAGCCACTGCGCCCAGCCTCCCCCTTTATTATATCAATTTCTATGACACACATTACTGTACTTGTAGAAAAATTTGGCCACTGAATTCACCAATGTACCCAGATGTCTTATGAAATAAGTTTTTCTTACTGTTTAAGACACATTTAATTAGATTTTCTGCTTCTTGCAGCTTATTGCATATTGATACAATGCTCTTTATCAAAACAAAACTCAACTCTAAACTCTGAAGAATGTACAAATTCCAGTGAGTTCTTGATGACTATAAAGACCCTGTTATTCTCACACAGGGTGGAGGCAGGAATTTCGCAAACTACACAAATAGCTGTAGTTTTACCAGCACCACCCTAATAATTTTGCTTCACACTTTCCCAATCATTGAACAGTTCCTAAGATAATGTGCCTATTTTGTTTTTAGCATTGTTAGCCACATCTAGAAATGTGACAAGGAGTCTAAATTGCTTCTTTGGAAGTATTTAAAGCCATTTGTAAGTCTTCCTCTGTGGTTCCCTAAAAATGTTGTTTAAATGTGTATTCTAACTTTCCAACAAGAGGGACAGTTTATGGATGGGAAATGGATTTGTTTCTTTTCTATCCTAGATATATCTAAAATCTAGTATTCTATATAGGCACTCAACAAGATTGTGCAGCCAACTCCCACAACTACAGAGACAGCTTTTCATTTAAACATCACACTTCTGTAATAAACACTTACAAAGGTAAGAACGTTTTAATTAAATGGATTTATTTAAAAAGACTATAAAATCTGACATCAAGAGAGATAAAAAAAAAAGACCCATAAGATTTAAATTGACAAATATAAAATGATTGGCTACAATGTAAAAATACATTTCCCAGCCCCCAAACAAAACACAAGTATAGTAATTATAAAATTTTTGTACTGTGAGTTCATTTCTCTTATAATTCTTGAGAACCATTCTAAGCAATCTATTTGTATAAAATATAAAATTTATCATAACTGTTAATTTAAAAATTATTTTAAATTTGAGTTTATTGAATTTGCCATTTTTTTGTACATAACAGTGGTTTCTGGTCCCAAGTTCCCCTTGAACTTATTTACTACAATGGTCTTTTTACTCCTATTTATTTCCTTCTACAATAGAAAAGAAAGGCTAACCATTCATGGGTCCCATAAAAAACAATGTGAAGGAAGGTTCTAAGAGTGACCAAATATACCAGTGAACATACTATCTTTCTGAAAAAGAAAGAATTAAGTGACCAACTAAGAGATCCACTTTTGCACCAATGAAACACATGGAGGTGAAACCTCAGAACAAGCGGAGCTTAAGCTCAATGACAGTATGTTTTATATGACAGGCCAGCTGAGAATGTATCTGTCAATCCTGACTAAGCCCAATACATGGGTGGTGACCCTGAGGTAGCCCAGATGATATGCTCTGAATTTTAGATAGGTCTAAATCACAATGGTACAGTCTGATGTGAAACTTTAGTCTACCTACCATAAACTCGTTTTCTGAATCAGTCCTTATTCATAATTAGACCCAAAACCCAGCTATTTCTCCTCTCTTAGATGACATGCCCAATAAAAACAGCATCCATGATTGGTTTCATTATCTCCCAATTAAGTAGTGGTGACACCACCACTAACACTAGTATCCAAACTCTGATACAAATCCTAAAGGTATTGAGTCAGTAAGACAGAGCAGAAGCTATGTTGGGCCATACTGACCAATTTCTGAGAACCACATTAGCCACATTCATGCAATTAAAACCCATCTAAGACACACAAATGGCAGATGAGAAAAAAAAAAAAGGATGAGGTCATTAAACTTTATCACTGGAAACATGATTCCACTGTTTCAAATAGGAAACCTACCCTGGGAGACTTCCACCAAAGTGCAGAAGGACCTGATGCACGGGCTCATCATCTTAACACTAGAGTCCCAAGTCAAAACTCTAGGAGGAGGATAAGAAAGGTCTAGTCTGTGAATCACCTGGACAGAAAGGTCATATCCCAAGTGCCCTGCCTATCTGTGACAGCTGCTAGCCAACAGACAATTCTGGTTATGAAGTTATCTCTTGAGAATGGCTTGATTCTCTTATGCCACCAACAGTATTAGTCTGGGCAGGGTTCCCTGGATATTTACTTTTTTTTTTTTTTTTTTTTGCCAAAGACAAACTAGAGCAATGCCTATGTAAGAACAAGGACTCTCAAGATCCTGCTACACAGTATTCACAATCAAAAGGGCCCAAGATTCAGGACCACCTAAAGACAACTGACAAAAAGTGTCAGAGCCAGAGGCCAACCTCTGCTAGATGAAGCAGCAGCACATGACTCCATTTCTATCTGATAAGGAGACAGAGAAGAGGCATCTCGAACAGATGAAAAACCAAAGGCTGGTGTCCTAAAAAAAACAGATTGGCTTCAAAGAAAACACTAAGGAAGACCCACAGAGCTGTATTAATTTTAGTAAAAATAATCATATGCCAACAGGGGAATTGAACCACTTTCTAAATCATAGTATGAACTCATCTCTTCAGATACTTGGTAAGTGGTCAAAGCTTGTTTTTATAATTACTTTCACTGTCTTGGGCAAAAAGTCTTTCTTATCTTTGGTCCTTAGGTGTGGTATCAGTTTCTTCCATTTTTTTATGTGTTACAAAACAATCTTTTTTTTACTTGACATCAACAACCAAGGTGCAGTATAAACACGAAGTTGCTGATATTGTTGCTTTTATACACATAAAATACCAACATCTCCCATACATTTTATAGGCTATACGAAGGTCTCAAAGAATTAATAACCGTTATCCAAAAATATTATAACATTTAAGGCTGAGTGAAATACAGTAAAGCCTGGTAATATATGTTAAGGAAAAAAACCTAGACCAACATTTTAAATATTGGTTTCTTAAATATGTTAAATTCCCATTAACAGAACATAATCTAAGCATCAAAACAAACAGCTAAGCAAATTAATTTAAAAATAAAACAATTTCTAAGTAGATGAATATAATCACGATGTTTATACAGCTATAAAGCATAATTTGGAAGCTAAGCCTAGTAAAAGAATGACCTGTAACAGAATGACAGAATCATTTATCAACCGTTGAGCTGTGTGATTTAAAAACAATTGTTTTCTCCTCCTCCCACCAAAATCTCCATTTGAGATAAGTTTCAATTATTATTTAAAAAAAAATTTTTTTTAACTTATCTGGCCTACTTTGTGGTGACTGACACAATATTGATAAAACTGCCTTCTTGACCTTCCCCTTGCTCTCCAAAAGAAGTGGTTTAAACAATTAACAAATTTTACAAGAGCTTCTGCCAGGGCTCAGGCACCACAATGCAGGGTCACTACCTTAGGTAACATCTGCTCCCCAGAGTCTTTAGGCATTAAGTGGCTCAGTGAGGGCTTCAGCCCTAGTGGTATTTTCAGGTTTTCTCAGCTGGGACTCCTGTCGTTTTTCATACAGCATAGTGATAAAGTCAAGTAGGAACATAAAACTTGCTATAAATCCAAACACCTGAGGAAAAAAAGGAGGAAAGGTTATATGAGAATTTTGGAATATAATCTTACATTTCCTACTTGGCTTGGAGAATGTTTCATATAAACAAGATGTTCATGAATTTTATCTTATACACGACTACTCTTTAATGGTAAAAAAAATTTTTTTAAGTCATCAAAAAATGGAAAGAAGTTATAAAAGAAAAACTTCCAGAATAATGGCTATTAGTCAAAGTCTCACAAAATATTAATGTTCTGCCTTATGTGTGCATGTTTATATGTGGAGGGCTAATATATGAAAGTAGGGTTAACAGATAAACATTAAATCCTATAAAATGATACAAAACAAAAATATTTGCATGGTTAGATTGACCCACAGATGCGATAAGGAAAATACGTGACTAGGCAACTCAGCCTAGGTGAAAATGAAAAAAGTTATTAATATCAAAACAGAAATTCCATTTTGAAGATACTATTAGGTTAAATTACTTAAATAATGTTCCAGTTGTCACACTGCAATGACACAGTGACATGACGCCACTACCTACTTCCTCTTCCTTAAATCACTTCCTCAACTGTTCTCTTCTAAAATACGATCATACGTTCTGAGAATTCTATCAAGAGACAGAAGACCATGCGTCTGCTTCAAATTTAGCTTCTCCACTAGCAAAACCCTTAAGGATATGGGGGCCAGATAAGTTCTCTGTAAAAAAGAGAAAATTGATGTAGGTGATGGCTAAAGTCTCTTCCAAATCTAAACTCCCTATCTCCACGATTTTTATTAATAACATTCTCTTACAGTCTGTTGCAGTCTCCTGACCTCTCCTCCCCCCTCTAAAGAATAAGCATTCCACCTCATTTTACCACAAAGTAAACTGAGCTCCAAATTCATTAAGTCCCCCAGATATCCCCAACATATCCAATCTAAATTTAATTATCAACGCCTCCCACCCTCCCATCCCCCGCCACAAAAGCCAAGTCTTTTTCCCTCTGGAATCTTTATTTTTGACTTGATGGCATTTATCCCCTTATTTTCCTGGCAACTTTCTTAAATACATCAAACTCAGACCAAATGTCACCCTTGTTTTTGAAGCTGTCTCTGATCACCACAAGTCATCTTCTAGCTCTTTTGTTCACACACTTCTGAATTAAAAAAAAAAAAAGAACTTCCTCATGCATTTAAGTCTATAAAACTTTTCATAATTTAAATAGTTACAAAAGGTAATTTCCAGCATATTATAAATATCAGCTTTTTAAACTACCTGTCACTATTAAATATATCCAATGAAATATAAATACTGGGACAGTCTAATTAAAATATAAAAATTTTTTTTATAGCTGTAAATTTTTTCCCTGGAACTCAATTTTTCCTCAACTTCATTTCACTTTCCCCACAGAATTTTATAGTAATGTATTTTTATACAAATAAGTAGCCAGAGCTTTTTAAAATTAAAAATGAGTTAAAAAACTCATTATTTTATTGATCACCATCTCATACTCCTCTGCAACAAAAATGTTTCTAAACTGAAATTAACCATAAAGCCCTATTAAAACTTTGATTTTTCTCTTCTATTGGTTCATGTACCCATGAATAAATATTGCTTATTGCTAGAATGAATCAAGATTCAGTGTTAATTTTATTTCTATGTTTTGTTTTTACACATGTAAGTGCTAAGAAACTGTTGTCATATGAATAGATAAATATAGCCATGCAATTCTCTGAACTCCTTTTGAGTTTTCTATCATAAAATGCAGTTTTAATGATGTATTAGCTGACAACTCTATTAATTACAACTTCAATTTTGTTTTTGGTTTTTGAGATGGAGTCTCACTCTGTCACTTACACTGGAGTGCAGTGGCACAATCTTGGCTCACTGCAACCTCCGCCTCCTCGGTTCAAGCGATTTTCCTGCCTCAGCCTCTCGAGTAGCTGGGACTACAGGCGCCTGCCACCATGCCCGGCTAAGTTTTGTATTTTTAGTAGAGACAAGCTTTCACTATATTGGCCAAGCTGGTCTCAAACTTCTGACCTCCTGATCCGCCCGCCTTGGCCTCCCAAAGTGCTGGGATTACAGGCGTTGACCCACCACCCACCACGCCCGGCCTAACTTCAATTTTGTTAAAAACAAAGTATTAATTGGAAACCAGCTGACTTGCAAGATGATTTGTTGTCCAGTTGCTAGTCATTCAAGTTCACAGCACTGCTACCAGTCCAAGGCCATGATCCTTAATTTACAATTCCGAAACCCAAAGAACTACATTAACTCAAGGTTTTCATGATTCACTTGGCTCAAAATTGACACAAAGTAAGCCTATTTACATGGAGTAAGACTACTTAGTCTTTTCTTATCCCTTTTACTATAAATATTCATATGTTTTACTTCAGATATACCAATGTTAGATTACAGGGTACTGTCGCAGGCCCTCAAGTGGTGTTGTGTAATATAGCATATGTACAGCACTACCTTTCTAAAATCCAGAATATTCTGAATCCAAAAGAAAAAAATTCTGGCCCCAAGAATTTCAGAGAAAAATTGGATCTTTATTTTCAACTGTCTCTTTGTTGTACTCAAGGGTTTTTTTGTTTTACAATTCAGGGTAATCCACCATAATAAGTGATATGGCTTGGGTTTGTGTCCCCACCCAATTCTCATGTCAAATTATAATCCCCAATGTTGGGGGTGGAGCCTAGCTGGAAGTGACAGGATCATGGGGCAGACTCC
Source organism: Homo sapiens (assembly GCF_000001405.40). NCBI lineage: Eukaryota > Metazoa > Chordata > Mammalia > Primates > Hominidae > Homo > Homo sapiens. The sequence goes on from NC_000003.12 coordinate 32,486,802, forward strand.
CCCTCTGGCGCTGTTCTTGTAATAGTGAGTTACTGCAAGATCTGCTTGTTTAAAAGTGTGTAGCACCTCCCCACTCTCTCTATTCCTCCTGCTCTGGCCATGTAAGATGTGCCTGCTTCCGCCTCGCCTTCTGCCATGACTGTAAATTTCCTGAGGCCTCCCTTGCTATGCTTCCTATAGAGCTGTCAGAACCATGAGGCAATTAAACCTCTTTTCTTTATAAGTTACCCAGTGTCAGGTATTTCTATATAGCAGGGCAAGAAGGAACTAATCCAGCAAGATTCAGGACAAGCAAGTTTTTTTTCTTTTTGAGGGGCAAGGTAGGTGGCGACTGTGAATGGGAAGGTGGAAAAGTGCCGGTGAGACTCCTTCACCAGAGATAAATTCTCAGACATACAAGTTTTAAAAAAGATTACATATGGAGGTTTAAAAGCTGGAAATTAATTTCCTCAACACTATCTCTGCCTCATACTCCTTGAAAAGTCTGATGAAACTTTAAGGATATGTATAACCCACTGAAAACTGCTGTCTAGACCAACTTTTTTTTCTATTATTTTTTTTTTTCTTCTTATAGAGATGAGGTCTCACTATGTTGCTTGCCCAGGCTGGTCTTGAACTCCTGGCTTCAAGTGATTCTCTCACCTTGGCCTCCCAAAGTGCTGGGATTACAAGCCTGAGCCACGGCACCCAGTCTCAGAACAACTGCTATTGGTTCATTTAACAAACTCCATTACAATTTTACTTTTCCGTCTCCTTTTCTAGACTGAGTCTCTGAATCATTTCTCCCATATATTCTCCATACCTAGAAAACACCTGGCATGTAGGTGTGCATTTATTGAACTGAAAGTGGAGAAATATAAAATAATAAAGTCAATTTTACCACTTCCATTAGCAATAACACACGGTATGTGGAGTAAGTGGATTTTTTTTAAACAAAATTCAGTCAAATTCTATAGGCTCTAGGTTTTAAAGGCTATCATATTGATTTGCTTGTAGGTCTTCTATTCAAAATTACACTAAAAAGTAAGTTATAAGAAAAACAACTCTAACATGCTGTATAACTTGTCAAGTACTCTCCAAATTCCATATTTCTAAGGAAACAAAAATAAGCAATGTTAAAAATACAAGGTACTTACAATTGCAGCAATCTCAGCTGAAGTCCTGTCATGTGTGGAAACAAAAATGATGGATGCCAACAAAAACACACATCCTGTTCCCAAAGTAATATAAAAATCCTATGCATACATACAAAACACAAAAGGAATACAATACAGTTAGATTCATGGAAATGAACTTTTTCATTTTTAACTTTAAAAAGCTCTGGCTACTTACTTGTTTTTCTTGATACAACCCAAACTTACATACCCAAACTTCTAACTTTTCAATAAGCCTGGCATTCAATAAATACCCTGTAAAAAAACAGTATCCACACTGGGCTGGGATTATTGAGAGAACACATTACAAGATAAACTTTTAATAACAACAATCCCCTATGCCAGGAGAGGTGGCATGAGCCTGTAGTCCCAGCTAACTGGGACATTTTTTATTATCCAGTCCAAAAAAAGAAAAAAAAAAAAAAACAGTCCCGGAAAAGATCTCGTGTGTATCTCGTGCAAGTGTTTGTGTGTGTCCTCTTTTTCTCTGGGACATATTAAAATTATCTAAGCCAAAGCATTTATTACAATTCCATCTTACTTCCAGCAAAAAAGCATTTTTCTTTCCTTTCAAAGTATTTTATGGTAGGATGACATCTCTGAGAGCACTCCAATGCTTTGAAAGCACTTTCTAAAAGAAAGAATTTTAAAAACCACCCGTTATTAAATAGAAGTATGCCAATAGTGTGTTTTTTAGACACTGAAGCTTTCTGGAATAACACATTGCCTTCAACTGTTCCAAGTGGGTAATCTACAGTGAGCTTATATGATGAGTTTATCTACTACATAAAAGCTTCCATATCTTATCATAATGCAGCTTACAATCATGAGATGTTTCATGGGTTTCCAAGTGCTCTCTCAGGCATTACCTCACAAGGCTCTCATATGCCAACTGAAAACAGTAATGACATATATACTTGATTCAGAAAGGGAAACTTGGTAAAATGATAGCCACTCCAAAGGGTTTTAAGTCTGATACTTTTTGAGTTTTCTGAACTGCAAACTCCACTAAACCTAATATCAATAAAACTGGCCAGGCACGGTGGCTCACGCCTGTAATCTCAGCACTTTGGGAGGCCGAGACGGGCAGATCACGAGGTCAGGAGTTCGAGACCAGCCTGACCAACATGGTGAAACCCTGTCTCTACTAAAAATACAAAAAAAATTAGCTGGGCGTGGTGGTGGGTGCCTGTAGTCCCAGCTATTCTGGAGGCTGAGGCAAGAGAATCACTTGAACCCAGGAGGCAGAGGTTGCAGTGAGCCAAGGTCACACCACTGCATTCCAGCCTGGGCGACAGAGCGAGACTCCATCTCAAAAAAAAAAAAAAAAAAAATCAATAAAACTATTTAACACAGAATTCCTAAATTGTCAATCATTCACTTAACATTTATATAAAATGTAAGAGGTTTTCTTGCCGGGCACGGTGGTTCACACCTGTAATCCCAGCACTTTGGGAGGCCAAGACAGGTGGATCACCTGAGGTCAGGAGTTCAAGAACACCATGGCCAACATGGTGAAACCCTATCTCTATTAAAAATACAAAAATTAGCTGGGTGTGGTGGCAGGCACCTGTAATCCCAGCTACTTGGGAGGCTGAGGCAGGAGAATCACTTAAACCCAGGAAGCACAAGGTTGCAGTGAGCCGAGATCGTGCCATTGCACTCCAGCCTGGGTGACAAGAACGAAACTCTGTCTCAAAAAAGAAAAAAAAAAAAAGAGGTTTTCTCTGCTTCTAAAAGGTGTTTCCCTGTAGTACTTTATTTTTTAATCCTTTTGATTATTTCAAATTTATTACATATAAATATAAAATTCTATTTACTAATATTTGGAATACATTCAAGTTAATTGAAACAAGACAATCATTTTTAGACCATAATGTAGTGTTCAATAAACGGGTTCTAGAGCCAGTCTACCTGAGTTCAAATCTGAGCTATACCACTAATAAATGTAAACGTCCCAAAAATGTTGGCTACTGTTGTTCTTAATAGACTCCGACTGCAATAGCATGGGATAGAAGACATTCTCTCTTAAAAAATATTATTCCTTTGGGAGGCCGAGGTGGGCGGATCACCTGAGGTCAGGAGTTTGAGACCAGCCTGGCCAATATGGCGAAACCCCATCTCTACTAAAAGTACAAAAATTTGCTGGGTGTGGTGGCACACGCCTGTAATCCCAGCTATTCGGGAGGCTGAAGCAGGAGAATCGTTTGAACCCGGGAGGTGGAAGATGCAGTGAGCTGCTATTGCGCCACTGCACTCCAGCCTGGGTAACACAGCAAGACTTCTCAAAAAAAAAAAAAAAGTTATTCTTCTTTAGGCACCACCAGTACCACACACTCAAAACACATTCCTCTAAAACAGAAAACCTCTCTTGCATGAAAAAATATTTAAAACCTAAGTGTATTAATATGCAGACAGTAAAAAGTGATTTTGAAACCCTGCAAACAAACATGAAATCCTTATATTAGGTAAAAAGTAGAATATATGTTCTATGATTACAAATATTTTAAATTTTAAAACTATGAATGGAATAAAAAGACTTGAAAGGAATACAGCAAAATAATACAAAAGCTATTTTAGGATGGACTAATTTTTCTTTTTTCTCAGTATTTTTAAACCAGTATTTACTCTAAAATGACTTTTTAAATGCTCAAGTTTGATATAATAAAGGTTTTACTTTTTTTACGTTACACCATTATACTACACTGGACAATATTATAATACCATTTCTTGTCAAAATGATCAGTGTGCTTTAAACACTACAGATGCAGCATTAAAATAAAAACTAAACATTTCTAAAAATATTTTTATGGTGATATTGTTTCACTGTTAAGAAATGACAAAATGATTTCAATCTGTAATTTTTTTAATATAAATTTTTCCAGCCAGAATTTGGAATATATACATTTTTTTTTACACATTCAAACTATAAATCAACCAGCTCAGACACTTGAGAACTTTTCCCTAGTCCAAATCTTATGGCATATTAATCTGTAAAAAAGAAAAATGTCCAAAGACTACAAATATAATTAACAAAAATTCTAAGGATTATCTGTATCCTCTTAATATATATTTCATAAAACAAATGAGTCCTGTTGTCATTGTCATAGAAATTCCTATAGTGATGGCATTAGCCATGACAGCACCTCAAGATGGTAGGGCATTGGTTCTAACAGGATTCTGCTCCTAGCAAACTAACACAGGAACAAATGCATTCTTAATTCACTTATAGACAACTTTTCATAATACCATTAAAGCAAAATATAGGAAGAATTACATGTTGTTTTATTTTCCCCAATCACTGAAGCTTTAAGCTTTAAATGTTGTTTTATTTTAAAGCTCCAGAAATATTTCACATTAGTTCATTACTCTATCTCCAATGTCTAGCATATAAATGCCTGGCATATAATAAAGGCACACAATTAATAATTGTAGAACCAATGAGTGACACTCAAAAGTGAGAAATCAGAAGTGACAAAATCCTAGGCTTTTTTAAGTCTAATGTGAATTACATTAAACCACCAATAACTGTAAACTATTGGCAGTGTCTGTCACTCTCATTCTAATCTCACTTTCCCTCTCTACCATCCCCTTGGTAGGAAAAAATGAGGTGCTTAGAAGCAGAGCGAGTTGGAACAAGGGATACTGTCTTTTCATGTTGCTGAGTTTTGAAAACATTACTGCTTTGAACAATAAAATTATGCCAGATTACAAAACAGCTATTAATACAGGGATGATATTTTCTCATGCTTACCGATGATTTTACTTTTGTGGTATCAACTCTCTCATAAAATGGAGTGCAATACACAATCAGTATAAGGAGACTCAGAAGAAAGGCACTGCAGCTTACAAACTCAAAAAAATAAAGTCCTCCACATAAAGTACATTGTGATACAACTTCTTCACAGATGAAGGCCAGCAGAGACAGCAACTACAAATGAAGCAAAACATTTTACTTAAGTGTTTTTTCAGAGAATCTACAGTATTTAGAAAGCTGTTTCTGAATAATACGTTTACTCAAATATTTACAATGAGGAGACTATGGCAAACAAGATTAATGAATAAACCTTATCTACACAGAACTTACAGTTTGGCCGCCTTGAAGGAAATACAGGTAAATAAAGAATTAATTAACCTATCGTGTACTAATGCCAGCAAAGGGGAAATATATAATATTGTTATAAAAGCACACAGGAGAGACGCTCAACTGCGGGGTCAGGAAAGGCTTCCTGAAGGAGAAAGCTGAGACCTGAAGAACAGAGTCAGTTTGGGGGATGAAAGATTAAGGAAAGAAATTCCCAGCAGAGAAGCAGTATATAGAAAGGCCAGAAATGAGGGAGCATGGCACCTGCCCTCTGACCCAACATACAGACAACACACACCCCGACCTCCAACTTAACTGTCAAAGTGAGTCAAATCAACATGGCTTAAGTATAGAGTTTAAGGGAAGAGAATGGCAGCACAAAAATTAGTATATGAGGCTAGAGAGGTAAGCTGAGGCCAGATCTAAATGTCCTCGTTAATTAAGAGTCTGGATTTTAAAGTAAAGGTTGACAATGATCAGGTGTATGCTTTCAGTAGTTCTCACTGGCTACAATATGGAGAAGGGACCAGAGGTAAGGCAAACCTTGGGGCGGACATCCAACTGGGAAGCTGATGTAGGAAATCAGGGCAAATAATAGCGACTAGGGAGCAGCAATAGAGAAGAGTGGCAATCACTGAGAGATGCAGCAGAAGCTCTTATCAGACAAGATGCAAAAGCTCATATCAGACAAGATGCATACAAATAATATGGAACACAAGATAACACATGTGTACCTTAAACATTTTAACTTAAAAACGCACATTTATTAACAATCTGCTGAAGTGAGTATTTTCTTTATGGGTCTACTGACGAATTCCACATGTTTTCTGCATTAATCACTTTCATCATCTATGGACTACTACTTCCAGACTGATGTTATCTGAAGTGAAGTGAGATCTTAAACACTTGAGAAACAGAGTTCAGAATCTTTCTAGAGTCAGACTATTTTACCAGCCTTTTACAGTTGCCTTGCTCTTCCTTAATTCCATGGCAGATAAATCTTGTAGTAAGTTATCTTTCAGTCTTTCCAAAGCATTCAATTTAGTTTTAAAGAAACAATTCATTTTAACACTCAGTTTCAGCTTTGTAATATTTAACTGTATGGCCATAAAAGTATAGTTAGCATAAACCAGTATGGGAACAACACAACTCAACTGATGACAGAAGCAAGAGTTCTAGAGTGCTAATGAGATGCCTACTGGCCATGGCAGGCTGTGGGTGACTGGTGTGAGGTCAGGATGCTTGGTATGGTGAGTGGAGAATGTTAACTCTGGTTAAATTGGCAACTCAATTACACGCAAGTGGGTTTTAACTACTTCCAACTGCTGTATATGTGGTACTAACATACTGGTCCTCACTGAAAAAAGAGTCAGGTTTTTTTCTTTTTAAAAGGCAAGGGTGCTAGGGAGAGAAGAAATTCAGTTTTAAATATGCTGTGATTGAGGAGGTCTGTGGAAGAGTTTGGTGAAGATGTAGTTGGAAAGCAAATGAATATAAGGTCTGGAGCTCAAAGGAGAGGTCTAAGATGCAGATAAAGATGTGGGAGCTGGCAGAGTGGGAGGGTGAGATGACTCAAATGAGGAAAGATAGCCTTATGTGGAAATCTGAGGAATCTGAAGATTTACGGGATATGCAGAGGGGAAGAAACCAGCAAAGGACAACTAGCAGCAGCAATCAAAGGGGTAGTAAACAAGAAAAAAGTATTTACACACACATGCACAAACACACAAGTAATCAAGAGTGCTAAATGCTACTTAAAGGTCAAGTAAGAACAACACTGAAACACCTACCTTAGACTGAGCTATAAGAAGGTTGCCAGTGACATTAGCAAGAAAAGTTCCAGGGTAGTCAGGGAGAGAAGCTCGATTACAATACTGTATATTGGGAAGTAAGGGGAGGGTAAGGCAGTGAAGGAGAGACAGCATAGGCAATAAGTGTGGCTGGGAAAGAATGGCCAGATAGGGCAGTAGTGGATGAGGTCAAAGAGAAGGGAATTTCAACATGGGAGAACTGAGCATGTTTAAATACTTAGGCAGAAACCAGTAAGATGGGTGGGTCTAAAGACATAGGTAGAAAAATGGCTCTCTAAAGATAGGATTCAGGGCTCAGGTTTGGGGCTAACTCTTCTCTAGAAATAGAAGGGAAGAGAGTGAAGAAGAGTATTTTGCTTGGGCAGTTTGTGTGGGTTTTGTGGAAGCTGAGGGAATTTCCTGCTGAGGGCCGAAACCATCAAAATGACTGATGACCTAAGTCAGAGGCTAAAGGGAATTCCCTTCTCACTCCAGTCAGGCCAGTAGAAGCAACCAGACAGGTTAATGGCAACAAGATTGCTACCAAAATCAACAGATACATTTCATAGTAATAGTAAATATCTTATCCTACAAAACATTTTCATTAAAAAGGGACAAACAACAGTTCAGCGGTTTCTTTAAAAACTAAGCATATATCTACCATATGACCCAGAAATAGAACTCTTGGGCAACTATCTCAGAGAAATGAAAACTTAACATTTGTACAAAAACCGGTACGTGAATGTTTATAACAATTTTATTCATAGTAGCCCCAAACTAGAAACATTCCAGATGTCCAATGGTTAAAACAAACTGTGGTACATCCATACCATGGAATATTAGCAATAAAAAGGAGCAAACTTGATATATGTAATGTCCTAGATGAATCTCCAGAGAATTATTCAAAGGAAAAAAAAAATCCAATCTCAAAAGGTTACATATTGCATGATTCCATTCATAGCCCATTCTTAGAATAATAAAAATAATAATGATGGCTAACAAATTAGTGGCAGCCAAGAGAAAGGGGAAAGGTGTGGCTACAAAGGGGTAGCACAGGGAAGCCTCTGCTGATGGCACAGTTCTGTGTCTTGATTGTGGTGGTAATTATAGAAAGCTATCCACATGGTAAAATTACATAGAATTACACACACATGCACATACAAATGTGGGACCTCCCTGTACTTTTTTTTTTTGCAATTCCTGTGAATCTATAATAATTTCAAAATAAAAAGTTAAAAAATAGTAATTCAAATCTATACTGGTATCCAAACCTTTAAGGGATTTCCTCTCCCTTCTACTGGCTATACAAAATGTATACATCCCCACAACTGCAAAGAATTTATATAAAAGAAAAAAAATAGTCTAATTGTAACATGAATGGTTACATTCTCTGATTTCCTGTAAGTTAGTGAAGCATGAAATAGCCCAGCATGTCCCAAACAACTTCCTTCAGACAGGTGTTAGGTAAGGCATTCCCAATCATTACACCACAGGATATAAAGTGACAACACCAAGATAAATCCCAGAGGGCCACTGTGTAAAGATACTTCCTTAGTCTCCTATAATCATACTTACAGGATGAGTTCTAACATGACTATAGTCTAATAAAATACTAAATATCTAACATTTCACTTGCCTTTTTCTTGCCTCTATGTTAAATCTTGTCCAAGTTTTAAAAGTTTCTCTCTGAGAAATTTACAAAATATACCTCGGTTGTATAAAAGTCAATTAACTGAGAGAAGATACCAGCCTAAAACTCTAATTAGGGTCTGGGAATAGCTGAACCACTCATTTTACAATTAGACTATTAGGCACACTCATGTGTGAAGGCTATATGGCAATAAAAGGTTATCTGTAGGACAGACATAGGCTGCTTGTCTACTTTCAGTAAAAAAAGACAGGATCCAGCTTGTCCAGAAGCAGTCAGTCTCAAGTCATTACAAGTCCTATTCCAAACGTATTAACAGGTGGCATTCCTACTGACCTTACTGACCTATTGCCTCAGAGCAATAGCAGGAAGCAGGTTCTGCCTGGACATCTTAAGAGAATCAAGGAGTACAATATTAAGTATGGACATCTGGCAGGGCACAGTGGCTCACACCTGTAATCCCAGCACTCTGGGAGGCCAAGGCGGGCAGATCACTTGAGGCCTTCTGGCCAACCTGGTTCAAGACCAGCCTGGCCAACATGGCAAAACCCCATCTCTACTAAAAATAGAAAAATTAGCTGGGCATGGTGGCGCATGCCTGTAATCCCAGCTACTTGGGTGGCTGAAGCATGAGAATTGCTTGAACCCAGGAGGCAGAGGTTCCAGTGAGCCAAGATGGCGCTACTACACTCCAGCCTGGGTGACAAAGCGAGACTATCTCAAAAAAAAAAAAAAAAAAAGTGTGGACATTTACTAGCTCCCATCTCAAGTTAAAGGCCAACAAATTGGCACTACAAGCTATAGTCAATATGAAATTCTGTCGGCCAGATGCGATGGCTCACATCTGTAATCCCAGCACTTTAGGAAGCCAAGGCGGGAGGATTGCTTGGACTCAGGAGTTTGAGACCAGCCTGGGCAACATGGTGAAACCCCATCTCTACCAAAAAAAAAAGAAAAAAAATTCTCTGCCTACCCATCTCTGAGGCTACTAACCTTTGTAAGCTCCCACAGCATTATGCAATTGCTAGCTCAAAGTGTACTTGAACTAGCAACACTCCAACACTGTTCTACGTATAGGAAGATACAAATGATGGAGTAATAAGCTCAATGTACAAGAAACAATAATAACAATATATTTTATACCACATTAACTGAGCATTCATTATATGTAGGTTAGAAAATCTCAAGAAAATGTTCGAAGGAGCCGGAGAAGGATGAGTGGAAAAGCAGGACTCAAACCAGGCAGAGACACAAACAGAACCTGGATAGACAGAGGACATTCTAATTCTAGGTGGAGGATGAAAAAGAACATATTCATAAGGGCAAGAATTTGCATAGTAAATCCAAAAATGATAATAAGGCAACTGACCTAACTGGATGGGGATGAAGAAAAAAATGGTTTAGGAGTTGGGTGTGGTTGTGTGATGATCATGCAAGGGAATATGGATGTTTAGATGAAGGCAGGAGGGAACACCTGTCTGGTTTAGTAGGTTAGAAAACAGGAGGAACAGAGGATTGGGTGGGGCCTAAAGGAATTCTACAGTTCCGAGTGTAGGAGGGAAAAGAGCAACTAACTTCTTATCAGCAAGCCACAGGAAGTGTTTTTAAAAAAAGAAAACTCCTACACCGGGCGCGGTGGCTCACGCCTGTAATCCCAGCACTCTGGGAGGCCGAGGTGGGCGGATCACGAGGTCAGGAGATCAAGACCATCCTGGCTAACATGGTGAAACCCCGTCTCTACTAAAAATACAAAAAAAATTAGCCGGGCGTGGTGGCGGGCGCCTGTAGTCCCAGCTACTCGGGAGGCTGAGGCAGGAGAATGGCGTAAACCCAGGAGGCAGAGCTTTCAGTGAGCCGAGATCGCACCACTGCACTCCAGCCTGGGCAACAGCGAGACTCTGTCTCAAAAAAAAAAAAAAAAAAGAAAGAAAAAACTCCTTAAAAAGCAGCAAGTAAACATACTCCAAACTGTTACTCATACCGTGACACCTGGTAGTGTGAGGGGTGGGAAAGTGGTTTTATTTTAATATTTTTAGTTGATTTTTTTTTTTTTGGTAAGCAGACACTTTCTTGTATTAAAAAGAAAAAAGTGTAAAAGTTGGCCGGGCGCGGTGGCTCACGCCTGTAATCCCAGCACTTTGGGAGGCCAAGGCGGGTGGATCACGAGGTCAGGAATTTGAGACCAGCCTGGCCAACATAATGAAACCCCGTCTCTATCAAAAATACAAAAATTAGCCGGGCATGGTGGTGCACGCCTGTAGTCCCAGCTACTCAGGAGGCTGAGGCAGGAGAATTGCTTGAACCTGGGAGGCAGAGGTTGCAATGAGCCGAGACTGCACCACTGCACTCCAGCTTGGGTGACAGAGCGAGGCTTCGTCTCAAAAAAAAAAAAAAAAAGTGTAAAAGCTGAAGGAACAATTTCGAGAAATGAGTGGTCACCAGCATTAAATGCCAAAGTGGTCAAAAATAGGAAGAGAGAAAAAATGTCACTGAATTAGCTAAGAAATTCATGGTAAACATAACCCATAAGTAAAAAGGCTCAATTATTATTTTTTGGTAAACAGTTTTGTTCTTAATAGCATGAAGTCATCATACTAAATATTGCTTACTGAATATTAAGCTAAGTACTTAACAACTGTATACCCAATGTAACTCCTTCTAATGACATAAAATTTTACCCAAATATAATTAAGAGAATTATCAAGCTTTTAATGTCAGGAGGGCCCTTAGCGGATATAGTCTCCCACTCCCACGTTTACAAAGATGGAATTAAGCTACTGACAGGTTAAGCCCCAAGTTAGCTCGGCACAGACAAGAACCCAAGTCTCTGACTCCCACTCTGTACTTCCTCTCTCCCCATGAAATACTGTTTGTTAAATTCCTTTTACGAGTATGTATGTTTGTGTAGGTCTTCCCTGTAAGACTGGCTTTTTGAAGTTAAACCCACAGTTCTGTATATTTCCTTTAATGTATTAAATCATACATTAAAAACAATTTGCTAACATCAACAGATTTGGGAAGTCTCAGTGACTAAAACATGATCTTACAGTTCTGGTGATTTAAACACTGGATAATTACTATCCTGCCTCTATCTCTCCATTTCAGTTTCACTACCCCTTCTTTTTTTTTTTTTTTTTTCTGAGATGGAGTCTCGCTCTGTTGCCAGGCTGGAGTGCAGTGGCACGATCTTGGCTCACTGCAATCTCCACCTCCTGCCTCAGCCTCCTGAGTAGCTGGGATTACAGGTGCACGCCACAATACCCAGCTAATTTTTGTATTTTTAGTAGAGACGGGGTTTCACCATGTTGGCCAGGATGGTCTCTATCTCCTGACCTTGTGATCCGCTCACCTCGGCCTCCCAAAGTGCTGGGATTACAGGCATGAGCCACCGCACCCGGCCTCAGTTTCACTACCTTTTCTGAAATTTCAAGTGTTCCTTAAAACGGTCACTATATTAAATACGAATTCTCCATTAATTTAACAGTCTACTACTTATATTTTATAAAAAGAACTTTTAAATGTTTGCCATTAATTATAAAGCTCCATCTACAAAATGATATGAATTATAAATTAATGAACTTTACTATTAAAAACTTTGTAGTTATAAGTAAAGTTCAAATTTAAAAATCCATTGGTCTGAAGAAACAGGCCAGGCCTCCCTTGCCTTAGGCAAATATTTACTCTTACAAAGGTTCAGATATAATTTGCTGACATTACGGGATCTTCCTCAAGGTAAAAATAGAACATTTCAATTTACTATACATCAGTTTTCATATTTAAATAATGAAAAGAGCATCAATATAAGAAATGCTTCCAAGTAATCTGTTTCTTGGTACTTATAGGGTAACATTATTTATAATGTAATATATTGAAAAATCACTGGCGATTTCTAAAACTGCTTGCCAGATGAGCGACTAGAATTCCAGTACTGTGCAGCTATCAGGATAGTCAACTGACAGCATGGATACAATGTGGAGCTTGTTGCACAGAAAATTCCACATATTTAGGTCACTGCACCAGCGTATCAGCAAGCAATTAGGTTACCAAACGTCAATTCTCCCCTTAAAACAAAAACTCCCTCAAAAACATTCACAAAATAAAACATGAACATGTGGACAAATCTAAGGATAGTATAAACTGAAAAACTGCATAAAGTTAGGACTCCAGTAACTCCTTACACTAAATTCTCAACTGAGTATTTCTTCTTAAGCTCTGGAAGGGTGGATGGTAGTTGGGGGATGCTTAGGGTTTTAACAAAACTTAGGTCATATCTAAATGGCAGACACAGCTATGTTAACTTCAAGAGATAGAGAAGTTACGTTCTTTTATCTCTAATCTCCTCTGTGTACAGGCTCCACTCTCTATCCCTTCAATATTCAATTCAGTTCTGTAATAGCAAACCCCATGGAGCCTCAGAGGTTTGAAAAAAAAAAAAAAACCTTAAGAGTGCAAAGAACCTCAGAGGTAATTCAATTCAACCTCCGAAGACTCTAATGTAAGAATTTCCTAAGTATATACACAATGTCTGGTTTTTAAGTTTTAGAGCAGGCTTTTCTCTTGTAGGATCTTTGAGATTCTGTTAAGATTTATGGGTCCAGAATAATATACTCAAACATATAAGTGTACAATATTTTGAATAAAATTTCACAGGGTTTGCAGGTCCCTTGTTAAAACACCTCCTCTTCTGATTACGGGTTTCTCCATTACAGTTGTTTCCTTACTGGAGCTCGCAATTCTGTTTAGTTTTTTAAAAAAATTAAACATTTAAAGTAAAACAACCAATCTATCTAAAGGAAGAATTTGAGTTAAGGCAAAGACCTTGCCTATAGCCCCAGGCTGGAAGACAACTTTTACCGACTTCATATGTAACCTTCTTGGGACTTGCTGGATAATTCCTGTAATATACTGTTACTGTGAAGAGATAAGACATTATCAAAACAAACAAAGGAACAAAAAGACAACCATCAAAGTGAAAGGCAGTAATGAAAAAGTACTTTTAAATCTCCACATTAAAGAAAGCATTCCTGTAACATGACAATTTCCCCATAAACAAATAAATGGATTTCATAAAGAGATATTAGTTTTTATTTTTTCTCCATTTCTTCTTATGAATGATGGAGAACTAATAATAGTCTAACGATCTTTTAAGGCAAATTCATCTTCTCTGTGTCCAAGTATAACATTTACCACAAAAATTTCTGGTTGTGTTCCATGTTTTCTTCTATAACAGCAATAAGGAAGGAAACTGGTTATGTTCTATTCCAAAGATACGAAACTACAGTTTACTAAACTATAAGAAGGTAATCAGAAAATTTACTTTAGCTTTGCCACTTTTTATTAGAAAGAAAATAATAAAGGCAACTGAAAACAGGAGATTTTGTGGGCAGCAAACCAATACAGATGATTTTTTTCGAGCAGCAAGAATGCTTCAGATGGGCTGGGCGCAGTGGCTTACGCCTGTAATCCCAGCACTTTGGGAGGCCCGGAGGGCGAAAATCACCTGAAGTCAGGAGTTTGAGACCAGGCTGGTCAACACGGCGAAACCCCGTCTCTACCAAAAAAAAAAAAAAAAATCAGCCGGGCATGGAGGTGCGTGCCTGTAGTCCCAACTACTCGGCACGAGAATTGCCTGAACCCGGGAGGCGGAGGTTTCAGTGAGCCGAGATTGCGCCACTGCCCCCAGCCTTGGCGATAGAGCAAGACTCGGTCTCAAAAAAAAAAAAAAAAAAAGCTTCAGATGAATATTCTTTTCTGTTCTAAAGAGTTCTACTATTCACGTAGAAAATTTTAGCTTTACTGCAGAGAAATACAGCTAATACCTAAAAATCATCATGTGACAGCTGACAAGAGAAGAGAAGGAAGAAGGAAGAAGGTAGAAGGAACAGCTTATGCAAAGGAACAGTGGCAGGAAAGAGCCCCTGATGCCTCGTAATAAATTAAAGGTGGCCAGTGTGGAACCACCTAGAGGGAGACTGGGAGAAAGATAAGGCCAGATCCTACTGGGTTCCATAGGCCACATTATCACTTGCTTTCAAATGATTTCCCAGTCATCAGCAGATGTGATCATTTTGATCGCTAAACAGCAGTGCCGATTTTCCGACTTCTGTTTTTCTATTCAATAAAAGTAGGTCACTAGAGTTCTAAGAATTTAACTTCGGGTCATTTGAGTTGTAAGAATTTAAGTTCTTTCCAAGGAAACCAATGAGCTAATTTTTACTTAGAATGGTTAAAAAACAAAACAAAGTAAGACAAAACTCATAAACATCATAAGCATTCGGATTTTTCCTAAACTGGTTCTATTGCAGAAATAGAACCTAAACTGTTTCTATTTTTCCTAAACTGGTTCAACCATCAGTGGTTGGAACAGTACATAGGAGCCAACACGACTGTAAAGTGAATAATTTAAATCTCAAAGATGCTTTGATGTTTTCACGAACAGGTTTATGGTACTTCAACTGCTTAAAATAAACTCAATAAAATGGAAAGATGCATACCATGTCCTAGTTCAGCTATCCGCACATACTTACAAAAAGCTGTCCTTTTGACTTTCCACTTAGAACCCATATTGCTCAATTTTGAAATAATTCTTTTCCAGTCAATATAAAACTTTTAGAAGACAATTTACCGGACACACATACACACACATCTCAATGCCACGCGTGGTATCGCAGGACTTTGTCCAGCAAGTTAAACTGCCCCCATGGGCTCGCAGCAGGAAAACCGCAAGAGCCAGAGAAAGATAAACAGCGCTTCACAGTCTAAATACAGGCACTGTGGGCGATAATGCAGGGTAGCAGCAGAGAGAAGAGAGGAAAGTCGCCATAGAGGATGAGTGAAAGATGTTGAAGTGGCTGACTTGGGTCTCCGACGCATTTCCTGAGCCCGCCTAACAGGCTGGGTGGCCCCAGTTCGTGGGATCCCGATGGGGAGAGCCTTGGGACTGAGGGGCCGCCCGGCGGAAGGGCGGAGGGTAACGCCCCCTTCCCCAGGCTGAGAGGGAAGGAACTAGAGGTGTGGAAACCTCCTTTTACTGAACAACCAAGCTGAAACGAAGGAGCTCGGCGGCCTCCCAAGCCCGGGCCAGACCCCGCTCCCCAGCCCGGGCTCGCCCTCCCTGACCGCGGACTCACCAGCTGCAAGCCCTTGAGAACGCGCCGGAGCAATGGGAGCCGGCCCATGAAAAAGTAGGCAGCGAGGCCGCTCCGGGGGCCTCTGGCGGGGCCCGGGTCCTCCTCCGTAGTGGGGCTGTACACCGCTCCGTTCTCCATCGCCTCGGGCCGGGGAGCGCGGCGGCCGCAGCAACCGCGCCGTTGACTTCTCGGACTCCAGAAGTCCCCGGTAGCCGGGAGGCGGCCGTCACTTCCTGGGCCTTCTCCCCGGCTTCCGCCTGACTCCGCCCCTTCCCGCCCCCGCCCTTGGCCCGCCCCGCCCCCTCTCAGCAAATTTGCTTGTTAGCTGTTGGGATTCTTCCGACTTTCATCCAAGAATTGAGTTCTTTCTGTGAGCCTTTGATGGATTTCTCACCTCCCTCCATCTTTCATCCTCCTGACATTCATTCACTTAGTATTTTTGCGTACTTTCGGTGTGCAGTGAACCCCGTTCTAGGTACTTGGGTGACAGCCAAGTACTACCCAAAATCACAGGATCCCTAGTAACAGAGACAGACAATAAACAAGAAAACAGATGGATAGCAATTTCAGATAGTGATAAGTGACGTGAAAATATGATACGAAAATAATGGATTCAGCATTTCTGGTGGCTTGATAAATTTATTAAAAAAAAAAAGAAGATGGAGGAGGAGGAGAAGAGGAAGGAGAAGGAAAAAAGGATGGAGAATTGGGTGCTCTACTTAAATGGCCACTACTAAACTGAGTGGTCAGGAAAGGCCTCTCTGAGGACCATGATCTTTGAATTGAATGAGACTCAAAGTGTGAGAAGCCAGGCTTGTAAAGTTCTGGGGAGAGCCTTTCACGAAAGTGCAAATGTCCCGAGGACCAAATGAGTTTGACTCAATCTGAAGCCCAAAGGCCTGTGTCGCTAGGAATAAGTACGGGAGGAAAGGAGATGTTGGAGATGTAGGCAAAGGCCAGATAATGTGGAGGCCTTGCAGACCAAGGGAAGAATTCGTATTTCATTTGAAGTACAATGAGTTGTCTGTAAGGACTTTCAGAATCGCTCCCTCCCGCGTCTCCCGAAATTCCATTTAGGCTCACTTTTCAAAATCATTTCCTTTTTCTCTTTCTTGGTCACCAACTGCTACAGTCACATATGTTAATTTTGTGTGAACTTGTCAAGGAATGTAATTATATTTTAGCAACTGAAGTTGATTGAGTTACAGGATGTTCACAACAATATAAAGTAGGTTCGACAGTATAAAGTCGGTTACATTCATTTTCAAATGAGAAAACTGAGGCCAAGAGGCTGAAATCATATCCAAGGTCAAACAGCCAGGAGCAGCTGGAATGCAGGCCTAAGCAGTCTGACTCGAAACCTTGCTGCTAAACGCTAACCCAGAAAACGTCAGCTTCTAACTCATCTCTCCATTGGAGTCTCAAAACCCATGGAAGAGAGAAGGGGTTTCTGCTGCCATCAGCTGCTACATCTTCTCCGTGGCCCCAAACCTCCCTTTCTTCTTCCAGTAACAAACAAAAGCTCCCATTCAAATGAATAGAGACAAGTAGATACTGCCCTGCAGGGGCCACCTACAACCAGCCAGAACTACCCTTCTGTCTCTGATTACATGCACTCTGAATGTCCTCCCAAGGCCAAGATGCCACCAATTCTGTCCAACAAGGAAGGCCACTGTATTTTCACCAGGGCTACAAGGATTCATTGCCCCATTATTCTTCAAGTCACTATCATCCCAAATTAGACACTACTGATGTCTAAAAGTTCCTTTGAAATTCATCCAAAATTAAGATGAGTTGATGACTAGAGAGATGGATAAAAGATTTGTGATAGGCCAGGCGCAGTGGCTCACGCCTGTAATTCCAGCACTTCGGGAGGCCGAGGCAGGTGGATCACCTGAAGTCAGGGGTTCGAAACCAGACTGACCAACATGGTGAAACCCCGTCTCTACTAAAAATACAAAAATTAGCCGGGCGTGGTGGCGTGTGCCTGTAATCCCAGCTACTCGGGAGGCTGAGGCAGGAGAATCGCTCAAACCCGGGAGGTGGAGGTGGCAGTGAGCTGAGATCGCGCTACGGCACTCCGGTCTGGGCAACAGAGTGAGACTCCGTCTCAAAAAAAAAAAAAAGCAGGCCGGTCGCGGTAGCTCACGCCTGTAATCCCAACACTCTGGGAGGCCGAGGGGGACGGATCACGAGGTCAGGAAATCAAGACCATCCTGGCTAACACGGTGAAACTCCATCTCTACTAAAAATACAAAAAATTAGCCGGGCGTGGTGGCGGGCGCCTGTAGTCCCAGCTACTCGGGAGGCTGAGGCAGGAGAATGGCGTGAACCTGGGAGGCGGAGCTTGCAGTGAGCCGAGATCACACCATTGCACTCCAGCCTGGGCGACAGACCGAGACTCCGTCTCAAAAAAAAAAATCATTGTTAAAAAAACAACAACAACAAGGATCTCTAATAAAGCAACTGCAGTAACATATTAATGGTAATATTTAGGTGAAGTATACGGGTGTCCACTGTACAATTATTTCAGCATTTCTGTATGTTTGAACATTTTCAAAATAAAGTATTGGGAGGAAGTTACAAAGAAACAAGGATACTTTGAGACAAGAGAGAAGATGAACAGACTTCGTCAACCCTCTTGGTTTGTTTAGGGCACACTTATGCAATTCTCTAGGGGTCTCTGCTTCTCTTTGCATTTTTAGAAGAAGACACAAATTTAGCCTGTGATTCATAAACTCCAACATGGCGAAGAATCATCTGTGAGATTAATTAAAAAGGAAGATTCTTGGAGATCTAGCCCCAAAGATTCTGAATGTAGATGGGGCTTGGGAATATACTTTCGTAACAAGCTCTTCATGTGAATCTGGGAAGAAATCCATCCACATAGAGAAACACTGTTTTATAATGTGATAAAAGTGAAAGCCATTGTGTAGTAGACAGTAGACGTGCCATATTTTCTTTGCTCTGATTGATTTGGGGGTGCCTGGGATTTAGAGACTAATATTTCACCCAGGTAAAGAAATGGGCATCCCTTACATTTTCTTCATAAATTGAAAGACCAAATAAAAATGTTAGTGCTTCATGAGCAAATACTTGTATAGGAAACTCTTTTGATGGGCATATTCACACAGAAAACTGTCACCCTCATTAATGAATAAAACAACTTGCAATAGTCAAATGGTGGGACTCACTATGTTGAAATGAGAAATCTTACGTATGGTGAAAAAAATACGACAAAAAGAAGAAAGGAAGATACACTAAATTTAGGTTTTAAAGAATATTCACTGTTCTCCTTTAAAATTAGATATTTAATTTTTTAAAAAAAGAAAGAAAAACATTCACAAGAAGAGAGAGCGATTGGGGAACATAATTTGATGGGACTTCAGCCATTCAAAAAATAATGTGGTAGTGTTGGAGGCTGTTGCAAGACCTTGGTTCTTGTCTTCTTAGTTTAAAAGAATTTAAACAAGAGACATACAGCAAAAGAGATGCAGCATAATTTATTGCAAAAGAAAAAAAAATTTTGAAAGCTAAGTACAAAATAGACATCACACCCTGAGAGAGAGAGAGAATTCAGGGCAGGCTGCTCGTAAGGATGAGACAACATTGATTATTGCTGGAGGTTATTGCTAATCATGTATTATTTGCATGATTATTCATAAGGAGGTGGGAAGAAGTGTTACCGTTAGGTTCGTGCAAGAGTAATCGCGGTTTTGGCCATTACTTTAAATGCAAAAACCACAATTACTTTTGCACCAACCTAGTAGTAAGCATCTTCTGGTTGGTCCTCTGGCTGCACATGTGCAGTAGCTGTGCACCCATGTTCCTCCCTCAGGTGTCCCATTAGCATTGTAAATCTCCACCCAAGGGCATGTTTTTTGCTATTATAATGAGCAAAAGGTCAGTTTGAGGACAGGTAAAATCAAAGTGCTCATGCTCTCTATAGAAGAAATTTCCTACTGAAGATAGCTTTGCTCGACTGAGTTCAATCACAATTCAAATGCTGAGGCTTATTGTGTTGACTGTTGGGGTCACCATGGTTGCTGCGTCCTGAGGATATGGGCACTTCCTTGACTGCCTATCCTGCCTCAGTACTACTTTTTCAGTTCAGAGTTTAATTTTTTTCAGCAGTTCCTGCTAAACAATTTTTCACTGGCCCTCTTATCGGTATTAGCACAGTTAGGCAATACTGTGGATACAAAGTTAGATTATAGACGCTATCCTACAATGATACCACAGTAATGTCCACAAAGAACTATGTTACAAAATAGAAAGAGATATGTGTTATAGAAGAGATACAAATTAAATATGTTGCTAATTCGGAGCAGAGAGAAATAACTTTCAGTTTAAAGGATCACTACAGTGGAGCTTCAAGATGGGGTTAAACTATACTTCGGTTTGGACATGCAGATACAGGGCAGAAAGTATTCAGGCAGTAGGGTGGTATGAAGGAAGGCAAAGAAAGTGTGCATAGGCACAGTGAATGAAGGGAGCAGGAAAGGACAGAGTAGTTAAGGAATATAAGCTCGAGATCAAATTTTGGAAGGCTTTGAAAATCAAGCTAAGGAACTGGGCCTTTCCATTATTGTTGGGTAATGAAGAACCCCCAACGAGTTTTAGGAAGGGGAGTGAAATGATCGGAGCTTTTCCTTGGGGATATTTTTCTAGTAGCCTTGAGCGCAGTGGTTACAGAGATCCAAGTAAGGGCTATTGTAAAAGTTCAGGAGAGAGGGAATAGAAGCTTAAACTCTGACGTTAATCATGGGGATGGCACCAAGAGAACCTTGGAGGTAAAACCAGTGAGATTTGAGGACTGATTTGTTTAGAGAGTAAGAAAGGAACTGGAGCAGGTGCCAATATTTCAAGTCTGGGTAACAAGGAGATTGAGGGAGAATAATAACAGAGAGGTAATATAGGAGGCAGTAACTCTTATTGATGTCAAAGTACAAATTTCAAAAAATTAAAAAGATAACTTTCATACAAGCATATAGTAAGCCTGCTTCAAAGATTTATCTAATTTATTAATAGGCTGGGCTCATGCCTGTAATCCAGGCAGGAGGATTCCTTGTGTCCAGGAGTTCGAGACCAGACTAGACCCCATCTCTAAAAAAAAAAAAAGAAAGAAAGAAAAAAAAATTAGCTGAGTGTGGAGGCATATGCCTGTAGTCCCAGCTACTTGGGAGGTTGAGGTAGAAGGATCGCTTGAGCCCGGGAAGTTGAGGCTACAGTGAGCCTTGATTGTGCCATTGTGCCACTGCACTTCAGCCCAGGTGACAGAGTGAGACCTTGTCTTAAAAAAATAAAATAAAATAAAATATTGCCTTTCCAACTTGGACCCAACAGAATGGCTTCCGCAAAGAA
This sequence comes from Homo sapiens, assembly GCF_000001405.40. Classification (NCBI taxonomy): domain Eukaryota; kingdom Metazoa; phylum Chordata; class Mammalia; order Primates; family Hominidae; genus Homo; species Homo sapiens. Next base: position 32,507,972 of record NC_000003.12, read on the forward strand.
GGGTGGCCAAAAGAAAAAGGGCCGTTCTGCTATCAACGAGGTGGTGACCCAAGAATACACCATCAACATTCACAAGCGCACCCATGGAGTGCGCTTCAAGAAGTGTGCCCCTTGGGCACTCAAAGAGATTCGGAAATTTGCCATGAAGGAGATGGTAGCTCCAGACATGTGCGTTGCTACCAGGCTCAACAAAGCTGTCTGGGCCAAAGGAATAAGGAATGTCTCATACCGAATCCGTGTGCGATTATCCAGAATAAGGATGAAGATTCACCAAATAAGCTCTATACTTTGGTTACCTATGTACCGGTTACCACTTTCAAAAATCTACAGACAGTCAATGTGGATGAGAACTAATTGCTGATGGTCAAATACATCAAAGTTATAAAATTGCAAAAAAAAAACAACCTAATTTATTAGTTAAGTAATCAGAAGAATGTAAAACTGGTTTATAGGCGGTTATGAGAGGGGTGTGTGTGTGTGTGTGTGTGTGTGTGTGTGTGTGTGTGTATTCAGTGAAAGAAAAAAAATAATGCTAAGATAAGATTGCTAGGTTAAATCCAAAACTGGTTTATGGTTTACCGGAAAATAAAATTGTTATCTTTGTGATGAACTCTAACACAGATAAATCATTTTTATCTCCCTCTAACAAAAATAATTTGCAATTTACCAATTTTCTATAATTAATACCTTAATTATGGAATCTGGGCCCAACTCAGTAATAAATACTAACTCAAAGAAAATTGTCTTTCCCTAGACGATCAGATGACCCTTAGGAGGGTTTTGTAGACCATGCTCTAGTCTAGGGGTCTGCAAACTTTTTCTTTAAAGAACCGGATAGTAACTATTTTAGGCTATGAGAGCCATATGGTCTCTGTCGCAACTACTCAACTCAACTGTTGTTGTAAAACAAAAGCAGCTGTGGATGATATAGTAACAAATGGGTGTGGCTGTGTTCCAATACAACTTTTATAACAGCAGGCAATAGGCTGAGCGCCGTGGCTCACGCCTGTAATCCTAGAACTTTGGGAGGGCAAGGCAGGCGGATCACCTGAAGTCAGGAGTTCAAGAGCAGCCTGGCCAACATGGTGAAACCCCCTCTAAAATACAAAAATTAGCTGGGAATAATGGCAGGTGCCTGTAATCCCAGCTACTCAGGAGGCTGAGACAGGAGAATCGCTTGAACCCAGGAGATGGTGGTTGCAGTGAGCCGAGATCACGCCACTGCACTCCAGCCTAGGCGACACTGTCTCAAAAACATAAAATTAAATTAAAAATTAAAATTAAAAAATAATAAAAGCGGGCAGTAGGCTGGATTTGGCCCACAAACCATAGTTTGCTAGCCCCTGCTCTAGTTCAGTAGTTCTCAAACTTAAGTGATCATGAGAATCCCCCGGAAGGCTTGTTAAACCACAGATTGCTGGATCCAACTTCCAGAGTTTCAGACTCAGTAGATCTTGGGTGGAACCTGAAAATTTGCACTCCTAACAAGTTCCCAGGTGATGATGATGCTGCTGGTCTAGGGACCACACTCCACACTTTGAGAACTACTGTGCTAATATGACATTGAAAGGGCACTTGGTAATCCTTATTTCCAGGTTTTGGGTCATTTGTTCCAACAAAGGGAAGATGAAGAACTCAGATTAGGGCACACTGAGATTGAGGTGCCAGAGGGCATCAAGCGGAGTTTGTGGTAAATAGTTTCAAATTTGGATCTGGAGGCTGGGCGCGGTGGCTCACACCTGTAATGCGAGCACTTTGGGAGGCCGATATGGGCCAATGACTTGAGGCTAGGAGTTCAAGACCAGCCCAGCCAACATGGTGAAACCCTGTCTCTACTAAAAATACAAAAATCAGTCGGGCGTAGTGGCGCATGACTGTAATCCCAGCTACTCGGGAGGCTGAGGCACCAGCTCTGTTTAAAAAAAAAAAAAAAGGATCTGGAGCATTGGAGGAAATAAAGCATTTGGGAAATACTCATAGAACTAAATAGTTACAGTCATAAAAGTGCTAAGGGGATGAACTTATAGGA